>NC_000020.11:31161625-32449811 GCF_000001405.40 Homo sapiens
ACTCAAGTGGAATAGAATGGGTTTAATGGAATGGACTCTAATGGAATGGAATGCAATGGACTCGAATGGAATGAAATGAAACGGACTCGAATGAAATGGAATGGAATTGAATGGAATTGATTGGAATGGATTGGAATGGAAAAGACTTGAATGGAACAGAATGGAATGGACCCTAACAGAATGGAATGGATTGGAATGGGATCGAATGGAATGGAATGGAATGGAATGGATTCAAATAGAATTGCACGGAATGGAATCTAATGGAATGTATCAAATGGAATGGAATTGAATGGAATAGAATTGAATGGAACAGAATGGAATGAAATGGACTCGCATGTAATGCAGTTGAATTGAATTGACTCGAAAGGAAAGAAATCGAATGGATTCGAATGGAACGAAATGGATTGGAATGGAATGGAATGGACATGAATGGAATGGAATGGTATGGACTTCAATGGAACGGAATGGACTCGAATGAAATGGAGTGGAATGGAGTCAACTCGAGTGGAATGGAGTGGAACGGAATGGACTCGAATGAAACGGAGTGCAATTGAATGGACTTCAATGGAGTGGAATGGAATGGACTCGAGTGGAATGGAAGGGACACGAATGGCATGGAATGGAATGGACCTCAATGAAATGGAATGGAATGGACCCGAATGGATTGGAATGGAATGGAATGGAATGGAAAGGAATGCAATGGACATGAATGGAATGGAATGGAATGGAATGGAATTGACTCGAATGAAATTGAATGGAATGGAATGGAATGGACTTGAGTGGAATGGAAGTGACACGAATGGCATGGAATGGAATGGACCTCAATGAAATGGAATGGAATGGACCCGAATGGAATGGAATGGAACGCAATGGAAAGGAATGGAATGGACACGAATGGAATGGAATGCAATGCAACGGAACGGATTGGAATGGTATGGACTCCAATGGAATGGAATGGAATGGAATGGAATGGAATGGACTCAAATGGAATGGAATGCAATGGAATGGAATCGAATGGAAAAGAAATGAATGGATTGGACTCGAATGAATTCGAATGGATTGGACTAGAATGAAATGGTATGGAATGGATTCAAAATGAATGGAATGGAATGGAATGGACTCGAATGGTATGGAATGGAAGGGAAATGACTCGAGTACAATGGAGTGGATTCGAATGGAATGGAATGGACTCGAATGGAATGGAATGGAGTGGAATGGAACCGAATGGAATGGGATGGAATGGAATGGAAAGGAATGGAAATGAATCGAATAGAATGGAATGGAATGGACCCGAATGGAGAGGGAATGAATGGAATGGACTCGAATGGAAAGAATGGAATGGAATAGAATGGAATGCAGTGGTATGGAATGGAATGGACTTGAATGGAGTAGTATGGATGGAAAGGAAAGGACTTAAAAGGATTGGAATGGAATGGACTCGAATGGAATACAATGGATACGAATGGAATGGAATGGAATGCAATGGAATGGAATAGAATGGAATGGAATGATATGGAATGGAATGGACTTGAATGGAATAGAATGGAGTGGAAAGGAATGGACTTAAAAGGATTGCAATGGAATGGACTCAAATGGAATAAAATGGATATAAATGGAATGGAATGGAATGGAAAGGAACAGACTTGAATGGAGTAGAATGTGATTTAATGGAATTTATTGTAAAAAAAACGAATGGAACGGACTCGAATGGAATGCAATAGAATGGACTCGAATGGAATGGAATGCAAAGGAATGGACTGGAATGGAATGGAATGGAATTGAATAGACTTGAATGGAAAAGAGTGGAATTGAACTGAAAGAAATGCATTTGAATGGAATGGACACGAATGGAACGAAATGGAATGGAAAGGAATGGTCTCGAATAGAATGGAATAGAATGGAATGGAATGGACTCGAATATAATGGAATGGTATGGAATGGACTCAAATGAATTGGAATGGAATGGACTCTATTGGAATGGAATGGAACTGAATGTACTCAAATGGAATGGAGGAATGGAATTGAATGTACTCATATGGAATGGAGTAATTGAATTGACTCGTATGAAATGGAATGGAATGGACTCGAACGGAATGGACTGGACAGGAATGGAATGGAACGGAATGGAAAGGACTTAAATTTAATAGAATGGAGTGGATTCTAATGGAATGGAATGCAATGGAATTGATTCGAATGGATTGGAAAGGAATGGACTCGAATGTAATGGAATGGATTGAAATGGAGTCGAAAGGGATGGGATGGAATAAACTCTATAGGAATGGAATGGAGTGGAATGGACTCGAATGTAATGGAATGGAAATCACGCAAATAGAATTGAATTGAGTCTAATGGATTGAAGTTAAACGGAATGGAACGGAATGGAATGGACTCGAATGGAATGGAATGAAATTAACACGAATGCAATGGAATGGAATGGAAAGAAATGGTCTCGATTGGAATGGAAGGGAATGGAATGGACCTGAATTGAGTGGAATGGAATGGAACGGACCCGAGGGGAATGGAATTGAATGGGCCCGAATGGAATGGTATCGAATGGAAGGGCAAGGACTGGAATTTAATGGAGTGGAATGGTATGGAATGGAATGGACTCTAATGAAATAGAATAGAATGGAATGGAATGGAATCAAAATTAATGGAATGGATTGGACTCAAACGGAATGGAATGGAAATGAATGGAATGGAATGGAATGGACCAGAATGGAATGCAATGGAATGGAATGGAATGGAATGGCCTCGAATGGAATGTAGTTGTATTGAAGGGATCCGAAAGGAATGGAATGGAATGGAATGGACTCGTATAGAATGAAATGGAATGCAATGGAATCGAATGAAATGGAATGGACTCAAATGGAATGTAATGCAATAGAATCGACTCGAGTCGAATGGAATGGAGTGCAACGGAATGGACACTAATGGAATTGAAAGGAATGGAAAATACTTGAGTGGAATGTAATGGAAGGGAATGGACTCAAATGGAATGGAATGGTGTTTAAAGGAATGGACTATAATGGACTGGAATGCAATGGACTCGAAAGGAATGCAGTGGTATGAACTCAAAAGAAACGGAATGGAATGGAATGGACTCGAATGCACTGGACCCAAATTGAATGGCATGTAA
Source organism: Homo sapiens (assembly GCF_000001405.40). NCBI lineage: Eukaryota > Metazoa > Chordata > Mammalia > Primates > Hominidae > Homo > Homo sapiens. The sequence goes on from NC_000020.11 coordinate 31,164,765, forward strand.
TGTAATGGAATGGGATGCAATGGACTGGACTGGAATGGAATGGAATGGAACGGACTTGAATGGAATAGAATGTAATGGAATGGAAAGGTCATCAAGTCTAAAGAATGGAATGGACTCCAATGGAAAACAATGGACTCGAATGGAATGGAATGGAATGGAATTTATTGTAATGGATTCTTACAGAATGGAAACTAATGGAATGGAAAGGAATGGACTCGAATGGAATAGAGTGGAAGGGACTCTAATGGAATGGAATGCAATGGAATGGAATGGAATGGAATGGAATGGAATGGAATGGAATGGAATGGAATCGAATGGAATAGAATGGACTTGAATGATCTTGATAGGAATGAAATTTAATTGAATGGAATGGACCCAAAAGAAATTTAATGCAATGAAATGGACTCGAATGGAATGGAATGGAGTGAAGTGGACTTGAAAGGAAAGGAATGGAATGGAATGAACTCGCATGGAATGGAATTGAACGGGCTCGACAGGAATGGGTTGGAATGGAATGGACACAAATGGAATGGAATGCAAAGGACTGAAATGGAATAGAATGGAATGCAATGGACTCAAATGGAATGGAATGCAAAGGACTGAAATGGAATGGAACCGACTCATATGGATTGAATGGAATGGACTCGAATGGACTGGACATGAATGGAATAGAATAGAATGGAATGGAGTCAAATGTAATAGAATGGAATGGAACGGAATGCAATGGACTTGCATTGTATGCAATTGAATTGAATTGAGTCGACAGGAATAAAATTGAATGGAATGGAAAGGAATGGAATGGAAAGGACACGAATGGAATGGAATAGAATGGACTCGAATGTAATGGAATGGACTCGAATGGAATGGAATCGACTCGAGTGGAATGGAGTGGAATGTAATGGACTCAAATGAAATGGAACATAACCGAATGGAATCGAATGGAGTGGCATGGAATGGAATGGAAATGAATGGAATGGAAGGGACACGAATGCCATGGAAAGGATTGGACCCGAATGGAATGGAATGGAATGGAATGGAATGGAATGGAATGGAAAGTAACGGAATGGAATCGAATGGAATGGAATGGAATGGAAAAGAATAGACACGAATGGAATGGAATGGAATAGAATGGAATGCAATTGAATGGAATGGAATGGAATGAACTCGAGTGCAATGGAATGGAATGGAATAGATTGGAACCGAATGGAATGGGATGGAATGGACTCGAATGGAATGGAATGGAATGGAGTCGAATGGAATAGAACAAAATGGGTTGGACTCGAATGTAATGGAATGGAATGTACTCGAATTAAATGGAATCGAAAGGAATGGACTTGAAAGGTATGTAATGGAACGGAAACGACTCGAGTGCAATGGAATGGACTCGAAATGTATGTAATGGAATGGAAAAGACTCGAGTGCAATGGAGTTGACTTGAATGGAATACAATGTAATGGACTCGAATGGAATGGAATTGAAATGACACGAACGGAACGGAATGCAATAGACATTTAAGGACACGAACGGAATAGAATGGAGTGGAATGGACCCGGATGGAAGGGAATGGAAATGAATGGACTCGAATGGAATGGAATGCAATGGAATGGACCCGAATGGAATGGAATGGAATGGAATGGAATGGAATGGTATGGAATGGAATGGACTTCAATGGAATCGAATGGAAAAGAATGGAATGGACGAGAAAGGAATGGAATGGAATGGACTCTAAAGGAATAGAATGGATACGATTTGAATGGAATGGAATGGAACGGATTTGAATGGAATAGAATGGGATTTAATGGAATGGACTCTAAAGGAATGGAATTGAATGGACTTGAATGGAATGAAATGGAATGGACTCGAATGGAATGGAATGGAATGCAATGGACTTCATTGGAATGGAATGGAATAGAATGGAATGGAATGGAATGGAATGGAATGGAATGGAATGGAATGGAATGGAATGGAACCGAACGGAATGGAATGGAGTGGAATGGAATGGAATGGAATGGATTTTAATGTAATGGAATGGAATGGAGTGGACTTGAATGGAATACAGTGGAATATAATGGAATGGAATGGAATGGAATGGAATGGAATGGAATTGACTTGATTGGAATCGAACGGAATGGAGTGGACTGGAATGGAATACAATGGAAATGAAAGGAATGGACTCGAAGGCAATGGAATGGAATGGACTCAAATGGAACAGAATTGTCTCAAATAGAATGGAATGGAATTAAATCAGTCAATTATAATCGAAAGGAATCTAATGGAATGCAAAGAATGGACTCGAATGGAATAGAATGGAAGAGAATGGAATGGACTCGAATGTAATGGAATGCAAAGGAATGGACTAGAATGGAATGAAATGCAACGGATTCGAATGGAAAGAAATCAAATTGAATGGTCTCGAAAGAATAGAATGGAATGCAATGGAATGGACACGAATGGAATGGAATGGAATAAAATGGAATTGAATGGAATGGAACCGAAAGGAATAGATTGGAATGGAATGGACGCAAATGGAAAGGAATGGAGTGGAATGGACTCGAATAGAATGGAGTGGAATGGAATGGACTCAAATGGAATGGATTGGACTCGAATGGAATGGAAATGAATGGATTGGACTCTAATTAAATAGAATAGAATTGAATGTAATGGACTCGAATGGAATGGAAAGGAATGGACTCAAATGAAATGGAATGGACTCGAATGGAATGGAGTGGAATGGAATGGACCTGAATGAAATGGAATGGAGTGGAATGGAACGGAATGCACTCGAATAGAATGGAATGGAATGAACCCGAATGGAATTGAATGGAATGGAAAGGATTGGACTCGAATGGAATGGAAGGCAATGGAATGAACCAGAACGGAATGGAATGGAATGGAATGGAATGGAATGGAATGGAATGGAAAGGAATGGACGTGAAAGGAATGAAAAGGAAAGGAATGGACCCCAACGGAGTGGAATGGAATTTAATTGACTCGAATGAAATGGAATAGAATTGACACATATAGAACGGAATCGAATGGAATGGAAAGGAATTGGATGGAATGGAATGGAAAGGAATGAAATGAAATAGTAAGGTCTGGAAAGAAATGGACTTAGATGGAATAGAATAGAACGGAATGGAATCGAAAGGAATGGAATGGAATGGAATGGACTCCAATGGAATGGAAATGAAATGAAGAAATAGAATGGAATAGAACGGACTCGAATGGAAAAGGATGGGATGTAATGGAATGGACTCCAATGGAATGGAATGGAATGGATTTCAACGGAATGGAATCGAATGGAATGGAATGGAATTGAATGGACTGGATTGGAATGGACTGGATTGGAATGGAATGGAATGGAATGGAATGGACTCGAATGCAATGGAATGGAATGGACCTGAATTGAAAGGAATGGAATGGAAGGGAATAGAATGGAATGGAAGGGAATGGAATGGAATGGAATGGAATGGAATGGAATGGAATGGAATGGAATGGACTCAAAGGCATAGGAATGGAGAGGACTCGAGTGGAATGGAATGGAATTTAATGTATTGAAATCTAATGAAATGCAATATAATGGAATGGAAAGGAATGGAATCGAATCGAATAGAATGGAATGGACTCTAATGGAATGGAATGGAATCAAATGGAATGGAGTGCAATGGATTCAAATGGAATGGAATGCAGTTGAATGGATTCGAGTCAAATGGAATGTAATGGAAGGAAATGGACTCGAATGGAATGAAATATAATGGAATGAAATGCACTTTAATGAAATGGAATATAATGGTATGGAATGAAATGGAATGGAATGGACTTGAATGTTATGGAATGCAATTGAATGGACTCGAAAAGAATGGATTGGAACGGAATGAAATGGAGTGGAATGCAATGGACTCGAAAGGAATGTAATGGAATGAAATTTGCTCATGTGGAATTCAATGGAATGGAAAGGAATGGGAAGGAATGTACCCGAATGTAACGCAGTTGAATTGAATGGTCCCGAAAGCAATGGAATGGAATGAAATGGAATGCAATGGAATGGATTCGAATTTAATAGAATCGAATGGAATGGACTCGAATAAAATGCAATGGACTCGAATGGAATGGAATGGAATGGAATCGAGTTGAGTGGAATAGAATGGAATTGAATGAAATTGAGTCGAATCAAATGGAATGCAGTGGAATGGACCCAAATAGAATGCAATGGAATGCAATAGACTCGAATGGAACGGAATTGAATGGAATGGACTCGAATGGACTGCAATGGAATAGAATGGAGTCGAATGGAATTGAACGGACGCAAATGCAAATTAATGGAATGGACTAGAACTGAATATAATGTAACCAAATTAAATGGAATGGAATGGTGATGAACGGAACAGAATGGAATGGAATGGGAAGGAATTTACACGAATTTAACGGAACGGAATGGAACGGAATCGAATAGAAAGGAATGGAATGGAATGGACTCAAATGGAATGGAATGGATTCGAATGGAATGAAATGTAATCGAATGGCCTTGAATGGAATGGAATGGATTTGACTCGAATGGAATTGAATGGAATGGACCTGAATGTAATGGATCGAAAAGTTGTCGAATTGAATCAAATGGAATGGATTGGTCTCAAATGGAATGGAATGGAATGGAAAGGAATGGGTTCGAATGGAATGGAATGGAATGGAATGGAATGGAATGGGTTTAAATGGAATTCACTTGAATGGAATTGAATGGAATGGACTCAAATGAATTAGCATGGAATGGATTTGAATCGAATGCAATGGAATGGACTCGAATGGAATTGAATGGACTCGAATAAAATGGAGTTGAATGGACTCGAATGGAATTGAATGCAATGGACTGTAAGGGAATAGAATGGAATGGAATGGAATGAAGACGAATGGAATGGAATGGAATGAACACGAATGGAACGGAATGGAATGGAATGGAATGAAATGGACTCGAATGGAATGGAATGGAATGGAAAGGACTCAAATGTAATGGAAGGGAATGCAATGGCAGGGAATGAAATGGAATAGACTCGAATTGAATGCAGTTGAATTCAATGGACACAAAATGAATAGAAAGGAATGGAATGGAATTTAATGGAATGGAATGGAATGGAATGAAATGGACTCGAATGGAATGGTCTCCAATGAAATGGAATGGAATGGAATCGACTTGAGTGTAATGGAATGGAAGGGAAACGACAGAAATGGAACGTAGTGGAAAAAATTGGAATGGCATGCAATGGAATGGAATAGACTCGAATGGAATGGAATGGAAGGGAATGGAATGGAATGGACTCGAATGGAGTTGAATAGAATTGACAAGGAATTGAATTGAATGTAATGTAATGGATTGGAATAGAATGGAATGGAATGGAATGGATTCAAACGCAGTGGAATGGATTGGACTCAAATTGAATAGAATGGAATTGACTCAATTGGAATAAATTGGAATGTACCCTAATGGAATGGAAAAGAATGGACTCGAATGGAAATGAATGGAATGGAATGGAATGGACATGAATTGAGTGGAATGCAACGGAATAGAAAGGAATGGATTTGAGCTGAATGGATTAGAATGGAATGGAATCAAACGGAGTTGAATGAAATGGAATGGAATGGATTTGAATGGAACGGAATGGATTTGAATGGAATGTAATGAAACGGAATGGAGGGGAAAGGACTCAGAGTGAATGTAATGGAAGGGACTCAACTGTAATGGAATGGAATGGACTCAAATGCCTTAGAATGGAATGGAATAGACCCGAAAGGAACGTGTTGGAATGGACACGATTGGAATGGAATGGAATGGAATGGACTTGAATGGAATAGAATGGAAAGGAATGGAATGGAGTCGAATGATATGGAATGGAATCAAATGGATTTAAATGGACTCGAGTGGAATGGAATGGAATGGAATGGAATGGACTTGAATGGAATGGATTGGAATGGATTCTAATGGAATGAAGAGGAATTTATTGGATTTGATTCAAACGGTATATAATGGTATGGAATGAACTTGAATGGAATGGAAGGAAATGGACTCAAATTGAATGGAATGGAATGGAATGGACTCGAATGAAATAGAAATGAATGGAATGGAATTTAATCGAATGGTACGGAATGGATATGAATGGACTCGAATGGAATGAAATGGAAAGGAATTGGAAAACATGGAATGGAATAGAGTGAAATGTAATGGTAGGGAAGGGAATGGAATAGACTCGAATGAATTGGATTGGAATGAACTCCAATGGAATGAAATGGACTCGAATGGAATGGAGTGTAACGGAAAAGACTCGAGTAGAATGGAATGGAATGGAATGACCACTAATGTGATGGAATGGTATGCAATTTACTCGAAAGGAATGGAATGTAAAAGACCCGAATGGAATGCACTGGAATGTAAGGAAAAAGATTGGACTCGAATGGAATGGAATGGAATGGAATGGAATGGAATGGAATGGAATGGAATGGAATGGAATGCAAGAAACCCAAATGCGATAGAATGGATTGGAATGGACTCGAAAGGAATGGACCCGAATGGAATGGAATGAAATGGAATGGAATGCAATAGACTCAAGTGGAATGGAATGGAAAGGAATGGACCCGATTGATATGAAATGGAATGGAATGGACTTGAATTGAATTTTAAGGAATTGACCAGAATGGAATGGAATGGAATGGAATGGAATGGAATGGCATTGAGAGGTATGCAATGGAATGGGCCTGAATGGAATAGAACGGAATGGAATGGAATGGAATGGAATGGAATGGAATGGAATGGAATGGAATGGATTGGAATGGAATGGAAAGGACTCGAAAGGAATGGAATGGAATGGACTGGATTGGAATGGAATGGACATAAATGGAAGGGAATGGAATGGAATGAACTCAAATGGAATACAATGGAATTTAATGGAATGGACTCTAATTTAATGGAAAGGAATGGAATGGACTTGAATGGAATAGAATGGAATAGACTCGAATGTAATAGAATGGACTGAAAAGGAATAGAATGGAATGGACTCGAATGGAATAGAATGGAATTGAATGGACTCCAATGGACTGGGATGGAAAACATGGAATGGAATGGAATGGAATGGAATGGAATGGAATGGAATGGAATGCAATGCAATGCAATGCAATGGAGTGGAATAGAATCAAATGGAATGGAATGCAATAGAATGGACTCGAATGGAAAGGAATGGAATTGACTCTAGTGGAATTGATGGGAATGGAGCCAAATGGAATGGAATGGAATGGTATGGACTCAAATTGAATGCAATGGAATGGATTCTGCTCAAATAGATTGGAATGCAATTGAATGGAAAAGAATGGAATGGAGTAGAATGGACAGGAATTGAATGGGTTTGAATGGAATGGACTCGAATAGAATTTGAAGGAATGGACTCAAATGGAATAGTGTGGAATGGAGTGAACTCGAGTACAATGTAATGGATTACACTCGAATCGAATGGAATTTACTCTAACGTAATGGAGTGGAATGGTGTCTTTTGGAACGGAATGGCATTGAATGGACTCGAATGGTATGGAATGCAGTGGAGTGGACTCGAATGGCATGCAATGGAATGGAATAGACTAGAGTGGAATGGAATGGAATGGGATGGATTCGAATGAAATGGAATGCAGTGGAATGAAGTCGAAAGGCATGCAATGGAAAGGAATAGACTCGAATGGAATGCAATGGAATGGACTCGAATGGAGAGGATTTGAATGGACCCAAATAGAATGGAACGGAATGTAATGGAATGGAATGGAAGGGAAGAGACTGGAATGGAATGGGTTTTAATGGAATGGACTCGAATGGAATGGAAGGCATTGGACTCAAATGGAATGGAACAGACACGAAAGGAATTGGAATGCATGGACACGAATGTAATGGAATGAATTGGAATCGAGTCGAGGAGAATGGAATGGAAAGGAATGGATTTGAATGCAATGGAATGCAGTGGAATGGACTCGAATGAAATGGAATGGAATAGAATGGAACCCTATGGAATTCAACGGAATTGAATGGACTCGAAAGGAATGGAATGGAATGGAATGGAATGGGATCGAATGGAATGAAATGGAATGGAATGGAATCGAATTGAAGGATATGGAATACAATGGAATGGACTCAAAAAGAATGCAATGAAATGGAGTCGAATGAAATGGAATAGACTAGAATGGGATGGAATGGAATGGAATGGACTCAAATGGAAGGGAATTGAATGGACTCTATTGGAATGGGAAGGAATGGAATGTACTCGAATGGAAAGGAATGGAATGGACTTAAATGGAACAGAATGGAATGGAATGGACTCGAATGGAAGGTAAAGGAATGTGCTCGAATGGAATGAAATGGACTCAAAAGAAGGTTATGGAATGCACTCGTATGGAATAGAATGGATTGGAATGGACACGAATGGAAAAAAATGGAATGGACTCAAATGGAATAGAATGGAATGGACTCGAAAGGAATGGAATGGAAAGGAATGGAATCGAAAGGAATGGAATGGAATGGAAAGGATTCGAATGCAATGGAATGGAATGGACTCGAATGGAATGGGTTGGAATGAAATTGACTCAAACGGAATGGAATGGAATGAAATGGACTCGAATTGAATGGAATGGAATGGACTTGTATGGAATGGAAAGGTCTTGAAAGGAATGCAATGCAATGCAATGGACTCGAAAAGAATGGAATGGAAAGGATTGGAATTGTATGGAATAGAATGCAATGCACTCAAAAGGATTGGAGAGGAATGGAGTGGACTCGAATGGAATGGATTGTAATGGTATCAAATGAAAAGAATTGGAATTGAAAGCAATCGAATTTAATAGAATATAACGGAATGCAATGGACTCAAATATAATGGAATGTAATGGAATGAAATTTACTCGAATGGAGTCGAATGGAAAGGAATACAATCGAAAGGAATGGAATGGAATCGAATGGAATGGAAAGAATTGGTCTCGAATGGAATGCAATTGTAATGTATGGACTCGAAAGAAATGGAATGGAATGGAATGGAATGCAGTCGAGTGGAATGGAATGGAATGGAATGGAATTGACTGGAATGGAAAGCAATGGATTCTAACGGAATGGAATGGAATGGACTCGAATGGAATGGAATGGAATGGAATAGAATGGAATGGAATGGAATGGACTCAAAAAATGGAATGGAATGCAATGGAATGGACTCGAATGTAAAGTAATGGAATGGACTCGAATGCAAAGAAATGAAATGGAATAGACTCTAAAGGAATGGAATGCAATTGACACGCATGGAATTGAATGGACTGGACCTCAAATGGAAGGCATTGAAGGGAATGGACTGGATTGGATTGGAAAGGAATGCAATGGACTCAAATGAAATGGAATGGAATGGAATGGATTCGAACGAAATGGAAAGGAATGAACTCGAATGAAATGAGTTGGAATGGAATGGACTCAAGTGAAATAGAATGGAGTGGAATGGACAGGAATGGAATGGAATGGAATTGATTCGACTGGAATGCAATGGAATCGAATGCAATGGAATGCAGTGAAATGGACTCGAATGGAATGGAATCAAATACAATGGAATGCAGTGAAATGGACTCGAATGGAATGGAAAGGACTGGAAACGAATGGAATAGGATGGAATGGAATGGACTCGAATGGAATGGAAGAGAATGGAATGGAATGGAATGGAATGGAATTGATTCGACTGGTATGAAATGCAATGGAAAGGAATTGAATGTAATGGAATGGAAAGGATTCGAATGGAATGAAATGGAATGGAACGGAATGGAATGGGATGGAATGATATGTACCTAAATGGAATGGACTCGAACGGAATGCAATGAAATGGAGTCGAATGGAATGGAATGCAGTGGAATGGAATATTATGGAATGGAAAGGAATAGAATGGAATTGAATGGAATTGAATGGACTCGAATGGAATAGAATGAAATCGAATGAAATAGGAATGGAATGGAAAGAAACGGAATGGAATGGACTCGAATAGAATGGAATGGAATGGAAAAAAACGGAATGGAATGGACTCGAATAGAGTGGAATGGAATGGAATGGAATGGAATGCTTGGAATGGATTCGAGTGCAACGAAATGGAATCGAATGCACTAGAAAGGAATGGATTGGAATGGAAAGGAATGGAATGGAATGAAGTGGAATGGAATGGAATGGAATGGAATGGAATGCAATGGAATGCAATGGAATGGAATAAAATGGGCTCAAAACCAAAGGAATGGCACGGACCTGAATGGAAAGGATAGGAATTGATTCGAACGGAATAGAATGGAATGGACTCGAATGGAATGGAATGCAATGGAGTGGACTTTAATGAAATGGAATCGAATGGACTCGAATGGAATGGAATGGAATGGAATTGAATGGTCTCGAAAGGAATGGAATGAAATGCAACAGAAAGGGCTCGAATGGAATCGAATGGAATTGACTCAAATGGAATAGAATAGAATGGACCCGAATGGAATGGACTGTAGTGGTCTCGAATGGAATGGAATGTAATGGAATGGACTCGAATGGAATGGAATGGGGTGGAATGGACTCGAATGGAATGTAATTCAATGGAATGAAATGTATTAGAATGGAATGGAATTGAATGGACTAGAATGGAATGGGTTGGAATGCAATGGACTCAATTGCAATGGAATGTAAAGGACTTAATCGGAATAGAATGGATTGGAATGGATTCGAATAGAATGGAATGGACTCGAATGGAATGGAATGGAATGGACCCGAATTGCATGGAATGGAATGGGATCGAATGGAAAGGAATGGAATGGTATGGAATTGAATGGATTTGAAAAGAAGAGAATGGAATGGAGTAGAACAGAATCAAAAGGAAGAGAGTGGAATGGACTCAAATGGAATGGAATGGACACAAAAGCAATGGAATGGAATGGAATGGACTTGAATGGATTATAACTGAACTGAATGAAAAGGTCTCCAATGGAATGAAATGGAATTGACTCAATTGGAATGTAATGGAATGAAACGGACACAGATGGAAAGGAATGGAATGCAATGCAATTCAACTGACTAGAAAGGAATGGAATGGAATGCAGTGGATTGGACTCAAACGTAATGGAATTGAATTGACTACAATGGAATAGAATGGAATTGAATTTTCTCAAAAGGAATGGAATGGAATGCAACGGAATGGACTCGGATTGAATGCAATGGAATTCTCTCGAAAGGAAATGAATGGAATACACTCAAAAAGAATGGAATGGAACAAAATTGACACGAATGGAATGAAATGGACTTGAATGAATCGCAAAAGAATGGAAAAGAATCGAGTGGAATGGAATGGAATGGAATGGAATCGACTCAAATGGAATGGAACGGAATGGAATGGACTCAAAAGGAATGGAATGGAATGGACCCGAATGGAATCGAAAGGAATGGAATGGAGTTGAATGGAATGTAATTGAAAGCACTCGAATGGAAAGGGATGGGATGAACTGCAAACGAACGCAATGGAATTGAATGGAATGGAGTCGAATGGAACGAAATACAATGGATCCGAATGGAATGGAAAGGAATGGAATGGACTCAAATGGAATGGAATTGAACGAAATGGAATGGACTCGAATGGAATGGAATGGAATGGAATGGAATAGAATGGATATGAATTTAATAGAATGGAATGGAATCAAAATGGAATGGAATGGACTCGAATTGAATGGAATGGATTGCAAATCATTCAAGTCGAATGGAATGGAATGGACAAGAATGGAATGGAATGGAAAGGAATGGACCCAAGGGGAATGGAATGGAATGGAATGGAATGGAATGGAACGGACTCGAATGCAATGGAATGGAATGGAATGGAATGGAATGGAATGGAATGGAATGGAATGGAATCAAATTTAACGAAATGGAATGGATTGGACTCCAATGGAATGGAATGGAATTTAACCGATTGGAATGGAATCGAATAGATTGGAAACAAATAGAATGGAATGGAATGAAATGTAATGGAAAGGAATGGAATGGAATGGAACGGAATGGAATGGAATGGGTCGGACTGGACTGGAATGGAACTAAATGGAATGGAATGCATTGGAATGGAAAGTAATGGAACAGGCTGGAATGGAATGGAACAGACTGGAATGGAGTGGATTGGACTTGATTGGAATAGAATGGAATGGATTGGAATGGACTCGAATGTAACGGAGTGGAATGGATTCCAGTGTAATGGAATGAACACGAACGGAATAGAATGGAATAGAATTGACTCGTATGGAATAAAATGGAATTTAATGGAATGGACTCTAATGGAAGGTAATGGAATGGACTCCAATGGAATAGAATAGAGTGGAATCCAGTCGAATGCAATGCAATGGGATGGACTCGAATGGAATGGACTCGAATGGAATGGAATGGAATGGAATTGAATGGTCTCGAAAGGAATGGAGTGGAATGCAATGGAATGAACTTGAATGGAATGTCATGCACTAGAATCGAATGTAATGGAATGCAAAGGAACAGACTCGAATGGAATGCATTTGAATGGATTGGACTCGAAGGGAAGGGAGTGGAATTGAATGGAATGAAATGGAATGGAGTGGAATTTAATAGAATGAAATGGAAAGGAATGGAATGCAATCGAATGGAAACAAATGGATTCAAATGGAATGGAATGGAAAGGACCCACATGGAATGGAATGGAAAGATATGATGTTGAATGGAATTGACTCGAAAATAATGGAATAGAATGTGTCCAAAAGGAATGGAAAGGATTGGAATGGAATGGAATGGAATGGAACGGAATGGAATGGACGTGAATGGAATGGACATGAATGGAATAGAAAGGAATGGAATGGAATGGAATGGACTCGAATGGAATAAAATGGAATTTAATGGAATGGACCATAAAGTAATGGAATGGAATGGATTTGAATGGACTAGAATGGAATGCACTTGCATGGAATGTAATATAATGGAGTAGACTCGAATGGAATGGAACGGAATGGACTTGAATGGAATCTAATTGAATTCAATGGACCCGAAAGGAACGGAATGGTGTGCAATGGAATGGACTTGAATGGTATGGAAAGAATTGGACATGAATGGAATTGGATACAATGGAATAAAATTGAATGCAATGGAATGGAATTGACTTGAATGGAATTGAATGGAATGGAATAGACTCAAAAGGAATAGAATGGAATGGGAGGGACTGTAATGGATTGGAATTGAATGGACTCAAAAGGAATGGAATGGAATGGAATGGACTCTAATGGAATGGAATGGAATCGAAGAGAATGGAATGGAATGGACTTGAATGAAATGGAATGGAATGGAATAGACTCGAATGGAATGGAATGGAGTGAAATGGAATAAACTCGATTGCAAAGGAATGGAATGGAAGTCTATGGACTAGAAGAGAATGGAATCGAAAGGAATGGATTGAAATGAAATGGAATCAAACTGGTTGAAATGGAATGCATTCAAATGGAATGGAACGGAATGGACTAAAATGGAATAGAATCGAATGCAATGGACACAAATGGAATGCAATGGAATGGACTCGAATGGAATAGAATAGACAAGAATGGAATGGAAAGCAGTGGAATGGAATGGAATGGACTCGAATGTAATGGAATGTACTCGAATGGAATGGAATGGAATGGAATGGAATGGAATGGAATGGACTCGAATTGAATGCAACTGAATTTAATGGACTCGAAAGGAATCAAATGGATTGGAATGGAATGGAAGGGACTGGAATGCAATGGACTCGAATGGAATGGAATGGAATGGACTCGAAGGGAAATAAATGGAATGGAATGGAATGGAATGGAATGGAATGGAATGGAATGGAATTGAAAGGAATGGAATGGAATCCAATGGACTCGAATGGAATGGAAGGAAATGGAATGGAATAGAATGGACTTGAATTGAATGGAATGGATTGGACTCAAATGGAATGCAGTAAAACGGAAACAACTCAGGTTTAATGGAATGGAATGGAATGGACTCAAAAGGAATGGAATGGAATCGAATTACTCGAAAGGAATGGAATGGAATGGAATAGAATGGACTCGAAAGGAAAGGAATGGAATGGATTCGAATGGAATGGAAAGGACTCGAATGGAATGCAATGGAAAGGAAACGACTCGAGTTTAATGGAATGGAATGGAATGGACTCGAATGGAATGGAATGGAATGCACTCGAATGCAATGGAATGGAATGGAAAGGACCTGACAGTAATGGAATGGAATTGAATGGACTCTAATAGAATAGAATGGAAAAGACTTGAATGAAACGGAATGGAATGGATTGGAATTGAATGGAAAGTAATGGAATGGAATGCACTAGAATCAAATAGAATGTAATAGAAAGGAATGGATTCCAAAGGAAGGGAATGGAGTGTACAAGAATGGAATGGGATGGCAAAAAATGGAATGAAATAGAATGGAATGGAACACAATGGAATTTAATGGAATGGACTGTAATGGAATGGAAATGAATGGACTCAAAAGTAATGGAATGGAAACGAATGGATTCGAAAAGAATGGAATGGAATGCAATGGAATTCACCCGAATGGAATGGAACGGAAAGGACTCGAAAGCAATTGAATGGAATTGAATGGAATCGAAAAGAATGAAATGCAATGCAATGGAATGGACTCGAATGGAATGGAATGGAATGGACTCGAATGGAATGGAGGGCATTGGAATGGTCTCCAATGGAATGGAATGGAATGGACAGGAATGGAATGGAACTGAATGGAATCGAAGGGACTGGAATGGAATGGAATTGAATGGAATGAAAACGACTTGAATGGAACGGAATGGAATGGACTCAAATTTAATGGAATGGACTCGCCTGGAAGAGAAAGAACTCGAATGAAGTTGAATGGTATGGAACCGACTCAATTGGAATGGAATGGAATGGAATGGAATTGATTTGACTCGAATGGAAAAGAAAGAAATGGACTTGAATGGAATGGAATGGAATAAAATTGAATCCAGTGGAATGGAATGCAATGCAATGGAATGGAATGGAATGGAATGCAATGCAATGGACACGAATGGAACGTAAAGGAATTGACTCAAATATAATAGAAAGGAAATGACTCGATTGGAATGGCATGGAAAGTAATGGAATGGATTTGAATGGAATGGAGTATAATGGAATTAAATGGAATGGAATGGAATTGAAGGGACTCGAATAGAACAAAATATCTTGGTATGGAATGGACTCGAATGGAATGGAATGGAATGAAACGGACTCGAATGAAATGAAACGGAATGGAACGGACTCAAATGGAATGGAAAAGAATGGACTCAAATGGAATGGAATGGAAAGGACTCGAATGGAATGGAATGGAAAAGAATGGAGTTGAATGGAATGGAACGGAATGGAATGGATTTGAATGCAATGCAATGGAAAGGACTTGAATGGAATGGGTTGTAATGGAACGGACACAAATGGAATGGAATGGAATGGACTCGATTTGAATGGAATGGAATGGACTCGAATGGAATGGAATGGACTTGAACGGAATTCAATGCAATGCAATGGACTCGAATGGAGTGGAATGGAATGGATTTGAATGGAATAGAATGCAATGCACTCAAAGGGAATGGAGAGGAATGCAGTGCACAGGAATGGAATGGAATGGAATTGTTTCGAATGGATTACAATGGGATGGACTCGAATGGAATGGAATGGAATGGATTTGAATGGACTTGATTGTAATGGAATGGAATTGAAAGGACTCCAATGGAATGGAACGGGATGGACTGCAATGGAATGGGATGGAATGGAATGGATTCAAATTTAATGGAATGGAAAGGAATGGAATGGACTTGAATGGAATAGAATGGGATGGGATAGAATGGACTCAAAACAATGGAATGGAATGGAATGGAATCGAATGGAACCTAATAGACTCGAATGGAATGGAGTGGAATTTAAAGTAATAAACTGTAATGAAACTGAGTCTAATGAATTGAATGGAATGCACACCAATGGAATAGAATGGAATGGAATTAAATGGAATGGAATGCAATGGAATGGACTCGAATGGAATGGAATGGAAGAGACATGAATGGAATGGAATGGAATTTAGCGGTCTAGAAAAGAATGGAATGGAATGTAACGGAATGGACACGAACGGAATGGAAAGGAATTGACTCGAATGGAATTTAATGGAATGGACCCGAATGGAATGGAATAGACTCAAATGGAATGGAAAGGAGTGGAATGGAGTCGAAAGGAATGGAATGGAATGAACTCGAATGGAATGGAATGGCATAGAATGGACTCCAATGGAATGGATTGGAATCCACTCGAATGGAATGGAATGGAATGGAATGGAATCAAAAAGAATGTAATGGAATGGAATGGAATATATTCTAATGGAATAGAATGGAAAGGACTGGAATGAAACGGAATGGAATGGATTGGAATTGAATGGAATGGTATGGAATGGAATGGACTTGAATCGAATAGAATGTAATGGAAACGAATGGACTCAAAACGAAGGGAATGGAATGGAATAGAATGGAATGGAATTGAAAAGAATAGAATGAAATAGAAAGCAATGAAAAACAATGGCATTTAATGGAATGGACTCTAATGGAATGGAAACGAAAGGACTCAAAAGTAACGGAATGGAACTGAATGGATTCGAAAACAATGGAATGGAAAGCAATGCAATGTACTCGAACCGAAAGGAATGGACTCGAAAGTAATTGAATAGAATTGAAAGGAATCAAAAAGAATGAAATGGAATGCAATGGAATGGACTCGAATGGAATGGAAAGGAATGGACTCGAAAGGAATGGAATGCATTGGAATGGTCTCCAATGGAATGGAATGGAATGGACTGGAATGGAATAGAATAGAATGGAATAGAATGGACTCAAATGGAATGTAATGGAATGGACTCAAAATTAATGGAATGGCATGGAGTCCAATGGAAGAGAAAGAACTCAAATGAAGTTGAATGGTATGCAATCGACTCCAGTGGAATGGAACGGAATGGAATGGAATGGAATGGAATAGAATAGAATGAACTCGAAAGGAAAGGAATGGAAAGGAATTGAATGGAATGGAATGGAATGGAGTAAAATTGACTCCAGTGGAGTGGAAAGGAATGGAATGGACACGAATGGAATGGAAAGGAATTGACTCAAAAGTAATAGAAAGGAAATGACTCGATTGGAATGGAATGGAAAGTAATGGAATGGATTCGAATGGAATAAGTTGAAATGGAATAGAATGCAATGGAATGGAATTGAAGGGACTCGAATAGGTCAAAATGTCTTGGTATGGAATGGACTCAAATGGAATGGAATGGAATGGAATGAAACGGACTCGAATGGAATGGAATGGAATGGACTCGAATGGAATAGAATAGAATGGACTCCAATGGAATTGAATGGAAAGGAATGGAATCTAATGGAATGGAACGGAATGGAATGGATTTGAATGCAATGAAATGGAATGGACTTGAATGGAATGTGTTGGAATGGACTCAAGTGGAATGGAATGGAATGGACTCAAATGGAATGGAATGGAATGGAATGGACTTGAACGGAATTCAATGCAATCGAATGGACTCGAATGGAATGGAATGGAAAGGAAAGGAATGGAATGGAATGGATTTGAATGGAATAGAATTGAATGCACTCGAAAGGAATGTAGAGGAATGGAGTGGACTGGAATTGAATGGAATGCAATTGACTCAAATGGAATGCAATGGAATGCAATGGAATGGACTCGAATGGAATGGAATGGAATGGATTTGAAAGGACATGATTGTAATGGAATGGAATTGAAAGGACTCCAATAGAATGGAACAGAATGGACTCTAATGGAATGGAATGGATTGGAATTTAATGGAATGGAAAGGAATGGAATGGACTTGAATGGGATTGAATGGAATGAGATGGAATGGAATCAAAGCAATGTAATGTAATGGAATCGAATGGAACCTAATAGACTCGAATGGAATGGAATGGAACTTAACGGAATAAACTGTAAAGGAAGTGGGCCTTATGAATTGAATGGAATGCACACCAATGGAATAGAATGGAATGGACTTAAGTGGAATGGAATATAATGGAATGGAATCAAATGGAAGGGAATTGAAGAGACTTGAATGGAATCAAATGGAATTTAGTTGTCTAGAAAGGAATGAAATGGAATATAATAGAATGGACTCGAATGGAATGGAAAGCAATTCACTCGAATGGAATTTAATGGAATGGACCCGAAAGGAATGGAATGGAATGGATTCCAATGGAATGGAACGGAATGGGGAGGAATGGACTCGAATGGAATGGAATGGAATGGATTGGAATGTACTCGAATGGAATGGAATGGATTGGAATGGACACGAATTGAATGGAATGGAATGGAATGGAATGGAATGGAATGGAATGGAATGGATTTGAATTGAATGGAATGGAAAGGACTCGAATGGAATGGAATGGAATGGACTCCAATGTAGTGCAATGGAATTGAAAGGACACGAAAGGAATGGAATACAGCTGAATAGTATGGATTCGAATGAAAAGGAATGGAATGGAGTGGAATGGAATGGAATGGAATGGAATGGAATGGAATGGAATGGACTCAAACGGAATGCAAATGAATCAAATGGACCTCAAAAGAATGGAAGGGAATGGACTGGACTCGAATAGAATGGAATGGAATTTAATGGAATGGACACTAATGGAATGGAAACTAATCTAATGGAATGGAATGGATTCAAACGGAATAGAATTCAATGGACTCTAAAGGAGTGGAATGCAAAGAAATGGTATCGAATGGAATGGAATGGAATTGACTCACATGGAATGGAATGGAATGGAATGGAATGGCCTCGAAAGGAATAGAAAGCAAGGAATGGACTCCAAATGATTGGAATGAAATGCAATGGACTCGAGTGGAATGGAATGGAATGGATTCGAATGGAATGTAATGGAATGGAATGTAACAGAATGGACTCGAATGGAATGGAAAGGAATTGAATGGAATGGAATGGAAAGGAATGGAATGGAATGGAATGGCATGGAATGGCATGGACTAGAATTGAATGAATTGAAATGGAATAGAAAGGACTCTAATGGAAAGGAATAGAAAGGAAAGGATTCGAATGGAATGGAATTTAATCGAATGGAGTGGAATGGAATGGAGTCTAATGGAATGGAATTGAATGGAATGGAATGGATTCGAATGAAATGGAATGCACTCTAGTAGAATGGAATGGAGGAGAAAGGACTTGAATGGAATGGCATGGCATCGAATAGAAAGGAATGGACTCTAATGTATTGGAATGGAATGGAGTCACATGGAAAGGAATCGAATTTAATGTAATTGAATGGAATGGAACGGATATGAATGTACATGAATGGAATTGAATGGACTTGAATGGAAAGGAATGGAATTGAATGGAATGGAAGGCACTCGAATGGAATGGAATAGAAGGGAATCCACTCGATTAGAATGAAATGGAATGGAATGGACTCGAATGGAATGGAATGGAATGGAATGGATTGGAATGGAATGGAATGGACACGAATGGAATGGAATGGAATAGAATGGAGTGCAGTGGAAAAGGAATGGAATGGAATGGAATGGAATGGAATGGAATGGAATGGACTCGAATGCAATGGAATGGAATGGAATGCGCTCAAATGGAATGGAATGGAATGTAAGGGACTCAAAAGGAATGGAAAGGAATGGAATTTACTCGAATGGAAGGAAAGGAACCGAATAGAATGGAGTACAATGGAATGCAAAGGACCCCGAAGGAATGGAATGGAATGGACTGGAATGGAATGGATTGGAATGGACTTGAATGGTAAAGAACGGAATTTAATGGAATGGAATTGAAGGAAATGAAATGGATTGAACAGAAATGGAATGGAATGTACTCGAAAAGAATGGAGTGGAATTTAATGGAATGGACACTAAAGGAATGGAATCTAATGGAATGGACAGGAATCAACCCGTGTGGAATGGAAAGGAATGGAATGGAATGGAAAGGAATGGAATGGCACTGAATGGAATCAACACGAGTGGAATGGAATGGAATGGAATGGAATGGATTGGAATGGAATGGAATCAACCCGAGTGGAATGTAATGTAATGGAATGGAATGGCATGGAGTGGAATGAACGTGAGTGGAAGGGAAAGGTATGGAATGAAATGGAATGGAATGGAATGGTATGGAAAGGAATGGAATGGAAAGGAAAGAAATGCAATGGAATCAAAACGAGTGGAATGGAATGGAATGTAAAGGAATGGAGTGGAATTCAATAGAATCATCCCGAGTGGAATGGAATGGAAAGGTATTGAACGGAATGGAATGGAATGGAATGGAATCCAATCCAGTGTAAAGGAATGGAACGGAATGGAATGGAATGGAATGGAAAGGAATGAACTGGAATGGAATAAATTCGAGTGGAATGGAATGGAATGAAAAGTAATATAATGTAAATGAATGGAATACACCTGATTGGAAAGGAAAGGAATGGAATGGAATGGAATGAATGGAATGGATTGGAATGGAATCAACCCGAGTGGAAAGGAATGGAATGGAATGGAATGGAATGGAATGGAATGGAATGGAATGGAACGGAATGGAATGGAATGGAATGGAATGGAACGGATTGGAATGGAATCAACCAGTGTGGAATGGATAGGAATGGAATGGAATGGAATGGAAAGCAATGGAATGGAATGGAATGGAAAGGAACCGAATGGAATGGAATGGAAGGGAATGGAATCAACCCGAGTGGAATGGAATGGAATTAAATGGAATGGAATGGAATGGAATGGAATGAAATGGATTGGAATCAAACCGCATGGAATATAGTGGATTTGAATGGAATGGAATCAACATGATAGGAATGGAAAGGAATGGAATGGAATGCAAAGGAATTGAATGGAAAGGAATAGAGTCAACCCTACTGGAATGGAAGGGAATGGAATGGAAAAGAATGGAATGGAATGGAATGCAATGGAATCAACCCGAATGGAATGGAATGGAATGGAATGGAATGGAATGGAATGGAATGGAATGGAATGGAATGAAATGGAGTAAAACGGACTGCAATGGAATGGAATGGAATGGAATGGAATGAAATGGAGTAAAACCGACTGCAATGTAAAGGAATGGAATGGAATGGAATGGGACGGAATGGAATGGAATGGAATGGAATGGAATGGAATGGAATGCATTCAAAATGAGAGGAATGGAATGGAATGGAGTGGAATGGAATGGAATGACATGGAATAGAATGAAATGGAATGCAATGGAATGGAATGGAATGGAATAAAACCAAGTGGAATTGAATTGAATGGAATGGAATGGAATGGAATGGAATGGAATGGAATCAACACAAGTGGAATGGAATGGATTGGAATGGAATGGAATGGACTTTACACGAGTGGAATGGAATGGAATGGAATGGAATGGAATGGAATGGAATGGAATGGAATGAATGGAATCAACCTGACTGAAATGCAATGGAATGGAATGGAATGGAATGGAATGGAATGGAATGGAATGGAATCAACACGAGTGGAATGAAATGGAATGGAATGAAATGAAATGGAAAGGAATGGAATGGAATCAACACGACTGGAATGGAATGCAATGGAATGATATAGAGTGGAATGGAATCCACCCGAGTGGAATGGAATGGAATGGAATGGAATGGAATGGAATGCAATGGAATGCAATGGAATGGAAGCAACCCGAGTGGAATGGAATGGAATGGAAATGAATGGAATGGAATGGAATGGAATCAAGCCGAGTGGAATGGAATGGAATGCAATGAAATGGAATGGAATGGAATGGAATGGAATGGAATGGAATGGAATGGAATGGAATGGAAAGGAATGGAATCATAGCGAGTGGAATGGAATGGAATGAAATGGAATGGAATGCATTTCAATGGAATGGAATGGAATGGATTCAACGCGAGTGGAATGGAATGGAATGGAATGGAAGGGAATGTAATGGAATGGAATCAACCCGAGTGGAATAGAATGGAATGGAATGGAATGGAATGGAATGGAAGGGAATGGAATGGAATGCAATGGAATCAACCCGAGTAGAATGGAAAGGAAGGGAACGGAATGGAATGCAATGCAATGGAATCCACCCGATTAGAATGGAAAGGAATGACATGGAATGGAATGGAATGGAATGGATTGGAAAGGAATGCAAGGGCATGGAATGGAATGGAGTCAACTGGAATGGAATGGAATGGAATGGAATCAACACGAGTGGAATGAAATGGAAAGGAACGGAATGGAAAGGAATGGAATGCAAAGGAACTGAATGTAATGGAATCGAATGCAGTGGAATTGAATGGAATGGAATGGAATCAATGTGAGTGTAATGGAATGGAATGGAACGGAATGGAGTGGAATGCAATGGAATGGAATGGAATGGAATCAATGCGAGTGCAATGGAATGGAATGGAATGGAATGGAGGAAATAGAATGGAATCGATTTGAATTGAATGGAAACAACTGGAATGGAATGGAATGGAATGGAATGGAATGGAATGGAATGGAATGGAATGGAATGGAATGGAATGCCATGGAATGGAATGCCATGGAATGGAAACGAATGAAATGGAATGCTATGGAGTCAAGTGGAATCAAATGGAATGGATTTGAATGGGATGTAATGGAAGTGAATGGAACGGAATGGACTCGAGTGGAATGGAATGGAATTGAACGGAATGGAATGGAATGGAATGGCATGGACTTGAATGGAAAGAAATAGAATGGAATATAAAGGATTCAAGTCGAATGGAATGGAAAGGAATGGAAACGAATGGAATTCAGTGGAATGGAATGCAAAGAAATGGACCGAAATGGAATGGAATTGAATGGAATGGACTGGACTCGAATGGAAAGGAATGGAATCGAATGGATTGGAATGGAATGGAGTCGAATGAAATGGAATGGAATTGAATGATCTCGAATGGAAAGGAATGGATTTGAATGTACTCGAAAGTAAAGGAATGCACTTGAATGGAAAGGAATGCACTCGAATAGAATGGAATTAACTCGAATGGATTGGAATGTAATGGAATAGACTCGAATGCAATTGAATGCAATGGAAAGGAGTGGAATGGAATGGAATGGAATGGAATGGACTCGAATGGCATGGATTGGAATGAAATAGACTCGAATGGAATGGACACAACTCGAATGAAGTTTAACGGAATGGACTCGAATGGAATGGAATGGAATGGAAAGGAATCCAATGTAATGGAAGGGAAAGGAATGACCTCAAATGGAATGGACTTGAATGGAATGGAATGGAATGGAAAAGAGTGAATAGGAATGCAAAGGAATGGAATGGAATGATGTCGAATTGCATGGAATTTAATGGAATAGAATGGAATGGAAAGGAATGGAATGGAATGATGTCGAATTGAATGGAATTTAATGGAATAGAATGGAATGGAATGGAATGGAATGGAATGGACTGGAATGGAACAGAATGGAATGGAATGGACTCGAACGGAATGCAATGGATTGGATTGGACACGAATGGAATGGATAAAATGGACTCGAATGGAATAGAATTGAAAGGACTCGAATGGAATGAAATGGACTCGAATGGAATGGAATGCAATGGAATGGACTCGAATGGAATGGAATGGAATGGAATGGAATGGACTCGAATGGAAATGAGTGGAATGAAATCGACTAGAATGGAATGGAATGGAATGGAATGGAATGGACCTGAAAGGAATGCAGTGAATGAACGGAATGGAATGAACTTGAATGGAAGAGAATTTAATGGAATGGATTGGACTTGAATGGAATGGGATAGAATGGACTCGAATGGAATGGAATGGAATGGACATGAATAAAATGGAATGGAATGGAATGGAACATACTTGATTGGAATAGAATGAAATTTAATGCAATGGAAACTCATGGAATGGAAGGGAGTGGACTCAAAAGGAAGAGAATGGAATGGACTCTGATGGAATGGATTGCAATGGAATGGATTCGAATTGAATGGAATGAAGCCAAATGGACTGGAATGAAATGTTATCAACTCGAGTTGAATGGAATGGAATGGAATGGACTCGAATGAATGGAATGCAATGTAATGGAATCGAGTGGAATGGAATGGAATTTACCCGAATGGAATGGCATGGACATGAATGCAATGAAATGGAAATGAATGGAATGCAATGGACTTGAAAGGAATGGAATGGAATAAAATGGACTCGAATGAAATGTAATAGACTCGAATTGAATGGAATGGAATTTACTTGAATGGAATGGAATTGACTCGAATGGAATGCAATGGAATGGACCTGAATCGAATGGAATGGAATGAAAATAAACAGAATGGAATGGAATGGAACAGACCCTAACGGAATGGAATGGAATGGAATGGAATGGAATGGAATGGAATGGAATGGAATGGAATGGAATGGAATGGACTCAAATGGAATGGAATGGAATGGAATGGAATGGAATGGAATGGAATGGAATGGAATGGACTCCAAAGGGATGGAAAGGAATGGAATGGAATCGAAAGGAATTGAAAGGAATGAACTCGAATGGAATGGAATTGAATGGACTCAAATGGAATGGAATGGACTCGAAGGGAATGGAATGGAACCGCTTGGATTGGAATGGAATCAAATGGAATGCATTGGAATGGAATGGAATGCACTTCAATGGAGTAGAATTGAAGGGAATGGATTCGAATGGAATGGAATGATCTCGAATGGAATGGAAAGGAATGGAATCGAATGGAATAGAACGGAATTGATTTGAATGAAACGGAATGGTGTGGACTCGAATGGAATGTGTTGCAATGGAATGGACACGAATTGAATGAAATGGAGTGGACTCAAATTGAATATAATGGAATGGAATGGACTAGAATAGAATGGAATGGATTGGACACGAATGGAATTGAATGGAGACGAAGGGAATGGAATGGAATAGACTGTAATGGACTCGAATGGAATTGAATGGAAAGTAATGGAATGAACTCGAATGGAATGGAATGGACTAGAATGGAATTTACTGGAATGGACTCGATTGGAATGCAATTGAATTGAGTTGAATGCAATTGAACGGAATGTAAAGGAATGGAATGGAATGGAAACGAATTGAATGGAAAGGAATGGAATGGAAGATAATGGAAGGGAATGGACTCGAATGGAATGGATTCGAATGGAATGTTCTCGAATGGAATAGATTCAAACGGAATGGACTGCAATGGAATACATGGGAATGGAATAGTGTGGAATGGAATGGTCTCGACTGAAATAGAATATACTGGAATGGAAATGAATAGAATAAAAAGAAATGGAAAGGAATTTATTCAAATGGAATGGAATAGAATGGAATGGACTCAAATGGAAATTACTTGAATAGAATGGAATGGAATGGAATGGAATGGAGTCGAATGGAACGGACTCTAACGTAATGCACTGGAATGGAAAGGACTCGAAAGGAATTGAATTGAATGGAATGAAATCAAATGGAATGGAATCGAGTTGAATGGAATGGAATCGAATGGAATGTTAACGAATGGAATGGAAAGGATTGGAATGGAATGCATTGGAATCAAATGTAATTGAATGGAACGGAATCGATAGGAATGGAAGGGACCCAAATGGAATGGACTAAAAAAGAACGGACTCGAAAAGAATGGAATCTAAAGAATGTAATGGAATGCAACCGAACGGAATACAATCGAACGGACTGGAATACAATGTAAGGGAATGGAATGGAAAGGACTCGAATGTAATGAACTGGAATGAAATGGAACCGCATGGAATGGAATGAAATGGAATTGACTCGAATGTTATATACCAGAATTGAATGGACTCGAATGTAATAGACTTGAATGGAATGGAACAGAATGGAAAAGAATGGAATGGAATGCAATGGACTCCAATGTAATGCACTGGAGTGGAATGGACATGAATGGAATGGACTCGTATGGAATGGACTGGGAAGGAATGAACCCGAATAAAATGGACTCCAATGGAATGAAAATGAATGGAATGGAATCGAACGGAATGGAATCGAATGGAATGGAATCGAATGGAATGGAGTTGACTGGAATGGATTTGAATGAAATGGACTTGAATGGAATCGAATCGAATATAAAGGAATGGAGTGGAATACAATGGAAAGGAAAGGAATGGAATGGAATGGAATGAAATGAAATGGAATGGAATGGAATAGAATGCAAAGGAATCAAATGGAATGGACTCCATTGGAATACACTGGAATGGTATAGACTCAAATGCAATAGACTCGCATGTAATGTAATCGGATGAAATGAAATCAAATCGAATTGAATGAAATGTAATGGAAGGCATCAAATCAAATGGAATGCAATGGAATGGAAGGGAATGGAATCGAGTGGAATGCAATGGAATGCAACTGAATGGAATGGAATGCAATGGAATGGAAATTAATTGAGAGAAATGGAGGGCAAAGAAGTAATTGAATGGAGTGGACTGGGATGGAATCCAGTGGAGTACAGTGGAGTGGAATGGAATGGAATGGAATGGAATGGAATGGAATGGAATGGAATGGACTTGAATAGAATAGGATTTAATGTAAAGGAATGGAATTGATTGCAAAGAAATTGAATGCAATACAGTCCAATGGAATAGAATTGAATGAAATCGAATGTAATAAAAGGGAACTTAATCGAATGGAATGGACTCCAATAGAATAGATTGGAATGGAAGGGAAGTGAATGGAATGTACTCGAATGGAATGGCCTGGAATGGAATGTACTCGAATGGAATTGACTCGAATGGAATGAATACGACTGGAATGGAATCGAATGGAATGGACTGGAATGGAATGGACTCAGATGGAATGTACTGGAATGTAATGTAGTCTAACGGTATGGACTCGAATAGAATGGAAACGAAAGGAATGTAATCGAATGGAAACGAATTGAATAGAATCAACTGGAATGGAATGGTCTAGAATATAACAGAATAGAATCACATGAATTCGAATGGAATTTAATCGAATGGAAAGGAATGGAATGGAATGGGGTCGGATGGAAATAAAATGAATGGAATGGAATCGAACGGAATGGAAAGGATTAGAATGGAATGGAATCTAATGAATTGGAAAGGATTAGTATGTAATGGACTGGAATGTAATGTACCCGAATGTAAGGAACTCTAATGGAATGGAATCGAATGGAATGGAATCGAAAGGAATGGAACCAAATGGAATGGAATCAAAGCGAATGGCATGCAGTGGAATTCGTTGGAATGGAATAGACTCAAATGGAATGGACACGACTGGAATGGAATCAAATGAAATGGAATCGAATGGAATGAAATCCAAAGGAATGGAATCAAAAGGAAGAGAATCAAATGGAACCGAATCGAATGGAATGGACGGGAATGGAATAGACTGGAATGGAAAGGCTGGAATGGAAAAGACTCAAATGGAATGGAATGGAAGGGAATGGAAAGGAATGAAAATGCGTGGAATCGAATGGAATGGAAATGAAGGGAATGGAATGGAAGGTAATGGAATAAATGGACTCCAATGGAATGCATTTGAATTGAATATACTCAAATGGAATAGATTCAAACGGAATGCATTGCAACGAAATACATTCGAATGGAATGGAGTGGAATGGAATGGTCTCGAACGGAATGGAATCGAATGGAATGGAGTCGAATATAAAGGAAAGGAATGGAATACAATTTAATCGAATGCAATCGAATTGAATGGAAAGGACTCGAATGGAGTGGACTCGAATAGAATGGAATGGAATTGAATGGAATGGACTCTAATGGAATGGACTGGAATGGAATGGACTCGAAAGGAATTGAATCGAATGGAATGGAATCAAATGGAATGGGATCGAATTGAATGGAATGGAATACAAGGGGATGTAATCGAATGGAATGGTAAGGATGGGAATAGAATGAAATGGAATGGAATTGAATCAAATTTAATTCAATGAAATGGAATGGAATGGACTTCAATGGTATAGAATGGAATGGAATGGAATGGAAAGGAATGGAATGGAATGGAAAGGAATGGAATGAAATGGAATGGAATGGACTTCAATGGAATAGAAGGGAATGGAATGGAATGGACTCGAAGGGAATGGAAAGCAATGGACTCGAAAGGAATGGAATGAACTCTAATGGAAGGGAATGGAATGTAATAGAATGGAATCTAATGGAATGGAATCCGATGGAATGGATTGGAATGCACTCGAACGGAACGGAATGGAATGGATTCGAATGGAATTGAATGCAATGGAATGGACTCGAATGGAAAGAATGGAATTGATTCGAATGGAAGTCAAGGGAATGGACTCGAATGGAGAAGAATGGAATGGACTCGAATGGAATGGTGTTGATTGGAATGGATTGGAATGGAATGGAGTGGAATGGCCTCGAATGAAATTAAGTGTACTCGATTGGAATGGAATGGAATGGAATGAAATGGACTCGGATGGAATGGAATGGTCTCGGACCAAATGGAATGGAATATTCTCAGACGGAATGAAATGGAATGGAACGGACTCGAATGAAATACAATGGAATTTGATGGAATGGACACCAATGGAATGGAATGCTGTTTACTCGAATGGAATAAAATGGAATGGACTTGAATGGAATGGAATACAATGCAATAGACTCGAATGGAATGGAAGGGAATGGACACAAATGGAACTGAAAGGAATTGAATGGATTAGAAAGGATTGGAATGAAATGCAATGCAATGGACTCAAATGTAATGGAATGGAACTGAATCAAAAGGAGTTCAATGGATTGGATCTGAATGAAATGGCATGGAATGGTATGGAATCGAATGGAATGGAATGGAATGGACTTGAGTGGAATGCAATGGAATGGAATGGAATAGATTCGAATCGAATGGAATCGACTCGAGTGGAATGCAACTGAATTGAATGGACTCGAAAGCAATAGAAAGGAATAGAATCGAAGGGAATGAACTCGTAAGGAATGGAATGGACTCAAATGGAAAGGATTTGAATGGAATGGAATTGACTCGACTGGAATGGAATGGAAAGGAATGGACTCGAATGGAATTGAATGGAAAGTAATGGACTCAAACAGAATGGAATGGAAAGGAATGGACATGAATGGAATGCAATGGACCCGAATTGAATGGAATGGAATCGAATGGAATGGAATGGACCCTACTGGAATGGAGAGGAATGGAAAGCACTGGAAAGGAATGGAATTGAATGAAATGCAATGGAATGTAATGGAATGGGCATGAATGGAATAGAATATAATGGAATAGATTGGACTTGAATGGAATGGAATGGAAAGGAATGGAATGGAATCAAATGTAATGGACTCGAGTGGAATAAAATGGAAAGGAATGGACTCGAATGGAATGGAATGGAAAGGAAAGGACTTGAATGGAATGGATTGGACCCGAACGGAATGGAATGGATTGGAATGGAATGCAATTGAATGTTATTGACTGGAATGGAATGGAATAGAATGGAATGTAATAGAAAGGAATGGAATGGAATAGAATGGAATGGAATGAAATGGAATGGAATTGAGTGGAATGGAAGGGAATGTAGTGGAACGGAGATGAGTGGAATTGAATGAAGTGTATTTGAATGGAATTGAATGGAACGGACTTGAATTGAATGGAAAGGAATGGACTCGAATGGAATGGAAAGGACTGGAATGGAATGGAATGGAATTTAATGGAATGGACTCTTTGGAATAGAATCCAATGGAATGGAATGGAATCGAATTGAATGGAATGGAATGAAATAGAGTCACATGGAATGGAATGCAATGGAATGGACTTAAATGGAATGGAATGGAATTGAGTCAAAAGGAATTGACTGAAATGGACTCTAGTAGAACAGAATGGGATGGACACAAAGGGAATGATGTGGAATTGAACAGACTCGAATGAAATGGAGTGGAACAGACACGAATGGAATGGAATTGAATGGAGTCAATTTGAATGGAATGTAATGGATTGAAACGGACTCGAAAGGAATGGAAAGGACTCAAATGGAATGGAATGGAATAGAATGGAATTGAAGCGAATGGAATGGCATTGACTGGAATGGAATGGAATGTACTCGAAAGGCATGGAATGGAATGGAATGGACTCCAATGGAAACGAATGGAAAGGAATGGACATGAAAAGAATGGAATGGATTCGAATGGAATGGAATGGACTGTACTGGAATGGAATGGAATGGAATGGAATGCACTGGATTGGAATGGAATGGAATGAAATGAAATGGAACGGAATGGAATCGAATGAGCTTGAATGGAATAGAAATTAATGGAATGGATTGGACTCGAATGGAATGGAATGGAATGGAATGGAATCAAATGGAATGGAATGGAGTGGAATGGAGCCACATGGAATCGAATGGAATGGAATGGATTCGAACAGAATGGAAAGGAAAAGACTCGAATGTAATGGGTTGGAATGGAATGGACTCTGATGGAATTGAATGGAATGGAATGGACTCAAATGGAATAGAATGGAATAGAACTGACTCAATTCGAATAGAACGGAATGGAATGGACTGGAATGGAATGGAATGGAACGGACTTGTATGGAATTAAATGGAAAGGAATGGAGACTAACAGAACACAATTAAATGGAATGGAATGTACTAGAATGGAATGGAATGCAATGGACACGAATGGAATAGTATGAAATGGAATCAGATGGAATGGAATGGATTGGAATGGAATTGACTCGAATGGAATGGACAGGAATGCAGAGGAATGGACTCAAATGGAATGGAATGGAATGGAGTGGAGTGGATCTGAATGGAATGGAATGGAATGGATTGGAATCAAATGGAATGGAAGGGATTCGAAAGGAATGTAATGGAATGGCCGCGAATGAAATGGGTTGGAATGGAATGGATTCTAATGGAATTGAATGGTATGCAACGGACTCAAATGGAATAGAATGAAATGGAATCGAATCAATTGGAATAGAATGGAATGGAATGAACCGCAAAGGAATGGAATGTAATGGAATCGACTGGAATGGAATGCACTAGTCTGGAATGTAATGGAATTTAATGGACACGAACAGAATAGAACGGAATGGAATGGAATGTACTAGAATGTAACTGAATGTAATGGATTCTAATGGAATGGAATGGAATGGACTCGAATGGAATGGGTTGGAATGGAAAAGACTCAAAACTAATGGAATGAAAAGGAATGGAATCATATGGAATCATATGGAATACAATGGACCACAGTGGAATGGAATAGAATGGATTGGAATGGAATGGAATGTCATGGAATGGAATGGAATGGAACAGAATGCCATGGAATGGAATAGAATGGAATGCAATGGAATGGAATGGAATGGAATGTTTTGGAATGGAGATGAGTGGAATGGATTGGAGTGGATTTGAATAGAAAAGAATGGAGTGGAATGCACTTGAAGGGAATGGAAAGGAATGAACTAGATTGAAATGGAATGGACTCGAATTGAATGGAATGGAATTTAATGGAATGCACTCTAATGGAATGGAATCTAATGGAATGGAATGGAATGGAAAGGAATAGAATGGAATGGAATAGAATGGAATAGACTCGCATGTAATGGAATGCAATGGAATGGAATGGACTCAAATGGAATGGAACAGAACTGACTCGAATGGAACTGACTGGAATGGACTCGAATGGAACAGAATGGGATGGACTTGAAGGGAATGGTGTGGAATGGAATGGACTCGAATGGAATGGAGTGGAATGGACTCGAATGGATTATAATTGAATGGATTCGACTTGAATGGAAGGTAATGGAATGAAATCGCCTCGAACGGAATCTAATAGAATGGAATGGAATGGTCTCAGACAGACTGGAATGGAATGCAGTGGAATGGACTCAAATTGAATGGAATGGAAAGGACCTGAATGGAATGGAATGGAATGGAATGTACTCGGATGGAATTGAATGGAATGGACAAGAATGGAATAGAATGGGATGGACTCAAATGGAATTGTGTGGAATGCAATGGACTCCAACGGATTGGAGTGGAATGGAATCGAAAGAATGGAGTAGAATTGACTCGATGTGAGTGGGAAGAAATGGAATGAAATTGACTCGAATGGGATGGAATAGTCTCGGACGGAATGGAATGGAATGGAAAGGAATGGAATGGAATGGAATGCAATGGAATGGAATAGACTGTAATGGACTCAAATGGAAAGGAATGGAATGGAACGGACTCGAAAGAAATACAACGAAATTTAATGGAATGGACTCTAATGGAATGGAACGGTGTGGACAAAAATGGACTAAAATGCACTGGACTCGAATGGAATGGAGTGCAATGGAATGGACTCGAACAAAATAGAATGGAATGGATTCGAATGGAATGAAATGGAATTGAATGGACTAGAAAGGATTGGAATGCAATGCAATGGAAAGGACTCGAATGGAATGGAATGCAATTGACTCCAATGGAATTGAATGGATTGGACCTGAATGGAATTGAATGGAATTGAATGGAATGGAATGGAATAGAATGGGAAGGAATGGAATGCAATGAAATGGAATGGAAAGGAATGGAATGGGTATGAAAGGAATAAAATGGAATGGAATCAAATGGAATGGATTGGAATTGAATGGACTCGAATGGAAATTAATGGAATGTAATCAAACGGTATGGAATGCAATGGAATGGACTCGAATAAAATGGAATCGAATGGACTCGAATGTAATGGAATGGAAAGGATTGAAATGTTATAGAATGGAATGGACATGAATGGAATGGAGTGGAACGGAATGGACTCGAATGGAATGGAGTACATTGCAAACGATTTGATTGCAATGGAAATGAATGAACTCGAAAAGAAAGGAATGTAACAGAATGGAATGTACTCGAATTGAATGGAAGGTAATATAATGAAATTTACTCGAATGGAATTGAATGGAGTGGAATGGAATCGAACAGAATGCAATGGAACGGAATGGAAAGGAATTGACTGGAATGGAATTTAATGAAAAGGAAAGGAATGGACTTCAATGGACTATAACGGAATGGAATGGAAAGCAATCAAAGAAAATGGAATAGAATGTACTCGAATGGAATGGAATGGAATGGAATGGACTCGAAGGAAAGGGAATGAAATTTAACAGAATGGACTTTAATGAAATGGAATCGATGGGAATGGAATGGAATTGACTCGAAAGTAATGGAATGCAATGGAATGGACTCAAATGGAATGGAAAGGGATTGACTCAAACGGAATTGAGTGAAATGGACTTGAATGGAATGGAATGGAATTGACTCGAATGGAATGGTGTGGAATAGAAGGGACTGGCATGGAATGGAGAAGAATGGAGTGCACTTGGAACAAATAATATGGAATGGAAATGAATGGACTCGAATAGAATGGAATAGAATGGAATGCAATGGAATATACTCAAAAGGAACGTAAGGTAATGGAATGAAATTTACTCAAATGAAATGGAATGTAAAGGAATGGACTCTAATGGAATGCAATGGAATAGAATGGAATGGAGTCCACTCGAGTGGAATGCAACTGAATTGAATGGGCTCGAAAGGAATGGAAAGGAATGGAATGGAATGGAATGGAATGGAATGGAATGGAATGGAATGGAATGGAATCGAAAGGAATGGAAAGGATTCTAATGGAATGGAATGGAAATGACTCGAGTGGAATTTAAGGGAATGGATTGGACTCGAATGGAATGGAATGAGATGGACAGGACAGGAAAGTAATGGAATGGAATGGACTCTAATGGAATGGAATGGAAAGGAATGGAATGGACTCGAATTGAATGGATTGGAAAGGAATGGAATGCACTCAAACGGAATGGAATGGAATTGAATGGAATTGAAAGGAATGGAATGGACAGGAATGCAATGGAATGGAATGGAATGGAATGGAATGGAATGGAATGGACTCGAATGGAATGGAAAGGAATGGGCTCGAATGGAAAGTAAAGAACTCGAATGGAATGGTATGGAATTGACGCGAGTGGAATGTAATTGAATGGAATGGAATTGACTGTAATACAAAGGAATGCAAAGAACACGAATGAAATAGAATGCAATGGAATGGATTTGAATGGAGTGGAAAGGAATGGACTCGAATGGAATGGAATGGAATGGATTGGAATGAAATGGACTGGAATGGAATGGAATGGAATGAATGGAATGGAAATGACTCGAAAAAACGGAATGAAATGGACACAAACGGAATGGAATGGACTTGAATGAAATTGAATGGAATGGTCTCATAAGTAATGGAGTGCAATAGGCTCGAGTGGAATGGAATGGAATGCAATGGACTCGAATGGAATGAAAAGGAATAGAAATGACTCGAATTGAATGGAATGGAATGGAATCCAATGCAATAGAATTGATTGGAATTCACATGAACGGAATAGAATACAATGGAGTCAAATGTAAAGGAATGGACATGAATGGAATGGAACGGACTCAAATGGAATATAGTGGAATGGAATCGAATGGAATGGAATGCAATTGAATGGATTCGAATGGAAAGGAATAGATTGGATTCGTGTGGAATGGAATGGAACGGAATGGAAAGGAATGTATGCGAATGGAATGGAACGGAATGGAAAGGAATGTATGCGAATGGAATGGAACGGAATGGAATGCATTGCATCCGAAAAGAATGGAATGGAATGCAATGGAATGGAATCGAATGGAAAAGAATGGAAAGGACTGGAACGGAATGGAATGGAATGGATTGGAATGGAATGGAATGGTATGGAATATAATGGACTTCAGTGGAATAGAATGTAATGGAAAGGAATGGATTTAAAAGGAAGGGAATGGACTCTAACTGAATGGAATTGACAAGAATGGAATGCAATAGAATGGAATGGAATACAACGGAATTTAATGTAATGGACCGTAATGGAATGGAGTGGAATGGAATGGACTCGAATGGAATGGAATGGAATTGACTTGAACGGAATTGAAAGCAATGGACCCAAATGGAATGCAATGGAATGGAATGGAATGGACACGAATGGAATGGAATGGAGTGTATTGGACTCGAATGTAACAGAATGGAATAGAATGCAATGGAAAGGAATGGAATAGATTCAATCGGAATGGAATGGAATGAACTCGAATCGAATGGAATACAATGGATTGGACTCAAATGGAATGGAATAGAATTGAATGGATTCGAAAGGAAT
Source organism: Homo sapiens (assembly GCF_000001405.40). NCBI lineage: Eukaryota > Metazoa > Chordata > Mammalia > Primates > Hominidae > Homo > Homo sapiens. The sequence goes on from NC_000020.11 coordinate 31,200,045, forward strand.
GGAATGCAATGGAATCTAATGAAATGGTTTGGAATGGAATGGAATTGAATGGAATGGACTGAAATGGAATAGAAAGGAATCGAATGGAGTGGAATGGATTGGAATGGAATGGACTCGAACGGAATGGAATGGATTCGAATGGAATGGAATGGACTCAAATGGAATAGAGCGGAATGTAAAGGAATGTACTAGAATGGAATGCAATGGAATGAACTCGAACGGAATACAATGGAATAGAATTAAATGGAATGGAATGGACCTGAATGAAATGGAATGGATTCAAATGGAATGGAATGGACCCGAATGGAATGGAATGGAAACGACTCGAGTGGAATGAAATGGAATGGAAAAGACATGAATGGATTGGAATGGAATGGACTTGAATGGAATGGAATAAAATGGAATGGAATGGACTTGAATGGAAATGAATGGGATGGAATGGAATGGACTCGAAGGGAATGGAATGGAATTTATTCCAATGTAATTGAAAGGACTCGAATGAAATTTAAAGGAATTTAATGGAATGGAATCAAATGCAATCGAATGGACTCGAATGGAATGGAATGGAATGGACCAACCTTGAATGGAATGGAATGGAATGGAATGGAATGAAATGGAATGGAATAGAATGGACTCTAATGTAATGCAATAGGATGGAATTGAATGGAATGGAATGGACTCGAATGGAATGGAATGGAATCGACCCAAGTTTAATCGAATGGAATGGAATGGTACGGACTCAAATGGAAAGGAATGAAATGGACTGGAATCGAATTTAATGAAATGGAATGGAATGGACTCGAATACAAAGGAATGGAACAGAATAAAAAGGAATGGAACGGAATGGAATGCACTTGAATGATTTGGAAAGGAATGGACTCAAATGGAATGGAATGGACTATAACGGAATGGAATGGAATGAAATGGAATCGAAAGAAACAGAATAGAATGGAATGGAATGGATTCGTGTAGAATGGAATGGAATGGACTCGAGTGGAATAAAATCCAATTGAATGGACTAGAAAGTAATGAAATGGAATGCTATGGAATGGAATGGAATGGATTCGAATGGAATACAATGGAATGGATTGGAATGGATTTGAATGGAATGGAATGGAATGGAACGGACTTGAAGGGAATGAAATGGAAGAGAATAGAATGGAATGGAATGGACTCGAAAGGAACGGAATGGAAAGGACTCGAATGGAATGGATTGGAATGGAAAAAATCGAGTGGAATGGAATGAAAGAGAATGGACTCGAATGGAATGGAATGGAATGGAATGGAATGGAATGGAATGGAATGGAATGGACACAAATGGAATGGAAAGGAACGGACCCAAATGGAATGGAATGCAATGGAATGGAATGCAATGGAATGGAATGGAATTCAATGCAATGGAATTGAATGGAATGGACTTGAATAAAACGGAATTGAATGGATCCGAAAGGAATGGAAAGCAATGGAATGGAAAGGAATGGAATGGAATGGAATGGAGTGGAATGGAATGGAGTGGAATGGAGTGGAATGGAATGGAATGGAATGGAATGGAATGGAATGGAATGGAACGGAATGCAATACACTGGAATGGAATGGAATGGAATGGAATGGAATGGAATGGAATGGAATGGAATGGACTTGAATGGAATACAGTGGAACTTGATGGAACGGAACATAATGGAATGGAATGGAATGGATTCAAAAGGAATAGAATGGAATGGACTCGAATGGAATGGAATACAAAGGAAAGGACTCGAATGGATTGGAATGGAATAGAATGCACTCGACAGGAACGGAATGCAATAGAATGGCCTTGAAAGGAATGGAATGGAATTCAATGGAATGGACTCAAATGGAATGGAAAAGATTGGACCCGAATGGAATGGAATGCAATTTAATTGACTTGAATTGAGTTGATTCGAATTTATTCGAATGAAATTGAATGGAATATAACGGATTCAAAAGTAATAGAATGGAATGGAATGGACTTGAATGTAATGGACTAGAAGGGAATGGAATGGACATGAAAGCAATGGAATGGAACGGAAAGGAGTTGAAAGGAATACAATAGAATGAAGTGGAATGGGCTCGAAAGGAATGGAATGGAATGGACTCGAATGGAATGGAATGCAATGGAATAGACTATAATGAAATGGAATGGAATTTACTCAAAGGGAATAGAAAGGAATGGAATCGAAAGGAATGGAAGGGAATGAAATGGAATCGAATGGGTTGAAATGGAATTGATTTGAGTGGAATGGAATGGAATGGAATCAAATGGAATAGAAAGGAACGGAATTGACACGAAAGGAATAGAGTGGTACTGAATCGAATGGAATGAAATGGAATGGAATCGAATGGAATAGAATGGAATGGACTCGAATGGAATGCAGCGGAATGGAATGGACTTGAATGAAATGAAGTAGAAAGGACTAGAATGGAATAGAATGGAATTGAAAGGACTCGAATGGAATGGAATGTAACGGAATGGAATAGAGTATAATGGAATGGAATTGAATTGAAAGTACTCGAATGGAATGGAATGGAATGGCATGGAATGGACTCGTATGGAATGCAATGTAATGCAAAGAAAAGGACTCGAATGGAATGGAATGCAATGCAATGAAATGGAATGGACTCGAATTAAATGGAATGGAATTGAATGGAATGGACTCCAGTGAAATGCAATTGAATGGAATGCACTCGAAAGGAATCGAATGGATTTGAATGGAATGGAATGGACTTGAATGGAATGGACTCAAATAGAATGGAATGGAATGGACACAAATGGAAAGGAATGGACTCGAATGGAATGGAATCGAATCGAATCGACTAAAATGGAATAGAATGCATTGGAATGGACTTGAAAGGAATGAAATGGAATGGAATGGACCCGAATGGAATGGAATGGAGTGGAATGGATTCGAATGGAATGAAATGGAGTGGAACTGAATGGAATGGAAAGGAAATCAATGGAATAGAATGGAATGGAAAGTACTCAAATGGAATAGAATGGAAAGGGCTCGAATGGAATGGAATGGAATGGACTCAAATGAAATGAAATGGAATGCACTCGAATGGAATAGAATGGAATGGAGTTGAATTGAATGCAGTGGAATTTAATGGACTTGAATGGAATGGAGTAGAATGGTCTAGAATGGAATGGAATTGAAAGGATACGAATGGAATGGAATGTAATGGAAAGGAATGGACTACAATGGAAACGAATTGAATTGAAAGGACTCGAATGGAATGGAATGCAATGGCATGGAATGGACGCGAATGGAATGCAGTGTAAGGCAAAGAAATGGACTTGAATGGAATGGAATGAAATGAAATACAATGAAATGGAATGGACTCGAATGGAATGGACTCCAATGGAATGCAATTGAATTGAATTGACTAGAAGGAATCGAATGGATTGCAATGGAATGGAATGGACTGGAATGGAATGGACTCAAATGGAATTGAATGGAATGAAATCGAATGGAATGGAGTGGTGTCGAAAGGAATGGAATAGAATAGAATCGACTAAAATGAAATGGAATAGAATGCACTCAAAAGAATGAACTGCAATGGAGTCAAATGGAATAGAATGGAGTAGAATCGAAAGGAATGGAAGGGAATGGAATGGACTTGAATGGAATGTAATGGACTTCAATGGAATAGAATGGAATGGAATGGATTCGAACGGAAAGGAATGGAACGTACTCAAACGGAATGGTATGGAGTGGACTCACATTGATTGGATTGGGATCGAATGGAATGGAAAGAAACGTACCCAAATTGAATGGAATGGAAAGGCATGGAATGGAATGGAATGTAACGGAACGGAACAGAACGGAACAGAATGGAATGGAATGGAATGGACTGGAATGGATTGTAATGGAATGGAATGAAACGGAACGGAACAGAATGGAACGGAATGGAATGGAATGGAATGGAAAGGAATGGAAAGGAATGGAATGGACTAGTTTGGAAAAGAATGGAATGGAATTGAATGGACTCGAAAGTAATGGAATGGAATCGGTTCGTGTGGAATGGAATGGACACGAATGTAACGGAATGTAATAGAACTGACTCAAATGGAATGCAACGGAATTTAAAGGAAAAGACACTAATGGATAGAAATGGAATGGAGACGAATGAAATAGAATGGAAAGGAATCCAATGGAATGGAATGCAATACAATAGAATCAAATGGGAGGGACTCAAACACAATGTAATAGAATTGAATGTTGTCGAAAGGGAAGGAATGTAATGCAACGAAATGGACTCGAATGGAATGGAATGCACTGGACTCGAATGGAACGGAATGGAATGGACTCGAATGCAATGGCATGGAATGGAATGAAATGCAATGGAATGGAATGGATTTGAGTGGAATGGAATGTATAGGAATGGAGTCGAATTGAAAAGAAAGAAAAGGAATAGAATCGAATGGAATGGAATGGACCCGCATAGAATGGAATGGCATCGAATGGAATGGAATTGACTGTAGGGGAATGGAATAGAATGAAATGGAATGGAATTCCTTGAATGGAATAGAATTTAATGGAATGCATTGTACGCCAATGGAATGGAAAGTTATGGACTCGAAAGGAAAGCAATGGAATGGTATGGACTTCAATGGAATGGAATGGAAAGGAACTGAATGAAACGGAATGGAATGGAATGGACTCAAATGGAATGGAATGGAATGGAATGGAACGGAATAGAATGGAATGGAATGTACTCCAATGGAATGAAATGGAATGGATCGGACTCGAATGGAATGGAATGTTATGGAATGGACTCGAATGGAATGAAAAGGAATGAAAAGGAATGGACTTGAATGGAATGAAATGAAGTGGCATAGATTTGAAAGGAATGGAATTTAATGGACCTGAATATAATGTATTAGAATGAAATGTAATGGACTCGAATGGAATGGAATGGAATGGATGGGAATGGAGTGGAATTGAATGGAATGGAATGGAACGGAATTTAATGAAATGGAATCGAATTGAATGGGATGGAATGGACCCGAATCGAATGGAATGGAATGGAATGGAATGGAAGGCAAAGGAAGGGAATGGAACGGAATGGAGGTGAACGGAATGGAATGGAATTGAATGGACTTGAAAGGAATGGAATGGAATGCAATGCAATGGAATGGAATGAAATGAAATGTAATGGACTCTAATGGAATGGCCTAGAATGGGCACGAATGGAAGGGAAAGAACTGGAATAGAATGAAATGGTATGAAATCGACCCGATTCTAATGGAATGGAAAGGAATGGAATGGACTTGATTGGAAAGGAATGGAATGTTCGTGAATGGAATGGAATACAATGGAATGAAATCGACTCTAGTGGAATGAAATGGAATGGAAAGGAATCGAATGAACTTGAATGGAATGTAGTGGAATGGAATCGACTGGAATGCAATGGAATTGAATGGACTCGAATAAAAAAGAATGTAACTGTATGGAATGGACTCGAATGGAATGGAATGCAATGGAAGGAAATGGACTTGAATAGAATGGAATGGTATGGAATAGAGTGGAATGGAATGGAATGGACTCCAAAGGAATTGAAAGGATTGGAATGGAATGGAATGGAATGGAATAGACTCGAATAGAATGGCATGGAATGGACTCAAATGGAATAGAGTGGACTCGCATGAAATTGAATGGAATGGAAACGATTAAAGTGGAATACAATGAAATGAAATAGACTGGAGTCAAAATAACTGAATGGACCCAAATGTAATGGAATGGAATGGAATGGAATGAAACGGACTCGAATGGAAGGGAATGGAATGGACTGGAATCAAATGCAATGAAACATAATGGAATGGAGTTGAATGGAATGGAAAGGAATGGCCACAAATGGAATGCAATGGAATGGAAAGGAATGGTATGGAATGGAATGGAATGATACGGACTGGAATGGAATGGATTGGAATAAAATATACATGAATGGAAAAAAGGTATGGAATGGAATGGACCCAAATGGAATGGAATGGACACGAATGAAATGAAATAGAATAGAATGGACTCAAATGGAATACAATGGAATTTAATAGAATGAACACTAATGTAAAGGAATGGAAGGCACTCTAATGGAATAGAATGGAATGGACTTGAACGGAATTGAATGGAATAGACTCGAATGGAATAGAATAGTATGGATTTGAATGGAATGGAATGCAATGGAATGGACTCAAGTAGAAAGGACAAGAATGTAATGGAATGGAATTGAATTGATCTGAAAGGAAAGGAATGGAATGCAATGGAACGGACTTGAATGGAATGGAATACACAGGACTCGAATGGAATGGAATGCAATGGAATGGACTTGAATGGAATGGAATGGAATGGAATGGATAGGAATGGAATGGAATAGAATTGAATGGACTCGAAAGGAATGGAATTGAATGCAATGGAATGGACTCGAATGGAATGTAAAGGAATGGACCCGAATATAATGGAATGCAAACGAATGAACTCGAATGGAATGGAATGCAATTGTCTCGAATGGAATTGGATGGAATGCAATGGACTTGAATTGAAGGCAATAGAATGGAATCGAATGGAATGGAATGAACTCGAATGCAATCGAATGGAATGGAATAGACTCGAATGGAATACAATGGAATGAAAGGGAATGGACTGAATTGGAATGGAATGGAATGGAGTCGATTAGAATAGAACAGAACGGAATCAAAAGGAATGGAATGCAATGAAATGGAATCGAGAGTGTTGGAATGGAATTATCATGAATGGAATGAAATGGAATGGACACATATGGAATACAATGGAATGGAATGGATGCTAATGGAATGGAATGGAATGGACACGACTGGAATGGAATGGACTCGAACCAAATGGAATGGAATGGAATGGACTCGAATGGAATGAAATGGAATTGAATGGAATGGACTGAAATGGAATGGAATAAAATGGACTTGAATGGAAGAAAATGGAATGGATATGAACAGAATGGAGTGGAATGGAATGGACTTCAATGGAATGGATTCGGATGGACTCCAATGGAATGGAATGGAATGGAATGGACTCGAATGGAATGGAACGTAACGGAATGAAATGGACTCGAATTGAATGGAAAGAAATGGACTCAAGTGAAAGGGAATGGAATGGAATGAAATGGACTCGAATGGAATGCAACTGAATTGAAGGGACTCAAAAGGAATGGAATGGATTTAATGGAATGGAATGGAATGGAAAGTAATGGACCCGAGTGGAATGGAATGGAAAGAACTCGAAAGGAATTGAATGGAATGGAACCCAATGAAATGTAATGGAATGGAATGGAAATGCATGGAATGGATTCGAACGGAATAAAATGGAATGGAATGGAATGGAATGGAATGGATTCAAAGGGAATGCAATGGAATGGAATGGAATTTAATTTAATGAACGGACTCTAATGGAATGGAATGTACTCAAAAGCAATAGAATGGAATGGATTTGGAACGAATGGAATATAATGGAAAGGGCTCGAATTTAATGGAATTGAATGGACTTGAATTCAATATAATGGAATTCAATCGAACGGAATGGAATGGACACGAATACAATGCAATGGAATGCAATAGAATGGAATAGAATGGACTCGAATGGAATGGAATGGACCAAAATGGAATGGAACGGAATGGACCCGAATTGAAAAGAATGGAATGGACTGCAATGGAATGCAATGGAATGGAATGGAATGGAGTTGAATGGAATAGAAAGGAATGGATTCGAAGGGAATGAATTGGAAAGGACTAGAATTGAATGGAATGGCCTCGAATAGAATGGAATGGAATTTACTAGAATGGACACTAATGGATTGGAATCTAATAGAATGGAACGGCATGGACTCTAATGGAATGGAATGGAATTGAATGGACTATAAAGGAATGCAATGGAATAGAATGGAATGGAGTTGAATGGAATAGAAAGGAAAGGAAAGGAATGGATTTGAAGGGAATGGAATGGAAAGGACTCGAATTGAATGGAATGGCCTCGAATAGAAAGGAATGGAATTTAATAGAATGGACACTAACGGATTGGAATCTAATACAATGGAATGGCAGGGACTCTAATGGAATGGAATGGAATTGAATGGACTATAAAGGTATGGAATGGAATGGAATCGAATTGAATGGAATGGAACGGACCGAAATGGAATAGAATGGACTCGAATGGAATGGAATGGAATGGAATGGAATGGAATGGAATGGAATCCAATGGAATGCAGTTGAATGGAATGGACTTGAAAGGAATGGAATGGAAAGGAATGGAATGGAATGGAATGGAACGGAATGGAATGGAATGGAATGGACTTGAATGCAATGGAATGAACTAGAATAGAATGGAATGGAATTGAATCAACTCAAGTGGAATGGAAGGGAATGGAGTGGACTCAAAGGAAATGGAATGCAATGGAAAGTACTCGAAAGGAATGGAATGTACTGGACCCGAATATAATGGAATGGAAAGGAATGGAACGGACTCGAATGGAATGGCATGGAATCGAATGGACTCGAACGGAATGGAATGGAAGGTAATGGACTCGAATGGAATGGAATGGCATGGAATCTAATGGACTCGAACGGAATGGAATGGAAGGTAAAGGACTCGAATGGAATGGAATGGAATGAAATGGAATGGACTTGAAGGGAATGGAATGGAATGGAATCGAATGGAATAGAATACTATGGATTCGAATGGAAAGGAAAGTAACGGAGCGGAATGGAATGGAATGGAAAGGAATGGAATGGAACGGACTCGAATTGAATGGCATGGAATGGAATGCACTCGAATGTAATGGGATGGAATGGAATGAAATGGAATGGAAAGGAATGGAATCCAATGGAATGGAAAGCAATGGGACGAGTGGATTGGAATGGAATGGAATGGAATGGAAAGGAATGAAATGGACTGGAATAGAATGGAATTGTTTGGAATGGAATGTTCTTGAATTGAATAGAATGGAATGAAATGGAATGTACCCAAGTGAAATGGATTGGAATGGACACGAATGGAACGAAATGGAATGGATGGAACTCGAATGGAATGGAATGGACTCGAATGGAATGGAATAGAACGGAATGGAATGGAATGGAATGTACTCGAATGGAATGGAATGGCCTCGAATGTAATGTAATGAGGAAGAATGGACCAGAAAGGAATGTAATGCAATGGAATGGACTGAAATACAATGGAATGGAATGAAAAGGACATGAATGGAATAGAATGGAATGAATTGGAATGGATTGGATCAAATGGAATTGAATGGAATGGACTCGAATGGAGTGGAATGGACTCAAATGGAATGGAGTGGAATGGGACGGTGTCGAATACAATAGAATATAATTTACCGGATTGGACTCTAATGCAATGGACTCTAAAGGAAAAGAATGGAATGGACTCGAATGCAATAGAATGGAATGGAAAAGTGTCAAATGGAATGGAATGGAATTTACACGAATGGAATGGAATGGAGTGGAATGAAATGGACTGGAATGGAATGGAATGGAATGATTGGAATGGAATGGAATGGAATGGAATGGAATGGAATGGAATGGAATGGACTTGAATAGAAAAGCATGGAATGGAATGGATGGGACTCGAATGAAATGGAATGGAATGGACCAGAATCGAAAGGAATGGCCTCGAATGTAATGTAATGAGGAAGAATGGACCAGAAAGGAATGTAATGCAATGGAATGAACAGAAATACAATGGAATGGAATGAAAAGGACCTGAATGGAATAGAATGGAATGGAATGGAATGGATTGGAATCCAATGGAATTGAATGGAATGGACTCGAATGGAGTGGAATGGACTCAAATGCAATGGAGTGGAATGGGATGGTGTCAAATGAAATAGAATATAATTTACCGGATTGGACTCTAATGGAATGGACTCTAATGGAAAAGAATGGAATGGACTCGAATGCAATAGAATGGAATGGAAAGTTGTCAAATGGAATGGAATGGAATTTACTCGAATGGAATGGAAATGGAGTGGAATGAAATGGACTGGAATGGAATGGAATGGAATGAAATGAATGGAATGGAATGGAATGGACTTGAATAGAAAAGCATGGAATGGAATGAATGGGATTCGAATGAAATGGAATGGAATGGACCAGAATCGAAAGGAATGGATTGGACTCGAATGGAATGGAGTAAAATGGACTCGAGTGGAATGGAATGCAATGCAATGGACTCGATTGGAATGGAATGGAATGGAATGGAATGGAACGAACTCGAATGCAAAGGATGGGATTGGAGTTCACTTGAATGGAACAGAATGGAATGGAGTAGAATGTAATGGAATGAACAGGAATGGAATGGAATATAACGGAATGGACTCGAATGGAATAGAAAGGAAAATAATCTAGTGGAATGGCATGGAATGGAATGGACACAAATGGAATGGAATGGAATCGAATGGAATGGAATGGAATGGAATTCAATGGACTAGGATGTAATGGAATTGAAAGGAATTTAATGGAATGGACTTGAATGGAATGGAAAAGAATGGACTCGAATGGAATGTAATGGACCAGAATGGAACGGAATGGAATGGACACAAATTGAAAGGAATGGAATGGAATGAAATAGACTGGAATGGAACACAATGGAATGGAATGGAATGGAATGGAATGGAATGGAATGGAATGGAATGGAATGGAATGGATTTGAATGTAATAGAAAGGAATGGAATCAAAGGGAATGGAATGGATTGCACTCGAATGGAATGGATTGCAATGGATTCAAATGGAAAGGAACGGAATTCAATGGACTCAAAAGGAATGGAATGTAACGGAATGGAATGGACTCCAATGGAATGGAAGTTAATGGAATGAAATGGACTCGAATGGAATGGAATGGAATGGAATAGACTCCAATGCAATGGAATGCATTGGAATGGATTGGAAAGGAAAAGACTCGAATGGAATAAAGTTGAATGGAATGGACTCGAAATGAATGGAATGGAATGGAATTGAATGGAATGGAATGGAATGGAATGGACTCGAATGGAATGGAATGGAATTGACCCAAATGGAATGGATTGGAATGGAATGGAGTAGATTGGAATGGATTGGAATGTTATGCAATGGAGAGGAATGGAATGGAATGCAATGCAATGGAATGGAATCGAATGGAATAGAATAAAATGAAATGGATTTTAATCGAAGGGAAAGCAATGGAATGGTTACGAATGGAATGGAATGGAATGGAATGGCCATGAATGGAATGGAATGGAATGGAATGGAATGGAATGGAATGGATTGGAATGGACTGGACTGCAATGGAATGGAACGGAATACACTTGAATGAAATAGAATGGAACGCAATTGAATGGACTCGAAAGAATTGGATTGGATTGGACCAGAGTGGAATGGAATGGAATGGACTCGAATGGAATGCAATGGACTAGAATGTAATGTAATGGAATGGAATGGAATGGAATGGAATGGACACGAATTGAATACAGTGAAATTTATTCTAACGGAATCTAATGGAATGGAATGGATTGGAGTCGAATAGAACAGACACGAAGGGAATGGACTGCAATGGAATGGACTTGAATTGCATGGAATGGAATGGAATGGACTTGAAAAGAATGGGATGGAATACAATGGAATGGACTCGAATGGAATGCAATGCACTGGAATGGACTCGAATGGAATGGAACGGATTTGACTCAAATGGAATTGAATGGAGTGCACCTGAATGGAATGGAGTGGAATGGGATGGAATAAAATGGAATAGAGTGGGCTCAAATAGAATGGAATAGAACGGAATGGAATAGAATGCAGTGGAATAAAATGGGTTTGAATGGAATGGACTGCAATGGAATCGAATAGAACGGATTCAAATGGAATAACATGGAATGCAATGTACTCGAATGCAATGGAATGGAACGGACTCAAATAGAATGGAAAGGACTCAAACGGAATGGAATGAAATGGACTCGAACGGGATTGAATGGCATTTAATGAAGTCGAATGGAATGCAGTATAACGGAATGGAATGAACTCGAATTGAATGCAATGTAATGGAATGAAATGTGCTCGAATGGAATGGAATGGAATAGAGTGGAATGGAACGGAAGAGAATGGATCACAATGGAATGGAATGGAATGCAATGGAGAGGAATGCAATGGAATGCAAAGGAACGGAAAGGAATCGAGTGGAATAGAACAGAATGAAATGTATTGTAATCGAACGGAATGGAATGGAATGGTTTCGAATTGAAAGGAGTGGACTGGAATGGAATGAAATGGAATGGAATGGACTGGAATGGAATGGACTTGAATGGAATAGAATGGAATACAGTGGAATGGACCTGAATGAAATGGAATGGAATTGACCTGAATGGAATGGAATGGAATGGAGTCGAATGGAGTTTAATGGACTTGAATGGAAAGGAATGGAATTGCATTGAATGGACTCGAATAGAATAAAATAGAATGGCTCTGAATGCAATGGAACGTAATGGAATAGACTCCAATGGAATGCAACGATATGGGCTCGAATGGAGTAGAATGGAGTTGAATGGAAAGTAACGGAATGGAATGGAGTGGAATGGAAAGGAATGGAATGGTATGGAATTTAATGGACTCGAAACGAATGTAATGTAATGGAATAGAATAGACTAGAATGGAATAGAATGGAAGGGAATTGAATAAAATGGAATGGAATGGAATGGGGTCGACTAGAGTTAAATGAAATGGAATGGAATTGAATGCACTTGAAAGGAATGGAATGGAATCATCTCGAATGGAAAAGAAACGAATGGACTCTCATGGAATGGAATGCAATGGAATGGACTCGAATGGAATGCAGTGGAATGGACACGAATGGAATGGAATGGTATTTAATAGAATGGAATCAAAAGGAATGCAATGGAATGGAATTTAATGGAATGGACTCGAATGGAAAAAATGGAAAGCACTCGAATGGAATGGATTGGATTCGAATGGAATGAAACGGACTCGAAAGGAAAGGAATGGAGTGCAACCGAATGGAATGGAATGCTATGGAATGGAATGGACTCGAAAGGAATGGGACATAAGGGGATAGAATTAACTCGAATGGAATGGAATGTAATGGAATGAAATAAGCTCGAAAGGAATGCAATGCAATGGACTCGAATGGAATTGAATGGAACGAAATGGAATGGAAAGTAATGGAATGCAATACAATGGAATGCACTCGAATGGAATGCAGTTGAATTGAAGGGACCAGAAAGGAATGGAAAAGAATGGAATGGAGTGGAATGGAATGGAATGCAATGCAATGGACTCTGAGGGAATGGAATGGAATGGACTCTAATGGAATGGAATGGATGGACTCGAATTGAATGGAATGGAATCGAGTGGAAAAAAAAGAATGGACCCAAAGGGAATGGAACGGAATGGAGTGGAATGGATTGGAATGGAATGGAACACAATGGAGAGAAATGGAATGGAATTGAATGCACTCGAATGGAATAGAACGGAATGTCTCCGAATGGAATGGAAGGGAATGGAAAGGACTCGAATGGAATGCAATGAAATGGACTCGAATGGAATGCAAAGCACTTGAGAATTGAATGGAATCAAATGGAATGGATTGGAGTGGGATGGAATGGAATGGAATGGAATGGAATGGAATGGAATGGAATGGATTGGAACGGACTCGTAAGTGATGGAATGGAATGCAAAGGAATGGAATGGAATGAAATGGAATGGAATGAGGCCGAATGGAATGGAATGGAATTGAATGGATTTGAAAGTAATGGAATGGAATGGAATGGTTTCGAATGGAATGGAATGGACTCGAATGGAGTGGAACAGATTGGACTCGAATGGAATGGAATGAACTCGGTTGGAATGGAATGGAATGGTATTGACTAGAGTGGAATGCCATGGAATGGAAAGAAATGGGCTCAAATGGAATGGAAAGGAATGGAATGGGCTCAAATGGAATGGAATTAGATGGAATCGAGATGAGTGGAATGGAACAGTATGGAATGGAATGGACTAAAATGGAATGGAATGGAATTTACTCGAAAGGAATAGAAAGGAATGGACTCAAATGGAATGGAATGGAAAGGAATCGAACTGAATGGAGTGGAAAGGACTAATGGAATGGAACGGAATGGAATGGAATGGAATGGAATGGAATGGAATGGAATGGACTCAAATTGAACTGAACGTATTGGTATGGAGTGGACTCGAATTGAATGGAATGTAGTGGAAATAATTGAACTCGAATGGAATGGCATGGACTCGGAATCCAATCGATTTGAAAGAAATGGAATGAAATGGAATGGAATGGAATGGAATCAACCCAAGTGGAGAGGAATGGAAATGAATGGAAAGGACTCGAATGAAATGGAATGCTGTGGAATGGACTCGAATGCTGTGCAATGGAAAGGAATAGACTCGAATGGAATGGAATGGAATGAACACGAATGGAATTTAATGGAATGGAAAAGAATGGAATGGAGAGGAAAGGAATGGAATGGAATAAAATGGAATGAAAGAGAACGGAATGAAATGGAAAGCAATGAAATGAAATGGAGAGGAATGGAATAAAATGCAAAGCAATGGAATGGAATGGAATGGAATGGAATGGAATGGACGGGAATCGAAGGGAATGGAACGGAAAGGACTCGAATGCAATGGAATGGACTCGAATGGAATAGAATGGAATAGAATGGACTAAAATGGAATAGAATGGAATTTACTGGATTGCAATCTACAGTAATGTACTCTAATGGAATGGAATGGAATGGACTCTAATGGAATGGAATGGAATGCAATGGACAAGGATGGAATGGAATGGAATGGACACGAATGGAATGGATTGGAAGGGAATGGAATGGAATAGAATGGATTGGAATGGAAAGGACGTGAAAGGAAAGGAATCGAATGGAATCGAATGGCATGGAATGGACACGAAAGGAACATAATTGAATGGAGTGGACTTGAAAGTCCTACAATGGAATTCAATGTAACAGACTCTAATGGAATGGAAAGGAATGGACTCGAATGGAATATAATAGAAAAGGCATGAATGGAATGGAATGCAATGGAATGGTCTCAAATGGAATGGTATGGAATGGACTCAAATGAAATGGAATGGAATTGAATTGACTTGAAAGGTATGGAATGGAATGCATTGGAATGGACGCGAATGGAATGGACTCAAAAGGAATGGAAAGCAATGGAGTGGACTCGAATGGAATTTAATGGGACACGAATGGAATTGAATGGAATGGACACAAATGGAATGGAATGGAATGGACTCGAATTGAATTGAAAGGAATGGATTGCACTCAATTGGAATGGAATTTAATGGATTCGAAAGGAATGGAATTGAATGGACTGGAATGGAATGGATTTTAATGGAATGGACTCAAATGCAATGGAATGGAATGGATTCGAATGGAATGTATTGGACTCAAACGGAATGGAGTGGAATGGTCTCGAATGAAATGCAATGGAAATGAATGGAATCGAATGGAATGGAATGGAACAGAATGGAACGAACTCGAATGGAACGGAATGTAACGGAATGAAATGGACTCGAATGGAACGGAATGGACACAAATTGATTGGAATGGAATGGAATGGAACGGAATGGAATGGAATGGAATGGATTGGAATGCACCCGAATGGAATGCAACAGAATTGAATGGACCCGAAAGGAATAGAATGGAATGGAATGGAAAGGAATCGAATGGAATTTAATGGAATGGACTCGAATAGAATGGAATGAAATTGAATGGTCTCGAAATGAATTGAATGGAATGCAATGGAATGGACTAGAATGGAATGGAATGGAATGGAACAGACACGAATTGAACAGATTAAAATTGATTGGGCTCAATTGGATTGGAATGGAATTGCATGGATTCTAATTGGAATGGAATAGAATGGACACCAATGGAATGGAATGAAATGGACTGGAGTACAATGGAAAGGAAAGGAATTGAATTGAATGGAATGGACTTGAATGCAATGGAATTTAATGGATCCAAATGAAATGGAATGGAATGAAATGGAATGGAATGGAAAGGAATGGAATGGAATGGACTCAAAAGTAATGGAATGGAATGGAATCCAAAGGAGTGGAATGGACTCGAATGTAAAGTAATGGAACTTAATGTAATGGACTCTTCTGGAGTGGACTCTTATGGAGTGAACTAGAAAGGAATTGAATGTAATGGATTCAAATTGAATAGAATGAAATGGAATGGAATCGAATGGAATAGAATGGAATTCACTCAAATGGAAAAGATTGGAAAGGACACAAACGGAATAGAATGGACTGGAATTGAATGGAATGGAATGGAATCAAATGGAATGCAGTGGAAAGAAATGGACTCCAATACAATGGAGTGAAATGGACTCTAGTGTAATGGAATGGAATTGAACGGACTCGAATGGATTGGAATGTATTGGAATGGAGTGGACACGAATGCAATGGAATGTAATGGAATCAAATGGTATGAAATGGAAAGGAATGCACTCGAATGGAATGGAATGGAATGGAATGGAATGGAATGGAATGGAAAGAATGGACTTGAATGGAATGTAATGGAATGGAGTTGTATGGAATGGAATGGACTCAAATGGATTCGAACGGAATGGAATGGAATGGAATGGAATGGAATGGAATGGAATGGAATGGAATGGATTGGACTCGAACGGAAAGGAGGGGAATGGTTTCGAATGGAATGGAATGGAAATGAATGGACTCGAACGGAATGGAAAGTAACGGAATGGAATGAACTCGAATGGAATGGAATGTAACGGAACGAAATGGACTCGAAAGTAATGGAATGGAAAGGAATGGATTCAAATTGAATGGAATGGAATGGAATGGAATGGATTGGAATGGACACGAATGGAATACAATAGAATTGAATGGACACAAAGAATGGAATGGAATGGAAGGGAATGGAAGGGAATCGAATGGAATTGAATGGAATGGACTCGAATACAATGGAATGGAATTGAATGGTCTCGAAATGAATGGAAAGGTATGCAATGGAATGGACCCGAATTGAATGGAATGGGATGGAACGGACTCTAATTGAACTGCAGGGAATTGATTGGTCTCAAATGGAATGGAATGGATTCCAACTGAATGGAATGGAGTGGAAGGGACTCGAATGGAATGGAATGAACTTGACTGCAATAGAATGGAAAGGACTCTAATGCAATGGAATGGACTTGAATGGAATGGAATGGACTTGAATGGAATGGAATGGAGCCGAATGGAATGGAATGGAATGGAATGGAATGGAATGGAATGGAATGGAATGGAAAGGAATGGAATGGAAAGGAAGGTAATGGAATGGAATGGATTGGAATGCAATGCACTAGAATGGAATAGAATAGAATGGAATGGAAAAGACAAAAAAGTAATGGAATGGATTTCAAATAAATGGAATGGACTCAAATGTAACGGAATGGAATTTAACGAAATGGACACTTGTGGAGTGGGATGGAATGGACTCGAATGGAATGGGTTTCAATGGAATGGACTAGAAAAGAATGGAATGGAATGGTTTCAAATTGAATAGAACGGAATCGAATGGACTAGAATGGAATGCAATGGAATGGAATGGACTCGAAAGGAAAAGAATGTAAAGGACTCAAATGGAATAGATTAGACTAGAATTGAGTAGAATGGAATGGAATGGAATGGAATTGACACCAATGGAATGGAGTAAAATGGACTCGAATGGAATGGAATGGAATTGAAGGGACTCGAATGGATTGGAATGTGTTGGAATGGAGTGGACACGAATGGAATGGAATATAAAGGAATCAAATGGAATGGAATGGATTGGAATGGAAAGGAATGCACTCGAATGGAATGGAATGGAATGGAATGGAATATAATGGAATGGAAAGAATGCACTTTAATGGAATGGAATGGAATGGACTCGAATGGAACGAAAGGAATGGCCTCGAATGGACTCGAACGTAATGGAATGGGATGGAATGGACTGGAATGGAATGGTATGGAACGGAATGAACTCGAATGGAATAGAATGGAAGGGACTCAAATGGAATGGTGAGGAAAGGAGTGGACTCGAATGGAATAGAGTGGAATGGAATCAAATGGAATGGAATAGAATTGAATGGAGATGAATGGAATGGAATTGAATGGAATAGAATGCTCTCCAATGGAATGGAAAGGAACGGAATGAAATTTACTCAAATGAAGTGGAATGGAATGGAATGGAATCGAAAGAATGGAATGGAATGGAATGGAATGGAATGGAATGGATTCTAATGGAATGCAACTGAACTGAATGGACGCGAAAGGAATGGAAATGAATGGAATGGAATTGAATAGACTAGAATGGATTGGAATGGAATGGAATGGAATCGACTCGAGTGGAATGGAAAACAATGGATATTAATGAAATGCAATGGAAAGGAATGGTCTCGAATGGAATGGAATGGAATGGAATGGACCTGAATGGAGTGGAATGGAATATAATGGAATGGAATGGATATTAATGGAGTGGAAACGAATTGATTCGAATGAAGTGGAATATAACGGAATGGAATCGAATGGAATTGAATGGAATGGAATAGACTAGAATGGAATGGAATGGAATGCACTCGAATGGAATAGAATGGACTCAAATGGAATGGATTGGAATGGACCCAAATGGAATAGAATGGACTGGAATGTAATGGAATGGAAGACACCAAATGGAATGGGATGGGATGGAATGGAATGGAATGGAAAGGAGAGGAATGGAATGGAACCGACTCGAATGGAATGGAATGGAATGGACTCGAATGGAATGGAAAGGAATGGAATGGACTCGAATTAAATGGAAAGGAATGGAATGGATTTGAGTGGAATAGAATGGAATGGACTCGAATGCAATAGAATGCACTTGAATGCAATGGAATGGAATGGAATGGACCCGAATGAAATGGAAAGGAATGGAATGGATTTGAATGGAATAGAACGAACTTGAATGGAATAGAAAGGAATGGAATGGAAAGGATTTGAAAGGAACAGAATGGAATGAACTTCAAAGGAATGGAATGGACTCGCATGCAATGGAATGGAATCTAATGGAATGGACACTTATGGAGCGGAATGGAATGGACTCGAATGGAATGGGTTTGAGTGGAATGGACTAGAAAGTAATGGAATGGAATGGATTCAAATGGAATAGAATGGAATGGAATGGACTTGAATGGAATGGAATGGAATGGATACGAATAGAATTGAATGGACTCCAGTAGAATGGAATTGAATGTAATGGACTCGAATAAAATATAATGGAATAGAATGGAATGGACTCGAATGGAATAGAATGGAAAGGATTCGAATGGAATAGACTGGACTCGAATTGAATAGAATGGAATGCACTCAAATGGAATGGAGTGGAATGGAATCGAGTCGAATGGAATGGAGAGAAACAGACTCGAATGGAATGGAAAGGAATTGAATGGACTCGAATGGACTGGAATGTGTTGGAGTGGAATGGACACAAATGTAATGGAATGTAATGGAATCAAATGGAACGGAATGGAGTGGAATGGAAAAGAATACACTCGAATGCAATGGAATAGAATGGACTCGAATGGAATGGAATGGAATGGACTCGAACGAAAAGCAATTTATTTGAATGGACTCCAAAGGAATGGAACCGAATGAAATGGAAAGGAATGGAATGGAATGGAATTAAATGGAACGGACTCAAATGGAATGGAGTGAACTTGATTGGAATAGAATGGAATGGACTGGACTGGAATGGAATGGAATGGAATGCAATGGAATGGACTCAAATAGTATTGGATGGAATTGAATGCACTCGAATGGAATGGAATGGAATGGACTCGTGTGGAAATGGTTTTAATGGATTGCACTAGAAAGGAATGGAATGGAAACGAATGGAAAGAAATGGAATGGACGAGAACGGAATGGAATGGACTCGAAAAGAATGGAATGGAATGGAATGGAAGGGACTAGAAAGGAATAGAATGGAATGCAATGGAATGGACTGGTATGGAATAGAATGGAATGGACTCGAATGTAATGGAATGGAATAGACTCGAAAGGAATGAGATGGAATTGAATGGACTCAAACGGAATGGAATGGAAAAGACTCGAATGTAACAGGTTGGAATGGAATGGACTCGAATGGAAAGGAATGCAATGGACTCGAATGGAATGGAATGGAATGGACTCGGATGGACTCGAACGAACTGGAATGGGATGGAAAGGAAGCGAATGGAATGGAATGGAATGGAAAGAATTCGAATGGAATACAATGGAGTGGATGGAGAGGGAATGAGTGGTATCAAATGAAATGGAGTGGAATGGAAGAAAATGGAATGGAATAGAATTGAATGGAGATGAATGGAGTGGAATATAACGGAAAAGAATGGACTGGAATGGAATGGAATGAAATGGAATGAAATTTACCCAAACGGAGTGGAATGGAATGGAACGGACTCGAAAGGAATGGAATGGAGTGGAATGGAATGGAATGCATTCTAATGAAATGCAACTGAATTGAATGGACTCTAAAGAAATGGAAAGGAATGGAATGGAATGCAATTGACTC
Source organism: Homo sapiens (assembly GCF_000001405.40). NCBI lineage: Eukaryota > Metazoa > Chordata > Mammalia > Primates > Hominidae > Homo > Homo sapiens. Next base: position 31,220,661 of record NC_000020.11, read on the forward strand.
GAATGAATTGGAATGGAATGGAATGAAATGGAATGGAATGGAATGGATTGAATGGAATGGAATTGAGAGGAGTGGAATTGAATGGGTTTGAATGGATTGGACTCAAATGGAATGGAATAGAAAAGAATGGATTCAAATGGAATAGCATGGAATTGAATGGACTCGAATGCAATGGAATGGACTGGACTCGAATGGAAAGGAATGGACTCGAATGGCATGGAGTGGGATGTACTCAAATGGAATGGAAAGGATTTGAATTGAATAGAATGAAATGGAACATAACGGAATGGAATGAACTACAATGGTATGGAATGTAAAGGAAAGAAAAGAACTAGAAAGGAATGGAATGGAAAGGATTGGAATGGAATGGAATGGAGCAGAATGGAACGGATTGGAATGGAATGGAAAGGAATGGACTCAAATGGGGTGGCATGGAATGGAATGAAATCTAAAGGAATGGAATGTTATGGACACGAATGGAATGGAATGGACTCGAATGAAATGGATTGGAATGGAATGGAATGGAATGTACTCGCATAGAATAGAATGGAATGGAATGGACTCGAAAGGAATGGAATGGAATGGACACGAATTGAAAGGAATTTAACGGAATGGAATGGAATGGAATGGAATGGAAAGCAATAGAATGGAAAAGAGTAGCAAGGAAAGGAATGGACTTTAATGGAATAGAATGGAATGGAATGGAACGGACTCGAATGAAATGGAAAGGAATTGACGTGAATGGAATGGAATTGAGTCAAAAGGAATTTAATGTAATTGAATGGACTCGAATGGAATGGAATCAAGTGGAATGGAATGGAATGGACTTGAATGAATTGAATCGAATGGAATGGACTCGAATTAAATAGAATGGAATGGAATATGCTCGAATGGAATGGACACGAATGGAATGGAATGGAGTGGAATGCACTGGAATGGAATGGAGTGCAATGGAATGGAATTTACTTCAATTTAATAGAAGGGAATGGAATGGAATTGACTCGAATAAAATGGAATGGAATGGACTCGAATGGAATGGAATGGACAAGAATGGAAAGGAATGCAATGGACTCGAATGGAATGGAATGGAATGGAATGGAATGGATGCGACTGGAATGGAATGAAATGGAATGGACTCGAATAGAATAGAGTAGACTGGATTTGAATGAAATAGAATGGAATTGAATGGACTCACGTCAAACAGAGTGTTATGCTATGGAACGGACTCGAATGTAATGTAATGTAATGAAATGAAAGGGATTCGAGTGGAATGGAATGGACTCGAATGGAATACAATGGAATGGACTGTATACGAATGGACTCAAATCGTATGGAATGGAAATAAATGGACTTTAAAAGAATGGAATGGAATGGAATAGAATGGAATGGAATGGACTCTAATGGAATGGAATGGAATGGAATGGACTCCAAAGGAAAACAACGGACTAGAATGGAATGGAATGGAATGGAAATTACTCGAGTGGAATGGCATGGAATTGAATGGACTCAAATGGAATGGAGTGGACTCGAATGGAATGGAAAGGATTGGACCCAATTGGAATGGAATGGAATGGAATAGAATCGTATGGACTCAAATGGAGTGGAATGTTATGGAATGGAATGGGCTTGAATGGAATAGAATGGAATGGAAAGGAACGGATTTCAAATGAATAGTATGGAATGGAAATGAATGGAATTGAATGAACATGAAAGGAACGGAATGGAATGGAATGGACTCGAATTTAATAAAATGCAACTTAAAGGTAAGGATCCTACTGGAATGGAATGGAATGCACTCAAATGGAATAGAATGGAATAGACTCGAATGGAATGGAAGGGAATGGACTCAAAATGAAAGGAATGGACACTAATGGAACAGAATGGAATGGAATGGAATTGACTCGAATGGAAATGAATGGAATGGACACGAGTGGAATGCAATGGAATGGACTCGAATGGAATGGAATGGAATGGACACAAATGGAATGGAATGGACTCGAGTGGAATGGAACGTAATGGAGTGAAATGGACTTGAATGGAATGGAATGGAATGGAATGGAATGGAATGGAATGGAATGTAGTGGACTCAAATGGAATGGAATGCAATGGAATGGACTCGAAAGGAATGGAATGGTATTGAGTGGACTCGAAAGCAATGGAATGGAATTGACTTGAAATGAATGGAATGCACTCGAAAGAAATGGAATGAAATGGACTCGATTGCAACGGAATGGACTCGAATTCAATGGACTTTAATGATATGGAGTCGAATGAAATGGACTAAATAGGAATGGAATTGAATGGAATGGAATCGAATGGAATGAAAACGAATGTAATGTGTTCGGATGGAATGGAATCGAATGGAATGGTATGCAATGGAATGCAATCAAATGGAATGGAATTGAATAGAAAGGAATCAAATGGATTGGAATTGAATGCAAAGGAATCAAACGAAAAACACTGGAATGGAAATGAATCGAATGGAATGGAAAGGACTAGAACGGTTTCAAATGTAAAAGAGTCGAATGGAATGGAATCGAATGGAATGAAATCAAAAGGAATGGACTTGAATGGAAAGGAATGAAATGGCATGGAAGGGAATTGAGTCGAATGGAATGGAATGGAATGGAATGGAAGGGAATGATATTGAATCGAGTGGAATGGAATGGAATCACATGGAATAGAATCAAAAGCAATGGAAAGGAATGGAATCGACTTGAATGGAATGAAATCAAATGGAATGGAATCAAATGGAATGCGATAGAATAGAATGTAATGGAATGGAATAGAATTGAATGGAATGGAATGAAATGCAATGGAATCGAACGGAATGGATTGTACTCCAATGTAAAGTACTGGAATGGAATGGACTTGAATGGAATGGACTCGAATGGAAAGGATTCGAACGGAATGGGCCCGAATGCAGTGGATTCAAATGGAATGGTCTTGAAAGGAATGCTATAGAGTGGAATAGAATCAAATGCAATGGAATATAAATGAAATGGACTGTAATTGAAGGGACTCAAAAAAATGGACTAGAAAAGAATGGACTCGAATGGAATTGAACACAATGGAATGGAATGGAATGGCATAAAATGGAATATACTCGAATGTATAGGAGTGGAATTGAATGGAATAAAATGGAATGTACTTGAATGTATAGGAGTGGAATGTAATGGATGTGAATGGAATCAACCCGAATGGAAAGCTATCGAATCCAATGGAATGGACTGGAATGGAAAGCAAAGGAATTGATTGGACTCGAATGGAATGGACTGGAATGATATAGACTCAAAAGTTTTGTACTCGAAAGGAATGGAATCAAAAGGAATGGAATCCAATGGAATGGAAACTTATGTAAGGTATTCGAATCGAATGAAATGGAATCGAATTGAAGGGGTATGAATGGAATGGAATGGAATGGAATCGAATCGAATTTAATGGAATTGAATAGGAAAGAATCAAATGGAATGGAATCAACCCGAGTGGAATGGAATGGAATGGAAAGGAATGGAATGGAATGGAATGGAATGGAATGGAATGGAATGGAATGGACTCCAGTGGAAAAGACTGGAATGGAACGGTTTCGAATGAAATTGAATCGAATGAAATGGAATGGAATGCAATGGAATCAAATGGAATGGACTTGAATGGAATGGAATGGAATGGAATGGAATGGAATGGAATGGAATGGAAAGGAACAGAATCAAATTGAATCGAATGGAATGGAAGGGAATGGAATTGAATCACATGGAATTGAACGGAATCAAATGGAATATCATCAAATGGAATGGAAAGGAAAGTAATGGAATGGAATAGAAAGGAATGAAATCCAATGCAATGGCATGAAATGGAATGGAATCAAATGGAAAGGGAAAGAATGGAATGAAATGGAATGGAATGGAATGGAAAGGAAAGGAATCATATGGATTAGATTCGAAAGGAATTGAAAGGAATGGAATGGAATGGAATGGAATGGAATCGAATGGAATCGAATGGAATCGAATGGGTGGAAATTGAATGGAATGGCTTCAAATGGAATGGGAAAAAATGGAATTGGAAAAAATGGAATGGAACGGAATGGAATGGAATGCTATGGAATGGACTCGAATGTAAAGGACTGGAAAGGAATGGACTCGAATTGTAAAGACACAAATGGAATGGAAACTATTGGAGTGGAATCAAAAAGACTGGAATCGAATGGAAAGGGATTGAATGGAATTGAATGGAATGGAAAGGATTGGAATAGAAAGGAATGGAATGGAATGGAATGGAATGGAATGGAATGGAATGGAATGGAATGGAATGGAATGGAATAGAATGGAATGTGCTCGAATAAAAAGACTAGAATGCAATGGACTTGAATGGAATGGACTCGAATGGAAAAGATTTAAAAGGAATTAACACAAATGGAATGGATTCAAACGAAATGTCTCGAAAGGAATGCTATCGTGTGGAATGGAATCAAATAGGATGGAATTCAATGGAATGGACTGTAACTGAATGGACTCAAAAGGAATGGACTCGAATGGAGTGGACTCAAATGGAACGGAAGTGAATGGAAAGGAATCGAATAGAATATACTCGAATATAAGGAAGGGAATGAAATGGACTTAAGTGGAATTGACTTGAATGGAATGAAATTGAATAAAGTGGAATGGAAATGAATGGAAAGGAATGGAATGGAATGGAATGGACTGTAATGCAATGGACTCGAATGTAAAGGGCTGGAATGGAAAGGACTCAAATGGAATGGAATCGAATGGAATGGACTCAAATGCGTCCATTTGAGGAATCGAATGGCATGGAATCGAATAGAATGGAACCGACTGGAATGGAATGGAATGGAAAGGAAGGGAATGGAAAGGGATCTAATGTAATGGCATGGAATGGAATGGAATGGAATGGAATAGAATTGAATGGAATGGAATGTACTCGAATGTAAAGGACTGGAATGGAATGGACTTGAATGGAATGGACTTGAATGGAAAGGATTTTAATGCAGTGGACTAGAATGGAATGGATTCAAATCGAATGGTATTGAATGGAATGCTATACAGTGTAATGGAATCAAATGGGATAGAATCAAATGGACTGCACTGTAATAGAATGGATTCGAAAGGAATGGACTCGAATGGAATGGACTCCAGTGGAGTTGGAAAGGAATGTAATGTAATGGAATGGAATGAACTCGAATGTTAAGGACTGGAATGGAGTGGACTGGAATGGAATTGACTCGAATGGAACGCAATCAAATGGAATGGAATGGAAAGGAATGGAATGGAAAGGAATGGAATGGAATGGACTGTAATGGAATGGAATAGAAAGGATTGTACTACAATGGAATGGACTCGAATAGAATGGAATCAAATGGAATGGATTCGAATATAATGGAATGGAATGGAATGGAATGATACGGAATGAAATGGAATGGACTCAAAAGGAATGGACTGGAATAACATGGACTCGAACGTAATGGACTCAAAAAAAATGGAATTAAATGAAAAGAAATCGAATGCAATGGAATTGAATGCAATGGACTGGAATGGAATAGACTTGAATAGAATGCAATCAAATAGAATGGAAACGAATAGAACGGATACGAATGGAATGGAAAGGAATCAAATGAAATGGAATCAATTAGAATGGAATGGGATGGAATGGGATGGAATGGAATGGAATGGAATGGAATGGAATGGAATGGAATGGAATGCAATGGAATGGACTCAAATGTAAAGGATTGGAATGGAAAGGACTCGAATGGAAAGCACTCGAATGGAATGGACTCATATTGAAAGGAATCAAATGGAATGGAATGCACTCGAATGTAAAGGACTGCAATGGAATAAACTCGAATCGAATGTACTCAAATGGAAATGATGTGCATGGAATGGAGTCGAATGGAATGGATTCAAATGGAGTGGTCTCAAAAGGAATGCTATCGTGTGGAATGGAATCAAGTTGGATGGAATCAAAGGAAAGGACTGTAAAGGAAATGAGTCAAAAGGAATGTAGTCGAATGGAATGGACTTCAATGGAATGGAACAGAATGCAGTGGAATGGAATGGAATGTATTCGAATGTAAAGGACTGCAATGTAATTGACTTGAATGGAATTGACTCAAATGGAATGCAATGGAATGGAATGGAATGGAATGGAGTGGAATAGAATCAAATAGGAATGGAATGGAATTGAATGGAATTGACTCTAATGGAATTGATTCGAAAGGAGTGGACTCGAATGGAATGGACTCGAAAGGAATGCAATTGAATGCAATGGAAATGAATGGAATGGAGTAGAATGCTATGGACGAAAATTGAATGGAACGGAATGAAGTGGACTCGAATGGAATGGACTGGAATGATAAGCACTCGAATGGAATGTACTTGAATGGAATGGAGTTGAATAAAATCGAATGGAATGCAATAGAATGAAATCGAATGGAATGGAATTGAATAGAATAGAATCAAATGGAAAGGAATAAAATGCAATGGAATCGAATGGAATGGAATGGAATGGAATAGAATGTAATCGAAAGGAATTGAATCGAATGGAATGGATTCGAATGGAATGGAATAGTATCGAACGGAATGGAATCAAGTGGAATGGAATGGGATGGAATGGACTGGAATGAAATGGAATGGAATGGACTCGAATGTAAAGGGCTGGAATGGTAAGAACTCGAATGGAATGGACTCGAATGGAATGGACTTGAATGTAAAAGCCTGGAATGGAAAGGACTCGAATGGAATGAACTCGAAAGTAATGGACTCAAATGGAATGAAATCGAATGGAATGGAATCGAATGGAATGGAATTGAATGGAAGGGAATGGGATTGAATGGAATGGCATAGAAGGTAATGGAGTGGAACGGAATGGTATTTAATGGAATGGAATGGAATCGAATTGAATGGAATGGAATGGACACGAATGAAAGACTGGAATAGAAAACACTTGAACGGAATGGACTTGAATGTAAATGATTCAAATGCAAGGGACTCGAAAGGAATGGATTCAAATGGAATGGTCTCGAATGGAATGCTGTAGTGTGGAATGGAATCAAATAGGATGGAATAGAATGGAATGGACTCTAATGGAATGCAGTCGAAAGGAATTGACATGAATGGAATAGACTCGATTGGAATGGAATGGAATGGAATGGAATGGAATGTACTATAATATAAAGGACTGGAATGGAATGGAGTTGAATGGAATTGACTCAAATGGAATGTAATCAAATGGAATGCAATGGAAACGAACGGAATGCAATGGAATGGAATTGAATGGACTGTAATGGAATGGACTCGAATGGAATGGATTCGACTGGAAAGGACTCGAATAGAATGCAATCGAATGGAATGGAATTGAATAGAAAGAAATCGAATGGAATGTAATCAAAAGGAATTTACAGGAATGATATGGAACGGAATAGAATGGACTAAAATGGAATGGACAGGAATGATATCGACTTGAATGGGATAGATTTGAAAGGAATGGAATCGAATGGAATGGAATAGAATAGAATGAAATCGAATGGAAGTGATACGAATTGAATGGAATGGAATCGAACGGAATGGGTTCGAATGGAATGGAATTGAATAGAACGGAATGGAATGGAATGGGATCCAATGGAATAGAATTGAATAGAATGGAATCAATCGGAGTGGAATCGAATACAATGGAATGGAATGCAGAGACTGGAATGGAATGGACTCGAATGGATTGTAATTGAATGGAATGGATTCTAATGGATAGGAATGGAATCGAAAGGAATGGAATCAAATGGAATAGATTGGGATGGAATGGAATGCAATGGAATGGGATGGAATGGAATGGAATGGACTCAAACGTAAAGAACTAGAGTGGAAAAGACTCAAATGCAATGTACTCAAATAGAATTGACTCAAATGGAATGGAATCGAATGGAATGGAATCGACTGGAATGGAAAGGAATGGAAGGAACTGGAATGGAATGGAATCGAATCAAATCAAATGTAATGGAATGTACGAGTATGGAAAGGACTGGAATCGAATCAATATAAAAGGAATGGACTTGAATGGAACGGATTTGAATGGAATGGACTCGAATGGAATAGATTCAAAAGGAATGGTCTCGAATGTAATGCTATTGAGTGGAATGGAATTAAATGGGAAGGAATTGAAAGGAATGGAATCGTACGGAATGGAATCGAATGGAATGGAATGAAATAGAATGTATTACACTGGAATGGAATGGAATGGACTGCAATGGAATGGAATCGAATGGAATGTACTCGAAGTGAATGGAATGGAATCAACAGGAATGGAATGGAACGGAATGAAATAGAATGAAATGGAATGGACTCAAATGGAATGGACTCGAATGGAATGAACTCGAAAGAAATGGACACGATTGGAATGGATTTGAATGGAATGCAATCGAACAGAAAGCAATCGAATGGAATGGAATTGAATGGGATGGAATCGAATGGAATGGAATCAACTGGAATGGAGTCGTGTGAATTCCAATGGAATAGAATGGACTGGAATCGAATGGAGTGGAATGGAAAGATCTCGAAATTAATAGAATGGAGTGGATTGGAATGAAATAGAATCGAATGGAATGATCTGGAGTGGAATGGATTGGAATGGAATGTAGTCTAAAGAATGGACTCGAAAGGAATGCAATCAAATGGAATGGAATCGAATGGAATGGAATCGAATGGAATGGAATGGAATGAACTTGAATGGACTGGAATGAAATGGAGTCAAAAGAATGGACTCGAAAGGAATGCAATCAAATGGAATGGAATGAAATGGAATGGAATCGAATAGAATGGATTGGAATGGAATGGAATCGAATGGAATGGAATCGAATGAAATGGAATTTAATGGAATGGAATTGAATGGAATGGAAGCCAAAGGAAAGGAATCAAATGTCATGGAATGGAATGGAACGGTCTCGAAAGGAATGGAATCGTATGCAATCAAACCAATCAAAGGCAAAGCAATGGATTGGAATATAATGGAATGGAATGCAAAGGAATTGCATCGAATGGATTGGAATGCAATGGAATGGAATGGAAGGCAATGGAAACGAGTGGAGTGGAATCAAATGGAATGGAAGGGATTGGAATGGACTGGAATGGAATGGAATGGAATGCAATGGACTAGAATGTAATGGACTGGAATGGATTAGACTCAAATGGAATGGTATGTAATTGAATGGACACGAATGGAATGGAAATGAATGGAATGGAATAGAATGGACTGCAATCAAATTGAATAGAATGGAATCGAATAGAATGGAACCAAGTGAAATGCAATTTAATGGAATGGAATGGAATGGAATGGAATGGAATGGAATGGAACGGAATGGAGTGGAATGGAATTGAATATAATGCAATCGAAAGGAATGGAATAGAATGGAATGGAATCGAGTTCAATGGAATCCAATATACTGCAATGGAATTGAATGGAATAGAATGGAATGGAAGGGAATGGAATGGAATGGAATCAAAAGGAAGGGAACGAATGGAATGGAGTGGAATGGAATGGAATGGAATATAATGGAATGGAACGGAATGCAATGGAATGGAATTTAACCGAATGGAATGGAATAGAATGGGATTGACTGTAATGGAATGAATGGAATGGAATGCACTCGAATGTAAAGGAAGGGAATGGAAGGGAATGGAATGGAACAGACTCTAATATAATGGAAGAAAAGTGAATGGAATGGAATGCAATGGACTGTAATGGAAGGAATGGAATTGAATGGACTCGAACGTAATTGACTGAAATGGAATGGAATCGAATGGAATGAATTGAAATGGAATAGAATGGAAAGGACAAAAGTGGAATGGAAAGGAATGGACTGTAATGGAAGGAATGGAATGGAATGCACACGAATGTAACTGGAATGGAATGGAATCAAATGGAATGGACAGGAATGGAATTAAATGGAATGGAATGGAATGGATTGGAATGGAATGAAATGGAATGGAATGGAATGGAATAGAAAGGAATGGAATGGAATGGGATTGAATGGAATGGAATGGAATGGAATAGAAAAGAATGGAATGGAATGGGATTGAATGGAATGGAATGGAATAGACTGGAATGGAACGGAACGGAATGGAATGGAATTCAATTGAATGGAAAGGAATGGAGTGAACTGTAATGGAAGGAATGGAATGGAATGCACTCGAATGTCATTGACTGGAATGGAATGGACTCGTATGGAATGGACTGGAATTGAATGGAATGGAATGGACAGTAATGGAAGAAATTGAATGGAATGGACTCAAACGGAAAGGACTCAAACGGAGTGGACTCGAATTGAAAGGATGTGAATGGAATGGACTCGATTATTGTGGATTCGAATGCAATGGACTCGAATGGAATGCAATCAAAAGGAACAGATTCGAATGGAATGGAATAGAAAGGAATGGACACGAATGGAATGGAGTAGAATAGAATAGACTCAAATGGAATGGACTGGAATGGAATGGAATCAAATGGAATGGAATGGAATCGAATGGAACGGCATGGAATTGAATGTGATGGAATCGAATGGATTGAAATCAAATGGAATGGACTGGAATGGAATGGAATCGAATGGAAAGGACTCAAATGCAATGGACTCGAATGGAATGGAATCACATGGGATGGAATCGAATAGAATGGAATGCAGTGGAACGGAGTCAAAAGGAATGGACTCGAATGGAAGGAACTCGATAGGAATGGAATGGATTGGAATGGGATAGAATGTAATGGACTCTAATGTAATGAACTGGAATGAAATGGACTTCAGTGGAATGGACTCGAATGGAATGCAATGGAATGGAATGGACTCTGTTTGAATGGACATGAATGGAATGCAATCGAAAGGAATGAAATTGAAGTGTAAGGAATCAAATGGAATGGACAGGAGTGGAATGCACTGGAATGTAATGGACTCGAATGGAATGAACTGGAATGATATGGACTCCAATGGAATGGACTCGAAAGGAATTGAATAGAATGCAGTGAAATAGAATGCATTGGAATGGAATCGAATGGAATGGAGTCCAATACAGTGGAATCGAATGGAATGGAATCGAATGGAATGGAGTCGAAAGTAATGGACTGGAATGGAACGGTCTTGAATGGAATGGAATCAAATTGAATGGAACCTAATGTATCGGACTCGAAAGGAATGGACTGGAATGGAATGGAATCAAATGGAATTGACTCAAATGGAACGGAATTGAATGGAATGGAATCGAAAGGAAAGGAATGGAATGGAATTGAATCGAATCGAAAGGAATGGAGTGGAATGGAATAGAATTGAATTGAATGGAATGGAATGGAAACAAATGGAATGTAATCGAACAGAATGGAATGGAAAGGAATGCAATGGAATCGAAAGGAAAGAAATCAAATGGAATGGAATTGAATGGAATGGAGTCAAATGGAATGTATTCTAATGGAATGGAATCAAATGGCATGTGATGGAATGGAATGGAATCGAAAGGAATGGAATGGAATGCAATGCATTCAAATTGAAAGGGATCAAATGAAATGGAAAGAATGGAATTTAATCGAACTGAATGGAATAGAATGGTATCGAATGGATTCGAATGGCTTGTGGTGAAATGGATTGGAATGGGTTGGAATGGAATGGGTTGGAAATGAATTGAATGTAGTGTAGTGGAGTGGAGTGGATGGAGTATAAGGGAATGGAAAGGGAAAGAATGTAATTGAACAGACTGGATTGGAAAGGAGTGGAATATAATAGAATGGAATGTAACGGAATGGAATGGAATGCAATGGAATGGTATGGAGTGAAATGGATTTCTTGGAGTGAAATAAAATGGAATGAAGTTGGATGGAATGCAGTGAATTGGGGTAGACTGTAGTGGAATGGAATGGAATGCAGTGGAATGGAATGGACTCGAAAAGAAAGAACACGAATGGAATGGAATGGACACTAATGGAAAGGAAGGGAATAAAAAGGAATGGAGTGGAATGGAATAGAATGGAATGGAATGGAATTGAACAGAATGGAATCGAATGGAATGGAATCGAATAGAATGGAACAGAATGGAATGAAATGGAATGTATTTCAATAGAATAGACAGATATGGAATGGAATCAAAACAATGGGAATGGAATGGACTCGAATGAAACTGAATCAAAAGAAATCGAATGGAATGGAATAGAATAGAACAAAATGGACTCGAATGGAATGGACTGCAACGGAATCGAATCGAATGGAATGGACACGAATGGAATGGACTAGAATGCAATGGGTTTGAATGGATTGGAATCCAAAGGAATACCCTAGAACGTAATGTAATTGAATGGAATGGAATCGAATGGAATGGACTGGATTGGAATGGAAAGGATTCAAATGGAATCGATTCAATTGGAATGGATTCGAACGGAATGCAATCGAATGGAGTGGAATCAAATGGAATGGAATCGAATGGAATGGAATAGAATGGAATGGAATCCCATAGATTGGAATCAAATGGAAGGGAACGGAAGGGAATGGAATGGACTCAAATGTAATGGAAAGGAATGCAATCGAGTGGAATGGAATGGAATGGATTGGAATGGAATGGAATGGAAAGAATGGAATGTAACGGACACAAATGTAATGGACTGGCATGGAACAGACTCGAATGGAATGGATTGAAATGAAAAAGAATGGAATGAAATGGAATTGCATGGAATGGAATAGAAAGGAATGGAATAGAATAGACTCAAATGTAATGAACTGGAATGAAAAGGAATGGAATGGAACATACTCTAATAGAATGGAATAGAATGGAACTGAATGGAATGCAACGGAATGAAATGGAATGGAACGGAGTGGAATTGAATAAAATGGAATGGAATGGACTCGAATGGAATGGAATTGAATGGAATGGAATGTAACTGAATAGAACGACATTGAATGGAATGGAAAGGTACCGAATGGAAAGGAATGGGATGGAATGGGATGGAATGGAATGGAATGGAATGGAATGGAATGGAATGGAGTCGAATGGAATGGAATGGAATAAAATGGAGTGGCATGGAATGGAATAGAATGGAATGAAATGAAATGGAGTGGCATGGAATGGAATAGAATGGAATGGAATGAAATGGAGTGGAATGGAAGGAATGGAATCGAATAGAATGGAGTGTAATTGAATGGAATGGAAAGGAACGGAATCAAACAGAATGGAATGGAACGGAATGGACTGTAATGGAATTGCACGTAATCAAACCGAATGGAATGGAATGGAATGAACTCAATTGAAATGGATTCGAATGGAATGGACTCGAATGTAATGCAATCGAATGGAATGGAATCAAATGGAAAGGAATAGATTGGAATAGAATCGAACGGAATGGAATGCAATGGAATGGAATGGAATGGAATGGAATGGAATGGAGTGGAATAGAACGAAATGGAATGGAATGGAAAGGACCCAAATGCAATGGAATGGAATTCAATATAACGAAATAGAATGGAATGGAAATGACCCAAATGGAATGGAATTGAATGGAATGAAATTGAATGGAATAGAATGGAATGGAATGGAATGGAATGGAATGGAATGGAATGGAATGGAATGGAATGGATTGTAATAGAATCGCATAGATTGGAATGGAATGGAATGGACTGTATTGGAATGCATTCGAATGGAATGAACTCAAATGGAATGGAATGGAATAGAATGGAAGGAAATCAAATGGAATGGAGGCGAATGGAATGGACCCGAATGGAATGGAGTCGAAAGCAATGGACTGGAATGGAATGGAATCGAATGGAAGGGATTAGAATGGAAAAGAATTCAATGGAAGACAATAAAAAATACTGGGCTGGAATTGAACGTACTGGAATGGAATGGAATAGAATGGAAGGGAATCGAATGGAATTGAAAGGACTAGAGTGGAATGGATTCGAATGCAATGGACTCGAATGGAATGCAGTCAAATGGAATGGAATCTAATGGAATGCAGTCAAGTGCAATGGAACAGAATGGAATGGACTCGAATGGAATGGACTTGAACGCAATGGACTGGAATGGAATGGAATCTAACGGAAAGGAATCGAACGGAATGGAATTGAATTTAATGGAATGGAATCGAATGTAATTGAATGGAGGGGACAGGAAGTGAATGGTATCGAACGGTATAGAATGGAATGGAAGTCAATGGAATGCAATTGATTGGAATGGAATCAAATGGAAGGGAATTGAAAGGAATTGAATCAAATGGAATCGAATGGAATGGTAAGCAATGGAATGGAATGGAATGTACTCAAATGGAATGGACTGGAATTGAACGGTCTCAAATGGAATGAAATGGAATCCATTGAAATGGAATGGAATGCAATAGAATGGAATGGACTCCAACGGATTAGACTGGAAGGGAATGGACTCAAATGGACAGGAATCAAACGGAATGAAATAAAATGGAATGGAATGGAATGGAACAGAATCGAATGAAATGGAATTTAATGGAATGGAATAGAATGGACTGGAAAGGAATGGATTGGAATGGAATGGAATGGAATGGAATGGAATGGAATGGAAAGGAATGGAATTGAAAGGAATGGAATGGAATGGAATGGTATGAAATGGAACGGAATGCAATGGATTCAAACAGAATGGATCGGAATGAAATGAACTGGAATGGAATGGGCTGCAGTGGAATGGAATGGAATGGAATTGATTTAAACTGAATGGAATGATGTAGAACGGACTCAAACGGAATGGATTCGAATGGAATGGAATGGACTCGAAGGAAATGGACTGGAATGGAATGGATTCGAACAGAATGGATCGGAATTGAATAGAATGTAATGTAATCAAACGGAATGGAATGGAATGAATGGAATTGAATGAAATGGAATGGAATGGAATTGATTTGAACGGAATGGAATGGAGTTGAATGGACTCGAACGGAATGCATTTGAAAAGAATGGAATGGATTCGAAGGGAATGGACTGGAATGGAATGGATTCGAACAGAATGGATTGGAATTGAATCAAATGTAATGGAATCTAACAGAATGGAATGGAATGAACGGAATTCAATCGAAAGGAATGGAATGGATTCGAACGGAATGGAATGAAATGCAATCAAAAGGAATGGAATGAAATCGAATGAAATTGAATGGAGTGCAATCGAATGGAGTTGAATGGAATTGAATGAAAAGGATTCGAACGGAATGGAATGGAATAGAATGGCATGGAATGGAATAGAATTGCATGGAATGCAATGCTCTCTAATGGAATGGAATGAAATGGAATGGAACTGACCCTAATGTAATGGAATCTAAAGAATGGAATACAATGGAGTAGAATTGAATGGAATGGAATCTAATGGAATGGAATGGAATGGTATGGAATCAAATGGAATGGAATGGCATGGACAGGAACAGAATGTACTGGAATGGAATGGAATGGTATGGAATCAAATGGAATGGAATGGCATGGACAGGAACAGAATGTACTGGAATGGAATGGAATGGAATGGAATAATATGGAAAAGAATGGAATCGAATGGAATGGAATGGAATGGATTCGAATGAACTGGAATGGAATGGAATGGATTCGTATGGAATTTAATGAAATGGAATGGAATGGAATGGAATCTAACGGAATGCAATGGAGTGGCAAACAATCGAATGGAATGGAATGGAGTGGAATGAATGGAATGGAATGGCATGAAAAAGATTAGAATGAATGGACTGGAAAGGAATAGAATGGAATGGAACGAAATGTCCTCGAATGTAATCGAATGGAATTGAATGGACTCCAGTGGAATGGACTCAATTGGAAGGGACTAGAAAGGAATGAATTTGAATGGAATGGAATCGAATGTAATAGAATGAAATGGAATAGAATCGAATGGAATGGAATTGAATGGAATGGAATGAAATGGAATGTAATGGAATCAAATTGAATGCACTGGAATGGAAAGGACTTGACTGCAATGCACTCAAATGGAATGGAATCGAATGGAATGGGATCGAATGGAAAGGGATCAAAAGAAATGCAATCGAATGGAATGGAATCGAGCGGAACGGAACTGAATAGAAAGGAATGGAATGAAATGGACTCGAAAGGAATGGAATGGAGTGGAATGGTCTTCAATGGAATGGCATCGAATGGAATGCAGTTGAATGTAATGGAATCGAATGTAATGGAATCAAATGGAATGGAAAGGACTGGAACGGAAGGGCATGGACTGGAATATAATTGACTGGATTGGAATGGACACGAATGTAATTGAAACAAATGGAATGGAATCTCACGGAATGGAATCATATGTAATGGAGAAGAATGGAATTCACTGGAATGGAAAGGTTTCGAACGGAATGGAATCGAATGGAAAGGATTGGAAAGGAATGGAATAGAATGGAATGGAATGGAAAAGAATGGAATGCACTGGAATGGAAAGGTCTCGAATGGAATAGAATGGAAAAGAATGGAAGGCACTGGAAAGGAAAGGTCTCGAATGGAATGGAATGGAATGGAAAGGATTGGAATGGAATGGAATGGAATGGAATAGAAACGAATGGAATGGATTGGACTGGAATGGAAAGGACTAGATGGAATGGACTGCAACGGATTAGACTCAAAAGGAATGGACTCGAAAGAATGGCATCAAATGGAATGGAATGGAATGGAATTGACTGGAACGGAATGGAAATGACTCGAATAGAATTGAATCAAATGGAATGGACTGGAATGGAAAGGAATGGACTCGAATGGAATGGACTGGAATGGAATGGTCTCGAATGGAATGGAATCGAATGGAATGGACTTGAGTAGAATGGAATGGAATGGAACAGTCTCGAATTGAGTGGAATTGAGTGGAATGGAATCGAATGGAATGGAATAAAATGGAATGGAATGGAATAGAATGGAACAGAATCAAATGGAATGGAATGGAATGGAATGGAATTTACTCGAGTGTAATATAGTGGAATCGAAAGGACTCGAATGGAAGGGACTCAAACGCCATGGAATCGAATGGAATGGAATCGAATAGAATGGAATGCAATGAAATGGAATCGAATGGAATTTAATGGAATGGACTGGAATGGAATGTACTCGAATGGAATAGAATCAAATGGAATGGAAGAGAATGGAATGAAATTGATTCAAAAAGAATAGATTGGAATGGAATAAAATCGAATGGAATGGAATGGAACGGAATGGAATAGAATGGAATGGAATGGAAAGGAATAGAATGTAATGGATTGGAATGGACTCCAATGTAACGGACTGGAATAGAATGGACTCAAATGGAGTGGACTCTAATGGAATGGACTCTAGAGGAATGGAATGCAATAGAATGGAATGGAATGAAATGGAATGGAATGGACTGGAATGGAATGGACTCGAATAGAATGGACTTCATTGGAATGGACCCAAAGGGAATGCAATCGAACAGAATGGAATAGAATGGAATGGATTCGAATGGAATGGACTGGAATGGAATGTATTTGAATGGAATGTACTGGAATGGAATGGTCTTGAATGGAATAGAATCGGAAGGAATGCAATATAATGGAATTGAAAGGAATGCAATGGAATAGAATTGAAACAAAAGGAATGGAATCAAATGGAAACAAATGGAATGGAATGGAATGGAATCGAATGGAATGTAGTGGAATGGAATGGAATCGATTTGAATGGACTCGAATGAAATGGAATCAAATGCAATGGAATCGAGTAAAATGAGATCAAATGGAATGGGATGGAATGGAATGGAATAGAGTGGAACGGAGTCGAATGTAATGGAAGCGATCGGAAAGGAATCAAATGGCAACAAATGGAATCGAATGGATTCAGATGCAGCGGAGTGGAGAGGAATGCAGTGGAATTGAATTGGTTGGATTGGAATTGAATGTAGTGGAGTGGAGTGGAGTGGAGTGGAATGAAATGTATGGAATGAAATAAAATGGAATGGAATGAAATGGAATCGTATGAAATCGAAAGGAATTGAATTGAAAGGCATGGAATCAAACCGAATTGAATGGAATCGAATGTATTGGAATGTAATAGAATGGAATCGAATGGAATGGACTAAAAATGAATGCATCAGAATGGAAAGGTCTCGAATGGAATGGAACGGAATTGAATGAAATCGAAAGGAATGGCATCGAATGGAAAGGAATGGAATGGAATGGACTCAAATGCAATCTACTAAAATAGAAAGGACTCGAATGGAATGGAGTCGAATGGAGTGGAATCGAATGCAATGGAATCGAATGGAAGGGAATACAATGGATTTGAATGGAATGGAATGGAATGGAATGGAACGGACTTGAATGTAATTTACTCGAATGGAATGAAATCGAATGAAATGGAATCAAAACGAATGAAATAGAATGGAATATAATGGAATGGAATGGAATGGAATGGACTGAAATGGAATGGACTCGAACAGAATTGTCTTGAATGGAATGGTAACGAAGGGAAGGGAATAGAATGGATTGGAATGGTATGGAATGCAATCAAATGGAATGCATTCGAACGGAATGGAATGGAATAGAATGGAATTGAATGGAATGCAATGGACTCAAATGGAATGGAATGGAATGGGCTCAAATGGAAGGGAATCGAATGGAATCAAATCGAATGGAATGGATTTGAATGGAATCGAATGGAATGGAATGGACAGGAGCAGAATGGAATTGAATGGAAAGGAAATGTATGGAATGGAATGGAATGGATTGGAATGGAATGGACTCGAATGGAAAAGAATGGAATGGAATGGAAACGAATGGAATGGACTTTAATGGAATGCAGTCTAATGGAATGGACTGGAATGGAATGGACTCAAAAGGAATGGACTGGAATGGAATGGCTTGAATGGAATGGAATCGAATAGATCAGAATAAAATGGAATGGAATGGAATGGAATGGAATTGAATGGAATTGAATGCAATGGAATGGAATGGAACGGACTCGAATGGAAGGGAATCAAAAAAAATGGAATGGACAGGACTGGAATGGAATGGACCCGTAAGGAATGGACTGGAATGGAACGGCTCAAATGGAAGGGAATACAATGGAATTGAATTGACTGGAATGGAAAAGAGTCCACTCGAATGTAATGGACTGGAATGGAATGGACTCGAATGGAATGGGATCAAATGGAATGGCATTGAATGGAATTTAATTGAATTGAATGGATTGAAATGGTTCAATCTCGAATGGAATGGAATGGAATGGATTCGAATGGATTGGACACGACGGAATAAAATCGAAAGGAATGGAATGGAATAGAATAGAATGGAATGGACTTGAATATAATGGCCAGGAATTGAATTGACTCGAATGGAATGAAATCGAGTCAAATGGAATTGAAACGAATGAAATTTAGTGAAATATAATGGAATGGAATGGACTTGAATGGAACGGACTGCAATGGAATGGACTGAAATGGAATGGACTCGAATGGAATTGTCTTGAATGAAATTGTAACGAACGGAATGGAATAGAATGAATTGGAATGGTATGGAAAGCAACGGAATGGAATGGATTCGAATGGAATGGAATGGAATAGAATGTAATTGAATGGAATGAAATGGACTCGAATGTAATAGAATGGAATGGAATGGACTCGAATGGAATGGAATCAGATGGAATCAAATCGAATGGAACGGATTTGAATAGAATCAAAAGGAATAGAATGCAATGGAATGGACAGGAAGAGAATGAAATCGAATGGAATGGAATGGTATGGAATGGAATGGATTGGAATGGTATGGACTCGAATGGCATGGACTCGAATGGAATGGAATCCATTGGAATATACTCTAAAGGAATAAAATCGAATGGAATGGACAGGAATTCAATGGACTGAAAAGGAATGGACTTGAATGGAACGGTCTCGAATGGAAGAGAATCAAATGGAATAGAATTCAAAGGAATGGAATGGAATGGAATGGAATCGAATCGAATGGAATGGAATGGACTGGAATGGAACGGAATGGAGTGGAATAGAACGGAATGGACTCGAATGTAATGGACTGGAAACGCATGGACTCGAATGGAATGCAATCAAACGGAATGTAATTGAATGGAATGGAATATAATGGAATGAGAACAAATCAAATGAACACGAATGGAATGGACTGGAATGGAACTGTCTTGAATGGAATAGAATGGAATGGTATGGAATCGAATGGAATGGAATGGAATGGAGTGGAAGGGAAAGGAATGGAATAGAACGGAATCGACAAGAATGGAATGGACTGGAACGGAATGGAATGGAAGTGAAAGGAATGGACTCGAATGGAATGGACCCGAAAGGAAAGGAATCATATGGAATGGAATCGAATGGAATGGAATCAAATGGAATGGAATGGTTTCCAATGGAAAGGAACGGAATGAACTCGAAAGGAAGGGAATGGAATGGAATGGAACGGAAAGAACTGGAATGGAATGGCCTCGAAAGGAATGGAATGGAATGGTATGATCTCGAATGGAAAGGAAACGAATGGAATTGAATAGACTGGAATGGAAAGGAATGGAATCGAATGTAATGGACTGGAATGGAATGGACTCGAATGGAATGAAATCGAATGAATAGAATCGAATGGAATGGAATCGAATGGAATTGACACAAATTGAATGGATTAGAATGGAATGGCCTCAACTGGAGCATAATGTAACGGAATGGAATGGAACAGAATGGAATAGAATGCAATGGAACAGAATAGAACGGAATGGAATTGAAAGGAATGGATTGCAATGGAATGCACTCGATTGGAATGGGCACGAATGGAATGGTATCGAATGGAATGGAATCAAATGGAATGGATTGAATGGAATGGGATCGAATGAATTGGAATCGAATGTTATGGAATCGAATGGAATGGAATCTAATCGAATGAAATGGAATGGAATGGAATGGAATGCAATGGAATGGAATGGAATGGAATGCAATGCAATGGAATGCAATGGAATGGAATGGAATGCAATGGAATGGAATGGAATGGAATGGAATGGAATGGAATGGAATGGAATGGAATGCAATGGAATGGAATGGAATGGAATGGAATGGAATGCAATGGAATGGAATGGAATGCAATGGAATGGAATGGAATGGAATGGAATGGAATGGAATGGAATGGAATGCAATGGAATGGAATGGAATGCAATGGAATGGAATGGAATGGAATGCAATGGAATGGAATGGAATGGAATGCAATGGAATGGAATGGAATGGAATGGAATGGAATGGAATGGAATGGAATGGAATGCAATGGAATGGAATGGAATGCAATGGAATGGAATGGAATGGAATGGAATGCAATGGAATGGAATGGAATAGCCTCTAATGGAATGGAAGTGAGTCGAATGGAATGGAATGGAATGGAATGGAATGCACTGAAATGGAATTTAATGGAATGGAATTTAATGGAATAGAATGGAATGGAATCAACTAAAATGCAATGGAATGGAATGGAACGGAATTGAATGGAATGGAATGGAACCGAATGGAATAAAAGGGCATGCAATGGAATCAAAAGTAGTGTTATAGAATGGAATGGAATGAAATAGAATGGAATGGAATCAAAAGGAATAAAAGGGCATGCAATGGAATCAAAAGCAGAGAAATAGAATGGAATAGAATGGAATACAATGAAATAGAATGGAATGGAATGGAATGGATTCAAGTGGAATGGAATGAAATGGTTTGGATTCGAATTGAAGGGACTGGAATGGAATGTATTCGAATGGAATGGAATGGAACGGAATGGAATGAACTGGAGTGGACTCGAATGTAATGGACTGGAATGGAATGGACTCAAATAAATGGACTTGAATGGAATGGACTCGCATGGAATGGAATCGAATGAAATTTAATGGAATGGAATAGAATGGAATGGAATGTACTCGAATGTAATGGACTGGAACCGTACGTATGTAATGGAAAGGAATGGAATGGACTCGAATGAAATGGAATGGAATGGAATGAACTGGAATGGAATGGACTCGAATGGAATGGACTCCATTGGAATGGACCCGAAAGGAATGCAATCGAATGAAATGGAATCAAACGGAATGGATTCGAAAGGAATGGACTGGAATGGAATGGATTCGAATGGAATGTACTGGAATGGAACTGTCACAAATGTAATGGAATCGAAAGGAATGCAATGGAATGGAAGCAAATGGAATCGAATGGAATGGAATGGAATCGAATGGAATGTACTGGATTGCAATGGACTCGATTGGAATGGAATCGAATGCAATGGAATTGAATAAAATGGGATCGAATGGAATGGGATCAAATGGAAAGAAATCAAATGGAATGGAATCGAATGGAATGGAACGGAACATAATGAAATCAAATGGCATCGAATGGAATCGAGTGGATTGTGGTGAATGGAGTGCAGTAGAGTGGAATGGAATGTGTTGGAATGGAATTGAATGTAGTGGAGTGGAGTGGAGTGGAATGGAATGGAATGGAAAGGAATGGAATCGAATGGAATTGAATCGAATGGAATGGAATCAAATCATACTGAATGGAATTGAATGGAATGGAATCGATTCGATTGGAATGTAATAGAATGGAATCGAATGGAATGGACTCGAATTGAATGGATTGGAATGGAATGGTATCGAATGGAATGGAATGGAATGGAATCGAATGGAATGGAATTGAATGGAATGGAATCAAATGGAATTGAATGGAATGCAATGGAATAGAATGGAATGGAATGGACTCGAATGCAATGGAGCGGAATTGTATTGACTCGAATGTAATGGAATCAAATGGAATCGACTCGAACGGAATGCAATCGAATGGAATGGAATCGAATGGAAAGGAATCGATTGGAATGGACTAGAATGGAATGGACTCGAATGAAACGGACTCCAATTGAATGGACTCGAATGGAAAGCAATCGAATGGAATGGAATTGAATGGAATGGAATGGAGTCGAACTTAATGGAATCAAATTGAATGGACTCGAATGTAATGGACTGGAATGGAACCGTACGTATGTAATGGAAAGGAATGGAATCGATTGGAATGGACTAGAATGGAATTGACTCGAATGAAATGTACTCCAATGGAATAGACTCGAATGGAAGGCAATCGAATGGAATGTATTGGATTCGAATGGCATGTAATCAAAAGGAATGGAATGGAATGGAATCGAATGAAATGCAATGGAATAGAATGGTATGGAATTGAATAGAATGGAATGGAATAGGAATGGACTCGAATTTAAAGGAATGGAATGGTAAGGACTCAAATTGAAAAGACTCGAATGGAATGGAATCGAATAGAATTGAATCGAATGGAATTGAACCTTGTGGAATGGAATTGAAACGAATGGAATGGAATTCAATTAAATGGAATGGAATGGAATGGACTCGAATGGAATGGAATTGAATGCTATACACTGGAATGAAATGGACTCGAGTAGAATGGCCTGAAATGGAATGTATTCGAGTGGAATGGACTCGAACAGAATAGATTCGAATGGAATGGACTTGAAAGGAATACAACCGAGGGGTATGGATTCAAATGGGATGGAATCGAATGGAATGGACTGTAATGGAATGGACTTGAAAGGAACAAACTCGAAGGGAATGGACTCGAATGGAATGGAATGGAATGGAAAGGATTCGAATGGAATGGAATGGAATGGAATGGAATGGAATGGAATGGAATTAACTTGAATGGAATGCAATCCAATGGAATGCAATGGAATGGAACAGAATGCAATGGAATGTAATGGAATGGACTTGAATGGAATGGATTTGAATGGAATGGAATCGGGTGTAATGGAAACAAAAGAAAGGAATTTGAAACTAATATAATGGAATCGAATAGAATGGGTTCGAATAAAACGCAATCGAATGGAATGGAAAGGATTGCAATGGAATGGAATCTAATGGAATGGAATCGAATAGAATGGAATTGAATGAAATGAAATCGAATGGAATTGAATGGAATGGACTGCAATGCAATTGAATCGAATGGAATGGACTGGAATGGAATGGTCTCTTGGAATGGAATAAAATGGAATGGATTTGAATGGAATTGAATGGAATGCAATGAAATGAAATCGAATGTAATGGAATCGAATGTAATGGAATTGAACGAAATGGAATAGAATTGAATGGACTGGAATGGAATGGACTCGAAGGTAATGGACTGGAATGGAACGGTCTCGATTGGAATGGAATCGAATGGAATGGATTCGAATGGAAAAGAATCGAATGGAATGGAATCCAATGGAATGGTCTCGCATGGAAAGGAATGGAATCGAATCAAATCGAATAGAATGGGTTTGAATGGAATGTAATCAAATGGAATAAGATAGAATGTAATGAAATCAAATGGAACAAATTCGAATGGAATGGAATTGAATGGAATGGACTGGAATGCAATGGACTCGAATGGAATGGACTGGAATGGAATGGTCTCGAATGGAATGGAATCGAATGACATGGAATCGAATGGCATGGAATTGAATGCAGTGTAATGGAATCGAAGGGAATGGAATTGAAGAGAATGGAATAGAATGGAATGGAATCGAATGCAATGGAATCAAATGGAATGGATTGGAGAGGAATGGACTAGAATGGAATGGACTGGAGTTGAACGGTCTCGAATGGAATGGAATGCAATAAAATGGAATCAAATGGAATGGCATGGTATGCAATGGAACGGAATGAAATAAAATGGAATAGAATGGAATTTAATGGAATGGAGTGGAAAGGAATCGAATTGATTGGACAGGAAAGGAATGGAGTGGAGTGGAATGGAGTGGAGTGGAAAGGAATGGAGTGTAGTGGAATACAATGTAATAAGAAGCAAATAAATGGAGCTGCCAAGAGCCCATTCATGGCTCAGTAAATCTCAAATTGTACACTGAGTTGTCCAAGAAACGTGGCACACCCTGCAGGGCCAAATTAATTATCCCTTTCTCGGAACATCATGCTCTGATTATGTTAATACCTGCAGGTAGATCCCAAGCTTTGTGTGGCATCGCCCTGGGGGTCAAGAGAGAAACTGCATGTTCTTACCACATCCTAAACTGAAAAGAACAGTTTAGAAATGTGGCAAATAGAAGAGCTTGTTATCAGGTGATCAATGACATTAGGTCTGACTTCAGTCAGCTGCAGAATTTTGGCAAGTGATATCAATCTGAAGCCTCTGAAATACACAGGAACTTCTCAAAAAATCTGCCATACTAAGACAATATATGGCTGTTAGTGTTGGTGAGAAGGTTTTCAGAGTTAAAATATTTCCGTGCAAGCTGCCTCATGCCCCAAACACTGCTTTTGCCCCAGTTACCTACCCAACAAATTTTATTTTTGATTTAGAAAATAATTAAAATAGATAGGTGAACTCCAAAATTTAACAATCAGAAAGTGACTTATTTGATATAGTGATATCAGCAAGATGGTGGAATAGGGAGTCTTAGCTCTCATTCTCTCACACAAACAGAGATCTGACAATGATATAGGTAACAAAATATCTTTATGAGAAGTCCAGAATCTCATTGAGGATTTTCAGAACATCAGCAAGATGGCCGACCAGGAGCTGCTAGCTAAAGCAGAGCACAGGAGAACAGCAAAGAAGCAGCAGAAATCCCATAGACCACAGCAACCCAGGATGACCACAAACAAAAGGTAAGGAAACACCTTGCCTCCACCACACCCTTCCCCAAGTTGAGACCCAGCTCTGAGCTGTGATGGAAAAGTTAAGCAAGGGGACCCCAGCAACACTCATCACTATTACAAACACTTCTGCAGTCCTCAAAGG
The DNA here is from genome assembly GCF_000001405.40 of Homo sapiens. Lineage (NCBI taxonomy): Eukaryota > Metazoa > Chordata > Mammalia > Primates > Hominidae > Homo > Homo sapiens. The sequence goes on from NC_000020.11 coordinate 31,246,439, forward strand.
CTCTGAGTCCCGTTGAGGGAAGTCCCTAGACTCCATATGCTGAGCTACCCCCAGAGAAGGAGCCCACACTGTGCTCCACCGAACTCACTCCTGGTTTGTGCTGCTACCTCCTTGTGCCATCTTGAAGCTAGAACCACTGCTAGAGTGCTTCCTACTCTGGGAGTGAGTAGCATTTGCATCCCTCCATCCCTGAGGTTCAGCCGCCACTGCACCATGCCCACCTGGTAGTGTGCCATCCTCGAGCAGAGCTGCTGCTATGACCTTCTCCCTAGGGCCAAGCTATCAGTTAGCCACTTATCCTCCACATCCAAGTCGCTGGTGCACCCTCACCTTAGGGCCAGCTCCTTGAGCTCTGGGTCCCTGGGGGTAAGGCACCACTTCACTCCAAGAATACTACCCAGCAAAGCTGCCTTCAGAAATGAAAGAGAAATAAAGTCTTTCATTAGACAAGAAAAAGCTGAAGGAATCAATTACCACTAGATCTGTCTTACAAGAAGTGCTTAAGAGAGTTCTTTAACTGGAAACAAAAGGACAATAATGACTATCATAAATACATGTGAAAGTATAAAACTCATTGGTAGAGGTAAATACATAGTCAAATTCAGAATACTCCAATAATGCAATAGTGGTAGGTAAATCATACATAACACTAGTATGAAGATTAAAAGTCAAAATGGTCAAAAATAATGTCAAGGGACAAAGTTTCAATAAATTTTCAGATCTAAATTGGCTTTATTGCAATTCTAGCATCAAATAACACTTCATTTCATAAAATAGAATAAGTGTTCTGATGAACTGAGCAGAAATGTTTGGCCTTGTAGAAAGAGAAGGGCTGAAGAAAGCAGAAGCAAAGGCCAGGCACGGTGGCTCAAGCCTGTAATCCCAGCACTTTGGGAGGCCGAGGCAGGTGAAATCACCAGAGGTTAGGAGTTTGAGACCAGCCTGGCCAACATGGAGAAACCCTGAAACCCTGTCTCTATGAAAAATACAAAAATTAGCAGGGCGTGGTGGCGCATGTCTGTAATCCCAGCTACTCGGGAGGCTGAGGCAGAAGAATCGCTTGAACCCGGAAGGTGGAGGTTGCAGTGAGCCAGGATCATGGCCATTGCACTCCAGACTGGGCAACAAGAGTGAGACTCCGTCTCAAAAGAAAAAAAAAAAAAAAACAGAAGAAAAGAACAGAGTTGCTTCGAAGCTATGTATTAGTTGCTTCAAAGCTATGTTTCTTGTAGGATGCGGACAGGGAGATAGAACAGTAGAAGAATAACTGATTAATTAACAGCAGGTTACTTCAGACTACCTTCTGTTGTGTAACAAATAAAGATAATGTTGTGAACTTCATTATCATGCCGATTGTAGATTTAAATTGGCCCGTTTGGGAAATTGGCTGTTACATCTTTCTTCTGATTTCTTGGAAGGTGGAATAACAGATTAGTTTGGGTTTGGTGACATGAAACTTTAGCATGGGTGACTCCATTTTGATTTTTAGTCTGGTCTCTTGAGGCCTAGTACAGAAACTTAGTCCAGAACAATAGCCTCTTACAATTTTTATTTAACAATTGCCCCCTTTTGGTCATGCTCACCTAAGTGAGAGTGTGACCAAAATCTAGGGCATCCACATTACTGTTACCATGATTTTGGGTTTCCAGCCTCAGCATGCCATTTGTAGATTATAGTGTCCATAGTTTACGGTGTTCTAGGAAAAACCAGGTTTTTGTTACATAACCAGGAAAGATTATGCTCCCAGACACTTTGAAGGGTGACAGGGAACAGAATTTATTGGGTGAAAAGGAAAAAGAAAAAACATCTCAGCAAAGTGGGATGGAATCCTGTTAACAGGGTCTCCACCTCACCTATTGAATCCCAGGTTACCACACACGAACAGGAGAGGCCAGGCTCCTCCCCTCTTCAAATGGCGTGAACTTCCGAGGCTCCACCCCACCCTCCCAGTGCACCGGCCTGTTGGAGATTCTCTGGGGACCTTCTCCCTTATCTGTCGCCTGCATCCATTAGTGTCTTCCTTATTATGCATTTCTTTGAGATTTGGTTGTTCCAGCTAGAGAGAGATCATTTGAGATTTGACAGATGGCTGTATCGAAAATTTAAAACTTTAAGAGGATAAAACGCACCACGGGACTAATATTATGACTATTAAGAGGATAACACTGGGCTGGGCGCCGTGGCTCTCGCCTGTAATCCCAGCACTTTGGGAAGCCGAGGCGGGCGGATCACGAGGTCAGGAGATTGAGACCATCCTGGCCAACATGGTGAAACCTGGTCTCTATTAAAAATACAAAAATTAGCTGGCCGTGGTGGCGAGCTCCTGTAGTCCCAGCTACTCGGGAGACTGAGGCAGGAGAATCGCTTGAACCCGGGAGGTGGAGGTTGCAGTGAGCCAAGATCACGCCACAGCACTCCAGCCTGGGCAACAGGGCGAGACTCCATCTCAAAAATAATAAAAATAATAATAATAATAAATATAAATAAAAGACGATAACACCAAGAGTTTGGAGTATGCTTCTTAGCCAGGGTCCCCATGACCTAAACCAACCAACATCAAATACACAAACTAGGAGTCTACCCATTTGAATCAAGGTATCTGCTCTATAAAACCTGATGTATTTATCTACGCACAATAAGAAATGTCATCAACTGCAGATTCCTCCCTATTGAGTTAGTAAGTAATCTAACATCTCATGATTGGATTAAATGAAATCAGGGAGTGCAGGTTACCCACAGAAGCTACTGATTGTAAAATTTTAACTACACCATTATCCTGCCAAGTGAAAGAGCTAGGCATAAGTAAGAAAAAATGAAGATAGGTAAGAACTTTATTATGGTAGACAGCTTTGTTCCAATGGTCTTGGGAAAAGCTGTCCACAGCATGAAGTTGGCAACTTCAAATCATGGTTTGCAGTTTGAATGTCTCTGGTTGTAGCATCAGCATTCTCGTGAATTATCTGTGACCCATGCATCAGGCATGAGAGGTGTTACTTGAAATTTATATCGAATTGTCCAGCTTTAGCCTATAAGGTTTCAGGTACTGAGCAGTTCTCATTCTTTGTTGCAGAATTCTGGCCAAGTATTATAGAAAACTGGAAGAAATCAGAATCCAGTCCAGTCTACAGGTAAATAATCACAACTCAAAATAATGAACAGGGCTACAATCTAATAATAGGTGTAATACAGTTTTCTTTTGAAATGTAATTTTTCTTTCTACAGTTTTCTCCATTTCTACCAAAAATAACCACCATGGTAAGACCAATTTGTTTGCAAAAAAAAAAAAAGTTTTTTCTTTTAAGCTCTTTATAGTTTATAGCAATTTGGTGAAATATACTTTTGTAAACAAAAATTGAGACTTTTGATTTTCCTCCATGTGTAATCCCTCCAGAATTTGGAAACTATTTGTGAGTATTCTTATTCTTATGGCCTTATGGCTATTTGCATAAGTTCAATAAGACTTAGTTCTCTTTATAACAGGATACAACTGAAAACACAAATTGTATTTCCAAGGCTTTGACTGGAATGTCATATTTACAAATGTGCATAGACTTCTTGGCTTCAAGGTTTCCCAACCTTATAATGAATGAGTAAAAGTTTTCACTTCTGGGTAGACCCAGGAACCTCAAGATATTAGATACAGCAGGTAAAATTCAATGACTGCCTTGGTTTGGCTTCCTAGCATTGAGAGGTTTTTAAAAATCTAATCTGAGATTCCTTGTAAAAATTTCCAGCAAAACAACTTTAAAAGAAGCCTATGTAGTTATTCTTGCTTCATTATGTTAATAATCAGGCCAAGTTTGAGAATAAACTTACTTTGCAAACAAATTTTTGTGAATAACTAGGAAGTAAGTTATTTGAGCTATTTGTAATATACCAACATTTTATGACTATATATTTCACAATTTTTAGACATTGTGAAAAAAATTGTTCTTGAAAAAACAAGTTTTTTGCTCCTCAAAGAAGTTTTTTTAATTTACTAACAGAGATTCAAATATATTTAGTTTGTCTACATCATATAGAAACAAAATGCCAAAGTATACAAACTTAAAGCTTATACTTAATAATTAATGTTTTAGTATTTTAACTTATTTAGCAATTACCAAGACATTTAACTGGTATATATTATGTAATTCTGCTTTAAGATTTCAAATTACCAAAAACATTTTTTGAAACTATGAGGAGTTTATTTGTGAACACTTATGCCTAATTTACTTGTTTTTGACAATCATGTTTGAACTGTTTATAAAACTTCTGTAAGGCATTGAACAAAACTCTCCATCATCTCAAGTTATTTCTCTGCTAACAATTTCTACAGCATGCAAATGATAGGCAAGAACTCTAAAGTTAAATACATGAGTATTTTTGCTGATCAGAAGACATGGCTGCTTTTCAAATACGTTGACTCTTGAACGGCATGGGTTTGAACTGCACAGTTCCACTTATATGTGGATTTTTTTTTTGCCTCTGCCACCCTGCCACAGGAAGACTAACCCCTCCTTTTTCTCCTCCTCAGCCTAGTCAATGTGAAGACAATGAGGATGAAGACCTTTATGATGATCCATTTCCATTTAATGAATGGTAAATATATATTTTCTCTTCCTTATAATTTTCTTAATAACATTTTATTTTGTCTAGCTTACTTCATTGTAAGAATACTGTATATAATACATTTAAGATACAAAATATATGTTAATTGACTGTTTATGTTATTTACAAGGCTTCCAGTCAATAGTAGGCTGTCAATTTAAATAACAGAGAGTGGCTCTCTAAAAATACATATATATATTTATTTGGGAATAAAACATTACAGTGGAAATACACATGCCGCAGTAAACTATGTGCATATTCAGGGAAGTCAAGGATGACAAAGGCTTTTAAAGGAAAAAATGAGGAGGATGACATAATTATTTTGAAATAATTATCCTTGATTACAAAGATCAATAATAAGGGTGATGCCAGTCTGAAGTCCGACAGGTAGTTGCTAGGCAGATGTCCTTTTAGAAGTATTTTTTTGCATAAGGTTGCAGTGGCCTTTGTTTAAGGTTGTGGCTTTTGCAGTCTTTTGTGATGATTTTTGTTATCAGGCACACAAATATGAGAACCCTCTCTTCATGACCTTCCCTGGCTCTATTTGTCCGGATTTTCTTAACCCATTTTGATTTTGACAACTTTCACAAGGCTATTAGTAGTTAAGTTTTTGGGAAACTGTCGCAGATGAGTGACAACTATCTGGGCCAGTGGCACAGGGTTAAAATAATTTACTATGACAGATGTAGGTAAAGAAAGGCAGATTTATTAGAGAAAGTATGAAAATATGTTGCAAAGAAGCAATGAACAGAATCAGCACGAGAGGAGCTGACTGAAAGGAAACAAAAGCTTGCTGGAGATTTTAAAGAATGGTTCTTGGGCTGCAGAGTGCTGCGAGCAGTACTCATAACCCCAAAGTTGCAGTGAGCTAACTTGCAAGTGTCTGGTGATAGCTGGGCTCAGGAAGATTATGAGTTATTTGCACAGGAGGGCTATGTGTCCTGGACCATGAATGTCATCAACATATTAATGACATTCTTTACAGAAATAGAAAAAACAATCCTTGTTTCTATTGAACTGCAAAAGACTTTTAATAACCAAAGCAATCTAGAGCAAAAACAGCAAATCTAAAGGTATCACACTACCTTACTTTAAAATATACTATAAAGATCTAGTGACCAAAATAGGTTGATATTGGCATAAAATCAGACACATAGACCAATGGAACAGAATAGAAAGACCAGAAACAAATCTGCACATCTATAGCCAACTGACTTTAAAAAAAATTTCCAAGGACACACATTGGGAATAGGACAGTCTCTTCGATAAATGGTACTAGGGAACTGGATAGCCACATGAACAAAAATGAAACTAGATCCTTATCTTTCACCATATTCAAAAATCAACTAAAAATGATTGAAAGACTTGAATGTAAGACTTGAAACTAAGGAATTAGTAGGAGAAAACATTGGAGAAATACTTCATGACATTAGACTGAGGCAAAGATTTTTTGTTACTTTTTTTATTTTTCAAAAGTACTATTTTCACAAGAGGATGGGTGTCAAGGAAAGATTTTTTGGCTATGACTCTACAAGCATAGGCAACAAAAGCAAAAATAGACAAATGGGATTAAATCAAACTAAAAACTCTACAGCAAAGGAAACATTCAGAGTGAACAGACAGCTACAGAATGGGAGAAATATTTGCAAACTATATATATGACAAGTGGTTAATATCCAGAATATATAAGAAACTGAAACAACTCAAGAGAAAAAATAAAAAGACCACCAAATAACCTGATTTAAAAATTGGCAAATGATCTGAAGAGACACTCCTCAAAATAAGACAAATAGCCAAAAGTTATATGAAGAAATGCTCAACAGCACTAATAATCAGGGAAAAGCAAGTCAAAACCAAAATGAGATATTTCCTTATTCCAGTTAGAATGGCTACTGTCAAAGAGACAAAAGATTAAAATGCTGGCAAGAATGTGGAGAAAAAAGAACATTTACTCATTGTTGATGGAGATTTAAATTAGTACAGCCATTATGGAAAATAGTATGGAGGTTTCTCAAAAAATTAAAAATAAAACTACCATATTACTCAGCAACCCTATTACTGGGTATATATCCAAAGGAAAGGAAATCAGTATGTCAAGGAGATGTCGGCACTCCTAGGTTTATTGCAGCAGTATTCTCAGTAGCCAAGATATAGAATCAACCAAAGTGCCCATCAACAGATGACTGAATAGAGAAAATTTAGTATATATACATAACGAAACACTATTCAGCCATAAAAATGAATGAAATCCCATCATTTGTGGCAACATGGGTGAACTTGGAGGACATTATGTTAAGTGAAATAAGCCAGACCCTAAAGACAAATACCATATGATCTCATTCATATGAGGTAGCTAAAAAGTTGATCTCTTAGAAGTAGAAAATAGAATAGTGGTTACCAGATATTCATCCAGAAAAATGAAAACTTACATTCACAGAAAAAAACTATGCATAAATATTCATATCAGCTTTATTTATAATAATGTAAAACTGGAAATAATCAAAATATTCTACAATAGGTTAACAGTTAAATAAACTGTGGTACATCCACACCATGAAACACTACTCAGGAATGAAATGAACAAACTATTGGTAGATACAACCCCAAAAGGCTATATACTGTATAATTCCATTTATATAACCTTCTTAAAATGACAAAACTAGGCCAGGCATGGTGGCTCATGCCTGTAACCCCAGCACTTTGGGAGGCCAAAGCGGGCAGATCATCTGAGGTCAGGAGTTTGAGACCTGCCTGGGCAACATCGTGAAACCCCATCTCTACTAAAAATATAAAAATTAGTCGGGCATGGTGGCACACACTTGTAATCCCAGCTACTTGGGAGGCTGAGGCAGGAGAATCACTTGAACCCGGGAGATGGAGGTTGGAGTCAGCTGAGATCGCACTCCAGCCTCGGTGACAGAGTGTGACTCTATCTCAAAAAAAAAAAAAGATAAGAGTATAGAGATGGAGAACAAATTAGTAGTTTACAGAGTTTAGGGATGGAGGGTGCAGGGGGTTGAGTGTGACTATAAGGGAGTAGTAGCACAAGGGAGATCTTTGCAGTGACTGAAGAGTTTTGCATATTAATTGCTAATCTACACCTGTGATCAAATGACATAGAACTATACAAAAACATTGTGCCAATGTCAGTTTACTGGTTTTGATATTGTACTATAGTTATGCAAAATGTAACATTTAGGGGAAACTGAGTAAAAGGCACACAGGATTTCTTTACTATCTCTGCAATTTCCTGTTAATTTATATTTCAAAATAAAAAGTTAATAAATAATCAAAGAAAGACAAAGTCAGAGGCTTATGTGTTTGGTGAGACAGTGTTCCCTGATGCAAGGAGCAATGGATTTGGAGTCAGATGAACCAAGACCCAGTTTCTGCTCCCCATGCCTTACCAGCTGTGTGCCCTTAAGAAAGTCAGTTAACCTTTTTGAGCTTCAGTTTTCTATTTCATAGAATGGTCCTTATCGATTTTCTAGCTACAAACATTAGCTATTTGTATACCACCTTATAAACAATTTTTGCCATATTCTCTATAGCCTGTTATATTGTGTACTTAATATTTCTTAGAGGCCAGGCACGATGACTCACGCCTGTAATCACAGCAGTTTCGGAGGTCAAGACGGGAGGATCATATGAGGTCAGGAGTTCGAGACCAGCCTAGCCAACATGGTAAAACCCCGTCTCTACTAAAAATAGAAAAATTAGCCAGGTGTGGTGGCACATGACTCTAATCCCAGCTACGTGGGAGGCTGAGGCAGGAGAATTGCTTGAACCTGGGAGGCGGAGCTTGCAGTGAGTCGAGATTGCCCACTGCACTCCAGCCTGGGCGACAGAGCAAGACTCTGTCTCATAAAGATATATATATATTCCTTATAGAGATCAACACAGTCCATTTACTTAAATCCATACCAAGCCCAAATCCTGAGTGATGTTATATATAAAACCACGACATCAAGGACTAGTGAATTTTTTCTCAAATGAGCATTAACGTAAATAACTATTAAAAACATATGCTTTTTTGTGCTGCCTAAATGATCACACATACTATCAATGGTATGGACCACATATTTCAGGAAACATTAGTTTAGCCCAAATACTTTACTTTTTAGATAGAGAACATGATGTCTCATAGACAGAAATAAACTTTCAGATTTGAAAGATCACTTAAAATATAAACTACAATTTCTCATCACATTTTAAATAAATTCCAAAGTCCTTAACGAGGGCCTATTGGATCTGATAGGATGTAGCTGTGCCTGCCTCTATGATTTCCGTTTCTTCTATCTGTTCTCTTGCTCCCACTACTCCAACCACACTTGACCTCTTGCTCTTCCCAGCATACCAAACACTTTTTTGCCTCAGGGGCTTTGCTCTTGCTGTTCTCTCTGCCTGGAAGATTCTAGATATCTATGTGGTTCAATTCCTAGTACATTCAGGTTCTGCCCTATGCCACTTCCTCAATGAGTCCTTACTTGACCCTCCTGCTCAAAATAGCCACACACACATATATCATGTTATTCTCTATTCCCCTTACTGTGCACTCAATCCTGTGTGCCTAACACACACACACACTCACACTCACACATACACATGTATATTATTCTGTTCCCCTTACTCTGCACTCAAACCTGTGTGTCACACACACACTCACACATACACGTATATCATATTATTCTCTATTCCCCTTATACTGCACTCAATCCTATGTGCCTTACACACACACACCCACACATACACGTATATCATATTATTCTCTATTCCCCTTATACTGCACTCAATCCTATGTGCCTTACACACACACACACACCCACAGATGTATATCAATATTCTCTATTCCTCTTACTCTACACTCAATCCTGTGTGCCTTTCACACGCACACCCGCACACACATATTATCATACACACACACACAAGTATATTATTCTCTATTCTCCTTTCCCTATTTTTCTTTATAGCACTTATCACCAACTGACACTATATGTTGTCCCTCTCCCTAATTAGAATGGCCGGACTTTGCTTTCTTCTCTTAAGCTCAGTGCCTAGAATTGTGCCAGTGCACAGACCCACATGCAGCCAATTCAGCCATCCTCCCTGCAGAATCTGAGGGGAGTGGTCATGTCGTCTCAGTTTGCAGCTTTAAAACAGCAGGAGCCACCAGCTAGCTCCTCCAGGCAGTCTAACCATTTTCCAGATGGTTCCCATCTTCAGAGGTCTTTCTGATGAGTTTCAAAACTTGTGCCCTTGCAGTTTCCACTCAGGCCTATTAGTTCTGCCCTGTGGGCCTACAGAGAACATGCCTTTCAGATACTTGAAGACAGCAATTATGACTCTCTCCAGCTGTTTACTGCTTTTCAAGTTAAACAGACCTCTCCTTCCATCATTGCTCAGGCATAATCCTCTGGGATGACAGAAAGAACATGTTATCTGGGGACAGGTAACCCAGATCTGAATCCAGACCTCACTCATAGTCACTGTGTAACCCTGAGCACATCACACCTGCCTAACAGGGCTCCTGTGAGGATTCCAGGGGGTCATATATATAAAGTGCTTAGCATAGTTGCTGCCTGACAGTGAAAGTTCAGTGGATGACATTGATGTTCATTGCTTTCCTGAAGAAAGTTCTGTCCAAATCCTAAAAGCAAAACAAATTTCCTGAACCCCATCAGGTCCGCTGCCTGCATGTAGAAAGAGGAGAGTAAAACCGATGCACACTGGACTCACCCAAAGGCGGAAAAGGACAAGGAACCCAAAAAGGAAGATCCAGTGGGCCCACAGGCAGCCCTCCTAATGGAGCCTGGGCAGTGCCCTCTTCTTTTTGTTGGAAAAACAGCATGAAATATTTTTTGCTTTGTTGTTTGAGGCTGGAGTCCAAGAAAGACCCAGAAATGGTTGATATGAAGGATTTGGAGCAGGAAAATAGGATACAAATTCAGAGTTAAGAGCTGGACAACGAGTTGGGTTATGAGGGCTTCCACCCCAGTCCGTTTCTTTCTTGCTCATGGTAGGACCCTAGACAATTCTTTTCCACTCTCAGCCTGCATTTTCTTAGCTGGGAAATGCCAATTCTAAGAGCTACTGGGATACAATTATATGCCACATGTGCGTTCACTCACTCAGTGCTTTTCAACACATGTTCACTGTATGCTCTGGGTGTACCAAAATGACAGCCTGTTCCTAACCTCAGGGGTCTCACTGTCTATTAAAAGTTTCCCTTAGGGTATCATTCTGAATGGGAGGAGGAACTAGAAAAACACTTAGTTCCAGTGTGTCATGATAAACACACAGAGAAAAAGAAAACAGCAGCTGTGAGAATGTAGGGGAGGGGGATAAATTCTGAAGGAGAGGGACAGGAAAGGCTTCTTGGAGAAGGGATCTGTTCTCTGGCCAGTGCAACAGCCTTGGAGAGGACTTGTACCTCCTCTGCTCGTGCCTTTCACCATCCCCAAGGATATCTAGAGCAGGACCCTGAACACCGGATAATCAGTTTATACTGCTGAGTGGCAGGCTGATGTTCTGGGTGGTGTAACATTCTGCCCTTCTCTAATTTTTTGTCTGTGAGTCAGCCTTGCCTAGGTCAATAAAATGCTGAGTGCACACCCAGCTTCCCCAGCACACTCAGAATGCTGCCAGATCATTTCTCACCCCTCTCAGGAGACATTAAACTCTCTGTCCTGGCCTTAGTTGTCCTTGTGGTCCTGGCTCAGACTGCCCCAGGTAAACAGAACCATGGAGAGAAGGGAAAAGGGAGTAAGGATGGGGTCCTAACCACAGAATCACTGGAAAATTGAACATGTGTAGAAGCAAGGAGAGCCCACAGGGATGGCTGAGATCTGATGAAAGGCTTATAATGAATATGCTCCCATAAGAAGGGCAGCCTGTCAGGCCTGACCATGGTGGTGGTTCTCATTAGGGAACCTGGAGAATATCTGCAGAGGCCAAGGTGTTTTATATGAAGTCCCTTCCATATGCAGAAGCAACCCCAACATCTCTAGTATCCTGAATGCCTCTGGCCCATATGTCAACAGTCTCATCCTGTGAGTCTCTCACTTCAACCCCACTTTCAGTTGATACTACCTCTTCTAATAATCAGTCTCATTACTTCACTTCTCCACTGTTGTTGGGCTTTGAGTGCTCCTTTAAAGCAGGCAGAAGAGGCAACTTGCTCTTGTCTTGGAATATATGGTGAAAAAGTTGTAAGTTGATGTTTGATATCTACAGGTTTATAAAAACAGGCTCACAGTATGGAGCTGGGGTTACAGCAGAAGATTTTGGCTTTCAAGTTGAACACGCTCAAAGCTCTCTAACAGTATAAACAGGCATCATGGCCAGGTGGTGAATAACTTTCTAATGGAAATGTTTTCCCCTTAGGCTTCCCAGGGGCTCTAAAGTTGATGATTTTTAATTCTGTGATTTCCTTTGGGTCGTTGCTGTTGGAAGTCACATCCTCTCTTGGAGCAGCTATTCAAGCTGAAAGCCTTTGCCAATCACTCAGTTGTTCTAGAAGCAAAAGAAGGTTATTCTGGGCTAACCCTGAGTTGGCTTGAGCATGCCTTATGTTCCAGCGAGGGCAAGTAGAATAGAGGGAGTTGCAGATGCAAGAGACATTTTGGAGAAAGAATCTACATATTGACTTATGAAATACTGGAAGAGAAAAGTGAGAGTCAATGTGACTGATTTTTTTCAGCCTGAACATTCTGGTAAAAGACAGAGAATTAGGAATTATCTCCCAGAAGAAGAGTTTGGGGAAAAGACAAGTGGAAAGAATCTGTAGTTTAGATTAAGATATAATGATCCCTCAAATGAATCCAATGTGCTGAGAAAACTGGGTTTGCAGTCTGCGTTGACTTAGAGTCACAGAAAATAAATCAGAGAAGGGCACAGTGTTAAACCCTCCCTGCACCCACCCCCCAACACACACACACACAAACACAACTTCAGCCTGCAGCTCAGAAATGTAAATTGGTCATCCATTGTTCAGGGTCTTGCTTTAAACAACCCCTGGGGCAAGCACCCCTAGAACAAACAATGCCTGGCACATAGTAGATGCTCAACAAATTGTGGTTAGATGAATAATGAATGGAGAGAGGATAAAAAAGATAATTGAAGGCTTAGTCCCACTCCCTGGCAAGCATCTAGATTTAGAGAGGAAGTAGAACCAGATTTAGTGAGACTGTGAAAAATGACAGAGAAGAAAGTATCATAAGCATAGGAATAAAATTCAATTAGAGCTGATTAGAGGAAGATAACTACTCCTAGTCATTAAACATGCACAAATTTATAACATTCCCATGAATGCCTTTAAGTGTCAAAATCAATGTTTCACTCTAACCATTATTACTATTACCAACATCCTTTCTTTAATTGTATTTATTTTTCAAATGTATTTATATATTCATGTGTTTGCTTATTTTGATAGATGGATGGATCAGAAGGTGCTATTATGGAACTGGCAGATGCAGGAAATCATGCAAAGAAATTGAGAGGAAGAAAGAAAAATGTGGGGAAAAACATATTTGCTGTGTCCCTAAAGAAAAGGATAAACTATCACACATTCACGACCAAAAAGAGACAAGTGAGCTATATATCTAGTTGCGACTCCTAATTCAGAATTTTAAGTCATTATAATGAGTCAATGAAATGGCTATCGGGGGCACCTGCATTTTCCTAGATCTCTGTCAAGTCTTCACAGGGCCCGTTAGAAAAACAAGCTCATTCCTGCTATCAATATATCTCTCTAGCCTGCTGTAGCCCAACAATGCTCTAAGCTGTCCCTGGATATGACTAATAATAGTGGTTTTCAAGGTAAGAAAATTTTATAGGATCTAGATCTTGAATTCCTAAACCTCTGTCCGGGTCCCTGAATGTAGAAGTTTACCAGGTTAACGCAAATTGGACCTTAGCTACAGATTCTTACCTAATGTCTCATCCTGGAGAGTTGCAATAAAACAGAGTAATCCAGAAAGTGTCCTTCTCTGTCTTTAGCTCAAAATTTAGCTCAAGGCTCTGCCATATGGTCTTACTCTTGGAACTTATCCCTTACCCCAAATTCCTAGGCACCTTTGGCTGTCCAAAGATTGGCATGCCCTCTGAGCAGGAGGAAACTATTCCTGCTCCCAAGCAAATGGAAGAGGAAAATAAAAGGCCCAAGATTTAGTGAGAACTTATTATGTGCAAGGTCTTGTCCTAAGCATTTTACTTCATTTTGTCCCAACAACAGCTCCAGGAGATAGGAACTAGTGTGCCCCTTCGCCAGAAGAGGAAACTAAGTCACAGAGAGTTTAAGTGACTTGCCCTAAATGGCACAGATAGCTAGTTCAGTAACAGGACTTTGAACCTGCAATGCCTGGCTTCAGGTACCGTGCTTCCCCATAGTGGAAAGAGATTGCTGCATTACGAAAAGCTTCACTTTACCCTTCCCACACAGAACCAACCTCTTTAATAGGGAAGGTGTGGTGAAGAAAGAGCTTTGTGTGCCCTCTTGTGGTTAAAATGTGTAATGAACCCAGTCCCAGCAGGTTCATCCAGGTTCAAATAAAGGTTATCCTAGGTTGCACTCGGCTAGCGAGAAATGGCTCCGGCTTTACAGAGAGTTGCAGCTCAGGGGCCAATGCCAATCACATCTGAAGTTGAACAGTATCCATACCTTCTGTTGACACAACGATCTGGAGGACACAGTCCAAAGGCAAGGTACAGCAATCATCACAGTAATGGCAGCCACTAACCCTTCAGCCCAGTTCCCAAAGTACTTCCTGTCAGTTCTCTCATTTCCCCCCACTAGAATACTATGAGGCATCTTCAAAATGGAAGCATTGGTCTGGACTATAAACTCCATATACCTTTCAACCTTTAAGGCCTTCTTCATTCTTTACATTATGGTGAAAATCATGCACTCTCTACCTATGACTGCAGAAGATGCCACCTTAGAGAGCAAAGACATGGAAGATGAAGAGAGAGACTGGGAAATAGGAAATGTATACCTCAATCTGGGTACTCAAACCATAACCCTAAAATACACCTTCTGTTCCTCCTTGCTTCCCCATACGCATATATCATGTTAGCCACGCAGACTTTCCAAGTCTGCTTCTATAGCACCTGCCCTTCATCTCTGCCTCTAGTCTTCCAGTTCAGCCATCATCTTTCCTTGTCCATTGCTGTGGAATGAATTTTGTGCCCCACCCCCCCAAAAATTGTGTGTTGAAGTCAGAACCTCCAGTGCTTCAAAATGTGACTGCATTTGGAGACAGAGTCTTGAAAGAGGTGACTGAGTTTAAATGAAGTCATTAGGACAGATACAAATTCGATCGGACTACTGTTCTTATAAGAAGAAATTAGGACAGAATTATTTTACAAATAATTATGACCCACAGCAAGAAGACCACGTTAAGATCCAAGGAGATCATGACCATCTACAAGTCAAAGAGAGAAGACTCAGAAGAAATCAACCCTACTGACACCTTGATCTCAGATTTTTAGCCTCCTGAATTGTGAGAAAATAAATTTGTATTGTTTAAGCCACCTGATCTGCGACACTTTGTTGTGACAGCCCTGGCAGACTGATACAGACATACCATAACATCAGCATCCTAGTCATCTCTTTTTCTCTCATTAGGACTTCGACTCACTCCAGGCTTTTCATACAGTTGCCAGAAGAACATCTCTACAATCCAAATATGAAACTTTTTTCTTTCCAAATTGTCCAAAAGCTACATAACCCTTTCAGGAATCAATTCTCAACTCCCTTTATGATAATCCCTGCCTGCCTCAGTAGTTTTATATCCAGTTCCTCCTCCCTTTCAATTCCCACCGTGGACCTCCCAAAACAACCTTATTCTTGGAAATTAATTAATCTAATTTCTTGCCCTTCTTTTTATAGACTGCCCCTTCTGCCTGAAAGTTTCTTATTGCAAACCAGATTACTCCATCCCCTTCTGAAAAGAGGTTAAGTGGGGAAGAAAAGTCATCCTAAGAATATTTATTAATTTAAAAACTCATTGGTGAAATAAGTCTCCACTCAAACATCCCAATTTCTTAGAATCTGTGCCTCTCCCAAACCCAGCAGGTCAATGTCTTCCATGGACTAATTGTGAACATGCAAAAATGCATGGCAAATTGTCGTCAAGTGACATTTAAACCTTCTTGAATATGCGGGATTTTCTCTAGATATTGATAGTCATGTTATAAAATTAAACTGTTAATATGCAAAGTCATTAATAAATGAGGATCAGTAAGAATTACATTAGTTGAAAATTAAAAAGAAAATTGACAAGAATGATGATATAAGAAGTAATTTTTTAAAACACTTCTTAACTAACAAAGCGTAAGGAAAAGCCCAGAGAAAAACTGATTGGAACCTAGAATATTTTTGCAAATAACTGTGATTTTGCTACATTTTAAAAAGGCAAACCTACAGTAAAGTATTTTTTTTATTTTCATGCTTCTAACTAGAATTATTTTCATTTTGGCCAAAAAACTCCACTTATAAAGAATATTATAAGTGATAACTGTTTGGTACATCTAAATGAATATTGACTATAAAAAACAATTATAATAATAAATAATATCTTAGGGCATTATAATATTTATATAATTAATATGCATAACAATAATAGCATAAAAGGTTGAACAGAGGTTAATGGACAACTAATATTTTGTTGATTTCCAGACACATTGTATAAAATATTGTAGAGCTTCCAATGATATTATCTTCATCCAGAGAGGGTCCACCCTTTCCCTTGGTAGGCTGATATAGTAGAATTTAGTTGCTACAATTCAATCATAAAGCAAACTGATTCAAAGTTAGCTTCTAGTTTTGATAAGGCATTGTCTACCTCTTGATCTTTTGTCGGTGTAGCCATGCCTTCTACATATAGAACCAGCTTATACTCATTTCAGAAGCATTAACTCTCTAGCATTGAATATCTCATAAAACTCATACTTATCCAGTAAGTTTTTAGATGCAATATGTGGTTGTACTTAAGAGCCTATTCTTTGGAGCCAGAAACTTTTTTTTATTATTACACTTTAAGTTACAGGGTACATGTACACAACGTGCAGTTTTGTTACATATGTATACATGTGCCATGTTGCTGTGCTGCACCCATTAACTGGTCATTTACATTAGGTATTTCTCCTAATGCTATCCCTCCCCCCTCCCCCCACCCCATGACAGGCCCCGGTGTGTGATATTCCCTACCCTGTGTCCAAGTGTTCTTATTGTTCAATTCCCACCTATGAGTGAGAACATGCAATGTTTGGTTTTCTGTCCTTGCAATAGTTTGCTGAGAATGATGGTTTCCACCTTCATCTATGTCCCTATAAAGGACATGAACTCATCCTTTTTTATGGCTGCATAGTATTCCACGGTGTATATGTACCACATTTTCTTAATACAGTCTATCATTGATGGACATTTGGGTTGGTTCCAAGTCTCTGCTGTTGTGAATAGTGCCGCAATAAACATAGGTGTGCATGTGTCTTTATAGTAGCATGATTTATAATCCTTTGGGTATATACCCAGTAATGGGATGGCTGGGTCAAATGGTATTTCTAGTTCTAGATCCCTGAAGAATCGCCACACTACCTTCTACAATGGTTGAACTAGTTTACAGTCCCCCCAACAGTGTAAAAGTGTTCCTGTTTCTCCACATCCTCTCCAGCACCTGTTGTTTCCTGACTTTTTAATGATTACCATTCTAACTGGTGTGAGATGGTATCTCATTGTGGTTTTGATTTGTATTTCTCTGATGGCCAGTGATGATGAGCCTTTTTTCATGTGTTTTTTGGCTGCATAAATGTCTTCTTTTGAGAAGTGTCTGTTCATATCCTTCGCCCACTTTTTGATGGGGTTGTTTGATTTTTTCTTGTACATTTGTTTAAGTTCTTTGTAGATTCTAGATATTAGCCCTTTGTCAGATGGGTAGATTGCAAAAATTTTCTCCCATTCTGTAGGTTGCCTGTTCACTCTGATGGTAGTTTCTTTTGCTGTGCAGAAGCTCTTAGTTTAATTAGATCCCATTTGTCTATTTTGGCTTCTGTTGCCATTGTTTTCGGTGTTTTAGCCATGAAGTCCTTGCCCATGACTATGTCCTGAATGGTATTGCCTAGGTTTTCTTCTATGGTTTTTATGGTTTTAGATCTAACATTTAAGTCTTTAATCCATCTTGAATTAATTTTTGTATAAGGTGTAAGGAAGGGATCCAGTTTCAGCTTTCTACATATGGCTAGCCAGTTTTCCCGGCACCATTTATTAAATAGGGAATCCTTTCCCCATTTCCTGTTTTTGTCAGGTTTGTCAAAGATCAGATGGTTGCAGATGTGTGGTATTATTTCTGAGGGCTCTGTTCTGTTCCATTGGTCTATGTCTCTGTTTTGGTACCAGTACCATGCTGTTTTGGTTACTGTAGCCTTGTAGTATAGTTTGAAGTCAAGTAGCATGATGCCTCCAGTTTTGTTCTTTTGGCTTAGGATTGTCTTGGCAATGTGGGCTCTTTTTTGGTTCCATATGAACTTTAAAGTACTTTTTTCCAATTCTGTGAAGACAGTCATTGGTAGCTTGATGGGGATGGCACTGGATCTATAAATTACCTTGGGCAGTATGGCCATTTTCACGATATTGATTCTTCCTGTCCATGAGCATGGAATGTTCTTCCATTTGTTTGTGTCCTCTTTTATTTTTTGAGCAGTGGTTTGTAGTTCTGCTTGAAGAGGTCCTTCACATCCCTTGTAAGTTGGATTCCTAGGTATTTTATTCTCTTTGAAGCAATTGTGATTGGGAGTTCACTTATGATTTGGCTCTCTGTCTGTTATTGGTGTATAAGAATGCTTGTGATTTTTGCACATTGATTTTGTATCCTGAGACTTTGCTGAAGTTGCTTATCAGCTTAAGGGGATTTTGGGCTGAGATGATGGTGTTTTCCAAATATACAATCATGTCATCTGCAAACAGGGACAATTTGACTTCCTCTTTTCCTAATTGAATATCCTTTATTTCTTTCTCCTGCCTGATTGACCTGGCCAGAACTTCCAACACTATGTTGAATAGGAGTGGTGAGAGAGGGCATCCCTGTCTTGTGCCAGTTTTCAAAGGGAATGCTTCCAGTTTTTGCCCATTCAGTATGATATTGGCTGTGGGTTTGTCATAAATGGCTCTTATTATACATCCCATCAATACCTAGTTTATTGACAGTTTTTAGCATGAAGGGCTGTTGAATTTTGTCAAAGGCCTTTTCTGCATCTATTCAGATAATCATGTGTTTTTTTGTCTTTGACTCTGTTTATGTGATGGATTACGTTTATTGATTTGCATATGTTGAACCAGCCTTGCATCCTAGGGATGAAGCCAACTTGATCGTGGTGGATAAGCTTTTTGATGTGCTGCTGGATTTGGTTTGCCAGTATTTTATTGAGGATTTTGGCATCAATGTTCATCAAGGATATTGGTCTAAAATTCTCTTTTTTTCTTGTTGTGTTTCTGCCAGGCTTTGGTATTAGGATGATGCTGGCCTCATAAAATGAGTTAGGGATGATTCCTTCTTTTTCTTTTTATTGGAATAGTTTCAGAAGGAATGGTACCAGCTCCTCTTTGTACCTCTGGTAGAATTCAGCTGTGAATCCATCTGGTCCTGGACTTTTTTTGGTTGGTAGGCTATTAATTATTCCTGAATTTCAGAGCCTGTTATTGGTCTACTCAGGGATTCAACTTCTTCCTGGTTTAGTCTTGGGATGGTGTATGTGTCCAGGGATTTATCCATTTCTTCTAGATTTTACAGTTTATTTGCATAGAGGGGTTTATAGTATTCTCTGATGGTAGTTTGTATTTCTGTGGGATCGGTGGTGATATCCTCTTTATCATTTTTTATTGTGTCTATTTGATTCTTCTCTCTTTTCTTCTTTATTAGTCTTGCTAGCGGTCTATCAATTTTGTTGATCTTTTCAAAAAACCAGCTCCAGGATTCATTGATTTTTTTGAAGAGTTTTTGTGCCTCTATCTCCTTCAGTTCTGCTCTGATCTTAGTTATTTCTTGCCTTCGGCTAGCCTTTGAATATGTTGGCTCTTGCTTCTCTAGTTCTTTTAATTGTGATATTAGGGTGTCGATTTTAGATCTTTCCTGCTTCCCCTTGTGGGCATCTAGTGCTACAAATTTCCCTCTACACACTGCTTTAAATGTGTCCCAGAGATTCTGGTATATTATGTTTTTGTTTGCATTGGTTTCAAAGAACATCTTTATTTCTGCCTTCATTTCATTATTTACCCAGTAGTCATTCAGGAGCAAGTTGCTCAGTTTCTATGTAGTTGTGCAGTTTTGAGTGAGTTTCTTAATCCTGAGTTCTAATTTGATTGCACTGTGGTCTGAGAGACAGTTTGTTATGATTTCTGTTTTTTTACATTTGCTGAGGAGTGCCTTACTTCCAACTATGTGGTCAATTTTGGAACAAGTGCGATGTGGTGCTGAGAAGAATGTATATTCTGTTGACTTGGGGTGGAGAGTTCTGTAGATGTCTATTAGGTCTGCTTGGTACAGAGCTGGGTTCAAGTCCTGGATATCCTTGTTAACTTTCTGTTTTGTTGATCTGTCTAATGTTGACAGTGGGGTGTTAAAGTCTCCCATTATTATTGTGTGGGAGTCTAAGTCTCTTTGTAGGTCTCTAAGAACTTGCTTTATGAATCTGGGTGCTCCTGTATTGGGTGCATATATATTTAGGATAGTTAGCCCTTCTTGTTGAATTGATCCCTTTACCATTATGTAATGGCCTTCTTTGTCTCTTTTGATATTTGTTGGTTTAAAGTCTGTTTTATCAGAAACTAGGATTGCAAACCCTGCTTTTTTTTGTTTTCCGTTTGCTTGGTAGATCTTCCTCCATCCCTTTGAGTCTATCTGTGTCTCTGCACGTGAGATGGGTCTCCTGAATACAGCACGCTGATGGGTCTTGACTCTTTATCCAACTTGCCAGTCTGTGTCTTTTAATTGGAGCATTTAGCCCATTTACATTTAAGGTTAATATTGTTATGTGTGAATTTGATCCTGTTGTTATGATGTTAGCTGGTTATTTTGCTCATTAGTTGATGCAGTTTCTTCCTAGTATCGATGGTTTTTACAATTTGGCATGTTTTTGCAGTGGCTGGTACTGGTTGTTCCTTTCCATGTTTATTGCTTCCTTCAGGAGCTCCTGTGAGGCAGGCCTGGTGGTGACAAAATCACTCAGCATTTGCTTGTCTGTAAAGGATTTTATTTCTCCTTCACTTATGCTTTAGTTTGGCTGGATATGAAATTCTGGTTGAAAATTCTTTCTTTAAGAATGTTGAATATTGGCCCCACTCTCTTCTGGCTTGTAGAGTTTCTGCTGAGAGATCAGCTGTTAGTCTGATGGGCTTCCCTTTGTGGGTAACCCGACCTTTCTCTCTGGCTGCCCTTAACATTTTTTCCTGCATTTCAGCCTTGGTGAATCTGACAATTATGTGTCTTGGGGTTGCTCTTCTCGAAGAGTGTCTTTCCGGTGTTCTCTGCATTTCCTGAATTTGAATGTTGGCCTGCCTTGCTAGGTTGGGGCAGTTCTCCTGGATAATATCCAGCAGAGTGTTTTCCAACTTGGTTCCATTCTCCCTGTAACTTTCAGGTACACCAGTGAAATGTAGATTTGGTCTTTTCACATAGTCTCATATTTCTTGGAGGCTTTGTTCGTTTCTTTTTACTCTTTTTTCTCTAAACTTCTCTTCTCGCTTCATTTCATTCATTTGATCTTCAATCACTGATACCCTTTCTTCCACTTGATCGAATTGGCTACTGAAGCTTGTGCATGCGTCACGTAGTTCTCGTGCCATGGTTTTCAGCTCCATCAGATCATTTAAGGTCTTCTCTATACTGTTTATTCTAGTTAGCCATTCATCTAATCTTTTTTCAAGGTTTTTAGCTTCCTTAAGATGGGTTCGAACATCCTCCTTTAGCTCGGAGAAGTTTGTTATTACCAATCTTCTGAAGCCTACTTCTATCAGCTCATCAGTCATTCTCCATCCAGCTTTGTTCCATTGCTGGTGAGGAGCTGCAATCCTTTGGAAGAGAAGAGGCGCTCTGGTTTTTAGAATTTTCAGTTTTTCTGCTCTGGTTTCTCCCCATCATTGTGGTTTTATCTACCTTTGGTCTTTGATGATGGTGACGTACAGATGGGGTTTTGGTATGCATGTCCTTTTGTTGATGTTGATACTATTCCTTTCCGTTTGTTAGTTTTCCTTCTTAACAGTCAGGACCCTCAGCTGCAGGTCTGTTAGAGTTTGCTGGAGGTCCACTCCAGACCCTGTTTGCCTAGGTGTCACCAGTGGTGGCTGCAAAACAGCAAATATTGCAGAACAGCAAACGTTGCTGCCTGATCCTTCCTCTGGAAGCTTCGTCTCAGAGGGGCACCCGGCTGTATGAGGTGTCAGTCGGCCCCTACTGGTAGGTGTCTCCCAGTTAGGCTACTCGGGGGTCAGGGACACACTTGAGGGGGCAGTCTGTCTGTTCTCAGATCTCAAACTCGATGCTGGGAGAACCACTGCTCTCTTCAAAACTGAGTTGGAAATGCAGAAATCACCTGTCTTCTGTGTCGCTCACACTGGGACCTGTAGACTGGATCTGTTCCTATTTGATCATCATGGAATGATCCCCTGGAGCCAGAAAAGTTTATTCCACTTCCCTGTTCTGCCACTCTTTTGGGGAGGACATCAAAACTTTCTGAGCATCAGATTCCTTTTCCATAAAGTGGATATTATTTAATACTACCTTTCTCAGTATATTGTAAGGTCAAAATAAGATAAAGTACACAACCATTTACTATGTTACCATGTTCTTTACATGTAACATATGTAAATAAGTTATTGTGTTTATAAGAATAAGAATAGGAGATACAATGAAATGTGGGGACTTAAGGGGAAGAGTGAGAAGGGGGCGAGGGATAAAACACTACAAATAAAGTACAGGGTATACTGCTCGGGTGGCTGGTGCACCAAAATCTCACAAAACACCACTAAAGAACTTACTCATGGAACCAAATACCACCTGTACTCCAATAACCTATGGAAAAAAAAAAGAATAAGAATAGGAGATACCAGCCTTCATACCCTACCAAAAAAGATCTCTCTCTCTTTCTCTCTTTCTCTATCTATCCAGCTAGCTATCCTCAAAATCAAAACAGCCCTGAGACAGCTCAAGGGCCCATTAAACATTTAAAAATCTGTAGCAACACAGTGGACCAAAAACAAACAAACAAAATGGAGAACATCCACAAAGAAAGGATTGCTAGTGAGGTCAGCATATCTGAGACTATAGGAGACAGTTAGAAACAAAGAAGAAAGGCAGAGTGTCAGTTATGCAGTGTAAACCACTATGGTCCCAGTGGCCTACTCTGAAGAAGACAACAGCATCATTTGCCACAAAGGTTAACAATAGTCATTCCCACTGGGGAACCTTTGAGAGATGCAGCTGCACAACCCTCCTTCCTCCAAGAAGCACTACTGCTGAACTGCTTTGGGAAAGAAGCCACCATCACTGTCAATCCCCATGTGCACTAATCCCCATGAGAATTTGGGCTCTGGGGCTGCACCTCACACACACACATCTCAGACCCTGAAATCATCACTATAGCAAGCTAGTTTGTACTCCAGGCCCCGAAGCTATGTTCTCTCCAGACACCAGTTCAACTGCCATAGACAGCTAGCTCCACTGCAAGCCCAGAGCCCCTGTAACCCTGCCTATGCTCTCCTTCTTGATCCCCTGACTGCTTCACAAGTATCACACTTTAGATTGTTACTAATGAGGCAGTTGGGGTGCCTGTGCCCTTGGTGCCAGTGTCATTACCACTCCAGATCCCAGAGCCATAGTCTCTCCAAACATACCTGTGCTGCAGGCCTCAGCAACATGGCCACTCCATGGGTGCCACTCATCAAACACCAGTGCCACCAGCACTACAAGCAAGCCACAAGACAGGTTCAGTGTCAAGAGGGATTCATGCAGCCACAATTTCCCTAGCGGGAGAAAAAGAGATACAGAAGACCTTAGCAGCCAACACCATCAAAGACCTCAGCAATCCTCACTGCCACTGCTGGCATCCACAGTATTGGTCACTAAGGATTCCTGCAATTTTAATCAACACCAGCATCAGTTGACAGAGCTGCACAGACATTATACCACTGTACCTTCAGTGATGCCAGAACAGTTACCCTTCACTCAGAAAGCACCCTTGCACTCCCCTCCCTCCATAGAGGCAGGTCTTTCCACACCAGAATTAACCTGTAAAGTCTGAAAAAGGTGATTGCTCCATCAAATATGATGATATTAACATAAGAAACATTTAAAAACCAAGGACACATAATAACAAAGAATATGATAATTTCCTAGTACCTGGTCCCCTAAAGAAATGGAAATATACAAACTGTGTGACAAAGAAATCAAAATAATTGTTTTAAAGAAGCTAAGCAGGCTGGGTGCGGTAGCTCATGCCTGTAATCCCAGCACTTTGGGAGGCCGAGGTGGGTGGATCACCTGAGGTCAGGAGTTCAAGACCAGCCTGGCCAACATGGTGAAGCCCTGTCTCTACTAAAAATACAAAACTCAGCTGGGTGTGGTGGCAGACACCTGTAGTCCCAGCTACTTGGCAGGCTGAGGCAGGAGAATTTCTTGAACCTGGAAGGTGGAGTTTGCAGTGAGCTGAGATCGTACCACTGTACTCCAGCTTGGGTGATAAAGTGAGACTGTCTCAAAAAAAAAATAAAAATAATAAGTAAATAAATAAAGCAGCTCAGCAGACTCCAAGAAAATACAGAGAAGCAATTCAGTAAAATCAGGAAAACAATAAATGACAAAATGAGAAATTTAATAGAAATTGAAATTGTTTTAAATTATAGAGCTGAAATACACAATGAATAAATAAAAAATACAATAAAAAGCATCAACAGCAAAATTGATCAAACAGAAGAAAGAATCTGTAAAATTGAAAACATACAGTCAAATGAGAAAAATAAACAAAAAGAATGAAAAAACATTACAGGATTTATGAGACAGCACCAAAAGAACAAATATTCAAATTATAAGTTTCTGAAGAAGAAGAGAGAGCCAAAGGAGTAGAAAGCTTATTTAAAGAAATAAGAGTAAAAAACTTCCCAAATCTGGAAAAAGATATAAATATACAGATACAAGAAGGTTAAAGGTTTTGAATCAGATTAAACTCAAAAAGACTACATGAAGACATACACTCAACAGTCAAAAATCAAAGACAAAGGGAGCATCTTGAAAGCAGCGAGAGAAAATATGCAAATAACTTGTAATGGAGTTCCAATAAGGCTAGCAACAGATTTCTCAGTAAAAACCTTACAGACCAGGAGAATGCAATGATATATCCAAAGTGTTGAAGAAAAAAAACTGCCAACCAAGAATACTTTATGCAGGAAATCTGCACTCCACAAATGAAGGAAAGATAAAGCTTTCCTAGACACAGAAAAGCTGAGGGAGTTTATCAGCACAAGGCTTGCCTTACAAGAAAGACTAAAGGGAATTATTTCTAATGAAATAAAAGGATGCTACTTAGTAAGACTATAATGTTTGAAAGTACAAAACCCACTGGTAAATATAGATCATGATGGCTGACTAGAAGCATCCAGAACTTACCACTTTTACAGAGAAGGACTAAACAGTATTAGGTTGGTGCAAAAGTAAATGTGGTTTGGGGCGTTAAAGGTAATGATAGAAAACTTCAATTACCTATGAACCAACATAATAGATAACCACATATCAAATAAAGTGTCTAGAAGAGAATGCTGGAATCCAGCAGAGAAGCAACAGGGACTCTGAGGCACAAAAGCTCAAGATGGCAGCATAGAGAAGGAATCAAGGCAGCCAGCTGAATCAGCTCAGAGCCAGGAGGAACTCCGCATTGTTGGGAAAAAGGTAACTGAAAGATACGTATCAGTCCACACTCCCACCAGAAATGCCTGAAGTTCTAACTGCAGAAAAGCTCCTAGACCCTCACATGTCCTGAGCCTAGTCTGGAAAGCTGCCTGGAATCCACGTGACTGCATTTGTTCCAGGGAGAGAATTTGCACAGGGGCCCATCCCTGGAATGCAGGCTGCTATAGTATGGTGCCATTTTGAGAGCAAATACAACAACAGACTATATCCCGCCATGGAGACCAATAGCTCCTGCATCTCCACAACCCTGAGACCTCACCAATATCCACCCACACCCACTCAAAGGGCTGCAGCATCATAGTGCTGGCTAAGCCCAGTGGCACAACCACACTGCCAGCATCTGAGACCACACAACATCCCACACCCCAGGGAACAGATGGTCCAACACAACCGGTATACTGGCTCAAGGACATAGAGAACCAAAGTGTGAGCTCCCCAGAGCCTGAGAGCAACCTTCCTGGACCTGCTGCCACCAACAGCAACCTCACTCCTCTCCAGCAGTGGGGCCATGAAACACCATAAATACCACCCAAGGGCCCAGAGACTTACCTGCCCAACCCACTACAGAAACCACCAGCTCCCAACTACTCCACTCAGGAAATGAAACCAGTCCACTCACCCAACTAGAGATATTGCCAGCACTTGGGTGCCCACCTGGGGGCCCAAGGAGGAACTGCCCAGCCAGCATTTACACTCTGCTTGAGTAACCAAGGACCATCCCACTCAGGGCATTACACTGCCACTGCTGGTGCCTGTGCATCCGACCTGGGGCCCAAAGACTAGCCCACATGAAGCACATAACCATCACCACCAGTGCCTGCACATTCAACATAGGGGCCTATGAACCAGCCCATCCAGCACATCTGAAACTGCCAAAGCCTCACCACAGCTTCCACAAATAACTACACCCTAAGATGCTAAGGAGTTCGCAGACATCACTAATGTTAATGACAGCCAAAGTAATCATATGGAGACCACACTACAGTGTCCACCCAAAATCAAAGCCAAAGCACCCTACCCAACTTACATTATAGATACTTCTACAGGGAAATGTTTTTCCTTACAAAAGTTACTCCATAAAATTGAAAGAAATGTCAGTTACACCATATGTACAGATATCAATGTAAGGACACAAGAAACATGAAAAAGCAAGCAAAGACAACACCTCCAAATGAACAAAATAATTCTTCAGTAATAGACCTCCCCATAAAAAGAAATCTATGAAATGCCTGGAAAGTAATTCAAAATAATGATTGTAAGGAAACACAGAGATACAAGAGAACACAGATAAACATTACAAATCAAGAAAACAATTCACTATCTGAATGAGAAATTCAACAAAGAGATGCATATCATAAAAAGAAGAAGCAAACAGAAATCCTGGAACTGAATAACACAATGAATAAAAGCAAAAATACAATGTAGAGCTTCTAATATAAACTAGATTAAGCAGAAGAATCTTTCTGAACTTGAAAACTGAGCTTTTGAAGTAACCCAGTGAGATGAAAAAAAAAGGAAGAAAAGAAAAAAAGAAAGAAGACATATAAGATACCAAAGCAAAAAAAAAAAAATTCAAATTTTAAAAGTTCCAGAAGAGAGGAAAAGTCAAAGAAAATGTATTTAATGAAATATTAGCTGAAAACTTCCCAATTCTTGCCAGAGATATAGACATCCAGACACAGGAAACTCAACGATCCCTAAACACAGTCAATCCATAAATGTCCTCTCTGAGGCAGATTATAGTCAAATTGTCAAAAGTTAAAGACAAAGAATTCTAAACATAGGAAAAGTGTCAAGTCACATGTAAGAAAATCCTCATTAGCATAACAGCAGATGGCACCAGAGTGGCTCATGCCTGTAATCCCAGCACTTTGGGAGGCTGAGGCAGGTGGATCACTTGAGGTCAGGAGTTCGAGACCAGCCTGGCCAACATGGTGAAACCCCGTTTCTACTAAAAATACAAAAATTAGCCAGGTGTGGTGGTGCACACCTGTAATCCCAGCTACTCGGGAGGCTGAGGCAGGAGAATTGCTTGAACCCGGGTGGTGGGGGTTCCAGTGAGCTGAGACTGTGCCAAACAGTCCGTGGGCGGCCAGAGTCCTGGAGTGCAGTGACCAGGCTGTTGTCTAGCATAAAGGCGGAGCCCAGAAGAAGGGGCGTGGGGTGGAAGAAACCTCCCTCACTCCCCCCGCAATGCGGCATCCGCTGGTCCTGCTGCTGCTCCTCTCTGCCCTGGTGACCTCCTTCACTGCAGCCTCTATCCACGATGCTCATGCCCAAGAGAGCTCCTTGGGTCTTACAGGCCTCCAGAGCCTACTCCAAGGCTTCAGCCGACTTTTCCTGAAAGATGACCTGCTTCGGGGCATAGACAGCTTCTTCTCTGCCCCCATGGACTTCCGGGGCCTCCCTAGGAACTACCAACAAGAGGAGAACGAGGAGCACCAGCTGAGGAACAACACCCTCTCCAGCCACCTCCATATTGACAAGGTGACCGACAATAAGACAGGAGAGGTGCTGATCTCCGAGAAGGTGGTGGCATCCATCCAGCCGGCGGAGGGGAGCTTCGAGGGTAACTGGAAGGTACCCAGGATGGAGTAGGCGGCGGCCCTGGTGTCCATCCGGAAGGCTATGGACAACTTCCATGCAGAGCTCCATCCCCGGGTGGCCTTCTGGATCATGAAGCTGCCACGGTGGAGGTCCCACCACAATGTCCTGGAGGGCGGCCGCTGGCTCAGTGAGAAGCGACACCGCCTGCAGGCCATCCAGGATGGGCTCCACGAGGGGACCCGCGAGGACGTCCTAAAAGAGGGGACCCAGGGCTCCTCCCACTCCGGGCTGTCCTCCGAAAGACCCACTTACTGTACATCTTCAGGCTTTCCTGGCAGCTATAGGGGTTGGGACCGGGGAGCACCTGTCTGTAGCCCCCATCAGGCCCCGCCCCAAGCAGCATATGGAAATAAAGTTCTTTTCTTACATCTAAAAAAATTTTTAAAATTAAAAAATTGCCCAAACAGTTTATGCCTCACTGCCTGATTAGAAAGACAGAAATGTATTTTATTACCTGCGTTTTATATAATTAAGTAGTATCTCCTTTAGACAGTGGGGGGGGAAAAGTATAGAAGCTTTTTAGTTTTACATAATCCCATTTGTCTATTTTTGCTTTTGTTGCTTATACTTTGAGGTCGTATCAAAAAATCATTTCCTTACCAAGGTCATGAAGTTTTTCCCCTATGATTTCTTCTGATTGTTTTAGCTTCAGGTCTCATATTTAAGTTTTTAATCCATTTTGAGTTGATTTTGAATATGGTGTGAGATGAGGGTCTACTTTCATTCTTCTGTATGTGCATGTCCACTTCTCCCAACAACAGACTTCCTTTACTTATTGTGTGCTCTTTGTATCTTTATCAAAAATAAATTAACCTTAAATGTGTAAGTTTCTTTCTGGGCTCTTAATTCTGTGCTATTGTTCTATGTGTCTATTTTTATGCCAGTATCATGCTATTATGATTATTACAGCTTTGTAATATATTTTGAAGTCTGGTAGTATATGCCTCTGGCTTTGATCTTTTTGCTCAAGTCTGCTTTGGCTATTCAGGTTTTCTTGACCCTGAATATTTAATTGTTTTTTTCTATTTAAATTGTTTTTTCTATTTCTGGGAAAAACATCACTGGAATTTTGATAGGGATTGCATTGAATCTGTAGATCACTTTGGATAGTATAAAAATTTTAACAATATTAAATCTTCCAATTCATAAACACAGATATCTTTTCATTTATTTGTGTCTTCTTCAATTTATTTTATCAATGTTTTATAGTTTTTAGTGTACAAATCTTTCACCTCCTTGATTAAACTTATTCTTAAGAATTTTATTTTTTGTACCTATTGTGAATGGGGTAGTTTTTTTCTGCAAAGTTTGTTGTTAAGGTGTAGAAACACTACGGATTTGTGTATGTTGATTTTGTATCCTGCCACTTTAATAAATTTGTTTATTACTTGTAATTTTTGTGTGTAGTCTTTAGAGTTTTCTGTATATAAGATCATATCATATGCAAACAGTGACCATTTTACTTCTTTCTTTCTGCTTTGGATGCTTCTTATCTCCTTTTCTAGCCTAACTGCTCTGGCTAGGACTTTCAGGACTATAGTGGATAGAAGTGGCAAGAACGGGCATTCTTGTTTTGTTCTCGATCTTAGAGGAAAAGTATTCAACTTTTCACCATTCAGTATGACGTAAGCTGTGGTTTATCATATAAAGCCTTTATTGTGTTGAGGTACATTCCTTCTACACCTAGTTTGTTGACAGTTTTTAATCAGAAAGGATGATTAATTTTATCAAATGCTTTCTCTGCCTCTATTAAGATGATCTTATGGTTTGTGTTCTGCACATTTTTAATGTGGCATATCACATTTATTGATTTGCACATATTAAGCCACTCTTGCATTCTTGGAAAAAAATCTCATTTGGTCATGGTAAATAATACTTTTAATGTGCTGCTGAATTCATATTTCTAGTATTTTGTTGAGGATGTTTGCATCAATGTTCATAAGAAATATTGACCTGTAGTTTTCTTTTTCTGCAATGTTCTACCATTTCTTTAAATAAGAAGATTACCCCTTTGATGCTTTCTTCCCCTTATTGATATTCTATAGCTTCAATATTTGTTCTTTTGATGTTGTCCTATAAATCCCATTAGCTTTCTTCATTCCTTTCTTATTCTTTTTTCATTTTTCTCCTCTGCCTATATATTTTGATATAATCTGTCTTTGACTCCACAGATTCTTTTTTCTCTTTGATCAATTTTCCTGTTGATGCTCTCTGTTGCATTTGTTCATTGCATATATTTCTAGTTGATTTTTTAAGTAATTTCTATTTGATTTTTAAAATAATTTCAATTTCTCTGTTAAATTTCTAATTTTGGTCATTTAATGGTTTTCTGATACCACCCAAATGTTTCTCTTTATTTTCTTAAAGTTCACTGAGCTTCCCTAAAACAATAATTTATAAATAATTATAAATTCTTTGTGAGGCATTTTGTATATCTGCAGTTATTTGGGGTCAGCTATTGGAAGATTACTGTGTTGTTTTTTGTTTTTTGTTTTGTTTTTTTTTTGGTGGCGTTATGTATATCTCCTTGGTTTTTCATGTTTCCTGATGTTCCTTATGTTAATGTCTATATACAAGACATTCTAAGCATGGTGTCTGGCATGGTCCGTGAATGGGCTTGCATTGAATTCCTCAGGCAAGCTGGGTTGGTGTCTGGGTCAGCGTATCAAAGGGCCTGGCACATGGACCCACAGGGTTGGGCCTGGAGCCTGGATCCAGTGGGATAGACTTGTTGATTGCGTTCATGGAGGTGGGCCTGGAGCCTGGGTCCCCAAGGCTGAGACTGGAGTCTGTATCCATGGGGCTGGCCTGAAGCCTAAGTCCGAGGGGGTTGATCTAGTACTGGGGTGGGCCTTGAGCCTGGGTCTGCAGGAGCCAGCCACTTTCTGTGATGGGCCAGTCACATGGGTCCACTGGGATGGGCGTGGGGCCTGAGTTCAGTAGGGTTGGCCTGCTGTGGTTTCAATGATGGTGTCCCCTCCAAGATTTATGTTAAAACTTAACACCCAATGCTATAGGATTAAGGGGTGCCACCTTTGAGAGATTATTAAGTCATGAGGGTGGAGCCCTCATGAATGGGATTAGCAACCTTATAAAGGTGTTTGTGACTGAAGAGAATTCTCTCTTGCCCTTTGGTTTCTTCTGGCATGTGAGGGTACAGTATTTCTCCCCTGCAGAGGACATAGCACTGAGGGATCATCTTGAAAGCAGACAGCAGCCCTCTCTAGACCCCAAATTAGCCAATGCCTTGATCTTGAATTTCCCAGCCTCCAGACCATGATAAATAAATTTCTTTTGTATATAAATTACCCAGTCTGCAGTATTTTATCTTAGCAGCACAAACTAAGATAGGGTCTGGGTCCTAGATCTACAGGGGTGAACTTGCAGCCTCAGTCCACAGGGGCCAGCCTGCTACTGAGGTCTACTGGGCAGACCCGAACTAGACCTTGGGTCTGCTGGAGTGTGGGCCACAGAGGCTAGTTAGGAGTATGTGTGGGGCCACAGAGACAGGCCTGTCACTCGGCAGGCCTGAGGACAGTGTCCATGTTTACTGGTCTGGTGCCTGAGGCCAGGGTTTCCAGTCCAGCACCAGGATGGGCCCAAAGCCTGGGAGTGTGTGGGCCAATCTTGCTCAGGGTTGGTCTGAAACCTGGGACAGTCCTGGAGTCTGGGGCTGCAGGAGCTGACCTGTCACTGGGTAGGCCTTGAGCCTGTATCCACAGGGACCGATCTGATGAGTAGGGCTGCTGGGGCTAGCCTGGTGCTGGGGCAATTATGAAGCCTGGGGCAGTGGGGGCCAGCCCAGTGTTATGGGAAGTACAGAGTCTGGTCTGCTGGGGTCATCCTGGTACTGGGGTGACCAAGTCCACTGGGCATTCTTGGAGTCTGGGACTGCAAGCACCAACCTGGAGCTTCAGTCTATGGGAGCTGTCCAGTCACTGAGGCAGGTCTGATGCTCAGGGTCATTAAGTTAGCCCAGCACTGGGGTTGGCCTGGAGCTTGCACTGCTGGGGTCAGCCTAGTAGTGGGAAGGCCTGGAGACCAAGTCTGCAGGGGCTGTGGGATTCCATGTGGTGCTGGGAAAGAACTGGAGGCTTAGTCTACAGGTACCGGCCAGGAGTCCGGGTCTGTAGGGGCCTGCCCTGCACTGGGTTTTATTGAGGTGGGCCTGGTGTTGGGGTTCAAGGCAAAGGCTTGTGCTTACTTTCCTCTCCTTCCCCCAAGCAGAAGATACATCTCTTCTAGGTGTTCTGCCTGGGACTGGGAGAGGGATGAGGTGGGTAATGTAAAATGATTCTTCTTACTTTCTTCAATGCATATTTTCTTATTTCTGGGCTGCCCAGGTGCTGTAGTCTCTCACCTGGTTTCCTTGGCTCCTTTAAAGCTATTTTTGTATGTGAATAATTGTTCAAATTGATGTTTCCACAGTGGGATGAGCACTGCAATGTTCTGTTTTACCATCTTGTTGATGTCAGTCCCAAAAACATATTCATAAGCAACCAGTGGTCAAAGAAGAAACCACAAAGATGGCTGGGTGCGGTGGCTCACACCTGTAATCCCAGCACTTTGGGAGGCCGAGGTGGGCAGATCACGAGGTGAGGAGATCGAGACCATCCTGGCTAACACGGTGAAACCCCGTCTCTACTAAAAATACAAAAAATTAGCCGAGTGCAGTGGCGGGCACCTGTAGTCCCAGCTACTCGGGAGGCTGAGTCAGGAGAATGGCGTGAACCCGGGAGGCGGAGCTTGCAGTGAGCCGAGATCGCGCCACTGCACTCCAGCCTGGGGGACAGAGCGAGACTCCATCTCAAAAAAAAAAAAAGAAAAAAGAAAAGAAACCACAAAGAACATTGGAAAATATCTTGAGACAAATTAAAATGAAAACACAGCACACCAAAATTTATATGATTCATCAAAGCAATACTAAGAGGCAAACTTATTGTATAAAGTTTTACATTAAGAAAATGAAAGATCTCAAATCAATAACCTAACTTTATACCTTAAAGATTAAAAGTACACAAACTAAACCCAAGTCTAATGGAAGGAAGAAAATAATAAATATTAGAATAAAGATAAGCATAGAAAACAGGAAAATGACAGATAAGACCAATAAAACAAAGAGTTGGTGTTTCAAAACTTTAAGACTCCTGCTACAAGATGGCCAACCGGATGCAGCCAGGAGGAACATATCCCACCGAGGTACCAGGACATCGGGAAGACTGGTGCACTCCTAGCAGCTCTGCAGGCGGAAGGCATTAAAGCAGACAGAGGAAAGACGCAGATGCTAGGCTGAATGGAAAGGGAGCTGAGAACCCTGCACGGGGCTACTGCACTTCTGAACTCGTTCCTGGCCCCCAACAAATCCTGTGGAAGGGGTGAGTTAAACAGGCAAGGAGCCTCTCGCCACAGGCCTCTGGAATCCCAGCAGGAGACCCCTCAACCACCACAGACACTTGTGCTGGCAAGGAGAGCTGCTTAGAGAAGTGGTAGAGGCAGAACTTCAGCCGGTGTGGAGCCCAGAGGGTTTGGTGCAGGAGTATCTGTAATGGAGCATGACAAGGGACACCCATCCTCCTAGGCTCGACTTGCTCCCATATGAGACTTTAGCCCTAGGGGAACTTTTGGACCTAAACACTGTAGGGCATTCTTGCCCATGAGATGGGACCTGTTTGACCTGAGCAACTCTCAGTCTGCTGGCCTCTCCCAGGGCCCCAACCTGGCCATGATTGAAAACACATTTTAAAAAATCCAAAATATCAATGAACCCAGGAGTTGGTTTTTTGAAAAAATTCATAAGATAGGCCATTATCTAGACTAACAAAGAAGAGAGACGATCCAAATAAACACAATTGGAAACAACAAAGAGAATATTACCATTGACCCCACAGAAATACAACTGTCAGAGGCTACTATGACCTTGTTTATACACACAAACTAGAAAGTCTAGGTTGAGAATCTAGAAGAAATGGATAAATTCCTGGACACACACACCCTCCCAAGATTGAATCAGGAAGAAATTGAATCCCCAAACAGACCAATAATGAACTCCGAAATTGAATCAGTAGTAAATAGCCTTCCAACCAAAAAAAAGCCCATGATTAGACAGATTCACAGCAGAATTCTACCAGGTATATAAAGAAGAGCTGGTACCATTCCTACTGAAAGTATTACAAAAAAAAATTGAGGAGAAGGGACTCCTCTTCAACTTATACTATGAGGCCAGCATCATCCTGATACTAAAAGCTAGCAGAGATACAATAAAAAAATAAAACTTCAGGCCAATATCCTTGATGAATATTGATGCAAAAATCCTCAACAAAATACTGGCAAGCCAAATCCAGCAGCACATCAAAAAGCTTACACACCATGGTCAAATAAGCTTTATCCCTGGGATGCAAGCTTGGTTCAACATATGCAAATTAATAAACATGATTCATCACATAAACAGAACCAAAAACAAAAACCACATGATCATCTCAATAGGTGGTGATGATCAAAGCAGAAAAGGCTTTTGATAAAATTTAACATCCCTTCATTTTAAAAACTGAAAAAAATAGGTACAGAGGAACATACCTCAAAATAAGAGCTATCTATGACAAACCTACAGCCAACATCACACTGAATGGGCAAAAGCTGGAAACATTTACCTTGAAAAAGGAAAGGACAAGTATGCTCTCTGTCACTACTGCTATTCAACATATTACTGGAAGTCCTATCCAGAGGAATTGAACCAGAGAAAAAAATAAAGGGCATCCAAATAGGAAGAGAGGAAGTCAAACTATTCCTGTTTGCAGATAACATGATTCTGTATCTAGAAAACCCCCTAGTCTCGGCCCAAAAGATTCTTAAGCTGATACACAACTTCAGCAGAGTTTCAAGATACAAAATCAACATACAAAAATCACTAACATTCTTATATACTAACAACAGCCAGGTGGAAGCCACATCAGGAACACAATTCCATTTACAATTGCCACAAAAAGAATAAAATACCTAAGAATACAGCTAACCATGGAGGTGAAAGATCTCTACAATGAGAATTACAAAACACTGTTACTCAAAGAAACCAGAGAGGACACAAACAAATGGAAAGCATTTCATGCTCATAGATAGAAAGAATCAATATCATTAAAATGGCCATTCTTGCCCAAAGCAATTTACAGATTCAATGCTATTCCTATCAAGCTACCAATGACATTCTTCACAGAATTAGAAAAACATACTATTTTAAAATTCATGTGGAACAAAAAGCCCCAATAGCCAAAGCAATCCTAAGCAAAAAGAACAAAACAAGAGGCATCATGCTACTCAAATTCAAATTATTCCACAGGGCTACAGTAACCAAAACATCATGGTACTAGTACAAAAACGGATACATAGACCAATGCAACAGAACAGAGAGGCCAGAAATAAGGCCACACACCTACAACCATCTGATCTTCGACAAAGCTGACAAAAACAAGCAATGGGGAAAGGACTCCCTATTCAATAAATGGTACTAAGATAATTAGCTAGCCATATGCCGAAGATTGAAACTGGACCCTTTCCTTATACCATATGCAAAAATCAACTCAAGATGGATTATAGACTTAAATGTAAAACCCCAAACTATAAAAACCCTGGATGACAACCTAGGCAATACCATTCTGGACATAAGAATCAGCAAAGATTTCATGAAGAAGATGCCAAAAGCAATTGCAACAAAAGCAAAAATTGACAAATGGATCTAATTAAACTAAAGCGCTTCTACACAGCAAAAGAAACTATCAACAGAGTAAACAGACAACTTACTGACATGTTTTGGATCTGTGTCGCCATCCAAATCTCATGTTCAATTTTAATCCCCAATGTTGGAGGTGGTGCCTGATGGCAGATGATAGGATCATGGGGGTGGATCCTTCAAGATGGTTTTGCACCATCCCCTTGATGTTCTCATGAGCTCTGGTTGTTTAAAAGTGTGTGGCACCTTTCCCCACTTGTTCTCTCTCTCTTGCTCCTGCTCCCATCATGTGAGATGCCTTGCTCCCCCTTTGCCTTCCACCATGATTGAAAGCTTCCTGAGGCCTCCCCAGAAGCAGAAGCCTCAATGCTTCTTGTACAGCTTATGGAACCATGAGCCAATTTAAATTCTTTTCCTTTAAAGTACCCAGTCTCAGTTATTTCTTTATAGCAATGTGAGAACAGATTAATATACCTACAGAATAGGAGAAAAATTTTGCAAACTACGCACCTGACGCAAGTCTAATATCCAGCATCTATAAGGAATGTAAACAAATTTTCAAGAAAAAAACTACCCCATTAAAAAGTGGGCAAAGGACATGAACAGCACTTTTCAAAAGAAGACACACATGTTGCCAATAAGCACATGAAAAAAAGCTCAATATCACTAATCATTAGAGAAATGTACATCAAAACCACAATGAGATACCATCTCACACCAGTCAGAATGGCTGTTACTAAAAAGTCAAAAAATAACAGATGTGCAGAGAAAATAGAATAGTTATATACTATTGGAGGGAGTGTAAATTAGTTCAACCATTGTGGAAAGTGGTGTGGTTATTTCTCAAAGAGCTAAAAAAATAACTACCATTCAACCCAGCAATCCCACTGCTGGGTATACACCCAAAGGGATATAAATCATTCTATCATAAAGACACAGGAACGTGTATGCTTATTGCAGAACTATTCACAATGGCCAAGCTATGGAATCAACCTAACTGCCCATCAGTGGTACACTGGATAAAGAAAATGTGAATATTATGCAGCCATAAAGAAGAATTATATCATGTCCTTTGCAGGAACATGGTGCTGGAGGCCATTATTCTTAGCAAACCAACGCAGGAACAGCAAACCAAATACTGCATGTTCTCACTTACAAGTGGGAGCCAAATGATGAGAACACACAGACACAAAGAAAGGAACAACAAACACTGGGGCCTATCTGAGGGTGGAGGGCAGGAGGAGGGAAAGAAGCAGAAAAAATAACTGGGCTTAGTACCTAGGTGATGAAATAATCTGTATGACACACCCCTGTAACAGGAGTTTACCTATATAACAAACCTGCACAAGTACCCCTGAACCTAAAATGAACGTTTTAAAAACATTTATAAAGAAGTTCAATAAAATCAAAAAATCTTATGTAGACTAAAAGGAAAAAATAAGAATGCTCAAATAACTAAAATTAGAAATGAATAAGGGGATATTACTACCACTTTTATAGAAGTGAAAAGGATTATAAGAGACTACTATATGAACAATTGTATGCCAACAGATCGGATAACCTAGATAAAATTGATAAATTCCTAGAAACCCCTAACCTGCCAAGACTGAATTAGGAAGAAATAGAAAATCTGAACAGACCTTTAATAAGTAAAGAGATTGAATCAGATATCAAAAACCTACCAAAAACAACAACAAAAGTCTAGGATCAACTTACTTCACTGGTGAGTTCTACCAAACATTTAAAGAATTAACGTTAATCCTCCTCGAACTCTTCCAAAAACCTGAAGAGGAGGAAGTGCTTCCAAACTTATTTTACAAGGCCAACATTGCACTTACACCAAAGACAGACACAGACACAGACACTACAAGAAAATAAAACTATAAACCACTATCACTGACATATATTGATGCAAAAATCCATTTTAAAAACTGGCAAACAGAATTAAAGAGCAATTTAAAATGATTATACATCATGATCAAATGGGATTTTTTTCCTTAAATACAAGAATTGTTCAACATTTGAAAATCAATCAGTATAATATACCACATTAAGGGGAAATAGAATTATGGGGAAAAAACACATGATTATCTAAATTGCAGATAAGCCATTTGAAAATTCAACAACCTTTTATGATAAAAGCATCCAATAAACTAGGAATGAAAGGAATTTGCCTCAACATAATAAAAGTAATATATAAAAGTTCCACAGATAATATCATACTCAATGATGAAAATCTGAAAGCTTTTTCTCTAAGATCAGGAACAAGATAAGCATCCTCACTTTCACCACTTCTAGTCTACTATGTTCTATTCCAACATAGTACTAGAAGTCCTGACCATAGCAATTTGGCAAGAAAAATAAATAGAAGGCATCCAAACTGGAAAGAAGAAGTAGAATTATCTCTATTCACAGGCAACATGATCTTTTTCTTTTCTTTTCTTTTCTTTTTTTTTTTACTTTAAGTTCCGGGATACATGTGCATGTGCAGAACATGCAGGTTTCTTACATAAGTATGTATATGCGTGTCATGGTGGTTTGCTGCACCTACCAACCAGTCACCTAGATTTTAAGCCTGGCATGCATTAGCTATTTGTCCTGATGCTCTCCTTCTTTTCTCCCCGCTCCAAAAGGCCCCACTGTGTGTTGTTCCCCTCCCTGTGTCCATGTGTTCTCATTGTTCAGGTCCCACTTATAAGTGAGAACTTGCAGTGTTTGGTTTTCTGTTTCTATTTTTGTTTGTTTGTTTTTTCCTCTTTTATTAAGTCCGCTATACTAACTAGAAGGAGAAGCTGTGGTTTTCACCTGACAGGCCACAGGGCCAATCACCACAGCTTCTTGTAGAGAACATGGAGAGTGCCAAGATCACCATCAGGTGCCGCTTCCTTCCTGTGGCTTTCCGTCTTCCAGTCGGCCTGGTCTTTTGCCTTGAAGGGCCCCAAAACATCAGCCCTGGCTGTCATCTTCATCCCAATTGCTGAGAAGATGGGCAGACAAGAACACGGAGGGTGTCACAGAGAGGTTCCCATCAGGTTCACAGGGCGCCCGCTGTACCTCTTGGAGATGTCAGCTTCAATCAGCTTCTGCAGCTCCTTGGTCTTCTCCAGCAGCAGGTCCAGCTTAGGCTCCAGAGCCTCCTGCTCCTCAAGTGCCTCCTGCTGCTTCTGCACCATCAGCTCTTTCTTCAAAGCCAGCAGCTGGGACTGCTTCAGGTTTTGCTGGAGGAATTCAGTCACTCGGTCCACATACCTTGGTGAGGCCAGGTTCATAAACAGGTGTTGCAGTTGAAGACTGGTAAGTTTGCCAATCAGATCTTCCAACACTGACACCATGATAACCATCTTCTCTTTGGTCTGGCCCTGCAGGATGACTGGAGCCAGCTGGAACTGGCTCACAGACAGGACATCTGCCTTCTCACTCAACTCCACTGCTCTCTGGGCTAAGAAGATCTCAAGTTCCATGAGCTCATCAAGGAACTGATTCTGGGTCTCAGTGTATTCAAGAAGTGTCAGAGCATCTGGGCCCCTGGCAACACCTTCTGGAGCCTGGATTCCTGCTTCCACCACTGTGATCTGCAAAGCAACAGCATCGTCTCCCTAGTCTATCCCATCATCTCCAAGGTCCTTTGAGTCTGATTCCGGGAAGATGCCCCAGTCGATTCCAGCAGCCTCGGCAGAGATGCCAGCGTCAGTCCCCCCAGACACTGCCTCTACCCCAAAGTCGCCCCAGTCAATCGCGTCTTCTGCCACCTGCTCAGGAAGCTCCTCGAGGTGGGGTCGCTCCACGACAGAGGGCTCTGTCCCTGTCCTCCACTCGTACACCGTTGAGTTTCCCCGCTTCTGCACGAACCACAGCATTGGCAACACCTGCTCTGTGGGGCTATCACACACAAACCCCACAGAGGCCTGGTACACTTCGATGGCTTCCCCCAGGGACTGCTGCGCCGCTGCCCCAGTCTCAGCCAGCTGACTTGGCAGGTCCTTCACCAGGGCCAGCAGTTCTCCTCGGGTATTTTCGCCCATGATGCCATACTGCTTGCAGGAGTGGTAGAACTGCTCCCCCATCTCAGCAGCCCCTGCCTGGCACTCCTCCTCCTTGCAGCTGTATTCTTGCTGCAGCTGCTGGCACTTGGCAATCTGCTTCTTCAGTGAGGGGATCTCATAGTTGACATTCCAAACCAGGAGGCTAGAGAGTTCCACTAAGTAGGTGTTGTCCTTCTCATACAGGGCTATAATCTCCTGCCATTCCTTCATCCACTGTGAAGAGTATCAGCCAAAAATATTTTTCGTGGAGGCCTCTGTGCCTTTGAAAAGGTCCAGGATTCTTAGGCAGTGAAAGTAGTGAATGTAGGATCCAGACAGCAGCTGGGCGATCTCTTCGCTCTCTGGCATGTCCTGGATGGCAGCACTGATCTTCTCTCAGATCGTCAGCACCAGACTCTGCCATTTCAGGCTGCAGTACCTTCTGTCCACAAGCCAATCGAGCAGCTTGCTGGTCTGGATGTCGATGGGCATGTGCTGATGGTCCTCCATCTTTCCTCCACTTCCACTTCAGGCCAGAGATCTAGTTTTCTATTTCTGTGTTAGTTTGCTGAGGATGATGGCTTCCAGCTTCATCCATGTCCCTGCAAAGGATGTGATCTCATTCCTTTTTATGGCTGCATAGTATTCCATGGTGTACATGTACCACATTTTCTTTAGTCTGTCATTGATGGGCATTTGGATTGGTTCCATGTCTTGGCAACATGATCTTATTTGTAAATATTCCACACTAAAATAAATGCTAGAACTAATAAACAAATTCAACCAAGTTGCAGATATAAAATCAACATACATGACTCATAACACATATTCTATCCTGTCGGTCACATTGCTTACCTTTCTAATACAATTTCTTGGAGAGGCTGGTATCTTCTTGAATAATGGACACAAGAAGTTTCCAGTGCCTTCAATATAAAACCTACACTCTCTAGCCTGTATTTCAGCTTAGGCTACTACAATCCATCCATCCCCTCATTCCACACCAGTTTATCATTTCATACTCTGTACCAGGCTAGGAACACAGAGGTCTCCAATGCCTACCACACTGATAAAAATGAGTCCAAAGAACCTGTAAACTGTACCACTCTTGATTGTGATTTTCTTTATAAGGAATGTCCGTCCTTTCTCCTTTAAGCATGGATGAAGCAGGAAGATAGAAAAGGAAAGAAGTGAAGTAAATGACATTTGCATGCTGTGGTACATTCAAACTACCACAGAAATACAGAGAAAGTACTCAACTGCTGCTACATCAGACACCTTGCTGGTCAACCAGAGGAAGGGGGATGAAAATGGCACTCATTCATCCATGCTTCAGCATCATAGTATCACTGTCTTTTTTACCTCAATCTTTTTTTACCTCAAAACCCTCATCATGATGTCTCTCCTGGCACCATCCTACTTACAGTAGGATGAGAATATCTGCAGGGGGTTTCCCCAGGGTGGCATCCACACTTTTCTGGATAACACTAGATCTGGAGAATTTTCCTCTCACCCAAACATACCAGATGGAACACTTCCTGTTTTTAGTCACCAGAGAGAGGAGTAGGAACATATACAATAAGAATAAGGGAGAAATAATGCATTTTCTTCAGTCTCTCCACATGTGGAGTAGCCCAAGACAGCCTTGGGAGGAAGCCTTCTATAGTGGCACCCAAAAGTTTCATAAAAGACCTTTGCTACTCTTCTCTCTTGAACAGCTTCCATGGCTTCATATTGTCCTGAATCATTGTGCATTGTATCTCCCATGTCAAATTAATGTCACCTTTGAAATCTCTCCCTCTTCAGACCAGAAGACAGAGGAGACCTGCTTTCACATCCCAGCATGTACTTTAACAATGATTTTGTGTCTCAACTCTCTGAAACTAGCTTTTCTATCTCAGAAATGGACTTAGAGGAGTTTCAGATATGGGCATCAGATATCAAGTGTGTATAGAGAAGGAAGTTTTAGAGGCAAGAACATACTAAAATAATTTGAGGAAATTATTTTAAATTCTCACACTAAATCTTCTTCTCTAGAAATTCAGTAGGCCTGGATAGGGGCCCAGGGAATGGTATCTTGCATGAGTGTCCCCCTCACCACTATCATAAGCCCCCGCTTGATATTAATTCCTCAACTATTCCCAATCATGACCTTCTAACTCTCACATTTATGTATCACCCAGACTGTCTTCCCTCACAATATAGTCCATGGCTTAACATCATAAATCAAGTAACACCTACAACCACCATCAATAACTTATGCATGTACTTTTTTAATAGTTCCATCCAGAGCTCTTAAAAATATATCTAAGTACACCTGATACATTTATCTTCTGCCAACTGGGAACCCCAAATTGTGTTCTCCTCAAACTTCAAAGATCTTTCCGTCTCATTTATATCTGCTTATGGCATACTATATTTATTTAGTCATAAATCATTTATATATTAATTTATTTAATAGACATTTACAAATAAAGTAAATAAAACACTCAGCTTAACAGGGATACAGAGACTTATATGAAAATGTAAGTAGATAAATCTCATATGTGTATGCTTGAGATGGTAAAAGAAAAGAATGAGTGACTTTCTTATTAGAAGAGATTGTTCAAAATAGTTCCTGGCCCTGAATTATTCCAGCTGGACACATGTTAAAAATCATTAAGGAAGGAGAACTTTTTATAACCCTTGAAACATAAAGTTCTGTCTTCATTTTATTGTAAATTCATTTGCAGTGATGATTACTATTCCTATGTTTTACTGAATATGGGAACAAGGATACCTCAAGAAAAAAGGTAAAAGGAAAAGGGTTTTGGAGGATGGAGTGTAAGAGAAAAAGTGAGGAGAGTAAAAGGAAGGGATTATGGAGCAGTAGAAGTAGAAGCAAGGGGAGGAAGAAGGCAAAAGGCTAGACATCATAACTGAACTCACTCCCAAGAAAGGAGAAATAACTTTGGTTGGTTGTCCATATGTCTGTATGTCTAGTTAATGTTCCTCCTATGTTTCTTATTTCCTTTTTGTAGAGAGTGTGTTTGTGTGTGTGTGTGTGTGTGTGTGCATCTGGAAACATTCTAGCCCCCTGATTTCATTTACCTGCACTGCCTTCTCCTACATTTAGGGCTGTTTATGGTCAATGAAAGTCACACTCAAGGGAGTTTTTGAAGAATGTGAAAGGACACACTAGATATATTTTATTCAAGGCTAATTAGTTGCCATTCCATAAGACCCTTGCTGTGGTGCACTCAGGTGTTTTATTAAACTCTAGCCAGCCCTCATCCCAGACTAACCCAAATTCTGCTCATAACAACCCAACATTCATTCTTTTTGCACCAAACATCTGACAAAACCAAATGCCAATCCCAGTTCTACCTCCATGTTATGCCCACTCAAGCCCCAATCCCAAGACAAACACAACACTAGTCAAGCCATCCAACACCAACACCCAGCTTCAACCCAACAACCAGCTCATCCACAAATGTCCTCTACTCCAATTCTCAGTTTCACCCAATTTCACTGCTGGATACATTCATCCACAAATACAATTCTTAACCCAGCCTATCCCAAACCACTGCCCCAGCCTAATTTTATAAATATGATCCTCACTTCCATCTCATCATTGTTTATTGTTTCTATCATTACACCAACACAAAGGTCCCATCCTTTTTGTACTACAATTCACTACCCAATCTCCAAATAGCCCCTTGATTCATCCTATAAATGTTCAACTTGAACTCAATTTCTCACACCTAACCTGTATCCAAATCTTTCATCTCAATGACATTGCTAACCCTAAATTGTTCTATGCCAATCCTCTCTACCACTCTACCAACCAAAAGCATCACATTCTTAATTTGATCTTAGAAGTACAAAGCCAGTAAGAGATCCTGACATGATACAAACCTGAGGGTAAAATCCCTAAGCTGCCTGACACCACATCATCAAAACTGCAATACACATGCAGGACCCCAGAACCTTTGAGAGACAGAACAAAATCAGAAAACTTCATGGCAATATCTTTGATGAACATAGATGCAAAAATCCTCAACAAAATGCTGGCAAACTGAATCCAGCAGCATATCAAAAAGCTTATCTGCCATAACCAAGTAGACTTCATCCCTGGATGCAAGCCTGGTTCAGTATATGCAAGTAAATAAATGTGATTCACCACATAAAAAGAATGAAAAACAAAAACCACATGATTGTCTCAATAGATACAGAAAAGACTTTCAATAAAATTCAACACCCTTTCATGTTAAAAACTCTCAATGAACTAGGCACTGGAGGCACATACTTCAGAATAATAAGAGCCATCTATGACAACCCCACGGCCAACATTATACTGAATGGGCAAAAGATGGAAGCATTCACCTTGAAATCTAGAACAAGACTAGGATACC
Source organism: Homo sapiens (assembly GCF_000001405.40). Lineage (NCBI taxonomy): Eukaryota > Metazoa > Chordata > Mammalia > Primates > Hominidae > Homo > Homo sapiens. Next base: position 31,290,717 of record NC_000020.11, read on the forward strand.
CTCTCTCACTTCTATTCAACATAGTACTGGAAGTGCTAGCCAGAACAATCAGGTGAGAGAAAGAAAAAAAAAGGATCTAAATAGAAACAGAAGAAGTCAAACTATCCCTGTTTGCAGACAATATTATTCTATACCTAGAAAATCCCATAGTCATTGCCCGAAAGCTCCATGATATAATACACAACTTCAGCAAAGTTTCAGGATACAAAATCAATGTACAAAAATAGGTAGCATTCCTATATACCAACAACATCCAACTGAGAACCAAGTCAAGAGTGCAATCTCATTCACAATAGCCACAAAAAGAACAAAATACCTAGGAATACAGCTAGCCAGGGAGGTAAAAGATCTCTACAATCAGAATGACAAAACATTCAAAGAATGTTCATCTCTGCTCAAAGAAATCAGAGATAACACAAACAAAAGGAGAAACATTTCATGCTCATGGATATGAAAAATCAATATTGTCAAAATGGCCATGCTACCTAAAGCAATTTGCAGATTCAGTGCTATTCCTATCAAACTACCATTGACATTCTTCATAGAATTAGAAAAAAGTATATTGAAATTCATGTGGAAAACTATTTTGAAATTCCTGTGAAAAAAGAGCCTGAATAGCAAGGGCAATCCTAAGCAAAAAGAGCAAAGCTGGATGCATCACATAACCCGAATTCAAACTGTACTACAAGGCTACAGTAACAAAAACAAGACACATAGACCAATGGAACAGAATATAGAGCCCAGAAATAAAGCTGCACACCTACAACCATCTGATCTTTGACAAAGTATACAAAAACAAGCAATGGGGAAAAGACTCCCTATTCAATAAATGGTGCTGGTATGACTGACTAGACATATGCAGAAGATTGAAACTGGACCCCTTTCTTACATCATATTAAAAAAATCAAATCAAGATGGATTAAAGACTTAAATGTAAAACTTAAAATTATAAAAACCCTGGACGATAACCTAGGAAATATCATTCTGGACATAGACTCTGGCAAAGATTTCATGATAAAGACACCAAAAGCAATTGCAACACAAAGTAATAAATGGGAACCAACTAAACTAAATAGCTTCTGCACAGCAAAAAGAATCTATCAACAGAGTAAACAGACACCCTACAGAATGGCGGAAAATATTTGTAAACTATGCATTTGACAAAGGTCTAACATCCAGAATCTATAAAGACTTAAAAAAAATTAACAAGCAAAAAACAACCCCATTAAAAACTGGGCAAAGGCATGAACAGACACTTCACAAAAGAAGGCACATATGTGACCAACAAACGTATGAAAAAATGCCCAACACCACTAATTGTTACAGAAATGTAAATCAAAACCACAACGAGATATCATCTCACACCCGTCAGAATGGCTATTATTAAAAAGTCAAAAAATAACAGATGCCGGCAAGGTTGAGCAGAAAAGGAAACACTTATGCACTGCTGGTGGGAATGTAAATTAGTTCAACCATTGTGGAAAGCAGTGTGGTTATTTCTCAAACAGCCTAAAACAGAATTACCATTTGACCAAGCAATCCCATTACCGAGTATTTGCCCCAAGGAATATAAATTATTCTACGATAAAGCCACATCCACATGTATGTTCATTGAAGCACTATTCACAATAGCACAGGCATGGAATCAACCTAAATGCCCATCAATGGTAGACTGGATAAAGAAAATGTGGTATATATACACCATGGAATACTATGCAGCCATAAAAAGAATGAAATCATGTCCTTTGCAGCAGCATGGATGGAGCTGGAGGCCATTATCTTACGTGAACCAATGCAAGAACAGAAAATCAAATACCCTATGTTCTCACTTATAAGTGGGAGCTAAACATAGAGTATGTATGAACACAAAGAAGGGAACAACAGACACTGGGGCCTACTTGAGGGCGGAGGGTGGGAGGAGGATGAGGATTGCAAAACTACCTATCAGATACTAGGCTTAATACCTGGGTAATGAAACAATCTGTACACCAAACTCCCATGACACGAAACTCACCTAGATGACAAATCTGCACATGTACCCCTGAACCTAAAATAAAAGTTAAATAAATAACTAAATAATAAAACAAATGTTTGGTAGAATTCCATGGTAAAGCCATCAGGTCCTGGGATTTTCTTTGATGCAACACATTTTATTACTGATTCAATCTCCTTACTCATTGCTATGGTTTGAATATTTGTCCCTTCTAACACTCATGTTGAAACTTAATCCCCAATGTGACAGCATTGAGAGATGGAGTCTTAAGAAAGGATTGGGGAGGAAGGTGAAGCAAGATGGCAGAAAAGAAGGCTTCACCAATCATCCCGCCCTGCAAGGACACCAATTTAACAACTATCTACACACACACATACACACACTCAGACACAAACCATCTTCAATAGAAACAAAAATGAGGTGAGCCCTCAGAATTTTATATCACTGAAAGATGCACCAAAGAGGCAGAAAAAAGTCTTGAATCACAGATGTCACCCCTCCCCCATCCTCTGGGAGCAGCAGCATGGTACAGAGAGCATTTTTGTGTGCTGGGGGAGGGAGGGCACAGCAATTGTAAGGCATTGAACTCAATGCTTTCCTGTTAGAGCAGAAAGAAAAACCAGACCAAACTCAGCTGGTGCCCCCTCCCTCCCATATACACACACAGTGGGAGCAGTTAAATCAGCCCTAGCTAGAGGGGAGTTGCCCATCCCAGAACTTGAATTCTTGCAAACCTTGCCACTGAGGGCTAAAGTGCTCTGGATGTCTAAGTAAACTTGAAAAGCACTGTAGGCCAGAGAACTGCAACTCTTAGGCAAGTCCTAATGCTGAACTCAGCCCAGAGACAGTAGACTAGGGGTGCACACAACTGACTGAGACTCCAGCCGGGACCGCTAAGAGAGTGCTGGTATCACCTCTCCTCTAACCCCAAGCTGCACAGCTTGTGGCTCTGAAAGAGACACATTCTTTCTCCTTGAGGAGAGATGAGGGAAAAGTGGGGAGAACTTTGTCTTGCATCTTGGATATCAGCTCAGCCACAGCAGGATAGGGTGCCAGTGAGAGCCGTGAGGCCCCTTTTTCTGGCCCTAGCTCCAGGATGACATTTCTTGACACACCCTGGGCCACAAGGGAACCCACTGCTTTGAAGGAAAAAACCCAGTCCTGGAACGATTCACTGCCTGCTAACTGAAGAGCCCTTGGGTGCTGAATAACCAGCAGAGATACCCAAGTACTATGTTGAGGGCCTTGGGTGGGCCTCTGAGACTTGCTGGCTTCAGGTACCAGCTCAGCCACAGGTGAGTAGAATACCAAGCACTCTAGATTCTAGAACTTGGCTCTTGGATGGCAATTCTGGATCTGCCCTGGGCCAAAGGGGAGCCCACTGCCCTGAAGGGTGATTCCCAGGCCAAGCAGCATTCACCACAAGCTGACTTAAGAGCTCTTTGGCCATAAAGGAACATTGGCAGTAGTCTGGCACTACTCTCCATGTCCTATGGTGGTGATGGCTATGGGGTGAGGCTCCTCTGCCTTTGGAAAGGGGATGGAAAAGTGGGAAGAACTGCATCTTGTGGTTTGAGTGCTGGCTCACCTGCAGTACAACAGAACACCAGGTAGACTTCTAAGGCTTTTTACTCTAATCTCTGACTCCTGAATGACACCTATGGACCCACTCAGGGTCTGAGGATACTTGCCATCCTGAATGGAAGGACATAGGCCTGGTTTGCTTTGCCACCTCCTGATTATAGAGTCCCACGGCCTTGAGAGAACATAGGGAGTTACTACCAGGGAGTGGTTACAGCAGGCCTTGGGTGAGACCCAATTCTGTGCTGGCTTCAAGTCTGACCCAGCACAGCCAGAGTGGTGGTGGCCACAGAGGTGCTCATCTTCCTCCCCCCGACACCCCCACAACTTTAAATGGCTCAGAACAAAGACATTCCATTTGTTTGGGAGAAAGTAAAGAAAGAGAAAAGAGTATCTTCCTGGTAATCCAGAGAATTCTTCCAAATCTTGTCTAAGACTATCAAGGCAGTACCTTTATGAGGTTGAAAGAACCACAGTGTTACTGGGCTTGGAGTGCACCCTAAAACAGATAGAGCTTAGATCACAATACCCAAGTCATTTCAAATATTTGGAAAGCCTTCCCAAGAAAGACGAGTACAAACAAGCCCAGACAGTGAAGACTACAATAAATACCTAACTTCTCTGCCCAGACACCAAAGAACTCTATAAGCATCAACACCATCTAGGAAAACATGACCTCACCAAATGAACTAAATAAGGCATCACAGACCAATCATAGAGAAACAGAGATATGTGACCTTTCAGACAGAGAATTCAAAATAGCTGTTTTGAGGCAACTCTAAGAAATTCAAGATAACACAGAGAAGAAATTCAGAATTCTACCAGATAAATTTAATAAAGAGAATAAAATAATTTAAAATAAGTAGAAACTCTAGAGCTGAAAAATACAATTGGCAGACTGAAGAACACATCAGCATTTTTAAACAGCAGAATTGATCAAGCAGAAGAAAGAATTAGTGAGCTTGAAGACAGACTATTTGAAAATACACAGTCAGAGGAGACAAAAAAATGAAAAAGAATAAAGCATGCCTATAAGCTCTAGAAAATAGCTTCAAAAGGGCAAATTTAAGAGTTGTCTTAAAGAGGAGGTAGAGAAAGAGAGATAGGGGTAGAGAGTTTATTAAAAGGGAAAATAACAGAGAACTTCCCAAACCCAGAGGAAGATATCAATGTGCAAGTACAAGATGGTTATAGAACACTAAGTAGATTTACCCCAAAGAAGACTACCTCAAGGCATATAATAATAAAACTTCCATAGATCAAGGCTAAAGAAAACATTCTAAAACCAATAAGAGAAAATAAACAAATAACACACAATGGAGCTCCAATATGTCTGGCAGCAGACTTTTCAGTAGAAACCTTATAGGCTTATGCCAGGAGAGAGTGGCATAACATATTTAAAGCACTGAAGGAGTCCAGGCATGGTGGTTCATGCCTGTAATCCCAGCACTTTGGGAGGCCAAAGCAGGAAAATTACTCGAGCTCAGGAGTTCAAGACCAGCCTGCAGAACATAGTGAGATCTCATCTCTATTAAAATAAATAAATAAACAAAATTAGCCAGGTGTGGTGGCACGTGCTTGTAGTCTCAGCTGTTCAGATGGCTGAGGTGCGAGGATCACTTAGGCCCAGCAGATCAAGGCTGCAGTGATCTGCGATTATGCTACTACACTCCAGCCTGGGCAATAGAGCAAGACCTTGTCTCAAAAAAATTAAATTAAATTAAAAAGTACTGAAGGAAGAAAACTTATCCTAGAATAGTATATCTGGTAAATATATATATTTGAATATATATATACACATATATATATTTGAATATATATATACACATATATATTTGAATATATATACACATATATATATTTGAATATATATACACATATATATATTTGAATATATATATACACATATATATATTTAAATACATATATACACATATATATATTTGAATATATATATACACATATATATTTGAATATATATATACACATATATATATTTGAATATATATTTGATATATATCCTTCAAACACAAAGATAGATCTTCCAGAGAGAAAATCAACAAAGAAACATTAGACTTAATATCCACTATAGACCAAATGAATCTAAACAATATTTGCAGAGTTTTCATCCAACAGCTGCAGAATACACATTCTTTTCCTCAGCACGTGAATCATTCTCAAGAATAGATCACATGTTAGGTCACAAAACAAGCCTTAAAACATTCAAAACATTGAAATAATATCAAGCATCTTCTCTGGCCTCAAGATGAATTTTGTAAACTATACAAATACATGGAAGTTAAACAATATACTCCTGAATGACCAGTGGGACACTGAAGAGATTAAGGAAATTGAAAAATTTCTTGAAACAAATGGTAACAGAAACACAACATATGAAAACCCATGGGATACAGCAAAAGCAGTACTAAGAAGTTTATAGCTATAAGGGTCAATGTCAGAAAAAGAGGAAAAACTTCAAATAAACAATCTAATGATGCATCTTAAAGAATAAGAAAAGCAAAAGCAAACCAAACCCAAAAATAGTATAAGAAAAGAAAGAATAAATATCAGACTAGAAATAAATGGAATTGAAATGAAGAGAACAATACAAAAGATCAATGAAACAAAAAGTTGTTTTTTTGAAAAGTTAAACAAAAGTGACAAACCTTTAGCCATACTAAATAAGAAAAAAAGATAGAAGATCCAAACAAATAAAATCAAAAATGAAAAAGGAGACATTACAACTCATGCTACAGAAATTCAAAGAATCATTAATGGCTGCTATGAGCAAGTTTATGTCAATAAATTGGAAAACCTAGAAGACATGGATGAATTCCTAGACACATGCGACACACCAAGATTGAACCAGGAAGAAATCCAAACCTGAAGAGACCAATAAGAAATGAGACTGAGGCTGTACTAAAAAGGCTCCAAGTATAGAAAACCCCAGGACCAGATGCCTTCACTGCTGAATGCTACCAAACATTTAAAGAATTAATACCAGTCCTACTCAAACTATTCTGAAAAATAGAGGAGGAGAGAATACTTCTAAACTCATCCATGAGGTCTGAAAAATAGAGGAGGAGACAATACTTCTAAACTCATCCATGAAGCCAGTATTATCCTGATACCAAAACCAGACAAAGACACATCAAAAAAAAAAAAAACCAAAAACTACAGGCCAATATCTCTGATGAATATTGATGCAAAAGTCCTCAAAAAACTACAACAAATTAATCAATGTGATACATTACATCAACAGAATGAGGACCAAAAACATATGATCATTTCGATTGATGCTGGAAAAGCATTTGATAAAATTCAACATCCCCTCATGATAAAAACCCTCAAAAAGCTGGATATAGAAGGAACATACCTCAACACAATAAAAGCCATATATGATAGACAAACAGCTAGTATAATACTGAATGGGGGAAAACTGAAAGCCTTTCCTCTAAGATCTGGAGCATGACAAGGATTCCCACTTTCACCACTGTTAGTCAACACAGTACTGGAAGTCCTAGCTAGAGCAGTCAGACAAGAGAATGAAATAAAGGGCATCCAAATTGGGGTGGAAGAAGTCAAATTACCCTTGTTTGCAGATAATATGATTTTATATTTGAAGAAACCTAAAGACACCACCAAAAACTTTTACAGCTGATAAATTCAGTAAAGTCTCAGGGTAGAAAATCAACATACAAAAATCTGTAGTATTTCTATATGCCAACAGTAAACAGTGTGAAAAAGAAATCAAAAAAGTGATCCCATGTACAATAGCCACACATAAAATTAAATACCTAGGAATTAACTTAACCAAAGAAGTGAAATATCTCCATAATGAAAACTATAAAACACTGAAGAGAGAAATTGAAAAGGACACCAAAAAATGGAAAGATATTCCATGTTCATGGTTTGGAAGAATCAATATTGTTAAAATGTCCATCCTACCCAAAGCAATCTACAGATTCAATGCATTCCCTATCAAAATACCAAGGACATTCTTCACAGAAATAGAAAAAAACCATTCTAAAATTTACATAGAACCACAAAAGACCCAGAATAGCGAAAGCTATCCTAAGCAAAAAGAACAAAACTGGAGGAACCACATTACCTGACTTCAAATTATACTACAGTGCTATAGTAACCAAAACAGCATGGTATTGGTAAAAAAAAAAAAAAAAAAAAAAAAAAACAGACATATAGACCTATGGAATAGAATAGAGAACACAGAAACAAACCAGACACCTTCAACGAACTCATTTTCAACAAATGTGCCAAAAACATACACTGGGGAAAAGACAGTCTTTTCAATAAATAGTGCTCAGAAACTGGATATCCATACTCAGAAGAATGAAGCTAGACCCCATCTCTCACCATATACAAAAATAAAATTGAAATAGATCAAAGACTTAAATCTAAGACCTCAAACTATGGAACGACTACAAAAAAATACTGGAAAAATTCTTCAGGACCTCAGTCTGGTCAAAAATGTATTGAGCAATATTCCACAGGCACAGGCAACCAAAGCAAAATGTACAAATGGGGTCACATCAAGTTAAAAAGCTTCTGCACAGGAAAGGAAATAATCAACAAAGTAAAAAAACAACCCACAGAATGGAAGAAAATATTTGCAAATTACCCATCTAACAAGAGATTAATAAGCAGAATATATAAGGACCTCAAACATCTTTATAGAAAAAAAATCTAATAATCCAATCAAAGATGGACAAGAGAGTTGAATAGACATCCCTCAAAAGAAGATATATAAAAGACAAACAGGCATGTGAAAAGGTGCTCAACATCATTGATCATCAGAGAAATACAAATCAAAACTACAACGAGATATCATGTCACCCCAGTTAAAATGGCTTTTATCTAAAAGACAGGCAATAATGAATGCTGACAAAGGTGTAGAGAAAAAGGAGCCCTCATACACTGTTGGTGGGAATTTAAGTTAGTATGACCACTGTGGAGAACAGTTTGGAGGCTCCTCAAAACACTAAAAATAGAGGTATTATAGGATCCAGCAATCCCACTGCTGGGTACATCCCCAAAAGAAAGGAAATCAGTACATTGAAGAGGTATCTGCACTACCATGTTTGTTGCAGCACTGTTCACAACAGCTAAGATTTGAAAGCAACCTAAGTATCCATCAACAGATGAATGGATAAGGAAAATATGGTACATATACTCAAAGGAATACTATTCAGTCATTAAAAAGAATAAGATGCTGTCATTTGCAACAATGTGGATGGAACTGGAATTCATTATGTTAAGTGAAATAAGCCAGCACAGAAAGACAAATATCACATGTTCTCACTGATTTGTGGTATCTAAAACTCAAAACAATTGAATTTCTGGACATAGAGAGTAAAATGATGGTTACCAGAGGCTGGGAAGGGCAGTGGGGATGTAGGGGTAAGTGGGAATGGTTAATGGGTACAAAAAAAAAAAGAATTAATAAAACCTACTATTTGATAGCACAACAGAGTAACTATAGTTAATAATAACCTAACTGTACGTTTTAAAACAACTAAAAGAATGTAATTGGATTGTAAATGCCTGAGGGGATGGATACCCCAATCTCCATGATATGATAATTACACATTGCATGCCTGTATCAAAACATCTCATGTATCCCATAAATATATACACCTACTATGTACCCACAAAAATTTATTTTAAAAACAGTATAAATAATAAACAACTTTTAAAAATAAATAAAATAAAATACAATCATAAAGACTTTAACAATGTAAAGAAGAGTAAAATCAGTGAGGACTGCTGTAATCCAGGAATCTGGAAGAGCAACAGCACAGAAGAATAAAAGGAAAGATGGAAATAAAAATAAAATAAGTAATTAAATTAAATTAAAATACAATAAATGTATCTACCCCCTTGGCCTTGGTAATTTAAAACATACTCTGAGGAGACAGTTCTCTATTTTTATCTATTATGTTTGTACAGCAGGAAAATTAATTTCCATAAAACAGAGTAAACCTGGTGAAAGGTCTTTAGTGTATTTAATCTAAATGGAATAGTTTCTCTTTATCATTTTTTTCTAGGGCATATTCTTCCAAACACAAGAAATTTTAGTGCAAATGATTTGAGGGCTTAATCTTATATGGAGGCAATTTAATAGAGTTTCAGGAATCTCTGTAGAAAATCTAGAGGCACATAGAAACTCTGGTATTTGGTTGCTTTTTAAGTTTGAAAATAAATACAACTGTTTTTCTAATTTTTTTTTGTCTTTTTGCCAGTGGGTTTTTTACATGAATCTGAAAGGGCTTCTGAGGGTTATTTATTTATTTATTTTTGCCTTTGAGTTTCATTGATGATGCTTTTTAGTCTCTTATAGGTCTTTCTGTGAATGAGAAGTTAGAATTTTGATTTCTTTTGTAAGCCTCTTCTTTCCACAAATACTATGACTGCTTTCTGGCCAAAATGGGAAATTTCCAGATTTTTCTCTTAGATATTTTGGGACATCCTGTCCTCAGGACAAAGCAGGAAAAAAGCCCACTAGTTGGGGGGGTAATTTCTGGTCACCAATTCCAAATTATATCGAGTAATACCACAGTAGTTTAATATAAGCTAAACAGAAATGGAATTTCTTCTTGGTCATTCAACTGAGGACCCCACTCTGTGGGGTCTAACCTAAAAGAGTAATCTGATTTTTCTCAGGTACACATGGTAAGGGTTAACAGACAAGCAAAAAATATGGTCAGACTCATCCGATAGTCTCTACTGGAAAATACAAAGCATTTCTGAGCTCAAGTTGGGAGCAATGGTATCTTTGGGCAGCAGATATGGAGAAAAATCTGAAAGTACAGTCATGTGTGAATTCAGCCCACATCCTATATTCCACCTCCATTCTTCCTAGGATCTTACAAACAATGCCAAATTGTTCCACAAGAATGACCAGACTCAAAAGTTTTAAATAAGTGTTTGCCATTTATAAGAACTGCTTTTCAGAAAGAAAAGTTGTGGGTGCTAATTACTGAGGATAGGAAGATGACAGAAAAGCTGGGTAAACAGATTTGGAGTTAATTTTTGGGACATCTTGAGCCTGAAATGGCTGAGTAATCCAAGAGATTAGAACAAATATGTAATTCGATATGTAAGTCACAGAACAAGAGAAAAATCCTGCTGACTTCATATTCGTGTTTCTTTCTCAATACACGTGGAGGCAGGGAAATAGCAATCTATACCTTAAACCTGAAATTCACAACAATTTTTCTTCTCCAAATACTTCCAAAGTAGAAAGTCTGGAAACATTATATCTCAACTATGCTACTGAATCCAAGGCCAATACTTTCTTCCAAATTTTAAATTTTTTTTCTTTTTTTTTCTTTTTTTTGAGACAGAGTCTCACTCCATCACCCAGGCTGGAGTACAGTGGCACCATCTCAGCTCACTGCAACCTCCACCTCCCAGGTTCAAGTGATTCTCATGCCTCAGCCTCCTGTAAAATTTGTTTCCTTGTCATGCTACGTAGGCCAGCAAATTTATGCATTCCTCCTTGAAACCTGGCTTCTGTCAAAACCCCACCCTCTGCTAACAAACATGTCTAAATGTCAATGAAAATCTCTAGTATATAAACATTTAACTTTCATACCAGGCTTTTAAGCTTCATGCAAATTAAAAGTCACACATATAAATTAGTCATTTAGTGCATGGCCTTGGATCCATTGGTTTAGGCTGGGATTGTCATTGATCTAAGAAACAGTGAGCAAATGCCAGCAAAGTATATAAAAAAAATAGAAAAAGTAGTGAAAATGACAAAGAAATATTACAGGGCAGATGGCAGAAGAAGAAACTCCAAATATGACTAATATGACTAAGAAAGAACATGCAGAGACCAGAAGCCAAGGCAAAAAAAAAAAAAAAAAAAAAGCAGGGGGGTGTTTCAAAGGATTGAGAAATGTTGTAAAACTCTGGCTAAAGGCAAAGCAAATGGTAAAATGTAAAGAATGCTTACATTTTTCAACAAGAAAGACACTGGCAACCAAAAGCAAGGCCATTTCAGTGGAGTGATGGCACAAAAAGCAGATTTCTCTTAGTTGAGGTAAAATTGGGACTCTAGACTTTGGAGAACTTAGTTGGGAACACTAGTTCTAGAAGTCTGGATCCAAACAGGGGGAGAAATTAGACATTAGCCATAGAAGAGGAGTATATATAACACAATGAACATTTCTTAGCATTTCAAGTACTAGTTGCGAACTAAGTTTGAACTTGGAGGACAATATTCCTCAATTCTCAGGAATGTATGGACATCAAGCACAGTGTCCAGCCTCTGTGCAAAATCGCTTTCTAGCACCATAACCACCATTACCTCTGTCCCACATCCAGAAATGGTCCTCTAGCCTCAAAGCAGGAAGAATGCCCAATGACAAGGCTGTTTATTCTGCTTTCCACTTAGAAAGTTTTACCCTAGTTTGTCTAACAAATTTCTATACTCACTTTCATCCCTCTGTCTTGTTCTGGTTCTTCCTGGGGACTCATCATTATGGCAAACATACCAGGTTAGTTCTCTGGATATCAAAGGCAGCTCTATTGTCTCTTTCCTTAGCCTACAACGTTTACTTGGAGGACCTGATCCCTCTACATGTTCACAGGAGCATCCAAACTCAATACAATTGTCATCTTCCCTTTGCAGTCACCAGAATGGTATCAAAACAGAACAGAAAGGTGACCTTCTCCTTTCTAGGCACACCTGTACTAAGTGATGCCAACATCTTATTGGCTTTATTGGCCAGTGGCCATTCCTATACTCCATAGCTTCACAGCTCTCAGCTTAATCTCTCCAGACCAATGATGACTACCCACAGATGAAAGACACACCACAAAAAGGAATGCATTTTTTATAGGGAAAGCATTCCAGAATGGAGGAGAAATTACTACAGAGGAGACGTTGGTGATATTCAAATGTGAGAGTAGCTTGAACTGTTTGTAACTGACAAGTTGGAGTTAGAGTCGTAATCCTCCTTCACATTTTTAGAACTGGTTATTTTCACAGAAAGTTTCAGGCAGCACTTTTGATCATTTGGGCAGGTTAAGTATTGGATTTCATATTCTCTGCAGGCGTTTCTGCACATGCCTTGGTAAAGCTCACATGGATTCCAAGGCTCTCGGCTCTTGCCATTGTGGGATCTGAACAGGCCACCTGGGAAAGACATGGCCATGTTTAGTTTCCATGCAGCAGTGATAATAGGGTGATGAAGCATGATTTAAAGGAACACGCCCTAAGACTATTAAGGGCACAAGATCTGGAATCAAAACTACCTAGATTCAAATCTGGGCTCTGCCATTTACCATCTCTCCCTCCTCAAGCAAGTTACTTCAGCTCTCCAGTCCTCCATTGCATCATCTTCACAACAGGCAAAATAATAGAGCCAAGTTCCTAAGGTTTTAGTAATGACTAGGTTCATGTATGTAGTATTTTCAAAAAAGCATCTGGCACATAACAAGTAATTGAATATTAGATGATGTAGTTGATATGAAAGTCTTCTCCTGAGAGTATGAGGTTTCAAGGTATGCCACTGTGAGCACATATGTCCCCAAGTGCCTACAGAGATCTGTGACCCTCACACACAGCTAATCAGAGGCAGCCAGGATCTACTCTCAGATAGCACACAAATATTTGAGCCTATGTGCATGCATGCCTTTATCCTCTGAAACATAGGAGCAAACAAGTACTACAACTGTCTCTCTTTGTACATTGGCCTTACAGAAACAGGTACTGTGCATACACAGGCAGCATACTGGCATATACACAGACCCATGTATACAACCCACTTTATTCACAGATCCACATTCTCACATAAATTGAGCACATGTGCTCACTGTACAAACCTTCACCATGCACTTTCCACATATTGCTAATTGCACCTTGATAGCTATGTATAAGTCATCCAGGTGTGTACATGAGTGAACATAAGCTCTTTGCCTGAAAATACCCCAGTGACAAAGTTCCTGACACTTAATCAGCATTCTATAAATATTAGTCATCAATGGTATTACTTACCTATTTGATGTTCTACAGACAAAGGAGCAATTAGAAAGAAATATTAACAATCACTACCATGTACTGTGGTATGGTCCAGCATCAACTATGTACAGGCATTTTACAAATGATAGCTCACTGAACCTCATAAAAACCTGCTGTTATCTTCACTCTTTAGATGAAGACACTGAGGCTCAAAGAGATGCTTTGTTTTGTCTGCATTCTCATAGCTTATACTTGATCAAGCCAGTATTCAATTTCTGGTCTACATGACATCAAGCCTATGCTCTTTTCTCTCTGTGTCACATTGCCTCTCTGTGATAGGCACAGAGAAGACGGCATCATCCTGCATCATGTCTACACACACAGGGCCTTCTACAGATTTCAACCGAGTTCAAAATCCTTAGCTTGGCATTCAAGGACCTTTTCAACCATCCCCCCACTCCCTCATTCCACACCCATTTATGAACACTCTGTGTCAGGCCATGGACTCAGTGCTAAATAGATAGAGGTCTCCAATTAATCAAATTTATTCACTATTAACATTAACGAAAATGGGACAAAGCAAGTATAATGTTATTTCTTGCATGGAAAAAATGAATACTTTGCTAATTTTTAGATTAGAGAAAGTAAAATGCCCAATTTTAGGTGAAGTTGGAGAACGGGAAGAGAAATAAAGAAGAGGGAAATGCCTCCACGGCAGATGTCCCATAACATTTGGGTACTGGAGTGTGTATAAACTGCCCCAGGAATCCAGAGAGGGATTTCAACTGCTCCAACATCAACCAGCCTGCTGGTCAACCAGAGAAAGGAGGTTGAAAATGATACTGATTCATCCATGCTCCAGCACAATGATATCACTGTGTTTCCCACCTTAATCTTCACCCTTATCATGGGACCTGCACACTCTCTCTCTCTCTCAGCACCATTATACTTATGGGAGAAGAAGATTGCAAAGGGCCTCCCCCAAGTGATATCCATACTGTTCTGGCTAACACCTGACCTCTAGGACTTTTCCTTTCTACCAAACACACTGGAGGGCAGTTGGAGACCCAAGATTTCCTGTCTGCAGTCACTGGAGGGATGGATAGAAACACAGATACCAAGAATGAGCAATGGGCAAGCTGCCTTAGAAAGTTGGTCAAGGCCACCCCAAGAGGATTCTGCCTACAGTGATTTAAATAAATTTTTTAAATAAAAATAAAGATTTTGTCATAGATAGTTACAGTTTCTTACTCCTACAGCTTTTCTAACCTTAGATTGCCCTGCATTGCCCCAAATTTTGACATCCACATCAAATTAATGTTAACTTTGATAATCTCTCCATCTTCCGATTGAAGTCAGAGGACCAGCTTTTGCATTTCAGCATAGTCTCTGGCCCTCTGCACCATGCTATATTTTAACCCTCTGGACCCAGTCTCTCCATGTCAGAAAATGGGAATGGGAGACTTTGCACCAAATTAGAAAGTCTCCACTGTGTTTGTGTAAAAAAGAGGTTAATAAGATGTCATACTTCATAATAACCTGGCATATTTTTACGTATATTCATACTAAGTCTCTAGAATTTCTGATTCAGTATATCTAAGGAGAGGCCAGAGCAAGGGTGCTTTGCAAGAGTTCCCCAGAAAATACTAATGGGCTCCTGTTTGCAGTGAAAGCCACGATTCTGCCTAGCCTTCTCACATTCAGCTATAGACATTGCCCAGCTCATTTTTCCACATTGGAAGTGTATTGAAAGCAAATTAAACTGTCTTAAGTCAAAAAACAAAAGGTATCCTCTGGACCTTTTTAAAAATTCCATCCCAAGCCAAAATCAATGTGATATATTATTTCTCTGCCTGCTGTGCAACCAAACATGATCCTCTCCCATCCAATCTCTAAGGTTATTTCTACTCATATATGTTTATTAGCCATGATTCATTACATATTCATTCATTCAATAAGTATTTGCTAAAGCCTACTCTATTCAACACACTCAGCTCAACATCAGAAATGTGTAGATTTAAAAGACAAAGTCTTGGCTTTCAAACAGTTTAATTTCATATGCATACATTTGGGAGGATAAAAGGAAAAATTTGTTTGGATTGTCCTAATAGAAAATGTTGTCCAGAACTGTTCCTGCTCATAAATTCTGCCAAGTAAAAGTACTCAATAATTATTAAGGAAGCTACACTATGTACAACTCTTGAAGCATAGAGTGCTGTCTTCATTTTTGTTGTTGTTTGTGTTTCTTGCAAACCCACTTGTGTTTTCTACCACCATTAGAAATGAGAACTGAGCTTTACTGAGCATGAGAACAAATGTCTCTTGAGCAAAGGAATAAAAGAAGCTGAGAAATAAGGAGGCATGAGAATGTGAAATAGAAGGAATATGAGAAAAGAGAGGAGGAAAAGAAGAAGAAAAACAGAGAAGAAAGAGGAAGAGGAGGAGAAACCTCTAGATCAGATGAATCTGAACTCACTATCGAGGAAGGAAGAACAATCTTGGTTTTCTATAGGGTGGGCTGAGACTGCTCCCATATCTCTCTGTACATGCCAAGATTTGACAGGAGACAATTCCAAACATTCCAGTCTCCTGACTTCCTCTATCTCAGCCATCTACAGTCACATCTATTGTTCTTCAGTGCCCTTGAAAATCACACTTAAGAAACTTTCTTCAGAATTTGAAAATAATACTGGATATTTTTCATCCAGTGTTTATTCTCCCCATTTCCTTATTTAAATCACTTTGTTGAAGTACAATTGGCACACAAAAAGCTATACATATTTAATTTATACATTTTGATGAGTTTGGAGATAAGCATACATTACACCCATGAAACCATCATCACAATCTATGCCATAAACCTATCCACGCCTAAAAGTTTTCTCCCACCATCTTATTTATTATTTTTGGTACATCAAATCTTATTTTAAGAACACTTAACATAAAATCCACTCCCTTGGTAATTTTTGAAATATCCAACACAGTACCGTTAACTATAGGAACTGTGTTGTACAGTAGATTTCTAGGACATATTCATGACAGTATAGTCTCTTCAATAAATGTATTGGGAAAACTAGGTATCTAGATGCAAAATAATAAAATTGGATATTTATCTTACACCATACACAAAAACAAATTCAAAATGGATTAAAGACTTAAATCTAAGACCTGAAACTATAAAACTCCTAGGAGAAAACATAGAGAAAAAGCTTCTTGACGTTGGCCTTGGGAAGGATTTTCTGGATATGACACCAAAGCACAGGCAACAAAAGCAAAAATAAACAAGGGGATTGCAGCAATCTAGAAAGTTTCTGCACAGCAAAGGAAACAGTCTACAAAATGAAGAAACAACCTATGGAATGGGAGAAAATATTTGCAAATCATATATCTGAGAAGGAGTCAATATTCTCCTTATTTCAATAGCCACAACCCTGCTGTGATGAATTCAACTGTCTTACTCAAGCTTAATCACCCCCAAACCCAGGCTAAGTCAATCCCTGCCCAGATAAACCTCACATACCCATGACTGAATAAGATACCCACTTTAGGCAAACACTAACTACAACTCAAGCCCTACCTCTTCTAATAACCACCAAAAGCCCAACTGCAAAACATACAAACATAACACTATCCAAGCCACCCAACCCCATTCACAGCATCAATCTAAAACACAACCCAGCTACAAACCTCTCTATACCCCAACTCCCAGTTGCACCAACTCTACCCCAGCTCCATTCAAGAAAAAATACCATTTCCTCTCTAGAATGCACCAAAACATCTATTCAGCCCAACCTATAAATACAATTATTCACCCCATGCTCATCCCCACTCACTTTTTGGATATTACCCTATCTCTAAGGTCTTACAACCTCCCCACCTCAACTCCCTACCCAACTCCAAACTGCTATACCCCTCCTATAGCTCCTCAACTTGCACACAGTCTCTCACACCTAACTCATGAATTAAGCCCCCATCCCAATGACAGCACTACCTAAAATGTTCCATGCTTAGACTGTCCACTATGCCAGGATCAACAACCTCTTCAATTTGTCTTGGCAGAGCAGAACCAGGGGAGATCTTTACATGAAATTAACCTTGGGAATAACATCTGTGACCCACCTGAGACCAGAAAAGGCTTTAGGTGTTGCCCACTATATGTGAGTAGGAGTCACTGCAGAGGTCACCAAGATACCAGTACCACATGCAAGACGCCAGAACCTTTGAGAGAGGCCTGAGTTACCTGGAGTCTTTTGAGCCAGGATCATAAGGATGGCAATGGTCATTAAACAGGGCTTCATGACTGACATGTTCCACCAGAATGAAGGGCTGTGTTGCAGGTGACCAAACAGAGATCACTGTAGCAGAGCAGTAGCCCGCCTTTATTAGTTTTGGAAATGCGTCAGGGTTCTGTGCAGTGAACTAAAAGGGATGGGAGATACCTGATGTCAGGCAGGAAGAAGGACAACATGTATCACTTATCTGAGCTGGATACTCTGTGTAAGCGTGGGAGACTTGCCAGCAGTGCTCATGTCTGTGTGGGCCTTTCTTCCCATTAAGAAATAAAGACAAATTAGAGCCAGTTGGCATTTTGTGTGAAACGAATTTGAATGAATGAATCAACCAAGCAAGCAAGCAAACTTGAAAAAACTTATAAACAATTAGATAAGAAATAAGCACGTGTATACCTATGTGAGGCACGTGTATACCTATGTAACAAACCTGCACGTTCTGCACATGTACCCCAGCACTTAAAGTATAATTGTAAAAAAAGAAATAAATAATTATTTTTAACTGTAGTCACCATGCTGTGCCCACAGAACACCAGAACTTATTCCTCCTATCTAACCGAAAGTTTGTACCCATTGACCAATGTCTCCCCTTTCCCCATCCACCCTCCCTCGAGGCTCTGGTAACAACCATGCTAATCTCTACGTCTATGAGTTCAATTTTTTTAGATTCCACATCTAAGTGAGATCATATGGTATGTGTCTCTCTGTGCCTGCTTTATTTCACTTCACATAGTGTCTTCTAGGTTCATTCATATGATTGCAAATAACAGAATTTTCTGTTTTTTAAAGGCTGAATAGTACTCCAGTATCTATAGTTAATAATAATGTAAAGAGCTAAAAGAAAGATTTTTAAATGACCTCATCACAAATAAATAATAAATATTTGAGGTGATGGACATGCTGATCTCTCAATTAATTGATCCCTTTATTATTATATAATGACCTTCTTTGTCTCACTTTGTGGTTTTTTACCTAAAGTCTATTTTTTCTGTTGTAAGAAAAGCTGTTCCTGCTCTTTTCTGGTTTCTTTTTCCATGGAACATCTTTTTCCATCACTTAACTTTCAGCCTATGTGTTTCCTTAAAACTGAAATGAGTCTCTTGTAAGCAAAATACAGTTGAGTCATTTAAAAAAATCAATTCAGCCACTCCTTCAATTGGCAAACTGAATCCATTTACATTCAAAGTAAGTATTGATAGGTAAGGATTTACTTTTGCCATTTTGTTCATTCTTTTCTGGTTATTTTATACATCCTTTGTTCCTTTCTTCCTCTTTTGCTATCTTCCTTTGTGATTAGATTATTTTCTATATTAGAATGCTTTGATTCCTTTCTTCTTATCCTTTGTGTATCTACTGTCAGTTTTTGCTTTGTGATTACTATAAGGGTTACACAAAACATATGTTGTTATAACCGGCTGTTTAAAGCTGATAACCACTTAACTTTGGTTGCAAAATATGATTCTACATTTTTATTGTATCTCTCCTGATAATTTATGTTTCTGATGTCACAATTTACTGTTTATATTGTGTGTATCCCTTATCAGATTATTGTAACTTATTATTAATAGTTTTGTATTTTGTTTTATACTCAATATATTAGTGACTTATCATCTTTACAGTATTAGAGTATTCTGAATTTAACTGTGTACTTACTTTTACCAGTGAGTTTCATACTTGCACCTGTTTTCATTTTAGTTATTAACATCCTTTCCTTTCAGCTTGAAATATTTTCTTTAGCATTCCTTGATAGACTGGCCTGGTAGAAATGAACTCTCTCAGATTTTGTTTGTCTGTGAAAGTCTTTATCTTTTCTTCATTTCAGAAGCAAGGACTTGCTCAGTAAAATACTTTTGTTTGGAAGCTTTTTTCCTTCAGCATTTTGAATATATCATCTCACTCTCCTGACCTGTGAGGCTTCAGTGGAGAAATTGACTGACAGCTGTATTGAGTCTTTCTTGTATGCGATATGCTTCTTTTCTCTTGCTTTTTTCAGAATTTTTTTCTCCCTGATTTTTGATAGCTTGAGTATAATGAGTCTTGGCTAATTGGTCTTGAGAAATCAGTATCTATGGCAGCCATAGCCTTATGAAATGCATTTCTTAAATAATAAGACCCGAAAGTCAAAATTATTCCTTGATCCATGGGCTGTAAGTGATTATTGTGTTAGCCAGCATAAAACCAACGTTAATCTCCTTTTACATCTTCATCAGAGGTCTTGGGTACTAGGTACATTGCCAATGATCAGTGATATTTTGAGAGAAATTTTTTTCTCGGCAGTAGGTCTCAACAGTGGGCTTAAAATATTCACTAAACCATGCTGTAAACAAATGTGCTGTCATCCAGACTTTGTTGTTCCATTTTTGGAACACAAGCTATAGCTTTAGCATAATTCTTAAGGACCCTAGGATCTTTGAAATGGTAAAAGAACATTAGTCTCAACTTTAAGTCACCAGCTGCATAAGCCCCTAGCAAGAGAGTCAGCCTGTCTCTCAAAGCTTTTAAGCCAGGCATTGACTTCTCTTCTCTAGCTATGAAAGTGCTAGATGGCACCTTCTTACAATAGAAGGCTATTTTGTTTACATTGAAAATCTGTTGCTTAGTGTAGACACCCTCATCAATAATCTTAGCTAGATCTCCTGGATAACTCGCTGCAGCATCTACATCAGCATTTGCTACTTGACCTTGAATTTTTTTTCAGAAGGTTGTTTTATAACTTTATTTGGTGTATTTGATGATCAACAGTTCTTATCCACATTGACTTTCTGTAGATTTTTGAAAGTGGTAACAGGTACGCAGGTAACCAAAGTATAGAGCTTGTTTGGTGAATCTTCATCCTCATTACATTTTCTGGACAACTGTACATGGATATGGTATAGGACATTCTTTATTCCTTAAGCCCAAACAGCTTTGTTGAACCTGATATCAATCCTCACATTTGGAGACCCCATCTCTTCATGGAAAATTTCTGGATCTCATTGAGTGCCTGAGGGGCACACTTTAAAAAAAATTTTTTTAATTATACTTTAAGTTCTAGGGTACATGTGTACAACGTGCAGGTTTGTTACATATGTATACATGTGTCATGTTGGTGTGCTGCACCCATTAACTCGTCATTTACATTAGGTATATCTCCTAATGCTATCCCTCCCCCCTCCCCCCACCCCACGACAGGCCCCAGTGTGTGATGTTCCCCACCCTGTGTCCAAGTGTTCTCATTGTTCAATTCCCACCTAGGAGTGAGAACATGCGGTGTTTGGTTTTCTGTCCTTGCGATAGTTTGCTCAGTTTGATGGTTTCCAGCTTCATCCATGAGGGACACACTTTTTAAAGTTCACTCCATGGATGCACTTGTGAATGTCGATGGTGTACTTCCAGGTCACCACCTCACTGATGGCAATCTGTCTTCATGAGGCGTTAGAGGTTGATGTTCTAACAAACATAAAAGCAGGCAAGCAGTAGTACTCAGCTATTACATGAACTTTTAAATTAGCCATATCTTTACATAGATATAGTCAATATCTATACTGATAGTAAATATGTGTTTGGGGCATGTCATGCTACAGACCAAATTTGGAAGAACAGAGTCTTTCTAACATTAATGAGAACAAAATATCACACATAAATGGACTGTTGATTTGTTAGAGTCATTGCAATTTCCCCAACAGATTTATGTTCATTGTAGAACTCATAGATAAGATGAATTATCTAAATAAATTTGCATGAAAATAGCTACTAAGATTTGGACTGAGGAAATTGAAGTCCCATCACATCTATGGGGAGTCCTATTCATGGTTTCAGTAATATGAGACTCCCCCCAAGTTAGAAAATTAGACATCAAGGAAAGCTAAAAAGAGCACCACAGAAAATATGAGAATTACCCAATGAGATATTCCTGTACTGGTTTTTCATGCCATCCAACCAGCAATATCACTTAAACAAAAGGAATATACTGAAAATCTTGGAATCTTACCACTCCTGTAATAAGGTCAAATAATTCGGTAAATAATACGAGCATGTGCTGTCTGTCAGAAAATTTCTTTACAGGGAATACCTACAGTAAGCCAAGGAAGCCCACTCAGGCCAAAGTTCCCAGGACCCGGTGGCAAATGAATATTATAGAGCTTCGGTCATCACAAGCTAAGAAATACTCTTTAGTATGATGCCTGGATGGACAGAAGTATTTGCTTTGGCTCAAGGAAGTGCTCAAATAGTGATCAAGGCCTTACTAAATTATGACATCCCAGTCTTCGGAATTCCTGAACATAGAGAATCTGACATGGAAAATCATTCTCCCTGTGGCAAATCAGGGGCTCAGTAAAACCCTACAAATACCAATAATTTATACTTCCTATCATCCCCAGTTTTCTGGACAAATGGAACAAATGAAACTTACTCTAAGGAATTATTTGGCTAAACTATGCCAGGTGCAGTGGCTCACACCTGTAATCCCAGCACTTTGGGAGGCCGAGGTGGACAGATCACTTGAGCCCAAGAGTTTGAGACCAGCCTGGCCAACATGGCGAAACCCCGTCTCTACAAAAAATACAAAAATTAGCTGGGCATGGTGGAGAGCGCCTGTAATCCCAGCTACTTGGGAGGCTGAGGCAGGAGGATCGCTTGAACCCAGGAGGCAGAGGTTGTTGCAGTGAGCCAAGATCGCGCCACTGCACTCCAGCCTGGCCAGCAGAGGGAGACTCCGTCTCAAAAAAAAAAAAAAAAAGAAAGAAAGAAACGAGAAAAGAAAAAAGAAAAAAAAACCATTTGGCTAAATTAAATGAAGCCACTGGCTTACAGTGACTCAGAGCCTTAGTATTTGTTCTATGAAACTTAAGGTTAACTCCCTGTAGCAAGCATGATATTTCTCCTTTTGAGTTAATGTTTGGAAGCGCTATGTGTTTAGCAGTGAAGCCTAGCCTGTTACTTTATACGAAGGAAATCACAGAGTTTTCTCATTTCCCTAGGCTTATTACGCCATCGTGTGGCCAAAAGATGGAAGAATCCCCCTGAAACGGTATGTTGCTAATACAGACTAGGAGACAATCTACACTGAACTTACCCAATGGCAGGCTAGATTATCATAGTGCTGAGAAGGACACTACCAAGTGTTGCTGGTAACTCACATCACTATCACAGGAAGGAGCAACACACCTGGATACGTGCTTTACCTGTGAGAAAAGCATCAGTGACTGAATAGACTGTAACTCTACTATTAAAGTTACAGTCTCCAGAAAGTTTGACTCATCATTGTTTTGAGATCTGTCCATGTTGTGTGGAGATAGCAATTGTTCACTCATTTTTATTATGGCATAGTGTTCCATTACCATAACTAATTTATCCATACTACTGATCATAAGCATTGGGTTCTTTCTAGTTTGGGGTCATTATAAATAATGCTACTATGAACACTCTTGTTCGTAACTTTTTATGCACATATGTAGGCCTTTCTATTGGGGAAATTGAGAGGTCATAGATATGCATGTGATCAGCTTTTTAATCTGCTGTCAAATAGCTTCCCAAAGTGGTGTACCATTTTAATACACCCCCACTGATACTTGATATTGTTAATCTTCATTAAGTTTAGCTAATCTCTGTGTGTAATGATAGCTCATTACAGTTTTAATTTGTATTTCCTTAATGACCAGTGGAATTAAGAGCTTTTTCATATATTTATGGGTCATTCGGATGCTCTGTTCAACACTTTGGCTTTTTTGTTCTTGGAGTGCGTGTCTGAGTTTTTCTTAATGAATTGTAAAAATTCTTCATGTATTCAAGACACAAGATCTTTGTTGGTTATAGGTTTTGAAAATAGCTGTCACAATTTTGTGGCTTAACTTTTCTGCCTCTTAATGACATCTTTTGTTCAACAGATGTTCCTAATTTTAATGAAGTCTAATTTATCAATCTCTTTCTTTACAGTTGGTACATTCTGTGTCTTAAGAAATCTTTACTTACCCCAAGGTCTTAAACATACTTTCTTATGTTTGTTCTAAAAACTTTATTGTTTTATTATTATTATTATCTACATGGAACTGATTTTAGGTGTGAAGGAAAGATCAACTGATAACCATTTATTGAAAATACCATCCTTCTGCCATTACTCTACTGTTCTACTTTTCTCATGGAATCATACATGATTAGATCTCTTTCTAGACTCTATTTTGTTCCTTAGTTTCTTTATCTTTGCATCAGTAGTACATTTTACTAATTACTATGGCTTTATAATAAGTCTTAATATCCAGGAATGTAAATTCTCTAACTTTGTTCTTCACAATTATATTGGCTATTCTTTGCCCATTTATTTCTATCAATCTTTGAATTTGTTTATCGATTTCCACAATCTGTGGAACTAGCTCCTACTTTTTAGTCCTTGAATTTATTTCTTATTTTTTCCTAAAAACAAGGGCAGGCTCTCCCTCCACTGTTGTAATAAATATTTGCATTATTAATGAGAGTCCTTGGTTTTTTTTCCAATTTTTTTTTTTTTTTTTTTTTTTGAGATGGAGTCTCGCTCTATCAGTTGCCCAGGCTGGAGTGCAGTGGCACGATCTCGGCTCACCGCAACCTCTGCCTCCTGGGTTCAAGCGATTCTCCTGCCTCAGCCTCCCGAGTAGCTGGGACTACAGTCACCCGCCACCATGCCCGGCTAATTTTTGTATTTTTAGTAGAGACGGGGTTTCACCGTGTTAGCCAGGATGGTCTCGATCTCCTGACCTCGTGATCCGCCCGCTTCGGCCTCCCAAAGTGCTGGGATTACAGGCGTGAGCCACTGCGCCCGGCCTTTTTTCCAATTTTAAAGGGACTGTACCTAAAGATCCTTGAATAAATCTAACATTTGCCACAAAATTTTGGCATGTAATCTTTAGCATGTTTGATAGTGCTCGTCTCTTCCTAATTAGCTAAATATTCTATTATACTTAATTTTTGAAATTTATAAAATATTTTCTATGTATCATTTAAGAATCATATAATTCTTCTTTTTTCTATTAGGCTAGAGATTTACATTGCTAGAGTTTCTGTTGTTATTCATCCTCATGGCTTCCAGATAGATCCTAATTGATATACAGGAAGTATATTTTTAACACAGTATTAGGTTCCATTATTCACTATTCTATTTGGGATTTTGGCATATATATGCAGAGGAGCTACAGCCTATTGTTTCTCTTTCCTATTGTTTTTACCTGCCTTTGAAGTCAAGATAACACTGACCTCCTAAGATCATTTAGGCAGCTTTTACATTTCCTCTATTTTCTGGAACAATTTGTGTAATACAAGAATTAACTGTTCCTTCAAAGTTTGCTAGATCTAAGGGTATTATACAATTCTTCTATAATTTATGTAACTAGGACACATTTGAGAATAAAGGGGGTATTAATAATAATTATTCCAAGACAAAAGAACTTGAACTATTTTAAGCAAAGCAAAGTAGAACTCAATGTTAATACTTTATGAGTCTGAGACTTAGTGGGAGGGGGAGGCCTGTCAGTACCATTTCAGTGTCTTTATGCTTGGTTGATCTTCTCAGGTTTGCACTTCTTCCAGTGCTAGTCTTGATGGGCTGTATTTCCTTTAAGTATTTTTCAAATGTATCATGTATATTTCCTCATAATAGAGTTTTATTATTCTTAATCTCTGTGGTGTCTATAGTTATTTCCAGCTTTTTAACTGTTTTTAATTATTTCCATTTTTTTCTTGATAAGATTATCAAAAATCTATTTATCTTTAGCAAGAATTAAGATTCCAGTTCTGTTATTTATATTCCAGGGTATTCGTTGTTATTATAGTCCATTGGGTTAAACTCAATGAAATGCCTGAACTTATTATGTCATTTCTCTTGGTTTCTCTAGATATCCTCTTGCTGTTTTTCTAGCATCTAAAATTTAATGCTTAGCTTATTTTTAAACTAATATTATTACAAAAGGGGTATATTTTATTGTATGTTAAAATACAGATAAGCAAAAAATGAAACAATAAAAACACTATATCACTATTACCTAGAGATTGCCACAGTTAACATCTTATTGTATATTACTGGATCTTTTTCTATGCATAGATTTTATTAAAATGAAATCTCACTACACATTGTTTCATAATCTGCTTTGTTTCATTTATAATCTTCATTTTTCAATTTTAACGCATTTTGTTCATATTTAACGCCCAGGCTATATTCAAATTTCCCCAATTGTGCTAGAAATGTTCCGTGAAGCTGGTATGCTTAAATGACTGAATGTGATTTATTTATATCCCTTTGATCTCTTTCAGTCTAGCACAGTCCCCATTTTGTCACACTGATTTGTTGAAAACATTGAGCCAGTTGTTTTTACACTGATCCACCTTCTGATTTTCTAGTTTCCTTTTGCTTCCTCACCAATTTATTTTGTACGTAGGAAGTTAGTTCTTATGGCTTTATTGATGTACACTAATAATCTTGGCAAAAATGTATCAGAGCTGAAGCTGTGTTCTTTATACTGCATCACATCAGAAGTCATTTAATATCTGGATGTCCCTTGCTATTCAGATTCACAAGTGAATTAAAGTGACGACTGTCTGGTCTTTTTATTGGACAGTGTTGATTTTTCACTTTCATATTCAAATTGGTCTGTATGTTGTTACTTTTGCCAAGTAACAAATATCTGGTTCCATGTCAATCACATCCTTAATGGTTTTAACACAAATTATGGTCCTTGCCTGAATCAATAAATTCTTTAGGCGTTGCAGAATACAATTCAGTAAAATATAGCTTTCCCTCATCAACAAGAGCTATTTGATTACTAGAAATACAGCTCTTACTGGAGAGGCAGGATAAATGCTTAATTCTTTCAAATTACTTATTGGTCTTTGAAGTAAGTAGTTTGCTTAGTAGCTGCTTCAAATGGTGACATATGAGTTTTTCTGGTTATCCCATCTCTGAGTATCTTTAGACAATCATGCCTTTTCATTGATTCATTGTATTCCAGTCCATTTTATTTGTTACTATTTTTGATGCTCAAATTGTTATAACCTTATCAAGTAGAGATTTCCTCTGGCTGGATTATATATCCCTTTACATGACCCATTCGTTTTTTAAAGCTTTGATGATTTCTGCACAAGAAAATGTCCTGGGCTCACACTGTAAGTCCACAGCACTAGACCAGGGTTCAGCCATTTTTCTAAATGGCCCTGGTTGCTTTGAGTGAAGACTTGACTTGCAGACCAAAATCTGGGCACTTATGCTCATTGCTAATACGGTGCTATTGGTTCTAGTCAATTTAAGTTGGAAAAACTAAAATATTTACATTTTAATGCTTGTGAGGTTTCTGGATTCTGTTTAGCCACCTAAATTTAGGTCTCCTTACAATACTCCAAAAGTCATATATATCATATGAATCAATAAGAAAAGCATATAAAATTATCCATAACAAATGCCTACAATATAATCAAAAGACAGAGCTTCCATATATACAATTATAATTTGTCAAGTAACAATGGCAAATAAATAAGGCAGATATTCTTAGGTTATTCATTATGTTGATATGTGATAAGATGTCCCATATCACTCAGCCTGTGATAATATTTTATAAATGTTCTTGTCTCTATTTGAGAACAATTTGTATCATTTGGATGCAGTGTTCTGTATATTAGATTAATCCTACTAACTGGTGATTACCACATCTATATTCAGAGGAGGATTTCTAAGTCCCCGACTTTAATTATGGATTCATCCATTCCTCTTTATTTCTGATGATTTTTATTTACATATATTTCCATGCTGTATTAATAAAGGTACAAAAATATGTTTGGAAAACATGTCTTCCCAGTAAGTTGAACATTTTATCACTACGCAGTTATACTTTTTATCTCAATAATGCTTTCTTTCCTGGAAGTCTATTTTGTGTGATATTAATTTAGCTAAACTGCTTTCTTTGGGTTAGTGTATTTCCTATTCATTTCAACTTTATTTTTTTAATCCCAAATACTCATCTCCTAATTTATGTGCAATTTTAATTTTATCTTATTGTTTTTGGTTAAGAAAAATACTATTGTTATTATTTTATCAATGAATGATTGCAAATTTGCCACATATTTACAAGTATTGACCTTCTGTCTAAAGCTTCTCTCTTAGAATTTCCTTTGGTGATAGCCTATTATAGAAAATTCTCCTAGATTTTATCTGAAAATATCTACAGTATATCTTCATTCTTAAATTACAATTTCATTAGGTGTAGGAATATATGTGAGAGTTATTCTTCCTCAGCACACTGAAAATATAGTATCATTGTCTTCATGCTTTCTTTGTTGATGCTGAAAAAGTTGCTGTCAGTCTAATATTTGCTCCCTTGCAGGTAATAGGACCTTTTTCTCTAGCTGGTTTCAGATCTTCTCCTTGTTTTCATTATTCTACATTTTCCCTGTGTTCTATCTACATGTGCATTTTTCATATTTACCCTGGTTTTGATTTATTAGGGTTTTTTTTGAGTCTGAAAGATTGGTGTTTTTCATCAGTTCACAAGTTCTCAGTCATGTTAACTGGTACTATTACTTCTGCTCCCATTTTCTCTCCTCTTTCCTTCTAGAATTCCAAATAAACATGTTTAGGACTTCTCACTATATTTTCTATGTCTCTTAACCTCCCTTTTATTTTTTTAATCTTTTTGTCTATCTGCACTAAATTCTGAATAATTTCTTCTGAATAATCTCTTAATTCACTAATTCTCTCTTCAGCTATGTCTAATGTAATGTTAAATCCAAGTTTTTATTTTCACGTTATTTCAAGTTATTTCTATTTATTTTTCAGATCTGCTTCCTTTTTTTTTTTTTTTGTGATGGGGTCTCACTCTGTCAGTCAGGCTGGAGTGCAGTGGCATGATCTCAGCTCACTGCAACCTCCACCTCCCTGGCTCAAGCAATCCTCCCACCTCAGCCCCCTCAGTAGCTAAGACTATAGGTGTGCACCACCACATCCAGCTAATTTTTTGTATTTTGGTAGAGACAGGGTTTCATCATCTTGCCCCAGGTGGTCACAAACTCCTGAGCTCAGGCAACCCACCCGCCTCGACCTCCTAAAGTGCTGCGATTACAGGCATGAGCCACTGCACTTGGCCAAGATCTGCTTGCTTTTTATTTATAATTTCAAGTCTTGATTTTTTCTTGAAACATATTAAAGATGATTATTTTTTCTTTTTTTTTTTTTTTTTTGAGATGGAGTCTTGCTTTGTCACCCAGGCTGGAATGCTTTGTCACCCAGGCTGGCCCAATCTCATCTCACTGCAACCTCTGGCTTCTGGGTTCAAGCGATTCTCCTGCCTCAGCCTCCCGAGTGGATGGGATCACGGGGACATGCCACCACGCCTGGCTAATTTTTTTTTTTTAGCAGAGAGGGGGTTTCACCATGTTGGCCAGGCTAGTCTTGAACTCCCAGTCTCAGGTGATCTGCCCACCTTGCCCTCCCAAAGTGTGGGATTACAGACGTGAGCCAATGTGCCCAGCCATAAAGATAATTACTTTCTATTCTGTGACTGACAACTTCAATATCTGAATTGTTCCAGGTTTGAGTTTACTATTTATTCTTTCTGCTGCTTCTCATTCATAATGCTTTATTTTCTTGAGAGTTTTGTGATTTTTGTCTGCGAACTGATCATTTTCTTTAAACTTTTTTAAAGAGGTCTAGGATTAAGATGAGTTCTTCAGAGAATATTTATGTTTACTTCTGTCAGGCAACTAAGGGCATTACCAGTCTGGGCCTGTGTAAATTAGATTCTCAGCTTTAGATTTTTCATATCATCAGAGTGCCATGATTCAGGCTATATACTAAGTGAGGGCCTGCTTGGGATTACAAAATCTCAGAGGAGACTCCCTTGCACACACACACCCAATCTTCTCATTAACTAAATTAAAAACAGTTCATTTTCCTTGCAATCCAACTGGGGAGTAGGGATTGTTTCCAGCTCACTGTTATTGTAAAGACGCAATTCTTTGAAGTCCCATATTGATGCAGGAGTCTCTTATTAGGTTTTTTACCACTGGTACTCTGGATAGTAATTTCCATTTCTCAGTTCCATAAGGCCATGAAAAGCATAACTCAAGTTCATATGGTTCAGGAAATACCCTCAAGGTGGAAACTGTTTCAGTGTTTCTTTTCCTAAAAGGACTCCCTTCTCAATTCAATTTCTTGGTTCCATATTATTTAATTTTTGCAAGCTTATGAAATCATTTAAGAAAATATGAAAAATATCCATTTTAGAGATGTTTTCAGCAGAAAAGTACTCACTCTGCCATGGAGTTCAAGGCAAATGCTTAAGCCCAATGTTAAGCTTTGTTGCTCAGCATGGCTACTAGGGAAAGAAGATTCTTTCTGCCTATTCTTGAAATTTGGTTGCTATTTGACCAGTATCTTCTCTTTTGCTTTTTCTAAACAAGTCTAAATATGTCTGAACCTCAAGGTTATGTGCAACTTGAGTTTTTTTCAAACTTAGGTTTCTTTATCCTCTTATAAATTAGACAGTGTCACTTTATAATCTCCTTCAGGTAAGTACTTTACTGCCCATAAGATTATCTCATGCCCCACCAGAGAAATCTTTGAACTAAAGAAGTAATAAAATATTTTCCCAGTGTTGGACTTACCTTTTAATTTGTGTATGGTACATTTTGCCATAGAGAAGTAATTAAATTTAAGTAGTTAATTCTTCATAGCTGTTTTCTGGTTTTGTGCTTACAAATTTCCAGCAAAGTCTCTCTAAATAGTAAGTAATAAAGCCAACATTCATATCCCAAACCCTCAACTATATCCATTGTACCACACCATCTCTACATATAGTGAAACAGCTGGAGAAGGCTGACTCCTTTCTAGATAATGCCAGTTGCAGCTGCGATATCCATTGTTCTATAGGTTTTTGTGGGGGGTTTTTTTTGTGTGTTTTTTTTTTCCTTTCTAATATACCAGAGGTGCATACCATTATCTTGGTCCATACAAAATTTTTGGCATCTTTATAGCCCTCTTTAATGTTTATTTATTGTAATGTTTTTATTCATTTATTTTAAAAATAACGAGTCCTTCACAAATACAAGAGCTAAAATAGCATCAATAACTTAAATTTAAATACTCCTGTATTCCTCTAAAATCCCACACATCCTGCCTTTCCTTATCCACTCCCCAAGAATTTAACATATTTATTTGTATTTCTAAGTAGCATAATGGTAATTTTTATTGTTTAAAGTTTAATTTTGGGGAGAAAAATAAAACTGGGAAAAAAATAGTTTTATTTTTAAAAGAGGTAACAAAGTCTTCTTTGGTATGCATAGTCTTCTAAGATTTGTCTTTTACAATCCATAATATATTATTATTATTAAAATTCAACTATTGTGTGTAGCTGAATTTTACTTCTTTTCCCTGATATGTAGCTCATTCTTTGAATATATCACAATTTATTTATCTATTTGCCTGTCAAAGAACATTTATGTTCCTTACAGTTTGTAGCTTACCTTTTTACTTTCTTTTGGGTATCTTTTGATGGACAGAAATTCTTATATTTTTACATACTCAAACTTATCAATGTTTTCAATATAATTTTCAATACAGTGCTCACATGAAGACTCAGGTTATATATACATAAAATTTCAAGTGCACCCGTTTTCATAAAAGAAATGGAGTAAGTGAATTCCTCCACAGCTGTCACCATAAGTTCTCAGCATTTTAGTCTATTGAAATTCCTCCACAGTGATGCTCCCCTTGACAATACATTTATTTATTAGCACTCATTTCATGCTTATCCTTCTATGAAGGGCCAGGTATAATAAATTCTTCAGTACCTAAATAAACTAAAAATAATTCCAATATATAAACAATGCTCAAAGTCATCCCTTGTTTATAAGTATTTGAATAAACTAAAAATTATTTCTTCTATTTTCTTTGGATCAGGATGGCAGCAAAAAAAGGATATTTTTTTTCTTCGCTGAAGTTTTGGAAAGAAGGAATGCCTTTGTGTCAGGCTAGTATATGGCCTCCCACAGAAACCCAAAACAGTAGCTACATCTGCTGGCCTCCTGGTAGATCCCAGAAAACTACCAAAAACTTTTACAGTCCTTGCTGCATTTGAATCACAGTGCCCCTGTATGTCCCCTCCCACATCCAAACAGACAGGGGACTCCTCCCTGCTGCCTGGCATGCCTTCTCAGCAGGCCTCACATAGATAGGGAGAATAAGTGCTGCAGGGAGCCCTCCTCAGAATGAAACTCAAACCTGATCTAATTCCGCCCCAGTCTGAAGGGATTGCCCTCTCCCAATCGCCCTGAATAGGAAGACCACTACGAAATACTCAAAACTCTCTCAGAATCCACCAGAGCAATGGGCAAAATGCTGACACAGAGAGAGGTGCAGGAAGGTAGTCTCTCTCTCTCTCTCACTCTTTCCATCCGGACAGAGACACACGGCTGCATCACCCAAAGCAAATGTCAGTACCTTTTTTAAGTTCCTTATTACCACGGTTTTTTGGGTAATACTTTGTATCGCCATCAGACTTTGTATCGCCAACATCAATTTATTTTCACTTCTAATATTTCCTCATTGCTCAGTCTGATAGTCAGAAGAAATCTTCTTTTGAATTTCACCATTGTGTGTGACCCACTGAATGCCTGTGTGAAGGTCACTTTCCTTTCTGAGGCTCAGTTTCCCCATCTTCGTCTTCTTCACAAAACAATCTACAGGGTATAACAGTGTTGGTGGGATATTTTTTAAAAAGAAAACAAAAACACTGGCAGTGATTAGTTCCCATATGTAGAGAGAATTGAGGAGCAGCGCAAGAAAAAAGAGA
This sequence comes from Homo sapiens, assembly GCF_000001405.40. Lineage (NCBI taxonomy): Eukaryota > Metazoa > Chordata > Mammalia > Primates > Hominidae > Homo > Homo sapiens. Next base: position 31,323,351 of record NC_000020.11, read on the forward strand.
GTCTGGATGAGGGAGACGAGAAGGACAGAAAGATGATTGTGTTGACTTTGAAATAGTGGAGGGATGTGAGAAACTACTCTCAGGGTATTCTTGTGGAAATGCTCAGCTTCAAGAGGTGCCCTCTCTGATCATACCAGCCTTTTTCTTCCTCTAGCCAACTTCCAAATTCTAACATTTGAACCATTCAGTGCCTATGAAGTTCTCACCCAAGGAATTTGGGAAGTTATGGAGAAAGGCCTCTGGATATTTTCATTTGGAGGAGGGAACAGAATAAATTTTAATAGACCCCGATCTACCTGATTACGTGGCTCCATTTAAGCCTAACACAGATTCAAGTTCCACACAACTACAGACCAATCCCAAGTTCTGATCACTCACACTTTTGTTCAAATTGAGCCTAAACTCTGTTTCCATCTTAACTCCAAACTCCAACCCTACTCTACCCAAGGTCTATCCATGTTTAACCCCAAGACAACCACAACCTAACTTTACTACCACTAGCTCCAGTTCAGCCCATCACCCTGCCTAATCCCTATATCCAGATTCATTTGGCCATAAATTTCACCCCCTCTCCAGACTACCTCATACCAATCCTAATTCCCCCAATACAACTCCTCACCTAGTATTTATCCCGAACCATCTTCCAAATATCTCCCTAACTGCAAGCTCCTCTTCCCACTGTTCAACAAAATTCATCCCTGGTGTCCAATATCTCTCAGAGATCCCTACCCCTCCTCAACTGGGACTCAATCTCTTGCCCTTAACCCTTCATCTAATTGCATATTGTATGAGTCACAGTTTTATCAGTTATCTTAACAGGGATTATTTAACATTTAAGTGTAATATTAGTGTTCATATTAATAAATTTAATATTAACTTTAATATAAAGATTTGTTATATAGGCATTTAAGAATTGAAAAAAATAAAGAGGACACTCAGCTATCACAGATGTAGCAACTGCAGGAATCAGCTACCAATTCCAGGGTGGGAATAACAAGAAAAAAGGTTGGAACCATTAAAAATAAATTAGAAGCTTGGAGGAAGATACCTGCTGAGCTGAATTTCAGATCTCTGAGGAAGGAGCTCTGCTCAGCTAGAACTAGTATCTATGAGGCATCATGAGGCTGGCTGTGTTGGAAAATTGCAAATTGGATTCAACTGTGCTAGAGGAATGCCCTCCCAGTGTTGGGGTGAAGAAGCAAGAATGAGTGATGCTGTTGGCAACAGGAAATAAATAGGAAGCCCTTAGGAAGTAAATAGGAAAGAGTTCTTCCCCCTCCAACTTTGAAATGTGCTCCTGGCACCGCCTATTGGCAGAGCTTAAGGAAACATTCTGCAAAGGAGAACCCCTGTTTGTAGTGTGCTAGCCTCAGCATTGCAAAGTAGAGCATAGACGGTTGGATGTGAAGCTGACAGACAACAGGCAATAGCATATTAAGTGACAAACATATCAGCGCCAGCCTTGACTGACACATGCCCAAGTCTTCCACCCTTCCACCACTGCAAAAGCAGCAACCTCTTAAATCCACCTTGGCAGAAAGCCACAAAGAGATGCTAACATGAAATGGACATGGGGATAACTTCATCAAGCTGCCTGAAACCAGGCTTCAGTTGCTGGCCACCCTACACAAGACCAGAATCCTAAAAAAAGACCAGAACTCCAGCACACTTGAGAGAGTCCTATATTATTTGAATTCCATGAAGCAGATTGACAAAGATCAGGATATGAAACTCTGTGGCTGCAGGGTCCCAGGAGAAGTAGGTGACTGATTTATGAAGGATGCAAAATAATTTTTGCAGCAAGTCTGAACTCTGACTATATTAGCTCCTGAAGCATGGTGGGGTATTGGTCAGCAAAATATAGAGAGAGGCAATTTATCTGAAGTCAACATAACAGAGATACAACATTTAATATATATTCCATCTAGACATTGGAATGGGAAAGTGAGATACTGGCCAGCATCCATAACAAAAGTGGGCTTTCTCTCCTGGTAAAAGAAAATCATTTGTCCTTTCAGAAAATGAGTAACAAAATAGCTAAAGCCCTCGCCTATTAATAATTACTTTAAAGTAAATGAATTAAACTTCCCAATCAAAAAGGGAGAGTATATGAATGGGTTAAAAAAAAAAAAGAGTCAATGATATGCTGTCTACAAGAGACTCACTTTAGATTTGTGGGCACACATAGACTGAAAATGAAGGGATGGAAAAAAAAAATACTCCATGTAAAAGGTAACCAAAAGAAAGCAAGGGTGCAAGGATGGCTATACTTATATCAGACAAAATAGACTTAAAGTCAAAACTATCTCTAGGGACAAAGAAAGTCATTATAATGATAAAAGGGTCTCTAGGGACAAAGAGAGTCATTTATAATGATAAAAGGGTTAATTCAATAGAATGATATAACATTTATAAATATAAACCTACCCAACACCAGAGCACATAATTATATAAACCAAATGTAGACAGATCTGAAGGGAGAAACTGGCAACAATACAATAATAGTAGGAGACTTCAATACCCCACTTTCAAAAATGGATGGAATATACAGACAGAAAAAATCAATAAACAGCTGACTTGAACAATATTATAGACCAAACGGACCTAACAGACATAGAACTTTCTATTCAATAGCAGAGGACTACACATTCTTCTCAAGTACACCTGAAACATTCTCCAGAATAAATCACATGCTAGGTCACAAAACAAGTCTTCAGAAATTTAAGAAGATTGAAATCATATCAACCATCTCTTAAAAAAAATAGGTGGCCGGGCGCGGTGGCTCACGCCTGTAATCCCAGCACTTTGGGAGGCCGAGACGGGCGGATCACGAGGTCAGGAGATCGAGACCATCCTGGCTAACACGGTGAAACCCCGTCTCTACTAAAAATACAAAAATTAGCCAGGCATGGTGGCACGCACCTGTAGTCCCAGCTACACAGGAGGCTGAGGCAGGAGAATGGCGTGAACCCGGGAGGTGGAGCTTGCAGTGAGTCGAGATTGCACCACTGCACTCCAGCCGGGGCGACAGAGCGAAACTCCGTCTCAAAAAAAAAAAAAAAAAAATAGGTATAGGAGGAACTTAACACAATAAAGCCCATACTGAATCTCAACAATGAAAAGACCTCGACACTGAAGGCTCTCAACACTGAAAAAGCCCTTGGCAGACAGCCACAAAGAGATGCTAACATGAAATGAACATGAGGATAACTTCATCAAGCTGCCTGAAACCAGGCTTCAGTTGCTGGTCACCCTACACAAGACCAGAATCCTAAAAAAAGACCAGAACTCCAGCACACTTGAGAGAGTCCTATATTATTCATAATCAATGAATTGAAAAACTAACATAATCAATGAGGATAAACTGGAAGTTTTTTCTCTAAGATCTGGTACAAGGCTAGGAGGCCCACTCTTGCCGTTTCTACCCAATACAGTATTAGAAGTCCTAGTCAGAGCAATTAGACAAGACAAAGAAATAAAAGGCATCCAAATTTAAAAGGAAGAAGTAAAATTATCTCTGTTTCCAGATGACATGATCATATATATAGTAAACCATAAAGACTCAACAAAAAAACCCTGTTAGAACTAAGAAACTAATTCAGTAAAATCGCAGGATAAAAATCAACATACAAAAATCAGTGGCATTTCTATGCACAAACAATCTGAAAAGGAAATTAAGACAACAGTTATATTTACAATGGCAACAAAAAGCATAAAATACTTAAGAATAAGCCTAATCAAAGAGGAGAAAGGCTCGTACAGTGAAAATTATAAAACGTTGCTGAAGGAAATTAAAGAAGGTACAGGTAAATGAAAAGACCTCATGTTCATGGACGGGAAGAATTAATATTGTTAAAATGTTCATACTACCCAAAGTGATCTAGAGATTCAATGCAATCCTTATCAAAATTCCAATGCCATTTTTCACAGAAACAAACAAAAACACTAAAATTCATGTGGAATTACAAAAGACCCCAAAAAGAACAAATCCATCACACTTTCTGTTTTCAAAATATATTACAAATCTACAGTAAATGAAACAGCATGGTACTCACATAAAAACAGACAGATAGACTAACAGAACAGAATAGAGATTCTAGAAACAATTCTACACATTCAGTCACCTAGTCTTCAACAAGGATGCCAAAAACATACCCTTGGGTAATGGGTATTTTCTTCAACCTATAGTGTTGTCACCCTCATAGAGGCAGAGCGTACAATGGTGGTTGCCACGGTGGGGGAAGGGGAAAATGGGGAGATATTTGTCACAGGGTACCAAGTTTCAGTTATGCAAAGTAAGTTCTGAAGATAATATGCAGTATAGCGATTACAGTTAGTAATATATACGTGATATTTGCTAGTACATGGTAAGTGTTCTCACCACAAAAAAAAAGGAAAAAAATAGCAACTATGTGAGGTAATGGATATTTTAATTAGCTTGATTGTGGTGATCAATTCACAATGTATACATATATCAAAACAATTGTACAATGTAAACATATAAATTTTTATTTGTCAATTATACCTGAACAAAGCTAAAAAAAAAAAATTTGTTATCATCCCTCACAAAAAAACCATTAGTCCTTTTGTGTAAGACACAAATAATAATGAAAAGCGTTTTTTAAGAAACCCTTTAAAATAATAAATTGTCCTTCCCTCCTGTTGTGTAAGAGCTATGGAGCACTTATGCATTCAGCCTTGTGCTAAGCACCATAGGAACAAAGAAGAAAGCAAAGAGATGAGAATAAAAATTGAGGGTAGCAGGAAGAGAGGGAAGATGACAAAAGCAACTACTTTGTGTCAGGCTCTGTCCTAAACCCAACGTGGGCAGTAAGTACAGATATAGATACAAAAATGGAAGTTCCAAGAGAGGTGTTAACCTTCCCAAGCTCATGCAGCTCCTGAGAACAAGGATGGGAATGCAGATTTATCTGAAGTCTTGAACAAAGTACATTTTCTTCACAGAGTCAGGGTAGGATGGAGGACAGTAGAAGAAATATTTATAAAATAATAATGTATCAATATTTTCTTAATACTCATTATTAATTTAAATGTGTCCAATGTTGGTTTAGATAAGAAACCTCTGGGGTCATCATACTTGTTTGTTCTGTTTTTATGGGAGGAGTGGGAAGATCCAGTGATTGCCATCTGGTTTTTTATCTTTGAGAAAAGATAAAATATGGCAAATATAATAAATAGGACAACCAAGTGGAATTACAGACCTCAAGAAGGTTAAGGTTAACTTCACAGGGCAGAGCAACAAACTTTGAAGTCTGGGTATTTTACAAAACTTCTTTGTTAGCATGAATCTTCAAAAGAATAGTTTTATCAACCTGAATATTACCTGCTTTCCTCACAAACTGCATGGGAGCGGGGAACATTTTCTCCTTGTTGAAATTTACTTCACCAACAGTGAGTAGAATTTATAGTTTCAAGGACAGGTGCTGGAATCTCAGTGATCACTAAGAGGGGGACGGAGATGCAAGTTTAAAGCTTACAATATAGAAAAAGACAAAAGAGAGTTTTTAATAAACAAAATATGAGCATGTCATGTTTTACATTGATGGTGCCCCTCTCTGTTGCCACTCAGTGGCACTTTACTTAGACTTGAATTTGTAGAAGATATTTTAGCTCCTTTTTTTCAGATTTATTTTTCCAGTATGCATTACTCCTTAATATACATGTAAGAACTTTTAATTTTCATTAGTAAAGGTTGCAAATTATGCAGCATTCTATAAGTGTCACTGCTAAATTTGAATGGTTTCTTCCAGCTCCATTACAATACTGTATATTTTAAAGGCAAGAAAACAGAAGTGAATAAGTGTTAAATTTTTTTTCCTTTTTGAGACAGAGTTTCTCTCTTGTTGCCCAGGCTGGAGTGCAATGGTGCAATCTCACCTGACTGCAACCTCTGCCTCCCAGGTTCAAGTTATTCTTCTGCCTCAGCCTCCTGAGTAGCTGGGATTGCAGGCTTGCACCACCAGACCTGGCTAATTTTTGTATTTTTAGTAGAGACAGGGTTTCACCAGGTTGGCCAGGCTGGTCTCGAACTCCTGACCTCAGGTGATCCACCCACCTCAGCCACCCAAAGTGCTGAGATTACAGGCGTGAGCCACCACACCCAGCTGATGTCTCCAAATATTCAGAATCCTTCTATATATACTTTCCATTTGCCAAACCTCTTCCATCAGGGCCCATTCACATTCGTCTTTTCATCCTTCACATTCCCTTTTCTACATTCAAGTCTTTCTGAAAACTTCTTTGCCTCTTAATCAGATAACTCTCACTGCCGATTTCTCATTTATATGCAACTTTGTACAAGAGATTGGTTCAATCAATTTATGTCAAGTCTTTGTTCTCCTGAAAGACACCCAATTTGGATAAGGATTTGTAAATTGGGGCTTCAAAGCCACCATCATCTGCAAGACTCAGTCCAGCCAATAAATTATAACTTAATAAATCATTGCATGCATTCAAAAAAGAAAATAATAGAGCTTAATCTTTGAAAATCCATATCTGTCCTTAGTCTTCTTTCAGTCTCATGGACAGCACAAGTCTTGGCCACTCTAGCTACCCACGGTTTTTTCAGAGTGTCCACTAGATTTAAGCAGTCAACAATAAGATGTTTCCAGAAAGGTCACACAAACTATACATATCAAAATATATGCTGTGTTGTACCACCCAGGTGCCCATAAGGACTGAAGCTTTCATTTCCCCAGCAGCCAGGAGTGCTGGCTGCTGACAATTCACAGCTGAGTCTCTCTCTCCGGGAATTTCCCTCTACTGAAAGAAGCGGCCATAACCAAGATCTCCACCTTCTCCCCAGGAAGAGCCCTATAGCCAATATCTGGTCAAAGAGAAGGTTCAATGTCCCCCAGCTCCAGCTGAGGCCTCTGCTGCAACTGCATTCTATTTTTTTTTTTTTAAGACAGAGTCTTGCTTTGTTGCCAGGCTGGAGTGCAGTGGCGCAATCTCGGCTCACTGCAACCTCCGACTCCCTGGTTCAAGCTATTCTCCTGCCTCAGCCTCCCAAGTAGCTGGGATTACAGGCATGCACCACCACGCCCAGCTAATTTTTGTATTTTTAGTAGAGACAGGGTTTCACTATGTTGGCCAGGATGGTCTTGATCTGGCCAACTGCATTCTAATTTAACTTCTCCCTCTGCCCAATCCTGCTTCTTCATTTCCTTACAGATGTCGTATGAACCTCCTACATGAAAATCTCTCCCAATCTGCTTTCAGAGAACCTAACCCAAGACACAACTCCTGCAAGAATGTTTCAGTCATTCAGAAGATCAAAAGAAGGTTTTAGGCCAGGTGTGGTGACTTACACCTGTAATCCTAGCACTTTATTAGAGAGAGATGGGAGGATTGCTTAAGGCCGGAAGTTTGAGACGGGCCTGGGCAATCTGGCAAGACTCCATCTTTACAAAAAAATTAAAAATTAGCCAGGCATAGTGGTATACATCTGTAATCCCAGGTACTTGGGAGACTAAGATGGGAGGATTTCTCGAGTGCAGGAGTCCACGGCTGCAGTAAGCTACAATTGTGCCAGTCCAGCTTGGGCAATGAAAGGAGACCCTCTCTCTAAGGAAAGGAAGAAGAAGGAGAAGGAGAAGGAAGAAGGAAGAAGAAGAAGGAGCAAGAGGGGAAGGGCAGGGGGAGGGGGAGAAGGAGAGAAGAAGGAGAAGAAGGACAGGAAGGAGAGGAAGAAGGAGAGAAGGAGAAGAAGGAGAGAAGAAGGAGAGAAGAAGGAGAGAAGAAGGAGAGCAGAAGGAGAGCAGAAGGAGAAGAAGAAGGAGAGAAGGAGAGAAGGAGAAGAAGAAGAGAGAGAAGAAGAAGAAGAGAGAGAAGAAGGAGAGAAGAAGAAGGAGAGAAGAAGGAGAGAAGAAGGAGAGGAGGAGGAGCAGGATGAGGAGGAGCAGGAGGAGGAGGAGCAGGAGGAGGAGGAGCAGGAGAAGGAGGAGCAGGAGAAGGAGGAGGGGGAGAAGAAGAAGGAGAAGAAGAAGGAGGAGAAGGAGGAGAAGAAGAAGAAGAAGCTTCGAACTTTTCACAGAAATGTGCTCAAGGCCCAAAGACAATGGAAAAGAACAAGATGATCAAGAATGGCAAAAATGGAGCAGAAAGAGGAAGGAATAGCCAGGGAACTGAGGAGAGGTAAAAGAAGTCCTCTGAAACAGGGCTGTGGTATACATTCCTGAGATGCCTCACTTTTCTGGGTGTTTGGCCAAACTCATTTGGCTGAACTACATGGTAGAATCTTGTTAGTTGGCAATGGATTCACCAATGCTGAGCCTACGGAATATGGCAGGGGAACTCACAACCTTCATGTACAGCTGCCATCAGTTCCACAGGATAATCAGGGGAATTCAGAGCACCCTTCTTAAAGTTGTAAGTTTCACCAGAAACAATATGGCATTATATTCTGCAAGTATGACATTTTTAGTGCAATCCAGGGTATGATGAGGATTAATATAATGCTGTTGTTGACAACCTCACAAGCCAGGAACACTGGCAACTATATAAAAGGCAGGTACCTCTGTATTTTCCTACCATGGTGATGAAACAGAGAAGCACCAATCCTGCAAGGTTGAACCAGTATCAATCTATTCAAATGTTATGCATATTGTCCCAAGGGAAAGTCCTGGGAATTTCTCCCTTGGTGCCGTGTGGTATGTGAGCAAGCATTTTAAAACATTTAGGTCTTTTACATATAAATAAGATAGTTGAATGGATTTATTGATGTTGTGTCTTTGGGATCTCATACTCAAAAGCATAGCAAAAATACCTAGACACAATCTTATCATTTCAGTTTTAATCTTTTAAAGTGAACATTCTTTACCTTACAATTGAGGTCCAATGGCCAATCTGTAAAGTTCTGTAGAAAACTATAGCAACTATCAAACCACAAGATTTTGCTTAGTGTCAGCACTATTGACTTATTCTTTGAAGGAAAGGAAAAAATTTACATTTTTTCTCAAACTTCCCATGTTGTGAGATATGTCCCATATAAGGACTTATTTCCTGATTGGAAAATGAACACGTTATTGGCAGAAATAGGTTGTGTATTTATGGGAAGAAGATGAAGAAGAAGAATCTAATTTTTAGGAACAAACCAGTGAAGTCCAAAGCAAGATCAACCAGAAAGTTGAATGCTCTCTCATTGGAAATTTTCAGTAATTGTTTCAATGTGGAATTCACTGTAGCAGTGTAGAAGTTACTTGAAAACTCTGGTATTTTAGGGGCGAGATCAATGGCAGAGTGGGTCTTCAGCTGTTCAGGTAATTTTAAGACATTGTTAAGAAGTGGGTCATTTGTCTCTGTGCCTAAAAAAAGAACACGAATTAAGAACAAGATGTTAAACGGGAGCCAAGATGGCCAAATAGGAACAGCTCCGGTCTACAGCTCCCAGCATGAGCAATGCAGAAGATGGCTGATTTCTGCATTTCCATCTGAGGTACCGGGTTCATCTCACTAGGGAGTGCCAGACGGTGGGTGCAGGACAGTGGATGCAGCGCACCATGCGCAAGCCAAAGCATGGTGAGGCATTGCCTCACTCAGGAAGTGCAAGGGGTCAGGGAGTTCCCTTTCCTAGTCAGAGAAAGGGGTGACAGACGGCACCTGGAAAATCGGGTCACTCCCACCCGAATACTGCGCTTTTCCAATGGGCTTAAAAAATGGCACACCAGGAGATTATATCCCACACCTGGCTCAGAGGGTCCTACGCCCACGGAGTCTCGCTGATTGCTAGCACAGCAGTCTGAGATCAAACTGTAAGGCGGCAGTGAGGCTGGGGGAGGGGTGCCCGCCATTGCCCAGGCTTGCTTAGGTAAACAAAGCAGCCGGGAAGCTCGAACTGGGTGGAGCCCACCACAGCTCAAGGAGGCCTGCCTGCCTCTATAGGCTCCACCTCTGGGGGCAGGGCACAGATGAAAAGACAGCAGTAACCTCTTCAGACTTAAATGTCCCTGTCTGACAGCTTTGAAGAGAGCAGCGGTTCTCCCAGCACACAGCTGGAGATCTGAGAATAGGCAGACTGCCTCCTCAAGTGGGTCCCTGACCCCTGACCCCCGAGCAGCCTAACTGGGAGGCACCCCCCAGTAGGGGCAGACTGACACCTCACACCACCGGGTACTCCTCTGAGACAAAACTTCCAGAGGAATGATCAGACAGCAGCATTCGAGGTTCACGAAAATCCACTGTTCTGCAGCCACCGCTGCTGGAACCCAGGCAAACAGGGTCTGGAGTGGACCTCTAGCAAACTCCAACAGACCTGCAGCTGAGGGTCCTGTCTGTTAGAAGGAAAACTAACAAACAGAAAGGACATCCACCAAAAACCCATCTGTACATCACCATCATCAAAGACCAAAAGTAGATAAAACCACAAAGATGGGGAAAAAACAGAGCAGAAAAACTGGAAACTCTAAAAAGCAGAGCGCCTCTCCTCCTCCAAAGGAACACAGTTCCTCACCAGCAACAGAACAAAGCTGGACGGAGAATGACTTTGACGAGTTGAGAGAAGAAGGCTTCAGACGATCAAACTACTCCGAGCTACAGGAGGAAATTCAAACCAAAGGCAAACAAGTTGAAAACTTTGAAAAAAATTTAGACGAATGTATAACTAGAATAACCAATACAGAGAAGTGCCTAAAGGAGCTGATGGAGATGAAAGGCAAGGCTCGAGAACTATGTGAAGAATGTAGAAGCCTCAGGAGCCGATGCGATCAACTGGAAGAAAGGGTATCAGTGATAAAAGATGAAATTAATGAAATGAAGCGAGAAGGGAAGTTTAGAGAAAAAAGAATAAAAAGAAACGAACAAAGCCTCCAAGAAATATGGGACTATGTGAAAAGACCAAATCTACGTCTGACTGGTGTACCTGAAAGTGATGGGGAGAATGGAACCAAGTTGGAAAACACTCTGCAGGATATTATCCAGGAGAACTTCCCCAATCTAGCAAGGCAGGCCAACATTCAGAATCAGGAAATACAGAGAATGCCACAAAGATACTCCTCGAGAAGAGCAACTCCAAGACACATAATTGTCAGATTCACCAAAGTTGAAATGAAGGAAAAAATGTTAAGGGCAGCCAGAGAGAAAGGTCGGGTTACCCACAAAGTGAAGCCCATCAGACTAACAGCGGATCTCTCGGCAGAAACTCTACAAGCCAGAAGAGAGTGGGGGCCAATATTCAACATGCTTAAAGAAAAGAATTTTGAATCCAGAATTTCATATCCAGCCAAACTAAGCTTCATAAGTGAAGGAGAAATAAAATACTTTACAGACAAGCAAATGCTGAGAGATTTTGTCACCACCAGGCCTGCCCTAAAAGAGCTCCTGAAGGAAGCACTAAACATGGAAAGGAACAACTGGTACCAGCCACTGCAAAATCATGCCAAATTGTAAAGACCATCGAGGCTAGGAAGAAACTGCATCAACTAACGAGCAAAATAACCAGCTAACATCATAATGACAGGATCAAATTCACACATAACAATATTAACTTTAAATGTAAATGGACTAAATGCTCCAATTAAAAGACACAGACTGGCAAATTGAATAAAGAGTCAAGACCCATCAGTGTGCTGTATTCAGGAAACCCATCTCACATGCAGAGACACACATAGGCCCAAAATAAAAGGATGGAGGAAGATCTACCAAGCAAATGGAAAACAAAAAAAGGCAGGGGTTGCAATCCTAGTCTCTGATAAAACAGACTTTAAACCAACAAAGATCAAAAGAAACAAAGAAGGCCATTACATAATGGTAAAGGGATTAATTCAACAAGAAGACCTAACTAACTATCCTAAATATATATGTACCCAATACAGCAGCACCCAGATTCATAAAGCAAGTCCTGAGTGGCCTACAAAGAGACTTAGACTCCCACACAATAATAATGGGAGACTTTAACACCCCACTGTCAACATTAGATCAACGAGACAGAAAGTTAACAAGGATACCCAGGAATTGAACTCAGCTCTGCACCAAGCAGACCTAATAGACATCTACAGAACTCTCCACCCCAAATCAACGGAATATACATTTTTTTTCAGCACCACACCACACCTATTCCAAAATTGACCACATACTTGGAAGTAAAGCTCTCCTCAGCAAATGTAAAAGATCAGAAATTATAACAAACTGTCTCTCAGACCACAGTGCAATCAAACTAGAACTCAGGATTAAGAAACTCACTCAAAACCGCTCAACTACATGGAAACTGAACAACCTGCTCCTGAATGACTACTGGGTACATAACGAAATGAAGGCAGAAATAAAGATGTTCTTTGAAACCAACGAGAACAAAGACACAACATACCAAAATCTCTGGGACACATTCAAAGTAGTGTGTAGAGGGAAATTTATAGCACTAAATGCCCACAAGAGAAAGCAGGAAAGATCCAAAATTGACACCCTAACATCACAATTAAAGGAACTAGAAAAGCAAGAGCAAACACATTCAAAAGCTAGCAGAAGGCAAGAAATAACTAAAATCAGAGCAGAACTGAAGGAAATAGAGACAAAAAAACCCTTCAAAAAATTAATGAATCCAGGATCTGGTTTTTTGAAAGGATCAACAAAATTGATAGACTGCTAGCAAGACTAATAAAGAAGAAAAGAGAGAAGAATCAAATAGATGCAATAAAAAATGATAAAGGGGATATCACCACTGATCCCACAGAAATACGAACTACCATCAGAGAATACTACAAACACCTCTACGCAAATAAACTAGAAAATCTAGAAGAAATGGATAAATTCCTTGACACATACACCCTCCCAAGACTAAACCAGGAAGAGGTTGAATCTCTGAATAGACCAATAACAGGCTCTGAAATTGTGGCAATAATCAATAGCTTACCAATGAAAAAGAGTCCAGGACCAGATGGATTCACAGCCGAATTCTACCAGAGGTACAAGGAGGAACTGGTACCATTCCTTCTGAAACTATTCCAATCAATAGAAAAAGAGGGAATCCTCCCTAACTCATTTTATGAGGCCAGCATCATCCTGATACCAAAGCCGGGCAGAGACACAACCAAAAAAGAGAATTTTAGACCAATATCCTTGATGAACATTGATGCAAAAATCCTCAATAAAATACTGGCAAACAGAATCCAGCAGCACATCAAAAAGCTTATCCACCATGATCAAGTGGGCTTCATCCCTGGGATGCAAGGCTGGTTCAATATACGCAAATCAATAAATGTAATCCAGCATATAAACAGAACCAACGACAAAAACCACATGATTATCTCAAAAGATGCAGAAAAGGCCTTTGACAAAATTCAACAACGCTTCATGCTAAAAACTCTCAATAAATTAGGTATTGATGGGACATATCTCAAAATAATAAGAGCTATCTGTGACAAACCCACAGCCAATATCATACTGAATGGGCAAAAACTGGAAGCATTCCCTTTGAAAACTGGCACAAGACAGGGATGCCCTCTCTCACCACTCCTATTCAACATAGTGTTGGAAGTTCTGGCCAGGGCAATTAGGCAGAAGAAGGAAATAAAGGGTATTCAATTAGGAAAAGAAGAAGTCAAATTGTCCCTGTTTGCAGATGACATGATTGTATATCTAGAAAACCCCATTGTCTCAGCCCAAAATCTCCTTAAGCTGATAAGCAACTTCAGCAAAGTCTCAGGATACAAAATCAATGTACAAAAATCACAAGCATTCTTATAAACCAATTAACAGACAAACAGAGAGCCAAATCATGAGTGAACTCCCATTCACAATTGCTTCAAAGAGAATACAATACCTAGGAATCCAACTTACAAGGGATGTGAAGGACCTCTTCAAGGAGAACTACAAACCACTGCTCAAGGAAATAAAAGAGGATACAAATAAATGGAAGAACATTCCATGCTCATGGGTAGGAAGAATCAATATCATGAAAATGGCCATACTGTCCGAGGTAATTTATAGATTCAATGCCATCCCCATCAAACTACCAATGACTTTCATCACAGAATTGGAAAAAACTACTTTAAAGTTCATATGGAACCAATAAAGAGCCCGCATCGCCAAGTCAATCCTAAGCCAAAAGAACAAAGCTGGAGGCATCATGCTACCTGACTTCAAACTATACTACAAGGCTACAGTAACCAAAACAGCATGGTACTGGTATCAAAACAGAGATATAGATCAATGGAACAGAACAGAGCCCTCAGAAATAACGCTGCGTATCTACAACTATCTGATCTTTGACAAACCTGAGAAAAACAAGCAATGGGGAAAGGATTCCCTATCTAATAAATGGTGCTGGGAAAACTGGCTAGCCATATGTAGAAAGCTGAAACTGGATCCCTTCCTTACACCTTATACAAAAATTAATTCAAGACGGATTAAAGACTTAAACGTTAGATCTAAAACCATAAAAACCCTAGAAGAAAACCTAGGAATTACCATTCAGGACATAGGCATGGGCAAGGACTTCATGACTAAAACACCAAAAGCAATGGCAACAAAAGACAAAATTGACAAATGGGATCTAATTAAACTAAAGAGCTTCTGCACAGCAAAAGAAACTACCATCAGAGTGAACAGGCAACCTACAAAATGGGAGAAAATTTTCACAACCTACTTATCTGACAAAGGGCTAATATCCAGAATCTACAATGAACACAAACAAATTTACAAGGAAAAAACGAACAACCCCATCAAAAAGTGGGTGAAGGACATGAACAGACACTTCTCAAAAGAAGACATTTATGCAGCCAAAAAACACATGAAAACATGCTCACCATCACTGGCCATCAGAGAAAAGCAAATCAAAACCACAATAAGATACCATCTCACACCAGTTAGAATGGCAATCATTAAAAAGTCAGGAAACAACAGGTGCTGGAGAGGATGTGGACAAATAGGAACACTTTTACACTGTTGGTGGGACTGTAAACTAGTTCAACCATTGTGGAAGTCAGTGTGGCGATTCCTCAGGGATCTAGAACTAGAAATACCATTTGACCCGGCCATCCCATTACTGGGTATATACCCAAAGGACTTAAATCATGCTGCTATAAAGACACATGCACATGTATGTTTATTGCGGCACTATTCACAATAGCAAAGACTTGGAACCAACCCAAATGTCCAACAATGATAGACTGGTTTAAGAAAATGTGGCACATATACACCATGGAATACTATGCAGCCATAAAAAATGATGAGTTCATGTCCTTTGTAGGGACATGGATGAAATTGGAAATCATCATTCTCAGTAAACTATCGCAAGAACAAAAAACCAAACACCGCATATTCTCACTCATAGGTGGGAATTGAACAATGAGAACACATGGACACAGGAAGGGGAACATCACACTCTGGGGACTGTTGTGGGGTGGGGGGAGGGGGGAGGGATAGCTTTAGGAGATATACCTAATGCTAAATGACGAGTTAATGGGTTCAGCACACCAGCATGGCACATGTATACATATGTAATTAACCTGCACATTGTGCACATGTACCCTAAAACTTAAAGTATAATAATAATAAAATAAAAAAAAACAAGATGTTGTTAAATATGTGAGGAACACATTTCCTTACAGTGGGAGGCAGATACCTCAGGGCTGGACACCATGTTTGAAGTTGGCTCTTGGTGGGGCCCTTTCCAGAGAGGTTTGAGCAAATATCCACTGACTAAACTTGATATGAAATCCATTGCCAAGCTTATTCAACGACATGCCATTCTGGATCAATTAGAGGGCTTCTTGTGAAGAAGCATTGGCACACTTCCTGAGTGCCTTGCAATAATCTAGCTCAAGATTACCTAACACAATTCTTCTTCTCCCATGATTGGTCCCTGAAGAGGTAGCAGAGCTTTAACCATTAATATTTCACAGTGAAGGCTGTGAAGGCATTGTTTTGTACAGTGTGGCCCAAATACCATCAAGAGGCAAGGTATATACAAGTCCTTCTGCAGACAGTCATTGCATACATATTTACACGTGGGCATGGTTCTGCCCTTCCTAACAACATGCACAGAATCATTGAAATATATTTATCTAGACCACATTTCACACATATAAAAATCTATCTAAATAGTTACAATAGGCCTCCAAATGGAAGTATAAGCTACTTTCTTTACCTGAACACCATAAAATGAAATCTCTTTTACAATATTGTAGAGTAATTCTGAAAGACTCTAAAGCATACTAATCGAGGCTAATTATTACTAAAATGCTGTCTTTCTTTCTGTATGTGTGTCGTGCCAGAGATTACATAAGCAAAGTAAGACAGCAAATATTTGGTGCAAAAGAGCAGCTACTTGTGAAGGCCAACGCTAGTCTGCATGCAAGAGATGCCTGTCACTCTCTGAAGGTCTAAATTTGAGTCCTGATATTGGACAAGGGGAATATCTGTGAGCACTACCAGTTGAACACAGGAGCATAGGTACATGAGATCAAGAGAAGGTCACCATCTAGCCTGGGTGAATAACTGAAGTTTTGGTACCTTATAATCAACACTGTAGATGTTAAAAGAAGGATCATTAGAAATTTTAGCTACTCCAGAGGCAAGGGAATTGTTATTCTTTTTATAATTGTCTACATTATAAAATGCACTTAAGGTTAAGTGCATAATGAGAGTCAAAGCTCTTTTGAGATATGAAAAAACACAATTTCTCAAGGGTAAAATGTTGACTACCTGTACAAAGTATACAGAAAGCAAAGAAGTATTTGCTACGGCATATTGAGAACATAGTATATATCTTAAGTTTAACTTTCTTTTCTCTGATCTATCAATCTTTTCTCCTCTATTTAGTTCAAATTTATTGTTTTCATTAGCTTCAATAGATCTTGATATGTACATATGTGTATATATACAATATATTTTTAAACAAACTAATGAAATTTTTGATTTATATTTTTGTTAAAATGTAAAACTAGGATTTATATTTAGTTTAAATATGAGACTAAATATTAGACTAAATTAGACTCAATATAAACGTTACACCACCCACTGAATGGATTTGTAGTTTGACGGTTCCTTTTAAGCACCTTCTTAAAAGGAAAAGATGAGAGTTCCATCTTTTTTCTTCTTTAAAATCATTCTGCCCCAGTCTTCACTTATCATCACATGCACTTTACTCCACCAAACATCATTTCTCAAAATCAATCTATTTGAATAATCATTAAGCCCGTTTAGAGCTTTCCCAGTCTTAAAATTTGTCATCACACACAACGTGTGTGATGTCATGTGTGACTACACATCCCAAGGCCTTTCTCACTTTTTCTGGTTAATACAGAATGTCCCATAAAGAAAGAATAAAAGGTCAGGTGCAGTGGGTCATGCCTGTAACTCCAGCACTTTGGGAGTCCAAGGCGGGTGGATCACTTGAGACCAGGAGTTCGAGACCAGCCTGGCCAACATGGTAAAACCCCATCTCTACTGAAAATACAAAAATTGGATGAGCATGGTGATGTGCGCCTGTAGTCCCAGCTACTCAGGTGGCTGAGGCATAAGCATCACTTGAACCCCGGAGGCAGAGGCTGCAGTGAGCTGAGATCGCACCACCGCACTCCAGCCTGGGCAACAGGGCGAGACTCTGTCTCAAAAAAAAACAGAAACAAAAAACAATAAAAGTTGTATATTTCTTTAAAATGAAAGATCAGTAACTTCAATGGCTATTATATTAACCACTTAGTAAAGGTACAACAAAAACTACACATCCTTATGTTAACTAACTGAAATTATAATAAATTAGTTAAGCTACTTTTGTCACTTAATGTTTGCAAGGGTACTCAAGAAATCAAAATGGCTTCCCATTGCTTGACATTTGCTTTCCAAATACTTCACATTTCAACCCTATATCCCTACAAAGAGAAATAATTCAACATACTTTCCTTACCTAAAAATACTACAGGAGGCTAAAAGGCATTTAGAATTTTTTAGACCTTGAAGAATAATGTTACACTTCCAACATGTATTTAACTTATAAATCAGTTTCTATTCTGTTGCATAGCTTCAGTCTAAGTACATCATAGTTATATTAACTCCGTATTGCTTCATCTTGTCAAGTCAGACAAAGATTCTGTTGCATCAAGGCTCTTATTCAAGATGTCTTCTTCGTTTGAATTAGGTAGAAGTTCTCCAAAACTACATGGTATTGTGGTCAATCTTTGTTCCACTGGAGGAAACTTAATTAGTGGTGAAAGAGACTTTTCTTTCACCAAGGGACATGTGTAAATGTGGTTTTGCATATTCAATGTGCACATCATGAGTGTCCAAATAGTTAAGCATATCATCTGTTTGCACATTTTGGGGAGTAGGGCTCAATTCTGGTTTGTGTCTTTCAAGTGTTTCAAGATTAGACAGGTAAAATTCTTCCCTTTTCTTGGAAAAAGATTTCTTCAGAGCCTCATATCTACTGCAAACAGCCTATAGATTGAAGTCTGATTCTGGAGTAGTTTGTCCATCTACCATAATATCTCCTAGAAAAATGCCACTGTCCACAGGACTATTTGGCTCTAGTTTAAACTGGACTCTAAGCTACTGGAACTTTTAACACTTAGGGGACCACCTTCCTCCGGAAAAGTTTCATGCCAAATGTAAATATGCTAAAATCAATATCCTTACAACTCTTAGAACTAATTCCGCTTGATATCTGAAAAGAGTTCCATAATGTAGTGTTATTCATGGAAGGTTTGTTACAGGAATCCTGTGAATGGTCCAATATTTTCATATACTCCTCTTTACTGCTACCCAGCTCATCTATCCCATTGCTGATGGCAGGGGAGAATGTCTTCTTGGCTAGTTTCTGAAAGCTTGGTTGGTAAAGCTGTACATTCCAAATCTTGCTTGCAAATTATTATTATTTTTTTTTTTTTGAGACACAGTCTGGCTCTGTCACCCAGGCTGGAGTGCAGTGGCATGATCTTGGCTTACGGCAAGCTCCGCCTCCTGGGTTCATGCCATTCTCCTGCCTCAACAGGCGCCCACCACCATGCCCTGCTAATTTTTTGTATTTTTAGTAGAGACAGGGTTTGACCGTGTTAGCCAGGATGGTCTCTATCTCCTGACCTCGTGATCCGCCCGCCTCGGCCTCCCAGAGTGCTGGGATTACAGGCGTGAGCCACCTTGCTGGGCGCAAATTATTTTCTTACTCAACAAATCAGACTGATTTTGTATTGGTGGTTCACCCATATGATTGATCACCATGTATTTCTGAGGCACACACTTGCAGTCTCATTTCAGTCAAATGAGACTGGCCGAAATCTCATACAGTGGTTTAAGAGAAAACCGACTATGCTAAATCCTCTTTGATTACACAAATCAGGTAATGATCCCAGCAATACTTCTCTGTGCTCAGTATCCGTTTGAATTGGTTCTGTAGTTCTGTTTTCTTCCATTTCAATAGTTTTTCTCCATGAGCTCCTAATTTCCATTGTCAAGTTTTATGGGTATGGGAAATCTGGTTCCTTGTTCAGAAGAGGTTAGAACCTAGAGAGTCAATTAGTTCCCCTAAATTTACTTATTTTCTCTCACAGAGCTGTGGTGAACCAAATAAAACTGCTCCAACAACCCCTTCTAGCAGATGATCTTGCTTTTTTTTGGAACTGACCACTTTTTTTTAGCTGGCAGAGACCCTCCAAATGCACTACTCTCTGTTCTTTGCGACATCTGATAATGGAGAATCTTCCACTTCAAAATCTGGTATTTTCTTAGAAATTGTTTTATTTTTCTCTTTGGGAGTTCTCATCTTCCTGTCCTTTTCAAGTGGTGTAGCATTGTTTCTATCTGATGATGAAGCTGACTGCAACAAGAAAGAGGCAGGGCTGTTGGCTAGATCATGTACAGCTCCCAAGGTATCATTGTCTCCTCTGCAACCATTTTCTTGGTGATGTTGCTCAGGTGTACCTAAGGCCAAAATCTGATACAGTGGTTTCTAACAGAAACCAGACAACGATAAATTCTCTTTGATTAAGCAACACAGGTAATGATTCTGGCAATATCAGTGAAGCAGGATACTGAAAAAGAATACTCTTTGCGTGCACTTCTGAGGGAAGACCAAATGAAAGGGGAGACATAGGTGGTAAAAGATCCACAACTGGGCCGGGCGCGGTGGCTCACGCCTGTAATCCCAGCACTTTGGGAGGCCGAGGCGGGCGGATCACGAGGTCAGGAGATCGAGACCATCCTGGCTAACACGGTGAAACCCCGTCTCTACTAAAAATACAAAAAATTAGCCGGGCGTGGTAGCGGGCGCCTGTAGTCCCAGCTACTCGGGAGGCTGAGGCAGGAGAATGGCGTGAACCCGGGAGGCGGAGCTTGCAGTGAGCCGAGATCGCGCCACTGCACTCCAGCCTGGGCGACAGAGCGAGACTCCGTCTCAAAAAAAAAAAAAGATCCACAACTGGAGTTCAACTTTTAATTAGAGTGAAGGAAGACAGACCAAGAAATTCTTTCCACTTCCTATGCCATTCCCCTTGCTTTTCAACAATAGAATGTCTTATAGTTGTGAGATCTTTTTATTCTATAGCTTATATGCTTCAGATCTGATTATCTTTCCCTCTAAAATTTGGTATCTTTTTCCAGGTAGTGAAGGTCTATTGTCAATCGTGCTTGGTCAGCCTGACTTTCCTATTTCATTACTTTCAAGGCTTCATTATATAACAGAATAACTTAAGAGTTTCCATTTTCCAGACTCATAAACATTTCCTATGTGCAACTGACACATCTGTCTCTCAATTTTGTCAAGAGTCAACTAATAGCATTAGTTCCATCTAAAGCATATCGGTTAGACTAAGGACTGAACTAACAACTTCTCTTTTTCCAGAAACATGAGTGTTTCATTCACTGATGTTCACAAAGGCCCAACCTTTTGAGTTTTTTCTTCTATACTACTTTGGTCACCCATAGGGTTCCATTTTTTTAAATTTGGTTTTGCAGTTCTATACATCTAGATCTCAAATTTCAGACATACTTAACTAATAATTGTACATTTTCCTGAGATTTTGGGGTAATACAATCTGCTCTTTGCAAAATTTGTAAACATTTGTTACGTGCTAAATGGCATCTGGCATTGCGCTTGTGCAAACTTTGTGATTTCACATTAAATGTCTGCAAAACATAAAGAATTTTTAGAATTGGTTTTCATATATTTTATTACAACAAATCTCGCAAGATGTTACATCAGATGAGTAAACAGAACCGCTAGGAGAAATAAATAGTGAACAACAATTTGAGGAAAGCTTCCACATTCAGCAGAAATCCTTGTTAACCATTCACAGCAATGTTTCCTGAATATCGTATCACTTTCTTGGTCAAATGGTGGCCAACAAAATTTAAAAACTTCTTTGGTGAGAGACTGGTCCAGCATTTGAAACAAAAAATAAGAAACTATATGAAAGCCATCACGGTTCAGCTTATCAAACATGTTCACTCCAAGGTGCTTATTTGACACCCTTTGCAGGCCATGGTCAAACCCGGGCCTGGCTCAAAGCTGAGCACCTGCCGATACATTCAGAGATGCTTGTTCTGGAAAGAGGTGATCCAGGCCAAGGTCATCCTCATGATAGGCACGGTGACTGCAAAGAAAAAAAGCACAAGCCCTAGCGACTCTTGGGTCCTCAGGATCCCTCCCTATGGGCAGCCTGAGGTCTCAGAGGTCCCTTCTTTGCCACTGCCTGCATCTCTCTCGCTGGAGCCATTTCACCTCAAAGGGCTGTACAGTCTCCAGAAAATGGAGCCTGTCATGGGAATGTGGCCGCAGCTGCCTACTCGAAGCCTACAATATGTTCTTAACTAAACAGTAATTAAAGGACAATGTAATTTAAGCTTAAAAGTTCTAATGTTTAAAACATAAGCACCTTGTCAAGCACATTTTTGGACAATGTATATAATCCGTTGGTATAAACTACCTTCATTTGGGTAATCTGAAGAACAAATTAATTTATATCCATGAGAATAAATAGATTTTTTTTTAAAATGAAGATAATATGGTAACGATAGACTTCACTTTCTGCATCTCTCCAAATTTTATTTAAAAGTGTCAAGATAAATAAAGATTTACAAGTGCCATAATATTAAATTGTTCTAAAGCTCCTAAATGATGGATTTTAGAAAACATAAGTTAATTTTAAAGGATAATGAAATCACAGCTTATAACAACAATTTTACAGGGAAACAAGAACATTATAAAACTAGGCCCAGCTGGTTTAACTGATGAATAAACTCTACATAAATAGAATACTGTCTGAAGTTTATAAGAACCAAATTTATATGCACTACATGTTTAAATTGTGGCTCAATTTAATTGAAGACCTATGTTTTTATTTATATATTTAAATATTATAATTAATAAAAACATCTGATTTACAAATTAAGTGTAAGGAATGTAGGTATTTAACTGTTTTGTAAAATAATAAATAGATTAAAAGTCTTAAATAGACTAAAAATCTCATGTTTGTATTTTTATTTCCCACTGAGGCAAATTCAGAGAGAACAAATATAGACTTCTTTTAACCCAAACTTTATCAAAAAATAAAAATGTTTCCCCTGCTTGGGAGTATTAATGGGAACTGGATATAACTATAAAATCTCTCCCTCAACTAAATAATATTAAAAGCTTTGTGGAAGGATTTTATAATCCTTTTTATGATTACTCATTAAGCCTAAAGTTAATTTGCATATCTTTTATTCCCCATATTGTACGTGGAAGGAACATTAAGGTCATTTAACTAAAATTAGATTTTGCCTTTTCTCATCCAAAAACATTTTTAAGTGAAAGTATTTATATCAGAAAACAAGAACACCATTAAAATTATTTTTAAGATCTTTGTGATTTTGACAGAGTTCTTTATACATTTTTTATTTATATATTTTATGTTATTCCTGAGTATAATATTCCTTTTGACCAAAAGGTTTTAAACAATTCAGTACTTCAATTTCTTCATTTGCAAATAATCTTTTCAAGTACAAACCTATTATAAGATTCAGTCCTCCAAAGATGTATTTCTTTAATTTTCTTAATGTATTTGCACACCTTACAAGGTTTAATTGATGGCTCAACTCCTCAAGCACTTGCCACTTTCTCCCAGGCTGGAGTTTTTTTATTGAAGTGCTAACAAATTTAAGGCACTTGGAATTTGGGTTTGATTTAAAATTGTTTTCCCTGAAAGTTAATAAAACCTTTACACCCTTTCCAATAACCTCCATAGACAGGCTCACCTATCTAATGTAGAGATACCTTTTAAAGGAAACCTCTTTCTCTCCTCAGTCATATCACATCCACACCAACATTCAAGGGTCACACGGCTTCTGCAACTGTCAGCTATTTAGGCAGCATCAGAAAGCATCAGAAAAATGGACATGTTGGTAGGATTAGAGAAACCTCTTGGATTCTCACTCCCTGTTTCTCAATTTGCATGGGCTCACACATAGGAAAAAGTCTCACAATTGTGCCCACCCTGCCCCACCCCCTACCCCCCTACACCTCCCGGGCCCAGGAACTGAATCAGCACAAGAAGACATCTTCCACTCCCTGTGATTTCATCTCTGACCTGACGACCAATCAGCACTCCTGACTCACTGGTTTCCCCCCACCCACCAAGTTGTCCTTAAAAATTCTGATCCCCAAATGCTGGGGAGACTGATTTGAGTAATAAAAAAAATCTGGTCTCCCACAAAAAAAAAAAAAAAAGTCTCACAATCAAAAAACAGAAGAAACTATAGATTTTTGGTCCATCTGTAAATTGCATAGCAACCCCTTAACTTCCAAAGAAAAGGATGAAAAATGAAATTCTATTAAGAAAAGAAAACACTTACCCAGCTGCTTTGAGCATCCTGTGAATTAAAACTTGAACTCGCCGGGCACAGTGGCTCATGCCTGTAATCCCAGCACTTTGAGAGGCCAAGGCAGGTGGATCACCTGAGGTCAGGAGTTCGAAACCAGCCTGACCAACATGACGAACCTTGTCTCTACTAAAAATACAAAAATTAGCCAGACGTGGTGGCGGGCACCTCTAATTCCAGCTATTTGGGGGGCTGAGGCAGGAGAATCACTTGAACCGGGGAGGTGGAGCTTGCAGTGAGCCAAGATCGTGGCATTGCACTCCATAGCCCAGGTGACAAGAGCAAAACTCCATCTCAAAAAAAAAAAAAAAAAAAAGAAAGAAAGAAAACTTGACCTCCAGGGAGCAGCAGTTCTCCAACACTGAAGACAAGCAATACTCCAAGTTAAAGGTTTTTGTCTCTGGGATCTTTTGTACACCAATCCTGTTCCCAAACAGTCAAGGCACAACCTCACTCATTTGCCCAGAAGCAGATTAAATCTACACTAATTAACAATGAGAGGAGGTGGAGCAATATGGGTGAATAGAACCCTCCAACAATTGTTCCCCCCACAACCCAGCCCACTCACAGGAACACCAAATTGAACAACTAACCATGCAAGAAACTACTTTCATAAGAACCAAAAATCAAGTGAGTGATCACAGTACCTGGTTTTAACATCATATCAAGGAAAGAGGCACTGAAGAGGGTAGGAAAAACAGCCTTGAATTACTGACACCACTCCTCTCCCATCCCTTGGTAGCAGCTGCATGGTGCAGAGAGTGTGCTTGGGGGAAAGGGGGTGCAGTGATTGTGGGACTTTGCATTGGAACTCAGTGCAGCAGAAAGCGACATGAAGTGGGATTCAGATGGCACCCATGGAGGGAGCATTTGGACCACCCCTAGCCAGAGGCAAATCACCCATCCCAACAGTCAGAACCTGAGTTCCACCTAGCCCCACCACCACAGGCTAAAGCACTCTGGTGTCCTAAATAAGCTTGAAAGGCAGTCTAGACCACAAGGACTGCAATTCCTGGCTAGGTCCTGGTGCTGTGCTGGGCTCAGAGCCAGTGGACTTGGGAGGCATGCGACCTAGGGAGACACCAGCTGAGGTAGCCAAGGGAGTGCTCACATCACTCTTCCAACCCCAGGCAGTGCAGCTCTGAGAGAGACTTCTTTCTGCATGAGGCAAGAAGAGGGGAGAGTAAAGGGGACTTTGTCTTGTAACTTGGATACAAGCTCAACCACATTAGAACAGAGCACCAAGCAAAGTTCCCAGGCCCCCATTCTAGGACCTAGCTCCTGGACGACATTTCTAAACACACTTTGGGCCAGAAGAGAATCCACTGCCTTAAAGGGAAAGTCCTGACAAGTCTTTGTCAGTCCTGACAAGATTAATTACCTGCCAAATAAAGAGCCCTTGGGCCTTGAATAAACATCACGGGTACCCAGGAAGTACTCGCCGCAGGCCTTGCATGAGACCCAGGGCTGTACTGGCTTCAGGTATGACCCAGCATATTCCAGCCATGGTGGCCATGGGGAGGGACTCCTTCTGCTTGAGGGAAAAGAGAGGGAAGAGTAAAGGGGACTTTGTCTTTCAGCTTGGGCACCAGCTCAGCCACAGTGGGGTGGAGTACCAAGCGGGCTCCTGGGGCCCCTGATTCCAGGCCTTGGATTCTGGGCAGCATTTCTAGTCCCACCTTGGGCCAGAGGGAAGCTCACTGCCCTGAAGGGAGAGATCCAGGCCTGGCAGCATTCACCACAAGCTGACTGAAGAGCACTTGCGCTTTGCGTGAACATCAGCAGTAGCCAGGCACTACTTGCCATGGCCCTGGGACAGTGTTGGCCATGGGAAGACCCTCCTTCTGCGTGAGGAAAGGAGGGAAGAGTGGGAAGGAGTTTGTCTTGTGGCTTGGGTGCCAGCTCAGCTGCAGTAGAGCACAGCACCAAGAAGATTCCCAACTCCATGCCCTGGTTCCCAAGTGGCATTTCTGAACCTGCCCTGGGGCAGAGGGGAGCTCACTGCCCTGAAGGAAAGGACACAAGCCTGGCTGGATTTGCCATTTGCTGACAGAAAAGCCCTTGGGCCTTAAGTAAACGTCAGCAGTAGCAAGGCCATGGGCACCACAGGCCTTGAGTGAGACCCAGTGCTGTGCCGGCTTCACGTCTGACCCAGCATAGTCCCAGTAGTGGTAATCACAGGAGTGTCTGTGTCACCCCTTCCCCAGCTCCAGGCAGTTCACCACAGAGAGAGAGACTCTGTTTCGTTGGGGGATAGTAAGGGAAGAGAACAAGAGGCTCTGCCTGGTATTCCAAGGAATTCTTCTAGCTCTTATCCAAGTGAAAGTTAGTATGAAAAGGCTACATAATTATATGTGATTTGGAAAAGGCAAAGGCTATAGAGCAGTAAAAAGACCAGGGGTTTCCAGGAACTTGGGGGGAGGAAGGAGGGTGAGATGAAGGAAATTTAGGGGATGGTAAAACCATATTGTATGACACTGTCATGGTGAATACATGACATTATGCATTATGAAAACCCATAGAACTTTATAGCCCAAAGTATGCAAAGTAGTTATGCACATTTTAAAAACTGTTTAGGAGGTCAGGGAGTCCCAGGATAGAAGGCAGACCATGACAAAAGACTCTTACTGGGTTACAAATGTGAGAAGTAATCACACTGAAAGGAGTTGGGAGGGTAAGAGCTGACCTGACTAACTTGGGAAATGAACAGGGTCTCTAAGACTAAAGGCAAAAAGGACTGCACATAAGCATCATATACTAGTTAGTAAAGTTACTTTCCCTGGGGATGTGAGTTAACATACACATGTATATTTCTTTGTCCTGTCAGCTTAGAGAGTCTAGAAGCAATGACACCCCTGTAGCAATAGGAATATCTAGTGTCCAGAACTTGGTTTCTAATAGCATTCTCTAGTAAAAGAAACAGGCTTCCTTGGAGAAATGACTGACTCTAGCACTTGGGCAAGAAATATACAAGATGAGCCTGAAGAAGAATTTTAATCTAAGGGAACATGTGGCACCATGACAAAGCTGTGTGTTAGGCACTGAGGAAGGAGCTGAGGTATGAATGAAACCCTTTCCCTGAAGGCAATGGGAATTCATTCATGAAGAAGGGAGATAGACCTGTTTAAAGAGAGTAGCCATGTTTCTGTTCCGCAAACTCACTGAGGTCATTTCCACCTCATGGTCTTGGTTCTTGAGATTTTCACTCCCTGAAAGTCACTTTTTCTGGATTTTCCTGTGGACAGGAACTGTGAGATCTTCTACCAAGAACCAACACCAACTCGTCAACCATGAGGAAGAGAACCTGCAGCTCTAGTTGAGCCTTCAGAGGACTAACATCTAACTGCAACCTCATAAGAGACCCACAGCCGAAAGTACCCTGCCAAGCCACTCCTGAATTCCAGACTCACAGAAACTGTTAGAGATAATGGATTTATATTATCATTTTAAGCCACTAAGATATTGGGGTTGATTATAATACAGCAATAGATAATTAAATGTTTGTCATGCCCCAGGTATCAGCAGCCTCAGCATGGTAAGACTAAAGGAGGAGGTGCTCCCTGGCTGTTCACTCCCATAACTTTGATAGAGGAATTGGGCTATGGGGGAGTAATCTTTAGCATCTGCACACAAGACAGAGGTGGACTCAACATCAATACCCTTTTGCTTAGGAACTTATGCTTGGGAACTCATCTTTGCCTTCATAATCTAACAAACAAAACAATAGTATCTTTGGTCATATATTGAGCCTTTAATGTGATGAATCCTCACAATAAGGTAGATATTTTTATCTTTCTTTTCCAGAATGGTGGCTCATCCAAGAAAAAAAATTGACACAATGTTATACAATGGTTAAATGACAGCTACTCTTGACTCTTCAGAGGCCAGACCAGGACAATAAGCAGAGAAGGGAATTATGTCTAGAGGGGAAAGGAATCCAATAGAGAGCAAGAAGTTGAAAATACAAGGGGATGAGAAGTGATTAATGGAACAAAGACCCAGAGGAAGCAACAGATAATGGTGTCAAGAGGCTCAGGGGAAATATTGCCTTGGACAAAGAGAGGATAGTCTCTTTTAAAGAAGATGAGTGTTTTGCAGAAAGTATATCATAATGGTTAAGACCAAAAACTCTGATGTCAGACAGACTTGGATCTGAATGCTGGCTCTGTCACTTATTAATGAAGGGGCAGTTGTGGTCATTCACCTGTTTAGATGCCCAAAATCTGCACTGACTTATCGTCAGGTAATTCCTTGTCATATGAGACAAAGTGAAAGAGCACATCTTCTCTGAAGACAGGAAGGCCACAATTTTGCTTCTAGGGTAAAGGCATGTGACCCCCAGTTTATTCTGCTCAAGATCCTAACTCCAGGATTAAGTCACCCACCATGGCCCATGTGTCCTCACCAATGGTTATGGAGTTATGATCCTGTGGTTGGCAGCCTCACCAAGAGGCAGTTCCCCACAGGGTCATGAAGTACAGACAAAAGCAGTTTATTTCTACTACATCCTCTTTCAAGAGAAACTAATAGAAGAATCAGATGAAAATTTAAATTTTTAACATAACACAGACTTTCCAGGAAATAGAAATAAAGCATAAAAAAGCACATAACTTAAAGCATTTTGGTCAGTTTAAAATTGTATTAAAAGAAATAAAGGATGGTCCAGAAGTAACAAATTGGTGGTCTAAAAGATGAAATGGAAGAGATATTTCACAATGGAAAACAAAATACAATGAAATGAAAATTGTTTATTTGCGGCATTATTCACAATAGCAAAGACTTGGAACCAACCCAAATGTCCAACAATGATAGACTGGATTAAGAAAATGTGGCACATATACACCATGGAATACTATGCAGCCATAAAAAATGATGAGTTTATGTCCTTTGTAGGGACACGGATGAAATTGGAAATCATCATTCTCAGTAAACTATCGCAAGAACAAAAAACCAAACACCACATATTCTCACTCATAGGTGGGACAATGAGATCACATGGACACAGGAAGGGGAACACTCTGAGGACTGTGGTGGGGTGGGGGGAGGGGGGAGGGATAGCATTGGGAGCTATACCTAATGCTAGATGACGAGTTGGTGGGTGCAGCGCACCAGCATGGCACATGTATACATATGTAACTAACCTGCACAATGTGCACATGTACCCTAAAACTTAAAGTATAATTTAAAAAAAAAATTGAAAAAAAAAAAAAGAAAATTGTTAGCTGGGGTAATGCTTCCTGCACATTCCTCATGCTTTCATGAAAAAACCTGCTACACTCTCAAAGAGGGAAAAGTATTTTAAAGAACACTTTCATGCCACCTCTATAAATAATAAGCTCAAGAATTAGAAAGAAAAAAGTAGAAGTTACAATTAGAAACATAATAGAAGCAAATTTCTCAGAACTGAAGGAAAACATGAGTTTTTAGATTGAGAGGATTCACCAAGTCCCAGGGATATCCATGAGAAAAAGCACATTATCTAGAAACAAATTTTTTTTTAAATTATATTTCCAGGATAAAAAGGCAGTGTCAGAAGCTTCTAGGCAAAAGATACAAGATACCAACAAAGGAAAGAGAATCAAACTAACATCAGACTTTTCATCTGCAATTCTGGAAGAAACACAGTACAGTGGCCAACCACAATGGCTCATGCCTGTAATTCCAACACTTTAGGAGGTCAAGGCAGGAGGATTGCTTGAGGCCAGGAGTTCAAGACCAGCCTTGGCAACATAGAATTGTATGCACCATAAAATAAAGCAACAAAATAAGTATGTAATGTAAAAACTACTAAAAATATAAGAACTTGTTTAAATGCTTAATCACATGGGGATTTTAATATAGTTCTCTGAGTATTTTACCCTTCAAGTAAATAGAAAATAAGTAAGAATATTTACATTGATTAAGGGAGTGAAAAGCTTAATTTAATAGAGGACGTTGTCCCATATCATATGAAAGAACCAAGTTCTTTGGCAAAAAGAAATCATTACTAAATTCCCAAAACCAAAGATTATCAGTCTCTTGTTTCTGACCATAGTCCATTAAGGCCAGAAGTCAATCACAAACAAAAGTGACCAAAGGAAATAAACCACCTGGAAATTTATTCAGAAAAATAACATTAAGCCCCTCTTCTCGAGCTTTATTAGTTCTTCTGTGGCCAAACAGGCATGTAAGTATATGGTTATATGACTCCTTTCCACAGGGGCTGATAGAGAGTGAAAATGAACCCTAAGAGAAACAAGACTGAGGTGGATCCTGGGTGACAGCTGGATGCGAAGTTTGCTCTGTGTGTTGGGCATTCACAGAAGTGACTGTACTCTTTCCAGGATGCCCATGTCAGAAGTAGCATTCCCATGACCCTTCACCTACCCTGGGAAGGGGGCATTTCAGGCCCTGTTATAAGCATCCTTTCCCCAACTCTCCTGCCTGCTAGTCACTCTTCCTCTCTTTACCTCAGTGCTCCCATCTGTAAAATAAGGAAGTCTGACCTATTTTATTTCAAAGAGCCTGATGTTATACATTGTCTAAAAATGGGTTTACTACAATGTGTTTAACAGATTTAAGATTTTTTAATGTGTTAAAAATATGTGTATAAGAAAAGAATATTAAAATATTAATATTATTAAAAGAATACTAAAATATTCTTTTCTGAGCCCCCTAAGTTTAAGCCCCTGGCTCTGGAAACAAGGAGTTTTCAGTTGGTTCTGATGCTATGTGACGAGTGTTAGGATAGAATGGGAGGGGATATTGAGCAGAGATCCCAACACTCCCATAGGAAGGTAGACTTCCTGGTTTGTGGATCCTCTCTGTATATACTTCCATGACAGTTTTACCTTTTCTTCCATTCTTCTGCCTCCCCTCAGTGTATCTAGAACAGAGCTCTGAGTGGGGAATAATCAGTTAATGCTACTGGGCAAAGGACCAATGTCCCTTTATACTTCTCTTTGCCTATGACTCATGCCCTGGACCCCGCCCCATGGAAGCAAATAAAAACCTGAGTCCAGAGCCCCATTGCAGGATGTTCTCAACTCCTGGATCTGCCACATCCTTCTCAAAGACCATAAAATTCTTGCTACTGGCTCTTACTGTATTTTTGGTCCTGTTCAGATGTTCCCAGGTAAACAGAACCAAGGAAGAAGGGAAAAAGAGCTAGCATGGGGAAGTGTCCATGGAAGGCTTAATATCTTTTCCTTCATTGAGATAGGGTTTTTGGGGATGGTTGATTAGGCTTGAATTTATTAGAGTGCTTTCCTCCTAGGACAAACCTAAGGCCCCATATTGGGAATGTGTATCTGGCCAGGATCCCTGGAACCATAAAATAGGGCACGGTGTCTTATGAGAAGTCCTTTTCATACTCAGCTATAACCTCAGCATCCCAAATTGCACATGGTGCTTTGCTCCAATGTCCCAGTGACCCAACTGAGGGGCTGCCTGACTTCAGCTGTCTTTCTAATCTCTACGAAATCATGAGTCCTGAGGCCTTTCTTGGACATTAAGTTCTATTATCACTTCATATAAAGTTCCTGTACTCCTATTCTGGGATAAAAGTATCTGCAGACCAGCTATGTGGACGAAAGTACAGGCCCTTCTGCTCCTTTCCAACCATAAAAGTCTGTGATTTTTGTTAATGATTTCCAGTAAGATTTCACAAACAAATGGCCAGAGTTTTGAAACTACTGCTTATGAAGGCCTGAATAATTTTTAGACAAGGTACCATTCTCCTCTTCTGTCTGACACTTAAAACCTTTTTTCTATGCATATATAAATCCACATAAATATATATGTACCTGTACTTCTTTTTTAACCAAAAAAGGTAACTATACTTTGCTCTAAAATTTTTAAAATTCAGCAATATATTCTAGACATCTTCCTTGTCAGCACATAAAATTTTGCCTCATTGCTTCTGGAAATTACATGTTATTCCATCATATGGATAGATCCTAATTTATATACATCTAATCTCTATTGAGTGTAAAATGAAATATTTCCAGATCTTTGATAAAACAAACAAAACTGCTACTGACCTTTTGCATATATATATATATATATATATATATATATATATATATACACACACACACACTTTTTTTTTTTTTTGAGATGGAGTCTCACTCTGTCGCCCAGGCTGGAGTGCAGTGGCGTGATCTTGGCTCACTGCAATCCCTGCCTCCTGGGTTCACACCATTCTCCTGCCTCAGCCTCCCGAATAGCTGGGACTACAGGTGCCTACCACCACGCCCAGCTAATTTTTTGTATTTTTAGTAGAGACGGGGTTTCACCGTGTTAGCCAGAATGGTCTTGATCTCCTGACCTTGTGATCCGCCCACCTCGGGCTTCCAAAGTGCTGGGATTACAGGCATGAGCCACCGTGCCTGGCCTTGCACATATATTTTTATATACTTGGGTAAAAATGTCTAAACAAGTTCCTAGAAGTCAATTTGCTAGGTCGGGTAAGTGTATCATTTTGTTTTTAATGAGCACCTTTTCTAAGTCTCCTTGGGTCATACATGACTGGATGAAATCACTTGGCTTCTAGGACAAAAAAGTAAAAGCTTTAGAAAACTCAAATTAACTTTTTCATGCAAACCTAGAAAAATTTGGGTTGTGGCAACTTCTCAACTGTAACACTGGTGTGAAAGAAAAACTAAATACTTTAAATAGTGAAGAAAATGAACTTTTAACCTAGAACTTTATATCCATCTACACTGCTACTTAAATATAGGAGCATAATAAAAAATATTATCAAGCGTAGGAGGACTCAGAATGCTTGCCACATAAAGACTGGAGGAAAAACTCAAATAAAAAGAGAAACAAATTGTACCACTGCCCTCCAGCCTGGGCAACAGAGTGAGACCCTGTCTCAAAAAAAAAAAAGAAAGAAAACTGGAGTGGCAATCTTAATATGTGACAGAGAAGAATTCACAGCAAAATGTATAATAAATGACAAAGAGATGGTTTACATACTGATAAAGAAATATTTGAGGTTGAGCACAGTGACTCACTCCTGTAATCCCAGCACTTTGGGAAGCCCAGACGGGAGGATGACATGAAGCCTGGAGTTGGAGGCCAGCCTGGGCAACATAGTGAGACCTGCATCTCTACAAAAAAAGTTTTAATTAGCTGGCCATGGTGGTGCATACCTATAGTCCTAGCTACTTGGGAAGCTGAGGCAAGAGCTCAGGAGGTCAGGGCTACAGAGAGTGAGCCATGATCATGCTACCACTACACTCCAGCCTGAGCAACAGAATGAGACCTTGTCTCTAAAAGATTATTATTATTATCATTTGTTATTATTGAGCTACAAGAACATATTAGCAACTATAATTTCAGCTTTCAAATTTACAAAACAACAAATGACAGCACTTCATGGATAAGTCAACAATAGTATTTAGAGATCTTCAACTCAAATGTTAACACTTGATTGAGAGCAACACATTGAAGGTCTAGCCAATATATTCAATAAGTTTGAATGTATTGAATATATATTTATATCTGGACATTTCTGTGCTCAACAGAGAGTAAGCATTCTTTTGAGCACATATAAAAATTTGCAAAAATGTCCCACATTTTAGACCACAAAGAAAACTTCATTAAAGAATAGCATGCCAAAAAAAAAGAACAGCATACAGATTGTATTCCCCTACATAATAAATAAAATTAGAAATTAACACTAAAAGAATGGCAAAGAACTCATATTTAGAAACTAACACATTAGTCTACAGACATACCACCCTAAATGCAACAATCTTGTCTGATCTCAGAAGCTAAGCAGGGTCAGGCCTTGTTGGGACTTGGATGGGAGAAACTAACACATTAGTAAATAAACTTTTCCCTACCTAAGAAATCACATTTACTAACAAGCAAGTCACGTGGATGAACCAAGAACAAAATGGTGAGGTAGACCCCCTGACTGTAATAAGAGGGCATCATAAAGTTACACAGCAAAGGGCATGGATCCCAGAAGGGATAAAAAATTGGAGCCTTTTTTACAGTCAGTCTACTACATGGTATTAGAAGTCAGGACAGCATTACCTCGGAGGGGAAGAGGAACATTAATGACTGGAAGAGGTCATGAAGAGGTTTTGTAATCCTTGTTACCTGAGTAGTTTTTTCTAAGATGATTCATCCAGCTGTATACCAATAATTAGTGTACATTTCTGGAAGTATGTTCTACTTCCGTTTAAACTCAATTTTTAAAACTCGTGCATAGATTTGTTACATATAGTGTCTAGATGTATACTTTACATAACCTTATCCAGATTTCCTTCAGCTGTTCTTCTTCTATCCTTTTTTTCAGCATTCAAGCTGATTCTTCTATATCCTTTGGTCATTTAGCATGATATGTGGTATCACTGAAGTTACACAGGGTAGCAAATTTCAGCCATTGTTAGTTAAGCACTGAATCCAGTTCCTAAAGGGTTCCCAAAAATCCTTTGGGAACTATTAAGATTAATAATACAACATCAAGGCATGATGAAATGGACAATGATATCAGATGCATTTCCCAACTTATTTTTCTTTTTTCATTAAAGTATGTGGCATTAGAAAAACTATTCAGATTCATTTAGCAATCAATAGCCAGATTTTGTTGTTGGATATCTAAGTGATGGTGGTTCTAAAAGTAAAAATTGTCAGTTGCCTGTACTCTATCCCATGAGACTTGGTAAATTCTATGACTTACCTATACGTTTTCTGTAAAATGACCAAATGCCTTTTACAAGCATTTCTCAAAAATAAAAGCAAGCAGATTTCCATCCACCTTGGAGATGTTACATCTTTAAGCTAAATGTTCCTAAAATTAATATGGAACCATGAAAGACCTTGAATAGCAAAAGCAATCTTGAGCAAAAAGAACAAAGCTGATCACATCACACTACCTGACTTCAAAACATACTACAAAGTTATAGCAACCAAAACAACATAGTATTGGCATCAAAACAGACACATAGACCAGCAGAACAAAATAGAAAACCTAGAAGTAAATTCACACAACTACAGCTAACTGATTTTAAACTAAGGTGCCAGGTACACACAATGGGGAAAGTATAGCCTCTTCAATAAGTGGTGCTGGGAAAACTGGATATCCACATGCAGAAGGATGAAACCAGACTCTTTTTTCTAATCATATACAAGTATTAACTCAAAATGGATTAAAGGCTTAAATGTAAGACCCAAAACTATGGGAAGAAACATGGGGGAAAAGCTCCACAATATTGGTCTAGGCAAGGATTTTTTGTATAAAACCTCAAAAGCACAGGCAACAAAAGCTTGTCTAATCACATATAGACAAATGGGATTACATTAAACCAAAAAGCTTCTGCGTAGCAAAGAAAACAACTAACAGAGCAAAGAGACAACCTACAGAATGGAGAATGTATTTATAAACCACACATCTGAAAAGGGACTAACATTCAAAACATGCAAGGAACTCAACAACAACCAAAAAAAACCCAATTTTAAAATGGGCAAAAAACCTGAATAGATATCTCTCAAAATAAGACATACAAATGGCCAACAGATATATGAAAAAAAAATGCTCAACATCACTAAGCATAAGGGTAATGTAGATCAAAACTACAACGAGATATCACCTCACTCCATTCAGAATGACTACTGTAAAAAAAAAAAGGATAGCAAGTGTTGGTGAGGATGTGGTGAAAAGGGAACACTCACATACTGCTAGTGAGGATGTAAATTAGTACAGACATTATGGAAAATGGTTTGGAGGTTCCTCAAAAAATTAACAATATAATTATTATATGATCCAGCAATCCCACTACTGAGTATATATCCAAAGGAAATGAAATCAGTGTGTCAAAGAGATATGTGCACTCATGTTTGTTACGGCACTATTCACAATAGCCAAGACATAGAATCAACCTCAGTGTCCACCAGCAAATGAATGAATAAAGAAAATGTGACATATATACGCAATGGAATATTATCCAGCCATAAAAAAAAATGAAATCTTGTCATTTGCGGCAACGTGGATGAACCTAGAAGACATTACGTTAAGTGAAATAAGCCAAGCACAGAAAAAGAAATACCATGTGATTGCACTCATATGTGGACTCTAAAAAGTTGTTCTTATAGAAGTAGAGAGTAGAATAGTGGTTAACAGAGGATGGGGAAGGCAGAACAAAGGGAAGAAGGTGAGAAACGGGTCAGTAAGTATAAAACTACAGTTAGATAGGAAGAATAAGTTCTGGTGGTCTATTGCATAGTAATATGACCAGAGTTGACAATAATATATTGTATATTTCAAAATAGATAGAAGAGAGGTGTTTGGATATTCTCATCACAAAGCAATGATAAATGTTTAAGATAATGGATATGCTAATTTCCCTAATTTTATCATTATACAATTTATATATATATTGGAACATCACATTGTATTCCATAAATATGTACAATTATTAAGTGTTAATTATAAACTTAAAAAATGGTTGTCGCCTCTTAAGAATTTATTAGTGTGTGGATATTCTGGCTAAGATATAAACTTTTCTATAGTACAGTGGTTCTCCCGACCACCAGCATCAGCATCACCTGGAAACCTGTTAAAAGTGCAAATTTTTAAGCCCATTACAGATCTACTGAATCAGAAACTCTGAGGGCTGGCCCAGAAACCTGTTTTAGCAAGCCCCTGGGGGAGACTGTGGTGTATGCTTAATTGTGAGAACCAGCAAATAATCTACTACAACTATGGTTCTGAGATCTCTAGTTAAAACACCGATTTTCTTCCATTTGCTGCCTCATGGAGCAATTGTTTTTTAAAACACTTTGTTGAAATATGACTGATATTCAAAAGCTGTACATATTTAATGCATACAAGTTGATGAATTTGGAGATAAGTCTACACCTGTGAAACCATCATCACCACAATCTATGGTATAAACCCGTCCTTCACCCCTAAAAGTTTCCTCCTGCCTAGCGCAATCATTTTTAAGACATTTTAAGTGACAATTGTGGACCCAATTTCAGTTGAAATTCCTATACTTGTGGTATGGGAAATGTAAACAATTCAGCTGAGGTGGAATTAAATTAGCTTCCTTGGCCAGGCGCAGTGGCTCACACCTACAATCCCAGCACTCTGGGAGGCCGAGGCGAGCGGATCACCTGAGGTCAGGAGTTCAAGACCAGCCTGGGCAACATGGTGAAACCCCATCTCTACAAAAAATTAGCTGGGCATGGTGGCATGCACCTATAATCCCAGCTACTCAGGAGGCTGAGGCAGAAGAATCGCTTCAACTGGGGAGGCGGAGGTTGCAGTGAGCCGAGATCATGCCACCGCACTCCAGCCTGGGTGACAGACTGAGACTCCATCTCGAAAAAATAAAAAATAATAAAAAATAAAAATCAGCCTGCTTTATACAACTAATTTCACATAATCTTGCCAAATAACCCCAGTTTCTGCTATCTAGCAAGTTCCTTGGACATTGATGGTAAAATGCTTAGAAATATGATATATACCAAACCTGGCTTTGTTTACATAATTTTCCTTAATGAATTCTCTTCAGTCTGCAGGATCGTTGTGAAGATTACAGATACAGTGGCTCTCATTGTTATGACTATGAGCATCAATATCTTGAATTAATTACCTTTCTTTACTCTTTTCAGTCTGCAGGAGCCAAAAATCTTGCTGGATCATAAAAGGACACTGCAGGAAAAACTGCAAACCTGGTGAACAGGTTAAAAAGCCATGTAAAAATGGTGACTATTGCTGCATTCCAAGCAACACAGATTCTTAACCACAGAGACCATCCCCAATCACCTACCGCAAAAACCCAAACTTTTGGTAATAATTTTGGAAATAACCAAATGTATCAGTAATAATCATTATGGACCACAAGAATTTAGAGTGAAGCAGAAAAAACCGGGGGATTTCTCGGATAAGGGATTGTCAACTATTCGAGTCTCTCTTTCATGGGTCCATTAAAGCACATGACCTCCTGTCTGCTGTTACTCATCTCTGTTCTCACAGGGCTGGATTAAGACCTTGAGCTGCTCATGGCACTGAAAATATCATGGTGTCCCATCCCCACCAATATTTAATTCTAAACAAAAACAATGATAAACTAATTAAATAGAAGGAAATCCCGAAGACTTTCAGTATTTTCCATGAAAAATACTCTCTTGTTCCTTTCAGATAAATAAATTGGATTGGGGGGGGGGGAATGATGAGAAATCGAGCCAAAAGGCAAAGGAAGCTATCAATAAAACATAACTGCTGGGGCAGTGGCTCACGCCTGTAATCCCAGCACTTTGGAAGGCTGAGGCGGGCAGATCACGAGGTCAGGAGATTGAGACCATCCTGGCTAACACAGTGAAACCCCGTATCTACTAAAAATACAAAAAAATTAGCCGGGCATGGTGGCGGGCGCCTGTAGTCCCAGCTACTCGGGAGGCTGAGGCAGGAGAATGGCGTGAACCTGGGAGGCGGAGCTTGCAGTGAGCCAAGATAGCGCCACTGCACTCCAGCCTGGGGGACAGAGCTGTCTCAAAAAAAGAAAGAAAGAAAGAAAGAAAACATAACTATGAGGGTTTTAAGAAGGTGACCTTAGCCATGCAGTGACAGGATGAGTACAGAAGCCAAATTTTAGTAAGATGAATTTGGGGGAAGAAGAAAGAAAATTGATAAACCTCTAGCTAGATTAATCAGGAAAAATTTACTGGTGATGTTCATCCTGAACCTAGAAGCAAAAGTTCTAAACAAAATTTTAGCAAATCAAATCCAATAAAATATAAAAATAATAATACATCATGACCAAAAAATACATCCTGCATAATACATAATCCTTCATGCCTCAGAAGTGGAAGGTCGGTTTAACATTCAAAAATCAAGCAATGTTGTAGCATTATTCACAATAGCCAAGACATGGAATCAACCTAAGTGTCCAACAGCAGATGAATGGGTAAAGAAAATGTGGTACATGTACACAAGGGAATACTGTTCAGCCTTTAGAAAGAAGGAAATCCTCTCATTTGCAACAACATGGATAAACTTGAACCTGGGGGACATTATGTTAAGTGAAATAAGCCAGGCACAGAAAAATAAATGATCTCACTTACATGTGAAATCTAAAAAAGTCAAACTCATAGAAGCAGAGAGTAGAATGATGGTTACTAGGACTGGGGGGTGGGGAGAATTGGGGAAATGTTGGTCAAAGGATACAAAATTGCATAGACAGGACGAATAAGTTCAAGAGATCTATTGTACAACATTGTGACTATCATTAATAACAACAAATTATATACTTGGAAATTGATAAGAGAGTAGATTTTAAGTGTTCTTACCACAAAAAAAGATACATATGTGATAATGCATATGTTAATAAGCTGGATTTAGCCATTTCACAATGTATACATATTAATATTTCAAAACATCATGTTGTATGCTCTAATATATACAATGTTTATCCATTAAAATAAATTTAAAAAGTAAAGTTATTCGTGTTTCAAGTGAAAGAAAAAAGGGACCAAGGCAGGAGAATCACTCCAGGCCAAGAGTTCAAGAGCACCCTGGGCAACCTCCATCTCTACAAAATTTTTTTAAAGAAGAAAATCAAGCAATGTAATTCACTGTATTAATGAAGCAAAAAAGAAAAATCATGTAGTCACCTCAGTAGACACAGAAAATTGGAAGTTGACAATTCCAATAATCTATTTCTGGTAAAAATAAAACTAAAATAGAAGGGAACCTTTTCCACCTGAAAAGGAACATATAAGAAAAGCCTACAGCTAACATCACACTAAATAGGAAAAGACATAATACTTTTTCCTGAAGAATGTCTGGTCTCACCACAGCTATTCAACACTGACTGCAATAAGGCAAGAAAAAGAAATCAAAGGCATCAAGACTCAGGGGCTGAGGGAAGTAGTAAAACTCTATTAACAGATGACATAATTCTCTACATAGAAAATCCCAGGCCAGGTGTGGTGACTCACCCTCGTAATCCCAGCAATCTGGGAAGTGAAGGCAGGCAGATCACGAGGTCAGGAGATGCAGACCATCCTGGCTAACACGGTGAAACCCCATCTCTACTAAAAATACAAAAAAATTAGCTGGGCGTGGTGGCACGCTCCTGTAGTCCCAACTACTCGGGAGGCTGAGGCAGGAGAATCGCTTGAACCCAGGAGGTGGAGGTTACAGTGAGCCAAGATCGTGCCACTGCACCCCAGCCTGGGCGACAGAGCAAAACTCTATCTCAAAAATAAACAAATAAATAAATAAAATAAAAATTAGAAAATCCCACTGAGTGTAGGAGAAAGCTACTAGAACAAATAGGTGAGTTTGGCAAAGTTGTAGCCTACAAGTTCGATATACAAAATCAGTTGTATTTCTATATGTCAGCAATAAACAATCTGAAATTAAGTTTTCAAAATAATAATTTATAATAGCACCGAAAATATGGAATACCTAAGGGAAAATCTGACAAAAAGTAAGTAAGCAAGGCCTGTTTATTAAAAACTATAAAACATTGTGGAGTGCAATTTAAGAAGACCTAAGTAAGTGGAAAGAAATATCATTTTTATGGACTGGAAAACTCAATATTGTGAAGACATCAGTTTTCTCCAAATTGGTCTATAGATTCAATGCAATTGCCATTAATATGCCACTAAGATTTTATGCAGAAATTGACAAACATTTTTAAATTTATATGAAAATGCAAATGATATAGTATAGCCAAAACAACTTTACATGTGGAAAGATTTTCAAAATCATTATTAATTAAGGAATTAAAAATTAAGATCAGCCAGGTGCGGTGGCTTACGCCTGTCATCCCAGCACTTTGGGAGTCCGAGGTGGGCAGATCACCGGAGGTCAGGAGTCAGAGACCAGCCTGGCCAATATGGTGAAACCCCATCTCTACTAAAAATACAAAAATTAGTCGGACATGGTAGTGGGTGCCTGTAATCCCACCTACTTGGGAGCTGAGACAGAAGAATTACTTGAACCCAGGAGGTGGAGGTTCCAGTGAGCCGAGATCATGCCACTGCACTCCAGCCTGGGCAACAGAGCAAGACTCTGTCTCAAAAAAAAAAAAAAAAAAATTAAAACCACAATGAGATGCTGTATTAGTCTGTTCTCACACTCACTGTTATGAAGAAATACCCGAGACTGGGTAATTTATAAAAGAAAGAGGTTTAATTGACTCACAGTTCTGCATTGCTGGGGAGGCCTCAGGAAATTTACAATCATGGCAGAGGCAAAGGAGAAGCAGGCACCTTCTTCACAGGGCGGCAAGACGGAGTGAGTGCAAGCAGGGAAAATGCCAGATGCTTATAAAACTCAGATCTCGTGAGACTCACTCAGTATCACGAGAACAGCATGGGGGAAACTGCCCCCATGATCTGATTACCTCCACCTGGTCCCACCCTTGACACGTGGGGATTATAATTCAAGATGAGATTTTGGGTGAGAACACAGACAAACCCCTGGCCCCTGGTCCCTCCCAAATCTCATGTTCTCACTTTTCAAAACATGATCATGCCTTTCCAACAGTCCCCAAAAGTCTTAGCTCATTCCAGCGTTAATTAAAAGTCCAAGTCCAAAGTCTCATCTGAGACAAGGCAAGTCACTTCTGCCCATGAGCCTGTAAAATTGAAAGCAAGTTAGTTACTTCCTAGATGCAATGAGGGTACAGGCATTGGGTAAATACACCTGTTTCAAATGGGAGAAATTGTCCAAAACAAAGGGGCTACAGACCCCATGCAAGTCTGAAATCCAACAGGGGAGTCATTGTACCTTAAAGTTCCAAAATAATCTCCTTTGACTCCATGTCTCACATCCAGGCCATGCGGATGCAAGAGGTGGGCCCCCACGGCCGGGCGCAGTGGCTCACGCCTGTAATCCCAGGACTTTGGGAGGCCAAGGCGGGCGAATCACGAGGTCAGGAGATCGAGACCATCCTGGCTAACATGGTGAAACCCCGTCTCCACTAAAACTACAAAAAATTAGCCAGGCATGATGGCGGGCGCTTGTAGTCCCAGCTACTCGGGAGGCTGAGGCAGGAGAATGACGTGAACCCGGGAGGCGGAGCTTGCAGTGAGCCGAGATTGTGCCACTGCACTCCAGCCTGGGGCGACAGAGCAAGACTCCGTATCAAAAAAAAAAAAAAAAAAAGAGGTGGGCCCCCCACAGCCTTGGACAGATACCACTGTACAACTACTAGAATGACTAAAATTAAAAAGACTGACTATACCAAGTACTGGTGAGGATATGAAGGAACTGAAACCCTTATACATTGAGAATGCAAAATGATACAACCACTTTGGAAAACCGCTTCCTAATATGTTAAAGAGTTTCCTAATATGTTAAAGTTATGGAATACCCCCTATCTCTCTGGGAAACCATGCCTGCCATGCAATCCAGCCAATCTACTCCTAGGTATTTTTCTCACAAGACCAAAAATCATATGTGCATACAAAGACTTGTACATGAATGTTCATAGCATCCTCATTTGTGATAGTCAAAACTGGAAACAAGTCAAATGTCCGAATGGATAAACTGTGATTTACTCATACAATGGAATACTACTCAGCAATAAAAGGAGTAAACTGGTGAAACATGTTACATGGCTGAATCTCAAATAATGCCAGTGACTTATAGAAACCAGATAAAAAAAAAAGAGTACCTACTCTATGGTTACACTTATATAAAATTCTGGTGAATGCAAACTAATGTATAGTTATATCTACAAAATAGATCAGAGGTCTTCTGGGGGAGGCAGGAGGGAGGGATTCCTAAGGGACATGAAGAATGTTTGGGGGTAGTAGAAATGTTCAGTTTCTTGATTGTGATGAAAGTTTCATGAGTATATACGTGCCAAAATTATCAAATTACGTACTTTAAACACTGGAAGTTTGTTGTTTGTTAATTATATCTCAATAAAGCAGTTAAAAAAAAAAATAAGAACTTGGCCGGACATGGTGGCTCACGCCTGTAATCCCAGCACTTTGGAGAAAATATAATGGGAATTTAAATCACATAGGGTCTTGCAGGCCTTTGAAAGAAAGCCATTCAGAACCTTTGATCACAGGATGATAAGAGAAATGCAGATTAAAACAACAGTATGAGGGAGGCTGAAGCGGGCGGATCACTTGAGGTCAGGAATTGGAGACCAACCTGGTCAACATGGCAAAACCCCGTCTTTACTAAAAATAAAAAAATTAGCCGGGCATGGTAGCGTGCACCTGTAGTCTCAGCTACTTCGGAGGCTGAGGCAGGAGAATCGCTCAAACCCGGGAGGCGGAGGTTGCAGTGAGCTGAGATCTCACCACTGCACTCCAGCCTGGGTGACAGAGTGAGACGCTGTCTCTTAAAAAAGAAGAAGAAGAAGGAAAACAGCTTTCAGCATAATAAAAATCTAATAAGTAAACAGCAATGGAAAGTTCAGGTATATTTCTTAATGGATATGGACTGCATTTATCCCTTGACAAGAGTGGCTGGCTGTGGGCAGTGGACCAGGGACTCGCGGGACACCATGGACTACATGGACTACACCCACCTAGCTTCTCCCCTGTGATGAGTCCTTCCGCTTCAGGCCTTTTTTTTTTTTTTTTTTTTACAGCCCTTCTCCATTCCCACCACCACCACTACCGTCTCAGATATGAGATCAGGCTCTGTGAATTGGGTTAGGGGTAATCCAGATTTTCCTGCTTTTCTGTAGCAAGAGCGAAAAAAGGTGTTTCTCAAGTTCTTCAGTTTAGAAAGGGTCAGGGATCTCTGCACTTATCAGGACATGTAGAGAAACCATTCATAAAATTAAGAACATAGATTTGTATGCTTAGAAGGAACTAGAAAAGACATTCTTTATTCTATATAGAAATCCATCCTATTTAATCACTTAGACCCTGCTTGAAAAATGAGTTATAGAGTACCCCCTCCCTCTCTGGGAAACAATTCCATAGTAAGAGAGTTCTGCCTGTTAGAACATACTAATCTAAAATTAATTTGGAGGCCAGGTGCAGTGGCCCATGCCTGTAATTCCAGCACTTTGGGAGGCCAAGGAGGGAGGACCACTTGAACCCAGGAGTTTGAGACTAGCCTGGGCAACATAGTAAGACCTGTCTCTCCCAAAAAAATTTTTTTAAATATTCGGGCATGGTGGTGAATACCTGGGCAGTCCCAGCTACTCAGGAGGCTGAGGTGGGAGGATTGCTTGAGCTCAGGAGCTTGAGGCTGCAATGAGCTGTGATCGCACCACTGCACCCTAGCCTGGGCTACAGAGCGAGATCCTGTCTCAAAAAAATAAAAACATAAAACAAAATTAATTTGAAAATAGCCCACCACCATGCTACGCTTTCCACATGGTTCCATCCAGAAGAGAAGTCTCCTCAATCACATGGCAACCCTGCTAATTCCCATCAATTATTCTCACAGTGAAAGTTATCAATTCCAGAAGAGAAAAATCAGCAACCTCCTCTGTAAAAGCTTTACAGAGACTTTTAGAGCCGAGTAAACAAGAGGGAGCAAAAGTTGAAACACGATGAAAATGCAACTAAAGCAATGCAGGACCTAGGCTGACTCTGGGGGTGACATCGAGGTTCCACATCCCAAAGGCAAGTCTAAATGTTGGGGTCTTCATGGACAGCTCCCAGACCTCTGATGACCCTCATGGTGCCGTTGTCAAAGGTAACATCCCAAATTATTGTAGATCTGTCTTCAGCAGGGATTTTTTTTTTTTTTTTTGAGACAGAGTCTCACTCTGTTGCCCAGGCTGGAGTGCAGTGGTGCGATCTCAGCTCACTGCAACTTCCACCTCCTGGGTTTAAGCGATTCTCCTGACTCAGCCTCCTGAGTAGCTTGGATTACAGGCACCCACCACCACACCCAGCTAGGGAATTTTTTTTTTAATGACATTGGGTAGCATCCCCCTTTGAGTCTTATAAATGATCTCCCTCAAACTTCTGCAGCAAGTGACTTCTTGGGCAAGTCATTTTCCCTGTTGGGCACATATGTAAGAGAGGGATTTGGCT
The DNA here is from genome assembly GCF_000001405.40 of Homo sapiens. Taxonomy (NCBI): domain Eukaryota; kingdom Metazoa; phylum Chordata; class Mammalia; order Primates; family Hominidae; genus Homo; species Homo sapiens. The sequence goes on from NC_000020.11 coordinate 31,368,135, forward strand.
TATAGATTGACATGTGTTCATTATCGTTTATTTCCACAAACCTTCACTGAGAGCATGCTTCGTGCCTTGGGGGCTCAAAAATGAAAGACACGTTCCCTACTCTCAGGAATTTCACAGGCTGGTGCGGGGAGACACACAGATAAGTAGACCATTCAAAAGTAGGTTTATGCTAGAGTGAGAGGGGCTGTGAAGAAGGGCTGAGCCCTAATGAGAGATCGGGGAAAGCTAGGGAAGATGTCCCAGTGTGAATCTTCCCTCTCCATTGCTCCAAACACCTCCTCAAAACCTGTGACTTGTAACCCTCTGCATGCCCTCCCAGTGCCTGGATCAAATGCTCAGCTTATGTGCCACACACTAGACTGATGTTATGCATGGATAAGCTCTTAGATATCCGGCTGGTTCTGTGCCCATCCCTCTGCCCCCACTGCAGAGAGGCCAATAAAACTCTTGTTCAGACTCACACTGCACACAGTATTCTGAACTCCTGGATCTACCACCTCCTGCTTCCCAAGGACCATGAAACTCCTGCTGCTGGCTCTTCCTATGCTTGTGCTCCTACCCCAAGTGATCCCAGGTAATCAGAGGTCAGGGAAGATACAAAAATAGAGGTATAGTGGGTTCTGGCTCATGAAAATTCCAATGTGTCACGGTACTCCCCAACATGGGCAGCTCCACAGTTCCCACACTGGGACTATGCTCCTGGCTGGGGTAAAACCTGGGAGTAGAGCAAGTTATCCTCAATAGACAGGGGCAGTCCCACCATCCAGAGTTGTCCTTGGTTCTATATTCCAAGTTGCCGCCTAAGAAACTAGGGGAAAGCTCGGCTCACATCTGTTCTCTTTCCAGATTGTGCCAGCTTTTGAAAATGATTCCTGCAGCCCACTTTGCTATGTTTTCTTGGCCCTAAAAGTCCTGCTATAGCTATAATGAGGTTCTTTTTGTTTTCTAATATTCTAGAATTTGGTGAACAAGTCAGAAAACACTGGTAGAGCTGTTACACGGAAGACAGAACTGGCTTTTCTTCTTCCTTCTACAGTGAAAATCTAAGCTTTTCATAATCACTGCTTTCTTAAGTATATCTAAAGGCATGACCAGAACTTTGAAATCACTGGTGAAGAGAGCCTGTTTCTCCTTTATGTTTTTCAAGGTGCATTTCAATGTATGATCGAACTTACATAAAAATGAATCTAAATATTTCTGTTTTATAACGAAGTAAGCACACTCCCTGCATGGCTATGCAGCACTCTTGTGTTTTTTTTTTTTTTTTTTTTTGAAGATGGAATCTCAATCTGTCACCCAGGCTGGAGTGCAGTGGCGCAATCTCAGCTCACTGCAACCTCTGCCTCCTGGGTTCAAGCAATTCTCCTGCCTCAGCCTCCCAAGCAGCTGGGATTACAGGCATGCACCATCATGTCCGACTAATTTTTGTATTTTTAGTAGAGATGGGGTTTCACCATGTTGGCAAGGCTGGTCTCAAACTCTTGACCTCGGGTGATCCATCCGCCTCGGTCTCCCAAAGTGCTGGGATTACAGGCATGAGCCACCGCACCCGGCCCTATGCAGCACTCTTCTTTCACTTATTATTTTGTGGCCATCTTTCCATGTCACCATCTAAAGATCTGCCTTATTGTTTGTAAAGTTGTATAGTTCTGCTGTAGGATAAGCCATATAAAGTCATATATAGCCATTTGAGACATTTCTTAATTTTCGAACAAGACATCAATGAATATGCTTGTACAAACATTAATATATTTACATATATGGATATGGGCTTAAATAGGATAGATTCCTAGAGGGCAAATAACCAAGTTAAATGTAAGTCTGGTGGGGGTGGGCAAGAAAATTAAAAATATATATTTGTTCCATTAATTCCTCTATTCCTCTGCCCTCATTGCAGAGAGGCCAATAACTCTTGTTCAGACTCCCACTGCACACAGCGTTCTGAACGCCTGGGTCTACCCTGGCGTTCAGGGTAGGGAAACAGGGAAACCTCTCCTGTTTCCCAGGGACCATGAAACTCCTGCTGCTGGCTCTTCCTATGCTTGTGTTCCTACCCCAAGGGATTCTGGGTAACCAGAAGTCAGTAATCAGAAGTTGTGTATCTTAAAGGACACTGCCAGCAGAAATTGCCAACTCTGGGGGTTTTTAGTAATTCTTCAGTTACAATTCCAGACACAAACAGGAATAATTCTGTGTGATCACTTTGAAAGCAATTGTGTCTGCTTTGAGTGCTAGTGGAGATATTGAGACTAGGAAAGAGACAGATGTGAAAGATTTTGTACATGAAATCCACAAGTTATAAAAACTCAGCATATGGGAAGTGAAGGAAATATTACATGATCTGGGGTTTCAAGTCTGAGTGTTAAGAGTGATAAATTGGAGCCATCCTCTTGGAGCAAAGAGTTAAGATAATGAAAGAAGCATAAAGTCTTGATGCTTTATCTTAAAAAGCCCCTACATTTGGGGAAGAAGAATAGAAATCAGTGACATTTATAGGAACAGAGATATCTCCCTACCCTCTCACCGAAAATACACAAGGGTTTTTCTATCACCATAATCCTTCAAACACCCAGCTGATGAGTATAAAATAACCTCTTACTGTTGTGGTTGCTTTTTTGTATTTGTTTCTGTTTTGAAACAGAGTCTCGCTCTGTTGCCCAGGCTGGTGTGCAATGGCGCGATCTCAGCTTGCTGCAACCTCTGCCTCGGGGGTTCAAGCGATTCCCCTGCCTCAGCCTCCCGAGTAGCTGGAATTACAGGCACGCACAACCAAGCCTGGCTACTTTTTGTATTTTTAGTAGAGATGGGGTTTCAGCACATTGGCCAGGCTAGTTTCAAACTCCGGACCTCAAGTGATCCACTCGCCTCAGCCTCCCTCGTGCTGTTGTTTTAATCTGCATTTCTCTCATCATCCTGTGATCAAAAGTTCTGAATGGCTTTCTTTCAAAGACCTGCAAGATTCTATGTGATCTCAACTCCCATTATATTTTCTCCAGTTACTCTCCACTTAACTTACTCTATACTCACCATAACTACCTTATTGTTTTTCAGAACCTTTGAGACAGGTCCTGCCTCTAAGCCTTTGCACTTGCTGCTTCCTCTGCCTGATATATACTCTGCCCCCAGTTAGTCTCGTAGCTCGCCCTCTCTCTTCCTTCTCAAACCTCAAGGGAAGTCTTTCACTATTTCCCTTCTAATCACACACTTCCTAAACCCCTTCCCTGCTTCGTTTCTCTCCATAATGCTTATCTTTTTTTTGTATTTTCATAATGCTTATAGTATGTATCCCACATAAAGTATGTTTTACTTTCTTCTCTTATTATCTACTTTTTTTCTTTTTCTTTTTTTTCTTTTTTGAGACAGTCTCGCTCTGTTGCCCAGGCTGAAGTGCAGTGGCACGATCTCAACTCACTGCAGCCTCCGTCTCCCAGGTTCAAGTGTTTCTCCTGTCTCAGCCTCCTGAGTAGCTGTGACAATAGGCATGCGCCACCACGCCTGGCTAATTTTTGTATTTTTGGACATATGCTTATTTTATACTTTGGTTTATAATTTTTTATTTTTTTAATTTCAATAGCTTTAGGGGTACAAGTGGATTTTGGTTACATGGATGAATTGTATAGTGGTGAAGTCTAAGATTTTAGTGCACCCATCACTGGAGTAGTGTACATTATACCCAATAGGTAGTTTTTCATCCCTCCCCCTCCTCTTACTCTTCCCCCTTCTGAGTCTCCAATGTCCATTATACCACTCTGTACGCCCTTGTGTACCCATAGCTTAGGTCCCACTTATAAGTGAGAACATGTGGTATTTGTTTTTCAATTCCTGAGTTACTTCACTTAAAATAATGGCCTCCAGTTCCATCCAAGTTGCTGCAAAAGACATTATTTTGTTCCTTTTTATGGATGAGTAGTAATCCATGGTGTATATATACCACATTTTCTTTATTCACTCATCAGTTGATAGGCACTTAGGTTGATTCCATACCTTTGCAGTTGCGAATTGTGCTGCAATAAACATACACTACACAGATATATTTTATATACTCATGTGAATGTATACTTTGCAGTAGAATGGGATATGACCAATGCAAATAACTTAATCACACTTGTTGAAGTAGCAACAAGATGTACTTTCTGGCCGGGTGCTGTGGCTCACACCTGTAATCCCAGCACTTTGGGAGGCCGAAGTGGGTGGATCATGAGGTCAAGAGATCGAGACCATCCTGACCAACATGATGAAACCCCATCTGACTAAAAATACAAAAATTAGCTGGGTGTGGTGGCGCGTGCCTGTAGTCCCAGCTACTCAGGAGGCTGAGGCAAGAGAATCGCTTGAACCAGGGAGGCGGAGGTTGCAGTGAGCTGAGATCATGCCACTGCACTCCAGCCTGGTGACAGAGTGAGACTCCATCTAAAAAAAAAGATGTACTTTCTTTACTCAGGTACCTTTACTCACAGGGTACAGGTAGCTTCATTATAAGTGGCCCCAATTCCTCATGACTAAAGTTTCTTTTCATTGATCGTAAGATTCATCCCACTTTCAGAATAGTTAAAAATTGACAAATGGGAGGTTGAGTATTTGCCAGACCTGAGGTGGGAGTCTTGCAGCTGTCATCTAATTATGATCCACAGTGTGGATATAGGATGCGAGATATACAGTCATGCTAGTGAAATTGAGAGCATCAGTAACCCAAAATCAATGGTCTTTCCTTTTATTATTCAGCCTATAGTGGTGAAAAAAAATGCTGGAACAGATCAGGGCACTGCAGGAAACAATGCAAAGATGGAGAAGCAGTGAAAGATACATGCAAAAATCTTCGAGCTTGCTGCATTCCATCCAATGAAGACCACAGGCGAGTTCCTGCGACATCTCCCACACCCTTGAGTGACTCAACACCAGGAATTATTGATGATATTTTAACAGTAAGGTTCACGACAGACTACTTTGAAGTAAGCAGCAAGAAAGATATGGTTGAAGAGTCTGAGGCGGGAAGGGGAACTGAGACCTCTCTTCCAAATGTTCACCATAGCTCATGACTTCCTCTCGGCTATCACTCACCCCTGTCCTCAGAGTGATAAACTAAGTCACATACAGATAAAGCACTGAAAACACCACAGTGACCCTCCCACCCCCCACCAATATGTAATTCTATTAATAGAAACAGCTGTGTAAAGAAGTCTAAAATTTTCACTATTTCCAATGATAAACTCTTCAGTGCTCTTCTTGAAATGTCACATTATTTCCACAACAAGTTATAACCTATTTTTAGTATTTCTTGTTTGCTAGTGACCTATGCACAACTTCAATAGCTTAGTTAGCTATTCCAACAACAATTTCTTCATGTATCGTTCTGTCTTCTCAACAGCTGTCTTCATGGCAGCATAAGTGGTCATGATCAAAATTCTAAATCTTTGCATCTGTGAGAGTAGCTACTATGACACTAAAAGCTTTTTTTCTAGAACAGGAGACACTTCAGGTGAAAGCATTCATTCTCCTACTAACTATGGCCTTGGAGCCAGGTTTTATCTCTCACTGTAGGAAATTGGCCGCCCCAGGTGTGAGCTATGAAGACTCCTTTTTGCCCCAGTGGCTTTGGGGTTGAAATGCTGTCGAAAAGCTTTTATGGCTCTGTAGACCCATCTTTTTGACCAAGCCTTGATCACACATGGACATCCAAGGGTAATCATGGACCCCCAATTGTGGGTGAAAGGATGGATCATTTATCTACCTGATTACTGAGAGCTTTATTTGTCTCCCTCTGATAGCAAAAAAAAAAAAAAAAAAAAAAATCTTCACATCCTATCCCATCCACATAACTCTACAACAGACTTCATTTTACAAATTTTCCAATCTTGCTCTTTCCAAGTACCTAAACAACCAGCCAATCTATTACCAGCGTTCATGAATTACTATAGATCCATACCAAGCCTTCCTTCTACTGGAAGGTTTTCCCTTAACCACTGTCTTTTGGGCCACTGCCATATCATGCTGTAATGCAGCACTTCTGTCTGGTGCTAGCATGTCATGCAGACCATTCCACAAACCTGGCCTTGCTTTTTCCTCCTTTATTAAGTAACCATAGGAACCCCTCATGATACCATTAGTGTGTGATGAAGAAGAGGCAATAAAGCAGGAATGGGTGCCATAGGCATCTGAACCACCTGCTTCTGCAGTTTATGCTTGCCAGACCTGCTAAGTTCCAATTTTGAACATATTACTTTCAACTAACATTGGAATTCTTCTTCACAGGTCTAATTGTATTATTCAAGGGGTTAGATAATACCTAATTCATGACGGGAAATTTCTGTCTCATTATTTTTTTAAACTTGTTATTCCTGATAATTCTGAAATTTGAAGTCTTTGAAAGTCTGAATCTCTAGACTGATTTCTGCTGACCTTAATTCATGGTGCCTTATTTCCTTGTGTGTTTTGTGATTTGGGGCTCTGCTCTGTTTATTTTCCTCAGAAGTTTAGTTGAGTAAACTAGTTGAGTCCTGAGTTAAAGGTCTACTCCTTTGTTTTCTTCTGTCTTTTTGGCACTACTAGTCTGGGACAACTTTAAACTTGATTTTTTTTTTCATACGACCCATGTACTGTGAATTCAGGCTGAGAGACTTTATGAGATCTACCTTGAGGTTATAAATTCTCAGTGAAGATTTTTTTTCTATTTACTGAATACTTAGGTTCATAATCAGGCAATTTTCCTTGAAAACCTCTGGTGAAGGAAAAGGAATGTTTTATGTATCTGCTTTATTTTTACACAGCATACATAACACTTTAAGGACTGAGATTTATATAGGGGTCTCCTATTAGACTCGCATATTTTTTCAGACCCTAGTCACTGCCTTCTCTCCCCTGCTTACCCCCACCTTGGCCAAAGCCATGGAAACCAAAACTCAAGTTCACCTGATTCAGCAAGTACCTTTGTGACAAAAGCTAGCGTCAGTTACTGCCTGTGAAAGAGTGCCCACTTGCACTTGGTTTTAATATTCTTTTTTTTCTTTTTTTCTTTTTTTATTTATTTTTATTTTTTGAGACAGAGTCTCAATCTGTCGCCCAGGCTAGAGGACAGTGGCGCAATCTCGGCTCACAGCAACCTCCGCCTCCCAGGTTCAAGCGATTCTACTGCCTCAGCCTCCTGAGTAGCTGGGATTGCCAGTGCACGCCACCATGCCTGGCTAATTTTGGTATTTTTAGTAGAAACAGGGTTTCATCATGTTGGTCAGGCTGGTCTCGAACTCCTGACCTCGTGATCCACCCGCCTTGGCCTCCCAAAGTGCTGGGATTACAGGTGTGAGCCACCGCACCCAGACGGTTTTGATATTCTTGGCCTTACTTTCTTGCAAGGTTAAAGATGCTTTAAAAGTTTTGTTGTATATTTTAAGTAAGTTTTTTTCACTGTTTTCAGTGGGAGGATCAGCCTGGGTTCCTCAACCAGTATTCTTCCTGAAACAGAGGTCCAGAACCAACACTTTTGTCCAGATCATAAACCTTGTTGTTGGGATGGGTGGCAGCACCAGAGGAAGGAGAAAAAAAGATCATTGTCAAAGGATGAAACTATCACTCAGTGTCTAAAACCAAAATGCTGAAATGATTGCTTTCTTAAGAACAGGAAAGCCATGCTGGTCCATCATAAGCTCCTTCACCAGAGTGAAGTGTTGAACTTACACAGCATTTGGGGAACACATTTTGAGGGAGTTGTGTTGGTTACAGAGGTGGGAATTGGTTAATGACAATTTAGAAGTGTGTACACTGAAATGAATTCAAAGCTGATTGGCATAATCAAAGCATAAGGCTGTCACTGACAATGAGCTTTCAGAAGTGTGTTCACTGAAGCAAGTTGTCGTTGATCAATGAAAAAAGTTTAAAACAGTTCAAGGTATGTACTTATTATCACGACCATAGGACTGTCAGCCTTTTCCTAGGAATGTGGAGAGTTTTTATTCTCAGAAGAGAAGAGTAACCCCAGAAGAATCCAATGAGACAAATAACAGAAGAGGAACCCCAAAAGATGATGTAGAAGGGGGAGCCTGAAAGTTAGGAAGAAAACAAAGAGTGAAATCACAGAACCCTAGGCAGTTAAGGTTTTCAAGGGGGGAATAACCTATAGTGGAAATGCTGCCTAGAGGCAGATTGAGATACAAGTTGAGGAACATTCTGAAACTTTCAAAACGGAGGTCCAGCTACACTTGTTTATATTTTTGTTTAACTTGTGGACAAAGATTTATAGACAGGTGCAAAAAATAAATCCTCTTTTGCAACCCAGAACTCATTGTTCGGTATGAGTTTTAATACATATAAGAAGGGATATTATGATGAAAAAAAAAAAAAGGAGGTCCACTGGTGACCTTGGCCAGAGCCAGTTCAATAGCAAATAAGCACAAAGGCAAACTGTAATGAGTTGAGGAGAATCAGAGAAGAAGAGAAAGATAATGGGTTAAATACTACTCTACTTTTGACAGAATTTAGAACTGCTAGTGGGAGGTAAGACACAAAAAGTAAAATTAGAATTTTATATTAAAAAGCTGGTGTTAGTTGTCATTGGGGGCATAAGCCTCTTAGGTTTTGAAGAATTGGAGGACCTTAACTATCAACAACAACAGCATCCAATATTCAAAGACCTTCTGCAATAACCACCAAACAGGCCCTTCAGCCTCACAGCTTGAAACCAACACAGCTTATTCCACATTACAGCAGCTCTGTTGGTTATAACGTTTTTTCATGAACTAGGCCAAAGTTGTCTACAAGATCTCTACCTACTGCCCTATGTATCCATCCCACTGGTTAAAGATCCTCCCTGAGTTCTACATGGCACAGATTAAGTCATAAATCTGCCTAAAGCCTTCGACCCTCCCTCATTCGATTCATTCTTCCCCCTTCCTCACCGGCTTGTCTAGCTTCTCTGTAATTGTTTCCCCAGTTTTCCAGCCTTCTTTCTCATGGGGCTCACCCAGAATGAGACAGACATTGTCACCATGCAAAGCCCAGTCTCTCACTATGATTTCCAGTGGACCAAAGACAGACAAGGGTAGCAGGCACATGAATTTTAATGAGGGGGGTTGACAGCAGGTCTCTGTGCCCAGAGAGCTTGAGAATGGTAATCACCAGCACTCAAGGTAGTCTTGGCCACTGCTTCTCATAAGACCAGTCGGTATTTTCCTCTTTGCCAGAAATGCTTATCCTCATGTAGGACTGGAGGCAGCAGGACTGACAATTTCTGCAATAGAGGTAGGGCTGTTCGTTCTTTTTGCAAGAGGCCCTACAAATTCCACTGTTACCCATGCATCGAAGGATGTGGCGTTTGCCTGCCAAAGGAAAAAAAATACAAATAGTTAATTCACCTAGGAGTGACATAAATCTGATAAGTCGGGAAGCATCATAAAAACCTAAAGGGGGAGCAGGGAGAAAACCTAAAGGACAATAGTGACTTCTACTTCCAGAAAAAAAAGAGTCAATGTCTTTTTCTCTATTTGTCCTGCCAAGTTCGGTTTAAAACCCTGGGTCTGTGTGTGTATATGTGTGTGTGTGTGTGTACACTCTGAAAGGTAAAGTAAAGAAGAACAAGGCAGGGACCTCAGGACCTAAGGAAGGACACAGCCATGAATTCCCTGGGTTTTCTTTTTGCCTCATCGATTCCAGACTTGTGCTGGAGAGACTGACAACCTGGAAACACAAACGAGTGCAGACATAGAGTCCCAAGAAAAGTCTCCTCTCTCTAGCCAAAGAACCAGGAAAGGTCAACCTAGCAAGAAAGAACAATTTAGACAATAACCACTCCACTCCAGGAAAAACCAAAGACAAAACTACACTCCCACTCATACATCCACCAAAGAAGGCTACGTGGAGAGCCTCGACTTCTGCCCTCTCCATGCTGTAAGGAGGTGTAACCTCCCAGAGTGGAACCCAAGTGGGGAGCGGGGACTATTATCACTGCTGGATGGTCACAAGGCCCATCACCACCATGCAGTGTCGATAGGAATCATGTGGGAAGCCTCGACTTCCCCTATCTGGTGGGAAGAAGGCATCCCTCCCTCCACTTCCCTGATGGGGTGGTGACAGAGAGGGCCTAGTGCAGAGTCAAGACTTTCACCACCACACAGTAGTAACAGGGCCACCACTCCCTGAGATGTGACTTGGAGGCCACACGGGGAACAGAACATCCCTCCCCATCCCAACCAAGGCAGTACCAGAGGAAATACACCTGGACTTCCACCCACCTGGCAGTATCCAGGCAGCATCCCACTGTCCTCACCAGAGCTGTATCAGAGGAGACAAGCCAACAAAGATCATTGAAATATGATCCAGCATCTCATAACATAATAATATCAAAAACATCCGCGTTCCAGCAAAAATTACTCATCATACTGAGAACCAGGAAAATCTTAACTTTAATGAAAAAAAAGACAATCAACAGAACTGAGAGCAACCCAAGTTGTGTGTATCTATAGTTCATTCCTTTTACTTCTGAGTAATATTCCACAGTATAAATGTAGTACAGTCTATTTAACCATGTGTCTGCTGAGGGCCATTTTGGTTGTTTCCAGGTCTATTAGGAGTTGGGGATTTTTTTCTTTAAGACCATGTGTTTCTTTATTTAACAACTTCTCCCCAAAAGGAAATGTTTTTGAAAATCCCTATCGTTTATAAATTGAAGAGGAACAACCTGATAATAGGTGAAATTTTCAATAAAATGACAGGAACATTTAAAAATACAATGGACTAAATAAAGATTTTTGTATACTGTTGCTTCTAGCAATAATAAAATAGGTAATTTGGAACAAATACCTGGCAGATGAAAAGTGGACACTTTTTTTTTTTTTTTTAGACAAGTCTTGCTCTGTTGCTTAGGCTGGAGTGCAGTGGCGCAATCTTGGCTCACTGCAACCTCCGCCTCCCAGGTTCAAGCGATTCTCATGCCTCAGCCTCCCATGTAGCTAGGATTACAGGTGCACGCCATCACACCCAGATAATTTTTGTATTTTCAGTAGAGATGGGGTTTCACCATGTTGGCCAGGCTGGTCTCAAACTCCTGACCTCAAGTGATCCACCCACCTCAGCCTCCCAAAGTCCACTGCACCCAGCCTGGACACATTTTTTTAATTTGTCGGAAGGCATTAAAAGACAAAATAATGGAGGTTGAGTGGGCCTAAACTAAGAAAAAGTTTGGAAAATCACTATTTTTAATTTTAGCTGCTCTAATAAGTATGTAGTAGTATCTCATTCTAGTCTTTATATGCATTTCCCTAATGGCTAATGATGTTGAACATCTTTTCAAATGCTTATTTGCTATCTCTATATCCTCTTCAGTGAAATGTCTTTTCATATCTTTTGTCCATTTCTAATTGAGTTGTTTATTACTGTTGAGTCTTTTTTTTTTGTGGAAGAAGTCTCGCTTTGTCGCCAGGCTGCAGTGCAGTGGTGTGATCTCTGCTCATTGCAACCTCTGCCTCCCAGGTTCAAGCAATTCTCCTGTCTCAGTCTCCTGAGTAGCTGGGATTACAGGTGCATGCCACCACACCCAACTAATTTTTTTTTTTTTTTTTTGGTGAGATGGAGTCTCTGTCTCTGTCATCCAGGCTGGAGTGCAGTGGCACTATCTCAGCTCACTGCAAGCTCTGCATCCCGGGTTCACACCATTCTCCTGCCTCAGCCTCCCCAGCAGCTGGGACTACAGGCACCTGCCACCACGCCCAGCTAATTTCTTGTATTTTTAGTAGAGACGGGGTTTCACCATGTTAGCCAGGATAGCCTCGATTTCCTGACCTCGTGATCTGCCCACCTCAGCCTCCCAAAGTGGTGGGATTACAGGCGTGAGCCACCATGCCCGGCAAATACTGTTGAGTCTTAAGAGTTGTTTCTATGTTCCAGATACAAGTTCTTTGTCAGATATATGGTTTGAAAATAATCTTGCCCTGTTGTAATTTGTCTTTTCAACCATCCTCTTCACAGGGTGTTTCACAGAGTGAAAGTTTAAAATTTTGAGTAAGTGCAATTTATTGATTCTCTTCTTTTCTAGGTTGTTCTTTTGTATCTAAGACCTCTTCACCAAACACACGGTCTGAATGTTTTTTCCCATGCTTTCTTCTAGAAATTTTATAGTTTTACATTTTATATTTAAATATATATTCCTTTAAAAATAATTCTCTTTAGAGACGGGGTCTTGCTATCTTGCCTGGGCTGGAGTGCAGCGGCACAATCATAGCTCACTATAACCTCAAACTCCTGGACTCAAGCGATCTTCCCACCTTAGCCTCTCGAATAGCTGGGAACTAGAGGCACAGTCACCACACTCAGCTAATTTATTTTATTTTTGTAGAGATGGGATCTTGCTATGTTGCCCAGGCTGGTCTGGAATTCCTGGGCTCAAGTGATCCTCCCGCCTCAGCATCCTGATTCACTGGGATTACAGGTGTGAGCCACCACGCCTGGCGGTTATGATCCATTTTAAGTAAATATTTGTGAAAGGTGTGACGTTTAGGTTTAGGTTTAGATTTTTTTTTTTCGCCTGTAGATGTTCAATTGCTCCAGCATCATGTGTCGAAAAGGACCTTTCTTCCAATGAATTGCTTTTGCACCTCTGTCAAAAATCAGTTGGCTGTACTTCTATGAGGCTATTTCTGAGTTCCCTATTCTGTTCCATTGATTGATGTACCTGTTTCTCCACCAAGACCACACAATCTCAATTACTATTACTATATAATAAGTCTTAAAATCTGGTAAAATAATTCTTCCAACTTTATCCTTTTTCAAATTTGTTTTAGCTATTCTTATTCTTTTGCAGATTTCTCTTCAGGCAGGGTATAGACAGAATAATCTGGTCTATATCTACAAAAAATCTTGCTGGGATTTTGACATAAATGCCTATGTCAATTTGAGGAGAATTAACATCTGTTATTTGAGTCTTACAAGATAGGAAGATGGTGTGCCTCTTCATTTATTTAGCTCTTATTTCTTTTATCAATATTCTATAGTTTTCAGCATACAATTTCTCTACATAGTTCATTAGATGTACACTTAAGTGTTTTATTTTCTTGGAGTGACTTTGAATGGTATTATATTTTTAACTTCAGAGTGCACATGTTCATTGCTATTATATAGAAATACAATTGATTTGTGTATGTTTACCTTGTATCCTGGGACCTTACTGAACCTACTTATTAGTTTTAGGTATTTTGCCTTTGCTTTTTGTTTTGTTTTGTTTGTAGATTTCTTAGGATTTTCTACATAAACCATTATGACATCTTCAAATAGACACCATTTTATTCCTTCCTGTCTAATCTGCATGCCTTTCATTTCCTTTTCTTGCATTAATGCAATGGCTAGAAATACTCAGAACTAAAAGGAACGAATTATTGATACACATAGTGTGGATGGATCTCAAGAGCATAATGCTGCTTAGCTGGGCACAGTGCTCACGCCTGTAATCCCGGCACTTTGTGAGGCCAAGGCGGGAAGATCACTTGAGCTCAGGAGTTCGAGACCAGCCTGGGTGACATGGCAAAACCCATCTCTACAAAAAATAAAAAATTAGCCGCATGTGGTGGCACGCATTTGTAGTCCCAGCTACTGGGGAGGCTGAGGTGGGAGGATCACTTGAGCCCAGGAGGCAGAGGTTACAGTGAGCTAAGATCACACCACTGCACTCCAGCCTGGGCGACAGAGCCAGACACTGTCTCAAAAAAAAAAAGAGCATAATGCTGAGCCAAAAAAGAAATAGCCAATCACAAACTCTCACATATGATTCTATTTACACAGCAATGTCAAGTGACAAAGCTATAGAGATGGGAAAACAGATTAGTGGTTACCAAGGGTTAAGCATAGTGACAGTGGGTGGGGACAGGGAAGAGGGCTGGTATGACTTTAAAGGAGCAACAGGTGGCAGATCTTCGTGGTGATGGAACAGTTCTGCAGCTTGGTCATGATGGTGGTTACATCTACACATGATGAAATGGCATAGAAGTATACACATATATTGAACCAATATCAGTTTCCTGGTTTTCATATTGTATTACAGTTATATAAAATCTAAGCATTGGAGAAATCTGGGTGAAGAGTACACAGGACCTCTCTCTTGTAACTTCCTGTGAATCTACAATTATTTCAAAATAAAAAGTAAAAATATCAATAAATAACCTAAGGGGCTATAGAGAGATTAAAAAAACAAAATCTAAAAAACAAGAATCCCTAGGTGACCAATCCCAGTTCCCATTTTACTTGCTGTGTATCCTGGGGCAAGTTTCTGCACCTCCCTGTTCTACCCTTTTTCTCATATGTATAGTATAGACCGGAAAAATATCTAACCCCTAGAATTTTGAGGATTAGTGGCTGAATACATAGAAGGCAATAAGGGACTGACACATAGTAAGAACTAAATGAATGTTAATTATTATTGTTGTTTTAAATTATCATTTGAGCAAGACCCAGAAACTCCTCTGCATCCTTGCTAACCCTGCCAGCCAGAACCACGTAGACCTAACACAGTGGTCCTCTGCTCCCTCCAGCCCAGAAGTTTCTCCACCCAGATTCCTGGAACCTGGAGTCAGCCTTTTGTGCCCCCACCAGATCCACTCATGCTTTCACTGGTGAATTCATTATTCATGTTCAAGAAACACTCACTAAATCGCATTCGTGCCCAGCACTGGGCTTAACATCAGGCATGCAGATGTAAATAAAACATCATCTCAGCCCCTAAGGATTTCCACCTAATATGTGTGTGTTTGGGGGATTGATGGAAAGGGGACAATAATTCAAATAATTACACAATAACATAATACGTGTCATAACTTCTTAAGAGTGACAGTTTGTGACGCCAATCAAAACTCAGTTTGGAGAAAAAGTGATAACCTAGAAAAGGGACATCAAATTCTCCATAGCCTTTAAAGAGCCAGTAAACAGAGAAAGAAATGTTGAGTGCTGAGGGAAAAGTTCAAGCTAGAACTGTGTACGTAGCTAAAATTTTCTTAACTGATGATATAGTTTGGCTGTGGCCCCACTCAAATCTCGTCTTAAATTGTAGCTCCCATAATCCCCACATATCATGGGAGGGACCCAGTGGGAGGTAATTGAATCATGGGAGTAGGTTTTTCCTGTGCTGTTCTTGGGATAGTGAATAAGTCTCATGAGATCTGTCCAGGCGCGGTGGCTCATGCCTGTAATCCTAGCACTTTGGGAGGCCGAGGTGGACGGGACTCTTGAGGCCAGGAGTTCGAACAAGCCTGGCCAACATGGTGAAACCTTGTCTCTACTAAAAAATACAAAAATTAGCCAGGCATAGTGGTGTACATCTATAATCCCAGCTACTTGGGAGGCTGAGGCAGGAGAATCGCTTGAGCCTGGCTACAGTGAGCCAAGACCGTGCCACTGCACTCCAGCCTGGGCAACAGAACAAGACTCTGTCTTAAAAAAAAAAAAAAAAAAAAGGCCAGGTGTGGTGGCTCACACCTGTAATCCTAGCACTTTGGGAGGCCGAGGCGGGCAGATCAAGAGGTCAGGAGATCGAGACCATCCTGGCTAACACGGTGAAACCCCTGAAACCCCATCTCGACTAAAAATACAAAGATTAGCCTGGCATGGTGGCAGGCGCCTGTAGTCCCAGCTACTAGGGAGGCTGAGACAGGAGAGTGGCGTGAACCCGGGAGGCGGAGCTTGCAGTGAGCCGAGATCCCACCACTGCACTGCAGCCTGGGCGACAGAGCAAGACTCTGTCTCAAAAATAAATAAATAAATAAATAAATAAAGTCCAACAAGATCTGATGGTTTTATAAAGGGCAGTTCTCCCGCACACACTCTTTTGCCTGCCATCATGTAAAATGTGCCTTTGCTTCTCTGCCTTCTGCCATGACTGTGAGACCTCCCAGCCATGGGAAACTGTGAATCATTAAACCTCTTTTTCTTCATAAATTACCCAGTCTTGGGTATTTCTTCATAGCAGTATGAAAATGGACTAATACAATAGATAAGGATACATTTAGATATTTTCAAAAGTAAACCCACTGAGAGACTTGATCACCAACAGGAGCTTCTTAAGAGTAAATTACAAGGGTTTAAAAATATAATTCCATAGAATGAATAAGATCTGGTATTTGATAGCATAACAGGATGACTGCAGTTCACAATAATTTATCGTACATTTTAAAATAACTAAAAGAGTATAATTGGATTTTATGTAATACAAAGAAGAGATAAGTGCTTGAGGTAATGGATATCCCATTTACCCTGATGTGATCAGTATACACTAAATTCCTGTATCAAACTATTTCATGTGCCCCGTAAATATATACACCTACTATTTATCACAAAAAATAAAAATAAAACAACTTTTAAGATAAAAAAAATTCACCGAAAACAAAAAAGTAAACTATAAGAAGAAAGAAAAGAGTTCTTATATGAAGATCTGAGAATCAAAGTGAAGGAATAATAGATATGGTATGGGAAATCAAATCATAGTGGATGAGAGGTGAGTCACAACCACAGTATAAAACATTAAGTTTAAGCAGATATCTGCAATTTGAAAATTGGAATTTGGAAAAAGTGTCCTCTAGTCTGCAAGTGTGCTAATTAGGATCAGCTGAGATCCCTCCATTCTGACATTATCCTCCCTAAATACGTGAAATGTAGACTTTTAACACAAATTTTTAAAAATTTTTTCTAATGTTCAGAAACAGTTTTTCCACTGTTTCCATGTCACTTCATGTGAGTGGTAAGAACAGTAATGATCATTATCATTCTTTTCTTTTTGTTTTCAACCTAACCTGAGTCAATTCTCTCTGCCTTCTATTTTTGTAAAATATAGACACCAGAAGACACCATCCCAACTGAATTTAGACAATGTTATTGTAAACTTCAAAAATAAAAGAAAAGAAAACTGAAAAAAATAAGCTACTGCTCTCACCTTAATCAGAATGAATGTGAATCCACAATACAATTAACAAACATTTCTGCCTTAGACCCCAGGAATACAAATTAACAAACTGCTAGACAAGACTATTATTCTGCTAGATGGAGAGTGAAGAAAGTCTAAAAGAGGCAAGGAATGATATCACCTCAAGCCTCACTGTTTTCTCAACTGAAAAATCCTTTTTCTACTCCAGATCTCTACTCAGGCCTCATTTTAGGATTCCCTGAGAATTGTTCCTTTCTCATAGAATGCCCATATCAAGTGATAATCCAATGTCTGCCATTACTCAGTGACAGTTTAGTACCTACTTTGTATCAAAGAAACAAGACAAATAACAAAAGACAAAAAAAAAAAAAAAAAACACAGTTTGATTCCCTGCTCTATCTTAATACTGTGTGACTTGGGCTAATTATGTCACCTCTCTGGACTTCAGTTTCCTAATAAGTAAGATAGAGATAATAAGAGGATTGTTGTAAGAATGGAATGACACATAGCAAGGGTCAATGAGAACTATTATTATAGCTATTATAATTGTTAAGAAATAATGACACAGGGCTGGGTGTGGTGGCTCATGACTGTAATCCCAGCACTTTGGGATGCTGAGGCAGGTGGATCACTGGAGCCCAGGAGTTTGAGAGCAGACTGGGCAACATAGTAAGACCCTGCCTCTAAAAACACAAATAGAAAAATTAGCCAGGCATGGTAGCGCACACGTGTAGTCCCAGCTACTCAGGAGGCTGAGGTGGGAGGATTGCTTGAGCCTGGGAGGGTTAGGCTACAGTGAGCCATGATCGCACTACTGCACTCCATCCTAGGCAACCAAGCAAGACCGTGTCTCAAAAAAAAAAAAGAGAGACAGATAGTGAGACAGAGTTTATGTGAAGACTTTCATGGGTGGGAGCATCAACTGAGCTATGAAGGATGAGAAGGCGTTCATCACAGAGGTGAGCTGAGTGTTGGGGACCAGCTGGAGGGAGCCATGAACAAACGCAATGTAGGGGGCAGGAGAGGATGGCGAGAGGGTTGCAGTGGCTGAAGAGAAGGTCTGTGAGGGACAGTCATGGGAGGTGAAACCGGGTCACCACGTGAGGGCTTTGAATGTCTGGACCCCGGGTGGTGATGAGCAAAGGAAGAAATCTAAGCAGGAGAATGACATAGAGAAGTTTCCTACCAAGAATCCCTCTAATAATAGAGATTAATGCAGAGAAAACCTGGGGGCAGGGAGACCAGTGAGGAACCATTTTTGGTGTTCTCACCCCGGGCCTCGGGGCACAGGTAGCTCTCATGGGCAGCCTAAGTGTCCCAGCTCCCAGAGAAGCAGCAAAACTGTGAAAAGATTATGCAGCTCCTGCCTCTGAAGTGGGCTGAAAAATAGATTGTGAACCTAAGTATGCATCAACAGATGAACGGATAAAGAAAGTTTGCATAAACACAATGGAATACTATTCGGCCACAAAAAAAGCATGAAGTTCTGTCATTTGTGGCAACATAGATGAGCATGATGTTAAGTGAAATAAACCAGATACAGAAAGATAAATATTACTTGTTCTCACTCATATGTGGAAGCTTAAAAATGTGGATTTCATTGAAGTAGAGAGTAAAATAGAGTTTATCAGAGACTGGGAAGGGTAAGTGGGAAGGGAGAATAGGAAGAGGCTGGTTAAACGGATACAAAATCACAGCTAGATAGGAGGAATAAGTTCTAGTGTTCCATAGCTCTGTAGGGTGACTATAGTTAACAATCATTTATTGCGTATTTTCTTTTTCTTTTTCTTTTTCTTTTTTTTTTTTTTTTTTTTTGAGACGGAGTCTCGCTCTGTCGCCCAGGCTGGAGTGCAGTGGCGGGATCTCGGCTCACTGCAAGCTCCGCCTCCCGGGTTCACGCCATTCTCCTGCCTCAGCCTCCCAAGTAGCTGGGATTACAGCCACCATGCCTGGTTCAATTTTTATATTTAGTAGAGACAGGGTTTCACCATGTTGATCAGGCTGGTCTCAAACTACTGACCTCGTGGTGATCCACCTGCCTCGGCCTCCCAAAGTGCTGGGATTACGGGGGTGAGCCACCGCACCCAGCCTATTGTGTATTTTCAGTTAGCTAGAAAGAGGACTTTGCATGTTCTAAATACAAAGAAATGATAAATGTTTGAGGTGATGGATATGCTAATTACCCTGATTTGATGGTTACACTTTCTATACGTTTATTGAACTATCACACTGTACACCATAAATATGTGCAATTATTATTTGTGAATTTAAAATAATTCTTTAAAAGAAATGGGTTATCAGCCAGAGCAGGATCCAATACCAGGCACAACCCTAACATTTGCAGGTCCTGAGGCAAGAAGGCAAATGAAGGCTACTGTGTCATGTCCTTTGTCTGCATACTTAAATGTTTTAATCAAGCTAATAAAAAGAATACATAAAATATATCTATCCTCATTTACGAGATAGCCCTTCATAATGACCTGAAAGGTCAGGTTTGAATTTATAATTCTCTGATTCCTCAGAACTCCATGCAGGAACATGGCATTCCGAGGGAAGCCTGCCCAGCCCACAGCTCACCTCTCTTCTCACCCATCCCTAGCTCTGCCCACAGACCCTGCAAACAAGAGCATCCCTTGATGCTTCTCCTGCCTAGGGGTCGGCACCCAGTGGGCCCCACCCTCCAGGGAGGGACCTTGAGGAAAGGCCCCTGCAGCTCCTTGAAGCAGGCACAAGGTTTCTCTGGGCAGGCAATCCCAGGACCCAGCTACTCAAAGCATGACCCAGAAAGGGAGGAGGGCAGGCAGAGGCTCCTCGTGGGCATATTCCCCTTGCTCCTAGCAACTCCTCACCCCATGAGGAGGGACTTAGCCAGAGGAGGGGCCCCTCTTTCCAGAGTCTAAGGGCAGAAATATTGAGCTGAGAGCAAATAGTCTTCCTGGATGATAATGAACTCCTTCTGTCTGTCTCTATGCCATGAACCATGCTTTACCGAGCACTCTTGGTCCCTGGCCTCACTGCAGAGGACGCAGTTCAGGGTGAAAAACTAACTGTGTTGGTTAAATGGGGCCCAGAGAATAGGACTTGAGAATAAAGTCTGGGAAGACACCCAGATTCTCTAGATTCCCAAACAGGATTCTTAAATGTTCCCCATGAGTGAGTCTTCTCCCCAGCTAAAGTACCAATTCAAATGAGACAGGCTTCTGTCTCCCTCAGACTCTAACACAGTTGGAAGGCACACAGTTCATATTTCATAAATCCTTGAATAAATCAATGAACAATAGGTGACGACATTTGTTGAGTGCTTACCTTTGCATTATTATGTCATTTCATCCTTACTGCAATCCTGAAATAGATTCTACAATTACTCTAATTTACAGAGGAGGAAGATGAAGTTCTGAGAGGTTTATATGCAGAGTCTGCCAGTAGTAAGTGGCAGAGCTGAAGTGAATATGAATGAATGAATCGGTGAAAGAATGGAAAAAATGAATAATGAACAAATTCATATATAAATAAGCAAATCATGTGCTTTATCTTTTTTTAGTACTCAGACACCTTCTAACCCCTGGGGCTGGGCCTCTTGAGCACTAGAAAGCATCAGCTGGTTTCTCTAGAACCCCAAGGATTTGGGTTATATTCAGCCCCATCCACTCTCAGCCCATTCACTCTCAAGATGGACCAACTCTCCCAGCCTAAGGATTCTCCCACTCTTTAGGCATCTGCTATGCCTTTAAATCTCTCAGCTCCCACCATGTTCTCCCCAGTCCACTCCTGACTCAATAGCCTCTCCTGCAGCTGGTAGATGGGGAATCATCTTCAAGACTGTAATGATCACACCATCGCTATGACCCAGCCCTAGTGACTTCTCTCGACTAGCTCTTCACCTCCCCCTGCCATCCCCCCACCCTCAATCCATTTGAAGTATCATTCCTTATGATTGACAGACACCAGAAACAAATTTGTGAGTTTTAATGAAATGTGGACCCTAAGCAACCTGAAACAAAGTCATTTCTATCTATTAGTTATATTTGTCTTCATTTTTGGAGCTGTTGTGGACATCTGAGGAGTGGTCCAGCCAAGGATTCCATGAATTGTTACTGGTTGGATTGTTAAATAACGACTAGGAACACAGCACCGTTTACGATTTCGGCAGCGTATGATGCTGTCTTCACCATCTTTGCACAACAACCGGCAGTGTCCATCCATCCAACACTCTACTTTGGGGCATATGAACAACAATTAAGCAGATGTTAGTATCCCTCAAGCGGAGAGAAAAGACAAGGCAGAGGAGGAACAGGAGGACAGGGAAGAAGAGAAGAAAGCCAGCTGAGTGAGTAATGCCAGACCCAGTCCCAGGAAAAGAGAGAAGAGACCTTGAGAGGGAAGAGAACTGAGACAATGGTTCCAACTGAGAGCTCCGAAGTTTTTGGGAGAGCCTTTTTTGGACTTCTCACCCTTCTGTCTTCCTAGCCCCCAACTTCCTACTCCTTACTTTGGAATCAACTGAAGCTAATTAATGTCCCACCTAGCAGAGCTAGGGATGAAGGGAAAAGGACATGATCACCTGTAATATTAGGGAACGAAGAGGATTCACTCACATTACACAGACCCTGTTTCTTATCAATAACCTGACCCTATTTCACATAAGCCCAACAAGCCTCAGCTCCAGCCGCATCCCAATCTGCAATCTTCCTTGACCCTATATTAACCCAATTCAAACTCAAACTCATTCAGGCCTGCCTTAATTAGAACTCCCAGCCTTACTCAACTCAATGCCCCCAAGCCCCAACTCCAAGCCAAACCCTAATCTAATCTAATCTAACCCTAATCTAATCAAGTCACTAACCTCAATTCCCAGCAGTATGCCATGACCAAGCTGAACCCAATCACCCTGCAGCATCCAGCACCGACTCCCAGCCTCAGCCCAAGCCCCAGCCTAATCCTCAACACCAGCTCCACTCAACCCCAAATCCCATCCTGTCTCCAACTCTGCCCTAAACCATCAGGGAAGCCCAGCTCCTCACCTCCAGCTCATCCTAATATTCCTTCTATCACTCCAATCCCAAGGTTTTTCCTCCACATCACAACTCACCCCAGCTTCCACTCTAGTCTCCCGAAGTCCTCAACAAGTCCCCAACCTGCACCCACGCTTTGCCCCTCAAACCTCTCCCAAGCTCCCACCAGGATACCACCCTGGCCCTCAAGCACCAGATGCTCCAAACATCTATCATCCCACCACTCTGGCAAAAAAGAATCAGAGAGAGATATTAACTTGAGATGATCCTGGGCAAACCTCCCGAAGCTGCAGGAGAGAAGGAAAGGCTTCAGATGATGCCCACAGTGAGAGGGAAGGGAAAGACGGGAAGCCCATGACCAGGAACCCAGACCCCCGAGAGAGGTTCACGTTACCTGATATCACTGGTTCTTCTATGGCCAGAAGGATGGCAAGAAACAGGTAAAGAAGTTTCATGGCTGGCAGACCTGAGAGGAGGAGGTGGCTGAGCTGCAGGGGAAGGAAATAGGGTTCCCTGCAGCACGGCAGAGATGAGCTTTGCTTTTATCAGCAGGGCTGTGGGCAGTGAATTAGAACAGGAGGGGATTTATATGAGGTCATCCAGGCCAAAGGACAGTGTGTAGCAGATGTCTCAGCAAAGCACAAGATGAGAGTGTGGGAAACTGGCCAGTACCAATGCCAGTAAAGGGACAGGTCAATTAAAGCCATTTGGCCTGTGAGACCCACAAAGGAATTAATTAATGCATAATAAATACATATCAAGAAATATTTAACTTAAAAATTACTTTGCACTTCTCTGATAAATAGTAAGAACATTTATTCAACACATGTATTTGTCTCTTTGTTTCTTCCTTTTGAATTATTTAGTCAGATATCTGGACAATTCTATTGGGGTGTTGTTGGGTACTTGCTGATTTGCAAGAGCTCTTCAGTGCTGTTATTATATTAACTGTCTTGTCATGTTTGGTGACAATATTGTTCTCCATGATTATGTTCTGTTTTAAAATATATTTTTTCCTATAAATGTTTAAAAGATATTTAAATCTTAAAAACTAAATTAAACAGGCCAGGTGTGGTGGCTCACACCTGTAATCCCAGCACTTTGGGAGGCGAAGACAGGGAGATCACAAGGTCAGGAGTTCGAGACCAGCCTGGCCAACATGGTGAAACCCCGTCTCTACTAAAAATACAAAAATTAGCCAGGTGCCTGTAATCCCAGCTACTAGGGAGGTTGAGGCAGGAGAATTGCTTGAACCTGGGAGGCAGAGGTTGCAGTGAGCTGAGATCACGCTATTGCACTCCAGCCTAGGTGACAGAGCAAAACTCCATCTCGAAAATAAAAATAAAAAAATTTTAAAAAATAAATTAAACGAGAATTACTTATTCTCAGCTTTCTAACAGAAGGATACACATGTGTCTCAGCTTTCTAACAGAAGGATACACATGTGTAATGTCTTTCAGAACTTTGAACTTGCCAATCTTGTTTCCAGTTCAGGGCCTTAGCAGTTGTCATCTGTTCTCCCTGTAAAGCTCTTTCTCCAAATCTTCCCATGAAAATCTCCTGCTCATCATTCCATATCATCCCAAATGTCACCTCCTTGGAGAGACTTTCCCTGGCCACCTTAGATAACGGTAACTCCAACCCACAGTCACTCTGGACTGTAATAACTTGGTTTATGATCTTCATATATGTATCTATTCTTTTAAATTTTATTTTACATGTTTGATTTTTGTCTCTCCACTTAGAATGTCAGAAACCTGGCTTATAACCCCAGTACCCATAACATCACCTGGTGTATTAAGATACTTATTCAACTGTTTTAACTGATATTCCCCCCAAATAAGAATGATTCCAAAAGACAGACATGGATTTCTTTTTTATGTAAAAGTCTGGGTATGCAGTTAAGTGTGACAGCTTCACCATTCAGCAGGGATCTAGGTTCCTTTTGGCTTGATGCTCTGCCATCCTCAAGAGGCTGCATCATGTGATGACCCTGAGCTGCTCCAGTTCCCACCGTCAAGTTCCCATCCAGCCATCAGGAAAGGAGGAGTGATGGAAGTGAAATGCAACACCTTTCCCTTTAAGGACACCACTCAGAAGTTTCACCCCTCGGCTTGGCACAGTGGCTCACACCTGTGATCCCAGCACATTGGGAGGCCAAGGTCGGTGGATCATTTGAGGTAGGAGTTCAAGACCAGCCTGGCCAAACTGATGAAACCTCGTCTCTACTAAAAATACAAAAAAAAAAAAAAAAATTAGCCAGACGTGGTGGTGAGCACCGTAATCCCAGCTACTCAGGAGCCTGAGGCAGGAGAATGGCTTGAACCCAGGAGGTGGAAGTTGCAGTGAGCTGAGATCGTACCACTGCACTCCAGCCTAGGCAACAGGGTGAGACACCGTCCCTCCAAAAAATAAGAATAATAAGTTGCACCCTTTGCTTCCAATCCTGTCCACCTCCCAGAGCTCATTTAGACCATCATGCGCAGCTGCAAGGGAGGCTGGAAATATTTTCCTTATTCTAGGCAACCATTTCTAGCTAAAATATAGGGGTTGTCTTATTAAGAAGGGAAAGAGATACATGGGGGGTGGAGTTCTAGCAATCTCTAACATACCTGACATTAAATATTAAATAATATTTAATAAATATCTGTAGACAAATAAATATAGCTTACTTTAATAAATAATTATAGATAAATAACTTATACATTGAGTAAGGCTATGAGAAGTGATCTAGTGGGGAGGAAACCCAAGTCCCTGTAACTCCAGGGCTTTGGGAGGCCAAGGGGGGAACCAGATTGAGCCCAGGAGTTCCAGACCAGCCTGGGCAACATATGTGACCTCATCACTACAAAAAAATTTTTTAATTAGCCAAGTGTGGTGGTACACACCTGTAGTCCCTGCTACTCAGGGGGCCAAGATGGGAGGATTGATTGAGTCTTGGAGTTCAAGGCTGCAAAACATTCAATTGTTGTTTTTCTGCCTTCCCTGCAGCTAGAATATGGACACGTGGGTAGGTTCAGCCAATCAGATGACTCCATACTATTTTTTGAATCAGGTGCTCAAGATTCCAGGAAGAAGGAACAGTAGATAATTTATCTTAACAAAGGAGTCCATTATGATGTCCAGTTTCCAGGGGCAATAGGGAAGCAGGGCAAATAGGGGTAGAGTTTAGGGTCCTGAGCAATGGCGTTTGGTGGCAGCTGTGTCCTCACTAGACCAGGTCCATGGGGTGATTTTTCACTCTGGCTCCTCCTACCCTTCCTCCCTGGTTCCTACCCATTTTCTAAGCCTCGCTCTAGGAATTCTCTGAACTTCCAAACAGCCAAAAGATTCCCTTTGCTAAACACTCTTACGGATGCAGTGACCATGGGCAAGTTGTTTAACCAATTTTGGAGATAATAATACGGGCTCATGGTTTGTTGTGACCTTTAAGTGATAAGTGCCTATCCAGAGTTCAAAACAGTGCCTGGCAGGTAGTAAGTGCTCGATACATTTTAGTTACAATTTCTTTGTTTCCAGGTAAGGGAGGAGAGAATTTAGAGCCTTGAGCGCATTTGACCTCTACAGCCTCAGTGAAAACGAAGCCAAGTTTCTCTGTTGTGTCAGGGATTAGGGCTTGGAGAAAATAGGCAAGATCTCAAGAAGCCCCTGTCAGGCATGGAGGAAATACACTGGGCAGAAAGCTGTGAGGGGGGACCTGCGATCAGGGCTGGATGGCTCAATAGGAGGACTGAGCACCTGCCCAGGCTCAGGGCACTGGCAAGACATGGGCCAAAACAAAGCAAGAAAATCTAAAGAACCCCCTTTAATTTCAGTAGACAGGAATGCTTTGTATCATTTCACAGAAGTAAAATTTTATTTCAGAGTTGAATGTTGTTTTATTTTGAATTCCACTGGGAGTGCTGTAAACTTCTTGGTGTTTAACGTTACTAAAGTTGTTCATGAGGACTTGCTTGGTGTGTAATGGAGCTGACCAGGATAAGGGAATTTGGGGGTGCTATTCAGCAGTGTGATGAACACACCAGGCATGCAATTTGGTCCAAAACTGAGCAACTTACCATGTGTCCTTAGCATGTCATGCAACATCTACAGGACTCAATATTGAAATGAGACATCATAGCAGAGGAGTTACAAGCCTATATTCTGGAGTTAGTCTCCTGGCTGTGTTACCTTATAAAAGTTACTTAAGGCTGGGTGCGGTGGCTCACGCCTGTAATCCCAGCAATTTGAAAGGCTGAGGTAGGCAGATCATTTGAGGCCAGGAGTTTGAGACCAACCTGGCCAACATGGTGAAACCCAATCTCTACTAAAAAATACAAAAATTATCCAGGTGTGGTGGGACATGCCTGTAATCCTGGCTATTCAGGAAGCTGAGGCAGGAGAATCGCTTGAATTCTGGAGGCAGAGTTGTAGTGAGCCAAGATCACACCACTGCACTACAGCCTAAGCAAAAGTGTGAGACTCTGTCTCAAAACAAAAAAAAGTTAGTTAACCTCTTTGAATCTCAGTTTCCTCTTCTATAAAATGGGGGTAATAATATTTCATAGGGTTGATGTTAGGATTAAATGAGTGATTACACATAAGGCACTTCGAACAATACCTGATACTTGACTTCAATATAAATATGTGGTGTTATTATTGTACTAGACCAGAAGTTCCCAACCTGGAGGTTCCAGGCATTTCCTCACTATAGCTCTTTTCAATATTTCATAAGCCCTCTTAGGAATCCCTGTTTGCAAAGGACTGCCCAGGGAGTACTGTGATGACTCAGAAAAATGGCCTTGACCAACATAAGGAGAAATTGAAAAAGATGATTTAATTGCAATAGAACGTTTATATTTCAATATCTGGGTTTATATTTGTGTTGTATTTTGTTTGTGTGTACTTATGTATACATGTGTAGATTTGTGCAAGTGTTTATGTGCTCAAATTTTATATATTTTATGTATATTTTATGTGTTTATATGGTTTATATGTATTTTGCGTGAGTATTTGAATGTGTATGTGTACATGCATTGATTCTTACATTAGTTTGCATGTAGACATGTAGAACATGTGTTTCAGTGTTGTTTAGTACCTGTGTACATGTGCATCTGTTCTCAGATCTCCAAATGCCGTAGCCTGAGCTCCAGTGAGCTCAGTCCCTTTGTTCCTCTCAGGTCTCTACATCCTGTGACTCTGGAACATGACAGTTGCTTGATGATTCTTCTATTCAGCTAGGAGATCTGGGCCAAGGCTAAGGGAAGTATGGGGAGCATCGTGGCCAAGAAGCAGAGGCCACTAAGGGAAAAGAGGCCAGGAGATACGGGATGAGGGGAGTCTTAGTCAGAGAGCCAACTTGGCCCATAATTGCTGCCTGATATCTTCTGGGGCCCACCAAGACTAGAACAGACTGTAGCTTCAGCCTTTGTAATGCCTCCCACATGGGTACAGCCTGGCCTGGCCAGTTCTGAAGACTGGACACCACCCACTCCCTCGAATCTGTGCAGTTGCATTTGTAAGTCCTTGAAAAGCCACCCATTCCCTGCAGCCTAAATTCCACAGCAGGGAGAGTAGGGAACCATTCATACTAGTTATCAAGTTCCCAGGAAGGAGTTCACACAGGCCAGGTATTTTTACCTTATCTCATTTACTCCTCTCACTAACCTATTAGTTTAATAATATGACAAAAAGATGAAAGAAATAAGAGTCATAAAGTCACAGCCTTTTATGGACATCTTTCACCTCCATGCATTTACACCATCTCCTTCCTTTCCCAGTGACGTAGGAAAAGTGTCCAGGCAAGGGTAGGTGGTTCAGAGAAAGATAATATGAGGACCAAGTTTGCATAAAATTGTGATGCAGCTATTTTAGAGTGGCTGGATTCCAGAGAAATCCTCTACACCAGCATATCCCCAACTGTGTCCCATTTCAAGCACTGTTCCATGGAAAAAAATAAATGCTAGTGAGAATATTTATCCTACAATTTATTAAAATATTAACAGTCACATACCAGCTATGAATGCCCCCCACACTCAAGCCTCAGGAAATGCTGTAATTACTTATTTGTTTTAAGTGCAGCTCCAAGACACTACTTGCCAAATTAGTGAGATGTCCAATGTCAGTTATTATTGGGATTTCATGCCATCCTCCACTTGATCCCACTAGGACCCCATGGTTCTGGGAAATGGGGAAGGATCTGGTCCTTATTCAATGATGATGACCTTTATTTCCTTGCTCTTCATGGTTGGGATATTGCTGATGGACTCCATTGGCTGTTCATTGAGGTGTGTGTGTGTGTGTGTGTGTGTGTGAGTGTGTGTGCGTGTGTGGTGTTGTTGTTGTTGTTTTGTTTTTTCTTGTTTTTTTTTTTTGAGACAGAATTTCACTCTCGTTGCCCAAGCTGGAGTGCAATGGCATGATCTCGGCTCACTGCAACCTTCGCCTCCCAGGTTCAAGCAATTCTCCTGCCTCAGCCTCCCGAGTAGCTGAGATTACAGGCACACACCACCACACCCAGCTAATATTTTGTATTTTTAGTAGAAATGGGGTTTCACCATGTTGGCCAGGCTGGTCTCGAACTCCTGACCTCATGTGATCCGCCCTCCTCAGCCTCCCAAAGTGCTGGAATTACAGGCATGAGCCACCATGTCTGGCCCATTGGGTAGTTCTGGGCAGCTGGAAAATTGCTCTTCATCATGTCTACCTCCACCAACCACGAGCTCAGCCATCAAGACCTTTGCTGCCCCTCCCAGGGCTATGGTCACAGTGGCTGTCTCCACAGTGACTGCCTTCCATGCAGGCAACCCCGTCCAGCACCTGCTACCTTGGGGTGCTTCATCAAACTCCCTTGGAGCCAAACCCCCATCTCCTCTCCCAGTTCTGAGGAAATTCAACACCCTTAGATGCCATGACACTCCTCTCTCTTGCCCTCGAAGCTAAAATTCCTCATCTCACTTCTGAAACGATA
Source organism: Homo sapiens (assembly GCF_000001405.40). Taxonomy (NCBI): domain Eukaryota; kingdom Metazoa; phylum Chordata; class Mammalia; order Primates; family Hominidae; genus Homo; species Homo sapiens. The sequence goes on from NC_000020.11 coordinate 31,396,978, forward strand.
CAATTTTTTTCTTCCAAAAGTTTTATACTTTTTTAAATTTTATTTTACTTTAAGTTCTGGGATACATGTGCAGAACGTGCAGGTTTGTTACATAGTTATACATGTGCCATGGTGGTTTCCTGCACCCATTAACCTGTCATCTAGGTTTTAAGCCCCCATGCATTAGGTATTTGTCCTAATACTCTCCCTCCCCTTGCCCCCCACTCCCCAACAAGCCCAGGTGTGTGATGTTCCCCTCCCTGTATCCATGTGTTCCCATTGTTCAACTCCCACTTACGAGTGAGAACATGCGGTGTTTGGAAACCATACAAATTAATTGCCCTCTTTGTGCCTACTCCTCCCAAATAAAAAATTGTAAGGGTTGTCTTCAGGGCAACCCCTGACCTATGCACGCGCACGCGCGTGCACACACACACACACACACACACACGGTTTCAATTCCCCAGTAGAAAAGGAAGGCCAGGATTTAGAACACAAAATCCTGACTTCCTTTCCAAAAACAGGACAGAAAAATATCTTTTCATTCTTTCTGCTGATATCTGTTCAAACAAAATGAGGAAAAATTTTGAGGTAATTGCTACACTAAATTCTTGATACATCACCCTGCCAAAAAGTTTATTTAAAAAAGCATTAAATATGTGTATATAGTTGATCTGATTAATACACAAGACTGAGCAACTTACCATGTATCCTTGCTTTTTTTTGTTGTTTTTTGAGATGCAGTCTCACTCTGTTGCCCAGGCTGGAGTGCAGTGGTGTGATCTCTGCTCGCTGAAACCTCCGCCTCCTGTGTTCAAGCGATTCTCCTGCTTCAGCGTCCCAAGTAGCGGGGATTACAGGCTCCTGCCACCACGCCTGGCTAATTTTTTTGTATTTTTAGTAGAGACGGGGTTTCACCATGTTTGCCAGGCCGGTCTCGAACTCTTGACCTCAAGTGATCTGCCCACCTCAGCCTCCCAAAGTGCTAGGATTACAGGCATGAGCCACCATGCCCAGCCAAGTTCTTGCTTTTAAATGAGAATACCAGACAGTGAAGGAAAATGTTGCCTAATTTATGAAAGCACAACCTTATTTATTTATTTATTTATTTATTTATTTATTTATTTATTGAGATGAAGTCTCGTTCTGTCACCCAGGCTGGAGTGCAGTGGCATGATCTTGGCTCACTGCAACCTCCGCCTCCTGAGTTCAAGCAATTCTCCTGCCTTAGCCTCTCAAGTAGCTGGGACTACAAGCACACATCACCACTCCTGATTAATTTTTGTTTTTTGTTTTTGTTTTTGTTTTAAGATGAAGTCTCACTCTGTCGCCCAGGCTGGAGTGCAGTGGCACGATCTTGGCTCACTGCAACCTCCGCCTCCCAGGTTCAAGCGATTCTCCTGCCTCAGCCTCCTGAGTAGCTGGGATTACAGGTGTGCGCCACCATACTCGGCTAATTTTTGTATTTTTAGTAGAGACAGGGTTTCACCAGTCAGGCTGGTCTTGAACTCCTGACCTCGTGATCCACCCGCCTCAGCCTCCCAAAGTGCTGGGATTACAGGTGTGAGCCACCGTGCCTGGCCTAATATTTGTATTTTTTAAATAGAGACAGTATTTCACCATGTTGGCCAGTCTGGTCTCAGACTCTTGACCTCAAGTTATCTGCCCACCTCGGCCTCCCAAAATGCTGGGATTACAGACATGAGCTACCAAGCCTCACACAACTCTCAGTCTACTCATTGATAATGAAAACATTGACTGGTGACTATCACAGTGATGGACGTGACCACCACATATTTCTGTTAAGTGTCTCATCTTATATTTTTAATATATATTTTAGTATCATTCTGTGCTCATTGAATATCAAACACTCTTCTAATGTGAATAAACCTGAAAGAAGGAATTTTCTTGTGAGGCCATTTCTGCTGTCTATTTTAAGCTAGTTATATATCTCATTTAGACCATCAATTGCTCAACTAATATTGGTTGAATATGCAATTTATGCCAGATTCTGTTCCAGGTACAGAAAACAAATCAGTCATGGTCTGTGTCTTCATGGAGATTACAGTCTATCATGAAGATGAACAGTAAGCAAAGGTTAAGTACAGGTGCAGTGGGTGCTGCAAAGGTGACGTGCAGGATGCAATTGGCAGGGCTGGATCCAGGGTGAAGTGAGAAGTGCAACAGGTACTTAAAGGGTGACATTTAAGGAGGCATTTGCATGAGCCTGAGAGTGAGTGCCTCTTTATGTGTCACACCCTAGACACCTCCTGCTCCTCACCCTAGTCTTGGCCCTGGCTATCAGAAAAGCGAAGGTGGGGTGGAAAATATTCTGCTGTAATATTTGGGGTAACATTCTCTGACAGTTGTCATTTACTGCATCTTTGGACACTCAGTATCTGAGCTCCTTTCCATTAGGGAAGCTAGTCTCTATTTTTGTGGTCTTGGTGGAAAGGAAGGCTGACCTTCAACTACAGAATATCTTAAAGGCAAAGATTCTCTTTTGCCACCTTGGGAGTTAGCAGACAGGTGCATGACCCAGGCTCAGCCAACTGGGTGCTCCAACAAGGGACTTGAATCTTAAAGGGCTAAAGCCAAACCACAAGGAAGGTGGAGGAAATACACAGTGGCAGCAGCAATGGCAAGAGTCCAGGTGTGATACTGATGCACAGTGCTCTGGCAGCAATGCTCATGGTAAGATCTTGGCAGGCTATTTCTGCTGCCCACTCCGTCTCAGTCTTTCCAAGCCTGATTGTCCAGACTTCTGGTCAATTTTATGAGCTACATGTTATCCTTCCAAGAAATTATCCTGTTTGCTTAAATTGCTCTCTAATGAACTCTTACATTACATCCAATAATAAATGTAAGGTGTTTCATCTTCAAATATGTTGAGGGAATGTTGCTATATTCAGTAAGGAACTCTTGTGAGATTGGGTGTCAGAACGTGGGACAATCTGACCTGGCAGAGAGATTAGAGGGACAGCAGCAAAACTCAGGGTGGAAGGCCTCAATATGGGAAAGAGGAGGGAGACTGCTAATGAGGGACTGAGCTGAGATAGCAGTCCCAAAAAGAGTAAGGAGAGTAAGGTTTGCACCAAAACATCACAGAGGAAGAATCAAGGGGCTTCGATGGCTGACTTGATGTGAGAAGTCAAGAAATGAACATACAAAGTCAGTCTCAAGACAGCATAGAGCTGCCATCAGATTATTTTTTTTTCTTTCTTTCTTTCTTTTTTTTTTTTTTTTTTTTTTTTGAGATGGAGTCTCGCTCTGTTTTCCGGGCTAGAGTGCAGTGGCGTGACCTCAGCTCACTGCAACCTCCGCCTCCTGGGTTCACATGATTCTCCTGCCTCAGCCTCCTGAGTAGCTAGGACTACGAGTGGCCACCACCACACCCGGCTATTTTTTTGTATTTTTACTAGAGACGGGATTTCACCATGTTGGCCAGGCTGGTCTCAAACTCCTGACCTTAAGTGATCCACCTGCCTCAGCCTCCCAAAGTGCAGGGATTACAGGTGTGAGCCACAGCATCCGGCCTGCCTTCAGATTCTTGAATGACTGCCTGTACACAGACAGATCTTTGTGGACTCAAAATATAGAACAAAGGCTTCATGTAAATGTAACCAGAATTTAGATAACTCCAGTTTGGGCACAAACAGTATTTTCTACCCCTCCCTTCCCACCCACTTCCCATTGCTAGATGTGTTCTATAATGTACTCAAACCCCTGAATGCTCAGATTGAGTCCTTTCTTCTTGAATCTAATGTTCATCAGAACCTCAGAAAGAAGCGCTTGAATATCTTAGACTTCCCCCTTCTGTAAGGTCCCTTAAACTCATGCTGTGCCACTTCTCAGAACATCCACATCAAGGAAAGAGGAGTTTTCCTAAATCATGGAGAGTAAAACATGGGTGGAAAAAGAAGGCTTGAGTTTCAGGCAATGGTAAAACACAAGAACTTGAAAAGGAAAACCTGTTTGAGTGGGAAAGTGACCATCCTTGGAGTTTAACTATTCATATAGGTAGCAAATACTTATTGTGTTCTGATAGTGTGCCAGGCACCATGGAATGGTGAGCAAAACCAACAGGGTCCCTGCGATCATAAAACCCAAATTCTCCTGGAAGAGAGACAAGAAACAAGTAAATGAACAAAATAATTACTGATTTTTGAGAAGTGCTAGGACATACATTTGCCTAGTGATATAAAGGACTTCATTAGATATAATAGTCAAGAATGACATTTAAATTAAGGCCTGGAGGATGGGACAAAAACAGTCATATAAACATCAGAGGCAGAGCCTTCTTGGGAAGAGGGAACAGCATGTAGCAAGGCCCTGAGACAACAAAAGAGCTTGTTGACATCAAGGAACAGAAAGGAAACCTGGGTGACCTGAGTATAAGGAGGAGGCCAGAGAGGTGAACAAGGCCTGGTAGGGCAGGGCCTCCCAGTCCATGACAAGGAGTCTGGATGTTATCTGGATGTTATTCTTAATGAAATGGAAAGCTATTGTTTGGTGCAAAACAGAGTAGTGACAGGATATCCTTTACCTTTCTGGATTTAGGACTAGATCTGAAAAAAATGAAAATAATTTACCATTTGGCTGCTATGTGGAAAATTAATTACAGAAAACAGGAGACTATTGTAAAAGATCAGGTGAAGATAGCAGTGGCCTGAACTAGATGGAGAGAAATGGATAATTTTGATATGTGTTTTGAAGGTAGAGCCACAGGACTTGCTGAGAAATTGAATGCAGGGAGGTGAAGTGAGGAATCACACATGACTTGTAGGTTTGGTGCATCTGGGCACATGTTGTTACCATTTCCTAAGAAGGGAAATAACAGGGTACTAACAGTGCCTAGTGAGGTGAGGTCCCCATTAGGAGTTCCATTCTGATATGTTAGGTGACCAGATGGAGATGTCATTTAAGGGGGAAGATATACCAGTTTAGACACTAGAGAAAGTTTAGGGTAGGAGCTATGAATTTGAGAGTGATCAGCATATAGAGGGTAGTCAAAGTACCTAGTGAAAAAGAGCAGAGAGAAAAGACAAAAGGAGCCTAGAAACAAGTCCCTGGCCTTTGGAAAGGGAAGGAGGAGCCAGGAGAGAAGACTGAAAATGAATGGCCGAGGTGATCAGAGGAAAACCAGGGGAGTCTGCCATCTTAGAAGGCAAGAGAAGAAAGCATTTCAATGAGGATGTCGTGGCCTCAATGTCAAACACCTCTTCAGAGGTCAATAAGAGGAAAACAGGGGTGCCTCTGTTGGGTTTGGCAACACTGGAGATAGTTGGTAATCTTTACTAGAAAAGGTTCAGAGGCACAGTCAAAGCCAAATTGAACTGAGTTGAAAGGTGAATGAGAAAAAAGGGATAAAGTGAAGGCAGGCAACATTTTGAGAAGTATTTGTTTAAGCACTGCAAATAAACGAGGCATCGTCCAGAGAGGAATGTGGGACTCAGGGATCTTTTTTTTTTTTTAATCTGGGAGGTACTCGAACATCTTTGTATGATAGAAATGATCTGGCAGAGAAGGGGAGAATAAGGAGAATAAATGAATATGAAGTTATTGAGTAGGGGAGAGGAGACAAATGTGAACAAGTAAGGGGGCCAGTTTCTCAGGTGTAGACATCATTCTTCCACTGAAAACAAAAGGAAGACAGGAGCTGTAGGACCCAATACCGGAGTGTGTAGACTTAGTAGAGAGAAGATGAAGGAGTTGCTTCTGATGGCTTCTATTTTCTTGAAATATGAGGCAAGAAGTGATATTTTGGTGGGGACAGGGAATGGTAGAAGATTGAGGAGAAAGGAAAAATCATGGACTAGTCATTTCAAAGAATGAGAAATCAAGCTTCTTAGGGAAAAACAGGAGATTAGCTGGGCAGTGTTGAGTGGTCTTTGAGGTTGGAGGCCGTGAATTTCCAGTGAAATCAGTGAGACTAGTTGGATTATTTTTTCTAAGAACAATCAGCTGCTGACCTATATAGGTCAGGCACAGTGGCTTACGCCTGTAATCCCAACCCTTAGGGAGACCAAGGCAGGAGGATGATCACTTAAGGCCAGGAGTTCAAGACCAGCCTGGGCAACATAGCAAGACCCCCATCTCTATTAAAAAAAAATTTTTTTTAACTGCCAAGAGTGGTAGCACACACCTGTAGTCCCAGCTACTTGGGAAGCTGAGGCAGGATAATCCCTTGAATCCAGGAGTTTAAGGCTGTAATGAGCTATGATCACACTACTGCACTCCAGCCTGGGTAACAGAGTAAGATCTTGTCTTGAAAAATAAAGTTTACCTATAGAGAAAGCAAGTAGGTGGTTGTATTCTACCATGGTTGGGAGTTTGGCATTGATACAATGCAGAGTAGAGCAAGGGAGCTAAGTCTGCAAGAGAAACATTACAGGGCTAGACTGGACGGAAATTGAGTCGGGAGGGTAAGAAAATTAGTGAAAAAATGGTAGGGTATAGAGCTTTACTTCAACTTTAAGAGTTATTAACTCTGAGAAGTAGGAGTTGGTGGCAACGTAGTGAAGGAGGATTTAACTTTTTCCAGGCAAAAAATTGCTACGCAGAGCCTAGAAGTAGCAAATTACAAAATGAGATCTACCTAGATTCTACTTACATTTATCAAGAACTGAATGTGGGCTAGATTCTGTGCTGGGCACTTTCCTGTCTGTTATCTCATTTAATTCTCATGACATCCCTATGACTTGAGTAGGAAAGTTCCCCATTTTAGAGACAAGAAAATAGAGCAGAGAGGGTTAAATGGCTTGCCTAGGGTCATGCAGCTGACATGCGATTAAGCAAAGATTTGACTCCAGATCTTCTGATCCTGCTTCGAACGCTCTTCCCTAGACAGCTTGATGATACTTAGACACTGACTCTGAGGCTGAAGTTTGTCATCAGGAAGGTGAACTGGGGACATAGGGCTGAAGCCAGGTCAGGACTCCAGTATGAAAGGGCTGAATAGGAGGCAGGTGACTCCAAATAGAACTTTTCAACTCAGGATAAAGAATCAAGTTCTTTTACATTAGTCAGATAAGTAGCAAGAGTTGGGGATACTTGGGATCATGGGGCTGAATGTGGTAAAATTCCTGTCGTCTCAGTTCAGGATCTGTCCTGCAAAATGATTAGCCAGCAGTTTAATGTCCCATGGCCACAACTAGAGGGAATGGAAAGAGATGGAGCAAGGATCCACAGATGGCCTGATGCCAGCACTGTCCACCATGAGGAAGACTCACAAGAGGCATTGCCCTAGAGCCCCTGAGGGGCAGAACTGCAGGTGTGATCAAGGGAAAGTTATAACCTTTGGTGTGGGAGTAGAAAGAGGCCATGGGCCAAGAATGGGTTCTTGTGTTCATCATACTTGCCTCCTGGACTCCCCTAAAATACTCATAGATTGAGACCCACAGCATGCCTCAGCCTAGACTCTAAAGCCATTGCTATACAATACAATCACCACTAGCCACATTTAGCTATATAAATTTAAAGCTCGATTGAATCAAATTAAAACTTCGGGTCCGCATTCACACTGGGCACATTTCAAGTGCTCAGTAGCCACATGTGGCTAGTAGCTACCATATTGAACAACATAGACAGGAAATATTTCCATCATGGCAGAATGTTCTATTGGCAGTGCTGGTCTAGAAGAAAACAGGAATCAAGTAGATATAATGAATATTCTTTAATTCATGCCCTCTTGGACCAGCTATGGGTCAGCAGGCTAGGAGCTATTTGCAAGGTTTAGATTGTTACCACCTACTGGTCCATCCTGTTCTTCCTAACATGCACACCGGACACACACACACACACACACACACACACGCACACAACCTTTCTTCTTTATTTACTTGTTTCTAAATGTAACTAGGTGGAACTATCAGACAGAAACAGGGTGTTGCCAAGAATGATTTAATAGAACTGCAGGATCCCATGATGTTGAGACTCAAGGTTGGAAGAGAGGTGTCAGACTGCAGAAGTTGATTCCAGGCTTGTATTTGTGTCTGTTAATTTTGGTTTTACAGGTACATACTTGGGATCCACACAGCACTTAGCCTCAGTTTTGCATAATATATAGTATACTTCACTTTCTTTACATGTTGTTCTGCACCTGCCTGACTTGCCCCAACATTTCATGACTGAAAACAAAAGGGAAGAAGAGAATAGAGTCAGTTTTGAAAGAAAGCAGAAAGGTGTGAAAGGAAGAGGCTAAAGCCCAGTAGAGGAGTAGGAGGGAAATGAGGAGGTCTGTGGGGAAGAAGCTCTTACACAGGATCCCCTAAGTTTAAGGGAGATTATAGACCACTACGCTTTCTTCCTTCACTTGTGCCCCCTGTTAGAACCCCCAGAGTCCCCCCAACTCAGTGGCATAGGACCTACTGGATAGCTTCCCCTCCTTGGCCAGCTCCTTGGGAGGGGGAAGAGGACCCCTCTCCCAAGGGTTTTATCTCCCCCATATTATAATGTACCCAGGTGCCCAGTAGCAATTAGCCACCTTTTCTCATTGTTCTTTGGTACCCCCTCTGACCATATCAATGAAAGGTGACAGGAATATTAAATAAACTCATTTAACATCTGTAAGTCTTCTAGGGCACCTTTAAAACTCCCAAGAATATCATACTGCCTTCTTCACAACATCCTGGGACTTTTCTCTGGCCCCAACCAGTCAAGGGAATTAGGAACAGCTATTCCAGGGAACCTACAACCTAAGGTAACCCAGATGATTTGAGGTTGCATTAAAAAGTGGAATCAGAATCCTCAAACAATCAGAAATTTGAGAACCATTTTCCTAGAGGCAACAATGCATCAAAATTCAAATCCTTTCAATGAATGTTTTTGAAAAAGTCCCCATTTTCTCTATACTCCATACCCAAGTCTCTCTCTTTACACCCTATCCCATCCTCAGGTCATCACGTTCAGCTTTTCCAGAGCTAACCAGAGATAAGGTTGGAATGGTCAAGTACTGGGCACTGGGAAGACCATTTGGTACCAGAGAACTCAAACTTCCCCATAACTAGAGAGACTACCTAAAGGCCTCAATGAGCTCTACCAGGCCATTCTCCCAGCCCAACCTGTCAGAGTCCCCAGAGTTCTCTGAACATGCATCAGGTTTCCTGACTCCCATCCCCTTCTGGAGATCCTGTTTACCTGGGGTGACCTGGGCCAGGAGCAGAGTAACAGTCAAAAGCAGAAGAAGGAGCTTCATGAATGATGAATGATCAGGGAGGGATAGGAGGCTTCTCAACTGGTAAAACAGACAGAGGACTCCATTCTGGGCAGTCCAGACTGGTATTTATTGCCTTGAGGAGCATGGCAGAGCCAAGATCAGTGAACCAGAACGGGAACAGTCATTTGAGATCAGACAGGCAGGCAAGGAAGGTATCAACCACACTGCCTGAGGAGGCTGGGAGAGGGGGAAGGGACGTTAACAAAGAGAAGATACGGCCTTGCCTCTGAAGAATTTTATAATACAGCTGGAGAACCAAGAAGGGGAAAAATATTTTCATCTCTAATTTGTTTTTCATTAATGAGAAAAAAAGAGAGAGAAAAAGAGATAAGACAGAAAAGGAGTGATACTTCTCTGCGCCTTGGGTTCTTCCCAGCAACAAGGACATCTTAGGATGTCCCATATGTTGATGATTCATTATAATACCAAATGAAGGGCAGAGCAGGGGAAAATACCTTAATAGCTCCATGGCCATCACCACTGGAAACCAGAATGTCAGTATTCATGGAGTGGAATGAGCAGGAAAGCCATAGCCCTTACTTTTAACAGTACATATTTAATAGGAACAAGTAGCACCCTCATAGGTAGCAAAAGAAAAGCCATTTATTATTGTTGTGGTCTTTTTTTTATTATTACTTATTTTTTTGAGACAGTCTTGTTCTGTCACCCAGGCTGGAGTGCAGTGGCACAATCATAGCTCACTGGAACCTCGAATTCCTGGTCTCAAGCAATTCTCCTGCTTTGGCCTCCCAAAGTGCTAGGATTAAAGGCATGAGCCATCATGCCCAGCTTGGTCTTTCTTATAAGAAATGGTAGATTGCCCCAGCAACTTGGGAGGCCGAGGCAGGCGGATCACAAGTTCAGGAGATCGAGACCATCCTGGCTAACTCAGTGAAACCCCGTCTCTACAAAAAAAAATACAAAAAATTAGCCGGGCGTGGTGGCTGGCCACTGTAGTCCCAGCTATTCAGGAGGCTGAAGCAGGAGACTAGCTTGAATCCGGGAGGCGGAGGTTGCAGTGAGCCGAGATTGTGCCACTGCACTCCAGCCTGGGCAACAGAGCGAGACTCTGTCTCAAAAAAGAAAGAAAGAAATGGTAGATTGTAATCTTGGCCCTACTTCTTCATCCCTACTTGAATTCACACATTTGCCAAGGTCTCATCCTAGGAGAACTCTATTTCATTTTCCCTTCACTTTGGCCTTGGCATGTGATTTGCTTTGGCTAGTGATATGTGGGCAGAAGTGACGGTGTGCCGGTTGTAAGCCTAGGTTTTAAGAGATGATGAATATTTTCATTTGCCCTTCTGTGTCTCTGCCATCACTATGAGAAGAACATGCCCCAGTGGTCCAAGGAGGATGAGAGATACGTGGGGCACAGCTACTCCAGGCGACTCACAGATCTACAGTGAGAAACAGAGCTGCCCCAGGCATTCCAGCCTCAAGCAGGGCAATCTAGCCAAATATAAAGGATTGATGTTTTAAGCCACTGAGTTTTGGAGTGGAACATTACATAGTAATGGCTAACTTATACACAAGGCCAGCAGATAGATCAGGAAAGAGCCAAGTGCTTTTTAGGACAATAATGGTAAGGTCTATCTTTCTTTTCTTTTTCTTTTTTCTTTAAGACAGAGTCTTGCTCTGTTGCCCAGGCTGGAGTGCCGTGGCACCATCTCAGCTCATTGCAACCTCTGCCCCCCGGGTTCAAGCAGTTCTCCTGCCTTAGCCCCCCGAGTAGCTAGGACTACAGGCACGCGCCACCACACCCAGCTAATTTTTGTATTTTTGGTAGAGACGAGGTTTCACCATGTTGGCCATGGCTTGTCTCAAACTCCTGACCTCAGGTGATCCACCCGCCTCAGCCTCCCAAAGTGCTGGGATTACAGGCGTGAGCCACTGCACCTGGCCTAGGTCTATCATTTCAAAATGGACAGAAATAAAGACATACTAATAAGAGGAATATCTTCTTTCTAACATGGAAGAAAACAACAAGCCAGGAGCAGAGGCTCCTGCCTGTAATCCCCACAATTCGGGAGGCTAAGGCAGGAGGATTGCTTGAAGCCAAGAGTTTGAAACCAGCCTCAGCAACATAACGAGACTCCATCTCTACACACACACAAAAAAAGTTTTAAATAGCCGGGCATGGTGGGGCAAAGCTGTAGTCCTACCTACTAGGGAGGCTGAGGCAGGAAAATCATTTGAGCCCAGGAGGTCGAAGCTACAATGAGCTAAAATTGCACCACTGCACTCCAGCCAGCTCAACAGAGACCCTGTCTCCAAAAACAAAAAAAAGACAAGATAAATTTTCTTGTTGTCTGAAGAAAAATTAATGCTCCGGAGGTCACTTTTTCTATAAAGCCCAGATGGTAAATACTTTAGGATTTGCCAGCCACAACTATCACAACTACTCAACTCTACAGCTATAGGACAAAATTACCCACAGACAATATATAAGCAAATGAGTGTGGCTGTATTCCAATAAAACTTATTTATAGACACTCAAGTTTAAATTTTGTATAATTTTCACATCTCTAAATGAAATTTGATTGTTTTCAACGATTTAAAAATGTACTGGCTGGGCATGGTGGCTCACGCCTGTAATTCCAGCACTTTGGGAGACTGAGACAGGTGAATCACCTGAAGCCAGGAATTCGAGACCAGCCTGGCCAACATGGTGAAACCTCGTCTCTACTAAAAATACAAAAATTAGCCATGTGGGGTGGTGAGCAACTGTAACCCCAGCTACTCGGGAGGTTGAGGCAGGAGAATTGTTTGAACCTGGGAGGCAGAGGTTGCAGTGAGCCGAGATGGTGCCATTGCACTCCAGCCTGAACAACAGGAGTGAAACTACATCTCAAAAAAAAAAAATGTACCAAGGCAAACAGATCACTTGAGGCCAGGAGTTTGAGACCAGCCTGGATGACATAGCAAGGTCCCTTCTCTATTTTAAAAAAACTTGTTAAAAAAATAAAATAAACAAAATTATTGCTGATTTTCTTGGTATCTCCACTTTGGAAAAACAGTTTAACAGTTTCTTATAAAGTTAAACATAAACTTATCATACAACCAAACAACTCCTCTCTTTGGTATTTATCAAAGATAAATGAAGACATATGTCCACGTCAAAACTTGAATTGTCATAGTAACTTTATTCACCATAAGTGAAAACAACCCAAAAGTCCATTAATTAGTAAACAGATAAATTCTGATATCTCCATGTAATAGAATACTATTCAGCAACAAAGAATTAACCACTGCTATGCAACATACGGATGAACCTAAAGAGCAAGCTGGGTGTGGTGGTTCACGCCTGTAATCCCAGCACTTTGAGAGGCCAAGGTGGGTGGATCATCTGAGGTCAGGAGTTCGAGACTAGCCTGGCCAACATGGTGAAACCCTGTCTCTACCAAAAATAACAAAATTAGCCAGACATGGTGGCGGGTGCCTGTAATCCCAGCTACTTGGTAGGCTGAGGCAGGAGAATTGCTTGAACCCGGGAGGCGGAGGTTGCAGTGAACCTGAGCCAAGATCATGCCACTGCACTCCAGCCTGGACAACAAGAGCGAAACACTGTCTCAAAAGAATAATAATAAAAATAATAATAAACATTTTTTAAAAGCATTAGCCTGAGTGGAAAAATCCAGACCAAAGAAGAACATACTGAACAAGCTTATTCACATGAAACTCTAGAAAACACAAACCTAATCTACAGTGACAAAAAACAGATCAGTGGTTGCCTGGGGCTGATGGGAGGAAGTGGGCATTGACTGAGATGGGGCATGAGGGAACTTTCAGAGTGATGAAAATGTTCTATATGCAGATGTCAAAATTCATCAAAATTTACACATTATGTTTTATATAAATTATACCTCAAAAAAGTTGACTTTAAAAAAAACCTGTGCAAATAGTTTTTAAAATAAGCAACAGAATCCGATAAATAACATAAAACCACTTAAAATATATACACATTTAATGTGGTACACATATACCATGGAATACTATGCAGCCATCAAAAAGAAGGAAATCACATCCTTTGCAGCAACATGGATGCAGCTGGAGGTCATTATCCTAAGCCAACTGATGCAGAAACAGAAAACCAAATACCACATGTCCTCACTTACAAGTTGGAGACAAACCTTGGGTACATGTGAACATAAAGAGGGGAACCATAGACACTGGGGACTACTAGAGTCAGGAGAGAGGGAGGGAGGCAAGGGCTGAAAAACTACCTATTATATACTATGCTCACTACCTGGGTGACAAGATACATCATAGGAGTTAAACATCATAGGAGTTGCCTATGTGAGAGATGGATAGGAGTTGATTATGGGGATAAAAGTTAATAAATCAGTAAAATAAAATAAGAGAAGGGCTTTGTATAAGGCCAATGACAATAAATCTGCCATAAATACATAACCCTCTGCAACAGAGGACTAAAATAAAGTGCTATATTGACAAGGGGCTTACTTCTAAAGATCATTAGTAAGGTATCAGCCCCGTGGACTGGAACCCATTTCCTCTCCTTCCAGAAGGGACTGCAGAGAGGAAACCTGAGATGCCATTCAAGCAAACGGCACAACTTCCTCCACTCTTGAGAAAGGGGATTGTTTCTGGTTAGAAGGGTAGGATACTGGGCTGAGAGCCTTGAAAAATGAGAGAGAGAGAGAGAGAGAGAGAGAGAGAGAAAGAGAGCAACTCATGGGAGCACCATCCTTGCAGAAGTCTTAGTCTAGAAGGTACTTTCTTTATGCATCCAAGGAACCCCCAGTGGCACAGAGTTTCATCTACACTGAATGGTTTTGAGATCTACTTCCCTTCTTTAAAGAACTCCATCATAGCCCTGCAAGTTTGCTCTTGTGAACACTGATAAGCAGAATAAGGCTGCCTAATAAAGGGATGACCTGAATCCATTATGTGCATGATTTATCGGAATTAATAGTAGTTTTCAGCAGTAGAGAAGACTCTCATAAAAGACCCTTTTCCTATCTGTCACAAAAAACTGTGAAACAAAATGCCTTGATTGCTTCGTGAGCTAAAAAGGACTTCCCACAGCTGAACTATATACATCTACAGTTCTGGAGTGTCCACCATTCTTAGATTCTGCTTAAGATTCCACATCTTAACTTCTACTGATATCCAACCATGTTGCCAAGACTCCCATTTCAAGCTCTCCAAGGAAATAATCTGATTGGCTGAACATAATCTTATTCATTATCTAATAGAGATAAACCATTTTAAAAGGATAGAAAACTGTGGAACAACCTCCCTTACTGATATCTGCACATTTCAGCTTTTCTTTGTTGCCACACATGAAGTCATATCATATGCTCTCAATAGATGGGGTGAATGCCTTTCAGTGAAAAAAGAAAAGTAAAAAAGAATGTATGAACGCAGAGCAAAAAAAAAAAAGAAAGCGATAAAGATCTGAGGAGCGAATATGTGTTTTCCAAAGATTACAGAACTACAAATGAATCTGCAAATGGTACATTAGGAAAATTATCTGAGGATGAAGAAAGGTAGGAGGCACTCAGTAGAGAAAGGTTGGTACTGATGAGTGGACGGTGCTGTGAAGTGTCCAGGAGCCTGGAGTCCACATATTAAAGGTGTACGCAGTTACCTGGACCTAAGTCCAATTCAGTGTACTCAACCCCTTTAAGTAGGTTTCTGCAGTGCTGTGGTCCTTAATTCAACATCATTCCCCTCTTCTTGAGCCTCAAGTGGGTACCACTGCCATCTCTGGCTTAGTAGAAGATAGGGTGGTATCTGAAATTCAGAAAACTCAGAACCTGTTCCCTGCCTGGCCATTGACTCTTGCTTTGGCCCATAAGTCATAAGTGACCCTAACTGAAGAGTTTGCCCAGCATCCTTCTACTCCCTTCTCAGATTTCTTCCACCCACTTCTGGTTAGTTCCTTGCTCTCAGCACTGCAGCAGGGAAAGGAAATATATCTACATATCACTTCTTTGTAATCTTTGGGGATAGGAAGCATTGGAGGGTAGTGGGCAAAGAAGATGAAACTTCAGGCCCAAATAAGGCTTGGAAATTTTCTGGAGTTCTATTATATTCCAACTCTCTGGTTCCTGGTGCTATGTGTAACTAGTAATGGTAATGGATATGTTGGGCTTTTTTCTTTGATTTATTTGAAGTGACGTTTGACAATCTATCACTAGGGGTAATGTGGGGAAATGGAAAGAATACAAGATTTGGAGCCAGACAAATCTGGGTTCAAATCCTCACTTTGCCACATATTAGCCATGTGACTTTGAACAAGTTAGTTAATCTCTCTGAACTTCAGTTTAATTATCTCTAATATGGAGATGATACTACTGACAGCAGAGGTTTGCTGTGAAGATTAAATTAGGTGATGCTTGTAAAGCTCAGGGAATAGTGCCTGGCATAGAGGAAAGCCTCTGACAACTGGTAGTTACTGTTATTTACTATGAATCCTCACCTTCCTTGACTTCTTGAAACATTTGGCTATTGACCTCTTTCCTCCTTGAGGCTCTTCTGGCTTTTCATTGTCAACACAGTCAACGCTCAATACAAGGGACATTAGGATTGGCAGTAGCTCAGAGATCTCTCTGCTCACCGTGATCTTCAAGTTTGAAAATTGCATCTCAAATCTAAGACCCAGAGGGCTCACCCAGAGTCGAGGCTCAAGGACAGCTCTCCTTTGTGTCCAGAGTGTATACGATGTAACTCTGTTCGGGCACTGGTGAAAGATAACAGAGGAAATGCCTGGCTTTTTATCAGAACATGTTTCCAAGCTTATCCCTTTTCCCAGCTCTCCTTGTCCCTCCCAAGATCTCTTCACTGGCCTCTTATCTTTACTGTTACCAAATCTTTCCAGAAGCTGCTCTTTCCCTCAATTGTTCATTTGTCTTCTTGTCCAGGAATGAACCACTGCTCTCTTCTTGTCAGATCAGCTTCTCATCCCTCCTCAAGGGCCTTTAACTACTCCACATCCAAAGCTACCCAGGCCATTTTAAGTTTCCTGTGGACTAAGGACAAAGGTGCGGGGAGATGAGGCCAGAAATGTTCAAGAGGGTTTCTGTCCCTAACATGCTTACCGCTTATTGAGGAAAATGGGAAACAAGTATTTTTAAATGAGCTTCATATCCCTCAAAAGCACACACAAGAAATGTTTTCTAAATAAATCAAATCTTGATTAAGTACCTTTTACATACAGAGCACTCTCCTGAGCACCAGGAATTCAGAGCAGTAAGGATACTGTCCTCTAACAGCCAGCTCTGTTAGGATAAACCAGGGTATGCCACAGTAACCAAAAAAAGAAGAATCTTGGTGGCTTCTAAGAACAGAGGTCTGTTTGTCTATTTCCCATACATGCTGCATATCCACTGAAGGCTGGCTGGGGACACTGCCCCATATCTCAGTGTGGAACCCAAGCTGACTGAGTAGCCACTCATTTGGTGCTGATCACCATGGCAGAGGAAAAGAGAGCTCTAGAGAGTCTTCAACTAGCCATTATATGCCCTGGCCTTGGAAGTAAAATGTAACCACCTCATAACTCCACTGGCTACGACAGTGACATGGCTCCATCCAACCACAAGAGGGCCAAAAGTACAATCCTACAATGGGCTTAGAATGCAGAAAGCCAGAATTATCCAAACAACAAAAGACAATTGTGGGCAAGGCTGTGGAGAAAATGGAACCCTTGCACACGCTGGGTGGGAATGTAAAATGGTGTGGCCACTATGGAAAACGGTATGGAGGTTCTTCAAAAAATGAAAGATAGGCGGGGTAAGGTGGCTCACGCCTGTAATTCCAGCACTTTGGGAGGCTGAGGCAGGCAGATTACCTGAGGTCAGGAGTTCGAGACCAGCCTGACCAATATGGAGAAACCCTGCCTCAACTAAAAATACAAAATTAACTGGCCGTGGTGGCACATGCCTGTAATCCCAGCTACTCAGGAGGCTGAGGCAGGAGAATTGCTTGAACCTGGGAGGCAGAGGTTGCAGTGAGCTGAGATCATGCCATTGCCCTCCAGCCTGGGCAATAAGAGTGAAACTCCATCAAAAGGAAGAAAGAAAGAAAGAAGGAAAGAGAGAAAGGAAGGAAGAAAGGAAGGAAGGGGAAGGGGAGGAAAGGAAGGAAAGGAAGGCAAAGGAAGGAAAGGAAGGAAAGAAAGAGATTATATGACCCAGCCATTCCATTTCTGGATATATATCCAAATAAACTGAATCAGTATCTTGAAGAGATATCTGCACACCCACGTTCATTGGCATTATTGACCATAGCCAAGATATGGAAACAAGCTAAATGTCCATCAACAAATGAATGGATAAAGAAAATGTGGTGTATACACACAGCAGAATACTAGTCAGCCTTTAAAAATAAGGGAATTCTGCAACATGTGATGACGTGAATGAGCCTTGAGGGCGTTATGCTAAGTGAAATAAACCAGTCACGGAAAGACAAATGCTGAATTATTCCAGTTATACGAAGTGTCTAAAACAGTCAAACTTATATCAACAAAGAGTGGCATGATGATTGTCAGGAGCTGGGGAGTGAGGGAAATTAGGAATTACTAATCAATGAGCAGAAAGTTTCTGTTAAGCAAGATGAATAAATTATAGAGGCCAGGCGCAGTAGCTCACGCCTGTAGTCCCAGCACTTTGGGAGGCTGAGGCAGGAGGATCCCTTGAGCCCAGGAGTTCAAGACCAGCCTAAGCAACATAGCGAGACCTTGTCTCTATTAAAAATAAAAAATTAGCTGGGCATGGTGGCATGCACCTATAGTCCCAGCTACTCAGGGACAGTGGGGAGGTGGTGCTGAGATGGGAGAGGATCTCTTGAGCCTAAAAGGTGGAGGCTGCAGTGAGCCGTGCTTGTGCCACTGCACTCCAGCCTGGGTGACAGAGTCAGACCCTGTCTCAAAAAATTTAAAAAAATGTTTAAAGTTTTAGAAATCTGCTGTACTACATTGTACCTAGAGTCAATAATAATGTGTTGAACACAAAAAATTGTTAAAACAGATCTCAACATGTTGTGTTCTTACCACAATAAAATAAAATCTTTGAAAAACTTAGAAAGCCAGAATATTTGATGTACAGTCCTTTTTTTTTTTTTTCTGTTGGAGACAGAGTCTCGCTCTATCCCCCAGGCTGGAGTGGAGTGGTACGATCTCGGCTCACTGTAACGTCCGCCTCCCAGATTCAAGCGATTCTCATGCCTCAGCCTCCCAAGTAGGTGGGATCACAGGCACCAGCCACCATGCCTGGCTAATTTTTCTATTTTTATTAGAGACAGGGTTTCACCATGTTGGCCAGGCTGGTCTCAAACTCTTGACCTCAGGTGATCCGCTAGCCTCGGCCTCCCAAAGTACTGGGATTACAGGAGTGAGCTACCATGCCGGCGATGAACACTCTTACTGACTACCAAATATATCATCACAGTGGTCAGGCAGAATGTCCACATACATAAAAATACTGCAAAGTAGGCTGTCTAATCAAAATAAATATATATATATTACAGTAGAACGGAGCATGGGAACAACCACCCAAGGGCCAGGGCATTCAGGGAGGGGTTCATGGAGGACCTTCTCCTTCTCCAAGGCTTGAAGGAGAATAGGTTTCAGAGAAATGGTGGAGAAGGAGAGGGTGTAAAAGAGTACTTCAGGCAAGGGAGCAGTGTGAACTGAGGAGTGGTGGCAGGAACATTTGCAAGCCATCTGGAAATAATGAAGATACTGCCTGGCTGCAGCTGCCAGCTCCTGCACCATATAATGTGGGAAAACTGCATAAAAATGAGATTTTTATAGTCTTTGAATGCAAATGTAAAATACTTAGACTTGGTTCTCAGGTCAAAATCAGGGAACTGAGGGAGGTTGAAAAGGCAGAGATCTGCGCCCTTCTTCCCACTTTTTTGTTTGTTTGTTTGTTTGTTTTTAGACAGAGTCTTACTCTGTCACACAGGCTGGAGTTCAGTGGCACGATCTCGGCTCACTGCAATCTCCACCTCTGGGGTTCAAGCAATTCTCCTGCCTCAGTCTCCCAAGTAGCTGGGACTACAGGTGTGCGCCACCACGCCCAGTTAATTTTTGTATTTTTAGTAGAGATGGGGTTCCACCATGTTAGCCAGGCTGGTCTCAAACTCCTGACCTCAAGTGATTTGCCCGCTTTGGCCTCCCAAAGTGCTGAGATTACAGGCATAAGCCACGGCGCCTGGCCTTCTTCGCACTTTAAACTGAGCAGCTCTACTTTGATCTGTTTGATATATTGAGTTTCATGTAAGTTTTTGGTTTTAAAAAGTTTTCTGCTCCTTTAAAAATAATATTTGAAAAACCTTAGTTTTGGAAATACAGAGCCATTTTTTCTTTAAGTTTGTGAGTGTAGAGTCTCAGAATTCAGACCTTAGAAGTTGTTGCATCTGCCACGTATCAAAAGCAAGAACACCCTCTAAACAACCCTTGCCTTCTCTCTTAAAGCTCTTCCAGCAATGGAAAAATCAATACATGTCAAGATAATGCATTCCATCACTGGACGCCTCTAATTTTTAGGAGATTATATCAATTAAGCCAGAATTTACCTTTCTGTAACATCTACCTATTATTCCTAATTCTGACCTTTAACAGTTCCAGAGAATAAGTCCAAAAACAATTCCACGTTAAGCGCTTGAAGACAACTATCATGGGTCTATTTGGTCTTTTTTTTCCTAGGCTTATTATCCCAAGTTTCCTCTCCCTATAAAGTAGAACAGTATATTCTCTTATACTGGTGAGGCCTCTCAGTATACTCTGTTTATCTGAGTCCTCTCCCTTTCTTAAAGCAGGGAGACTGATCTCAAGCAAAAACCTTAAAAGGGGTGTTTTAAGACGGATAAGGCCCAGTAGCTTGTCTATATAGGCCTCCCTTCACATTAGAAAAGAAAGAAGGCCGGGCGCAATGGCTCACATCTATAATCCCAGCACTTTGGGAGGCCGAAGCAGGCAGATCACTTGAGGTCAGGAGTTCAAGACCAGCCTGGCAACATGGTGAAACCCCGTCTGTACTAACAATACAAAAATTAGCCAGGTGTGGTGATGTGTGCCTGTAATCTCAGGTACTTGGGAGGCTGAGGCAGAAGAATTGCTTGAACCTGGTAGGTGAAGGTTGCAGTGAGTGGAGGTCACACCCCTGCACTCCAGCCTGGACAACACAGCCAGACCCTGTCTCAAAAAGAAAGAAAGAAGAAAAACCAGTAATGATAAAAACTTAGAAATTAAAAGTACAAAGATGAAATTTCCAGAAATTATAACAAAATGACAGAGATAAAATAAAAGCAGTAGAGAAAATATAAGAAAACCAGCAAATCAATCAAGGAGTCCAACATATGAAAAATAAGTAGACCAGAAACAGGGAACAGGAAAAACAAAGACCAGGAAATTATCAAAGAAATAAGTAAAGGAAGATTGTCCTAAAATTGAAAGACATGAGTTTGCAGATTGACAGGGCCCACCGAGTGCTCAGAAAAATTGATTTCAGTAATCCCACACGAAATTTAGGGACAATGGTTGGGCACAGTGGCTCACATCTGTAATCCCAGCACTTTGGCAGACCGAGGCAGGCCAATCACCTGAGGTCAGGAGTTTGAGACCAGCCTGGCCAACATGGTGAAACCCCGTCTCTACTAAAAATACAAAAATTAGCCAGGCATGGTGGTGGGCGCCTGTAATCCCAGCTACTCAGGAGGTTGAGGCAGGAGAATTGCTTGAACCCAGGAGAAGGAGGTTGCAGTGAGCCGAGATTGTGCCATTGCACTTCAGCCTGGGCGACAAGAGCAAAACTCCATTTCGAAAAAAGGGAAAAAGGCCGGGCGCGGTGGCTCACGCCTGTAATCCCAGCACTTTGGGAGGCCGAGGCGGGCGGATCACGAGGTCAGGAGATCGAGACCATCCCGGCTAAAACGGTGAAACCCCGTCTCTACTAAAAATACAAAAAATTAGCCGGGCGTAGTGGCGGGCGCCTGTAGTCCCAGCTACTTGGGAGGCTGAGGCAGGAGAATGGCGTGAACCCGGGAGGCGGAGCTTGCAGTGAGCCGAGGTCCCGCCACTGCACTCCAGCCTGGGCGACAGAGCGAGACTCCGTCTCAAAAAAAAAAAAAAAAAAAAAAAGAAAAAAGGGAAAAAAGAAATTTAGGCACATCAACATGAAACGTCAAAATCCTAGAGAGAAGACCTTAAGAGCTTTCAGAGAGAAATAACAAGTCACAGACAAAGAGAAGAACCCGAATGGCTTCGGATTTCTCCACAGTAAAGAGGTAGGAGGCAGGACTCAACTCTAGATAGAAAACTGGCTGAAACAGGGAAGAGGCACCAAAATCACCTTTTCATAAGACTCGCCCACCAATGTCGTGACAGTTTACCATTGCCATGGCAACACCCGGAAGTTACCACCCCTTTTCTAAAAATTTCTAAAAAACCCTTCCCTTAATTTTCGTGGAATTAAAAATGGATATAAATATGACTACAGAAGTGCCCCTGAGCTGCTACTCTCAACACACTGCCTGTGGGGTGGCCCTGTTCTGCAGGAGCCTACAAGGAGCTGTAACACTGCCACCGCCTCCATAAAGCTGGTTTCTTCTACCACCGCTCACTCTTGAATTCCTTCGTAAGAATTTGCCCAGCATGGGTAACACTAGATATTGGAAAGAACAATGAGGCAATGCCTTCGAAAGTCTAGAGTAAAATAATTTCCAATATGGAGTGACCAACCAAACCACTAACCAAGTATAAGGATAGTACATTGAAGTCAGACATTTTCAGGAAGCTATCAGGAGGTGCTCTGTCCAAATAAGAGTAAATCAAGAAAGATCTAGGATCCAGAAAGCAAGACATTGATCTCAGGAGAAAGTCAAAAAGAATCCACAGGATGATACAAACAGAGATCCAGGATAATATCAGGTCACCAGGTGTAATGTCAACCAGTTCAGAGTGAAGCAGGTCTGAATGCCCAAGGAGAGAAGTCTCCAGGAAGACAAAATTGATAAAATACCTAAAGGTTCTGAACATATTCAAAGGATATGGCAGACAGCTAAATCCTCATTTTCCATAGCAGAAATCCAATGGAAAGTGCCTAAAACTAAAAAATTAAGAAGTAACCATATAAGCATATTAGTAAATAATGACGGAAGAGATGGAAGTGAAATCCAAAGGAAAAAAACAAAAGATGTGAAAGTAGTTTTTTGAAAAGCAGGAAATGAGGAAAGAGAGACAGATGACTCCTATATTTTATTATAGTCTTATATTATACTATTATATACTATTATAGTCTCTTATTCAAAGTTGATTTTTAAAACTATGTAGATGTATGGTTTTGATAAACATTTAAACTAAATATGAAAATTAAAATAACAAATATAGAGAGAAAGCAATGGATAAGAATTAGACCTGTGGATAAATTTAATTTTCCTGCTTAACTGTTCAACTTGTCAAAGGAAGGACTTGGTGGGAGGTGATTGGATTATAGGGGCAGTTTCCCCCATGCCGTTCTTGTGATAGTGAGTTCGCACAAGATCTGATGGTTTTTGAAAGTGTTTGGCAGTTCCCCCTGGTGCCCTCTCTCTCACCTGCTGCCGTGGAAGATGTGCCTTGCTTCCTCTTCATCTTCTGCCCTGATTATAAGTTTCCTGAGGCCTCCCCAGCCATGCAGAACTGTGAGTCAATTAAACCTCTTCTGTTTATAAATTACCGAGTATCGGGTATTTCTTTATAGCACAGTGAGAACAGATAAATGCATGGGTAGATAGCCAAAGGAAATGAATTCAGTATGTTGAAGAGATACCTGCACTCCCATGCTCATTGCAGCATTATTCATACTAGCCAAGATATGGAGTTAACCTAAATGTCTGTTTATGGATGGATGGATAAAGAAAATCTAGTATATTATACAAGGAAGTATTATTCAGCCATAAAAAAGAAGAAAATCCTGCCATTTATGACAACACATATGAACGTGGAGGATATTATCTTAAGGGAAATAAGCCAATTACCAAACGACAAATACCGCATGATCTCACTTAGATGTGGAATCTAAAAACGTTGAATTTGCAGACACAGAGAATAAAATGGTGGTTTCCAGGGGCTGAGAGATGTGGGAAATGGGGAGAAGTTGGTCAAAGGATACAAACTTTCCATTATAAGAAGAGTAAGTGCTGGAGATCAACTGTTACGCATGGTAATTTTCTGGGATCATTTGTGCTGCCATAACAAAATACCTGAGGCTTAATGACTTATAAAGAAGAGAAATTTATCTCTCACAATTCTGGAGACTGGGAAGTCCAAGATCACGGTTTGTGAGGGCCTAGTTTCTCTGGTTCCAAGATGGTTCCTTGTTGCTGCATCTCCCAGAGGGTAGGAATGCTGTGTCCTCACATGGGGGAAGGGACACATGGGGTGAAAAGGGGTAAACTCCTTCTGTCAAGCCCTTTTATAAGGTCGTCTAATCCCTTTCATGAGGGTGGAGCCCTCCTGACCCAATCACCTCCTAAAGATCATACCTCTTAATACTGTTGCATTGGGCATTGTGTTTCAACATGAATTTTGGAGGGAACAAAAACGTCCAAACCACAGCAGTGACTACAGTTAACAATACTATACGGTATACTTGAGAGTTGCCAAGAGAGTAGATCTTAAGTGTTTCAACACATTGTTAAAAAAAAAATTGGTAACCATGTGAGGTGATGGATGTATTAATTAACTTGACTGTGGTAATCATTTCACAATGTATTTGCATATCAAATCATCATGTTGCATACCTTAAATATACATAATTTTTATTTGTCAGTTATACCTCAATAAAGCTGTAAAAAAAATTTAAGGAATAGATGAGATTTCTTTTTTCATAAAAAAGGAAAAGCTCTGGGTGTGGCAGCTCCTGCCTATAATCCCAGCACTTCGGGAGACTGAGGCAGGAGGAAAGCTTGAGGCCAGAAGTTTGAGACCAGCATGGGCAACAGAGCAAGACCTCATCTCTACAAAAAAACAAAATTATCCAGGTATTAGTCCCAGCTACTCGGGAAGCTGAGTCAGGAGGACTGCTTGAGCCCAGGAGTTCAAGGCTGCAGTGATTCATGATCATGCTACTGCACTCCAGCCTGGGTGAGACAGCGAGACTCCATCTCTAAAACAAAAATAAATAAATAAAAAGGAAAATTATCCAAAATAGCTAGCACATAGTAGGTCCAGTTTCCTCTCATGTATATACAACTTTACCCACACCTTTTCTGCTTGAGTTTGATTAGGTATACTAAGAGACAAACACAGAAGTCAGCCAAAGATGTTTTAATAAAGCCCAGGAATCTACTGACATCAGACTTAAGGCAAGTTTATCTTCATTTTTGTGGCCTCAGACTTTAAAGCACTAATTCTTTATATGCTGTGGTAAATGTGGCTGGTCCTTGGGCTTCAAACAGCACAGTTTACCACTCACGCAGAAAACATAGACCCTTTCATTCTTCAGGCATTCGTCACGGCAGGAGCCACGAAAATTCCAACATGTTTCAATCCTGCCTATTACAAAAAGAAAAAAGAAAGGAGCTGATATCAGTTATGAGGGGAAATGAGTCCTGGACTGAGAAGACTAACAGAGGACCAGACAGAAGAAGGGGGCTGTAGAAGAAGGAGGCATTCCCTCTAGGTAACTAGGGTGGTGGTATTGTCTATCACCATATTGAAACTCAGGAAATATCCAGTGAAACCCATGAGCCCTTTCTAAAGAATCTACTAGAAAAAGAGCTGTAGACAAGCAAATGAGAGGAGCATTGACACAGAACTAAATATTAAATATAAAGATACTTGTAGAACCAAAATGAGGATTTTAAAAGAGGTAGTAAAGTACATAATGGCTATATGTTCTGACAATATAAATAGAGTACAACATAAAAATGAGAGAATAATGGTGAGAACATATGCAGACATCTTAACTAGTTTGAGTAATCATGACATTATGGTAGCATTGATATTATTTTACTAAGACTATTGTATATGTAATGAGAGATCAATCAAATGAGTAAGTCATGGGATATTCTATCGTCCCCTGTGACCTTGACAACCAGAATTCTCAGTATAGAAAAGAAAATACTGATGTAATATAAAAGTTGATTCTGAATTTGAGTTCTGAATTTGAATTGAAAATGCCAATATGAACTCACAAGTATTTTATATTTAAATAGATAAAATAAATAGATGATTGATGGATGGATAGATAGATTGAAATTTTTCCAGCTCTGGTCACTGAGAAAGTCTAGAAACAATAACTAACTAGTAGAAATTAGTATTCCTAGTACCCATGCTATAATCTTAAAATACTATCTCCCAGTAAACTTTTTTTAAAAAACAGGACTTCTTGGAGATATGGTGGATTCCAGTTCTTGGGCAGTAAATTACAAGATGATCTTGAAACATTCTGTCGTACCAGATACTAAGAAAGCACCAAAGATTAATAGGGATATATCTAAAAGACATACGAGCCAAATTAAAGAGACTCCTATTGGCCAAGAATAAGACAATGTATACTTCAATAGCGAAAATAATTGCAATAGATTGAACTCATTGCTTAGAATCATCAGTTCAAAATAAATAATATTTAAGAAAAACTAATGGCTTAACCTCAGAGGCTGATAGAAAACTAATTCATTATCTCTCAAACCAATTAAGCAAAGATAAACTCAAGCATTTATCCTGTCTTCCTCTCTGAACTCTCTAAACCCCAAGGTAACCAAACAGATGAGGGAAAATGCCTCTTTGATAAGGAGTTCAGCTAATAAATGAAGGTTCTTCCCAACATATCTGTACGGCTCACCCCTCACTTCCTTCAAGTCTTCATTTGAATGTCACCTTCTCAGTGAGGCATTCCCTTGACACCCCTTTTTAAGTTGCAAATTCACGTACCCTGATACTTGCTATCCCCTGCTTACCCTGCTCATTTCCTCCCCTAATAGAATCATAAGCTCCAAGAGGATGGAGATTTTGTTTGGTTGGTTGGTTAGTTGGTTGATTCATTGCTCTATCTCCAGCACCTGTGCCTGGCACACGGAATCCACTCAACAATATTTACTGATTGAACGAGTTATTTAAGCAATGACATGTCCACTATCCCCTAAATCCAGCTGCCATCCTGAGAAGAAGAAGGGGGTGAGGTGAAAGTAGAAATGCTGAAAGACTGAACATTTTAAAGCAAAATGAGCTAATCTGAGAGGTTCTTTTAAATCAAAAAAGATGAATACAATTGTCTTCTGAAGTTGTGTACATCCCTGTGCCCTTTCTAACTCCCACTTTTCCTACCAGCAGGATGGGAGTTCCTGGAAACATTCAAATGAATTACAGAAAATTTAAAAAGCTATATTTGTTGTACATCAAAATGTCAGTGTCCTCAATGTTGATCCTTCAACCTAATTTATTATTTTAAATTGAGAAAAGAATAAACTGAAACTCACAGGCACCAAGTAGTTTGCTGGGGGCATCACAGAACTTGCAAATGGTGAGGCAGGTTCTAAACCAGGATCTGGGGACTCTTTCCTCTTCCTCCAGACAATTAATATTTCACACTGCTCCCTGTCAGCCCATCCTCCCAGGCCCTGGTGTGCCCTGACCAAGACTCACTGTCTACTCCCAGTCCCTCCCCTAGAGAGGTCTAGGTTATCTGGAATGACTTGGAGGAAGAGCAGCAGCACAGCCAAAGTTACCAAAAAAGTCTTCATGACTTCAAGTAGCCCACAGAGTAGTCTCGGCTCTGGTGAAGTGGCAGGAAATGGAGGCGAGCTCAGGACTCTCTGCTGCCTCTAATCAGCTGGGAAGTGTGTCACTCACACGTGCCACTATCTGCCCATGGGTACAGTTTGCTCTGGGACAACCTGCCTTTTTTTTTCATGCTCAGTCACCATCCCAACACCCCTGCACCCAGAGTGTGGACCCCACACCCCTGAGCTCGCACGCCTCCCTTTGTCCACCATCATCTTTTAGGGACCAGCAAAAATAAATCATACAACACCCAGAAGGATACTTTTAAAAATGTATGTCAGCCCTTGTTATAATACAGCTTAAAAATCCTCCAAGACTCCACAACTAGAAAAAAAAAATCCACAATCTTTACTATGCCCTGCAAAGCCCTATATTCTCTGGTTTAGAAATCCACCATTATCATGGTTCTAATGTAAATGAAGCAAGCTCCTTTTTTCAAATGCAATTCCCAGTTTGAGAGCAGAGGAGTAAAGAAGAAAGGACGATCATTCATATTTTAGGGAGAATGTGTCTATTGGATTATTTCCTAAGAAAGAAAGCCCGAGTACCTAAAATCCTCAGTTTCAGGAAGCATTTTGGCATGGAGGGTGAGAAAAGACAAGCTGAAATATTCAGCTTGTTGTCCTGGCTGTGCCAGTTAGTGGCTGTGTGACCTTGGGAGAGTCACTTCCCTTCTCTGGGCTTTAATCTCACCAATGAGCAGATTGGAGCAGATGGGCTGTAGGGATTAACTCAATCCTCATATACTATGATTCTTTGGGTGTGAAAAGGCATGGAAAATGGAATGCCTGGAACTCTAGGTTTTCAGCCCCAGCCTAGGCAACACTCATTGGGTTTACACCTTAGGATTCTCAGGGCTGCCCTTATCAGACTCCAATTCTCTTTACACACTGGGGTCAGAGGCCTCTTCCCCTGATACCTACACCTGATATGCTATATGGTCCCTGCAAAACACAGTCCCTCTTTGGGCCTGCTTCTTGTATAGTCAAAGCACAAAACTTTACTCTGATTATTATAAAAGCTTAATATTCTCCCTAGAGCCCTTGAAGGGGTCTCATCACAGCAGGCTGTTTTGGACATGAGATCCATTAGCTACTGATGAAAGAGCAGGGAAGACCTTGTTCTGTCTGTGTACCTCTGGGCACATGTCAGACATCACAACCTGTTCATGGTGGACCAAAACTCCTTAGGGCCAAATCTCATCAGGAATTAAAAACAACAACAACGAATTAAAGTGACATCAAGCTATATTTTTCACCTATCAAATTGACAAGAAGCTCTTTTTTTATAATGATAATCCCAGAGTTTCATAGGATCAAGGACCTAGTTTCTCAACAAATGGCTATCCTTGTCTTTTCACTTTTGCCCAGAATGCAATGTCCAGAACAAATGGTAGGGGTCTTCTGTGGTATCCTGAACAGGAAGCCTCAGGATACCATAAGAGGAGTCTCAGGAGCTATCTCCCATGTTTGTGGCAAAGGCCAGCCTACCTATCAGTGAGTCCTTTGGGTTTATTGTCATCTTAGGTGCTACAGGGGTTGTCACACCTTCCCCCAGTTCATGTTTGGCCACTGGCAGATTCTACCTTTGACAACACCAGCACCTTCAACTAGGATGTGGTGGAGACCCAGATAAAGGTACTCCAGTCTGGATATGCTTCTGGACAAAGTGTAGATGGTCCCTCAGTACCATTCCCATCGGTAGCCCAGAATCTCTCCTTCCAGTTGGTTTCATAGAATCTTGATGCTGTCCAGACCACAGGGATATTCAGCCTTAGGGGTTTCTGTGTTGTCCAGAGCATGATAGGGGCCTGCTTTGTAGCATCACTCAACATTAACTCTTAATGTATCTTTTTTCAATATTTATTCAAGATTTTAAAGATGCAACACAAATGCCTTCTTTCCAGTGACTTAATTGGCTGTAGTTGTAGATGGGGTTAGATGGGATGGGACACTCAATACATTTTGTTTCTTTTTCATTGCTCAGAGGTAAACTCAGTGTCCAAAAAGAGGCAAGAGAATGCATTAAGAATTTCCTTGCCTAAATAGCCTATGGTGGATTTTTCTTTCCTCAGAAATGGGGAAAGAACAAGGGTATAGTTGTTTCTATTTGAACAGAAACAACAACACTCTTGTTCATTGCATCATGAACATCTAAAGATATACTAATGCCTTTGTCATAATAAATTGGTTATCATGAAGTGTTAGTTTCCTAGCACTGCCATAATAAAAGTACACTTGTTTTTGTCACCTTGAAAAGATTTGTTCACTTATATTGACTTCAATTTTTTAAACTGTAAATTGCATTTTATTAGTAGAGCTTGAAAGGTTCAAAAACGCTCTCCCCTCTCCCCTCTCCCCTCTCCCCTCTCCCTTTTCTCCTCTCCCCTCTCCCTCTCGGTCTCCCTCTCCCTCTCTTTCCACTGTCTCCCTCTGATGCCGAGCCGAAGCTGGACTGTACTGCTGCCATCTCGGCTCACTGCAACCTCCCTGCCTGATTCTCCTGCCTCAGCCTGCCGAGTGCCTGCGATTGCAGGCGCGCGCCACCACGCCTGACTGGTTTTCGTACTTTTTTGGTGGAGACGGGGTTTCGCTGTGTTGGCCGGGCTGGTCTCCAGCTCCTAACCGCGAGTGATCCGCCAGCCTCGGCCTCCCGAGGTGCCGGGATTGCAGACGGAGTCTGGTTCACTCAGTGCTCAATGGTGCCCAGGCTGGAGTGCAGTGGCGTGATCTCAGCTCGCTACAACCTCCATCTCCCAGCCGCCTGCCTTGGCCTCCCAAAGTGCCGAGATTGCAGCCTCTGCCCGGCCGCCACCCCGTCTGGGAAGTGAGGAGCGCCTCTGCCTGGCCGCCCATCGTCTGGGACGTGAGGAGCCCCTCTGCCTGGCTGCCCAGTCTGGAAAGTGAGGAGCGTCTCTGCCCCGCCGCCATCCCGTCTAGGAAGTGAGGAGCGCCTCTTCCCGGCAGCCATCCCATCTGGGAAGTGAGGAGCGTCTCTGCCCGGCCGCCCATCGTCTGAGATGTGGGGAGCGCCTCTGCCCCGCCGCCCCATCTGGGATGTGAGGAGCGCCTCTGCCAGGCCGCGACCCCGTCTGGGAGGTGAGGAGCGTCTCTGCCCAGCCGCCCCGTCTGAGAAGTGAGGAGACCCTCCGCCCAGCATCCGCCCCATCTGAGAAGTGAGGAGCCCCTCCGCCCGGCAGCTGCCCCGTCTGAGAAGTGAGGAGCCCCTCTGCCCGGCAGCCGCCCCGTCCGGGAGGGAGGTGGGGGGGTCAGCCCCCCGCCTGGCGAGCCGCCCCGTCCGGGAGGTGAGGGGCGCCTCTGCCCAGCCGCCCCTACTGGGAAGTGAGGAGCCCCTCTGCCTGGCCAGCCACCCCATCCGGGAGGGAGGTGGGGGAATCAGCCCCCCACCCGGCCAGCCGCCCCGTCCGGGAGGGAGGTGGGGGGGTCAGCCCCACGTCCGGGAGGGAGGTGGGGGGGGGGGTCAGCCGCCCTGTCCGGGAGGGAGGTGGGGGGGTCAGCCCCCCGCCTGGCCAGCCGCCCTGTCCGGGAGGGAGGTGGGGGGGTCAGCCCCACGTCCGGGAGGGAGGTGGGGGGGGGTCAGCCCCCCGCCCGGCCAGCCGCCCCATCCGGGAGGGAGGTGGGGTCAGCCCCCCGCCCGGCCAGCCGCCCCGTCCGGGAAGTGAGGGGCGCCTCTGCCCAGCCGCCCCTACTGGGAAGTGAGGAGCCCCTCTGCCGGGCCAGCCACCCCGTCCGGGAGGGAGGTGGGGGGCTCAGCCCCCCGCCCGGCCAGCCGCCCCGTCCGGGAGGTGAGGGGCGTCTCTGCCCGGCCGCCCCTACTAGGAAGTGAGGCGCCCCGCTGCCCGGCCAGCCGCTCCGTCAGGGAGGGAGGTGGGGGGGTCAGCCCCCTGCCCGGCCAGCCGCCCCGTCCCGGAGGTGAGGGGCGCCTCTGCCCAGCCGCCCCTACTGGGAAATGAGGAGCCCCTCTGCCCGGCCACCACCCCGTCTGGGAGGTGTACCCAACAGCTCATTGAGAACCGGCCGGGATGACAATGGCGGTTTTGTGGAATAGAAAGGGGGGAAAGGTGGGGAAAAGATTGAGAAATCGGATGGTTGCCGTGTCTGTGTAGAAAGAAATAGACATGGGAGACTTTTCATTTTGTTCTGTACTAAGATAAATTCTGCTGCCTTGGGATCCTGTTGATCGGTGACCTTACCCCCAACCCTGTGCTCTCTGAAACATGTGCTGTGTCCACTCAGGGTTAAATGGATTAAGGGCGGTGCAAGATGTGCTTTGTTAAACAGATGCTTGAAGGCAGCATGCTCGTTAAGAATCATCACCACTCCCTAATCTCAAGTACCCAGGGACACAAACACTGCGGAAGGCCGCAGGGTCCTCTGCCTAGGAAAACCAGAGACCTTTGTTCACTTGTTTATCTGCCGACCTTCCCTCCACTATTGTCCTATGACCCTGCCAAATCCCCCTCTGCGAGAAACACCCAAGAATGATCAATAAAAAAAATAAAAATTAAAAAAAAAGAAAGGTTCAAAAACATTTACAAAGGGCATAAAAGTGGTGGGTTTCAAAAAATATTAATATCTAATCATATATTTCATTATGTTAAAAATTCTTACTTACCTTTTTCTTTCCCAGAGAGAGTTTAGGAATTTTCTCAGGTGTGTTTTCTGTAGGTGATTTCAAACAGAATTCCAAGGCTCAGCTTTTAGAATGCTACAGAGGAAAATAATAGGGAAAATCTCCTTTGATTTTGGCTGTAGAAAATGAATACATTTCCACGAGGAAATATTGTAGATAATTGGTGAGTTACATAAATTTATAAAACATTAGTTCCTCTTTCTGCAGGGTAAATTCCTGAGAGTGAATATCTCTGGTCTGTATCCTGTTATCTTGATTTCTGAGTTTCATACTAAATTTCATGAGATGAAACTTGGTACCTCCTACAAGTTTTTCCCTATGACTAATTGTTTACTACATTATTTTTAATAGAAATAATACAATAATAAATTTATTATCTGAAAGAAAATAAATAAATAAAGTACACTTGCCATAACAAACTGAGTGGCTTAAAGTAATAAAAATTATTTTCTCTCACAGTTCTGGAGGTCAGAAGTCCAAAATCAAAGTGTTGGCAGTGTTGCTTCCTCTTTAGGGCACAGAGGGAAAATCTGTTCCATGCTTCTCTCCTAGTCCATGGTGATTGCTAAATGATCATTGGCTTGTAGTGGCGTAACTCCAATCTCTGCCTCTGTGGTCATACAGCATTCTCCCTGTGTGTCTCTGTCCAAATTTCTCTTTTTTTTTTTTTCTTTTTTTTTTTTTTGAGACAGGGTCTCACTGTGTTGCCCAGGCTGTAGTGCAGTGGTGAGATGTCAGCTCACTGCAACCTCCACCTCCCGAGTTCAAACAATTCTCCTGTCTCAGCCTCCCAAGTAGCTGGGATTACAGGCACCTACCACCACACCCAGCTAATTTTTGTATTTTTAGTAGAGATAGGGTTTCACGCTGTTGGCCAGGCTGGTCTCAGACTCCTGACCTCAAATGATCCACCAGCCTCGGCCTCCCAAAGTGCAGGGATTACAGGCATGAGCCACTGCGCCCAGCTGAAATTTCTTTTTTCTTATAAGGACACCAGCCACTGGATTAGAGCTCACCCTTATCCAACATGACTTCATCTTAACTTCATTACATCTGCAAATATCCTATTTCCAGATAAGTCACATTCACAGGCACTTGGTGTTAGGACTAGAACATATATTTTGGGAAAGACACAATTCAACCCACGACAAATTTTTTTTAAATTCTTATTATGAGTGAAACTGAACATCTTTTCATATGTTTAACGCCCTTTTTTACCTTTTTTTGTGGACTGTCTATTCGTATTTTTGTCTATATTCAAATAATTTTTAGTAATATCTTCCTCCTCTTTGTATTTTTTTGTTCCCTGTTTCTAGAATTCTTATTTTCCAGATATTGGGCTCTCTGCACTGATTCTCTAATTTTATGTATTTTCTCTCCTGATTTCCATCCATTTGGCTTTTTTCCTCTAGTTTCTCAAAAATTTTAATCAAATTTGTCTTCCAGCTTTTCTATTAATCTTTCTTTTCCATTTTCTGCTATTATATTTTTTATTTCTAAGAGTTCTTATTTATTCCCTAACTTTTCCTTTTTGTAGTATCCTATTCTTGTTTCATGGTTGTAGTAGCATCTCTAATTTCTCGCGAGGCTTTTAATAATGTTTTCCTGTCTGCATAATCTATTTCCTATAACTTGTTTGTTGGTTGGTTGGATGGTTGATCTGTTTTACATTAGATGTTTGCCTCTCATCAATGATCATATGACTAATGATTCTTAATTATGTACTTATATATAAAAGTGTTTCACTGCAAAGCTTATTAGAAACTCAATGAATGATTTTGTTCTGTTTGGTTTTGGTATCTAATTTTCATAATAGATACTTTAATGGCAACATTTGTGGTTCCTTTGTTTGTTTGTTTGTTTTGTTTTGTTTTGCTTTGCTTTTTAAGACAGTGTCGCTCTGTCACCCAGGCTGGAGTGCAGTGGTGCTCACTGCAACCTCCTTCTCCTGGGTTCAAGTGATTCTCCTGCCTCAGCCTCTTGAGTAGCTGAAATTATAGGTGTCTGCCATTATGCCCAGCTAATTTTTGTATATTTAGTAGAGACAGGGTTTTGCCATGGTGGCCAGACTGGTCTCAAACTCCTCACCTCAAGTAATCTGCTGGCCTCGGCCTCCCAAAATGCTGGAATTATAGGCATGAGCCACTGCACCTGGCTGATATTTGTTAATTTTTAAGAGTGAGAGACTAAAATGCTGATTAAGCACACGAACGGGGCTTACCAATTGTGACATTGACAGTGAGGTGATTTGACTGGGCCATTTAGTGGAGAAATGCCAGTGTCAGTTTTTTTAGGATCTTTTCTGCTTCTCTGCTAATCTCCTGCTGGGAATTCTGAGAGCTAAGTGGAGAATGAAGCCTGGGGGCTAAATAGTTTCTCAGCAACCAATATACATGCTTCAGCTAATCCTCCCATTTTCTGCTTACTAAGTTTATCTTCAGTGATGCTTGGAATCCCCAGGTTCAGAGAGCCTCTGTTTTACCCTTGCTACAAAAGCCGTTAAGTCTTTTTTTTTTTCAGGATTGGGGTAGTATAGTATGATAGGTATAGAGTGATGGCTGCCTGCATGAAAAGGAGAAGGAATAGAGTATCTAAGGATTGATTCTTAAACACTATTTCAACCAAACCTCCTTATTTTAACTCTTCCACATTTCTCCCTGTTTCTAGATGTTTATGGTGCCACTAGATTCTGAGCTCTTATTTATTTTGTGGTTTAAATTGGGTCGGTCCTTTGTTTTCCCCACTTCCAGCTTTAATTCAGTTTTCTTTAGACTGCTTACTCATTTCCAGCTCATCCAGCTGCCTTCTATCTTCTAAATTGTTGTGTCCTCTATTTCATTCTCCTCATATTTATTGGTTTATGACTTTTAAAAAAATGTTGCTATAATTGCTGTCGCTTAAGTGGGGTTGGGGAGCAAATAACTAAAAATATTTGTATTCAATCCACTATTTTTACCCAAAAGTCAATGGTGTGCTTTTATAAATTGTATCTTATTTTAATTTGTGATGTTTAAAAATGCTATTGGCCGGGCACGGTGGCTCACGCCTGTAATCCCAGCACTTTGGGAGGCCGAGGCGGGTGGATCACCTTAGGTCAGGAGTTCGAGACCATCCTGGCCAACATATTGAAACCTCATCTCTACTAAAAATACAAAAATTAGCCAGGTGAGGTGGTGGTGGGCACCTGTAATCCCAGCTATTCAGGAGGCTGAGGCAGGAGAATCACTTGAACCTGGGAGGCGGAGGTTGCAGTGAGCCAAGATCACACCACTGCACTCAAGCCTAGGCGACAGAGCGGGACTCTGTCTCGAAATAAATTAAATTAAATTAAATTTAAATTTAAAGTGCTATTAATATTGTTTTTTATTTTTAACCAGAAAGTGTTAATTTGGCAAATTATATTAACTGATTTTCTAATTTTAAATCCAACTTGCATTCCTAGGATAAACCCAACTTAGTCACAAAGTATTGACATTTTTACATTTTCTGGACTTGCTGTGCCAGTGTTCCATCTAAGATTTCCACATCTATGTTTCTAAGTGAGATTGGCTTTCCTAATTCTGTACTCTTCAGGTTTTACAGTCAAGTTATGCTGGTCTCATAAAATGAATGGGGAAATACTCCTTTTCTTTTCTTTTTTTTAAAGCATTATTTATACAAATGCATTTTATTGTTTTAAACAGAACAAAAGAAGAGGCAGAAAATATTTGCATACAACAAATCCTAGCTTATAAATGTAGTTTTTTAGCGGTGATGTCTCTAATCACCATTCAGGGATTTTTTTTTTTTTTTTTAATTTGCTTCACTGTGTCTTGAGCACTGATATTGGAGAAAAGCACATCCGGCAAAAAGTGTATGCCAGTGTCTCAAACCACTGGAAGAACTGGGAGAGCAAACATGATTTTTCTTAGGGGAAATACTCCTTTTCATCTTCTCTGGAAAAATTTGTGTGAAGTGAAATTTTTGTTATTATTATTTATTATTTGTCCCACAAATGTTTGGTAGAACTTGTGGGTAAACTATCTGGGACTGGGACTTTCACTCTTGACCAAGATGGAGTGACTGGGACTATATTGATCTTCCCACCTGAAACAACTAAACAATCAGGCAGAAAATATAAATCGATACTTTCTAAAACATTAGACATTGAGGAATGGAGGACAGTGTTTCTTGAGATATGATAAATAAACAATGTGGGCTCTGTGATTGCCCCACCTTATTGCCTTGAAAGAAATTTCAGACTATAAGACAGGAAGACAGGAGGCAGGAAAAGTCATGTTTTTGTGTTTCTTTTTTTCTCCTTTCTTGATCTCATATTTGAATTGTTTTTCTCATTCCACTTTTCCCTTCTGCTATTTTAAAAGTTACGCCTTCTATTTATATAGCTAATGGTATGTTTTTCAAAATCTTTTTGACCATGACACAATATCTTTTACATAGTGATCAAGATATATATATTATGGTATATGTAATGACATAGAAATCATAATATGTGATATACATATATTGAATTATTATCATTGAATTCAATTATTGATTGATTGAACCAAAAGTTCTATGAGACATGAGTTGCTTTTACAGAAAGCAATGTCTTCTTGTCTATTTTATCCTACTCTATCCTGTTTATCACTTTCTAAAATGATTTCTTGACTGTGATGGAGAGACTCTAGGAGTCTTTCCCCTTATCCCTGCCTCCTGTTACTCATGCATTTGAGATCTCCTTCCCTTGAGTGTAGGTAGGATCTGTGACTTGCTGTTAACCAACAGAATACAGGTGGCAAAGGTGATGGAATGGAATGTCTGGATTACATTGCATAAGATTATAATCTATCTTGCTAGAAGTCCCTCTCCCTTGCTGACTTTGATGAAGCAAGTGACCACGTTAGGGAGGCACACATGACAAGAAACTGAGAACACTCCCACAAACATCTGGCAAAAAACTGAGACCCTGGGTCTTACAACCTATAATGACTTGCAGGCTGCCAACAACCACATGAGCATAGAAACGTATCCTTCCCCGGCCGGGCGCAGTGGCTCATGCCTGTAATCCTAGCACTTTGGGAGGCCAAGGCGGGCGGATCATGAGGTCAGGAGATCGAGACCATCCTGGCTAACACAGTGAAACCCAGTCTCTACTAAAAATACAAAAAATCAGCCGGGCATGGTGGCGGGCGCCTGTAGTCCCAGCTACTCGGGAGGCTGAGGCAGGAGAATGGCGTGAACCTGGGAGGCGGAGCTTTCAGTGAGCGGAGATCGTGCCACTGCACTCCAGCCTGGGCGAAGAGTGAGACTCCATCTCAAAAAAAAGGAAAGAAAAAAAAAAAAAAAGAAACATATCCTTCCCCAGTTGAGCCTCAGATGAGAGGAAAATAAGAGCTGGTTCTAAAATCAAAAGCTGTTGTTCATCCTGAATTGAATTTTCTTAGTTTGGGTGGAACAGAGTCGTTTTGAAGTCTTGTTCTGATCTAGTTCTATTGCATTGTTGATGATAACTGTTGACTTTGTGTAGTGTAGAAGCAACAAGCATGTCCTTTTAGTACAAGTACAGTGAAGGGTAGAACAAACTTTCATTGATGCAAAAATTTAAATAGTCACGTTACTTCTGTATCCAGTGTCTTAAAGTTTTAGGATTAGTTTTAGTTTTGTGTTTGCTTACATGAGCTTAGCATAAAGAATATTTTAAACATCTCGTTTTGTCTTCAACATTTTTTCTATTAAGAGGTAAAATGTAGGCCTTGTTTGACTCTTGACAATCCAGTGTATGTTTGATCTTAGATCTCATGACCTGAGTGCATCTCTTCTCCAGGAAGGAAACTGCACCAATGTCTGTTCCTGTTAAATAGCAATTTTTAGGGCCGGGAGTGGTGGCTCATGCCTGTAATCCCAGCACTTGGGGAGGCCGAGGCAGGAGGATCACCTGAGGTCGGGAGTTCGAGACCAGCCTGACCAATATGGAGAAACTCTGTCTCTACTAAAAATACAAAATTAGCTGGGTGTGGTGGCACATGCCTGTAATCCCAGCTACTCAGGAGACTGAGGCAGGAGAATCGCTTGAACCTGGGAGGTGGAGGTTGCAGTGAGCCAAGATGGCACCATAGCACTCCAGCCTGGGCAACAAGAACGAAACTCCCATCTAAATAAATAAATAAATAAATAAATAGCAACTTTTAGTCTCAGCTTGTTTTGTTTTGATGTCAATAAATAGTAACAGCATTCAAAAAAAAAAAAGAGAGAGAGAGAAGGCACGGTGACTCACGCCTGTAACCCTAGCACTTTGCGAGGCTGAGGCAGGCAGATCACCTGAGGAGGTCAGAAGTTCGACACCAGCCTGGCCAACATGGCGAAACCCCATCTCTACTGAAAATACAAAAATTAGCCAGGCATCGTGGCGCATGCCTATAATCACAGCTACTCGGGCTGAGGCAGGAGAATCGCTTGAACCCAGGAGGCAGAGGTTTCAGTGAGCCGAGATGGCACCACTGCACTCCAGACTGGGCGACAGAGTGACACTCCGTCTCAAAAAAAAAGGATTTGGGTATCATCTAGGTATGCGAATTTTGTCTGCAAGCCCATGTGAGGGTTTAATTATATTTACAAGTCCTTCCCCCATCTCTATTCAGTGTCGAGACTCAAGATAGGCCATTTTCTCTATGATTCTCTCAATGGGGCATGTATTCTTATTTCTAATTCACCTTCACACTGATGTCATAGCCCTTTGAAGCCCAAGATTTACACAGAGGGGTCTCCACTAAAGGTTCCCCAATTTAGCTTTCTTTTCTGCTTGTTGCATCACTTAATGTTATAAAAACCAAGTAGTGTATGAGTTA
The DNA here is from genome assembly GCF_000001405.40 of Homo sapiens. Classification (NCBI taxonomy): domain Eukaryota; kingdom Metazoa; phylum Chordata; class Mammalia; order Primates; family Hominidae; genus Homo; species Homo sapiens. The sequence continues at coordinate 31,435,388 of NC_000020.11, forward strand.
AGTTGCTATAATTTTTTAAAAATCAAAATACAATGACTTAAATAAGAAGAAAGTATATTTTCTTCTCGCATGATGGTTCAGAGGTAAGTAGCCCAGGGATAATGAGACAGCTTATCATTCTCCACAGATAACTTTCATCCCTTTTTTTAATAAGTGGCTACTCCAGTTTTCTTGATTCCCCAAAACAATGGGAAAGGAAAAAGAAATGTAGGGCAAGCAGGTACCTTTTGTAAGAATATGACCAGGAAGCCATACACATCACTCCAGTTCACATCCCGCTGTTAGAACTGACTTGCATGGCCACACCTACTGGATCTTACCCAGCCATATGGTTCTAAATACCTCTATACCCTGAAAACTCCAAAATTTATATTGATAGCCTGAAGCTCCTCTCCAAGTTTTTCTGACTCTTAACATATCTAACATGATACCTCCATTTGAATGTCTAACATGTCTGAGGTGGTTTTAAAACATAACTGAAAATGGCCGGATGTGGTGGCTCACGCCTGTAATACCAGCACTTTGGGAGGCCGAGGCAGAAGGATCACCTGAGGTCAGGAGTTCGAGACCAGCCCGGCAAACATGGTGAGACCCCGTCTCTACTAAAAATACAAAAATTGCTGGGCATGGTGATGCATGCCTGTAATCCTAGCTACTGGGGAGGCTGAGGCAGGAGAATTGCTTCAATCTGGGAGGCAGAGGTTGCAGTGAGCCGAGATTATGCCACTGTACTCCAGCCTGAGAGACAGAGAGAGAGTCTATTTAAAAAAAAAAAAAAAAGCCATAATTGACAATTATTTGATATGCCTCCATCAAGGGAAGAAATTTCCCTCTCCTTGAATCCAGGCATGCTTGTGACTACTTTGACCAATCGAGTTCAGCAGAAGTGATGCTTTCAAGGCTTGATCTAAAAGGGTCATACAATCTCCTGTTTGTTTGCTGTAACCCTCACTCTTGGACCCTGAGATCCCATGTAAGAAGTCCTGCTACTCTGCATGAAGCCCAAGCCACATGGAAGGATCATGTGGGTGCTTTGGTTGACAGCCCCAGATAAACCCAGCCTTCAGGTGCCACCCATGAGTGAAAAAGCTTCCAGATCCCACCACCCTAAACATTCAAGTCTTCTCAGGTGAACTCTCAGGTATTGTCATAAGATAATGCTTTCTGTACTATTTCTACATGTCAGATTTATTAAATGATTATTATGATGTTATAGTTTATTAATAATAAACAATTCATGTATTGTCCTAAGCCTTTTACATACATTATTCCCTGTGATAATTCAGTGAAATAGGTAACTTTAAGATCTCTTTTTACTGATGAAAACTTTAAGTCCACAGAGGTTAAGCAATTTATACAATGTCAGAAAGTTCACAAATGGAAGATCAAGCACTTAACCCAAGTCTGTCTTGACTTCAAAGTTTATTCTTCAGAACCAGCATCTAATAGGGGCTCTGTAAAGTCAATATGGAGTGACAATTTGTGACATCAGAATTAGTGGTTAGGAAAAACTCTCCCAGGAGTTTCCTATTTGAGCTAAAACATGAGTGGGAGGAAGGAACCAGTCACAAGAAAATCAGGAAGAATATTGCACGCAAAGGAAATAGCAAGCACAAATGTCCTGAAGTAGGAACACGATTCGTGCATTTAAAGGAAAGAAGGAGAGCCAGCGTGGCTGAAGAGTAGTGGGAGAGGAGCAATTGCTATGAGATGAGGTCAGAGAAGTATGCAGCAACCAGATCGTGCAGACCAGCAGAAAGAGTAGGAATGTATCCTAGTGCAAAGATAGCCATCAGATAAATCAACATCTAATTCATATTTTTAAAAGGTGAGTCTTTAAAAATTCATCTTTTTAAAAGGTGCGGTGGCTTATGCCTGTGGCTCACACGGGGGCTCCCAGCACTTCGGGAGGCCAAGGCAGGAGGATCACTTGAGGCCTAGGGTTTGAGACCAACCTGGCCAACATGGCCAAACCCTGTCTCTACTAAAAATACAAAAAAAATTGGCTGGCATGGTGGTGTGTGCCTGTAATCCCAGCTACTCAGGAGGCTGAGGCACGAGAATTGCTTGAACCTGGGAAGCAGAGGTTGCAGTGAGCCAAGATCGCACCACTGCACTCCAGCCTGGGCAACAGAGCGAGACTCTGTCTCAAAAAATAATAATAATAATTAAATAAATAATAAAAAATAAAAGGTAAGTCTAGCAGCTCAGTAGAGAATGCAAAATCTAAAAGCAAGATGGGAACCCTACCCGAATATCTTGAGCTGAGAGTGAAGGCGATTTGGCTCCCCAAAGGAAAATTAAGGGGCTGTCACTAGAAGAAAAGGAAATCACTGCTGAGCATGCAAAGGTCCATTACAAAGCCTTAGAAGTGAAGTTTCTGGATTGCAGGGCCTGCATGTTTTAAGGATTTGATATTGACAAACAACTTCCAAAAAGTCTGGATTTGGATTTGGATTTCTATGATCAAGGTATCGTTCTTTCCCTACATCCTAGAAAAGTCTAGGATCATCAATAAAATAATACTCTTGGCTAGTGTGGTGGCTCACACCTGTAATCCCAACACTTTGAGAGGCTTAGGCAGGCGGATCACTTGACATCAGGAGTCCGAGACCAGCGTGGCCAACGTGGTGAAACCCCGTCTCTACTAAAAACACGAAAATTACTTTTTTTCTTTTTTTTTTTTTGAGATGGAGTTTCGTTCTGTCTCCCAGGCTGGAGTGCAGTGGTGCGATCTTGGCTCACTGTAACCTCCGCCTCCCGAGTTCAAGCAATTCTCCTGCCTCGGCCTCCTGAGTAGCTGGGATTACAGGCACATGCCACCAGGCCTGGCTAATTTTTTTTTTTTTAGTAGAGATGGAGTTTCACCATATCTGCCAGGCTGGTCTCAAACTCCTGACCTCAAGTGATCTGACTGCCTCGGCCTCCCAAAGTGCTGGGATTACAGGCATGAGCCACTACACCTGGCCTAAAAATACAAAAATTAGCCGGGCATGGTGGTGTGCGTGCCTGTAGTCCCAGCTACTCAGGAGGCTGAGGGACAAGAATTGCTTGAACCCGGGAGGCAAAGGTTGCAGTAAACCAGGATCGCACCACTGCACTCTAGCCTGGGCAACAGAGCAAGATTCCAACTCTCTCTCTATATATATATATATATATATTTTTTTTTCTTGGCAATTTGATTGGAGAAATGATACCTCACTGTCATCTGAATTTGTTTGTCCTTGATTCCTGGTGAGGTTGAGAAGTAGGCCCTTCTGACTCACCATGAACAGGCCATGATGTCTGAGGTGTGCCTGGTGTCTGATGTCTGAGGTGTGCCTGGAGGTGCACATATAAGTCTCCCTCTGCTCCCTTGACATCTCCCTTATCCCCTGCCCATTGTGGATACACAGCTACTCCAGAGTCCTCAGGAGGACTACAAAGGCTTCAAAACAAGAGCAAAATTGCTACATTGACTATGCAAGGAGCAGGCCCAGAGATGGACAATGATTTTGCAAGACCCACACAGTGTACTTGGGAGTTGGGGTCAAGAGAAAAGACCTGTGATATAAGTGGTTCAGAGACTTGGGGGCTGATAAGGGCAGGCTAGAGAATCCTTATCTGAAAACCCAATTACCTTGCCCTGTTTTGGTGTTGAAAACCTGGATTGCTGCATTCTTTTACTTTCTGTGTCTTTTATATAGAAAACCATATAATATGATGGATATATTGATCCCTACTGCACATCTGCCCCAAATCCTTAATTGAAGAGATTGAGACCCAGAAAAAAAAAAAAAGTAATTCTTCCAAGGTCACATAGAAAGCTAGTAGCAGTGTCAGGACTAGTTACCCAATATTTTCAACTCTGCTGTCACTCTCAATACAAAAATCCTCCATATATCCTGGCATTTCAGGCAGTGGGAAAATCTCTTCTTTTAGGGAGAAAAGAATCCAACAGATACATTATTTCTCCAGGCCTGGGCAACAGAGCAAGACCCTGTATCCAAAACAACAACAAAAACAAAAAGATAAAAAATAGTTTTTAAAATTAAGAAAAAAAAAGAAATGAAATGAGCCTCCTTACCAAAAATGAACAGCACAGGAAAGGTGGACTTCCAGGCTTTCCACTGAGTCCCTTCCTAGCCAGTGTCTCTTCTTCTCTTCATTGTAAGGGTTTTAGAAAGAATTATTTACACTTGCTGACCTCACTGTTTCACTTACCTTTCAGTTTTCAACCCCATTGACTGTTTTCTGCCCCTACAGAAATGGCTTTCACTGTTGTTGTTGTTGTTGTTGTTTTTCCCTTGTAATCCCTCTGTATGCTATTATACCCTTGACATCTGTTTCAAGCAGGGTCCAGTCAGAGAAACAGTAACTACAGGATGCAGCTACCACCCGAGGGCTGAGGGAACTAAAGGAAAGAGATGCCTTTTCTTTTCTTTTCTGAGACAGAGTCTTGCTCTGTCGCCCAGTCGGGAGTGCAGTGGCGCGATCTCGGCTCACCACAGCCTCCCCAGGTTCAAGCGATTATCTTGCCTCAGCCTCCCAAGTAGCTGGGATTATAGGCATGCACCACCACACCTGGCTACTTTTTGTATTTGTAGTAGAGATGGGGTTTCACCATGTTGGCCAGGCTGGTCTCGAACTCCTGACCTCAAGTGATCCACCCACCTTGGCCTCCCAAACTGCTGGGATTACAGGCGTGAGCCACCGTGCCCGGCCAAGAATGAGTTTTCAAAACCCGAGTTCAGAAGAAGGATTCTGAGTGGTTGGTTCTCAGATCTCTGAGGAAGCGGAAGGATGACCCTAGGGGGAGGGCCACCGCATGTTAGAACCCAGCAGGGGGCTGTGACAGACAGGCTGGTGCTCGGAGCTTCATCTCTTTCTGCCGTTTTCCTCTCAGTTTTTGCTCTGGTTATGTCATATTTCTCATTTTCAACACCAACATGAGCCTTTGTACAGACATTCCTCCACCTGGAACCCCATTTCAGCTCATCTACCTGTTGCTTTGTATTTATTCTTCAAAACTCTGCCGTCTTCCCTGACCTTCCGGAGCCGGTGTTTGTGGCGCCTCCTGCTGGTCACTGGGTTCAGGCAGTTTGGAGCTGGGTGGAAGGAACGGGTAGTATATTAAGTCTTGGGCCCTGGACCTTGTTGGCTGTCCTCTCCCTGCTGACCTAAATGACAAAGGGAGGGGTGTCCAGTCAGAGTGTGAGGGCTGTACCCGTGGGCAGCTGAGGGAGTGCGAGCCACAGGCCAGGCACTCTCCTTCTCCCATTAGCTCAGCCGTGGCATCGGACTTGCAGCTTCATTTTGGGCTGCCTTAGCCATGAAGCTCCTTTTGCTGACTTTGACTGTGCTGCTGCTCTTATCCCAGCTGACTCCAGGTAACCTGAACCTCCTTAAGGAAGGGGCAGGGCTTAGAGACTAAGGCCTGGTCAGAGAATCCCAAGGGCTAGAAGGATGGGCTGCAGGTTGTCATCTAGCACCACGTATAGGAGGCAGGAGGCGCCTCACCAGCAGCAGGTGCCAGCTGATAGATGACAACTACAACATCCAGAGCTGCTCTCTCAGCGGCTCCATCCCTCCTCTTCCTGCCCAGCTCCAGGGAGCATGTGGGGGTGGCCTAGTGTGTGAGGAGGAGTGGGAGGGGTGAGCAAGAGAAGCAGGAAAGAGGAGAGGCAGGTATGGCCCTTTTGCAAAATAGTCCCCAGAATGAACGAAGCTTTGTGAAGATCACAGCTACCTTAATGGGAGAGAAAGCTCATTTGTACTTAGCTGTCTCTGTGCCAGACTCTGCGCTGGAAGCTAGGACCACGGAGATAAATGACATGGTGCCAGGGGAACTAACTGGAGGAGACAGTTAAATAGCATTTATAACCCAGGGTGACACGGCTGTGGCAGTGGGAAACCAGGGGGCTGGGTACACATGGTCCAGCCCAGGCTGAGGGAAAGGAGAGTCCTCCTGGAGGGATATCCTGAGTCCTAAAAAGTGAGTCGAAAATAGAAAAGGAAGGAGAGGGGAAAGCAGAAGGGTGTCCCAGGCAGAGAGGTCAGCCTATGCAAAGGTTGGATGCGGGAGAGAGCATGGGAGTGTCGGGGACCTGCATAACATGGAGGGGTGGGTTAGGAGAGAGGCGGGGGTAAAGCTGAGGAAGCATTCAAGCTCCAGGTCTCAGTGGGCCTCAAATGCCAGGTGAGGGACCCATGGGAAGGTTTAAACAGAGAAAGACCCTGGTCAGACCTACCACCCACCAATTCCAGCATGAGCCACCTATCCCTTCCTGCTCATCTGGCAGAAGTTTCCACCCACCCTAAGGCTGTCGGCTAACCTTTCTACAGAGTCAGAAACGTGTGAATTTCCTAAACAAGCTGACCTCCGTCCTTGTGTCTTCCTGAGGCCCTAAAACACCACTCACCTGGAGTAGGGAGGAAAGCCCAGACCCCGGGTTAAAACCTGCCCCATCATTTTCTGACTCTGTGAGCCCCAACAAGAAGCTCAGCTGCTCAGAGTATCAATTTCCTCATTTCTCAAACTGCAATAACATCAAGTGTGTAATAATATCAGGTTGAGGGAACAACATTGAACACACTGAAATTTTGGTCTGCAAAAGAAATATGGCTTCTCTATTTTCTCTAACTCACCAAACTTTCCCAGGAACTTCCATCCTGACTGTGGGAGTTAGTGGTGGGAGGAGCAGGACTACAGAGATAAATGACATGGCACCAGGGGAGCAAACTAGGGGAGACAGTTAAATAGCACTTACAACCCAGGGTGACAAGGCACATAGGGGCTGGGCCTGAACTCAGCAGTTCAATATTTGTCTTTTCTGTTTTAAAATGATTTCTAAGCTAATTCAATCTCTTTTGAATAAGTGTTGAGTCTTTCAGCATGTCTCTTTCTTCCATCACCCTTTCTCTTTCCTGGGATAGTATCTGGTTACAGGGAAAAGTAACTTGATATGTCATCAAATAATTAATTGCTTCATTCAGTAAATACAGTTGAATGGATTTCTTGTTCCAAGCACTGTGATGGGTGCTAGAGGTAGAACTGGGAACAAAACAAGATAAGCAAAATCTCTGTCCTCTTGGAGCTTACCTTCTACTGGAGGACCCAAAGAATTTGAAAAATAAATGAAACATATGGTATGTCAGATAATGAGTACAGTGAGCAGAATAGGCAGGAAAGGAAATAGTGAACACCAGGGGAAGGGGAAGGTCATTTGCTTTTTTTTTTTTTTTTTTTTTGGAGACAGGGTCTTGCTCTGTCACCCAGGCTGGAGTGCTGGAGTGTAGAGGCACGATCTTAGCTCACTGCAACCTCCACCTCCCGGATTCAAGCAGTTTTCATGCCTCAGCCTCCTAAGTAACTGGGATTACAGGCGCCTGCAACCACGCCTGGCAAATTTTTGTATTTTTAGTAGGATACGGTTTGGCCATGTTGCCCAGGCTGGTCTTGAATCCCTGACCTCAAGCAATCTGCTTGCCTCAGCCTCCCAAAGTGCTGGGATTACAGGCTTGAGCCACCATGCCCGGTCTTTGCCATTTTTAAGGGGTTGTTCATGGAATGTCTCACTGTGACCTGAGGGAACAACCGGTGTGAGCATGTGGCTATGGAGGGAAGGAAATTCAAGCTGGGGAAAACAGCAAGTGCAAGGGTCCTGGGATAGGAACATAAGGAGGTGGGGTCAGGTCCTGTGCTGGACCCTTACTGACTTCTGGGATCACGACCCTCGTTGGATGTGGTTAGTAGCGTCCTGCTAGCACTTACTACTGGATTTCATGACTGATGAAATCTCTCAGCCCTTTTGGGGTCCCCACTGACTCGACCCTTCATCTCAGCCAGATCTTCCATCTGGTCCCCAAGTTAAGGCTGTTCACACCCTCCCTTACTGCCTTCTGCACTAGGGGTGTACTCTTGGCAGGTCCCTCACTGGTTTTCCTATCTCAGCCAGAGACAAGGGAACCTGGGGACCTTCTGGGTCTATTTTATTCAACAGAGAGCTGACAGTGATGCTCAGCCACTTCCCTTAGCCATTTCTAATCCCCCTTCAGGTAGCACCATGCAGTGCTATATCCATGCTAAAGATAAGAATTTCTCTGAAGAGCTACCAGTTTCCCTGAGCTATGCTCTAAGAGGCAGAGAGTAAGTGTCTTCTGCGTTGGCAATTTCTTTCGACCAATCTGGGTATTCATAGCAAGAGACTCTCTTGCCCCTACCTTTCTCACATTAATTATCTCTACTTCCTGAGTGTTCAGGTCAACCAGTAGACTGCTAGCAGGAGACACACGAAAGGCCTTTGTCCCTAGCTTGTTGGTGGGTCCACCATCAGGCTGGCAGAATGAGGCATGGGTTCTAGCAGGGCTCTCAGGCCCACTGCTGCTGCTGCGGGAGCTGGATTTAAACTTCCAGCTTCCCCAGAAATTATGGGCAGAGTATTTCCCCTCTACTTCCTGTTGGGTATGGTAGTGGTGACAGAGGTTAAATGGAAGCTACTTTAGCTGGACCCTCAGCCTTAGCCTCCTATAGCTTATGATGAAGTGGTATTGTCTGAACCCCCCAGGTTCATCTAATAATGTATAAAGGAGCTCTTTGAAATTTGGAAATCCCTGAACTTCCTTAACAAATGTTGGTCCTTAAAATGGTCTTTCCATGCACAACCCTTATCTCATTTAAGCTGAGCAATGAGTTTGCTGTTCTGTTGTTCACCATTCCCCCAAAACCCAGAAACTCTGCCCAATTCTGCTTTTTGACAACCAATGGATTTTATGATTAAAGGGGATTGAAATATGCATCACTTCAATATTTTCAAAATATTGTCATACTCACCGTTAGGTTAATTGTGGGAATTCAGGAGACATATGTAAAGCCCAGAAACCCAGCAGAGATGAGATTTAGGTGGGACACCTGCCCTTCCATTATACATCCTCACAGCACCCTGAGTTCGTTCTTTATAATTTTTATCATACTCTAGTTAATCAAATATCTGGGTATCTATTTTTTAATGGCTCTTTCTCCCCTCATTAGACTGGAAGTTCTCTGAGGGTAGGTGTCTCACTCATTTATAGTTTTATCTCCAGTGTATAGGCCTCTCAGTCTATACATGTGAGTATTTCCCTGGTGTAGACATCTGGAAAGGAATTGCTAGGTAAAGACTGTGTATAGTTTTAAAATGTGTAAGTTATTGCTCAGTAGGCTCCACAGATGCTAAAAAAGTGTATGAGTGTCATTCCTTTCACTCACCAATAGTTCCTCTTGACACTCTTAAATTAAAAATTGAGATTTTGTTGTTAAATGGTGGCTTTTTCCTTATCTTTTTGTAAACTAAAACACAGAATCACAGATGCTGCACACCACATAATACAAGTGTGCAGCTTAATGGAGGTTATAAGTGCACATCTTTGTAACCACCACTCAGGTCAATGGACAGAGCATTGACAGTCACTCCGAAAACGTCTCCACCTATTCCATCCATCACAATTGTCTTCATCCCCCAAATTAAGCACTCTCCTGACTTTTATAGCAATCAGTTCTTTGCATTCCTTTACAGTCTCATTGCTAGGGGGGCATCCCTAGACACCCTATTTATACTGTTAAAATCTGATATCTCTTTAGATTCCTTGAATTTTTTAATTTACTGGTTCCATCTTCATCCCTTTCTTATCTTTACAAGTTATCTGTTGAAAAAACATAAGTCATTTGATCTATAACTTTCCACAATATAAATTTTGCTGATTGCATACTCAAGGTAAAATTCAATGTGTTCCTCTGACCTCTGCATTTCCTGCAAATCAGCACCTGTATCCAGAGGTTTGATCAGGCTCAAGTTCTCCCATTTTGGCAGAACTTTCAGTGGTGATATGTTCTTTCATTAGGAGGCACATAATATCTGGTTGTCTGTCTTTTAGGACAATAGGAATCAATGATGCTCAAAGCCTAGATCCATTAATTTTTTGGCCATTTCAAAATGATAATATTCTGTTAAGTGATATTCTTTATTTAGCTGGAACAGTCATATGAAAAAGATACTCCTCATTGTCTACTATTTGATTTCTTAGCAGTACAGTGCATATAGGAAAGACAGAATACAGGCTTGATGATTTTTCTTTATTTATGAATCTGGAAGATAATGATCTATTGTCCTATCTCCCCAAATTGTGATCAAATAATTTTTTTGTTCTTTAGTTTGGATGGAGTCTAACTCTGTCGCCCAGTCTGGAGTGCAGTGGCGTGATCTTGACTCACTGCAACCTCCACCTCCCAGGTTCAAACAATTCTCCTGCCTCAGCCTCCCAAGTAGCTGGGATTACAGGTGCACGCCACCACGCCTGCCTAATTTTTGTAATTTTAGTAAAGACGGGGGTTTCACCATATTGGTCAGGCTGGTCTTAAACTCCTGACCTCAGGTGATCCACCCACCTCGGCCTCCCAAAGTGCTGGGATTACAGGCATGGGCCACCGCACCCGGCCGACGAAATAATTTTTGTATCATTAAAAATGCATGGATTTAACTATATTTAATGAATTTGCATTCATTACGATCTTTATGCTTAAGGAAACTGAAATTGTCCCATCCGTGGCTAGGTGGAGCTTCTTTAATATGACCCTTGAGCCTTATTTTACATATCCCTGGTAACCTTTGATAGCTTACTTGTGATCAAGTCCATCTTATAAAGACCACAAGGACACACTAGCAGTCTGACGGTCAGATCTATTAACTTACCACAGCAAAGGAAACTGCACACCAAAGGACCTGTGGGTGGTTGGGGGCGCAGGAGGAGTCACCAAACGAAGAAACAAATAGGGTACTGTAGGATGACAGAAAAGGGCAGATTCCAGTATAATGTAAATGAAGCAGGGTCTGATAGACTTCAAAGCAAGGCAGGGCCACAGGGCAAAGTGTAAAGGAATTAACATCAGGCCTAGGCTGAGAAACGGATTCAGGATCCTGTTTCCATGGAAAGTACAAAATGAGGAGAGTTGTGGAATTTTGTTTTCCAAAACCCCTTATCTGACACCAGCACCTGGCTTTGAAATGAAGGCTGCTTTTCTGTACTGAAAGGCTCAGTTCCTGGGGGAAGAATATAACGTTTCCTTCTTGCCGATATGATTTCAAATACAAAGTTTCCGAGAGTTGTGATTAGAGAAAAGAGGGTTTCTCAGCACTTTGTTCTTTTGTTAATTAACAAACGCAGTTTCACAGGCTCACACTGGCTATCTGGAGTGACGAGATATTCTAGGCCGGTCTTGTGCAGTTCCTGCACCAGGTCTTGAATTCGTTCTAAGTTTTACAGCAGACAGCTTCACCCCAGTCTCACCTCAAATAAAAACATGCCAATTCGCACATTGTGTAAGAACCTTAAAACAGTATACTGTACTTCCATTTCACCTCTCCCAGCCTTTGTGCTATTGTCATACATTTCTCTTCTGTGTATGCTATGAACTCCGCAGTACAATGCTGTTATTTTACTTTAAACAATTATCTTTTAAAGAAATGTCTCGGGAGGCAGAGTCTGCAGTGAGCCGAGATCACGCCACTGTGCTCCAGCCTGGGCGACAGAGTGAGACTCCATCTCAAAAAAAAAAAAAACAAAAACAAAAACAAAAATAGGCCCGGCGCGGTGGCTCACACCTGTAATCCCAGCACTTTGGGAGGCCGAGGCGGGTGGATCACCTGAGGTCAGGAGTTTGAGACCAGCCTGACCAACATGGAGAAACCCCGTCTCTACTAAAAATACAGAATTAGCCAGGCGTGGTGGCGCATGCCTGTAATTCCAGCTACTCGGGAGGCTGAGACAGGAGAATCGCTTGAACCCGGGCGGTGGAGGTTGCGGTGAGCTGAGATTGCGCCATTGCACTCCAGCCTGGGCAACAGAGCAAGACTCCATCTCAAAAAAATAATAATAATAAAAATAAAAATAAATAAATGTTTAATTGAGAACAAAAGTTGTTTACATTTACCCATAGTTATCAGTTCTGATTCTCTTTACTCCTTTATGTAGACATCCAGATTTCCCTCTGGTACCATTTTCTTCTGCCTGAATAACTTCCTTTAGCATTTCTTGTAGTGAAAGCTTTCAGTGATCAATGTTCTCCGTTTTCAAATACATGAAAAAGTCTATTTCTCCACTTTTAGAATATTTTTCCTCTGTAAAGAATTCTGGGCTTTTTTCCTTTTATTACTTTAAAGATCTCTCTCTACCATCTTCTAGTGTGCAGTTTCTGACAATAAGTCTTCTGTGTTGGTTTTTTTTTTTCCTTTCTTTGAGACGGTTTCACTCTGTCACTTAGGGTAGAGTGCAGTGGCGTGACCACAGCTCACTGCAGCCTCGACCTCCCAGGCTCAAGTGATCCTCCCACCTCAGCCTCCCTAGTAGCTGGGACTACAGGTGCACACCAACACACCCGGCTTTTTTTTTTTTTTTTTTTTTTTTGAGACGGAGTCCCGCTCTGTCGCCCAGGCTGGAGTGCAGTGGCGCTATCTCGGCTCACTGCAAGCTCTGCCTCCCGGGTTCACGCCATTGTCCTGCCTCAGCCTACCAAGTAGCTGGGATTACAGGCGCCTGCCACCATGCCCAGCTAATTTTTTGTGTTTTTAGTAGAGACGGGGTTTCACTGTGTTAGCCAGGATGGTCTCGATCTCCTGACCTCATGATCCGCCCACCTTGGCCTCCCAAAGTGCTGGGATTACAGGCGTGAGCCACCACGTCTGGCCTAATTTTTTTATTTTTTTGGAGAGACAGGGTCTCACCTAGGCTGGTCTCAAACTCTTGGGCTCAAGCAATCCTCCCATCTCAGCCTCCCAAAGTGCTGGGATTTCAAGTGTGAGCCACCACACCCAGCCTCTTCCAGTATTTTTACCTTTTCTCCTATGTACATAACGTGTCTTTTCTTCTGGCTTTTTAAAGATTTTTTTCCTTTCACTTGATTTTGCAATTTGATTATTATGTGCCTTTGCATGCTTCTCTTTTGGTTTTATTCAGCTTGTAGTTCACCGAGGGTCATGGTTCTATGGGCTTAGAGTTTTCATCAAACTTGAAATTTTTCAGCCATTATTACTTCAAATACTTTTCCTGCCCCTCCCCTCTCCTCTCCTTTTAGTATTCCAATTATATGCATGTTAGACTACTTGTTATTGTCCCATGGGTCACTGACACTCTGCTCTTTTTTCCCCCCATCTTTTTCTCTCCATGTTTCACTTTGGATGATTTCTGTTGCTATGTCTTCAAGTTCATTTATCTTTTCTTCTTCAGTCTAACCTACTATTAATCTCACTTAGTATGTTTTTCATTTAATATTTAATGTTTCATCTCAACTATTCCATGTGAATATATACATATATATATTTTTTTTTCTTTGAGACAGAGTTTCGCTCTTGTTGCCTAGGCTGAAGTGCGATGGCACGATCTCAGCTCACTGCAACCTCCACCTCCCAGGTTCAAGCGATTCTCCTGCCTCAGTCTCCTGAGTAGCTGGGATTACAGGCATGTGCCACCACGCCCAGCTAATTTTTTTTTTTTTTTTTTTTTGTATTTTTAGTAGAGATGGGGTTTCTCCACGTTGGTCAGGCTGGTCTCGAACTCCTGACCTCAGGTGATCCACCCACCTTGGCCTCCCAAAGTGCTGGGATCATAGGCTTGACCCATCGTGCCCGGCCATGAATATTTTTTACATCTTTATTTCTTCTCATCATGCTCATGGCTTCCTCCACCTTTTTTACTACTTGGAGCATATTTATCATAGCTGTTTTATCATCCTTGTCTGCTAGTTTCATCATCATTGTCATTTCTGTGTTGGTTGATTTGTTTTTCTCCTGGTTATGGGTCATATTTTCCTGCTTTTTTTTTTTGTATGCCTGAAAAATATTTTTACACTTTCAGTTTCTGTATTTTGTTACACTCCTTTAAAGAGTTAGATATTTTTCTTGCATGCAGCTAAGTTAGTGGGAATCAGATGAATATTTTCAAGACTGACGTTTAAGCTTTGTTAGGATGGGTACAGGGTATTCTTTAGTCTAGGGTTAATTTAGCCCCCACTACTAAGGCAATAGCCTTCCGAGTACTAAATGCTGCAGATTTTACAGGGTCTTTCCACTCAGGCAGGTGGAAACACAAGCTATTCCCAGACCTGTGCAATCACTGGGAATTGTTCTGCTTACTTCTTTTTGGTGTTTGGTATTTTTCTCCCCCTCAGGCCTTTGGTAGTTTCCTCTTGCACATGCACAGAAAGGCACTTAAAGACTACAGGGTGGGCCAGGCATAGTGGCACATGTCTGTTGTCCTAGCTCCTCGGGGAAACTCAGGTGGGAGAGTCCCTTGAACTGGGAGGAGGAGGTTTGCAGTGAGCCAGAATCATTCCACTGTACTCCAGCCTAGGTGACAGAGCAAGACTCATCTCAAAAAAAAAAAAAAAAAAAAAAAAAGACAATCCGCACACATAAAGGCTTTATTCAGCTGATGTACCAAGGTCACTCTCTCAGTCAAAGGTGGGAAGCAAAAAAACAGAGTAAAGGAAAAACAGTGATAGATGAAAAGAGTCAAAGGCAAGGGAAACAAGGGACCTTCTATCTCATCTGTTTCCATTCTTTTACAGACCTTTCAAATCCGGAGCCTACTTGTTAGGACTGATACTGTCTCCCTTCTTTCTGCTTTGTGTCAGGTGGCACCCAAAGATGCTGGAATCTTTATGGCAAATGCCGTTACAGATGCTCCAAGAAGGAAAGAGTCTATGTTTACTGCATAAATAATAAAATGTGCTGCGTGAAGCCCAAGTACCAGCCAAAAGAAAGGTGGTGGCCATTTTAACTGCTTTGAAGCCTGAAGCCATGAAAATGCAGATGAAGCTCCCAGTGGATTCCCACACTCTATCAATAAACACCTCTGGCTGATCCCTGCGTTTGCCTGTTAGTGAACCCCAGCAGCTCCCAGGAGTGCCTTTCGGGTGGTTTGGGATGTCACAACTGTTTTCACAATAATAATAAGACATTTTTTAATTTTTTTTTTTTTTTGAGATGGAGTCTTGCTCTGTCGCCCAGGCTGGAGTGCAGTGGCGCACTCTCAGCTCACTGCAAGCTCCGCCTCCCGGGTTCATGCCCTTCTCCTGCCTCAGCCTCCCAAGTAGCTGGGACTACAGGTGCCCGCCACCACACCCAGCTAATATATATATATATATATATATATATATATATATATATATATATATTTTTTTTTTTTTTTTTTTTTTTTTTTTTTTTTTAGTAGAGACGGGGTTTCACTGTGTTAGCCAGGATGGTCTTGATCTCTTGACCTTGTGATCTGCCTGCCTCGGCCTCCCAACATTTTTCACTTTTTTAAGCTCTCTCGTTCACAAGTGTATAGGGGAATTTTCTGGAATCTCCATGACATATAATGACATAATTGTTCTGGCAGCTGACGAAAGATGTGCTTATGTGCTCTTGTGTAGAATTTTTTAAGGTAGAAGGCTCAAGGTATAAGTATGCTCATTTTCAGAGATTCATGCAATTTGTTCTCAGTAATTCTACTGTCCTCTTACAAACTATCTTTGGTTATATTATTAACTGTAATAATCAATCTCTGTACCTTCATTATCATATAATAAGTCATTACTTTGAAATCCCACAACTTACTTTGTACCACAAGAAATAAGAACACTTTATCGTCTTGGTTTGCAGAGGTATTTTGTTCTAATTTTTTATTTTTTATAGAGATAGGGTCTCACTTTGTTACCCAGCCTGGTTTTGAACTCCTGGCCCGCCTCAGCTTTCCAAAGTGCTAGGAATACAGGAATGAGCCACCACTCCCACGGGGACTTGCAGAGGTATATTAACAACAGTCCTAGCTGTCTAACAGAATAAAGGACACGCTCTCCCTTAAGGAAAAAATAACACCTATTCTAGTCTCTATAGTTCTCTTAAATACAATTTCTGACATATATACAATTTTAAAATTATAAGACATGCACAGAAGCAGGAAAATATGACCCATAATCAAGAATAAAAATAATCAATTAGAATCAGACCCAAAGATGGTGATACAGTTTGGATCTGTGTCCCCACCCAAATCTCATGTTGAATTGTAATCCCCAGTGTTGGAGGTGGGGCCTGGTGGGAGGTGATTGGATTATGGAGGTAGATCCTTCATGAATGGTTTAGCACCATCCCTTTGGTACTGTTCTTGTAATAGAGTTCTCACAAGATCTGGTTGTTTAAAAGTATGTGGCACTGTCTCGCTCTTCACTTCCCTCTGCTCTGACCATGTAAGACAGGCCTGCTTCTCCTTCACCTTCTGCCATGCTCAAAAGTTTCCTGAGGCCTCCTCAGAAGCCTTCATGCTCCTTGTACAGCCTGCAGAACCATGAGCCAATTAAACCTCTTTTTTTTTTTTTGAGATGAAGTCTTGCTCCTGTTGCCCAGGCTGGAGTGCAGTGGCATGATCTCGGCTCACTGCAACCTCCACCTCCCGGGTTCAAGTGATTCTCCTTCCTCAGCCTCCTGTGTAGTTGGGATTACAGGCGTGCACCACCAAGCCTGGCTAATTTTCATATTTTTAGTACAGACAGGGCTTCATCATGTTGGCCAGGCTGGTCTTGAACTCCTGACCTCAGGTGATCCACCCTCCTCGACCTCCCAAAGTGCTAGGATTACAGGCGTGAGCCACTATGCCTGGCCTAAACCTCTTTCCTTTATAAATTACCTGGTCTCAGGGTTTTTTTTTTTTTTTGATAGCAGTATGAGAACAAACTAATACAGATGGAGTAGTTGTTGGAATTAACAGATAACCTTAAAATAACTATTATAAATATGTTAAAGAAATTAGAAGATTGATAAAATGAATGAAAAGATGAAGAATTTAAATACACAGAAAAATAGTGTATAGTGTATTGTTTTCCACCTGCTGCATTACAAAACCACTCCAGAACTTAGTAGACTAAAATAACAACTATTTGTTATTTTTCACAATTCTGCTCATTGATTAAGTGGTTCTTCTGATATTCTCACGAGGTCATTCATGTTACTACATCTCTCTTCACGTAGCCTCTCCACCGCAAAGAAGTTAACCTTGGCTTCCTCTATGATGGCTGGGGCCAAGAGCCTCCCAAAGTGCTAGGAATACAGGAATGAGCCGCCATTCCTGGTCTTGCAGAGGTATATTAACAACAGTCCTAACTGCCTAACAGAAGAAAGGACATGCTCTCCCTTAGGGAAAAAATAACACTTATTTTAGTCTTATAGTTCTCTTAAATACAATTTCTGACATATATGGGTAAACCTCAACATCCAGCATTTCTCAAATTTCTGTTTGTATTACATTTGCTGAAGTCCCACTGGTAAATCATATGCCAGTCACTGTGAAAGAGGACTACATAAGGGCATGAATACTAAGAGGATGATTCATTGCATGATGGAAACTCTAAGAATAAATTGGGCCTTCTAAACTGAGACATGCTAAAATTAAGAATTTATTGGATGGTAAGCCAGGCGTGGTGGCACATGCCTGTAGTCGCAACTACTTGGTAGGCTGAGGCAGGAGGATCACTTACACCCAGGAGTTTAAGTCTGTAGTATGCTATGATCATGCCTGTGAATAGCCACATGTGCACTCCAGCCTGAGCAAAATAGCGAGACCCCACCTCTTAAAAAAAGGAATCTATTGGATGGGTTTAACAGCAGAAGATAGGGCATTGTGGAAGAATGAATCAGTCAACTCAGAGACAGATTAGAAGATATACAAACCAAAGCACAGAGAGAAAAAATGCAAAACGAGCATAACAGAGTATGAGAGACTTATGGGACAATATCAAATAATCTAACATATATATAATTAAGTCCCAGAAGAAGAGATGGGAGACCAGGCACAGTGGCTCACACATGTAATCTCAGCACTTTGGGAGGCTGAGGCAGGAGGATCACATGAATCCAAGAGTTCAAGACCAGCCTGGACATTATAATGAGACCCCCTCCCTATTTTTTTTTTCTTTTCGAGATGGGGTCTCACCATGTTGGTTGTGAGCTCCTGGGCTCAAGCAATTTGGCCTGCCTCAGCCTCCTAAAATGCTGGGATTACAGGAATGAGCCACCATGCCCAAACCCCACCTATCTCTATTAAAAAAAGAAATTAAAGAGGGCAATGAGGAAGAAGAAATATTTTTAAAAGATAATAGTTGAAAAATTTCCAAAATTGTTGAAAGACATCAATCCACAAGAAATTCAGTGAACTCCAAAGCAGCATAGACACAAAGAAAATCAAACCTGCCAGGCATGGTGGCTCAAGCCTGTAATTCCAGCACTATGGGAGGCCGAGGCGGGCAGATCACCTGAGGTTAGGAGTTCGACACCAGCCTGGCCAACATGGTGAAACCTCATCTCTACTAATAATACAACAATTAGCTGGGCATGGTGGCACGCGCCTGTAAGCCCAGCTACTAAGGAGGCTGCGGCAGGAGAATCGCTTGAACCTGGGAGGCTGGAGGTTGCTGAGGTGAGATCCTGCCACTGCACTCCAGCCTGGGCAGCGAATGAAACTCTGTCTCAAAAAAAAAAAAAAAAAAGAAGGAAAGGAAAGAAATCAAACCCTAAACATATCACAGTCAAACTGCTAACAATTAAAAGAAAAAGTGCCTCTGGAGGCTGAGGCAGGAAAAAGGCGTGAACCCGAGAGGCGGAGCTTGCAGTGAGCAGAGATCGCTCCGCTGCACTCCAGCCTGGGCGACAGAGCGAGACTCCGTCTCAAAAAAAAAAAGAAAAAGTGCTTCTCAGTACCTATGAATATTTCATACAAAACATGTTCAAGAATTTATGGAAAAAGTTAGAAAACCTTATTGAAATACAATATAAAAAGCCTAAATTAATAGAGAAACATATTATGCTTATGAATTAGAAGTCTCAATATCTTAAAGACGTCAATTCTATACTAATTATTTCCTAGATTCTATAAAATTCCAGTAAGATTTGTTCATAACTTGTTCAAAATTGTGTATATGTAAACAAATATTTTGTTAGGGACATAAACATGTATAATAAAACTTTCAATAAAAGCTAAGGAGATAATAAATACAAATTTAGGATAACAGTTACCTCTAAGAATATAGCAATAGGAAGGGGTAATGGTGATTTTTTTATCGCACAGTAGACAGTGAGGTGTTCTGGATGTGAGGTCCAAATTTGTCTTTGTGATAGCTGGTGTTATTGAGCCACCTGGAGGCAATATTGCTGCAGTTTAAATATTTAGGATCCTGGATGGGGATGTGGGAGGGAAGGGCTGGATGAACCTTCCAGAATGTCAGCAGTGATTCCTGGAGTCTTCCAGTTAATGGCACCCAATAACTAAATGGGCAAAAGATGCATGGGAGATTGGCCTGTGAGAACACTGAGGACTTGGGGATGGATCTGCTATCTCCACGTGCAAAAGGATTTGTTAATCTGGGAGTTCCTCTGAGATCTAGCCCTTGTCCATCTCTTTGGTTGCCTTTTTTTTTTTTTTTTTTTTTTGAGACAGAGTCTCACTCTGTCGCCCACGCTGGAGTGCAGTGGCGCGATCTCGGCTGACTGCAAGCTCTGCCTCCCGGGTTCATGTCATTCTCCTGCCTCAGCCTCTTGAGTAGCTGGGACTACAGGCGCCCACCGCCACCATGCCCGGCTAATTTTTTTTTTTTTTTTTTTTTTTTTTTTTTTGGTATATTTAGTGCAGACTGGGTTTCACTGTGTTAGCCAGGATGGTCTCGATCTCCTGACCTTGTGATCCACCCGCCTCAGCCTCCCAAAGTGCTGGGATTACAGGCATGAGTCACCACACCCGGCCTCTTTGGTTTCATCACATACCACTCAGTTACTCCATCTCTTTCCTTTAATTTCTGTTTTCCTTTAGCTTTTTTCCCCCTAAAAAAAAATCATAGTTTATTTTTCACATCCTGGGTTTTTTATTTATTTAATAGCTTTATTGAGGTATAATTTTTTTTGAGATGGGATTTGCTCTGTTGCCCAGACTAGGGTGCAGTGTTGCAATCATAACTCACTGCAGCCTCAGCCTCCTGGGCTCGAGCGATCCTCCCACCTCAGCTTCCCAAGTACCTGGGACTACAGGCGTGCACCACCACACCCAGCTAACTTTTTTGTATTTTTCGTCGAGACAAGGTTCCTCCATGTTTGCATAGGCTAATCTTGAATTCCTGGCTTCAAATGATCCTCCTGCCTCAATCTCCCAAAGTGTTGGGATCACAGGCATGAGCCACCCCATGCAGTCTTTCAAGGTATAATTAACATTCAGTAAACTGCACATATTTAAAGTGTAAAAGTTTCTAAGTTTTGTCATGTGTGCACCCATGAAATTATCACCAAAATCAAGATAATAAACATATCTGTCCCCCTCAAAAGTTTTCTTCTGCTTCTTCGTAATCCTTTCTTTTTTTTTTTTTTTTTTTTTTTTTTTTTTTTTTTGAGATCTTGTTGCCCAGGCTGGAGTGCAATGGCACGATCTCAGCTCACCGCAACCTCCACCTTCCGGGTTCAAGCGACTCTCCTGCCTCAGCCTCCGAATAGGTGGGATTACAGGCATGCGCCATCATGCCTGGCTAATTTTTTTTGTATTGTTAGTGGAGATGGGGTTTCACCATGTTGGCCAGGCTGGTCTTTAACTCCTGACCTCAGGTGATCCACCCGTCTCAGCCTCCCAAATTGCTGGGATTACAGACATGAGCAACCTGCCTGGCCTGGATCCCATTAATTCTTGAACCTCATCTCCAACTATTCTTGCCCTGGCTCACTCCACTTAAACTATGCTGGCCTCCTAGCCATTTCTCAAACACACCAAGCATGGTTCCACCTCAGGGCGTTTGCACTTGCTATTCATTCTGCCTGGAACTCTCATCCTCCAATATGCAAGACTCACTCTCTAACATTCTTTGGGTTTGTTCAAATATCTCCATGTCACTGAAAACTTCTCTGAATATGCTATTTTTAATCTTTAAAAAAAAAAAAAAAAGCTACTCTTGGCCAGGCACGGTGGCTTACGCCTGTAATCCCAGCACTTTGGGAGGCCGAAAGCGGGCGGATCACAAGGTCAGGAGCTCGAGACCATCCTGGCGAACATGGTGAAACCCCGTCTCTACTAAAAATACAAAAAATTAGCCGGGCATGGTGGCGGGTGCCTGTGGTCCCAGCTACTCGGGAGGCTGAGGCAGGAGAATGGCATGAACCCGGGAGGCGGAGCTTGCAGTGAGCCGAGATCGCGCCACTGCAGTCCAGCCTGGGCGACAGAGCTACACTCCATCTCAAAAAAAAAAAAAAAAAAAAAAAGCTACTCTCCCTTACTTCCTTTTTTGCTTGCATTTCTCCATAGTATTTATCAGCATCTAATATAATATTTTTTTCTTGATTGTATTTCTTGTCTCCCTGTCCGCTGTGGATTTATTTAATGTTGGATGTATTGATATATATATGAATAAACATTATTCAATGTATATGAATAAGTATATATTATATTGCCTCCCCAGATAAATATATATGTATATGTGTGAATATATATTTTTATATATATCTGAGGAGGCAATATATATTTCAACGTATATTTATCCAATATACATAAATGAATTTGGGATCCAGTTTCCCAAATAAATTTGGGGTTCCTCATGTAAAATTCCCTCCATTGAAATACCTAGTATGGCTTTTGTTTTCTAGCTAGATCATGACTGATACAGTACATGGAACATGATTTATTCATATATATTGAGTAAATATATATTGCCTTCCCAGATGAATGTATATATATGAATATGTATGTATTCATTTATTCAACTACAAATTTACTGAGCACCTATGTACCAGTTTAGTGCTTGGAGAGGGGGGTACCTTATGATTGGAGCTGGTGCCTCTGAAGGACATCGCAGTTCTGGCAATGAACCCATAGCCACCTAAGCTGCTGGGAGGATACAGATGGAATCCAAAGCAGAGAGTGAATGCCTTCTCCCTCCCCTCCCCTCCCCTCCCCTCCCACTTTCTAGCCTCCCACCATTGTCTGCAATTAGCAAACTCTTAGTAGGAAGCCACCTGGTGAAGGAGTCTGGGAAATGGTAATATCGGACTCCCAGCCCCAGCAGCACAGAGCAGAATATAGAAGGCTGGGCTTGAGGCCGCACTGGCACACCATTTAACTTCTGAGATGTAAGTATAAATCTGAAGTAACATCCCAAAAAAGTAATCATCGGTATTAATTATTACAAATTCTAGGAGTCACATTTTAAAGGTTTAATATTAGAATGCAGGAACAATTACCCCTGCAGTCACTGTCCTGCTCATCTCAGTTCACTGTGGCCTCAACCTCCTGGGCTCAAGCAATCCTCCTACTTCAGCCTCCAAAGTAGCTGGGACCACAGGCATGTGCCACCATGCCTGGCTAATTTTTTTTTTTTTTAGTAGAGATGAGATCTCTTTATGTTGCCCAGGCTGGTCTTGAAGCGAAGGAGTTGCTATGCTAAATAGATGCTGTACTAAATAGATGCTATTTGCTGTACTAAATAGATGCTCAGTTTCAACATCCACTAACTTTTTCAGTCATGGAATAAAGTAACTCAAGAAAATGAATTTGGCCACATGTGGTGGCTCATGCCTATAACTGCAGCACTTTGGGAGGCTGAGGCAGGAGAGTCTCCTGAGCCCAGGAGTTCAAGACCAGCCTGGGCAACATAGGCAGACCTCATCTCTACCAAAAAAATAATAATAATTAAAAAATTACCCGGGCATGGTGGCACGTGCCTGTGGTCCCAGCTACTTGGGAGGCTGAAGTAGGAGGACTGCTTGAGCCCAGGAGGTTGAGGCTGCAGTGAACAGAGATCACATCACTGCACTCCAGCTGCCTGGACAACAGAATGAGGCCCTGTCTCAGAAAAAGAAAAAAAAAGGAAACAAAAAACGAATTTCATATTCCCAATACAAAGAAATAATAAAGGTGATGAATATGCTAAATACCCTTATTTGACCATTACACATTGTATGTATGTATCAAGATATCATATGTACCCCATAAATATGTATAAATATTATATTTTTTTCATTTTTAATAAAAATTTTAAAATTGCCAGGCATGGTAGTGTGCACCTATAATTCAAGCTACTTGGGAGACTGAGGCAAGAAGACCACTTGAGCTCAGGAGTTCAAGTCCAGCCTGGGCAACATCTCAAGATCCCATCTCTAAAAATGAATAAATTAATTAAATTCAAAATTAAAAGACAAAAATAAATAACGAAAAATTTAAAAATAAAAATAATTTAAAAGAAAATTAATTTCAGAAACATACTTCCTAAAAAGAACTTTTGAATTTAGAAAGAAATTCAGAATTTGCAGCTTGAAAAAATGTCAAAAATATTCTACCTTCAACTACTGAAACCGGGTGGTAGTTTATAGCAAAAAATTTGGCAAACTTTATTGTTTAATTTTTTAGCCTTCATAAAATTTGTGATTTTGAAAATCAGTGAGAATAAAATATGCCTAAGGTACCTCACTTTTCCCTAACGCTTTCCTCTGTTCTTCATTGTCTTTATACCCAACAGTATGTATAAATTGAAGGTGACTTATCATCGATGTCATGGTACATGATTTTGGAGTCTTTCCTACCTGTGAAATTTTGAGGTGACAAAATCGCATTTAGCTTTTTATTCATCCTTACAAGGTGTGAGAAATTCTCAACCACAATTTTTTCCTAAAAGGCTTATGTCCTAAATGGAATTAAATAACTAAAGAACAACTAAAGGCAAGTACTTTTTTTTTTTTTGAGACAGGGTCTCACTTTTTCACACAGGCTGGAGTGCAGTGGCACCATCTCAGTTCACAGCAGTGTCAACCTCCCAAGCTCAAACGATCTTCCCACCTCAGCCTCCCAAGTAGCTGGCACTACAGGTGCACACCACCTCGCCTGACTAAGTTTCGTATTTTTTGTAGAGACAGGGTTTCACCATGTTGCCTAGGCTGGGCAATCCACCCACCTTGGCCTCCCAAAGTGCTGGGATTACAGGTGTGAGCCACCACATCTGGCCTCTAATAGTTTTTTTTTAATGTGATGAATGGTATTTTAACAAAGATTGAACTATAATATAATCTCCATTATTTTGCCTAGTGCTAATATTCAAAATATTAAAAATATTGATTGGATATAACATTCTGAAGGTTATCAAGCTAACAAATTTTAGCTCTCAATATTTAAATTAACTCATATTTTCTCCTAAGTTGAATTGTCGAAAGTTCTTAATTATTTTTCTAACATTGATAGCTTTCACAATCATCTTTAACTGTTGCAACATTTTATTCCTACAGTAATAAATATATACTTCTATCTCAAATGACTAATGAATTTAAACATGTAAAGTGCATGAGATTTCATTCCAAGTTACATCTAAAGTGTTTACTATGTGAAAATGAATATTCATATGTAAACAATAAATCCAAATGCTATGTTCCAAAGGTATTATGCTTATTGGACATGCTGGTTTACCGTGCAATTATGAAATCATTGAACACACACAAGTTCACGGTGCCACAAGTGACTCTGAAGTAGGTATCTGGCAATTCATCCTTCCAAAGGGTGAAGCTAAGGCTGGATACTGAGAACAAAGTCAAAATTGGGTTTATTCCTAGAATGTAAGCTCCATACAGGTAGGGATTTGTCTGCTTTGCCCACTGCTGAGTCCTCCATACTTAGAATAATGCCCGGCACATAAAAGGTATTCAATAAATATAAATTGAATTAATGAAAAACAGAAAAATAGAATGCTGATGCTAGTGGCGCGTAGGTGAAAATCATCAAGTTGATTTTCAGTTGAGACAACGATGGAAATCATTAGGCATGCCCAAATCAGGGAGATCTTAGTTTCAGCCAAGGGCTCACTGGACTTAAGCCAGTCTACTGGGTTCAAATTAGGAGGAAAGGAGCAAAATTAACGAACACGTACAAAATGTTGGAGATATATCATTAAAAATTGTGTCTTGGCCGGGCGCGGTGGCTCAGGCCTGTAATCCCAGCACTTTGGGAGGCCGAGGGGGGCGGATCACTTGACCCCAGGAGTTTGAGACCAGCATGACCAACACGGTGAAACCCCGTCTCTACTAAAAAAAAAAAAAAACCCAGGCGTGGTGGCTCACGCCTTTAATCCCAGCTACTCGGGAGGCTGAGGCAGGAGAATGCCTTGAACCCGGGAGGCGGAGCTTGCACTCAGCCGAGATTGTGCCACTGCACTCCAGCCCGGGCGGCAGAGCGAGACTCCGTCTCAAAAAAAAAAAAAAAAAAACCAGCAAATTCCAAAAATAACCGCTAGAGGGGAGTATCTCCTCTTGTGAGTCATTGATCTAGCCATTAAGAGAGTCATGAAAACATCATGCTTGTCTCCTGGATCACCCAGCTCTTTATGACACAAATGGAGCTACATCATAAGCACAGATAGTTTACCCAGACTCAACTACATGTGCTCAGAAAAAAAGGAATTTAAAGGAAATAAGACTTGGGATGGGTTTTTTTCTTTTTTTCTTACTTTTTAAATCAACTTTGTTTTGCCTTTCTGAAAAATCATATAAATGAAATTACTCAGCATGTATTTCTTTGTGTCTGGCTTCTTTCACTTAACATAGTGTTTTTGAAATTAATTTATGGTTGTGTGTATTGGTAAATTATTGCTATTTATTGAGTAGCATATTGCATGGATATAACTCAACTTGTCCATTTGCCTGCTGAACATTTGGGCTGTTTTCATTTATGGGTTACTACAAATAAAGTTGCTACAAACATGGATAGAGAAATCTTTGTATAGACATATGTCTATTTAATTTTGTTCGTTTGTTTGTTTGTTTGTTTGTTTGTTTGAGACGGAGTCTCACTCTGTCACCCAGGCTGGAGTGCAGTGGTGCCATCTTGACTCACTGCAACCTCCACCTCCTGGGTTCAAGCAAATTCTCCAGCCTCGGCCTCCCAAGTAGCTGGAATTAGAGGCACACACCACCACACCCAGCTAATTTTTGTATTGTTTTAGTAGAGACGGGGTTTCGCCATGTTGGCCAGACTGGTCTCAAACACCTGACCTCAAGTGATCTGCCCGTGTCTGCCCCCAGAGTGCTGGGATTACAGGCATGAGCCACAGTGCCCAGCCAACATGTCTATTTAATTTTGTAAGTAACTCTGCACCTGTTTTTCCAGTTGCAGAGTAGTTGTCCATGTTACAGTCCCACCAGCAATGTATCAGCATTCCAGTGCTCCATATCCTCACCAGCCTTGCTATAGTCAGTCTTTTTACTTTAATTATTCTGGTGAGTATGTATGGTATCTCATTGTGATCTTAATTTGAATTCTCCTGATTACTAATGATATTGAACATCTTTTCACGAACTTATTGGCCACTTATGTATTTTCATTTGTAAAATGTCATTTAAATATTTGCCCATTCTGTTATTGAGTTTTCTCTTTTCTTATTAATTTGTAACAGTTATTTGTATATTGTGGATATGAGTCTTTTGTCAGATATATGTTTTGCAAATATGTGCAATAAGAATCCGAATAAGCCAGAAAAATCCCTCCTTGAGCCAGTGCCTGAATGAGTGGGAGATGGGAATTGGATTATTTCCTGGGCAGGGAAAGCTTCTGGCAGTGAAGACATCACATTGCATTGTGTGATTCCACTGTGGAAAGATACTTATTTTTCACCAAAAAAAATGGTGCCTAAACATAACCAACCACTTCCTTTAATGCACGGCCAGAGAAATGTGATATGTTCCATCAGTGGAGGAAAACTTGCTGTGTATGTCAGTCTCCAAAAAGGTGCCTTCCTGAGCAGTTTTCAAGGATAATTTAAGTCATGTGCAATTGTCACCTGGCTCTCAGATTTAAACCTAGCCCTAGCATAATAATAAGCAATTCCACTGAACACTCTGCCATTGAAAGAAGGGAGTGGGGATAGAAGTCAGACACCCAGTTCTACCCTGAACTACCTACAGTATCCATCCATTGTTGTAACTTCCTTGTTCTTCTCCTTCCCTGTGACCCCAAAGGTGTCCACCTGATCAGCAGGAGAAGCCCTTCTCATAGAAGAGTCTCTGATGCGTGTGAAAATGCCTTAAATATATATATATATATAAGAATATATATATACCAAAATACCAACAGGAATTATGAAAGACAGGTGAATATTTTGAGGCTTATCTATACTATACTTTCTTAGTTTTTGACACTGTATTTTATTTATTTATTTATTTATTTTTTTTTTTTTTTTTTTTTTTTTTTTGAGATGGAGTCTCACTCTGTCACCCAGGCTGGAGTGCAGTGGCACAATCTTGGCTCACTGCAACCTCCACCTCCCAGGTTCAAGCGATTCTCCTGCCTCAGCCTCCTAAGTAGCTGGGATTACAAGCGTGCACCACCATGACCGGCTATTTTCGTATTTTCAGTAGAGACATGGTTTCACCATGTTGGCCAGGCTGGTCTTGAACTCCTGACCTCAGGCGATCCACCCACCTCAGCCTCCTAAAGTGCTGGGATTACAGACATGAGCCACCGCGCCTGGCCTCCATACGTATTTTAAACATACTACTCAAGTTATAAAAACTAGAAGTGACTTAAAATTTTTCAGGAGGAATTTTAGTGCTAAAAATATTGTTTTGGAAGGCTAAGCACATACATAAATTTTTATGATATATTGATCAGTTAAAAAACCAGGACACAAAATATCTACAGCTTGATTCCATTTTATTTTTGTCACATTTTACATTTTTCTTTATTTCTGGGTATTTCTTTTTTTTTTTTTTTTTTTTTTTTTTTTTTGAGACAGAGTCTTGCTCTGTTGCCCAGGCTGGAGTGCAGTGGTGTGATCTCGGCTCACTGCAACCTCCACCTCCCGGGTTCAAGTGATTCTCCTGCCTCAGCCTCCCGAGTAGCTGGGATTACAGGCGTGCGCCACCATGCTGGCTAATTTTTGTATTTTTAGTAGAGGTGGGGTTTCGCCATGTTGGCCAGGCTGGTCTTGAACTCCTGACCTCAAGTGAGCCTCTTGCCTCGGCCTCCCAAAGTGCGGGGATTATAGAAGTGAGCCACCACAGCCGGCCTATTTCTGGGTATTTCTGTACAGTGAAAATACTAATGATTTTAGTTTTCTTATTTGTGCTTCTCTGCTTACATGTTTTCCAATGAACATGTATTACTTTTACAATTAGAAAAAAAATGTTATTTTTAAAGTACAAATAAGAATGACTCTGGAGTCTGGCACAGTGGCTCATGCCTGTAATCCCAACATTTTGGGAGGCCGAGGCAGGAGGATTGCTTGAGGCCAGGAGTTCAAGACCAGCCTGGGCAACATAGCAAGACTTTGTGTCTACAAAAAATATAAAAATTAGCCAGGCATGGTGGTGCACGCCTACAGTCCCAGCTACTGGGAAGGCTGAGGTGGGAGGACTGCTTGAGCCCGGGAGTTCAGAGCTGCAGTGAGCCATGATTGCACCACTGCATTCCAGCCTGGGCAACAGAGCAAGACTGTCTCCAAAAAAAGACTGACTCTGGGAGACAAAATCAGGTGGCAGAGGATCAGGATAGAGTTCCAGCTCCACCACTTCCTAGGTTTATGACCTGGGCAACTTTCTTAGTTGCCTTATAGAGTCTTAGTTACCTTATAGAAAAGGCAAAGATAGGCCAGCTGTGGCAGCTCACACCTGTGATCCCAGCAACTTGGGAGGCCAAGGCAGGAGGATCACTTGAGCCCAGAAGTTCAGCCTGGGAAACATAGCAAGACCCCGTGTTTTTTGTTTGTTTGTTTTTTGTTTTTTGTTTTTGTTTTTAGCAAGACCCCATCTCTACAAAACAAACAAACAAATCAAAAACATATTAGCCAGGTATGGCAGCATACACTTATAGTCCTAGTTCCTCGGAGGCTGAGGCAGATTGCTTGAGCCCAGTAGTGTGAGGCTGCAGTGAGCTATACGATCTCCACTGTGTTCCAGCCTGGGCAACAGAGTGAGGACCTGTGTTAAAAAAGAAATGAGGAGAGAGAGAGGGAGGGAGGGAGGGAGGGAGGGAGGAAGGAAGGAATGAAGGAAGGAAGGAAGGAAGGAAGGAAAGAAGGAAGGAGATAATAATATGTAACTGTGGGAATTCAATGAGGTGGTATGAATAAAGCAATTGGTACTTTCTAAAGGATACTTATATATCATCATCTCAACCATTCAATGATTGGTTTGGCTTGAGTAGAACCTGTCCTCCGAAAAAGCACTTCTGAGCACCTATCCAGGTAACTTCCTTCTCTAGCATCCCAGAGCCACCAGGCTCACCTTGCACATCTCCAGTGTCAGGGGACTCCCTTCCTCCCAAAATTTCCCCATCACACTGTCCTGTCCTACCAGCGTGTGGCTCCATTCCTTGACATGTCACTCGGGAACTGTATGGCCTTCAACAAGTCACTTTCCCTCTCTGGGCTTGCGGGCCTCATCTGTGAGGTATTTTGGGGACTCTTCCACCCTAGAATCGGCTGGTCTCTTCGGCTTGTTGGGTGTATCCTAATGACTTAGGAAGTTGGATGTATGCTTAGATGAGGGTCTGTTTGAACACTGGGAGGAAAATGGCAGTTCATGTGTGAAAATGGCGGTTTAATTTTCAGAAAAGTATCTAGTCTGTTGGTCTTGGCTTCAGCCCTAAGTCATTAGGATACCCTATAAAGGAACATAGGAAAACCCTTTCACGCTCAGTGGGGCCTGCCTCTCAAGCCAAATGTGCCGTCTCATTCTGAATTCCAGAAGCTTATTATTGACTCTACTATAATTATTCACTGTTATTATCAACTATATGATTAACTCTTGTTATTATTAACTCTACCTTTCTTCTTGCATTTCTTCTATAAAGTGCTAATCTCCTGATATTATAATTATTCCCATTTTATGGTTGAGGAGACTTTCAGAGGTTCAGTAATTTTTCCGGAGTTGGACAGAGAAAGTGACATGGCCAGGACTGGAACCATTTACAATGGTCATTAGCGCCCACTCTCCTCAGGTCCCTCACCTCCCTCCACAGACCATTTCTCCCACATCCTAGACCTATCCCCCACCCGTGGTGGGGAGAGGAGCACAGGCGAGCAGGCAGAAAGAAGAGACAACTGGCAACCTGTGTTTTATTGGACAGCAGGAACCAGCTACTCATATTCATGCTTGGGGACCGGTGGAGGTTTCAATGCATAGGAGAGACAGCACAGGGACGCATCCGGGCACAGGTGCATGTAAGTTTCTTGCCTTGTGCAGTAAGTTTGGCAGGCCCCTTGACCCTTCCAGCACCGTTTGAATTCACTTCTCCCTAAACAGAGGAAAACCACAGGTCACAGAGCAGCCCATGGGTCACACGTTAGACCACTGGTCACAAGTTAGGCCACAGATTCACTAACACTGGTCACAAGTTAGCTCTCTGGTCTTCTGTTAGATCACTAGTCACAGATGAGAGTACTGATTACAAGTTAGGTTAGACCACATGTCATAGGTTAGACCATTAGTTACAAATTAGAGACTAAGGCCAGGCGCGGTGGCTCACGCCTGTAATCCCAGCACTTTGGGAGGCTGAGGCAGGCAGATCACCTGAGGTCAGGAGTTTGAGACCAGCCTGGCCAACATGACAAAACCCTTTCTCTACCAAAAATACAAAAATTAGCCGGGTGTGGTGGCAGGTGCCTTTAATCCCAGCTACACGGGAGACTGAGGCAGGAGAATCACTTGAACCCAGAGGGAGGAGATTGCAGTGAGCTGAGATTGTGCCACTGCACTCCAGACTGGGCAACAGAGGGAGACTCCATCTCAAATAAATAAACAGAAACTGATTTCTTGTCCAGGTAAAGCCACACACCAGGTACACATAAGCACTTTTCATAACAGTGCTATACGATTATAGTTAGTCTTATTACAATCCCTGCTATACAGGTAAGGAAACTGAGGCTCAGTGAGGTTAATAACCTTATCCAGCTGGGCACAGTGGCTCACGCCTGTAATCTCAGCACTTTGGGAGGCTGAGGCGGGTGGATCACCTGGGGTCAGGAGTTCGAGACCAGCCTGGCCAACATGGCAAAACCCCATCTCTACTAGAAATATAAAAATTAGCCGGGCCTGGTGGCGGGCACCTGTAATCCCAGCCACTCGGGGGGCTGAGACAGAAGAATCGCTTGAACCCGGAAGGCGGAGGCTGCAGTGAGCCAAGTTCGTGCCACTGCACTGCAGCCTTGGCGACAAACTAAGACTCCATCTCAAAAAGAATATATATATATATATAAAACCTTATCCGAGGTCATACCACCATTGAGGAGCAGAATTTGGACTCAAACCCAAGCAATCTGGCTTCAGAGTCCACACCCATTACATAAACTGCCCCTGACACATAGGGACTTGTTTAATGTTAGGTTTTAGTGAAGGAATTTCCAAACATGGGCAATGGAAAAGGCAAGGCTTTGGGGCAACAGGTCCTTTGCTCCCTCCAAGGGTCTTTGGTCACAACATGGGATGGAGCCTGTCCTTCATTTATTCACTCAATAAACACGGAGCACTAGAAGTAGTACAATGAACAATACAGCCATGGTCCCTGCCCTCAAGGAGCTTCCAGCGTCAAGGAAGACAGTTAAAAAACAAGCATATAAATACAAGAAATAGATTCTGTGGTAACTGCCACACTGGAAATGATGAGGGTACTGTGATGGCCAGTTAGAATGCATGTGGGAAGTGAGGGGAGACTAGGACCACATAGACAAGTTTGACTGTTAAATGACATTTCTGGACATACAACCTCAGACTAGCAGAGAACAAGCAGGCCAGAAGAAATAGCACTGAGTGGGAGGTGGAGGGGAAAGGCTTCCCTGCATCTCTCTGGATTAAAACACATCCCATGTAATCCTCAAATGATGCCTTAGGCATATCCACAGGTTTTATTCAACCCTGCCGAGCAGTCCACACTTCCCTCTTACTAAGGTAGAGAATCTTAGAATGATACAGTGCTGGCCTCAAAATCTCCATGAGGCAAAGAATCCACCCTCTGAAGACGGTGTGTAGTATAATCGTTAACAGTGTGGTGTGAACCCAGCTCAGACCTCCTGGGTCCAAATCCCAGCTCAGTCATTTCCCATTGAGTGACCTTGGCCTCAGTTCCTCATCTGTACAACTCTCCTTCAGAGCACAGTTAAAGGATCACTTTAGCACAGTGCCTGGCACGTAGTAAATGCTCAATAAATAGGAGGCAAGATTATCAGCATGACAGCTTAGATTGCTGGAACAACCAGGACCCATTCTAGGTAAATCCTCTCACTCACCAGTAAAGAGAGGAATGAACTTGCCCAAGCTCCCATAGCCACTAAGTGGTGGGTCTGGAACCGGAACCCGAGACCCTAGCTCCCAGGTGAGGACACTTTCTATAATAATTTTTTTTTTTTGAGACAGGATCTCACTTTGTTGCCCAGGCTGGAGTGCAGTAGTGTAATCTCGGCTCAATGTAGCCTCTAATTCCTAGGCTCAAGCAATCCTTCCACCTCAGCCTCCTAAATAGCTAGGACTACAGGTGCACACCACTATACCCAACTAATCTTTTTGTTTTTTGTAGAGATGGGGTCTCCCTATGTTGCCCATGCTGGTCTCGAAGTCCTGGGCTCAAGTGATCCTCTTGCCTTGGCCTCCCAAAGTGCTAGGATTTACAGGTATGAACCACCACACCCAGCCAAGAAATACTCTTAGCACATGACCGCATTTGAACTTCCCAATCACTCCAATATCCAGCAGCAGTTCCTTTCTCCTGCATGATCTGCACTCTCTTCCTCATATCTTTGACTCTGTCTCCCACCAATTTCCTTTGTGCTCCCCCCGCTAGCCACACCAACCTCCTTGCTGCTGTTCAAACCCATCCATCACCCTGCCTCAGGGCCTTGGCCCTTGATGCTCCCTCTACCTGGAACGATCTTTCCTCGTATTTTCACCTTATTCAGACCTCTATTCAAACCCACTTTATATAAAATAAGATCGCTGGAATTTACTTCAAAATAATTCACGGGAATGGAGAGGGAAGTGAATAACAAAACAGGATTGGTTCAAATTGGTAATTGTTGAGGTTGAGTGATGGGTAATAAGGGCTCTTTTTATTTTCTTTTTCTATTTTTTTTTTTTAAGACAGAGTCTCACTCTGTTGCCAGGCTGGAGAGCAGTGGCGCAATCACGGCTCACTGCAACCTCCGCCTCCCGGGTTCAACTGATTCTCCTGCCTCAGCCTCCCGAGTAGCTGGGATTACAGGCGCCCACCACCACGCCCAACTAATTTTTTGTATTTTTAGTAGAGATGGGGTTTCACCATGTTGGCCAGGATGGTCTCCATCTCTTGACCTCATGATCCACCCGCCTCGGCCTCCCAAAGTGCTGGGATTACAGGCGTGAGCCACCGCGCCCGGCCAGGGTTCTTTATACTATTTATTTCTTATTTCTGGTTGAAATTTTCCTAAATACCAAAGTTTCTGGCTGGGCTCATGCCTGTAATCCCAGCATTTTGGGAGGCCAAAGCTGGAGGATTGCTTGAGGCCAAGAGTTTGAGACTAGCCTGAGCAACATAGGGAGGCCCCATCTCTACAAAAATTTAAAAATCAAAGAAGTATCCTTTAAAAACTCATGCTGTTACAGTATTCTGTATTTCTGCATAAGTTTAAATTTTCCCATAATAAAAATGTTTAAAACTCACCTTATTTATTTATGTTATTCTCTCTACTTTCATGTATATGTGAAATTTTCCAAAATAAAAAGTTTTTAAAAAGAAAAAACTCTGGGCCGGGCATGGTGGCTCATGTCTGTAATCCTAGCAATTTGGGAGGCCGGGGTGGGTCAATCACCTGAGGTCAGGAGATCTAGACCAGCCTGACCAACATGGTGAAACCCCGTCTCCACTAAAAATACAAAAATTAGCCAGGCATGGTGGCACATGCCTGTAATCCCAGCTACTCGGGAGGCTGAGGCAGGAGAATCGCTTGAACCCGGGAGGCAGAGGTTGCAGTGAGCTGAGATCATGCCATTGCACGAGCAACAAGAATGAAACTCCATCTCAAAAAGTAGAAAAAGAAACAAATCTTTTTTTTTTTTAATTTTTATTTTTTTTATTGATCATTCTTGGGTGTTTCTCGCAGAGGGGGATTTGGCAGGGTCATAGGACAATAGTGGAGGGAAGGTCGGCAGATAAACAAGTGAACAAAGGTCTCTGGTTTTCCTAGGCAGAGGACCCTGCGGCCTTCAGCAGTGTTTGTGTCCCTGGGTACTTGAGATTAGGGAGTGGTGATGATTCTTAACGAGCATGCTGCCTTCAAGCATCTGTTTAACAAAGCACATCTTGCACCGCCCTTAATCCATTTAACCCTGAGTGGACACAGCACATGTTTCAGAGAGCACAGGGTTGGGGGTAAGGTCACCGATCGACAGGATCCCAAGGCAGAAGAATTTATCTTAGTACAGAACAAAATGAAAAGTCTCCCATGTCTATTTCTTTCTACACAGACACGGCAACCATCCGATTTCTCAATCTTTTCCCCACCTTTCCTCCCTTTCTATTCCACAAAACCGCCATTGTCATCCCGGCCCGTTCTCAATGAGCTGTTGGGTACACCTCCCAGACGGGGTGGTGGCCGGGCAGAGGGGCTCCTCACTTCCCAGTAGGGGCGGCCGGGCAGAGGCGCCCCTCACCTCCCGGACGGGGCGGCTGGACGGGCAGGGGGCTGACCCCCCCACCTCCCTCCCGGACGGAGCGGCTGGCCGGGCAGCGGGGCGCCTCACTTCCTAGTAGGGGCGGCCGGGCAGAGGTGCCCCTCACCTCCCGGACGGGGCGGCTGGCCGGGCGGGGGGCTGACCCCCCCACCTCCCTCCTGGACAAGGCGGCTGGCCGGGCGGGGGGCTGACCCCCCCACCTCCCTCCCGGACGGGGCGGCTGGCCGGGCAGAGGGGTTCCTCACTTCCCAGTAGGGGCGGCCGGGCAGAGGCGCCCCTCACCCCCCGGACGGGGTGGCTGGCCGGGCGGGGGGCTGACCCCCCCACCTCCCTCCCGGACGGGGCGGCTGGCCGGGCGGGGGGCTGAGCCCCCCACCTCCCTCCCGGACGGGGTGGCTGGCCTGGCAGAGGGGCTCCTCACTTCCCAGTAGGGGCGGCTGGGCAGAGGCGCCCCTCACTTCCCGGACGGGGCGGCTGGCCGGGCGGGGGGCTGACCCCACCTCCATCCCGGACGGGGCGGCTGGCCGGGCGGGGGGCTGACCCCCCCCCCCACCTCCCTCCCGGACAGGGCGGCTGGCCGGGCGGGGGGCTGAACCCCCCACCTCCCTCCCGGACAGGGCGGCTGGCTGGGCGGGGGGCTGACTCCCCCACCTCCCTCCCGGACGGGGTGGCTGGCCAGGCAGAGGGGCTCCTCACTTCCCAGTAGGGGCGGCTGGGCAGAGGCGCCCCTCACCTCCCGGACGGGGCGGCTGGCCGGGCGGGGTGCTGATCCCCCCACCTCCCTCCCGGACGGGGCGGCTGGCCGGGCGGGGGGCTGAGCCCCCCACCTCCCTCCCGGACGGGGTGGCTGGCCCGGCAGAGGGGCTCCTCACTTCCCAGTAGGGGCGGCTGGGCAGAAGCGCCCCTCACTTCCCGGACGGGGCGGCTGGCCGGGCAGGGGGCTGACCTCACCTCCCTCCCGGACGGGGCGGCTGGCCGGGCGGGGGGCTGACCCCCCCCACCTCCCTCCCGGACGTGGGGCTGACCCCCCCACCTCCCTCCTGGACAGGGCGGCTGGCCGGGCGGGGGGTTGACCCCCCCACCTCCCTCCCGGACGAGGCGGCTGGCTGGGCGGGGGGCTGACTCCCCCACCTCCCTCCCGGACGGGGTGGCTAGCCAGGCAGAGGGGCTCCTCGCTTCCCAGTAGGGGCGGCTGGGCAGAGGCGCCCCTCACCTCCCGGACGGGGCGGCTGGCCGGGCGGGGGGCTGACCCCCCCCACCTCCCTCCCGGACGGGGCGGCTGGCCGGGCGGGGGCTGACCCCCCCACCTCCCTCCCGGACGGGGCGGCTGGCCGGGCGGGGGGCTGACCCCCCCACCTCCCTCCCGGACGGGGCGGCTGGCCGGGCGGGGGACTGACCCCCCCCACCTCCCTCCCGGACGGGGGGCTGACCCCCCCACCTCCCTCCCGGACGGGGCGGCTGGCCGGGCAGGAGGCTGATCCCCCCACCTCCCTCCCGGACGGGGCGGCTGCCGGGCGGAGACGCTCCTCACTTCCCAGACGGGGTGGCTGCCGGGCAGAGGGGCTCCTCACTTCTCAGACGGGGCAGCTGCCGGGCGGAGGGGCTCCTCACTTCTCAGACGGGGCGGCTGGGCAGAGACGCTCCTCACCTCCCAGACGGGGTCGCAGCCTGGCAGAGGCGCTCCTCACATCCCAGACGGGGCGGCGGGGCAGAGGCGCTCCCCACATCTCAGACGATGGGCGGCCGGGCAGAGACGCTCCTCACTTCCCAGATGGGATGGCTGCCGGGAAGAGGCGCTCCTCACTTCCTAGACGGGATGGCGGCGGGGCAGAGACGCTCCTCACTTTCCAGACTGGGCAGCCAGGCAGAGGGGCTCCTCACGTCCCAGACGATGGGCGGCCAGGCAGAGACGCTCCTCACTTCCCAGACGGGGTGGCGGCCGGGCAGAGGCTGCAATCTCGGCACTTTGGGAGGCCAAGGCAGGCGGCTGGGAGATGGAGGTTGTAGCGAGCTGAGATCACGCCACTGCACTCCAGCCTGGGCACCATTGAGCACTGAGTGAACCAGACTCCGTCTGCAATCCCGGCACCTCGGGAGGCCGAGGCTGGCGGATCACTCGCGGTTAGGAGCTGGAGACCAGCCCGGCCAACACAGCGAAACCCCATCTCCACCAAAAAAGTACGAAAACCAGTCAGGCGTGGTGGCGCGCGCCTGCAATCGCAGGCACTGGGCAGGCTGAGGCAGGAGAATCAGGCGGGGAGGTTGCAGTGAGCCGAGATGGCAGCAGTACAGTCCAGCTTCGGCTCGGCATCAGAGGGAGACAGTGGAAAGAGAGGGAGAGGGAGACCGAGAGGGAGAGGGGAGAGGGGAGAAGGGAGAGGGGAGAGGGGAGAGGGGAGAGGGGAGAGGCAAAAGAAACAAATCTTATCAGAGACCTTCTCTGTCCATCCTCATCAGCCTTCCCATCCCCACCCCCTCCATGCACACACCACTCTAACCCCTTCCCTTGCCTTTCCTCTTCTCAGCACTTATCACCACCCAACATATGTTTATCCACTTATTTTCTATCTCCACCAACTAAAGTGTCAGCTGCATGAAAGCAAGGACCTTCTTTTCTTTCACTGCTACATGTCTTTCACTGTTATTATTTCACAACCATCATAACATAAATGAATATTTATTGAGAGAATCCCATTTTATAGATTAGGAAACTGAGGTACAGGCTGATTTAGCAACTTGCTCTAAGTTGCCCACCAAGTCAGTGGTGGGGCCAGAACTTAAATGCTGATAGAGGCCCCTCTGTCCTCCAGGACCTGAGAGTCTAGTCCTCATTTTTACAAGCACACATGTGCACACACACACACACACACATGCACACGATGTTGTTACCTGATGGCACATGACCCAGAACCAGGAGAGCCACAAGGAACAGAAGCAGCTGTGTCATGGCCACGGGGCTCCTGGGGAGGCTGCTGGAGAGAGCACAAGAGGAAAGACCCGAGCAGGCTGAGCCTCGCTGCTTCCAGCCCAGGCTTTATTGAGCTGCAGATGAAGGCAGTGCTGTGGGCAGCAGGCCTAAGTGGGAGTATGAGGCCATGTGGTCCCCAGGCTGCTTGGGATTTCAGCCAGCTACGTGGGAACTGGTCAGCCACACCCTCCGGAGCCTGTTGAGCTCGGAAGGGGAGGTAGAATTTTCTGAGGCAGTGTCTAGGGTCAGAAACTAGACATCTTCCCCACCTAAGAGAGTGGAAAAAATCTTGGCTTAAGAGAGACCTAGTTCAATCCCCCGCATCTCCCCCTAACTGCTGTGAGACATCAGACAAGTCACTTAACCTCTCTGAGCCTCAGGCTGTTGTCTATGAAATGATGACAAGCATCCCTTACAAGGCCAAGTGAACAGCATGTATGCAGGCCTACTCTAAAATGGGAAGAGTAATAGTACCCATGTCATAGAGAGTAATAGCTACCCATCTCATTTAGGGGACTAAATGAAGTAATACAGTGGCTCCTATACTATGGTTCCCCCAGCAAGCAGCAGCAACACCTGGGACTTGTTAGAAACACCAGTTCTTTAGCCCTACCCCAAACCTACTGAATTCACCTCTTCCTAAGCAGAAGAAGGCCACAGGTCACAGAGCAGCCCATGGGTCACAGGTTAAACCACTGGTTACAAGTTAGACCACAGATTCACTAACACTGGTCACAAGTTAGCTCTCTGGTCATTTGTTAGATCACTAGTCATAGATGAGAGTATGGGTGGGTCCCGGCAAAATGTGGCTTAACAAGCCCTCCAAGTGATTCTAACACACCGCCAAAGTTTGAGAACCCCTGAGATAATATCCGTGCAGAGCTTAGAACAGTGTCTGGTACACAGGAATCTAAGTTGCATCATGAAAGATGAGTAGGGGAAAAGGTATCCCGGGCAGAAAGAATAGAATGTGCCTAGAAGAGTAGGGCATGAGCCAAGCAAGGGTTTTCCTGGGAGGAGAGGTTGAAATGATTCTGCAGAGAATAGGTTGGGGCTTGAATGCCAAGTTCAGACTTTTGTATTATAGACAACCAAAAGTTTTTTAGCAAGAGTGTAAGCTGTTCATATTATAGTTTTAAATAAAGAAACTGAAACCCAAAGAGGGAAGTTGACTTGCCTAAGGTCACACAGCAATTGTGCTGCAGAGATGGAAAAGCCAAGTCACCTCACTCCCAGACAATGAAGGGTGCTGCACCACTCATGGCCCATCTTGCAAGTTAGAAAGGTAAGCTTAGAGGGCCAAGCCACGGAAGGAAGCCAGGCACGAGGGGGTTCTGTATCAGCTCCAAGACCTGTGGGGGCTGAGCCAGTCTGTTCAGCTGCTGTGGGAGTTATTCCAAGCTGAACACCTGAATCCCCTCAGCCATGACAATGAGCCCCACCCACAGGTGCAGCCTGGTCTCCATGGGCTCCACACACAGACACACCCCAATTTCTCAAGACCTAAAGGGAGGCAGCCCAGTCAAAGAGTCTGGATCCTGGCCCCTTGGATGGCCGACGTCACCAGCAATCTCTTTCCTCCTCCTCCATACCTGGGAGCATTTTTTTTTTCAGCCATCAGTAATAGAAACAGTAGACAGAGTGGCAGAGACCTCAGGCCCAGGCCCAGCTAAGCCTCAGTTGGTGAATGAATGAATGATGCCAAAATAAGATTTTCATAATTCTTCAGTGCAGACTTCCTGAGCTCTCTCTTCCTCCAAGCCACCTCCCAAAATTAATTCTTCATCCAGAGCAGAGTTTCTTAAAGTGAGGTCAGTGAACCGCCTGCATCAGGATCACTTGGGGCACTTGTTTAAAACGCAGATTCCCGAACCCCTCCCCCAGCACCGTGGAATCCGCCTCTCTTGGAAGGCGGGACCTGAAAATTTAGCAAGTTCCCCAAGTGGTTTTTCTGGGGGCTAATATGTTAGTGCATCCCCTTGATGGAGTGGACAGATGTGGACGCAGATGGAGCTCCAGACCCAGGAATCCAGAGCCCCCATCCTTCCTTTCTCGTCTGCCACCCTCACCCGGTGCGTAGGGCTGGCAGAAGCGGGTCAGCTGAGCTCTGCACTTTCAGAAAAGTCACTGAGCGGCCAGGGCCTTGGGGCGGGGACCCCGGGGCTGCCCTAATGGGGCGGGGCTGGATGGGGCGGGGTCGCGGCTCCTCCCCCGGCCGAGGCGGCGAGGGGAGGGGAACTGGCCTGAGGGGCTGCTCACTGAGGCGGGTGGTACAGCCTGGAGCATCCAGCCGCTGGAGCTGCGAGGGACCCTGGACCCCTCCCACGCCGAGGTAAAGCCCTGCGCTACGCGCCGCCAACTTGCTCAAGTTGGAGCAGAGTTCGCCAGGCGATTGAAGGGGGATTCGGCAGCGTTGGCAGGAATAGGGGGGCTTCGAAACCGCGTCCCTAGGGTGAGGGTCTTCAGACCTGGGACCCGGAGGGCTGGATAGCCCTGGACAAAGACCCCTCCAACCCCAGGATGGGGGATTCACACCCGGGATGCCGGCTGAGAAAGCTCGGACCCAGACTCCAGGAATGGCACAGCGTTCCCGGGCCCTGTGGTCTGCCCTCCCCGTCCCCTGCCAGGACCCTGTCCTGTCACCTAACCTGGGGCCTGACCGGCGGCAGCTCCCGTCCCCAAAAGCAGTTGGAGGCCGTAGCGCCAGCCGCTCCTGAATTTTTCACACAGGGGGCGGGTCAGACACGCGGTTCCCATGGCACTAGGGCACTCGGGTTACAGTCGGGTTACCCCCATACCCCCCTCGCGCTTCTGGAGTGCCAACCCGCCCTCCTGCCTCTTCCTCCTCAGACCCCGTGAAATTGGGCATCGAAAGTTAAGTAGCCCCTACCCTTGGGGGAGACCTGAAACTGCACTCCCAACCCAGAAGCTGTGAAAGAGAGCGGTGGGGAAGGGGAGGAGGGGGACAATTCAGATGTCTTTCAGAGCCAGGGCCTCATGTTCTGTGGCAAGGGCAGGTCCGTGTACACGGAATGGGGAGTGTGCATGTGAGGACATCCCACCTTACTACTGCCCCTCCACCTGCCTGTCTGTCATCAGGAGTAGATCATCCTTAAGACAAGGGAATGGCCTCTGGGTGTGCATGTCTGTGTGTTCACAGCCTGCACACTCACTCCTTCCATCCGGATCCAGGTTTATGCAGAGCCTGAGGCCAGAAAACCTAGGGACTTTCTGCCCCAAGAAGCTGAGGCACCTCCTACTCCCATCTGAACAAGAGGGGGATCTGGAAGAAGCCATACAGCAGCTCATCAGGACACTATAGAAAGAAGCAGCTCAAAGCAATTGGCTGACAGCCAATTCCCCCTTCTTTCAGAAGGAAAGAAGGAAGAAGCA
Organism: Homo sapiens; assembly: GCF_000001405.40. Classification (NCBI taxonomy): domain Eukaryota; kingdom Metazoa; phylum Chordata; class Mammalia; order Primates; family Hominidae; genus Homo; species Homo sapiens. The sequence continues at coordinate 31,476,428 of NC_000020.11, forward strand.
AACCCCCCCCTACCAAAGATGACACTCAACACCGAGCAGGAAGCAAAGACCCCTCTGCACCGGCGAGCCAGCACCCCACTGCCCCTGTCCCCACGGGGCCACCAGCCTGGCCGCCTGAGCACAGTGCCTTCCACTCAATCCCAGCATCCCCGGCTGGGCCAATCAGCCTCCCTCAACCCTCCCACCCAGAAACCTTCACCTGCCCCAGATGATTGGTCTTCTGAATCCAGCGACTCTGAAGGCTCCTGGGAGGCTCTCTACCGTGTGGTGCTACTTGGAGATCCTGGAGTGGGGAAGACCAGCTTGGCCAGCCTCTTTGCAGGGAAGCAAGAGAGGGACCTCCATGAACAGCTGGGAGGTAGGGGCCATATGGGCTGGGCTGGGATGTGGCCAAAGGAGCGAAAGCCCTGTCACCAGGGACACAGGGCTGCCAAGAACAGTTGTACAAGTCATGCACTGTTCAACTCTAAGGGGCATCATTCACTTAGACTATGACATGCACGATGCCCCCCCGCCCTCCAAAGTTGTACAGGGCACAGCCTGCACAATGGTCAAGGGGAGGGAAATTCTTGAATAGAACAAGAATTTTGCCAACTTCCCATGAATGAGAAGTATATGATTCATTTCCATGTCATGCGGGTGGCAATTCTGAATTCCATGTTAAGAAATGGTGGACTTCCACCAAGGTCAGAAACTCCCCTCCCTGACTCCTCTGACTCTTAGATTCTCCCAGTCCCATAGACACCCATCCATGGTCACCATGATCTACAGCAAAACTAAGATCCTTTGCAGAAGGGAGACTCCGAGACCCCAAGTTCTGGGCCCTGGGTTGCTTTATTCCCAAGAACTGCTGTGAGCTGAGAGTGTCGGGGGCCCCAGGATGATGGGGTACAGGGAAGATAGAAGAGATGAAGGTAGGCCCCTGAAGGACTGGCCAAAAGGACATAGGGTGAGTGGGGGAAGGGGGTTGATTAAATGCAGAGAAAAGGTAGGGACATCTAGCCAGACTCCTCTCTAGTCTTGACTTCTCTCTCCGAGTGAGAACACATATGTGTTACAGATAGGGAGACTGAGGTCAAGAGAGGATAACATGACCTGCCTGAAGCACTCACTAAATCAGAGACAGAGCAGGCCTGGGAGAATTCCTAGCCCAACTTTAACCCCACCACCCCACCTTCATTCAATCAATCAAATCTTTCTGGCACCTACTATGTGCCAGGTACTATGGCAGCTGGGGAGACATGGGCTCCTACCAGGAGAGACAGGCATCAAACAAGTGTGATAAGCGTTTCCGAGGACAAGTGGAGGGGGCGATATGACCAGAAATGGGGGGCAGGGAACACCACACTCTCTCAGGCTTGCCCGTCCTCCCTGAGATCCAGCTCTTCCCTCGGTTGCAGAAGATGTATATGAGAGGACCCTCACGGTGGATGGAGAAGACACCACACTGGTGGTCGTGGACACCTGGGAGGCCGAGAAACTGGTATGGCACTGCAAGCAGAATTTGGGGAGAGGGGTGCTGAGCCTAATACTAGACTCCTTCCTGTCCCCTCCTGGGGACACTACAGATCAGGTGTGAGCAACGGCCATCCTCAGCACCCTCCCCCAAAACCCACAGCTCCTAAGCAGTCTTTCCAATCCCAAACAGAAGACCCTTATGACCCTGACCCCTTTTCTCACTCCACAATCCCCTCCTAGCAGCCATCTCAGAATGTACTTCTCCCCCTGCAGATCTCCCCATCATTATTTCCACCCTCTTCCCACCCCTCCCACCCACATTGTACAGAAGGAACGCTGGATTTGGCCCCAAAATACCTAAGGCTGAACCCCCTTTCTTTTTCTTACTAGTTGTGTAGTTTTGTGCAATTGACTTAGCCACTCCGAGCTTCAGTTTTCTCATCTGATAAATGGGTTAACCATTCCTGCCTTCCTCATCAGCTAGTTTTTTAAAGTTCTTATGCAATTTCAGAGGTAAGCCCAGTTTAAAGCATGAAAAACTGCTGAATAGGGGTGAAGAATTGTAAATGATAACTCTTAGTAATTATGACTTGGTAGCTAGAGAAAAAGGAAATCAGGGCAGGAAGACAGCAGTAGGCAGGAATATGTCCCTATTATGATTTTATCTGGTTTGTGTTTTCTTTTCTTTTGCTACATGGGTAATACATGCTCATTGTAGAACTCTGAGGAAAAACACCTAAGCAAAGAGAAGGATCTAAAATCACCTGGGATCCCATCTCTCTAGGGGATAGGCTGCTCAAAAACTAAATGGTGAGTCTTCTGATTCCCATTCTACTGATGAGGAAACCAAAGACCAGAGCGGTTAAATAATAATAATAATGTGTCCAAAGCTCTCAAATAGCAAGTAAGATCCAAACCCAGATCTACAAAATCTTTGTAGATCTTATTCTTTTTTTTTTTTTTTTTTAGACAGAGTTTCACTCTTGTTGCCCAGGCTGGAGCGCAGTGGCGCCATCTCGGCTCACTGCAACCTCCGCCTCCCAGGTTCAAGCAATTCTCCTGCCTCAGCCTCCCAAGTAGCTAGGATTACAGGCACCTGTCACCATGCCCAGCTAATTTTTGTATTTTTAGTAGAGACAGGGTTTCATCATGTTGGTCAGGATAGTCTTGAACTCCTGACCTCAGGTGATCCACCCGCCTCGGCCTTCCAAAGTGCTGGGATTACAGGCATGAGCCACCATGCCCGGCCGAGGCTGTATTCTTATGCATTAGGACTGCATAAGAGTCCTCGTCTTATGACTGTCCTCCCCCTCAAGAGCATCACCTTCTGAACCTTCAGCTGAGGTTTCAGTCATTTGCTCATTCATTCATTCAGAAATACTTGCTGGGTGTCTATCATGGACCAGGACCTTGGAGACACAGAGATGAATAAGGCAGACAGGCCCTCTGGCTTCGTGGACCTCACAGGCTGGTTAGAGGGTCTACTTTTCATATGCAGCTGAGAATGCTATGGGGCAGTCAGTGTCCAGCAAGTTAAGATGGGTGATCAGACTGGGAGTCCCACTCAGGAGACAGGGGAGAAAGGATACTAGACTAGAAGGCGGGAGCTGGAACTCCACACCCAGCTTGCTTTCGCCTTGAGAACATTTTCTCCTCTTTTCTGGCCTTTTATTTTTGCAACCAGCAAAATTAGGAAACTGAACTAGTTTCCCTGATCGGTGACTGTGAAGAGAGGTCTCAAAGAGGGTCCAAGCAATAGCAGCATCATTGAAAAAAGTATCCATCCGTTCCGTCTGTGCGCTACATGGTACTCTGATATCAGAGAGGCTGAATCTGACAGAATTGGATGGGCCTTAGGACCTTAGTGTACCAGGTTGGCTGACCATCAGGACCACTTGGAGTGTATTAAAAATCAAATTATTGGCTGGGCGCGTTGGCTCATGTCTGTAATCCCAGCATTTTGGGAGGCCGAGGTGGGCAGATCACCTGAGGTCAGGAGTTTGAGACCAGCCTGACCAACATGGAGAAACCCCATCTCTACTAAAAATACAAAATTAGCCAGGTGTGGTGGTGCATGCCTGTAATCCCAGCTACTCAGGAGGCTAAGGCGGGAGAATCACTTGAACCTGGGAGGCAGAGGTTGCGGTAAGCAGAGATCATGCCATTGCACTCCAGCCTAGGCAACAAGAGCAAAACTCTGTCTCAAAAAAAATAAATAAATAAATAATAAAAATCAAATTATCAGGCCTCACCCTGGCCCTCACCCTCAGCCTGGGCAACAGAGCAAGACTCCATCTCAATAAAGATAGATAGATAGATAGATAGATAGATAGATAGATAGATAGACAGATACATACATACACACATACATACATACATACATACATACATACATACATAGATACTACAGCCCCACTTTTAGAGCTTCTTATTCTTTTATTTCTTTTCTTTTTTTTGAGATGGAGTCTCGCCCTGTCACCTAGGCTGGAGTGCAGTGTCGTGATCTCAGCTCACTGTAACCTCCGCCTCCCAGGTTCAAGCTATTCTTCTGCCTCAGCCTCCCGAGTAGCTGGGACTACAGGCACCCACCACCACGCCCAGCTATTTTTGTATTTTTAGTAGAGACAGGGTTTCACCACGTTAGCCAGGCTGGTCTCGAACTCCTGACCTCAGGTGATCTGCCCACCTCAGCCTCCCAAAGTGCTGGGATTACAAGCATAAGCCACCATGCCCAGCTGAGAATCTATATTTTTAATCACACTCCCAATAAGTTCATACCAACAAATCCATACACTAACTGGCTTTTGTGATCTTGAAATACAGCAAATCCTCCAAAAATATTTGTGCAATGAATGAATGAATGGTCAAGACTCACTTTCTCATTCTAGAGATGGGGAAAACTAAGACCCAAAGGAAGAAACCTGTCCATACTCAAGGTTGAGAACCCACATCTGTCTGACTCACCCTAAGGTTATTTGGCCTGGGAAATGATCAGTATGGCTGTTGAGAACTTACCCCCCTTTGACAATGACATTGACCACGAATCTGATGCTTTCCTATTCATCACCAAATTCCCATTTGGTTATCAGAAAATTTCTGGCTTCTGGCCGAGCACGGTGGCTCATGCCTGTAATCCCAGCACTTTGGGAGGCCGAGGTGGGTGGATCACCTGAGGTCAGGGTTTGAGACCAGCCTGGCCAATATCGTGAAACCCCGTCTCTACCAAAAACACAAAAAATTAGCTGGGCGTTGTGGCAGCTGCCTGTCATCCCAGCTACTCAGGAAGCCGAGGCAGGAGAATCACTTGAACCTGGGAGGTGGAGGTTGCAGTAAGCCAAGATCATGCCACTGCACTCCAGCCTGGGAGACAGAGTAGGACTCCATCTCAAAAAAAAGAAAAATGAAAGAAAATTTCTGGCTTCTTCACTACCTCACAACCACACACAGTCTTTCTCACTTCAGGCCTTAGCTCTGACTGTTCCCTTTGTCTGGAATCTCTTCCCTCCTGCTTGGCCTCCCCCTCCTTCCTAACCCCATTCGCCAGTCCCCTGTGAAGCCCTCGCACACTCTGCCAGGTGGGGTTGTTCTGGCCTCCCCACCCCACTCCTCCAGCCACTTACACATGTCTCTTACTGGTACTTTCACACTACACTATAACTCCCATTTCCATAAGCTCTCTTCCAGACCATGAGCTTTTGGAGGGCAGAAACCGTGTCTTACTCAACACTTATAAGGTTACTACCCAGGTAGTCCAGTCTTGGAGGGCTGTCCCTAACAAAAGATCACCATCCAAAATATCAAAAGCACTGCAGTTCTTTCTTTTTCTTGGTCAAACAACTTGAAAGGACTCCACTTCTTAAAGTGCCCCTTGACTGTCTCATCCCCTTGTGAACTTACACTTTACAGTTGCTCCTTCACCTCCATCTTCAAAACTGTCCTGAAAAATGCCTTCCCTCTAAAGTCAGCCTCCTGTCCTCACTTTTCTCTCTTTTTTCTCTTCATTCTGGATTTCACCAGGCATAAAGAACCATATGGCAAGACTAAACCCTCCTCAGAAACAAGACAAAAGAGCTAAACAGGTCAAGAGAGAACCCTCTTTAGCAGGAACAGGAACCAAGTAAATTTTGCCTGCACTACCCAGCCTGCAAAAGTATCAGTGAGTGAGAGAATTCTGTGAGGTAGTGTTATTAGCCTAAATTTTTAAGCAGAGAAACTGAGGCTCAGAAAGAATCACCAATTTTCCCAAGGTGACACAGGGAATTATAGCAGAAGTTGTCCCCCACACCTGTCCAAACTATAAACCTCAAGCTGCATCCCACCCATTAGACCATCCCAGCTCCACCTTCCTCAGCCAGGGCCTAGATACCCTCTGAGGATGGGTCTTGGGTCCCTCTCCTGCAGGATAAAAGCTGGAGCCAGGAGTCATGCCTGCAGGGGGGCAGTGCCTATGTCATCGTATACTCCATCGCAGACCGAGGCAGCTTTGAGAGTGCCTCTGAGCTCCGCATCCAGCTGCGGCGCACACATCAGGCAGACCATGTGCCCATCATCCTCGTGGGCAACAAGGCAGACTTGGCCCGCTGCCGAGAAGTCTCTGTGGAAGGTGAGCCCTCCATCCCACCACCTCCTCTTCACCTGGGCCCCACTGTCATGGCTGCTCCTCCAGCGCTCTTCATCTCAGTGACTGTCCCTGCCAAGCTGCCCCTACCCTGCAGCCACTTGCCTAAGCCTGCAAGCTGGGAACCATTCTTGCCTCCCACTCATCACCCCCAAACCAGTCCCCAGATCCTGTCAGGCCACCTCCATTAATTCCACATTCCCTTCCCTCTCTGCCTACAGTCTCTGTGCTATCCTGGCATCTCCACCTTCGCCAGTCCTCCTGCTTCTCAATTATTCCTCCTTGCCACCTGCCAGAATTTTCCAAGACCAGAGTTGAATTTGCACTTCTTAAAAATTCCTGTATGTGGTGGGGCATGGTGGCTCACAACTATAATCCTAGCACTTTGGGAGGCCAAGGTGGGAGGACTTGCTTGAGCCCAGGAGTTTGAGACCAGCTTTGGCAACACAGCAAGACCTTCTCTCTACAAAAAAAATTAAAAATAATTTTAGCTCTTTTTTTAAAAAAAAATTCTGGCCAGGCCCAGTGGCTCACGCCTGTAATCCCAGCACTTTGGAAGACTGAGGCAAGTGGATCACTTGAGATCAGGAGTTCAAGACCAACCTGGCCAACATGGTGAAACCCCATCTCTACTAAAAATATAAAAATTAGCCAGGCATGGTGGTGCACACCAGTAATCCCAGCTACTTGGGCAGCTGATGCATGAGAATCACTTAAACCCAGGAGGCAGAGGTTGCAGTGAGCCAAGACCACGCCACTGCACTCCAGCCTGGGTGACAGAATGAGACTCTGTCTCAAAAAAATAATAATTTCCTCTATGGCTCCCCTAGCCCCTTAATCAGAGACACTTTATCCACCAGGATGATAGGCCCAGTGCCTACAGGCTTTTCAAGGGCTTACATTTGAGAACTGAAAAGAACCATTATTGGCTCCAAAATACAGTGAAAAAAATTAGAAATTCAAATTTCTCAAAGCTTTAATTGTCTGCAAAACATATTTTGTCAACCAGTAACTACAAACCAAAATTTTAAACGTCATATATGGCTTGTATTTACAATGGGATGGGGACTATTTTAATAAGTTTGACATATCAGATAGGGCCCATAACAATTTTTCAATGGTCTTACTCACAGAGTAAAATCTAAAAAAATGTGTAAACTGAGACCCAGAAAGGAAAAAGCTAGTTTCACAGTCACCAGCCCCTGAGGACTAGAACTCGGGCTCAGTGGCTCCTGGAGGTGGAAGACCCTATGCTTTGTGAACAGACATCCAAAAAAAAAAAAAAAAAAAACTGCAACATAAGCCCCAGGAGATTTTGTTAAAGCACAGATTTCCAGACCTCAACCCAAACCTACAGAATCAGAAACTCTGAGGGTGGGTCCAGGAATCTGCATTTAAACAAGCTCCTCCAGGTAATTCCGATCCACAGCAAATTAGACCCTTTACCTGGCATTCAATAATCTGACCCCTCCCTGACCCCAGCCTCTCTGTCTTCCCTCAAAGACCAGTCTGATTTATCTGAGTCCCCAGACAGCAGCACCAGGCATGAGCACAGGAAAAATTGCTTCCAATCGAGACTAAACACATCTCTTCCTACCTTTTTCTCCGCCTTCCGTTATGGCTCCACCCCTCCTCGCCGGGCCCCGCCCCCTTAGAGGGCCGCGCCTGCGCTGTGGTGTTCGACTGTAAATTCATCGAGACATCCGCCACGCTGCAGCACAATGTGGCCGAGCTCTTCGAGGGCGTGGTGCGCCAACTGCGCTTGCGCCGCCGGGACAGTGCGGCCAAGGAACCCCCAGCACCCCGACGGCCGGCCAGCCTAGCCCAGCGCGCTCGTCGCTTCCTGGCACGCCTGACAGCCCGCAGCGCACGCCGCCGGGCACTCAAGGCCCGCTCCAAGTCCTGCCACAATCTGGCCGTGCTCTGAAGCCCCCCGCCCTTCTGAGAGTTGGCGGGTCACTGAGGTGCATTCTGGGCTCCAGGGACGCCACTGCGGGGCAAAGGCGCCGTTACCTGGAGTCTGCATCATGGGTCTTGCTTGCCTGCTGCCCTGATGGCCTGAGCATCCCCCAGATCCAAGCCTGGGGGATCCCGGGAAAGCGATGGACAGACAGACGATGGGGCCGAAGCCCCAAGCTGGGCACAAAGTAGTTTTTTACGTGGTGGGTGTCTTTTTGTAAAAAAATCTTCCTTGTCCCTGGGCTCTGGCCAACCCTCAGAAACCCTCACAATAAACCAGACCAGAAGGATGTCCCATCTGAATGCCCAGACCTCTCCATCTCGGCTCTTCCAGGCGTCTCCACCTACTGCCCTCCCATCTACACTTGACTGTAGACTGGTCTGGCCTGCTGGCCTGGGCGTCAGGGCGCATCAATAAAGTACTTGGACCAGTTTTGTGCTCAGGCCCTTCTCTCAACAGTGGATCACAACCACAGTTCCGTGACCAGCTACTTTCTCATTAACCCATGTTTTACGTTCTAGATTCACATGTCTGGAAGGACCTCAGTACTCATCCTGGCAATAGAATTGCTGGCGTTTGTTGGGAGCTGTGTACTAAGCTGTCACAACAATTATTCCTCCCAACACCTGGGAGAAGGGTTTCCGATTAACCCCATTTTGCTCGTTAGTAAACTGAGGCAGAGGACACCGAAGGCTCACCCAAGATCATACAGCTGCTATACGCGAAGTTGCCGGGATTCCAGCCCAGGCTTGTCAGACTCTAGTGACCAACATATCCATTGTCCACTTTAAACATGATACAAAACCCTATAGAATCTTGGCAAAACGAATTTAAAAACATAATTTCGCATCCAATTTAAAGGAGGTTGGGGCAGGAGCTCTATGAAACTCAATGCATTAATCCCCGGGATGGACCCCAGTTTAATCCAACTCACTCATTTCCCGAAGGCAGAAACAAGCCTAGAGAGGGGAGGTGAGCATGCCAGAGTCACCCAGCCAGGGAGGATTACACCCCAGGGCCCAGCCTCCTCCTGGGTCTCCCTTTGGCTGTGCGGGAGGAAGGAGGTGGTGAGGCGTCCAGCCTGGCTGGGGTCAGGGCTGGGTGTTGGGGATCAGGTCAGGAGTTTCCAGCCCGAAGGGAAGGGGTGTCACTGCTTTGAGAAGAAAACAAGACGCAAACCGTTTGGACCATCGTGTCCCTGACGCCGGACATCCCTTCCCCCAACTATCCCAGACGCCCCAGCCCCGGGGGACGCGGTGCAGAGAAAGACCGCAGCACCCGCCAGCCAGCCAGCAGCGTCCTCCAGCCGCGAATCCCCGCACCCCAGCCTTCCAACGGGGATGGATGGCACTCACTCCCACACCCCAACCCCAGCCTGGGGAAGGGAAAAGAAGGAAGGTCTTCCCCCACCCCAAGCTGTCTCCGGCCTGCGGTCAGGGGGAGGGGCTCTAGCTGTGGAAAGTTGGCAGAGGCGGCCGGCAGCAGCCGGGAGAGTGGAAAAAATGATATCAAACCCGGAAAAATGCAGGCCGGATGGAGGGCCGGAGTGGGCCCTGGGAGGTGAGAGGGCGGGAGGGAAGTGGGGAGGGGGAAGAGCTGAGAAAAGAAGAGGGGCCAGGGAGACAGTGCAGGAGCTGGCTTTAGAAAACTGAGTACAATCGCCCTCATCCCCTCCTTTCTTCATCTACAAGTATTTATTGAGGGCCTACTAAGTGCCGGGCACAGTGCCAGGCTCTGGGGAGATGTGGTGAACAGAAAGAGGGAGCTCACTGCTCGGTAGCTCACAGTAGGGTGGGCTGGGAGACTAGAAAACAAATCAGCAAATAAAAGAATCACAAACTTATAAGGAGCTGAAAATTAGAGTGGTCAGGGAAGGACCTGAAGATAATCCAGTCCAATCCTCCATCCTCAGATAGGAAAACTGAGGGCGAGAGAGAGAGAGACAGAGAGAGAGAGAGAGAGAGAGAGAGAGAGAGAGAGAGAGAGAGAGAGAGAGAGAGAGCTTACCCCAGGCTACTCAGAATGTGGAAGAAATACTTGAGAACGGGATAAGGGAGGAAAGGGGGAGGGAAGAAAGAACTGGTGCAGACCAAGATGGGAAGGTGGGAGGTGTTGAGGGAAGGAGAGTTATGCAGCTAGCACGGCAAGATGGCAGGGTGATTGAGGGCACTGCCCTGAACCAGGGGGTGTGTGTTCAAACCCCGCTCCCCTCCATCTCTCCATGCCTTAGTTTCTCCATCTATAAAACAGGATTCATGACAATTCTTTCCTTTAGGGTCGATGTGAGGATTAAATGATTCAAGTTGTGTAAAATGCTTAAGACACTTTCCGTGTCTAAGAAGATTCAATAAATGTGGGCTCCCGCTAGCATATCTTCTTTTTTTAAAAAAAAAAAAAAAACAGGGTCTCACTCTGTTGCCCAGGCTGGAATGCAGTGGCGCGATCACAGCTCGCTGCAGCCTCCACCTCCCAGGCTCAAGCCATCCTCCCACCTCAGCACCCCAAGTAGCTGGGACTACAGGCACATGCCATTATGCCCAGCTAATTTTTTTTTTTTTTAATTTTTAGAGGAGACAAAGTTTTGCTGTGTTGCCCATGATGGTCTCAAACTCCTGAGCTCAAGAGATGCTCCCACCTCAACATCCCAAGGTGCTGAGATTTCAGGCATGAGCCACTGGGTCTCACCCTGCTATCATATCTTAAGGCCTTGCAGAAACCAGGATTTGTTAAAGGTAAGATATTCTGAGACTGTGAAGACCTGCTTATGAGTCTCTGCCTGGCATATGTATTCACATGTTTTTGTCTGTCTGCCCCACAGGAATGAAAGCTCCTTGAGGGAAGGGCCCTCAGTGCTGCTCTGATCCCAGCACCTACAACAGTGCCTGGCTCATAATAGGTGCTCAGTAAATATTTGTTGAATGAATTAATTCATTATCCATTAATAGATATCCATTAATTCATTATCCATTACCTGTAAAGTGGCCCTTCCAATCCTGTCCTCTCTGATTCTAGGTGTCTGTGAATAAGGAATGGAAAGCATGTGAGAAAACCACACTCTTCCTCAGCCTATTATAGTTTAAAAAGTACTTTCTCATCCATAAAAACAAAACCAAAAAAAAAAATAGCTAACTTTGTTTTAACTGTTTCTCTGTGTTAATGTTGGGCCCCATGCTACATGCTGGGTACACATTTTCTCATGTCCTCACCACCACAACCCTCTACTTAATAGGTACTGTTTAATAGATGAGGACACAGAGGCTAAGAAAACCCAAGAATCTCTCCAAGGCTACACAGCAAGAAAGGGCCAGATCAATGGTGGAGAGGCAGGCAGGACCTGCCATCTTAGTTGTACAATTAGGGAAACTGAGACTCAGAGAGAGGAGACGAGTTGTCCAACCCCAAAGTTATGTAATAAACAGCAAGCAGTTAGATCACTCTTACTATGTACCAGGTGCTTCAGGTGCTGTCCTAAGTGTTTTTCATACATTAATCATTAAATCCTGAAAAACCGATCCTATTATCACCACCCCAGTTTTCAGATGGAGAAACTTGTAGCACAGAGAAGTGCAGTACCCCACCAAGATTGCACAGTTAGCAAGTAGCAGAACCAGAATTCAAACCAGGGAGATCTAGCTCACAGCATTAAGAGGTGGGGTGTGTTACACCATTTGTTTGTACAGCAAGCCTGGAACAGGCTGGTATAAAAAGGAAGGTGTCTTTGTCTCCAGCCCTGCTGCCTGAGGTAGGGGCAAGATAGAGAACAAAAGCGCATTGACAGCATCCTCAGCTGCCAGCTGGGACTTTCCACCTTGAAGGGAGGATACTGTTATGGAAAAAATGATAAAGCTCTGGGAAGATGGATGTCTCCCCAGGGGCCCCCAAGCCTCCTCAGAGTCCCTCCTCTTGCTGTGGGGGAGGGCCACAAACTGTGCTGGCCTGGTCCAGATGAGACAAAGGCCACCTGGATCCCAAGACACCCAGCCAGGCTGCTCGAATACTGAGGATCACTGGCCTTGGTGGAAAGTTCCAATTTCTCACCCCAGGCATGAAGCTTCTGCTCAGGGACCCCCGAGAAATCAGGTTCAGGCTGGAGCTCCCTGTCCTTGGAGATGGGAAATACACATCTCATAGGGCCCGCTCTCTCCTTTCTTCATTCAACAAACATGGACAAGGATGTGGGCTCTGAAGGAAGGTAGAGAATGTAGAGAGGATCACAGCTGGTGGGTACAGGAACTTCCAAGTCCCTGCCCTGGCCACGAAGGGAAGGGGAGGGTAAAAGAGGGTTAGAAGTAGTGAAAAATTCACCTACAACTGCTTTGTAATGATTAAGAATCCCTCCGGTCTGTCATGACCATATGACCTTAGGCAAATCAAAATATACAGAGTGAAGGGGTTAGCATAGAATTCTCTATGTAATTGTCTCTGTCTCCAGAATATTTAAATATTGTAGTTCAACAGCTTGAAAAAATATACAAGTTCAGTTTCAATTTGAGCACTGTTCCCTTCTGTTCAGTTCAGGGTTCAGTTAAAAATAATACGAATGATGGGATGGGAGCTCTGGGTGCAGCAATGTGTGTGGTTTTACCCAGTTCCATATGGTTCAAGTTCAAGGCTAAGGTTTGTGTGTATGTGTGTGTGTGTGTTGTGGCTTATATTCCCATCCATTGTGGATGTGACAATTTATTGGTGGAAAAGCACAGGCTTTGGAACTAGAAGAAACCTGTGTTTAATCCCACCTCAAGCACTTGATCTCTGTGTGAGCTGGGTTCTCCTTTCCTTCGTTTTGAAATGAGAGGTGATAATTCTTATCCCATAGGATTAAATGAAGTTTTTAGTACTTAAGAAAGAACCACTATATGCCATTGGTAATTTACTTCCCCTCTCTAGGCCTCAGTTTTCTCATCTGGAAAGTGGGGATATTAATAGTACTTCTTGGCCAGGCACAGTGGCTCATGACTGTAATCCCAGCACTTTGGGAGGCCGAGGTGGGCGGATCACCTGAGGTCAGGAGTTCAAGACAAGCTGGCCAACATGTTGAAACTCCATCTCCATTAAAAATACAAAAAAAGTTAGCTGGGCATGGTGGCACGTGCCTGTGTTCCCAGCTGCTCAGGAGGCTGAGGCAGGGGAATCACTTGAATCCTGGAGGCAGAGGTTGCAGTGAGCCGAGATCATGCCCCTGCACTCCAGCCTGGGCGACAGACCAAGACTCTGTCTCAAAAACAAAAAAAAAAATAGTATTTCTCACTAAGGGTCGATGTGAGAATTCAATCAGGTTGGCTATTTGTTAGCATGATGCTTTGCACTCAGTAAGCACTCAATAAATTGTAATGCATTTCCATGCATTACTTTATACTTTTTCCCACAGATATATTTTGCTAAGGCAAAGTATTGGATGCTTTTAAACATCATACTATATGTATCCTTCAGCTTTATTATTTTTCACATTCAACATTATATTTATGAGATTCCTTGTGTTGAAATCTGTAACTATTCTTTTTCATCACTGCACAGTATTCCACTGTATGAACATATAAGATTTATTTATCTTTTCTTCCTCTTGATGGGCTTTTTTTCTGCTATAAATAATGCACTATGAACATTGCATGTGCCTCTTTGAGCACAAATATGAGAGTTCCTCTTTCCATCTTTCCACTCTGCCATCTTCTGGGTCTCAGCTTGCCCTGGGATAGCTACCCTTAGGGTCCCAATATGGCCACCCCAGTTTCAGGCATGAAACGTGGACATGACAAGGTCCAGGCAAAGCAAAAAGGTTGTCTCTTCCTCAGCATGTCCCTTTCATCAGCAAGGAAACTCTTCCAGTTCTCACTGGCCAGAATCTGGTTACATGGCCACCTTCAAACTAATCAGTGGCTTAGGTTAATCAGGGTTTGCATAAAGTACAACATGACCACACCAAGAAGAAAAGCTAGAGCTGGGTTAACACCCCAAGTGCTCTAGTCAGGCAGTCAAGGGTGCATGCTCTTAGCTTTTCCAGTCTTACAAAACAGTCCAGAGTGAGTGTGACCATTCCAAATCCAGTCCACTTCAGGGTCTACCCAACTCTGTGAATGAGGATAGATGCCTTTTCACAGAATTGTCTGGAATGAAACTTTGGGAGGCCAAAGTGGGCAGATCACCTCAGGTCAGGAGTTCAAGACCTGCCTGGCCAACATGGTGAAATCCTGTCTCTACTAAAAATACAAAAAAAAAAAAAAATAGCGAGACACGGTGGTGCGGGCCTGTAATCCTAGCTACTTGGGAGGCTGAGGCAGGAGAATCCCTTGAACCAAGGAAGCGGAGGTTGCAATAAGCCAAGATTGCACCACTGCACTCCAGCCTGAGCAACAGAGCAAGACAATGTTTCCAAAAAAAAAAAGATTGTCTGGAAAGCAATTTTTGAGTCTTACATACACACATACACATGCACACACATTAATTCCAAAACTGAAACCAGGATTCACTAACTCAAATGCTCACAGAGTCAGACCAATAATATAAGTCAGTGAAGTCAACTGGGTAGAGGACATTAGGCAGCATCAAGTCTATGGCAAACTGGAATCAGCTGCCTTGCCTAAAAGGAGGATACGAACTAAGCTGCCTGTGACTACTGTTGGAATATGAACCCAGTGTTGCCAGATACCGCATGTCAGTTTTTCTAAGAAAGGCAGAGAGCCAGATCTTTATGTGAAGTATCCCAATCCTTTTGTTTTGAGGCAGGGTCTCACTCTATTGCCCCAGGCTAGAGTGCAGTGGTGCGATCACAGCTCACTGCAGCCTCAACCTCCCAGGCTCAGGGGATCCTCCTGCCTCAGCCTCCAAGTAGCTGGGCCACAGGCATGCACCACCAGGCATAGCTAATTTTTTTTTTCTTTTTTTGTACAGTCAGGGTCTCTCTATGTTGCTCGGGCTGGCTTCAAACTCCTGGACTCAAATGATCCTCCCGTCTTGGCTTCCCAAAGTGCTGGGATTACAAGTGTGAGCCACTTCACCCAGCCCTAATTCTTTTTTATTTTTTTTTTTTGAGATGGAGATTCGCTCTTGTTGCCCAGGCTGGAGTGCAATGGTGCGATCTCAGCTTACAGCAACCTCCACCTCCCAGGTTCAAGCGATTTTCCTACCTCAGCCTCCCGAGTAGCTGGAACTACAAGCATGCACCACCACACCCAGCTAATTTTTTGTATTTTTATTAGAGATGGGGTTTCTCCATGTTGATCAGGCTGGTCTCGAACTCCCGACCTCAGGTGATCTGCTCACCTCGGCCTCCCAAAGTGCTGGGATTACAGGCATGAGCCACCGCGCCTGGCCACCCAGCCCTAATTCTTAAATAATTATTGCTGATTGTCATTTTGTGTTTTTTTGTTTGTTTGTTTTTTGAGATGGAGTCTCACTCTGTCACCCAGGCTGGAGTACAGTGGCGCGATCTTGGCTCACTGCAACCTCTGCCCCCCGGATTCAAGAGATTCTCCTGCCTCAGCCTCCCGAGTAGCTGAGATTACAGACACCTGCCACCGTGCCCGGCTATTTTTTTTTTTTTTTTGAGACTGTGTCTCACTCTGTTGCCCAGGCTGTAGTGCAGTGGCGTGATCTCGACTCACTGCAAGCTCTGCCTCCCGGGTTCACACCATTCTCCTGTCTCAGCCTCCCAAGCAGCTGGGACTACAGGCACCCGCCACCACGCCCGGCTATTTTTTTTTTTTTTTGTATTTTTAGTAGAGACGGGGTTTCACCGTGTTAGCCAGGATGGTCTCAATCTCCTGACCTCGTGATCCACCCGCCTCAGCCTCCCAAAGTGCTGGGATTACAGGCATGAGCCACCACGCCTGGCCTAATTGTGATTTTTTTTTTAAACCCTGGTGCCTGGGCACGGTGGTTCACACCTGTAATCCCAGCACTTTGGGAGGCCGACGTGGGTGGACCACTTCAGGTCAGGAGTTCGAGACCGGCCTGGCCAGCATGGTGAAACTCAGTCTCTACTAAAAATACAAAAAATTAGCCAGGCATGGTGGCAGGCGCCTGTAATCCCAGCTACTCAGGAAGCTGAGGCAGGAGAATTGCTTGAACTCGGGAGGCAGAGGTTGCAGTAAGTTGAGATTGTGCCACTGCACTCCAGCCTGGGCAACAGAGCGAGACTCCATCAAAAAAAAAAACAAAAAAAAAACAAAACAAACAAACAAAAAAAACAGCTTGGGACGGGTACAGTGGCTCTTGTCTGTGATCCGTTCACTTTGAGAGGCCAACACCAGTGGATCTCTTGACCCCAGGAATTCAAGACCAGCCTGGGCAGCACAGTGAAACCCCATCTCTACAAAAATTACAAGAATTAGCCAGATGTAGTGGCCACACCTGTAGTCCCAGCTACTTGGGAGGCTGAGGTGGGAGGATCCCCTGAGCCCTCGAGGTCAAGGTTACAGTGAGCCGTGATCGCACCACTGCACTCCAGCCTGGGCGACAGAGGAAGACCCTGTCTCTAAAAAAAAATAAAATAAAATAAAAGGGAAAAGTTCAGAATAGGTTTTATTTTTATCAAGCAGGAAATTGTTCTACCAGAAATTTCCCTTTGCCTCTTGCTACCCCAAACAAGACGGCTTCTATGAACGAGGGAGAAGTGGGTGAAGGATGTCAGATAGGCAACTTCGGTATTTGCCAGAGAACTCCTTCCATCCTCTTCCCAGTCCCACTGCGCTCCCTGGAGGTACTCACCATTAACAGTTTGGGATATATCCTGGATATTTTTCATTCCACTTACATATACATTGTAGAAAATAATTGGCCACTTTTCTTTCTTCCACCCTATCAGAATTGCAATTTTGCTCTGTTGTTCTCCTCTTATCTATGGAATCAAGAATAAATCCTGATTGCTTTACGCCAGAGATTAAAGGGGGACCTACAGTCCAGCTATGGCCAATGAAGTGTGATGAAAAGTTAACTGGAGGTTTCTAGGAAAAGCTTCTTTGCTCTTAGAAAAGAGCTTAATAAATAAATAAATAAATAAAAGAGCTGCAGCAGGAAGAGACCAGTCCCTTTTTGACAGGTCCCTGGAGTGTAGGAATGTAATACCTGGAACTGTAGACACCATCTTGCAATTATGATGGGATCTAGTCAGAGGATGACAAGGCAGAAAGATGGGGAGTACCTGAACCCTTGCTGATGAAGTCAAGCCTCTGAACACCAACCTTGGCGCTTCCCCATTTCTAGACTTACTGTTATGCAAATTTTCTTGAAGGATTTCTGGGCCAGGCACAGTGGCTCACGCCTGTAATCCCAGCATTTTGGGAGGCCGAGGTGGGTGGATCACCTGAGGTCAGGAGTTTGAGACCAGCCTGACCAACATGGCGAAACCCCGTCTCAACTAAAAATACAAAAATTAGCCAGGCGTGGTGGTGCGCACCTGTAGTCCCAGCTACTTGGGAGGCTGAGACGGGAGAATTGCTTGAACCCAGGAGGCAGAGGTTGCAGTGAGCCAAGATCACACCACTGCACTCCAACCTGGGCAATAGAGTGAGACTCTGGCTCAAAAAAAAAGAAAATTACGGGGATTTCTGTGCCAAAGTCTAAATCATCCATCTGATATGCATGTATGGGTTTGTTTCCTTTTTTCACGTAAGTGGGATTATAGCCATATGCATTAAGACCGAATTCCACTGCAAATCCAAAATAGCCGTGATAGAAACAGATAGAAGGGCACTTCTCTCTTATATAAATGAAGTCCACAAGCAGGCTGTCCAAGGGTGGCATGGCATTCCACAAGGCAGGAACTGTGCTTGCTTCTATCTTCTGGTTCCCTCATCTTCAGTACAATATGCTGCTCAAGCAGCAGCCATCATATTCACATTCCAGCCAGCAGGAAGCGGTAAGGAGTCAAAAAAGGCACAGCCTTTCAGAAGACACACACCTCTGATTACATCACGTTGGCCACAGCATAGTCACATGGCCTCACTTAATTGCATGGAAATTTAGGAAATGATTTTGTGATGTTTTTTGTTTTTGTATTTGTTTGGTTGGTTGGTTGGCTGGTTTTGTTTTTTTGAGATGGAGTTTCACTCTGTCACCCAGGCTGGAGTGCAGTGGCACCATCTCTGCTCACTGCCACCTCTGCCTCCCAGGTTCAAGTGATTCTCCTGCCTCAGCCTCCCGAGTAGCTGGGACTACAGGCAGACACCACCACGCCCGACTAATTTTTGTATTTTTAGTAGAGATGGGGTTTCACCATGTTGGTCAGGCTAGTCTCACACTCGTGGCCTCAATGATCCACCCGCCTCAGCCTCCCAAAGTGCTGGGATTATAGGTGTGAGCCACTGCTCCCAGCCAGGAAATGTATTGTATTCTAAATAGTCACATACCAGCTCAAAATCAGGGATTCTGTGTTTATGGAAGGAGGAAATAGATATTGGGGGACAAGTCAGAAAAAAAAAAAAAAGGAAAGACATTGAGAGATAACCAGCAATCAAGGGTCAACCAGTAATCTCTGCTACAATGCCGTACGTATCGGTTAATATGCTTTTTTCACTCAATGTGTACTGGCTTTCTATCCATGCTTTATTCTTATACATTTCCCTTGTTATTTGGGGGGTTATATTGTTCTTATTTTTCTATCTTCTTCAGATAGAAACCTCAATCATTTATTTGAGGCCTTTCTTCTTTTCCAATTTAGCATTGAAAGCTATAAATTGCCTTCCAACACTGTTCTAGATGCATCCCACAAATTTTGGTATGTTGTGCTTTTCATTATCATTCAGTTCAAAATATTTTCTAATCTCCCCTGTGATTTGTTCTGATTCCCATAGGTTATTCCAAAGTATGTTAATTTCAAAATATTTGGGGGTTTTCCATTTGTTTGTTTATTTCCACTGCAAATTTGAGACTTAATAATTCAACATATGGCCCATCTCGATGCATGTTTCATGTGCACCTGAAAATACTATGTATTCTGCCATTGTTGGGCATAATGTTCTAAATGCCAGTTAGGTCAAAGAGGTTGATAATGCTGTTCAAGTCTTCTCTATGCTTAGTGATTCTATGCCTACTTGTTTTATCAATTACTGAGAAAGGAGTGTTGTATGTGACTGTTTCTCCTTCCAGTCTGTCAGTTTTTCCTTTACCTTTTTCTTTTTCATGGCTGTACTACTTTTCTACAGTATGGATGTACCATAACATATTTTACCCATTGAGGGGCATTTAGGTTAGTGCAAATGTTTTGCCCTTCACAACAGTGTGACATTCAATATTTTTACATGTATAGAAGAGATTACCAAATTCAAATTTACTAGTCAAAGGGCACATACGTTTTACCTTTTGACACACCCTGCCAAATTGCCCTCCAAAGGGGCTGTTTTGTTTATATTCAGATGAATTGTGCCAAATTCCCTACTTTGTGACCCACATTAGATATTACCAGTCTCTTCTCATTTGACCTTTTATTGGGGACAAGATGAGAGAAAGTAGGAAGGAAGGTGTCTCATTGCCTATTTTGCTTTTCCCTAATTATAACAAAGTTGAGCTGTATTCTGCTCAATGACTGTGCCCTTTAGCTGCCCAAAACCACAGTGAAGCTTTGAAATTACAGCTTTTAAGGGCTGCATTAAATTCTGAGCCTAGACTATTTCATTCTTTATTCTCTGCCTGGGGTAGAGGAGGGTGCTTTATTCCAGTTACCAGAGCCTCGGTATCCAGTTACTGATACTCTTGGTATCAGCCTAGAGTCCTGATTCCAGAACAGGAAATCTGGCATCAGTCAGGTCTGAATTTGAATCCCTCTGGCTCAGCCATTTGCCAGCTCTGTGACCTTGGGCAAGTAACTTGGCCTCTCTGAACCTTTGGACAGTCAGTTTTACAAAGGAGGATGACAAGCACTTTGCATAGGTGTTATTTAGATTAGAAACTGGGTGTGTAAAGCACCTCTCACAGCACCTAGCACCTAGCAGTCATTAATAACAATTAAATTTTTTAATAGCCATTCATTGGGCATTTGACACGTGAAGAGCACTGAGTTAAGCCCTTTTCCCAGGTTATTTCATTAATCCTCACAACAGTAAGAGATAACACTATTCTACAGATAAAAGATAACTAAGACTCTAAGATGTTAAGTAGCTTGTCCAAAGTCACACAGTTAGTAAAGATCAGAGCTAAGGATTAAATCAGAAATGTCTGGCTTCTAACTAAGCCTGCTTCCCAGGGTAGCTGGCTTATTCGACAGATCAAGAAAATGAGGCCCAGGGAGAGGAAATAACACATGGAATGAAGTGGTGAGCGAGCAGCAGCCATTTGAAGAAATATCCCTCTTCCTTCTGGGTCTGGGTGACCAGCTGGAGAAGAGACTGGAGAGAGTGGAGGAAGGGACAGCCACCCAGCAGAGGAGGCAAGAGCATGGAAAATGTCTCTTTCAGCCAATTTTCCTGAGGAACCCTGGCTGAGGCTCAGGGCTGGGAATGGAAAGTGTGCAGGGAGGAGGCGCAGCCGCGTCCACCCGGAGAAACTGTCTGCAATGTCCTGCCGGGAGAGGCCAGGGGGAGGGAACTGCTGGGACCGCAGTGGGTGAAGGAGCCGGAGGGGCAGATCCGGGAGGATGAGGATCTGGCATCTGTCCAGGGCCAGGTCTCCTGGGAGAGGAGGGGCAGGCATTCCCCGAGCTCCCTGCTTCCTCCTTGGGCTCCCCGGCTCTGCCAACTCCTGCTGTGCCCTGCCCATGAATCTGGGCATCAACCACTCCTGGAATGGAGATGCTGGCAAACTCGACTCTCTGGGGATGCGCACAGCTGACTCAGGGAGGGTGCGGTGGCCAGGAAGAAGGATCGATCCTATTCTCAGAGATCTTCGCCAGGGCTGGTTAAGATCTGAGAGCCATCAGCCACATCAAATGCATCCTGATCTCTATGACATCAGTGCGGTCCCTCTGCCTGGTAAATCTCCTCTTGCTACTCACAATGCCCATAATTCCACCATTATGGATACAACCAAGGCTCTTGTTCAGTATACAAAGGTATGGTCATACTAATCATTAAAATATTTAAATGCATTCCTACTAGTTGGTAATAACCCATGCCCTGAGTGTCCTCCAAGTACCAGGTATAACAGACCCTCCAGGCCTTCCTCTGGAAGCCTCCAGGGCCCCTCCCCTTAACAGCCATTAAAGGGGTAGTACCCTTACCACGGCAGGGCCACCCAGGGCTATGTGGATCATCAGTAAGTGATGGTCACAACCATTATTACTACTTTTCATATCACTCCTGGAAACAACCCTTTGGATCACAACTTTGTCTCCTGTTTAAAGGCAAATGGTAGAAATTTAGAGGTGAAGAGGCCCTGTGCAATCTCTTCATCTTTCAGATGAGGAAACTAACGCCCAGGGAGAAGCAGAGACTTGCCCAAGGTCACACTGCCAGGCAGTGTAAAACAAGGTATTAGAATGCAGGTCCCTGACTCCTGACACTTCCTTTAGGTGTCAGTTTATCTGGACCCCACACACTGAACTTGAGCAGGTAATGGAAGGAAGTGATGGGGAGGGACCTGTCTCAAGAAAGAAGTGAGAACCAATCATTTGGCTCTTTACCTGGTCACCATAGTCATGGCAACAGTCTCCTTGGTCACTATCTCCTTAGAGATAGTTGCCATGGCAACCACTACCCCGGGGCACCAACTTTCTGACACCCAAGAGCCTTAAGATAAACCAGAAGCAAGTCTGTTCCATAGCACTAACCCATATCAGAGCTCCGAGTAGGAAAGAGACTTGCCCAACATCACACAGCAAGCTGGCAGTGAAGTCAAGCTTCCTGAGTCCCCCACCCGAGGCTCTCACAGCAGCCCCACCCTCTCTACAGCTGACACCGCCCCTCCCCCACCTATCCCCATTTTTCTGCCTGCTTTGGTGCTTCCCACATTCCTCCAGCCCTCAGTCAGGATCTCCTTCCCACGGCATCTCACCCTTGGCTGCCTGTCAGCCAGCCCATCCTCCTGGGAACAGGCTGACATGAGTTTTGTGTAGGACTCATCGCAGGGGTTTGCAACATTGGCTGAGGCTCCCTGAAGACCAAAGAGCCTTCAACATCCTTTGCCCTCCAAAGGAAATAATCTCCAATGGTGGAATTTCAGGCTCTATGCTCAGAACTGAGTAGCTCTTTTTGGGGGGTCGGGCCCATCCGCTGTGTAAGGCAGAAGTTGCTGCCCCACTCTGAGTCTAGAATCACTCCGAGTCTGATCCCCTGT
The DNA here is from genome assembly GCF_000001405.40 of Homo sapiens. Classification (NCBI taxonomy): domain Eukaryota; kingdom Metazoa; phylum Chordata; class Mammalia; order Primates; family Hominidae; genus Homo; species Homo sapiens. Next base: position 31,498,666 of record NC_000020.11, read on the forward strand.
TTTGTTTTTATCAAGTCCCTTTTCCTCTCTGGGACTCAGTATCCCCACCAAAGACAAGGGGATGAGGATACCGTTCTACAGTCACCACCACCACCACCATCAGAAGACTGCCAGAGACCAGACGCAATCTAGTGTTTCAGTATAACCAAACAAGGAATGGCCATGGTTTAAAGAACTGGCCTACCTTCCCGCTATCTTCTTTTAGAAAAATGGAATCTCAGGATTGGAAGGATGTCCCAGGCACAGGGAAGATCTTGAGCAAAAGCAGGGAGGCTGAAAAGAATCTAGGGAACCTGTGACTACCTAGTGTGTTGACGTGTAAGGATAAAGAGAAAGTAGGGCCTATAATCCCAGCACTTTGGGAGGCCAAGGAAGGAGGATCAATTGAGCTCAAGAGTTCGAGACCAGCCTGGGCAATACAGTAAGACCCCACATCTAAAAGAATATAAATAAATAAATAAATAAACACAGAGAAAGTAGCCTAGCAGGACAAGCCAGAGGAGATTAAAAGGGATCAGTCACCAGTCCCAGGGCTAAGGACGTTGTCTCTGACGCCTCCTTTCTGTCCTTCTGTTCCTGCCCTCAAAAGCAATGAGCACCAAGCATTTGCAAACTCCAAGTCTCAGGGCTTCAGGGACTCACCAAAGATGCTGAGGCACTCCCCTGCCTGGGTCTAACCTGTGCAATTCTGATACTGTGGGATGGAGGGGATGGAGCTGCATAGGTTGAAGGGCAAAAGAGAGCAAGGAGCACTGCAGGAAATCATCCACTCATCCATTCATTTGATGAATATTTATTAAATGCAACCCAAGCTTGTGACCTTGGGCAAGTTATTTAGCCTGTCTGTACCTCGGAGTCCTTGTGTGCATAATGAGGACAGTGGAGATGCCTGCCCCGTACGATGGTGTGAGGATCAAGTGAGTTTGTAAATGTTTAGTGCAGTGCATGGGAAGCAAATCAGTACCCCATGCATGTGTGTTATAATTATAATGATTACTGAACATTTACTATGTGCTGGGCACTCTCTAGACAGTAGAAGTACTGGGTGAAGTTCAGTGTGAACACAACATGCATAATTTCTGCCCTCAAGGAGTTCACAGTCTAATAGGAGAGACAAACCAAAAAAGACAACTTTATTAAAATAATACAAAGAGGCCAGGCGCGGTGGCTCACACCTGTAATCCCAGCACTTTGGGAGGCCGAGGTGAGCGGATCACCTGAAGTCAGGAGTTCGAGACCAGCCTGGCCAACATGGTGAAACCCCTTCTCTACTAAAAATATAAAAATCAGCTGAGCATGGTGGCACACACCTGTAATCCCAGCAACTCAGGGCGCTGAGGCAGGAGAATCACTTGAACCTGGGAAGCTGAGGTGGCAGTAAGCCAAGATCATACCACTACACTCCAGCCTGAGCAACAGAGCAAGACTCCATCTCAAAACAATAATAATAATAAAAAGAATTACAAATTATTGCATCAGATCTAAATCTTAACCTCCAAACTCAAGTGTGCAAGAAATATTCATTTTTTTATTTTCTCAAAAAGCAAATTCTACTCCTATCCCCTACTCCCATCCTTCTGGGCTGCATGGAAATTCAGTCTCCATCCTTACTGAAGCCACTCCATGACAAGAAACAAGGAGGGAAGACAGGGACTCCGCCTGGCACTGAACCACGTGAAGCCTCTGACCACGGTGCCCAAGCCCTCAATAGCCCCTGAAATCCAGCAGCCCCTGCAAGCCAAGCCAAGCGAGGGGCCTGGGAGTCTTGCTGGAGGCTGGAATCACCAGGCCTGAATCCAGCCTCCCCAAGCACACCACCTGGCCATCCCCACAGTCTAGCCACCTCTTCGGGTAGGAGATCTCCCTGATCCTGGACTCCACCAACCTTCATGGCCTCTGACACCTCCTTTCTGTTCTTCTGTTTCTGCCCTCAAAAACAATGAGCACCAAGCATTTGCAAACTCCAAGTCTCCAGGGGCCAAGCAGATAGCAACAAAAAAAAGTATGAGACTTGGTGACCTGAGAGCACATGCCTTGCCTAAAAAGGTTAGCATAGGCCAGGTGCAATAGCTCACATCTATAATCACAGGGCTTTGGAGCAGGAAGATGGCTTGAGGCCAGGAGTTCAAGACCAGCCTGGGCAACATAGTTAGACATTATCTCTACCCCAAAAAAAGTTTTTTTTTTTTCCCAATAAAAAAAGGTCAGCACAACTTAGCTTACCAAACTTATCAGGTAATGTAGCCTCGTGGTTAGGGGCTGCATTCTAGAGCTATGCTGCCCAGGTTCAAATTCTGGTGCCACTCTTTGCTGTCTGTGAGTCCTTAGGCAAGTCACCTAACCTCTCTGTACCTGTTTCCTAAACTATGAAAAAGAATAATACTTGTGGCCTTGTGCAGTGGTTCACGCCTGTAATCCCGGCACTTCGGGAGGCCGAGGCAGACGTATCACCTGAGGTCAGGGGCTCGAGACCAGCCTGGCCAACATGGTGAAACCCTGTCTCTACTAAAAATACAAAAATTAGGCTGGGCGCGGTGGCTTACACCTGTAATCCTAGCACTTTGGGAGGCCAAGGCGGGTGGATCACGAGGTCAGGAGATCGAGACCATCCTGGCTAACACGGTGAAACCCCATCTCTACTAAAAATACAAAAAAATTAGCCAGGTGTGGTGGCGTGCACCTGTAGTCCCAGCTGCTGGGGAGGCTGAGGCAGGAGAATGGTGTGAACCCAGGAGGCGGAGCTTGCAGTGAGCTGAGATTGCGCCACTGCACTCCAACCTGGATGACAGGGTAAGACTCTGTCTCAAAAAAAAAATTAGCCGGGCGTGGTGGCACATGCCTGTAATCCCAGCTACTCCAGAGGCTGAGGCAGGAGAATCACTTGAACCCAGGAGGCAGAGGTTCCAGTGAGCCGAGATCACGCCACTGCATTCCAGCCTGGGTGACAGAGTGAGACCCTGTCCCAAAAAAACAAAACAAAACTTGTACCGGTAGGTACGGCAGCTTCACATGAGAAAGCACTTAGGACAGTGCCTGACATTAGTAGTTACTCAGTAAATGTTAGCACCCATCACAGGAAAATACAGGGCCAAGACTTCCAGACCTACTAAATGTTCAAAAGAAAGCAACTATCCAAATTTTTATTCTGAAACTGCTCCATTTTTTAACCTTGGTAGCTAAGTAAACCCAGATTTTTGTTTCTGTTTTGTTTTGTTTTGTTTTGTTTTTTAGAGACGATATCTCATTCTGTTGCACAGGCTGGAATTTAGTGGCACAATCATAGTTCACCACAGCCTCAAACTCCCAGGTTCAAGCAATGCTCCCGCCTCAGTCTCCTGAGTAGCTGGGACTACAGGTACATGCCACCAAGCCTGGCTATTTTTTTTTAGTGTTTTGTAGAGAAACGAGGTCTTGCTATGTTGCCCAGGCTGATCTCAAACTCCTGAGCTCAAGCGATCCTCTCACCTCAGACTCCCAAATAGCTGGAACTACAGGCACAAACCACCACCATGCCCAACCAAAGCCAGTTTTTAAACCTTGGCAAAAGTCATACAAAACACATCTGTGAGCAGGACTGGGCCTATAAAACTGACAATTTACAATATCTGCTCTACAGTGTTTAAGCTTATAGAAAGTGGAGTCCAGAAAGGGAAGAGTCTTGGAAGCAGCTTTTGCTTTGGGCCCTAGAACCAAACCTCCCCTAGGCAAGAGGGTACAGAAAGGGGAGGGACAAATAGAGAGAGAAAGATGCAAAGTATTAATAATACATCAAATCACCCTGGTACGTAAATGCTATGTGCTGTGAGGGTTTGTTTGCCTTTTAAGTAACTCAGATAAAGATAGAAAAGTGGTCAGGGGCTGGGTGCGGTGGCTCATGCCTATAATCCCAGCACGTTGGGAGGCTGAGGCGGGAGGATCGCTTGAGCCCAGAAGTTTGAGACCAGCCTGGGCAACACAGTGAGACCCCATCTCTACTAAGAATACAAAAAGTAGCTGGGTGTGGTGGTGGGTGCCTGTAGTCCCAGCTACTTGGGAGGCTGAAGCAGAAGAATCGCTTGAACCTGGGAGATGGAGGTTGCAATGAGCGAGATCGTGCCACTTGGAAAGTGAGTTTGAAACTAGGACCCATAAGAAGGAGCTACCTTAATAATAATAATAATTAAAAAAAAAAAAAAAAAGCAGGGAGAGAGAACACCAGGCAGGGGACACCTATACAAAGGGTCTGAGGCAGAAAAGAGCTTGGATCGCAAAAGAAGATGTGCAATGAATGAGCTGGACAACTAGGCCATGCTGAAGAGCGTGAAGTTATCTTGAGGGCAGGGGCACCGGGGAGTCATCGAAGGGTTTCAAGCAAAGAGATGCAATGTGCAGGGGACTCCAGGAGACAAATTAGGAAGCTGCTGAAGAGCCCAGGAGAGATGGGCTGGCTTGGATTGGCCAGCAGCCTTAGATATGAACAGCCCCAAATTTCTGTGGCTGGAATTGGCCTTAAAGTCAAAGACTGCATTTGAGCCTCAGAGTGGCCTGCTGCCTCCCCATGAGCCAGGTCCAAGTGGTGGCCCTCATCCCAGTGTTCCGGCCCGGCCAGAACCCGGCCACGTAGCGGGGACTGTCTGTTAACTGGCTTATGCTGCCCTCTGCTGGCAGGAGAGGGCACCTGAGCAAGGGGAGCTGCAGCCTCCCAAAGCCACCACGGTGGGTCAACAGCGCGGTGGCTCACATCTGTAATCCCAGCACTTTGGGAGGCTGAGGTGGGTGGATCATCTGAGGTCAGGAGTTCGAGACCAGCCTGGCCAATACGGTGAAACCCCGTCTCTACTAAAAACACACAAAAAAATTAGCCGGGCATGGTGGCGCTCGAGGCAGGAGAATCGCTTGAGCCCAGGAGGCGGAGGTTGCAGTGAGCTGAGATTGCACCACTGCACTCCAGCCTGGGTGACAGAGCAAGACACCATCTCAAAAAAAAAAAAAGAAAAAGAAAAAAAGAAACAACTCCAGGTGGAGACAGGGACGGTGCCTCCACCCTACCCATCTTCCCCATCTCAGGTCCTGGCACATCCATCATGCAGTAGGTCAGCTCAGAAACCCAAGACACAGTCTTCACACTTCCTCCTCCCTCACATCCCATCAGGGAGTCCTTTTCACCCTATTTCCTAAACACAATCCTCAATTGGAAATATCCTAGATCTATCTTAATCCTGTCCACCTCTCTTTGTCTCCATTGCCCCCACTCCCAGTCAAAGCCACAAACATCACTTCTTTAGTCTATTTACTCACTTTTACTCTTGTCCTGGCCAATCCGTTTCCCACTCAGCAGCCGGAGTCCTCGTGGTGTCCTCTGATTCCAAGATCCTTTCTCCTCAGTGTTTGAGCCGGATGGGGACATCCCTGAGAAATACACAGCCCCACCCACCAGGGCACCCTGTCCATGTAGAAAACTGTCCTGAAGATGCAAGACAACAGAGGTGCTCACATCAGAGCCCCACAAACAAGGCACTTGGCCACCCTCCTACTGGGAATGTTTCCCCGTCTCTACTGGTGTCCCAGCCTCATGCCATCCATCTCACTGGCTCCTCTCCTTCCACATCCTCAGCTCCATTTCTTTTTTTTTTTTTTTTTTTTGAGACTGGGTCTCCCTCTGTCCAGACTGGGAGTGCAGTGATACAATCACAGCTCACTGCAGCCTCAACCTCCTGGGCTCAATGATCCTCCCACCTCAGCCTCCTGAGTAGCTACAGACGCGTGCCACCACACTTGGTTAATTTTTGGTTTTTTGGGTTTTGTTTTTTTGGTAGAGACAGAGTCTGTGTGCCCAGGCTGGTCTTGAAGTCCTGGCCTCAAGAGATCCTCCCTCCTCAGCTTCCCAAAGTGTTGAGATTACAGGTATGGGCCACTGCACCCAGCCGCCGCTCCCTTATATTTCTGTCTGCTACTTCTCTCCTTCCCACAAATTCCTGTTCACCTCTAATGCAAAGCAGATTTGCCATTTCAGCCCTGCCAGCCAGGGTGCTTAGGGCTCACATTTTCCTCAAGCAGGTTGCCATGGTATCTTCGTGTAATGTACATATATATATACTGTCCCCTCCCTAGGAAAAATACCAGTATCAGGACAACAGCATTTTTACCCAGATACATTGTGAGGCTAGCATTCATTCTATGACCCTGACGTTCATCCCATGACCGTCGATTTTTTTTTTTTTTTTTTTTGAGACAGAGTTTCACTCTTGTTGCCCAGGCTGGAGTGCAATGGTGCAATCTCGGCTCACTGCAACCTCCTCCTCCTGGGTTCAAGTGATTCTCTTGCCTCAGCCTCCCGAGTAGCTGGGATTACAGGCATGCGCCACCACACCCGCCTAATTTTTTGCATTTTTGGTAGAGATGGGGTTTCATCAGGTTGGCCAGGCTGGTCTCGAACTCCTGACCTCAGGTAATCCATCCGCCTCGGCCTCCCAGAGTGCTGGGATTACAGGCGTGAGCCACCGCACCCGGCCTGACATTCAACATCTTATGGCTTGGTCTGAGATTATGGAAATCCTCACTGACCTCAGGTTCAGCCTGTGTAACAGAAGCCTCACCACCCACCCCAGAGGCCTTTGAGAGTAGAACTGGACACCCTTCAAGACTCCCCTGACCAACTTGAGCCAAGGAAGCTCACAGATCTGGGAGCTTCTAGGTTCCTGCAGCAAATCATAACATGTTAACTCAGTTCCTGAGGGCTGCTGTTTGTAGCAAGCCTGGTTTTCTGTGAAAGAGAATGAAGACAAAGCAGATAAAAACAGAAAGGAGATGCAGAGAGAGGATCCTGGCAGCATGGACATCCTGGCTTCCAGGGGTTAGTGAGGCCCAATTCCATCCCTGCCTGTCCTTGCAGGGGTTTGGTTATTCACCTCTTCCTTGGAGTTCAAGAGGCCAATGCATTCCAGCCTTCGCCTAAAGCGTTTCAAACTGTGCTTCCAGCCCTTGCAAATCACAGAACCCTGAGTCTGTCAGAGGTTCTCTCTCTGACACTTCCCATTCCCTTTGCAAATCTAGCCTCCATCCCCAACTCAACAAAGAACAAAGGGAACTCTGAAATGACAATTTTCTCTTAAAGTCTTCAATTTTCCCTTTTGTTTTCTATTTTGAAAGGAGCAGAGTGACAAGTTCATTATACTCATTCCTTCCTCCTAGCCTATCATCACCATTTTCCAAAAGGGCCCGGCTTTATTTTACTTCCGTACCTATTTTTTTGTTGTTTTAATCCCAGTTGCCACTCTCATTCCCAACCCTCTATAGGCAACCATTCCAATGTGCTTGACGTACATTCTTTAATATGTAAATGACCTTGTTAGATTTGCTATGTAGACTTCTGATATATACCTTTGTCAGAGGTGCTTGAACCAGAGCAACTCCATCTTGAGTAGGGGCTGGGTAAAGTTAGGTGGAGACCTACTGGGCTGCATTCCCAGGCAGTTATGCATTCTTAGTCACAGGATGAGATAGGAGGTCAGCACAAGATACAGGTCACAAAACCTTGCTGATAAAACAGGATGCAGTAAAAAAGCTGGCAAAAACCCACCAAAACCAAGATGGCAACAAAAGTGACCTCTGGTCCTCCTCACTGCTCATTAAATGCTAATTATAATGCATTAGCATGCTAAAAGACACTCCCACCCATGCCGTGATAGTTTACAAATGCTATGGCAATGTCCAGAAGTTACCCTTTATGGTCTAAAAAGGGGAGGAACCCTCAGCTCCAAGAATTGCCCACCCCTTTCCCAGAACACTCATGGATAATCCACTCCTTGTTTAATATATAATCCAGAAATAACTATAAATATACTCAGTCAAGCAGCCCATGCAGCTGTTCTGCCTATGGAGTAACCATTCTTTCATTCCTTTGGTTTTTTTTTTTTTTTTGATACAGAGTCTTACTCTGTCACCCAGGCTGGAGTGCAGTGGCGCGATCTCAGCTCACTGCAACCTCCACCTCCCGGGTTCAACTGATTCTCGTGCCTCAGCCTCCTGAGTAGCTGGAATTACAGGCATGCGCCACCACACCCAGCTAATTTTTATTACAGATGGGGTTTCACGTTGTTGGCCAGGCCGGTTTCAAACTCCTGACCTCGTGATCCGCCCGCCTCGGCCTCCCAAAGTGCTGGGATTACATGCCTGGGCCACCACGCCCGGCCGTACATTAGCTATTAAAAAAAATAAAACATAGAAAATAAAATCTCCTTTATCCTTCAAGATTTGGTTCAAATGCCCACTCCACTGGGAGCCCTTCAATGGCAGAGACTGCTGTTGCCTCCTAACTTCCATTCTCCTCCTCTTTCATTGTAAGAAAACTCCTGCACTCTGCAGCTTGGCTTTTTTTTTTTTTTTTTTTTTTTTTTTTAGACAGAGTCTTGCTCTGTCACCCAGGCTAGAGTGCAGTGGCACAATCTTGGCTCACTGCAACCTCCAACTCCTGGGTTCAAGCAATTCTGTCTCAGCTTCCTGAGTAGCTGGGACTACAGTCACACACCACCACGCATGGCTAATTTTTGTATTTTTGTATTTTTTTTTTTTTGAGACGGAGTTTTGCTCTTGTTGCCCAGGCTGGAGTGCAATGGCGCGATCTCGGCTCACCACAACCTCCGCCACCCAGGTTCAAGCAATTCTCCTGCCTCAGCCTCTCAAGTAGCTGGGATTACAGGCATGCGCCATCACGCCTGGCTAATTTTTTTTGTATTTTGAATAGAGACGGGGTTTCTCCATGTTGGTCAGGCTGGTCTCAAACTCCTGACCTCAGGTGATCCGCCCACCTCGGCCTCCCAAAGTGCTGGGATTACAGGCATGAGCCAGCACGCCCGGCCTAATTTTTGTATTTTTAGTAGAGACGGAGTTTCACCATATTGGTCAAGTTGGTCTCAAACTCCTGACCTCAGGTGATCCACCCGCCTCAGCCTCCCAAAATGCTGGGATTACAGGCGTAAGCCACTGCGCCTGGCGCAGCTTGGCATATTTTTTTTTAAAAGAAAAAAAATAATATTCCATTTTTATCTAGGCAATTGCAAGATTTCCAATAACTAGCTTAATGCTGTCCCACTAATAGAGTGCACACAGCCTCCCTTGTGGCTAAACATGACCAGGTAATTATGGTCTGGCCAATTAAATGTAAGTAGAAGCATTATATAGAACTCCTGGAGTGATTGTCAGAGGGGAGGGGATGAAAACTCTTTTGCTCTTTCCTCCTCCTTCCAGACTACAATTTGAACAAGGTGTCCAGAGCTTTAGCATCCTTCTTAGATCATGAGGTGACCTTGAGGATGGAAGTCCTATGCTAGAACGATGAATACAATAGACAGAAGGAGCTGGATCCCCGATAGCCATGGAGCTGCTGTACTGGCCCTGAGCTGCCTGACTCCACATTTCTTTAAATTCATCTGTTTTAAATTTTTTTTTTTAAACAGACTCTCACTCTGTCACCCAGGCTGGAGTGCAGTGGCATGATCTCGGTTCACTGCAGCCTCCTCCTCCTGGGTTCAAGCAATTCTCATGGCTCAGCTTCCCGAGTAGCTGGGACTACAGGTGCACACCACTATGCCTGGCTAATTTTTGTATTTTTAGTAGAGACAGGGTTTCACCATTTTGGCCAGGCTGGTCTTGAACTCCTGAGCTCAGGTGATCCGCCCACTTGGCCTCCCAAAGCTTTGGGATTACAGGTGTGAGCCACTGCGCCTGGCCTCTTTAAGTTCATCTGTTTTAAATTGTTGTTATTTGGAGGTTTTCTGTTGCATGCAACCAGCCAAACCTAATCATAACTGACATGTTGTTCTGGTTATCTATTGCTGCATAAAGAGGAACTCCCAAAAGAACTATTTTGTCAAACTTACTGATTCTGGGGATCAGGAGTTTTGACAGGACTTTGTGGGCATGGCTTGACTCTGCTCCATGCTCTCTGGAGCCCCAGCTGGGAAGACTTGATGGTTTAGTGTGACTCAAGCAGCTGGGGACTGGGATCATCTGGAGGACTCTTCACTCACATGTCTGGCACCTGGACTGAGATAACAAAAAGACTGGACTCAGCTGGCATTGCTGACTGAAGCATCTACACATGGCTTCTCCATGTGACTTGGGCTTCCTTACAACATGGCAGTCTCTGGGCAGTCAGACTTGTTAAAAGTGGCTCAGAGGTCCTTGAGCAATTGTTCCACTGAACAAGGTGGAAGCTGTTTGGCTTCTTCCTTATTTCCTTTTTCTTTAATTTCCTCTAAAATATTTTATCTTCTTGTTTGGCCTCTTCTGACCTCGCTTCAGAAGTCATGCAGCATCAACCTTGTCTGCAGCTGCCCTGAGCCAGCAGTTCTCTACACACCCAGCATCAGCATCAAGTGAGATGCACCCAGCACGGTTGGAGCAGGCATGGGCAGAGCAATGGTAGCCAGGCTCCAGCAGGGGCTGCAACTTCTGGCACTGCTCCTACGGATGCAGATTTATACAGCTCAAACAACTGCTCTAACTTTTAAGTAACTTCTTCCAGAATAACGGCTGCCCCCAAGTCTAGCGAATGCCACCAATAAGGCATTGACAGTGTCCTGCAGTCAACAGCCAGTCTCCCCCCTCACTCCTCAGGGTCTCACTCTCTTCCTCTTCTCTGCTGTTAAAAGACTCAGGCCAGGCCAGGCATGGTGGCTCACGCCTGTAATCCCAGCACTCTGGGAGGCCGCGGCAGGTGGATCCCCTGAGGTCAGGAGTTCAAGACCAGCCTCAACAACATGGAGAAACCCTGTCTCTACTAAAAATACAAAACTAGCCAGGCATGGTGGCGCATGCCTGTATTCCCAGCTACTGGGGAGGCTGAGGCAGGAGAATCACTTGAACCAGGGAGTCGGAGGTTGCAGTGAGCCGAGATTGTGCCACTGCACTCCAGCCTGGCAACAGAGCTAGACTCCATCTCAAAACAAAAAAAAAAAAAAAAAAAAGTGAAACTATCTCAAAAAAAAGACTCAGGCCAAGACAGGTCTACACTTTCCCATCTTCTAAATTCAATTCAAAGGTCATCTAGAAGGCCAGTATGGCAAGGAAAAAACAAGTCTTCATCAAATCTAGTAGATCTAGATAAAATAAGATACAGGCCAGGCGTGGTGGCTCACACCTGTAATCCCAGCACTTTGGGAGGCCGAGGCGGGTGGATCATGAGGTCAGGAGATCAAGACCATCCTGGCTAACACGGTGAAACCCCGTCTCTACTAAAAATACAAAAAAAAAAAAAAATTAGCCGGGCACGGTGGCGGGTGCCTGTAGTCCCAGCTACTTGGGAGGCTGAGGCAGGAGAATGGCATGAACCCGGGAGGCGGAACTTGCAGTGAGCTGAGATCATGCCACTGCACTCCAGCCTGGGCGAAAGAACGAGACTCCATCTCAAAATAAAATATAAGATCCACATCTTGGTTGGGCGTGGTGGCTCACGCCTGTAATCCCAGCACTTTGGAAGGCCGAGACGGGCAGATCACGAGGTCAGGAGTTTGAGACCAGCCTGACCAACATGGTGAAACCCCATCTCTACTAAAAACACAAAAATTAGCCGGGCGTGATGGCGGGTGCCTGTTGTCCCAGCTACTCAGGAGGCTGAGGCAGGAAAATTGCTTGAGCCCGGGACACAGAGGTTGCAGTGAGCCAAGATCACACTACTGCACTCCAGCCTGGGTGACAGAACAAAACGCCATCTCAAAAAAAAAGATAAGATCCACATCTAATTTTATTGACACAGAAAATGTCAAGAACCCCAAATTTGGTTGGTTTGAAGAACATGTGAAGGGTTTGACTAGATGATGAATGTCAATATTAAATCAGCTGAAGTTTCATATACAAAATGAAGAGGAACAGCATTCAAACTTAGTTAAGACACAATTTCCTTGAGTGGCCAGGCATGGTAGTCATGCCTGTAATCCCAGCACTTTGGGAGGCCAAGGTGAGCAGATCGCTTGAGCCCAGGAATTCAAGACCAGCCTGGGCAACATGGTGAAACCCCATCTCTATAAAAAATGGAAAAATTAGCTGGGCATGGTGGTATATGCCTATAGTCCCAGCTACTCGGGAGGCTGAAGTGGGAGGGTCGCTTGAGCCCAGGAGGTCAAGGCTGCAGTGAGCTGTGATCATGCCATTGTGTTCCAGCCTGGGTGACAGAGTGAAAATGTGCCTTGAAATAAAATTTTCCTTTGAATACGGCTTAAGAAATATGGCCACTTAAAACTCTACCTTGAAAATAAATATAGATTTTATCTTATCTAGAGGTAGAGTGGGAAGTTTTCATTTGGTACATTAAATCTATAAGGCCATAAACAGGTAATATAAAAAGCTTTCATAATTCAATTTATATATAACATGAGAAGGAACTTCCAGGTGTTACTATGAATCTTCTATGTATAGTTACAGTCAATATACTTTATATAAGAGATAATTTTAATACCAATATAATCTAGATAACATTTTACTTTGTTATGTTATCATTGTTCTCTTGGGGAATAAATTTTTTCCTCTGAGGCTCTGGATTTGACATTGAATTTTGTGTGTACTAATTGACATGTGCCAGGGCAATGATGGACTGGAATCCACCCCCAAATCAAAGCATCATGGTAAATCTTGCTTATCCTTATAAAGTCAAATGATAGACATTTCCCATCACCTATTTCTATTCAACAAGAGCACCAGATTCAGTTAGCTAATCTGCTTCCAAAGAGTAGAACTGCATTGAGCTCAAATAATTTCAAAATACTGACTTTTTTTTATTTATTTATTTATTTTTTAGATGTGGTCTTGCTATGTTGCCCGGGCTGGTCTCTAACTCCTGGGCTCACACGATCCACCCACCTCGGCCTCCCAGCATGCTGGGATTACAGGCGTGAACCACCATACCCAGCCTATTTCTGCGTATGTTAAACATGCTTTACAATTTTAAAAATGAACTGTTTTGAAGGTAAAATTACAAATCTTGAAATTAAAAAAGCAAATATGTAAAGGAGCAAAAACTATAAATCAAACATTTGAGAAGAGAAAATTGGAGGCTAACTTGTATTAAATTCACAAAAACTTCTATACTTTCTGTAAATACTTTTTTAAAAAACTATAGATCAGAGGCTAGGCGCAGTGGTTCACGCCTGTAATCCTAGCACTTTGGGAGGCCGAGGCGAGTGGATCACTGAGGTCAGGCGTTCGAGACCAGCCTGACCAACATGGAGAAACCCCATCTCTACTGAAAATACAAAATTAACTGGGCGTGGTGACGCATGCCTGTAATCCCAGCTACTCGGGAGGCTGAGGCAGGAGAATCGCTTGAACCAGGGAGGCAGAGGTTGTGGTGAGCCGAGATTGCGCCATTGCACTCCAGCCTGAGCAAAAAGAGCAAAACTCAGTCTCACAACAAACAAAAAAACTATAGATCAGAATAACCACCTTTAGAACACTTTCGGTTATCAGTCAATATTTTTAGATAGAAGCTGGTAGTAAGCCTAAAGTGGGCTTAATTCTGCAGTAAACAACTGCCTCAACACATAGAAATCTTTTTTAAAATAGGCACTCTTGGCCGGGCGCGGTGGCTCATGCCTGTAATCCCAGCACTTTGGGAGGCCGAGGCGGGCGGATCACGAGGTCAGGAGATCGAGACCATCCTGGCTAACACGGTGAAACCCTGACTCTACTAAAAATACCAAAAATTAGCCGAGCGTGGTGGCGGGTGCGTGTAGTCCTAGCTACTCGGGAGGCTGAGGCAGGAGAATGGCGTGAACCCGGAAGCTGGAGGTTGCAGTGAGCCGAAATCGTGCCACTGCACTCCAGCCTGGGTGACATAGCAAGACTCCATCTCAAAAAAAAAAATAAAAAATAAATAAAATAAAATAAAATAGGCACTCTTGCGGGAGGTGGCAGCTCATGCCTATAATTGCAGAACTTTGGGAGGCCGAAGTGGGCAGATTGCTTGAGCCCAGGAGTTTGAGACCAGCCTGGGCAACATGCCGAAACCCCATCTCTACTAAAAACACAAAAAGTTAGCCGGGCGTGGTGGCACACACCTGTGGTCCCAGCTACTGGGGAGGCTGAGGTGGGAGAATCACCCAAGCCCAGAAGGTAGAGGCTGCAGTGAGCTGTGATCATGCCACTGCACTCCAGCCTGGGTGACAGAGTGAGACCCTGTCTCAAAATAATAATAATAATAATAATAATAATAGGCCCTCCTTGAAGTTTTTTGTTTGCACAGTCACACAGTGATGCTTAGATGTTCCAGTATCTAATATAGCCACAGTAGGCTGCAAGCAGTGGCTCATACCTGTAATCCCAACACTTTAGGAGGCTGAGGCAGGAGGATCACTTGAACCTAGGAGTTTGAGACCAGCCTGGCCAACATGGCAAAACCCCATGTCTAAGAAAATATATATTTTTAACTTTTTTAACAATATCAAAAATAAGAATCACATAAATAAACAGATTCTTCAAATTCTGAAAAGAGCCACAAAGCTTTATAAATTGTACAGGGGCATGAACTCGTAAGGTATTATAATTGCCTGGCACATAGTAGGCTCTCAATACATTTGCAAACTCCACACACACCTTACTTTCTTTTGCTTTATTTTTCTCTATTTATCTGCATTAACATGCTATGTAACACATAACTATACATTAACGTTTTACAAATTACAAATTTTTCTTGTTTTTTTTTTTTTTTTTTTTGAGACAGAGTCTCACTCTGTCGCCCAGGCTGGAGTGCAGTGGGCTCACTGCAACCTCCGCCTCCCAGGTTCAAGCCAGTCTCCTGCCTCAGCCTCCCAAGTAGCTGGGATTGTAGGCGCCCGCCACCACGCCCGGCTAATTTTTTATATTTTTAGTACAGACGGGGTTTCACCGTGTTAGCCAGGATGGTCTCGATCTCCTGACCTCGCAATCTGCCCACCTCGGCCTCCCAAAGTGCTGGGATTACAGGCGTGAGCCACCGCGCCTGGCCTTTTTTTTTTTTTTTTTTTTTTTTTTTTTCAGACGGAGTTTCGCTCTTGTTGCCCAGGCTGGAGTGCAATGGCTCAGTCTTGGCTCACTGCAACCTCCGCCTCCCGGGTTCAGGCGATTCTCCTGCCTCAGCCTCCCGAGTAGCTGGGATTACAGGTGCGTGCCACCACGCCCGGCTAATTGTTTGTATTTTTAGTGCAGACGGGGTTTCACCATATTGGTCAGGCTGGTCTCGAACTCGTGACGTCAGGTGATCCACCCGCCTCGGCCTCCTAGAGTGCTGGGATTACAGGCGTGAGCCACTGCGCCCAGCCCATTTTACAGACTTTTATTTTGTTCAGTTTCTTTATTGTCTTCCCAACGTCCCCCCACACACACTGCACTAAAATGCAAACTTCACGAAGGCAAGGAGGAACTTTTGCCTGTATTGTTCACCTCAGTGTCCCCAGAGCCTAGGTCAGTTGTTGGCATATTGAGGGACATTCAATAAATATTTAAGGAGTGAATAAACAATTGGATACCCAATAAATGCATGTATGAATAAACACATTCTTAGTTATTCGGAATATGAGGATTTGCGGAGAGTGGACAGCAGGGGATTGAGGAGACCGGCTGGGACTGGGAAATGGGCATTCGGGTCGCATGCCCACCGCAGTGGCCCAGAGCCCCTGTCCGGACCGCTAACAAGTTGCTTAGCAACCCGCCGCCCGGCCCTCGGCCACCGCTAGAGGGCGAGCGGGCGGGGAGACGTGCACGCGCGCGCGCGTGCGTGCAAGCGTGTGTGCGCGCGTGCGCGGCGCGGGCTTGGGAGGGAGCACGTCACTTCCTGTTGCCTTAGGGGAACGTGGCTTTCCCTGCAGAGCCGGTGTCTCCGCCTGCGTCCCTGCTGCAGCAACCGGAGCTGGAGTCGGATCCCGAACGCACCCTCGCCATGGACTCGGCCCTCAGCGATCCGCATAACGGCAGTGCCGAGGCAGGCGGCCCCACCAACAGCACTACGCGGCCGCCTTCCACGCCCGAGGGCATCGCGCTGGCCTACGGCAGCCTCCTGCTCATGGCGCTGCTGCCCATCTTCTTCGGCGCCCTGCGCTCCGTACGCTGCGCCCGCGGCAAGGTAGGGTCAGCGGGAAAACCGGGCACTTTCCACCCCCATACCGAACACGGCCGACATGGACCCTTCCTAGGCGGGACAGACACCTCTCCCCGGACACTGACTCTTCCCAGCCCTGATCACCACCGTTCCCTCTGTCTCGGGCCCACATTCCGGGGCTGGCATTTCCTACCCCGGGATCTGGGCACCGACCCCCGACCAGGGTATGATACCTTCCCCAATAGGAACTTGCTTCTGCTCCCGACCCGGACCCTGACACTTCCCTCCCTGTGCATCATGCCGCGGCTGGGAACGCTGTCAGCCCGTCCCCCACTGCGACTCGGGCACTGATTGTTCTGAGCCTGTTGGGCCCAGGCAGATCAGCCCCATCATGTATACCTGATGGATACTGGTCCTCACAACTTACTGAATGGTACAATTTCGTGTCATTCCCTGTTAGGAACCCTGCCTCAGCCCACCGCAGGGCCCTTTCTACCATCCAGACCCATCCCTAGACTCTGACTCCTGTCTCACTGGAATCTATGGCACCTTATGTGCTCACCTAGATCCCCCACACCTGGCCCTTGCCCCTGCCTCAAAAACAATGATCTCTTAGAGCCCAGTTTTTCACATCACTTTCTGGAACCATCCCAGTCAGCTGGCTCCTCAGAAGCTGGCATCTTGGTGCCTCTACTTTCCAACTAGGCATGGACGTCTTATTTTCCTGGTTTCCTCTCTTAACTACCATCCAACCTTGGACATGGCCTAGTCAAAACCTAGACCTTGTTCCTAACCTGTAACCCTTTTCCCACCCAGCCTTTGACCCTATCTCAAAGTAGCCCTTCTCCCCATACCCCCAAGACAATCCCCCCACCAAACTGGGCCTGTCTGCTGGGCCACTGTTGGCCCCTCTTGTGAGACTGGGCCAGACTCCATCCCTGGCCTTCCTCAACATCTGTCCTATTGGATAACTAGGAGGACTCCAGCACATTTCACCTTCTGCTTCTCCCTCCCCCTTCCCTGCCCCACTTCTTCCCTATATTAAGCCCTTTCTAGCCCGTTGTACCAATGACTTTTCACTTCCTGGCACCCTCTCCCTTCCTCCACAACCTCTTAATCTGCACCTTCCCGATGCTCCTCCCCCACCCAGACCTGAGGATGGACCTAAGTGGAAGTCTTGCCCAAAGAGGGCAGGCCCACAAAGCAGCTGCCACTTTTGAAACTGCTGAAGCTGAGGTTCTCAAAACACTACCCAACTTGAGCAGTAGCTGAGGCCTGCCATCTTCCTTCCCCAGGAGCAGAGAACTCACTACTGGCTCTGTATGCGATCAGATGCAAAGGAAAGTAGTTAGGCGGGGCTTAGGCTGAGAGACTCAAACATGACTCCATTTTCCTTTTTATTTGGCTTTTTCTAAGCTGAGTTCAGGTGATATTAAGCCTCTCTACTATGCCTGTCAGGTAGACACTTAGTGTAGAGAGCAGTTCTGAGATAACCCAGGACAGAGGAGGCGAAGGACAGCTGGCATAAGGCTAGGCAGCTTGATCTGAGCTGCTCTCCAAACTGAGTAATTCTCCCTGGCACCTTCTGTACATGGATCACTAATCTCTGCAGAAAACACCTTCCAGGCAACAGTATTTCCTGAACTTCCACCACTGTCAGGGGTAAGGGAGGATTGCTGCAAAGATGAGTAGGTCAGAGCCCTGTCACCAAGGAATTCGGGAGCGTAGGTGAAAGAATAATAACTAGATTGTGATTATACTACAAGCAATGCTACAAGGTTTAGGGAGAAAGATTGAGCACATCTGGGACAATGCAGGGAGGCTTTGTGCTAGAGGTAGGCCTGAGCCTTGACGTAGAGGTAGAATTTCAGCCAGGAGAAGGCATTCTAAGCAAAAGAAACCAGGTAAGCAGAGAGAGGTACGGAGGCAGGAGGCTACGAGGCAGTTCAGGAAATAGTGGAAGGTTTGGTGTGGCTGGAACAGAGGGTATGGATAGGAGAAAGCCTTAGCCTCTGAATACCTCTCCCAAGCATCTCCTGCAGGGCAGCAGGGTGTGGAGGACTGTATGAATTTACAAACAGGACCTGACCATTAAGAGCCTGCCACCACCAATGACCCAGATGCGGTAAAGCTTGCAAAACCTTGACGCCCTTTGATGCTCACAGCAACTGAGGTGGCAGGCAGAGCCAGTTTCATTATCCTCATTGTACAGGAAAAGAAACTGAGAGTCAAAGAAATGACTTCTGAAGATCACTCTGCCATTTAGGGGCAGAATCAGGTATGCCTAGTCCTCATCCAGGGCTCTCTCCTAACACAGGTACCTTTAAAGACAAGCAGCATTGACCTAGGGAAAGGACAGGGCAAATGACTCCCCTTCTACCCTGAGTCGTTTCCCTGGTCATGTGAAAAGGAGAGAGAAGAGTTAGTGTGGGGACCCAGTTTTGATTTCCCACCAGTGTTGGACCCCAAAACCAGTTGGGAGAGAGGGAATGTGAGGACAGAATCCCCAAGGGTCAAGGTGTCCATAACAGGCAGGGAAAATTGTGAAATCATGGAGAGAAAGAAGGTAGAGCCTCCAGGAGTATGTTGTGAAGAAGTAGCCTTGGGAGGAGCAGTCTCAGAGCAGCACCCATCACTGTCAGAGTCCTATATCCCAGACAGAAGCGAATATGACCCAGGCAGTAGCTGCACATTAAACATTGGTTTAAAGGGCCCTCAGCGAACAGGACTGGGTGCCTGCTGTGGGCTAGGCTCTGGGCTGGGTACCAGGAGTTCCGGGACAAAGAAGGCCAAGCCCTGCCCTCACTGAGCCCAGTCACCAAGGAGAAACAGACATGTGACTAGTCAAGTAAATAGAGCTCTGATAGGCCTCCTGGAGGGGGCAGCAGTTGTCTCTGCATGGATTGGGAGAGTCCAACAGGCAGAGCAGGAGAAGGTGGGGCAGGGGACCACAAGATGTGTTCAGGGAGGCAGTGAAGAGTGTGGTGTGAGCCCAGGAGAGGGGCTTGGATGTAGTGACAAGATGTTCAGGAAGCCCGTGGCCTTTCTGGGGAAGAGAATCCTGAAAGCAATGCAGCGGTTAATCGTATTGTTACAAAAATACTATACACTTGTTAAAAAAAAAAAAAATCAAGCAGTGCAGAAGTATAAAGGAAAAGCCTCCTGGGCACTATTCCTTGGAAGTAACCCAACTGGCTGTTGAGTATATAACCTTTGAGAGTTTTTTCTGTGTTTACACATTCATTGTATATGTGTCTGTGTATATAGACATGTAAATTTATTTTTATAAAAATTGGATTATATAGTACATATTTCTCTACAACTTGATTTTTTTTTTTTTTTGAGATGGAGTTTCACTCTTGTTGCCCGGGCTGGAGTGCAATGGCGTGATCTTGGCTCATTGCAACTTCTGCCTCCCAGGTTCAAGCAATTCTCCTGCCTCAGCCTCCCATGTAGCTGGGATTACAGGCTGGCACCACCACGCCTGGCTAATTTTGTATTTTTAGTAGAGACGGGATTTCTCCATGTTGGTCAGGCTGGTCTCAAACTCCCGACCTCAGGTGATCCACCCTCCTCGGCCTCCCAAAGTGCTGGGACTACAGGCATGAGCCACCGCGCCCAGCAATTTTTTTTTTTTCTTTAACAATATGTTGGCCAGGCACAGTGGCTCATGCCTGTAATCCCAGCACTTTTGGGAGGCCGAGGCAGGTGGATCACTTGAAGTCAGGAGTTCAAGACCAGCCTGGCCAACATGGTGAAGCCCCATCTCTACTAAAAATACAAAAATTAGCTTTGTGTGGTGGGGCACGCCTGTAATCCCAGCTACTCGGGAGGCTGAGGCACAAGAATCGCTTGAACCCGGGAGGCACAGGTTGCAATGAGCCGAGATCATGCCACTGCACTCCAGCCTGGTCGACAGAGTGAGACTCCATCTCAAAAATAATAATAATAATAATATGTTTCATTATTTTTCTATGTCAGTACATATAGACCTAAAGTTAACCAGACATGATGGCATGCACCTGTAGTCCTAGCTACTCTGGAGGTTGAGGCGAGAGGATAACTTGAGCCCAGGAGTTCAAGGCTGCAGTGAGCCCTGATTGCACCACTGGGCAACAGTGAGACCCTGTCTCAAAAAATATATACATATATATATAGAGAGAGAGAGAGAGAGATCTACCTCATCTTTTATGGTGGGGAGGGTAGGTAATACATGCCCATGGTACAGAATTCAAAAGGTACAAAGGGGTGCACAGTGAAAGTCTCCCTGCTACCCCAAGCTGCCCTATTTCCCTCCTCAGAGGCAGCCCCTCTCCTGTGTTTCTTAGATATCCATCCAGAAAGATTCTGTGTCTTTACAAATAAATAGGCATATACTTTTCCCTGATTTTTTTTGTTGTTGTTTTAATGAGACCGAGTCTCACTCTGTCACCCAGGCTGGAGTGCAATGGCATAACCTCAGCTCACTGCACGCTCCATCTCTTGGGTTCAAGCGATTCTTCTGCCTCAGCCTCCCGAGTAGCTGGGATTGCAGGCACCTGCCATCATGCCTGGCTAATTTTTGTATTTTTGCAGAGATGGGGTTTCACCAGGTTGTCCAGGCTGGTCCTGAACTCCTGACCTCAGGTGATCCACCCGCCTTGGCCTCCCAAAGTGCTGGGATTACAGGCGTGAGCCACCACGCCTGGCCAGTACACTCTTCCTTGCACCTTGCTTTTTTCACCTAATGTGTGTTGCAGATCCAATCATGTCAGTACATAGGGGGTGGGTGTGTTCTTTAACAGCTGTATGGTATCCCACTTGTACTCCAGTTTGCTTAGAATGCTAGTTCTCTAGTATCTGGTCCCTGGGCCAGCAGTGTCAGCATCACCCCAGAACTTGTTAGAAATGCACATTCTGAATCAGAAGCTCAAGGTGGGCCCAGCAATGTGTGTTTTAACAAGCCCACCTGGTGATTCTGATGCATGCTCAAATTTGAGAATTTGAGTCCCCAACTGGTCATTTAGGTTGTTTCAGTCTTTTGCTATTACAAACCATGCTGAAATTAATAACATTATACATTTTTATTTCACACTTGTCTGTGTATTTGTGGGATAAATTTCTCAAAATTGGTGGGTCGAAGGCTATGCACACTTTTTTTTTTTTTTTTTTTGAGACAGTCTCGCTCTGTTGCCCAGGCTGAGTGTGAGTGCGGTGGTGCCATCTCAGCTCACTGCAACCTCTGCCTCCTGGGTTCAAGCAATTCTCCCACCTCAGCCTCTTGAGTAGCTGGGATTACAGGATTACAGGCGCGCACCCACCACACCTGGCTAATTTTTATGTTTTTCATACAGATGGGGTTTTACCATGTTGGCCAGGCTGGTCTCAAACTCCTGACCTCAGGTGATCTGCCCGCCTTGGCCTCCTAAAGTGCTGGGATTACAGGCGTGAGCCACTGTTCCCAGCCCACACTTTTTATTTAGATAGATTTTACCATATGATCCACTATAGAGGTTGTATCAGTTTACTTTCCCACCAGCAATGACCTCAATTCTTGTTTAATGGCTGTGGAGTAGTCTGTTCTCCAGAGGTTTTGTTTTTTTGTTGTTGTTTTTGTTTGTTTGTTTGTTCATTTGTTAGAGTCTCACTCTTTGGCCAGGCTGGAGTGCAGTGGTGTGATCTTGGCTCACTGCAACCTCCGCCTGCCAGGTACAAACAATTCTCATGCCTCAGCCTCCCAAGTAGCTGGAATTACAGGCGCGTGCCACTACGCCTGGCTAATTTTTATATTTTTAGTAGTGACAGGGTTTCACCATGTTGGCCAGGCTGGTCTCGAACTCTTGACCTCAAGTGATCCGCCCACCTCGGCCTCCCATAGTGCTGGGATTACAGGTGTGAGCCACTGTGCCTGGCTTCTCCAGAGGTTTTTAAGCAGATACGTGATACAATCAGGTGTAGGCTTTAGAAAGAGCTCATGGCAGGGTGGGTGATAGGCAGGAGGGAGAAGTGTAATGTTGGTGCAGGGGTTGTGAAGACAGCAATGCAGCAATGAGGGCCAAAGGATTGGGGTGGGAAGTTAGGAAAGGTAACCTTGGAGAGCTGAGTGACTGGATGTTGTGGTAAAGAATGGAGACTCTGGAGTCTCCAGCTGGGTCAACAGTAACAGAATGGCCCATGAATTTCAGATCATTTCCAGGGCATGGCGTAGAAGCAGTGCTCCGAGAGCTTGAACCGTGCCAATGGCTTGAAGCAGGCATCTGTCCTCTCTTACAGCTTTTGTTTCCGCTCTGATAACAACATCCAGAATGTCACTGGAAGCTACATTTACTTCTGCTGTTTGTGTCAGGTTTTTCCCCCACTTTCTAATTGTGTTTTATGTTGCAGGATCTATTGTATTTACATACACAAATCTGGTTAAAAAATCGCAATTGGATTGGTAAAGAATCCTAGCAACTTTTTAGTATTTTTGTAACTACAAAGATTAGCTGTTCAGTTACCTTCAGGATTCTGTTCCTCAGAAAGGTTGCAGGCTTCCCAAGTATCTTCCTGTTAAAACTTTCCAACCGAAATTTCCAGATAGGAAAGATAGAAATCTTCTAGGAAACAGCTCCCAAGAGTTTGGGGTCTGGAACTGGACTGCCTCAGTTTCAGTCCTGGCTCTGCCACTCACCAGCTGTGTGACACTAAGCAAGTTACTTCACCTCTCTAGACCTCCGCTTCCTCATCTGTAAAAGAGCTATTAAAAGTACCTGCTGGCCAGGCGTGATGGCTCACGCCTGTAATCCCAGCACTTCGGGAGGCCAAGGCAGGCAGATCACAAGGTCAGGATCTTGTGACAGACCATCCTGACTAACATGGTGAAACCCTGTCTCTACTAAAAATACAAAAAATTAGCTGGGCGTGGTGGTACATGCCTGTAGTCCCAGCTACTCGGGAGGCTGAGACATGAGAATTGCTTGAACCCAAGAGGCGGAGGTTGCAGTGAGCCAAGATTGCACCACTGCATTCCAGCCTGGGCAACAGAGCGAGACTCCATCTCAAAAAAAAAAAAAAAAAGTACCTGCTTTGTGGGGTTTTTGTGAGGATGAAAACATGTAAAGTACCTAGAACAGTGCAGTAATGTTATTGTTATTACTATTATCGTCAGATTTCAGGTCTCCCATTCTTTTTTTTTTTTTTTTTTTAATGGAGGCAGAGTATCTCCATGTTGCCCATGCTGGTCTCAAACTCCTGGGCTCAACCGATCTGCCCACCTTGACCTCCCAAAGTGCTGGGATTACAGTCCAGTCTCCCATTCTGACTCAGCATTGCAGCATGGGATATTTATAAGTCACCCGCAAAGGAGACCAGAGTCCTCTGTGTAATGGAGAGGATCTGTCCAACCTTGGTTTGTCACTGAATAAGATTAGGCCTCTTCCCACCCAGGGTGCTGAGCTGAATTGAAAGGAATATGTGGAAATGAGCCATAATGCTGGTTTGTAGGTGAAGCCACAGAGTCCTGCGTGTCCTTTGACAGCCCTGAGCCTCTGCATGTGCATATCTTTCTGCCTGATAAGCACTTCCTTTCCTTGTACACAAAGCACACTCCTCAAGCCGGGCATGGTGGCTCACACCTGTAATCCCAGCACTTTGGGAGGCCAAGGCAGGCAGATCATCTGAGGTCAGGAGTTTGAGACCAGCCTGGCCAACATGGTGAAACCCCATCTCTACTAAAAATACAAAATTAGCTGGGTGTGGTGGCAGGTGCCTATAATCCCAGCTACTCAGGAGGCCGAGGCAGAGAATCACTTGATTTGTAGTGAGCTGAGATTGTGCCATTGCACTCCAGCCTGTGCAAAAAGAGCAAAACTCCACTAAAAAAAAACAAAAAAAAAAAACTGACAAGCTGACTCCTAAACCCAGTCAGCATTTGTCTGGCTCCAGACTACCAGACACTGTGCTTGACCATCAAGGCCTTGCTTAAGTGGTACCTGCTCTTGCCACCTCTGACTCCCTTACTTCTCTGCAGAAATAGTGTCTTGTTGGCTGTGTCGTGATTCCGTTTTGCATAATAATGATACAAATGGTGTATACGGTTTAAATGATGACTCGAGATACAATGCTGAGTACTTCCAAAGCAGAAATCAGAATCCTCACAACTTGTTTTACAGCTGAGGAAATTGAGGCTTAGAGAAAAAAAAAATCACTTTCCCAAGGTCCCACAGCTGGGAAGTAGAGCTGGGAGTCCAAATGGACTTCCTGATCTCAGAGTCCCTTCATAACTGCTGATGTTCATACTGTGTGTCACAGTGATATACATGTCTATTGCATCATGTGTCACACTACATTATAATAGCCTGTTTGGGGTTTTTTTTGGGAGGGGGGCTTTTTTTTTTTTATGAGACAGAGTCTCGCTCTGTTGCCGAGGCTGGAGTTCAGTGGCACGATCCCCACTCACTACGGCCTCCACCTCCCGGGTTCAAGCAATTCTCCTGCCTCAACCTCCTGAGTAGCTGGGACCATAGGCGCACAATATCACACCCGGCTAATTTTTGTATTTTTAGTAGAGACGGGGTTTCACCATGTTGGCCAGGCTGGTCTTTTTTTTTTTTTGAGACAGAGTCTCGCTGTCCACCCAGGCTGGAGTTCAGTGGCTCAGTCTCGGCTCACTGCAACCTCCACCTCCCAGGTTCAAGCTATTCTCCTCCCTCAGCCTCCCAAGTAGCTGGGATTACAGATGCACACCAGCACGCCCAGCTAATTTTTGTATTTTTAGTAGAGACAAGGTTTCACCATGTTGGCCAGGCTGATCTCGAAATCCTGACCTCAGGTGATCCGCCCGCCTCCATCTCCCAAAGTGCTGGGATTACAGGCATGAGCCACCACGCCCAGCCAGTTTTGCTGTGCATTCCATAAAATAGAATACGTGTTCCCTGTAATATGTATCATGTCACAGTATTAACCTACCTGCCTGTGAGTGTTTCAAGATCAGGAACTCATTTTTGTACCCATACTACTGCTACACAGGAAATGTATTGAATGTGTGGAGATGCTCAGAGGGGATGAGGAACTTGCCCAAGTCCCACAGCACACTGCTGGCAAAAGCAGAAGCCAAGGGTTGGGAGAGAATAGGGAAGGAAGGAAACTGGGCCTCTCATGTGGGTATTGTTCACCCACCCCACTCCCACCTCCTAGCAAAGCTGTCCAAGTGACTCACATGGAGCTGCCTCCAGTGGCTCCAGAGGGGAGGGTCTCCCTTCCAGCCCAGAGCCTGGGCTGCCTCAGCCATGCATAGGCAAGGGTGTGGTTAGGGGCCTCCTCACTCACCTCTCCCTGATAGTCACAACCCCCAATACAGGCACAGTACTTTAGTTTGCCAGGCTGTTTCGCATCCCATATCTTATTTGCTTTAAGACTCCTATGGGGCTGGGTGTGGTGGTTCACGCCTATAATCTCAGCATTTTGGGAGGCCAAGGCAGGAGGATCACTTGATGCCAGGAGTTCAAGGCTGCAGTGAGCTATGATCCTGCCACTGCACTCCAGCTTGGGCAACAGAGAGAGACCCTGTCACTTTTCTTTAAAAAAAAAAGAAGGCTCTTGGACCTTTTTTGAAGTGAGGCTAGAGATTGTCCTCCTGTTTGACAGAGAAGTAAACCCAGTCACTCAGCAAGCCGTTAACAGAGCAAGGAATACCTTGGATACACTTTATGTGTAGCATTTTACTTATTTATGAACTATATCTGTAGGGAGAATTCCCACAGATGGAATTGCTTGGTCAAAGGGTATGTGCATTTGTAATTTTTTGTGTATTGCCTAGTTGCTTTCTACAGGAAGACAGATTGACTCCCATAGGCAGTGTGGGAGACTACATCTTTCCCCGTAGCCCCACCGACTCAGTATGTTACCCAGTGTGTGGATTCTTACCTTTCCGATAGACAAAAAACAGAATCTCAGTGTGCTTTAGTTTGAGCTCTTATTAAGAGTGAGAATAAAGACTTTTTTTATTATTATTAAGAGCCATTTGTAGTTCTTGTTGTGTGGCTTTTTTTTTTTTTTTTTTTTTTAGATGGAGTCTCGCTCTGTCGCCCAGGCTGGAATGCAGTGGCACAATCTTGGCTC
Organism: Homo sapiens; assembly: GCF_000001405.40. Taxonomy (NCBI): domain Eukaryota; kingdom Metazoa; phylum Chordata; class Mammalia; order Primates; family Hominidae; genus Homo; species Homo sapiens. The sequence continues at coordinate 31,524,788 of NC_000020.11, forward strand.
ACTGCACGCTCCGCCTCCCGGGTTCATGCCATTCTGCTGCCTCAGCCTCCCGAGTAGCTGGGACTACAGGCGCCCGCCACCACATCTGGCTAATTTTTTCTATTTTTAGTAGAGATGGGGTTTCACCACGTTAGCCAGGATGGTCTTGATCTCCTGACCTCACGATCCGCCTGCCTCGGCCTCCCAAAGTGCTGGGATTACAAGCGTGAGCCATTGTGCCCGGCCTCTGTGGCTCCTCTTTTTGTATCTTTGGGCATGTGGAAATTTCAGTCTAATGCATCCTGCCAAATTACCCTCCCGAAAAGGCTGGACAGGTTTATACTTTAGGCCAGTGCTGTCTATGTATTTCCTTTAGCCAGGCACAGTGGTGCATGCCTGTAATCCCAGCTACTTGGGAGGCTGAGGCAAGAGGATTACTTAAACCCAGGATTTCGAATCTAGCCCACACCTCCCTCTCCTAGTAGTCATTTTGTGGGCTTACTGCCCTCTGCCCCATCTCCTTCCCTCTTTGCAACCTTCCACCTGGGACACTAGGGCCTCTCTGAGCCAGTCTTACCTTCTCCAGACACCCTCTCTCTTAGCAGGTTTTTTATTGTTGGTTTTTGTCAGCCAAAATATTTGTGAGTCTCCATAACTGAATGTGATCCCTTCTTCTAGGGATGCTGGTGCTTTACTTGCAAGATGGATATGGTGATAGTAGAATCTCAGGCACTGTAATGAGCCTGGCTACTATGGAAAGAACTTCAGCATGAGCAGGAGTCTAATCTGGCATTGCTAGGACTTTTGGTAGCCATGATATAAAACAGTTGCAGAGTAGGCTTGTCCCAGCGGGGAAATCTGGAAGGGCTTCGTGGCAGTGACATTTACTAGGCCCTTGAGGACTGTGAGGATTTTGCCTAGCAGAGAGAGGGCAGGTAGAGACCACTGTGATCCTGGAAGCTTTTGACCCTGTTTGGAATACAAATTTATACCAAAAAAAAAAGAAAAAAAGAAAAGAAAGAAAAGAAATTTATACCAGTACTATATATCATTGATAAATTTTCATTAGAAAGTTCTGGCCAGGTACAATGGCTCACACCTATAAGTCCAGCACTTTGTGAGGCTAAGGCGGGTAAATCACCTGAGGCCAGGAGTTTGAGACCAGCCTGGCCGACATTGTGAAACCCCCTCTCTGCAAAAAACACAAAAATTAGCCAGGTATGGTGGCATGTGCCTGTAGTCCCAGCTACTTGAGAGGCTGAGGCGGGAGAATTGATTGAACCAGGAGGCAGAGGTTGCCGTGAGCCAAGATTGCACCACTGCACTCCAGCCTAGGTGACAGAGCTCATGAGACTCCATCTCAAAAAACAAAAAAGAAAGTTCGTCATAAATCCTTTTTTTTTTTTTTTAGACGGAGTCTTGCTGTGTCTCCCAGGCTAGAGTGTTCAGTTGTGCGATCTCAGCTGACTGCAACCTCCACCTCCTGGGTTCAAGCGATTCTCCTGACTCAGCCTCCTGAGTAGCTGGGATTATAGGTGCCCGCCACTGCGCCCGGCTAATTTTTGTATTTTTAGTAGAGACGGGGTTTCACCATGTTGGCCAGGCTGGTCTCAAACTCCTGACCTTGTGATCCACCCGCCTCGGCCTCCCAAAGTGCTGGGATTACAGGCGTGAGCCACTGCGCCTGGCCTTCTTTGGCATAAATTCTATGAAGCTAATCTATTCCTATGTTGATCTGTTACTCCATTTTCAATTCTTTTCCATTTTTATAATACTGAAATTATTTTGATTGCATTCAGTTCTTTTTCATGTAAATATTTATCCTTCATCAGTTCTTTACCCACATCACATTCTTGCCAACTATAGCATCTGCCATTATAAATTTAATTGTGGCTTTTATTTTTACCATTTTCAAGTCTGCCAGTCAAATTTCTTAAATTTAAGTTTTGTCAAGATTTGCTTCTCCTCACAGTTGGTGTCTCCCTATGTGCAGTTTCAGCCATTGTCTGTCTTGTTTGTTGTTAATTTCAACTCATAATATTCATTACCTACTGGATGACAGAATAGTCATTTTTCCCTCTTGGCTGATCCATTAGAAAACTGAAAACAATTTTCTTCGAGAGGTCTGAAACTGCTGTGGCATCACTGGTGTCCAGGTTTTCTTCTCTCAGTTATTCCATACTGGAATGGCCTCTGCCATAGCCCTTCTCCCCAGATGTGTCACACATGCCCTGGGTTCTCCTTGGTCTCTTGATCAGGGTCCAGATCTCCTCATGGTAGAATGGCAGGATCAGCCAGGCATGGTGGTTCATACCTGTAATCCCAGCACTTTGGGAGGCCGAAGCAGGTGGATCACTTGAGGTCAGTTCGAGACCAGCCTAGCCAACATGGTAAAACTCCATCTCTGCTAAAAATACAAAAATTAGCTGTGCATGGTTGTGCATGCCTATAGTCCCAGCTACTCGGGAGGCTGAGGCAGGAGAATCGCCTGAACCCAGGAAGCGGAGGCTGTAGTGAGCCAAGATTGTGCCACTTCATTCCAGCCTGGGTGATAGAGCAAGACTCCATCTCAAAAAAAAAAAAATGGCAAGATCAGAGCATCTTGCCCCAGGATGAGGCAGGCAGCATCCCTAGCCAAGGGAATAGCATTAGCAGAGCCTTGCAGGAACATATGGGAACCAGCCGTGCTGAGCCATTGTCATTCTTCTCTCCTCTAGAATGCTTCAGACATGCCTGAAACAATCACCAGCCGGGATGCCGCCCGCTTCCCCATCATCGCCAGCTGCACACTCTTGGGGCTCTACCTCTTTTTCAAAGTAAGTCTTTTGCCACCTGTTGTGTCATTTGATCTAAATGACTTTATCTTATTTTGTTTTATTTTTCCCATCACAAGAACCATGCATGTTCATTTATAGAAAATAAAGAAGAAAGAAAAATTAATAATTCACCCATAGACCTACCCAAAGACAACAACTGTTAGTGTTTGGGACCCTTTCTCACTAGTCCGTATTTCTTTTCTCCATGTAGCTTTTTGTTTTGTTTTTGTGATATCAGTTTGGTTTCATTGTACTGTTTATGTTGGGATGGGGTATAGCTTGTGCTCAGACATACCTCTACCATACTAATGGCCTTTTTTTTTTTTTTAATTTATCGAGGTTTATTTTCCCAATAAAAGTTATGCAGGCTCAGTGTTGAAAACCTGGAAAACACAGAAAAGTAAAAAGGGAAAAACAGCAGTCATCCAAAACCCCACTACCAGAGACAGTCACAGTTTCCCTTCGGAGGTGTGTCCTTCCACTGTTTCTCCCTGTGCATGGTTTCTCCGTAGCTGTGACCACATGGTGTATTCAGTTTGTAGCTGCTTTTTTCACTTCACATTAATAACATCATAAACATTTTCTCATGTTACTGCAAACCTTCCTTAGTTGTACTATTTTCTGGATTATAAAAATATATTCAGAAAAACTAAAGAAAGTATATCAATAGAGGGAAAAATAAATACCACAACACAGAAGTAGTCATTAACATTTTGGCATATCTCATTTCGGGCTTTTTATTTATTTATTTTAGGACAGAGTCTCACTCCGTCCCCCAGGCTGGAGTGCAATGGCGCCATCACAGTTCACTGCAGCCTCAACCTCTTAGGCTCAAGAGATCCTCCTGCCTCAGCCTCCCAAGTAGCTGGGATTATAGGCACGCACCACCACACCCTGCTAATGTTTTCTTTTTTGAGACGGAGTCTCGCTCTGTCACCCAGGCTGGAGTGCAGTGGCGCAATTTCGGCTCACTACAACATCCACCTCCCAGGTTCAAGTGGTTCTCCTGCCTCAGCCAGCTGAGTAGCTAGGATTACAGACGCGCGCCACCACGCCCAGCTAATTTTTGTATTTTTAGTAGAGACAGGGTTTCACTGTGTTGGTCAGGCTGGTCTCAAACTCCTGACCTCATGATCCACCCGCCTTGGCCTCCCAAAGTGCTGGGATTACAGGCGTTAGCCACTGCACCCGGCCAACTTTTTCTTTTAGTAGAAACAAGATTTCGCTTTGTTGCCCAGTCTGGTCTCAAACTCCTGGGCTCAAGTGATCCTCCCACCTCTCCCTCCCAAAGTGCTGGGATTACAGGCGTAAGCCACTGCATCCATCCCTTTCAGCCTTTTAATAAGTGTATGTTTAGCATTATTATAATCATAACTGTAGTGTTAGATCTTCTTTTTGTTGTTTATGTTAGGTTTTTCTTTGTTTATTGGTTTGTTTAGAGACAGGGTCTCACTCTTGCCCAGCCTGGAGTGCACTGGTGCAATCATGGCTCACTGCAACCTCAATTCCTGGACTCAAGTGGAAAACCGACTGATTTTGTTTTATTGTATTTTATTTTTAGAGACAGGGTTTTACTATGTTGCCCAGGCTGGTAACAAACTCCTTGGCCTCCTGAAGCACTAAGATTACAGATGTAAGCCACTATGCCAGGCCCTTGTTTTGTTTGTTTTGTTTTGTTTTTGAGACAAGGTCTTGCTCTGTCACCTAGGCTGGAGTGCCATAGTGCAATCATGGCTCACTACAGCCTCAACCTCCTGGGCTCAAGCGATCCTCCCACCCTGCCTCCAGAGTAGCTGGGACTACAAGGCGTGCACCACCACACCTAGCTAATTTTCATATTTTTAGTGGAGATGGGGTTTTGCATGTTGCCCAGGCTGGTCTCGAACTCCTGGGCTCAAGCTGTCCACCCTCCTTGGCCTTGTAAAGTGCTGGTATTACAAGCATGAGCCACCACACCTGGCCCCTTTTTGTTCTTTTTAATAGTACGTCAGCTTTTTTCCTGGTCATTGAAAATTCCTCAAGGATGTCTTTAATTTACATCTTAAAATGTAGGCTGGACGCAGTGGCCCACACCTGTGATCCCAGCACTTTGGGAAGCCGAGGTGGGTGGATCATCTGAGGTCAGGAATTCAAGACCACCCTGGCCAACAATGGTGAAACCCTGTCTCTACAAAAACTACAAAAATCCATCCTGGCCAACGTGGTGAAACCCGGTCTCTACTAAAAATACAAAAATTAACTGGGCATGGTGGCATGTGCCTGTAGTCCCAGCTACTCGGGAGTCTGAGGCAGGGGAATCGCTTGAACCCGGGAGGCAGAGGTTGCAGTGAGCTGAGATGGTGCCACTGCACTTCAGCCTGGCGACACAGCGAGACTCTGTCTCAATTAAAAAAAAAAAGTATCAATTAAAAAAAATATGTACATGTAGGCCTGGTGCAGTGGCTCACCTGTTATCCCAGTACTTTGGGAGGCTAAGGTGGGAGGATCACTTGAGCTCAGGAGTTAGAGGCCAGTGTGGGCAACATAGTGAGACCCCATCTCATTCATAGGTAAATAAATAAACCGATTCATCAATAATGTACATCATTTAAAAAAATTTGTTGCCAGCCTAGGCAACAGAGCAAAACTCCGTCTCAAAAAAAGAAATATTTTTTTCAACCTAAAGTACAAATGAACCATAATCCTCTCCCCAATACAGTTTCCTGTGATTCTGTCATGCATAAATCTATACTTATGTTAAATTATATATATTTTTATATGTATCAAATACATGATTCTTACCACGGAGGTATTTTTATATCAACACAGTCAAATTACCCCATTCTTTCATTCTTTTTTTTTTTTTGAGACAGAGTCTTTCTCTGTCGCCAGGCTGGAGTGCAGTGGCGTGCGATCTCAGCTCAATGCAACCTCCGCCTCCCTAGTTCAAGCGATTCTCCTGCCTCAGCCTCCCGAGTTGCTGGGACTACAGGTGCATGCCACCACACCCAGCTAATTTTTGTAATTTTAGTAGAGATGGGGTTTCACCATGTTGGCCAGGATGGTCTTGATCTCTTGACCTTGTGATCCGCCTTCCTTAGCCTCCCAAAGTGCTGGGATTACAGGCATGAGCCATCGTGCCCAGCCTCTTTCATTCTTTTTAACAGCTGCTCATGGTTCTGTTTTACAGTGTACCCTGAGGGTATTTAGGTCTGTCCAGTGTTGGGGTATCATAGCAGTATTGTCGTGAACACTTCATACACATAATTTGTGCACTTATTTTCTTCAAGTCTATCTGCAGTAGGTCTACCAGGTCAAATGCATCTCCATTTGTAATTAGATAGTGCCAAATCACCCTCCAAAAAGATTGTGCCATTTTACATTCCCACTGACAGTTACAAGTGTGCTGGCCTACCCAGGCGCTCACCTGCATTGGATAACACCAAAATTTTTAGTTTTTTCCAGTCTGTGAGTGAATTAAAAAGATTTTTTTTCTTTTTTGAGATGGAGTCTCACTCTGTTGCCCAGGCTGGAGTGCAGTGGCACATTCTCGGCTCACTGCAACCTCCACCTCCCAGGTTCAAACGATTCTCCTGCCTCAGCCTCCCAAGTAGCTAGGATTACAGGTGTGTGCCACCATGCCCAGCTAATTTTTGTATTTTTAGTAGAGACGGGGTTTCACCTTGTTGGTCAGGCTGGACTCCTGGCCTTAGGTAATCCACCTGCCTTGGCCTCCCAAAGTGCTGGGATTACAGGTGTGAGCCACTGCGCCCAGCCAAAAACATAATTTTTTAACACCTGTTTCCTATTTCATAGCTCCCTCATTTTGGATCGGAATTTTTTTTTTTTTTTAGAGATGAGGTCTTGCTCTGTTGCCCAGGCTGGAATGCAGTCACATAATCGTAGCTTACTGAAGACTTGTTCTCCTGAGCTCAGATGATCCTCCCGTCTCAGCCTCCTAAGTATTTGGGACTATAGACGTATGTCATTACATCCAGCTATAAATCCTCTTTTTTTGTTGTTTTTTGTTGTTGTTATTGTTTTGTTTTGTTTTTTGAGACGGAGTCTGTCACCCAGGCTGGAGTGCAGTGGCATGATCTTGGCTCACTGCAATCTCTGCCTCCCAGGTTCAAGCAATTCTCCTGCCTCAGCCTCCTGAGAAATGCTCTTTTTAATGGTTACAGGGTATCCCCACAAGCAACCAGCCTGGGCAACATAGCAAGACCCCATCTCTAGAAAACATTTAAAAATTAGCCAGACATGGTGGTGCAGGCTTATATTCCCAGCTACTCAGGAGATTGAGGCTGAAGGATGACTTGAGCACAGGAGTTCAAGGCTATGGTGAGCTATGATCACACCACTGAACTCCAGCCTGGACACGAATGTTACCCTGACAATAAAAGCAGAAAAACATCCCTATAAGCAGATACAGCACAGTTGACTTAAAGCATCCCCCTCACTTTAAACAGAAAATGTCATTCTGATTTTTACTCTAAGAAATAAGAGTGCACTAAATAACATTGGCTATTCACAGATTTTTTTTTTTTCTTTTTTTCTGGACCTCAGGTAAAGAGCTGAATTTAGGCCGGGCGCGGTGGCTCAAGCCTGTAATCCCAGCACTTTGGGAGGCCAAGGAGGGTGTATCACGAGGTCAGGAGATCGAGACCATCCTGGCCAACATGGTGAAACCCCGTCTCTACTGAAAATACAAAAACTATCAGGGTGTGGTGGCACACGCCTGTAATCCCAGCTACTTGGGAGGCTGAGGCAGGAGAATCGCTTGAACCAGGGAGTCGGAGGTTGCAGTGAGCCGAGATCGTGCCCCTGCACTCCAGCCTGGTGACAGAGAGAGACTCCATCTCAAAACAAAACAAACAAACAAACAGCTGAATTTATCAAATGCCTTGGTTCATAGCATACCATCCTTGGTCCATGCCAGGCCCCCCTACTTTTTTTTTTTTCCCACTTCACTCCAATATCCACCTCCATTTCCCACCTTCATTTCTCTCTCTGCCAGAGGCAGCTGCTTTAATGCATTTGACTTCTGTCCTTAGATGTGTATGTTTCTTATAAAATATGTAGTGTTGGTATATCTGTGTGTATGAGTGGGAATTGCATTTCCATAAATAGAACTGTGCATTGATCTCCCTCTGTTTCCTTTTCCGCTCTCTGTACCTTAAGATCTCTCCGTGGCTCTGTGTACATCCAGCCATTGCTTCTGCCTTTGCTTTTGGCAGATATTTCTGAAGTCTTGAGAGACCTTCTAACATTTTTAGTATTTAGGATTCTTTCCTTAGACCAGATGCTCCCAAAAGGAATTTCTGGCAGCAATGGGTGTGAGCATTTTTATTTAAGGCACTGGCTTCCTGTTGCTCAGTCTTTCCTCCTCTCTGGGCAGGTAAGCCTCAGTCTGCCTCGTGCCAGAAGCACAGAGTATACCCCATGCCTCTAGAGTGTCCCCAGTAAGATTTCTGAAAGGCAGCTGCCTGGACAGCACAGCCACTGGGCTCCTCCTGGCCTCCCCCCTGACATCTGGCTGGTTGGTTTGCTTAACAGAAAAACAGCCCACCACAGCGGCTCTCCCTCAGCCCTTTTCCTCCCCTCCTCCTGGTTGGGGCACTGGAGTTTGTAACTGCATTGAACATTTTTAAAACTTCAGGGCTGAGTGTAGTGGCTCACGCCTGTAATCCCAACGCTTTGGGAGGCCGAGGCGGGCAGATCACCTGAGGTCAGGAGATCAAGACCAGCCTAGCCAACATGGTAAAACCCCGTCTCTACTAAAAATACAAAAAAGTTAACCGAGCGTGGTGGCCCATGCCTGTAGTCCCAGCTACTTGGGAGGCTGAGGCAGGAGAATCGCTTGAACCCAGGAGGCAGAGGTTGTGGTGAGCCGAGAACATGCCACTGCACTCCAGCCTGGGTGACAGAGTGAGACTTCGTCTCAAAAAAAACAACAACAAAAAAACTTCATATTTTCCTGATGCCTCAACATCCCACAAATAGGCCATGAACACTTTGCCCAGGTGAACAGGTGCCAGTGTGATAAGGCTGGTCCCTGCGACAAGTTCCCTTTCTTGCCCTCCTCTACTCTGACCTAGTGACATTCAGACACATCAGTGAGATCCCCTTTTGCTTGTGTCTTTCACCCTGAGCCCCAAAGAAGGCACTTGGCCGTGGGTCTCCTTCTGTAGGACCTGTGAGTATAATAAATCCTTTCATTTCATATGCCTCTCTCTCAAGGACTTTCACACTGAGTTTAGAATGATCCCATCCTCATCACCAATTGTGTTGTAAAAAAGATGTTCCCCTTGTGAGGTTTTTTTGTCCTTGTTTTTACAGGCAGGGTCTTACTCTTTCACCCAGGCTGGAGTGCAGTGGTGCGATTGTAGTTCACAATAACTTTAAACTCCCAGGCTCAGTTAATCTTCCCACCTCAGCCCCCTGGGTAGCTGGGACTACAGGCATGCACCACCACGCCCGCCTAATTTTTTTTTATTTTGTAGAGATGGGGTCTTGCCATGTTGCCTATGCTTCTTGAACTCCTGGCCTCATGCAATCCTCCCGCCTTGGCCTCCTAAAGTGCTGGGATTACAGGCGCAAGCCACTGCACCCAGCCCACTTTATGAAGTCTTTAAGGATCACTCGCACACAGCCACAGAAACTATGCTCAGAGAGGCTTATGAAATTACAGGATTTACTATACTCACATGTTCTAGAGAAGGAGGCATGCATGCCACACAGGGGGCCATATGGGAGGAGCTCCAAGGAAGCCACTCAACCAAGCAGGTAGGGAGAAGGGGGAGAGGACAGAAGGAAGGAAGGAGAGGGGAGGACCCCTGGGCAAGTGCCTTTGTTAGGGCTCAGGGTAGTACAAGCAAAGGGCATGAGGGGATTTACCATGTGTTTGAATGGTATTAGGTCATAGAAGAAGAAGACCAGAGGCTGGGCACCGTGGCTCACGCCTGTAATCCCAGCACTTTGGGAGGCCAAGGCAGCAGATCGTTTGAGCCCAGGAGTTAAAGATCAGCCTGGCCAACATGGTGAAACCCTGTCTCTACAAAAAATACAAAAATTAGCCAGGCGTGGTGGCACACACCTGTAGTCCCAACTACTTGGGGGCTGAGGCAGGAGGATCACTTGAACCCTGGAGGTCGAGGCTGCAGTGAGCCAAAATCAGGCCACTGCACTCCAGCCTAGGCAACAAAGTGAGACCCTGTTTCGAAAGAAAAAAAAGAAGAAATGGGCCGGGTGCAGTGGCTCACGCCTGTAATCCCAGCACTTTGGGAGGCCGAGGCGGGCAGATCACGTGGTCAGGAGATCGAGACCATCCTGGTAACATGGTGATACCCCGTCTCTACTAAACAAAATACAAAAATTAGCCGGGCGTGGTGGCAGGCGCCTGTAGTCCCAGCTACTCAGGAGGCTGAGGCAGGAGAGTGGCGTGAACCCGGGAGGCACAGTTTTCAGTGAGCCAAGATCGTGCCACTGCACTCCAGCCTTGGTGACAGAGCAAGACTCCGTCTCAAAAAAAAAAAAAGAAGAAGAGGAGGGCCAGAAGGAGAACCTGGGCAGAATGTTCATATCCTATTTGTGGGGATGTTGAGGCATCTGTAAAGTAAGTTTTTAAAATAAGTTTTAAATTTGCACAATATAGTAATATTTCACAAAATCATAGTATTTACTTTATCCCACCTTATTTAAAATTGATTCCTTTGAGGCAACTCAAAAAATTAAATCCAACAGCATAAGAAAAACAGAAGAAATAGAGTTAAAGGAGAAAATTAAAATAAGATAAAACAAGGCTTGGGTGAGGACCACACCCATACCCCATGCTCTAAAGCCTGTACTCTTGCTAGAAATGGGCTTAGTTGTGGCTCTGGCTTTTTAGCAGCCAAAACACAAAGGAAAGTGAGACCTGGTGCCCAATCCACATGGGTCACAGTGAAACCAACAAGAAGCTCAGAGGTGTGGCCTGAGAGTGATTTGTCCCAAGGGCTCAGACTGAAAGAATGCAATGTGAGAGGTATGCCACATCTTCATAAATAAAGCACAATCCATATGCCTACAAAGTCTGCTCATAGGTCTTTTTCTTGTAGCACTAACATGGACCACCAATTTGCCCTTCCATTCAGTCATTCTGCATTTATTGAGAGCCTGCTACATCAGGCCCTGGCTGGGTACTGGGGATACTGAAGTGAGAAAAACAGCTGACCATCCCTGTCCTCAAGAAGCATCTTGTTAAGTGGTAGAGACAGACACCAATCACACAGATAGATGTGAAGTTACAGCTGTACAAAGTGCTGTTAAGGCGAGGTCCATAGCACCAGGAAAGCATGGAAGAACCAGCTCAGGGTGAACCTACACCCAAGGTGAACTGCCCAAGCCCCTTATCCACAACAGCACCTGCATTGACCTAGCTCAGCCGAAACTCCAGGAGTCATCCTTCTCCCTGTCCCCCCAAGCCCTTGTATCCAGCCCCTTCACACGTCTTGCAGCTCCAATTCCAGAACGGATCTGGAGGCTGGGTGCGGTGGGTCACGCCTGTAATCCCAGCACTTTTGGGAGGCCGAGGCAGTTGGATCACCTGAGGTCAGGAGTTCAAGACCAGCCTGACCAACATGGTGAAACCCCATCTCTACTAAAAATACAAAATTAGCCGGGCATGGTGGTGCATGCTTGTAATCCCAGCCACTTGGGAGGCTGAGGCAGGAAAATCACTTGAACCCAGGAGGTGGAGGTTGCAGTGAGCCAAGATCGCACCATTGCCCTCCAGCCTGGGCAACAAGAGCGAAACTCCATCTCGGGGAGGGTGGGGGTCAGGGGAGCAGAACAGATCTAGAATCCTTCCACTGCTCATCACTTCCCCTCCATCCCCCCAAGCCAGGGCACCGTCCCCCTCTCCTGCTCCCTGCTTCCACTCTAGCCCTGCAGGGTCTTCTACACAGCAGCAGAGAAGTCCTCTCATGCTGTCTGATCATGTCAAACCCTGCCATCAGCACTCCAGTACCAGCCTGTCTCATGCAGGCAAATCTAAAGACTTTCCCATGGCACTGCAGGGTCTGGCTCCCTTTTCCCGCCCAGCCTACTTTCCTGACACTGTCCCCATGCTCCCTTAGCTCTGGGCTCACAGGCCCTCTGTAGTCCCTGCACACATGAACATTCACCCACCTCAGGACCTTTGCACCTGCTCCCTTCGTTTATGACGCTCCTCCTATGTCCTCTCCTCCAGAACCTTCCCTGACCACCTGTCTAAAATAGCAGCTCTGCCCTTTCATTCTCTATCTCCCTGCCCTGGTTTGCTTTTCTTAGTGCCCATTACCACCTAACAATACATGTAACTGTTTCTTTCGAGATTCTTTCTCCCTCACTGGCCCATGACCTCTAGGAGAGCAGCGACTTTGCCTGATTCCTTGCTGAATCACTGGTGTCTAGGACAATGCCTTGCACGTAGTAGGCAATCAATCAGTATGGGCTGAATTACTGAGGGGTTATTGTCTCATAGAAACTATGTGAGCAAAGCTTCCCTGATCTGGGAGCTAAAGAAGGTTGAGTAAGGGTGGCCTCAGTGAAGAGAGAAGAGAGGAGAACATCTCAGGCAGCAGGAGAGCTTGTACACAGCTGCCTGTGGGTGGGCATGTAGCACACACATCATACTGCAAAAAGGCCAGTGTGGCTGCAGTGTGTAGAGCAAGAGCATGTGTGAGCCAAGGCTCAGGAGACTTGTGGTGGCCACCACGAGGGCAAGAGGCCAACAGGTGGATGTGAGCTTTCGGCTTATGAGAGCAGAGGTTAGCTGCGGAGAGGCTTCCAGTAAGGGAGTGACATGATCTGACAGATGTTCAGCAGATTCCAAAACAGCCCTGCTTGAGAGTGGCCAGGTTCCCTATACCCCACACAACAGCACATTATTCCCTTATTCCCTCCAGGTTAGAGACCACGATAGTAACAAATTCATCAGGGATGCAGCAAACATGGTGTACCATGGCATAGCCTTTCCAAAGTCTAGAATTAACATGTGACCATTGACTGGAGCATTGTGACAGAATATTTCTCAAGTTTCACCTAACGACGAAAAGACCAAGAAGCAGCTGTCAGGGATGCTGTCATAGCTTCAGCCATCACTGCAGGAGGAGTCATCACAAAGCAGAATGTGGAGAATGGAGTGGGACAGATGTCTTGTAACTAGCATGCTTGCGGCCTGGGTGGCCACTCTGTAGGGGATCCCTGGATGATTAAACAGGGAGAAGGAAATGTGGAAGAGCGAGTTCTGAGGTTCCAACAGCTCTCCTGGGGCTCTATACTGAAGACTCCCTTATCCCTTCAGAACCCCTGTGCAGCACTTTGAGCACAAACATAATTGCCTCCCTCCAGATAATGGAGCCACTAAATGTAAACTTACAAACCCCTTTGCGAGGTACAGCTGGGGGCTTGAGGTTTCTCACCTTTCCCCCACAGCTGCAGAAACTAGAATGCCACTAGTATTGTCTGAGACTCTTCCTGACTGTCCCCCGACTCAAGAAGGGTGAGACCAACCTCCAGAAGAGACGCAGGGACTCTGGTTTCCTCACAGCCACTGGCAACCCTAACTTCCTGTTTCTCTTTGTATTTCTGCCTCAGATATTCTCCCAGGAGTACATCAACCTCCTGCTGTCCATGTATTTCTTCGTGCTGGGAATCCTGGCCCTGTCCCACACCATCAGGTCAGAAGGCATCTCTCTGCAACATTTGAAGCAGCTTTCTCGGGAACCAGTACAGGGTCTTGGATGAGAACATGACTTTTGGCATCATTCAGAGCCAGGTTTGAATCCTGGCTATAAAACTCAAGGGACTCTTTCCCCTGCACACTGTAGATGACTAGGACAAGAACAATGACCTCTCTGGGCCACAGTTTCCTTATAGACATGATGAGGATCTGGTGGGTGTTTCCACCACCACAGCTGTTGGGAAAGTGATTTGTGAGCAGTAATGTCATGTTAGTTGTGACAGTACTCAGGTGAGTAACACCAGTACCACCTGCCGGGTGTTGTGGCCTAGCTGTGTGCTAAGTGCCATGTTGGGCTCCTCACACATGATCGTGTTTCGTAAGGAGCCAGAGGCAGCATAGTGAAAAGTTAGGAGCGTGGGCTCTGGCATTTGACTACCTTACTTTGAGTCCAGACTCTGCCACTTAATAGCTCTGTGATCTTGGGCAAGTTACTTAATCTCTCTGGCCTCAATTTCCTGGTGAATGTGGAGAAAAATAATAGTGCCCTTCCCATGGGGTCATGTGGAAAGCTTTTAGCACAGTATCTGGTGATTTAAAGTGTTCAGTAACTATTAGCTGTTACTGTCATTATCTGTGTTAACCTGCCAGACAACCTTATATGGGTTGCTTTTGCTTTCACACCTGTATGATAGTCATGGAAACTGAAGCCCAGAGAGGTTAAGAAATTTGCTAGGATCACACCACTAATAAGCAACAGAGCCAGGATTCAAACCCAGGTGTGGCTCCAGAGCCCATCCTCTTCCCACTGCTACCCTAACTCAAACTGCCACATGCTCGTGTCCTTTCAGTGGGGAGAGTGGTTCATTAGAGGGGGTTGCTACTTTTATTTTGGACAGGCCAGTTCTCCATTCTGCAGGACTATCCCATGTATTACAAACAGTTGGCAACCTTGCCCTGCTCACCAAATGGGAGTTGCATACCAGTATTCCCCAGCTTGTGACTACAGAGATGTCCCAGTATGTTTCTTTCTGCCCCGTTGAAGAGGTGCAGCCTCAGGCTGAGAAACACTGATAGACCAAGAGGTGGCCAGGGTTCCCAGAAGGAAGGAACTCACCTTGAACTTAGCTTTCTTTGAAGGGTAGGAAACCTGGAAGACGTACAAAGGAGGGAGAGGTCAGGTGCTAGAAAGTTTGTGCACATTGAGGGCATGGGCAGAATCTGCTCCCAAAAGCATTGAAAGCCAATATGAGGCCAGGTGGTGGCTCATGCCTGTAATCCCAGCACTTTGGGAGGCCAAGGCAGGCGGATCACAAGGTCAGGAGATTGAGACCATCCTGGCCAACATGGTGAAACCCCGTCTCTACTAAAAATACAAAAAAATTAGCTGGGCATGGTGGTGCATGCCTGTAGTCCCAGCTACTCAGGAGGCTGAGGTAGGAGAATCATTGAACCTGGGAGGCGGAGGTTGCAGTGAGCCGAGATTGCACCACTGCATTCCAGCCTGGCGACAGAGTGAGACTCCATCTCAAAAAAAAAAAAAAAGCCAATATGAATGTGGCTTCATTCTTCTAGGCACACTGGCAGGACAGTGTGGTAGTCAGGAGCACAGGGTCAAGAGGCAGGCAGCCTTGGGACAAACACCTGGTGCTGCCAGCTCTAATATGTGTAAATTACTCAAGCTCTGAGCATAGTTCTTCTACCTATAAAATGGAGAGACTACAGGTACCTCCTCAGAGGTGTGGGGAGGGTCTAGTGAGCCCCAGGCTGTAACATCCCTAGAGCACAGTGCCAAGCACACAGTGAGCCTAGTGGCTGGCCCAGGGTTACACAGCTGAGACTTCACCTCTGGTCTTCCCACTGAGGTCATTGTTGTCCTCACCTGCACTGACTCTTCACCCACAAAATTCTATTCTAGCTAGCTTGGGAGAATTCTAGTCCAGCCCCGCATCCTGAAAAATGGAGGCCCAGGGAACCTGAGTGACTTGGACCCAACCAAGATAATGGCAGGCCCAGTCGCCCTTGCTCACAGGACAAACCAGTCCTTTCGTGGTGGACCTGGGGTGGGGTGGGGGCAGTCACTTGCAGACATTGGGTGTCCTCCTTTCCCATGCTGATTAGGATCCTCCCCAACTGTAGCCCATCCTACCCCAGCATCTGTGAGACGCTTGAGACCCCCAAGTCTCCCCACAGCCCAGCCTCCACCTCAGAGAGCCCAGTGGGTTTTGAAAGCCACTGTTAGGCTGTGTGCTGAGGAACTGATTATTTAATGTTATAGCAACAACCCTACAATGAAGATCTTATCTCTACCCAGCTGCCTAGGCAGGGTATTTTGAACCTTTATCATCTTGACACCAAAGACTTTTTTTCCCTTTTAGAATAATAACTAAGGGACATTGTCCCAAATTTCTCATAGATGAGTAATCTATGTCAAGAAATAATTGAGGGTGGGCACGGTGGCTCACACCTGTAATCGCAGCACTTTGTGAGGCCAAGGCAGGTGGATCACCTGAGGTCAGGAGTTCAAGACCAGCCTGGGCAACATGGTGAAACCTTGTCTACTAAAAATACAAAAAAGTAGCCGGGTGTGATGACGCACCCAGCTACTCGGGAGGCTGAGGCAGGAGAATCACTTGAACCCAGGAGGTGGAGGTCGCAATGAGTCAAGATCGCACCACTGCACTCCAGCCTGGGTGACAGAGGGAGACTCCATCTCAAAAAAAAAAAAAAGAAATAATTGTCTATCTGTCTTTTAGCCACTTCATAATTTTTAGAGATAGATATTATCAACAGAAAATAAAACCAACAGCAGCTAAAACTGCACATGGTAAAATGTATGAGTGACTAGAAACTAACAGAAGAATAATTTTCTTAATGAAATTTAGAGCAACAAAATTTGACCTGGGAAAACCATACCTTTTAAAAATAATGGATCACCTGGGCATGGTGGTTCACACCTGTCATCCCAGCACTTTGGGAACCCTAGGCTGTTGGATCACCTGAGCTCAGGAGTTCAAGACCAGCCTGGGCAACATGTTGAGACCCTGTCTCCACAAAAAATACAAAAATTAGCCGGGTATGGTGGTGCGTGCCTGTGGTCCCAACTGCTCGGTAGGCTGAGGTGGGATGATCGCGTGAACCTGGGAGGCAGAGAGGTTGCAGTGAGCTGTGATCATGCCACTGCACTCCAGCCTGGGTAACAGAGTAAGACCCCATCTGAAAAATATAAAAAAAAAAAAAAAAGAATAATGGATGGCCATAGGCAGAAGGTATGCTTACCATATGGGGTTAAAGCTGGTCCACTAAAAAATTTGATGGGGACCAAAAACTGTCAGATGAAGGAAATCATTATTGTAAAATTAACATGAAAAAGAACTGAATCCAGTGAAAATAATTTTAGTAAGTAGGGGATGATTTGATCATGCTTTTTAGAAAGTTGGTCTACCAATTAAATGGATGTTTCAATTAAATCGAGTTTTCTTAAATATTTTCTCAAGGAAAGTCTACAGTGTTGTTAGAATTTTGATCAGCTGCCTGTATCCACAAACTTAGACCTTCCTCAGGATCCAAACAACAGATCCAAAGGTTTAAGACAGGGAAATTGGGCTCAGAGGGGTTATGTAACCACCAGGATTCACAGCTGGTAAGGGCAAAGTGAGGTTTTGAGCTCAGGTCTGTCTGACTCCAAAACCCCTATTCTTTACAGTTTTGGCAAAAGTGAAGTGGGGGGAGCTTAAAGAGGGTGGGCTGGCCACCTCCTGCCATTGAGCCTGTGGTCTCCCAAGGACTGGCAGAGGAGAGGCCTGCTGAAAGGCTGCAGAGAGCTGCACCCGAGCTGTGACAGCACAGGCTGAGGTTCTCAGGATTCCCTCCACCTCCACCACCACTTCCTAGCCCACATTAAGCCTCTTTGGAACAAACCCCAGCCTGGGGGATTGGAGGAAGGCAGGGGCCGCAGCCTGCCTTACCTTGTGTAGTCACCAAGATTCAAACCCAAGACATCCTTCCTGCAAAGGGAACCTCGGCTTACTTCATCATCTGTGTCTGAGCTCGTGCCCCACCCAGCTGACCTTAGAGGGAAAAAATGCCCAGAAGGACCAGATCTGCCACCCCAGAGGAGGAAGCCACATCACCAGTTTCACTGACCCTGCCTTCCACCCCCAGGGGAGAAGGGCACCAGGATGTGGCTTGTCAGTGGGAAGCAATGACCTTTACGTTTGACATGAGCCATCAAGGGCCAGGAAGAATCTCTGCCTGCTACAAAAGTCTGCATTCAGAGTCATTCAGCAAGCATTTTAGCAGATGTCTAGCAGGCACCAGGTATCTTCACCCCAGGGTAGGGTGAAGATGATGAGACGGGGCCTCTATTCTCAAGTCCACAGGCTCGCGCTAGCCAGGTTGCTTGACTCCTCCCCTGTGTAGTGCTAAGCAGCCTCTCTTTTCTTGGAATAACAAAGATATCAATCTAGAGACTTGCTACTTGAAGTTGAAGCTGCAGTTAAGTTTATAGGGTGCCAAGTGCTCATTTAATCCTCTCAATAGCCCTACAAGAAAGGTGTTGTAGCATTCCAGATGAGGAACAGTTGCACAGAGCAGTTAAGTAAGTTTCCCAAGATCAGACCACTAATAAGTGGCAGAGTTAGGATTTGAGCCCAGGAAGTCTGGCTCCGGAGTCCATGTCTTTAACTGTCACACTCTGCTGGTTGAGAAGCTGAGCACCAAGCTCCTAAGGAAGAGGCCGGCTAAGATGGGCAGAGTTCTTATCCATACCTGCACTCACACCCTGGCTTCAGACTCCCCCAAAACTGATTCAGCAAACTAATCTGAAAGTAGCTTCCTGTCACCCACCCAGCTTCTGCCTCCCACCGCCTCAGAACCCTGCTGTGGGAGCCCATTTCCGATTCTGGCCTTGCACCTGCTGCGCTTCTCTTCACAAAGCCCTCCCATCATTCATACCACAGCCCTACAGGCTAGGAGGGATCGGCTCTTTGACAAGTGGAGAAATAGAGGCCCAGAGATGGTTTTTTGTTTTTGTTTTTAGAGACGGAGTCTCGCTGTGTCGCCCAGGCTGGAGTGCAATGGCACAATCTCAGCTCACTGCAACCTCTGCCCCCCGGGTTCAAGCAATTCTCCTGCCTCAGGCTCCTGAGTAGCTGGGATTACAGGCACCTGCCACCACGCCGGGCTAATTTTTGTATTTTTTTAAGTAGAGATGAGGTTTTGCCATGTTGGCCAGGCTGGTCTCGAACTCCTGACCTCAAGTGATCCGCCACCTCAGCCTCCCAAATGTTGGGATTACAGGCGTGAGCCACTGCACCTGGCCAGAGAGGGTTCTTGAATCTACATCTTGCTCCATGCCACCAGGGTCTTTAAAGAGAGTTCCCTTGGCCGGGCGCGGTGGCTTACGCCTGTAATCCCAGCATTTTGGGAGGCCGAGGTGGGCGAATCACGAGGTCAGGAGATCGAGACCATCCTGGCTAACACAGTGAAACCCCTTCTCTACTAAAAATACAAAAAAAAATTAGTCGGGCATGGTGGCGGGTGCCTATAGTCCCAGCTACTCGGGAGGCTGAGGCAGGAGAATGGCATGAACCCAGGAGGCGGAGCTTGCCGTGAGCCGAGATCGCGCCACTGCATTCCAGCCTGGGCGACAGAGTGAGACTCCATCTCAAAAAAAAAAAGAGTTCCCTTTTCCCTCCCTTTATCACTGTGACCTGGGTACCTCCTGGCCTGCCTCATCCCTGCTAAAGACTCCATGCCAGGCAAAGCATTCATCCTGCCTTCTTTCATATCTTCATAGCAATGCTCTGAGACAGATGGTATTGTTAGCCCTGTATACAGATGAGAAGATTGAGGTCCAGGGAGACAGAGCCACTGAAATGGCTCTCCCACAGCCACATGGCAGAGCAGGCCTCAGTGCTGGGCCACCCAGGCATGTAGCCACTCCACAGTACTGCCACCAGGCTGGGTCAAGAGGCCTTGGTTTGCTAATCTTGCTCTGAAAAAAGTCCAGAAAAGGTCTCTGCTTCCTTCCTGGCTGGGAGGTGGGGCATGCTGGGTAATCAGAGAGAATGCTTCTAGAGACGAGGCCAAGCTGGTCTTAAACAACTGAGGCCTTGTGGAAGGAGTGAATGTGATGGTGATCCTGCCCAGGGGCTATGATTCATCTGGCTGATTGATTCCAGCTGAGTCTGTAAAAATCTCAGTCCTGCTGTTGGAAAGCAGAATGTCAAGTCATGGAGTGGGGTGGGGGTGACTGTCAGGTCATCTAACTTGATAGGTTTGGAAGGGAGTCCACAAATATGCTTCTTGACAAGGGACTCATATAGGTGGCATGTGGGCCAGACTTTGGGATCCTCTGCTCTCCCAAAAATGGTATTTTGCCTTCAGTCTATCTGCTTCTGCTTTGCATTTCTTTGATGTTAACAAAAAGGCAGTAGAGAAATCACTATGAGTGCAAAAACCTAGGTTTGAGTCTTAGCTGAGATATAGGACCCCTGTGTGACTCTGGGCAAATCACTTACCTTTTGAGGGCCTCTGTTTTCACATCTGTAGAGTGGGAACAGTAACACCTACCTATCAGGACAGCTGTAAGGGTGCCAGCTGTAAATGGGGCAGGGGTGTGTTAAGGCTGACTGCCCATGGGGGCTCTGTTTGCCGACTTGCTTTGTCTTTCCTTCCAGCCCCTTCATGAATAAGTTTTTTCCAGCCAGCTTTCCAAATCGACAGTACCAGCTGCTCTTCACACAGGGTTCTGGGGAAAACAAGGAAGGTCAGTGCTAACCACTTTCCCCTGTAGTGTGCCTTGGGTGTCTTCCTCCACCATTCCCTTTGTCTCTCCAATATTGGGGTTCTCCAATAGAGCAACTGATGAAGTGGGCTCTGGAATTCCATGGCCTGGATTCACATTCCAACTCTGCTATTGTCTAGACATGGGACCCTGGGTGAACGCCTTACCTCTCTGAGCATTGGGTGTTTTTGTTTTTGTTTTTTTTCCCATCTGTAAAATGAAAGTGTTAATCTAGTACCTCCTTCACAGTCATGTTGTTAAGATGGCGAGTCAATAAGTGGAAAGCATTCAGCATGGTGCCTGGCTCATAGTAAGCACTCAAAGTCGGCCTTCATGATTATTTTATTCGTATATATTTTTAGTGTGATCACTGCCTCACCTAAGGTTTGAAAAGGGGGTTCCACAGCTCTTTTTTCAAAAATAAAAACTGGCCAGAAACAGTGTCTCATGCCTGTAATCACAGCAATTTGGGAGGCCAAGACAGGATGATCACTTGAGGCCAGGAATTTGAGACCAGCCTAGGCAACATAGTGAGACCTCATCTCTACAAAAAAATTGTAAAAAAATGCAAACTATGGGGAAGTGTGGAGATCCTGGGATTTGTAGGTTAGTTAGGGTATGGATTCAAATGCTGTAACAAGATTATCAATGCTTGACCAAACAGCAGGTATTTCTTTGTTTTTTGTTTTTTGAGACAGAGTCTTGTTCTGTCACCCAGGGTGGAGTGCAGTGGTGCGATCTCAGCTCACTGAAACCTCAGCCAACTGAGTAATTGAGATTACAGGCGTGTGCTACCACACCCAGCTAATTTTTTTGTATTTTTAGTAGAGATGGAGTTTTGCCATGCTAGCCAGGCTGGTCTCAAACTCCTGACCTCAAGTGATCTGCCCACCTCAGCCTCCCAAAGCGCTAGAATTACAGGCGTGAGTGAGCCACCACGCCCAGCAGGTATTTCTCTTGTATACAATACTGAGCATGTGAAATCTAGCACTTTTTTTTTTTTTTTTTTTTTTCGAGACAGGGTCTCGCTCTGTCGCCCAGGCTGGAGTGCAGCGGCACAATCTTGGCTCACTGCAAGCTCCACCCCCTGGGTTCACGCCATTCTCCTGCCTCAGCCTCCCGAGTAGCTGGGACTACAGGCGCCCGCCACTACGCCCGGCTAATTTTTTTGTATTTTTAGTAGAGACGGGGTTTCACCGTGTTAGGATGGTCTCCATCCCCTGACCTCTTGATTCGCCTCCCAAAGTGCTAGGATTACAGGCGTGAGCCACCGCGCCCGGCCGTAGCACTCTCTCTTACTGGTGCCTAGCACATGCTGCCTTGTCCCTAATCGGCAGCAATTTTATGTGATTGCTTTGTGCATCTCTAAGGAACCTCTGTTAAACAATTGTTGATTTTTTTTTTTTAAAGACTGAGCTTGGGCCAGGTGAGATGGCTCACGCCTCCCAGCACTTTGGGAGGCTGAGGCAGGCGGATGACTTGAGATCAGGAGTTCCAGACCAGCCTGGCCATCACGGCGAAACCCCGTCTCTACTAAAAACACAAAAAAAATTAGCCAGGCATGGTGGCGTGTACCTGTAATCCTAGCTACTCGGGAGGCTGAGGCAGGAGAATCGCTTTAACCTGGGAAGGCGGAGGTTGCAGTGAGCCGAAATCGCGCCACTGCACTCCAGCCAGGGCGACAGAGTGAGACCCTGTCTCAAAAAAAAAAAAAAAAGACTAAGCTTGGCCAGGCGCGGTGGCTCATGCCTGTAATCCCAACACTTTGGGAGGCTGATGCAGGAGGGTCACTTGAGCCCTGGAGTTCGAGGCTGCAGTAAGCCACGGTCAGTGCACTCCAGCCTGGGCGACAGAGCAAGACCCCGTCTAAAAAAATAAATAAATAAAACAGTAAAAAGGCTAGGCTTATACCACAGTCTTCAAGGTCCCAGGCCCTCTCTATCTCATGCTCCGCCATATACAGCACTGGCCCTCGGGTCAGGATAGTGTCATCACTCCACTGTCCAGCCAGAAGGAAGGAGAGGCATCCATATTCCCTGTCCATTTAGCTATAAGAGAAGCTGGAAAATGGCCGTGAGTCGGTCTCGTGTCCAGTTAGAACTAACTCATCAGGGTGCGCATCTGCAGTCTTCTGTTCCGGCAAGGAGAAAGCATTCGTATCATTTCTAGCTTGTCAAGCCCTACTGTTTCAGCGATCCTCATTGGAGAGGAATCAGCAGTCGAAGGAACAGCGGGCCAAGCGCAGTCGTGACGTGGCGTTCAGAGAGCGGAAGTTGTCAGATTTCACCGGGCCGTAAAGCGCGCTGGCTGTGTCATCTTCCGGTTAGCGACAACGGCTCTGACCGTCTGGCAGGCCGCGTGGCGCCCGCGCCGGCCTTCCTGCAGGGGACTCCACCGGAGCCTTGCCAATTCCGTTTGTTTCCCTGTTGTCGCCCGCTTCACCCTGGATCATGTTCAAGAAGTTTGATGAAAAGGAAAGTGTGTCCAACTGCATCCAGTTGAAAACGTCAGTTATTAAGGGCATTAAGAGCCAACTGGTAGAGCAATTTCCAGGTATTGAACCATGGCTTAATCAAATCATGCCTAAGAAAGATCCTGTCAAAATAGTCCGATGCCACGAACATACAGAAATCCTTACCGTAAGTGGGGAATTATTGTTTTTTAGACAAAGAAAGGGGCCTTTTTGTCCAACTCTAAGGTTGCTTCACAAATACCCTTTTATCCTGCCACACCAGCAGGTTGATAAAGGAGCTATCAAATTTGTACTCAGTGGCGCAAATATTATGTGTCCAGGTTTAACTTCTCCTGGAGCTAAGCTGTACCCTGCTGCAGTAGATACGATTGTAGCAGTCACAGCGGAAGGAAAACAGCATGCTCTGTGTGTTGGGGTCATGAAGATGTCTGCAGAAGATATTGAGAAAGTCAACAAAGGAATTGGCATTGAAAATATCCATTATTTAAATGATGGGCTGTGGCACATGAAGACATATAAATGAGCCTCAGAAGGAATGCATTTGGGGGGCTAAATGTGGATATTGATTGTGTCGTATGTGTGTTTGTGTCTGTGTGTGACAGCGTGAATACAATGCCTCTGTGGTTATGCTAAATAAGTTTAACAGATACTTTATAGAAAACAAATCAGGGTGCTCTTACCACAGATGAAAAAACAAATTAGGGGACAAGCAGCAAGCAGTCTGCTAACACTCTGGAATGTGAAAGGAGTGTCTGGACTCTGTGACTCCCGGCAAACTCCACAGCCTCTAGTTGTCTTCTTAGGAAGCTTGGAAGCAATTGAGAATGGTCTAACATCAAGATGTCTACCACAGGGCCCCCCACAAAAGCAGCCTCGGGGACTCCGGCCTTTCCTTGAGACCTGCATCTCTTCCCTTCTTCATCGCCTGCTAGTGAACTGAGGCTGCCGCTAACCTTCTTCATCCTTTGGTGGCAAAGTAGAAAGATTCCAGAATTAACTCGACCTTTCTAAAGACCTGGGCTCAGAGGCAGCTGGCACTGACTGAGCACCCACTATGTGCCAGGCACTGTGCTGAATGCATTGTAAGGACTGTCTTACTTATTCCCCCACAGCAGCCCTAAGAAGGGGTGCTGTTATCCCCTTTTTACAGATAAGAAAACTGAAGCTCAGAGAGGGCACTGCCTTCCCCAAGGTCACCCAGCTACAAGTAACAAAGCCTGTGCTTCTAACACCAAAGACCACTTCCCGCTGACACTGTGCCAGGCTTGTAAGTCTCTCTCTGGGCCTCCATTCCCTCCTGTAGGAAATTGGAGGGGTTGGGGTGGCTCCAGTGAGCTCTCCCCTTCTGAAACTCATACTAATCTGGGGCAGCCAAGGCTTAGCCCCGCCAGCCTGTGAACCTCTCACAGTGCCCACAGCCATGCCCTCCTCCGTCCAGGGGCTGACAGGTGGGAGGGGTAGCCCTGCCTCAGGGAGTGGACTTACCTGGCCTCTCTGCTCAGAGATCATCAATTATGAATTTGACACCAAGGACCTGGTGTGCCTGGGCCTGAGCAGCATCGTTGGCGTCTGGTACCTGCTGAGGAAGGTGAGTAGTCAGGACCTGGGCAGAAGGGGAGGATGGGGTTGACAGGGCAGGGTGGGTCACAGCAAGCTGGTCTCACTCCCCGCTTTCCTCAGCACTGGATTGCCAACAACCTTTTTGGCCTGGCCTTCTCCCTTAATGGAGTAGAGCTCCTGCACCTCAACAATGTCAGCACTGGCTGCATCCTGCTGGGCGGACTCTTCATCTACGATGTCTTCTGGGTGAGTCAGGCAGGGATGCCAAGGATGTCTGGCTCCGGGGCCATCTCATCTCATCACCCTGCCTCTCTGGCCCAAGTTGCAGTCATCTGACGGAGAAGAGCTGTTTTGGGCTGAAGTTCCGGACCGCAGAGCAAGTCCTCTCTGGGCCCATCTGTGAGATGGAGCCAGAGAGAGCAGATTCTACCTCTTTCTGAGAGCACACTCATGCCCGGTGCCTTCCGACCACCTGCCTCTCTTCCTTGCTAGCAGGGGTGTTACCTAATCCCATGTCTCCTTGGCAAGGGAGTTGAGACTCAAAGAAGTTCAGGTAGGGGTGGAAGAATGTTGATGAATGGGCCCAGCAAGGGCATTCACATTCACTCTGAGAGGCATCACAGAGGGACTGACGTCAGCCTGACTCAGGTACCCTTTTCCTGGCCCCAGGCAGCCTCTTCCCCTCTCAAGTGGGTAGCGCTGGGGGACTTTATCACTTGGGAGGAACAGAACTGTGAACAAACATAGGCTGCCTGGCTTGGGCCATCAGAGGTCTTTTCTATACTCCCTCGAATTTCCCCTTTGTTGCCCAGAACCAGTATCAGTGGCCACCTCACCTCAGCTTCAGATCTGCACTGGAGCCCCTCCCAGCTCCCCTCAGATCCCAGGCAGCAGCACATCTAGAAGCCCAGGGACAGCCATTCTTCCCCCCACAGCCCCTCACTTCCCTTCATACTGCTCTTTTTTTCTCCTTCTAGGTATTTGGCACCAATGTGATGGTGACAGTGGCCAAGTCCTTCGAGGCACCAATAAAATGTAAGTGACCACCCTGCCACAGGGAACCCCTTCCCCCACCCCTGCCGGGCCATGCCCCCACAGCCCGTTTCAGTCAGTGCATCTCCCTATCTCTTCCCCATGTACCTCTTCCTCCTGTGGCTCCCCAGCCTGGTTTCCTTATCCTCAATTGATTCATCTGGCTGTGTTCATCCTGCCCAGGTCCCGGCCCCTGGCCACTTGGTCGTGGTGCAGCATGGCGTGAAATGAGCCAAAATGGGAGCGAGCATGGAGGGGAAGTGTTTAACCCAGCCCGGGGGGCACGCGCAGGGGCTTTCCAGGAGAGAAAACCTCTAAGCCGAGACCCCTCACTGGGGTCCCCTTGGCACCTGAGTGTCGGGTGCTGTCTATCCCGTGCCTCTCAAACTGCCTTGGTTTTGTTCTTCAGTGTATCCACTGTTTATAAGTAATAGAAAATCCACCTACAGGTTGAGCATCTCTAATCCGAAAATCTGAAATCCAGAATGTTCCAAGACCCAAAAGTTTTTGAGCACTGACATGACACCACAAGTGGAAAATTCCACACATAAGGACTTAACACATGTGAACTGTGTTTCATGCAGGAAATAGCATTTTAAGATTGTATAAAACTCTTTAGGAGGCTGAGGCGGGAGGATCACTTGAGGCCAGCAGTTCAAGACCAGCCTGGGTAACAGCAAGACCCTATCTCTACAAAAAATTAAAATATTAGCTAGGAGTGGTAACACACATCTGTAGTCCTAGCTACTTGGGAGGATCTGAAGCAGGAGGATCACTTGAGCCTGGGAGTTCCAGGCTGAAGTGAGCTATGATCATGTCCCTGCATTCCAGCCTGGATGACAGAATGAGGCCCTGTCTTTAAAATTTATATATGTATAAATATATATGTGTGTGTACATATATAAAACTACCTTCAAGCTATTATGTATAATGTGAATTTCATATTTAAACTTAGGTTTTATCCCCAAAACATTTCATTATGTATATGCAAATATTCCAGAATTCAAACAAAGTTTGAAACATTTCTGGTTGAACCATTTCAGATATGGGATACTCAACCTGTATAACTGTCTTTAAACAAGGGGGAAATTTTGTCATCTCACACTACAGCAAGCCCAGGGGTAGAAGGCTCAGAGTGAGTTAATGACCCTCTCTTCACCAAGAGCCAAGGTTACTTCAGGACTCCCACCCCAGCATTCTCAGCATGTCCACCTGCCCCTTAGGTCATCCCTTCATGGTCCCAAGATGGCTGCCACAGCTCCCAGCACTGACTCCTCACATAGCTGTGTCCAGAAAAAGAAAGGGGAAATTATGTCTCAGGGAGGGATGGTTTTTCCCAAGTCTCCTGTGCAGTCTCCCTCATACTTTATTGGCCAAAACTGTGTCACAGGCCCAAGTCTAAACCATTCACCAGTGAGGGGGATAGGAAACATGATTGGCTTAGAGTTTAAGCTTTAGACTAGTGGAGAATCACCTGCTGGTATTACAAGGCTCAGAGAGGGGAACAGAATCCGTCAGGCATGCTAGCAAGGAAGAGAGGAAGATGCTGCCGGGAGGGCAGGCAACAGTGAGTGCATGCCATGGAAGCACTGGCTCGTGGCGACAGGCAGTCGTTGGGGGAGACTGGGGGAGATTCCACTCAGGGGATCAAGAAACAGCTGTCTTTCTCGTGACTCACTCTACCACTGCGGACAGCCTTTCTCCCTGCGTTGAGGAGAGCTTCATGGCCACAAACAGCTCCTGAATTCTGTGGTCCCAGCTTAGTGACCCCAGAGGAAAACAGGTTTCTCCCAGCTTTGGCCTGAATAAACCTACAAGACCTGGCCTGGCCCATGAGCCAGACACTCCCACTGGAGAGATGGAGGATCGTGATGGACAGGCCAGGGTCACTGCCCTCTCCAGGGCCTGGGGGCAGAGTATTGGAATTGGCAGCCCCCGAGAACCAAGTGTACACGGGGAGGGCATTTCTCCAGAGCAAGGGAACAGATGCTGGGCCAGCCAGAGCAACAGCTATTCCCCAGTGCCTTGATGGTTGAGCCTGGGGGTGTGTAAGCCCAGAGAACCCAGCCAGGGTGTCAGGAAAATCTTTTCTGGGTCATGAAGGATGAATACACATTTCCCAAGCATACAGGGGCAATATGGGCATTTGAAAGATAATGTACAGCTTCAGCAAAGGGCTGGAGGCAGGAAGGTGCATGGAGGGGCCTGGGAGCAGAGAATCAGGGAGTGGGCATAGCTGAGTTCAGGGAAAAGAGGCTGGAAAGAGGTGGGCAGAGGCCAGATTTGGGAAGCCAAGGATGCCACTCTAAGGAGCTTGGACACTGCCCCGTAGGCCACTGGAAGACTCCGAGCAGGGAAGTGGTGCTGTCATATTTGGTTTCTGATACTTAGGGTCTGGTTTTCTGGGCTAGGGAGAAGACCCACTGCCTTCTACTGCTAGGACTAGTGCTCAGTGGCAGAAAGGCAGAACAGTGAAGTGCTCATATGCTGACATCAGGCTGCCTGGACTTGAATCTCAGCTCTGCCACTTGCTGACCGTGTGGCCTTGGGGAGAAGACTTGTCCTCTCTGAGCCCTGGTTTCTAGAACTGTAAAATGGTGACAATAGTCTCTGCCACTCAAAATTGAATGGTACCAGGATTGAGAGAGAAAATCTGTAAATCACTGCGTTGTACATTCAAGGCAGGAAGAGGCAGGCAGGGCAAGGGTACCTATCCATGTATTAGGGAAGCACAAGCTTATTCAGAATCCCTGTGCACGCACCTCTGTGTACCTGTTGTTGGCCAGATGAAGGTTGCAGTGAGCCAAGATCACACCACTGCACTCCAGCCTGGGTGACAGAGTAAGACTCCGTCTCAAATATATATGTATATATGTATAAAGAAATAAAAATTAAATGGCCAGGCGTGGTGGCTTACGCCTGTAATCCCAGCACTTTGGGAAGCTGAGGTGGGCAGATCACAAGGTCAGGAATTCGAGACCAGCCTGACCAACATGGTGAAACCCTGTCTCTACTAAAAATACAAAAATTAGCCAGGCATGGTGGCGCATGCCTGTAATTTCAGCTACTCAGGGGGCTGAGGCAGGAGAATCACTTGAACCCGGGAGGCAGAGGTTGCAGTGAGCCGATATTGCGCCACTGGACTCCAGCCTGGGCAACAGAGCGAGACTCCATCTCAAAAAAAAAAAAAAAAAAATGTTGGCCAGAGCTGACCCCCTACCTGCAAGTAAGGAATTCAAGGAACAGGATTTTCCTGATTGGCTTAGTCTTGCACCACACTTATCACCTGGGAAGGCTGCCTAACACAAAACCAGGACTGGATTAGTAAAGAAGGCATGAGGTAGCAGTTAACTGTGTACAAATCATCTAATCTTCACTATCACCCTGAGGGGTCAGTTCTGTTGTCTACCCGTTTCACAGGTGACAAAACTAAGGCAGGTAAGTAACCTGTGCAGAGCACAGAACTAGGATTCAGACCTACAGACCCACAAGTCAGCCTCTAAGGCCCACTTATAACTGCTCTTCTGCTTGCAAGGCCCTATGGATGAAATCCAGTTATAACCTCCTTTTGCTATAACTAGACACAGAGGGAGGCGTTTCTCCCTAATCTGTATTTATCCAGACAAGCTGTCCAGCAAGATTTCTGAGTGAGGGGCTTTAAGGAAGCAATCTGCGGGTGTGTAGCCTTTTCTCCCTCAGCAAATACAGAAGGAGCTTATAGCCCGGGCTCACCCTGCTTCAGAACAAGGGCCAACATCTGTCCATACCCCTGTTATAGTGAGATGGGAAACCTTGTAGATGTTGGCACTGTGTGGCTCTTTTCTTTTATATACTGGGCTTTAGGGTCAATCCCATTTAACCAAAGGGTTCAATAGCTATAAAAAGGCGTTGAAATTGTATGGTTATTTGAGTTATAGCTCAGTAAAGGCATTAAATCTTCAGCCTAGATGACCCTATTCCTCCCCACTCTAACCAGCTGTGACTCCAGATGGAGACATTGCCCTGCATCCTCTCACGTCCCCATCCCCCACATCCCACCCAGAAACAAATGTGTGAGTTTCATACAACAAGAATGGGGGGTTAGGAGTCAAAGTAAGCTGGGAATACAAAAATGGGGCGGGCGTCTAAAATCCCAGCTACTCAGGAGGCAGGAGAATCACTTGAGCCTAGGAGACAGAGGTTGCAGTGAGCCAAGATCGTGCCACTGCACTCCCGATTACAGTCCTCATTGCCCTGGGCAATAGAGCAAGCCCCGTCTCAAAAAAAAAAAAAATACAAAGTAGGCCGGGAGCGGTGGCTCACGCCTGTAACTCCAGCACTTTGGGAGGTCGAGGCGGGAGGATCACGAGGTCAGGAGATCAAGACCATCCTGGCTAACACGGTGAAACCCCGTCTCTACTAAAAATACAAAAAATTAGCTGGGTGCGGTGGTGGGCGCCTGTAGTTCCAGCTACTTGGGAGGCTGAGGCGGGAGAATGGCATGAACCCAGGAGATGGAGCTTGCAGTGAGCCGAGATTGCGCCACTGCACTCCAGCCTGGGTGACAGTGCGAGACTCCGTCTCAAAAAAAAAAAAAAATGTAAACTGGGCTCCAGCTGACTCCTCACATTCCCGCCTCCCGCTTCAGTGGTGTTTCCCCAGGATCTGCTGGAGAAAGGCCTCGAAGCAAACAACTTTGCCATGCTGGGACTTGGAGATGTCGTCATTCCAGGTGAGCCTGCTGGTGTGGGGGCTATGTGAAAGGGGTGGAGAGGGTATTCCCCGGAGCAAGGGGATTACTGCTAAACAGACAGGCTTACCAGCTGAGAAAGAGAAAAGGTAAGGCTGGATCAGGCCAGGGATTGGTGAAGGGTTCCCCCTTAACATCCGTTTACGGAGGGCCAGTCAGGTGCCATGCCCCAAGCTGGGTCCTGGTCAGGTGTCAGTGAACAAGACTGTCTTCACAGAGCCTCTGGTCTAGGTGAGCAGATGTTGCTCAAGAACTACAAAAGTAAAAGTCTAATGACAGATTGAGGTACACTCTGAAAAAGCACGTTTCATGACAATCTTAACAGACTGGACCCCTGTCACACACACCCACACATACACATACCCCTTCCCAGCATCTGCAAGCATCACAGATGTACCAGAATTGCCCTAGCCCCCTTGCTCCTCCTCCCTGTGCCAAGACATCTCCAGGGAGAACACACACATGGGCTCCTGTCTGCACTCTCAGCAGAGGAGCATGTGCGTGCACACCTGCTTATCTGCAGAGGCTGGCCTTTGAGCCCCTGGATCTGCGTGTGGGTTCTAGTCAGTGTGTCTGTGGGTATGGACACGGGCCCTGTCCACAATCCAAGCAGGATAGCACATCCTGCGCAACCACAGCCTGGCCTCACTTTGGGGCAGGAGCAGCTCAAACTACCAGTCAGGAAAGAGACTAAGGGCAAAGCTGAGCTGCTGAAGTGGCTGAGGCTCGGGTGTGTCTGCTTATCTGGGCCCAGTTGTGGGGGCAGTGAACCCAAGGGACATACTTGTCTTCCTAGCCTCAGAGTGAGAGGGTTAGAAGCTTGCTTAAAAGAAGGTTTTAGCTGGGCACAGTGGCTCACACCTGTAATTCCAACACTTTGGGAAGCTGCGTGGGGAAGATCACTTGATGCCAGGAGTTCAAGACCAGTCTGGACAACATAGCAAGACCTCATCTCTACAAAAAAAAAAAAAAATTAGCCAGTCGTGGTGGCTCATGCCTGTAGTCCCAGCTACTCTGGAGGCTGAGGTAGGAGGATCGTTTGAGCCCAGGAGTTCAAGGCTGCAGTGAGCTATGATTGTGCCACTGCACTTCAGCTTGGGTGACAGAGTGAGACCCTGTCTCTTAAAGAAGGAGGTCTGGCCTGGGCAAATTGTGAGACCATATATATATATAAAATTATTATTTCTCCTTTTTTTTTTTTTTTGAGACGGAGTTTTGCTCTTGCCCAGGCTGGAGTGCAATAACGCGATCTCGGCTCACTGCAACCTCTGCCTCCCTGGTTCAAGCGATTCTCGATTCTCCTGCCTCAGCCTCCCAAGTAGCTGGGATTATAGGCATGCACCACCACGCCCGGCTGATTTTGTATATTTAGTAGAGATGGAGTTTCTTCATGTTGGTCAGGCTGGTCTCAAACTCCCGACCTCAGGTGATCCACCTACCTCGGCCCCCACAAAGTGCTGAGATTACAGGCATGAGCCACCACGCCTGGCCGACCCCGTCTATATTTTTTAAAAGAAGAGGAATTATTTTAAAGCAGCAGATTAAAGGCTGACTTACTTTCCAGGGTAGGATATTATAGCAATTCTGATCACCTAGGGTGATACAGGCACTTCTATTTGTGACAGTTGCATTTTGTGACACATGGAGGTGACACAGAGGCTTTCCCTGTTTTACCAGTGAGGAAACTGAAGCTCAGAAGTAAAGGGAATGATACAAATTCACACACTAGTAAGCAACAGGGCCAGGACTCAGACCAGCACTGTCCAACTGCAAAAAAGGCTACGCTGTCAGAACTGCTCCTTACAGCAGCACTAGCAGTAATAAGACGGTAATCACAACAGCTACCATTTATCAAGCACCTGTCGTGTACCAAGAATGGTGCTAGGTGGCCGGCCGGGCACGGTGGCTTAAGCCTGTAATCCCAGCACTTTGGGAGGCTGAGGCGGGTGGATCATGAGGTCAGGAGATCGAGACCATCCTGGCTAACATGGTGAAACCCCGTCTCTACTAAAAATACAAAAATTAGCCAGGCGTAGTGGCGGGCGCGTGTAGTCCCAGCTACTCGGGAGGCTGAGGCAGGAGAATGGCATGAACCCGGGAGGTGGAGCTTGCAGTGAGCCAAGATTGCACCACTGCACTCCAGCCTGGGCCACACAGCCAGACTCCATCTCAAAAAAAAAAAAAAAAAGAATGGTGCTAGGTACTTTTTATATGTCATCTTTACTTCTCCCAGCAGTCCAGTGAGATAGAGGGCATTTCCATTTTACAGATAAGGAAACTGAGGTTTGACTTGCCTGAGGCCACGAGGGTATGGGCTTGCACCCATGTGTCTTCATAATTTGCAGTGCTGTGAGGCAGGGAGACTTGCTTCCCCAGTAGAAGGCATCTCTGTCAGACAAAAGAAATGGAGTCCTGTAAAGCATCTGGCTCACTCTTAAGGGCACGGTCTGTCATTCACCCACACAAACTTCCCCTGTGTCCTTGTCATAAGTTCCAGGCTTGAGACAGGCACAGGACATCTCGGCATATCTGTCCTTTCCCCACCCTCTATATATATCCCCAGTAGTCCCGCAATCACAATAAATGTAAGTTGATCACAGTGGAGCGTTGTTTGGAAGGCCAGATGCACTTTAGGAGTGAAAATCCCTGGCAGAGCTCTGACCCCTGGATTAGTTGGAGAACACTCGTAGAAATCAGCCGCCAGGGGGCACTGAGTTCCCAGCTTGATTCCAGAATAACTGCAGTTGTCTGCTCTATCCCCAACCAACTCCCTACTCCTACAGAGTATTCATTGAGAACTAATTCATTTCCCTCTTTAAAATTAATCATATGTTGACAGTTGACAGGCAGTGCTTCTTTTTTTTTTTTTTTTTTTTTTTTGAGATGGAGTTTTGCTCTTGTTGCCCAGGCAGTGCAATGGCACAATCTAAGCTCACTGCAACCTCCACCTCCCAGGTTCAAGTGATTCTCCTGCCTCAACCTCCCAAGTAGCTGGGATTACAGGCATGTGCCACCATACCCAGCTAATTTTGTATTTTTAGTAGAGACGGGGTTGCACCATTTTAGTCAGGCTGGTCTTGGAACTCCTGACCTCAGGTGATCCGCCTGCCTCGGCCTCCCAAAGTGCTGGGATTGCAGGCGTGAGCCACCGCACCCGGCCAGGCAGTGCTTCTCAGCGCCTTCCTTCAAGTAAATGAGACTCAGAGCCCAGAGCCCAGTAAGGGAGGCGACACACAGGGTGTGCGTATAGCACAGGGACAGGACTGGTTGGCTGTGTTTTGGGGTTGCTTAGGCTTCCGGGATGTCTCTTTCTTTTTCTTTTTTCTTTTTTAGCAGAACCATTGCTTACAATTGGCTTGGTTTTCAAGTTTCAGAGTGCAGTGGGTGGACCGAGGTAACCCTCTCCTGTGCTCCTGTGGAGCCTTCAAATAGCCCACTGCTTGCCCCTCCTCCTCCCCCCTCCAGCCACGCACTGCCACAGGGGCCTTTTTCAAAATGTGTTTAGGTTGTTCTGCTCAGAACTCCTCCAGTGCGTCTCTTCACTCAGGATAAAGACCCAACTCCTCCCCATGGTCCTCGGGGCCCTGCAGGGCTGGTCTATCTCCTCATCTCCTGCCAGTAGGCAAGCTGCCTTAGTGACCCCTCAGTCCCTGCCACATCTCCTGAGCACTCTTTCTCCAGGACCTTTGCACATGCTGTTCTCTCCTCCTGGCGTGTGGCATTTCCAAGAAGCCTTCCTTCTTTCCCCTCCTTCACCCCTGCCCAGCCTAGGTCTCATCCTGTTACACCTTCTTACAACATGGGAAGCACAATTCTCCTGCCTCAGCCTCCCAATAGCTAGAATTGCAGGCGTGCACTGCCATGCCCAGCTCATTTTGGGGTTTTTTGTATTTTGAGACAGAGTCTCACTCTGTCGTCCAGGCTGGAGTGCAGTGGCGTGATCTCGGCTCACTGCAACCTCTGCCTCCTGGGTTCAAGCGATTCTCCTGCCTCAGCCTCCCGAGTAGCTGGGACTACAGGTGCCTGCCACCACGTCTGGCTAATTTTTGCTTTTGTTTTTTGTTGTTGTTTTGTTTTGTTTTGTTTTTTTGAGACAGAGTCTCGCTGTGTCACCAGGCTGGAATGCAGTGGCGCGATCTTGGCTCACTGCAACCTCCACTTCCTGGGTTCAAGTGATTCTTGTGCCTCAGCCTCCCGAGTAGCTGGGACTACGGGCACATGCCACTATGTCTGGCTAATTTTTGTATTTTTAGTGAGACGAGGTTTCGCCATGTTGGCCAGGATGGTCTGGAACTCCTGACCTCGTGATCCACCCACCTCTGCCTTCCAAAGTGGAAGCACTCTTTAACAGTCACAATCTCACAATGATTTCCGTGACTATTTGAGGTATGTCATAGTGTGGCTACCCTGTCCCCCTGGCTGAGCTCTGTGGGAGCAGCGATTTTGCCTACTCCTACATTTCCCATAGTGCCTGGTACATAGGCACTTGATAAGCATTTGGGCAGACACGGTGTGACATAGTATGATGCGGTGAGGTGCTGGGTCATTGTAGTCCCAGGCCAAAGCAAAATCCTGGGCCCCTCTCATTGTTCTAGGTAGAGAAATGGGACTTTCTGCTGTCACTTGAGAGTATTGGCCACACCCTTGGTCTCCAATGATTGCTCCAAGATGGAACACCAGGTTGGGGACCAGGACCCAGTCTCCTGTTAGTTCACTGCCCTGCTGCTTCCCTGCCACTCTCTAACCCCAGCTTTCTCCCACAGGGATCTTCATTGCCTTGCTGCTGCGCTTTGACATCAGGTGAGTGAGTGAGGGCCTGCCCCAGCATGGGCTTCTCCAGGGATTCTCCAGTGGCCTTCAGGAGCCCAGAGAAGGTACCTCAGGAGACCAGACCCTCCACCCCCACAGCAGCCAGAGCAATTCTGATTTTATCTGCATTTTGCATCTTGAAGTTCTAAGTATTTGAAGAGCCTGTGGTCAAAAAATTGTTTTAAGAATCATAGGCCAAGAGATTTAAACCCACAAGGGCCTGGTGGTACTCACAGTGCTTTCTCACTGTGTGACCTTGACAAGTGGCCTGACCTTCCTGAGCCTCTGGTTTCTCATCTTGAGTTAATAACAAGAGTTCCTACCATGAAAATCTGGAGAGAGTGCTGAGCACACACTGACCTCAGTCGCTCTTGGTTGAATCCTGGTTGCAGTCATCATCATCATCTTTTATCAGCCTAGCGTCAGGTCACCATGTCTCAGCTGCTCTAGCTGTTCCCTGCCCTCTCTTTACTCAGACATTTTTCAGTCTGTTGTAGACAGTGAGCACGAGGGGGAGAAGGTGGGCAACTTAGGTCAGCGTTTAAAACACAAGAAAGGTCTTATCCAAGTTAATGCACCTATGCAATGGGACTTGCCGTCAGCAGGGGGCGCCAGCAACAGCTCCATCATTTTATGCCCCGTCATCCCTGTGAGGGCTGGCAATGTTGCACTTAACTTTGAGGTGGTTTGTGAACTTCTCTTGATTTCCTCATGCCTGATAGTTGCAAAAGCAGTAATAACAGTGACAGTGGTAATGAGAAACTTACTACCAGCATCATTGAAATCCAGTTTCCATGTGAAACTTAGGTTTTTCCCACTCACATACACCTGGGTTATTTGTGTAGTGCCACTTCAAACCTTAGGAGCATATGGGCTCACAGTCACCTTTGGAAGAGACCTGGCCAGTCTGTAAGTAGAGGGATGTCTGTGCCAGCCGTCTCTACTCCTGGCTGTTCAGAGGTAATACAAAGTGAAACCCATAAGAAGCCCCCAGGCTATTTGCTGGAGACAGATTCAACTGCCAGCACCCTCAGAGACAGAGTCTCATTTTTTAGCCTGGGCTCACAGCATAAGCAGCTCCTCAGCTGATTTCCAGAATCAGTGCAACATTCCCAAAGGGAGTCACTTGTATCCCAGTTCTCAAGATAGGTGAGTTCTCAAGGTACTTGCAGCCGAAGGCTTAGAAGCACCCAGGACAAGGAGAGAAGGGGGTCAGAAGCACTCATTCATTCCACAAATGTTAATTGAGTCCATAGTACTGGCTGGGCACATCCCAGGTGCTGGGGACATGCAGAGGTTACGGAGCTGGCATTGGAGAGGGAAGTCACGTAATGGCAATGCCGGGCTGTATATGATTCATCTGTTCTGAAGCTGATCTTGGATGAATCACCTCCAGGAAGCCACTGGCATTTATTCATGCAGCCAGCATCTAGTTAGTACCACAAATAGGCTATTGAACTATTACGTCCACTGCACTTAAAAGTAGTAACTTATCTTTGCAGTTTCTGTATCTGTGTTTCTCAAAGCATGATCCAACGGTATGAGATTCACCTCAGATGTTTTTTTCAAAATGCAGATTCCTGGGCCCTGCTCTAGAGCTATTAGATCAGACTCCCTGGGGGTGGGACCTAGAATCCTGCATTTTTTCACAAGCTTTCCAGATGATTTTTATGCTGACTAAAGTCTTACAGCCACTGTTATAAGTTGCAGCATTTGATATTCATAACTACCAAGGAGATGAGCTCATTTTCCCATTTTGCAGATGAGTAAACTGAGGCTAAGAGAAGGAAAGCAACTTGTCCAGAGACACATAGCTGGGGGCAGTATCAGCGTGCACACCCACCTCCAGACTCCCAGCCCAGAGCTCAGTCACCCCCCCACAACCTCTAG
The DNA here is from genome assembly GCF_000001405.40 of Homo sapiens. Taxonomy (NCBI): domain Eukaryota; kingdom Metazoa; phylum Chordata; class Mammalia; order Primates; family Hominidae; genus Homo; species Homo sapiens. The sequence continues at coordinate 31,561,547 of NC_000020.11, forward strand.
GGTCTTCCCCAGCTCCCTCAGAAGGGGTATTACTAGTTCAGTCCCTATATCTAACCCTCCTCCTCTTTCTTCACACCTTCCCTGCAGCTTGAAGAAGAATACCCACACCTACTTCTACACCAGCTTTGCAGCCTACATCTTCGGCCTGGGCCTTACCATCTTCATCATGCACATCTTCAAGCATGCTCAGGTGGGCAGGACGGTATCAGAGTGTCAGGAATGCCTCACTGCAAATAGAGGGACTTACAGAGGGATTTATTTGTAAATGCAAGCAGTCCAGAGATAGGCACTCCCCACTGGTGTTGGAGCAGTCATGTCTGTGATTCTCTTGGCCTTCCATTTGTGGTTGCAAGATGGCTGCCACTGCTCTAGGCAGCATGGGCACGTTAGAGGCAAGAAGGAGGGAAAAGCGTAACAGCCATGCCTGCTGCCTTCATCAGGAAGGCAGGAACTTTCCCAGAACCCTTTCAGCATCTCATGGGCCAGACTGGGGTCCTAAAGCCACCCTGGCTACAGGAGAGTCCAGGAAAGAGGATTTGGCTTCTCAGCCTTGGTAGTGGGAAGCAGGCAGAGAAGAACAGGATTGGAGTGGGTGTTGGGTATTGGGGCGTCCCTCCCCCTACTCCCTAGTAGACCAGGCTCTGCCTCCTTCTCCCACCAAGATGAGGATGGAGTACTGAGCTGCCACAGAATGAAGCAACATAGCACAAAGACTGGGAGCCCTCAGTGTGGCCTGGAGAGGGGAAGATTCAGGGGAAAGTGAGCAGACAGGATTGCCCTACTTTCTACTGGAAATAATAAGAGCTCCTGTTTGTTAAGCACTTCCACATGTCAGGCTCTGCACTCATGAGGATCCTTGTGAACAGGTGGGGAAACTGGAGTTCAGGTGACACACTGCAAGTATGTGGTAAAGCCAGGATTCAAACCTGGGTCAGCATGGAAACCACACCCAGGCTCTCAAGCCCTGGCCATGGGAAACGCAGCATTGAACAGGGGCTAAGGGAGCCCTGTTGTGAATCCCAGCACCACCCAGTAACCATGGAACTCTGGGCTTGCTGCTTCTGTCCCCTTTCCCCTTCCCCAGGGCCCAAATACAGACGAGCCATCTTTGAATTAATCACAAAAGCTGGGGTTTTTTTAATCACTCTGTGCCAGGCACTGTGCTAAACTCTTTTGCTAATAACTCATTTAGTCCTAGTACAGTATTACTTTATAGAAGGTCAAAAGGCCCCTAGCCCATAATTAGAAAAACCAAGAACAACCATTGTGGAACTGCCTCTCACTTCTGCTCAAGGGCTTCAATGGCGTGTAAGGTGAGAGTAACATGCGTATGGCAAGGGTCACAGAGAGTGACTGGACCTGGTTTGGAGGACTAGTTAAGAGACCTTTTGGAGGTCTCTGCAGCTCCCGGCCCCTTATTGGAGTCCAAGCCCAGAGCCAATTCCCCCAGTGGCCATAAGGTGGCAGCCTCACCCTCTGCCTGGCTGGACTGAGAAGAGGCTCCCATTCAGAGCTCTGGCACACAGGAGTCCTCTCCTTTATCGGAAAACTGCAGCGCTGAGAGAACGCGAACACTACATCAGGCTGGGCCCTGGGTGGCGATCTGGACTCCAGACTAATGAACTCCTGAACCCTGCCCCAAGGCCTGTGTTACTCCCCAGCAGCAGCCCAGCCCTTCTCCCCAGTCATCCAAGTGGGTACCTCTCTGAAAATCCTTGGAAAGGGGATCCAGGACATGAGGGGACCCTGTCCCATGGGGTCCCCTGCTCTCCAACACACAGGTAGTCCCAGTGCTAGCATTGGTCTAGGTAAGGGTCACCTCTGCCTTTGTGCAGTGGTGTGATCTCAGCTCATTGGAGCTCCGCCTCCTGGGCTCAAGCAATTCTCCTGCCTCAGCCTCCCAAGTAGCTGGGATTACAGGCGTGCACCACCACACCCAGCTGATTTTTATATTTTTAGTAGAGACAGGGTATCACCATGTTGGCCAGTCTGGTTTCAAACTCCTGACCTCAACTGACCTGCCCACCTCAGCCTCCCAAAGTGCTGGGATTACAAGCGTGAGCCACCACACCCATCCTACTTAGGGATTGTTAGATTCAATAATTTAATATACATAAAGCAGTATTGATCACAGCCCACCTATGACAGATGGCAAGAAATAAGTCTGAATGTTAGGATCAAGGGCATGCGGGAAAGACTTCTTTGTTCTCTGGCCAAGGGCTGGCTTTACGTTAAGAATGAAGTCTCCGGCCAGGCGTGGTGGCTCACACCTGTAATCCCAGCACTTTGGGAGGCCAAGGTGGGTGGATCACCTGAGGTCGGGAGTTTGAGACCAGCCTGACCTACATGGAGAAACCCCATCTCTACTAAAAACACAAAATTAGCCGGGCTTGGTGGAGAATGCCTGTAATCCCAGCTACTTGGGAGGCTGAGGCAGGAGAATCGCTTGAACTGAGAGGCGGAGGTTGCAGTGAGCCGAGATCGCACCACTGCACTCCAGCCTGGGCAACAAGAAGGAAACTCTGTCTCAGAAAAAAAAAAAAAAAGAATGAAGTTTCCTCACCCTCTCCAGGACAATCTCTTCACTTCATGAGCACCCATGAAGACGCACCATGAAGGAGCCATTCACTGAGTATTTACCAGGCCCTCTTCAGTATGCAGGGCACACTACGGTGAGCAAGACAGCTGTGGGCCCGCCCTCACTGAACTCACCACCTATGGGGATGTTCCATTACAAATTGCTGGGGAGGCCAGGCACGATGGCTCACACCCATAATCCCAGCACGTTGGGAGGCAAAAGCAGGTGGATCACTTGAGCTCAGGAGTTCAAGACCAGCCTGGGGAAAATGGTGACAACCAGTCTCTACAAAAAATACAAAAATTAGCCAGGCATGGAGGCGCACACCTGTAGGCCCAGCAACTTGTAGGACTGAGGCGAGAGGATCACTTGAGCCCAGGAGGTCAAGGCTACAGTGAGCCATGTTCATATCACTGCACTTCCGTCTGGGAGACAAAGTGAGACCCTGTCTCAAAAAAAAAAAAATTGCTGAGGAATGCTGTGAGGGAAATTAGAGGGACTTACAGAGCACGTAGCAAGGGACCTGACTCCATGTGAAAGAACTCAAGTGCACCAGCCTGGCCAACATGGTGAAACCGCATCTCTACTGAAAAATACAAATATTAGCCGGGCATGGTGGCGCATGCCTGTAATCCCAGTTACTCAGGAGGCGGAGGTTGCAATGAGCCAAGATCGCACCATTGCACTCCAGTCTGGGAGACAGAGCAAGACTCTATCTCAAAATCACAAAAAAAAAAAAAAAGAAAAGAAAAGAAACTCGGCCAGGCGCGGTGTCTCACGCTTGTAATCCCAGCACTTTGGGAGGCCAAGGCAGGCAGATCACAAGGTCAAGAGATCGAGACCATCCTGGCCAACACGGTGAAACCCTGTCTCTACTAAAAATACAAAAAAATTAGCCGGGCATGGTGGCAGGCACCTGTAGTCCCAGCTACTCCGGAGGCTAAGGCAGAAGAATGGTGTGAACCTGGGAGGCAGAGCTTGCAGTGAGCCAAGATCACACCACTGCACTCCAGCCTGGGTGACAGAGCCAGACTCCATCTCAAAAAAAAAAAAAAAAGAAAGAAACTCTTTGGGCTGGGCGTGGTGCCTCAGGCCTATAATCCCAGCAATTTGGGAGGCCGAGGCAGGTGGATCACCTGAGGTCAGGAGTTCGAGACCACCATGGCGAACGTGGTGAAACCCCATCTCTAGTAAAAATACAAAAATTAGCCAGGCGTGGTGGCAGGCACCTGTAGTCCCAGCTACTCAGGAGGCTGAGGCAGGAGAATCGCTTGAACCCTGGAGGCGGAGGTTGCAGTGAGCCAAGATTGCACCATTGCACTCCAGCCTGGGCAACAAGAGTCAGAGACTCTGTCTCAAAAAAAAAAAAAAAAAAAGATTTGGGTCTCTGAGTCCTGGGCTATTTTCCCTCTCCTTGTGAAGCATTGGTCTTCCTCCTCTGCAAAAGGATAACCATCATGGGATGTGGCAGTGGGCTGACTTCCTGGGAAGGCTAAGCTCAGTGCCTGCACAGTAGATGTTCATGAACAGGGTCTTAGTATAACCGTCCTTTTCTCCAAACCCAGCTTTACCAGGAGTCTCAGCACAGACATGCCAAATTGCTTGGGTGTGAATCCTGGGGGAGCCAGTGACCAGCTAGGTCACCTTAATACAGGCTGCAACAAGTAGTTATTACATAGCAGCTGTGGTGTCATCATCACTATAATAGCATCTCCTGGAGCATTTGCTAAAATGCAGGTGTGAGCCCCAGACCTCAGGAAGCAGAGTCTCTGGGAGTAGGACCAAACCAGGAAGTTGCTTTTTGAACCTGGTGACCTAGGTGATTCAGATGCTGCCAGCCAAACCCCTGGGAACCCTTGAAGCCCTGCCTACTTGAGTTTCTTAGTTTTCTTGCATTCCCTCTCGGGAGGAGCAACCCTTGTCTGGGAGTTAGGAGCCCTGGGTTCAGGCCCAGCCACTGACTTGCTATGGTCCTGGACCAGTCACTGTCCTTCAGTCCAGCCCAGAAGGGGTTTGGGGTGCTGGGCACGGCCCTGAGGCAGTGCCGTGCCCAGCATGGCTTCACCAGCCTGTGTCCTCTCATAGCCTGCCCTCCTATACCTGGTCCCCGCCTGCATCGGTTTTCCTGTCCTGGTGGCGCTGGCCAAGGGAGAAGTGACAGAGATGTTCAGGTAAGGCAGAGTGGGGGGCAGATGTCCTCATGGGCACCAGTGTGCCTGCTGGCAGTCAGTGGAACCTGCTGGGGGTATCTTTACACCTCTCCAGGGGAACATTGTTCCTGCCACCAGCCCCACCCCTTGCCTTTTTCAGCAGTACATGGGTACCTGGCCTGTGGACACCAGTGGGAACCTTACCCTGGGCCAGGAGCCAGGGGAGCGCAAGGCATCAGAGCCCTCTAGGCATCCCCCATCCAAATGTTAGCTGGATCTTAAGAATAGCTGTTGTGGATTTTTCTCTGCCTACTGTCAGAAGTCCTAGGTGACTCTGCCCCCAGGTGACTTCAGGCATGTCTTCCCCTCCCATGGCCTCAGTTTTCACATGTGAGTAATAGAACAGGGGGCGTGTGGGATGCCCTAGTGTGGTAGAAAGTGCCCCGAGTAGAAGGCAGGTGTCAGTCCCTGTTCATTCACCTCTGTGGCTTTAACCCACAGCTCACTGCTTTCTCTATATCTGTATCTCACACAGATACCCCTTCCCCAGGGCCATATCCACACCTACCACACCCTGCACACAGCCCCACCCATACCGCAAGGCCTGCGTGACTCCAACAGGTGTCTGCCCCCAGCACTGCCGACCCTGCCTGCCAGGGACCTAGAAATAGCTGTCAGTTGCGATTAAAGCTGCCTACTCGGGTGCCTTCCGCCCAGTTCCACCTGCCTGGCCTCCAAGCTGTCCCTAGAGCGCTTGCCAGGGCCTCCTGTGCACCTGGCTCCCCGCAGGGGAGCCTGTGACTCACCCCTCCCCCGGACCTGCCTCTGCCCTCCCTGTCCTGTCTAGAATCCCCAGCCCCCCGCCTGCCTGCCCACATTGCCTCGCCCAGCAAAGCTCTGTGGTCTGAGGCAAGTGGGGGCTAGGGGTGAACTTGGGGACAGGTCTCAGGGAGCTTTGGGAGCAGGCATGGCACCCGATCCCTGAGCTTAGCACCCATCCTTCACCCTCCCTCTGCTTCCCATCCAGCCCAGGTTTCCCTGCCCCTCCCCTTGGGGTAACCACCCAATGCTATTGTGCCCTCATCAGGCAAAGCTCTGAATACACAAGGCAGAGGGTGCCCCTGGCCTTTACCTGCTTGGTGCTAAATGCTCTGCCATACAGGTACCCTGCCCCCACTGTTTGCCCTCCACTCCCACCCTGGACATTCTTAGATTGGGGTAAAAAGCAAGTGATCTCTCTCTCTCTCTCTCTCCCTCCTTTCTCCCCATTTCTCTCCCAATTCTCCACCTTTTTACTTTTCCCTTCTATTCTCCTCCTTTTTTTATTGATTTACTTATTTTTATATTGGTACCACATTCACATAGTTAAAAATTCCAAAGCTGTAACAGAGAGAGCACCCTCATGCTCCAGCTACCCCACAGAGGCCAGCAGTGTTACACAGACATTCAGACACCTGTGCACTGATGTGTGTATACTTTTTCTTGCACAGACGGTGGCATTCTTGGAGCATTCTGCACATTGGGTTTCTACGGTATTTCTTAGAGGTGTTTCCACAGCAGCACATACACTTCTAGAGCATGCTTGTTCTTCTGCACAGTGGCCTGATGTGCCTTTGTCTAGGTGCATCTTTCTTTTTTCATTCTCCAAATAATATCAGCTTCTTTCCATAAAATCTGGAAGTGCAAAAATAGGTAAAAACAAGACAGTTCTGCTCTCTGCTCCTTGGAAAGGAAGTCTCTGTCCTCCCTTAGTCTTTCCCTATCCATCTCTTTTTTTCTGTCTCTTCTCTCTCTCTCACACAGCTACGAGTCCTCGGCGGAAATCCTGCCTCATACCCCGAGGCTCACCCACTTCCCCACAGTCTCGGGCTCCCCAGCCAGCCTGGCCGACTCCATGCAGCAGAAGCTAGCTGGCCCTCGCCGCCGGCGCCCGCAGAATCCCAGCGCCATGTAATGCCCAGCGGGTGCCCACCTGCCCGCTTCCCCCTACTGCCCCGGGGCCCAAGGTAGGGCAGACACTGCAGCTCCAGTGCATAGGGCAGGGACCATTGCCAGGAGTAGGCCGCAAGAGCAGCTCCTCCACAACCACCAGGCAGTGGTTGCACCGAGCCATAGGGCTGGGAAGCAGGACAACCCCGAAGCTTCCTGCCCTCACCAGTAATGCGGGGCCCACATCATAGTGGATGGAAATGGCCCTTGTCATGCAGTAGTAGATACTGTTACCATTCAAGGTATATGTATAACCTTAGGCAAGTTACTTTCTTCATCTGTAAGTGGGCACATTCCTGCCTCACGGGGTTTATCTGGTGAGGAAAGATTTGTATTATCTTTGGCATGAACTCAGTTGCTTGAAAAATGAAGCCCATAGAAGAAGCTAAGCCAGGGTGTCTGTCTTCAGAGCAGCACCTTGCCGCTTGCCAGTACAGCAGTGCCCTCACCTCTGGGGCTGAGCTGTTTGATTCATGCTGTGTGCCCTGGGAGGCAGCCTATCTCCATCTCTTGTAGCCTTGTCATGGCCACCCCTTTTTCCACGCTACAGCAGAAGGTTCAGGAAGCTTGAAATCAGCCCACACAAGCCCAGGCCCAACCTCTCTTCCATTGGCTGCTGCCCTTGCTGCCTCCTGGTACCCCCAGGCTCAGAGAAAGCAGAGCAGCCTGCCTGAGGAGGGCATGTGGTAGGGCTGGGGCCAGGCGCTGTTAGGTGCTGGGCAGTGGACACAGGGCTGACGCTCTGCATGTGACCAGGCGCTTTCCTAGGATGGGGGTGGGGGAAGGGGACAACCAAGGTTCTGCTCACCCTCTCCTCTAAATGAATTTTTATTGTTGTTTTTTTTTTTTTGGTCAGTTATGAGGAGTCAAATCCTAAGGATCCAGCGGCAGTGACAGAATCCAAAGAGGGAACAGAGGCATCAGCATCGAAGGGGCTGGAGAAGAAAGAGAAATGATGCAGCTGGTGCCCGAGCCTCTCAGGGCCAGACCAGACAGATGGGGGCTGGGCCCACACAGGCGTGCACCGGTAGAGGGCACAGGAGGCCAAGGGCAGCTCCAGGACAGGGCAGGGGGCAGCAGGATACCTCCAGCCAGGCCTCTGTGGCCTCTGTTTCCTTCTCCCTTTCTTGGCCCTCCTCTGCTCCTCCCCACACCCTGCAGGCAAAAGAAACCCCCAGCTTCCCCCCTCCCCGGGAGCCAGGTGGGAAAAGTGGGTGTGATTTTTAGATTTTGTATTGTGGACTGATTTTGCCTCACATTAAAAACTCATCCCATGGCCAGGGCGGGCCACTGTGCTCCTGGAAGATTCTCTGTTTAAGCACCCAGTGTCTTGCCCTGGGTTTTCTAGGTCTCACCTGCCCACCCAAAATCTTTTCTGCAAGCCCCTTAAGGGTGCCCACCCCAGTGCCTGGCCAGCCCTGCACCCGTAAAACACCTTTTAGCCAGTAGAGGGGGCCCACGAGCCCTCTCTCACCAGCTAGCACTTTTCTCACCACCTTCCTCGAAATACTTGGGGGCAGCAAGGGTGTTGGCAGATGAGAGTCTCCCACTCACCATGGTGAGAGTGGTGGGGAGTACCCAGGGCTGACCTGACTCACAAGGGAAGCAGTAACTGTAGAACCTGCCAGCCTCCCTGGTCCCTGTGCCCATATGGCTTCGGCTGATGAGGGCTCAGACTCTAGGTTGCCCTGAAGATCAAGGCTTTGTCTCCCATTCTGCCCATTCCTGGGTTTCTTCCCAAAATGACTACTGTGGGGCCAGTCATGGCACAAGGGCCAGGACCTCTAGAGGCTGGGGTGGGGAAGGACTGAGCTAGTGATTCTTAGAGGCCTTCTGGGGCCTAAGAGCTGAAATCTCAGCGCCCGGGTTTCCCTAAAGTTTGCTGAAGACAGCAGCCCCGGCCAGCAGGAGACCGACCGGGCACCACCCCAAACCAGGCAAACGGTGGCCACAACCCTCATCCACCCACCTGGTATGAGGTCACTGAGTGGGGAAACAGACAGGAGCGGGTGGCCACCATACTGACAGACCCGGGGCTCTCCCTTGCCCAAGCTTCAGGTTCAAAGGCTGAAAATAACAGTGGCTTCCAGTTTGGAAGTGGCCAAAGGACAATCATGACCAGAGACTCAGGAGTATGACTGTAATACCCTCACTAGGTATTGACATGCACTAAGCACCTTGATATAGGATTTCACTTCCTTCTGAGTCTTGGGCTGTATGTGCTATTATTCGCTCCGCTGTGCAGATGAGGGAATTGAGGCAGCTTGCCCATGGACATCGATTTGACCTTAGCCAAGCCAAACAATTCCAGGTTCCTAAGGACCGCAGCTCCTCCCCAGACCCCTGGGACCAAGTCACTGGCTGGTGTGCTGGGCATCCCTGAGCCCCAGCCACCCAATTTTACTGGCTCCAGGGTTCTATAGGAAGGAAAAGGGGTAGAAAATTTCAAAAGGCTTCTTCCTTTCAGGGAGGGGGGTTCCCTTTCAGGGGCTTCTGGAATCTCTACCCACTCCAGCCAACTCTGAGGCCATGTGGTCCTGGAACAAGGCCCCTCTGAGGCAGATGGGGCAGGCGGCCCAGGCACATAGCATGGTTGGCTCTGCGGCCCAGGGCGCACAAAGGCCTTATTGAGTCACCACCAGCCCCCGGCAGAGGCTGAGGTGGCAGTGGCGCCGAGCGCCTGCCACCTAATGACTGTCCTGGTCCAGCCAGATGTTCCACAGACCTCCGGAGCAGCGGACTAGGGCCCGCCCGGCCAGCCGGCACCGCAGAGGCCACTGTAATTCCAATTAACCAGCTTCAGCTGAGCAAACAGCGGGCAGTGGTGGCCCAGCCCAGGCGGTAGGCCTGGCCCGCAGAGCCTGCGAGTCTAGACTCCAGATGTGAACCGCCACCATCAGAGTCCCATGGAAAAATGGCACCAGGCCGGGCAAGGATTGGGCCTGCATGCTGGGGAGGGGGTGTGGGTGGTTGGGCAGGGCCCCGAGTGGGCTAGATGCCAGCCTCACCTGGTTTGGGGTGGATTATTAGGAAACTGCTCTAGAACCCAAGTTCTACCCTGCTTTATTAGATTCTGTTTCTGTGCCTCAGTCTCCCATGACTGCGACAAGAGAGAGGGTTCCAAGGGGAAAACCAGCCCTGCTGAGACCCCAGTGTGCACTGACTGTATTTCACGTGACTAGCATTATGCTAGTGCAACTGACCCTTGAACAACACAGGGATTAGGGGCACCAACCCATCATGGTCGAAAATCTGTATAACTTTTCAGTCCCGCAAAACAACTAATAGTCTGCTGTTGACCAGAAGCCTTACCTGATAACATAAACAGTCAAAACATCTTGTATGTTATACGTACTACACTGTCTACCATAGAGTAAGCTAGAGAAAATGTAATTAAGAAAATCCTAAGAGCCAGGCATGGTGGCTCATGCCTGTAATCCCAGCATTTTGGGAGGCCAAGATGGGCAGATCAGGAGGTCAGGAGATCGAGACCATCCTGGCTAACATGGTGAAACCCCCGTTTCTACTAAAAATACAAAAAATTAGCCGGGCATGATGGCAGGCGCCTGTAGTCTCAGCTACTCGGGAGGCTGAGGCAGGAGAATGGCCTGAACCCGGGAGGCAGAGCTTGCAGTAAGCCGAGAGAGGCAGGCGGATCACAAAGTCAGGAGTTCGAGACCAGCCTGGCCAATATGGTGAAACCCCGACTCTACTAAAAATACAAAAATTAGCCTGGCATGGTGGCAGGCGACTGTAGTCCCAGCTACTCAGGAGGCTGAGGTGGGAGAATCACTTGAACCCAAGAGGCGGAGGTTGCAGTGAGCCAAGATTGCACCACCGCACTCCAGCCTGGGGGACAGAGTGAGACTCCGTCTCAAAAAAAAAAAAATTATTCAGTGAAAGTGGATCATCATAAATAAAGATCTTCATCCTGGTCTCTGTGTTGAGGAAGAGGAGGGGGTTGGTCTTGGTGTCTCAGGGGTGGCAGAGGTAGAAAAAAAGTCCACGTTTAAGTGCACCTGCACAATTGAAACCCGTGTTCAAGTTTCAAATGTATCTTAAGATTTACTTAATCGTTGTAACAACACTTTGAGGTACCTACATCATTCTTACGATGGGGAAACTGAGGCAGAGACCGTAAGGGCGGGCCCAGGGGGCATGTGAACCCAGAGTGTCTGGCTTCCAAGACTCGTATTCACCGTGGTGCCGTTTGACATGATCAGGATAATGGATCCCTGGTTCCTTTTGGGGGCAGCATTGGAGAAGGGGGTTTGGCACCGTCAGTCTGACAGCAGGGCTGGCTCCTGCAGTGTGAATGAAGCGGTCTTGTGCTCGACTGTGAAGGGGGGTTAGGACCTGCTTCCCAGGGCGGGTCCAGCTTTCTGAGGGAAAGCCTTCAGAGCCTCCATCAGGCCGGCACCAGGTACCAGTTAAGCACTGGGCAGGGAACAGAAGTGGTCAAACGCCGCTTGCCGCGACTTGAAACTGCTGAATAAATGGATAATGTCAAGCGCTATGGCTTAGGGCAGTAGTACCTCCGGTTCCTACGATCGTGTCTGGGGTCCCTGAGGAGCAAGGCAAGAGTCGGCCATTCAGGAGGTCAGAGTTCAGCTGTTCTTGCACAAGCAGGGAAGCTGAGTCACCCCAAACACGGGCAAGACTAGCGGTGGTATCAAATGGCTATCAGGGGCGGGGCCTCAGGGGCCTGCCCCTGCCTCCCCGCCCTGCGTTTGGATTCCCTCCAGCATTCCGGGCCAGGGCGCGGGAGGCGGAGGCCGAGGAGAGGACGGGAGGAGGCTGCATCCTGCCCTGGTGCGTCAGGAAGGGCCGAGCGAGCGGGAAGGAAAGCACCACCCCCCACCCCCGCCGCGGCCACACCTGGGTTCTCCAGGCGGGCAGGGGGGCCCCCGGGCCGGCGCCTGGCTCCAGCAAGTCTGGGCCGCCTCCCCGCGCCGCCCCGCGGGGGCCGCCAGATGGGCTGCCCGCCCGCCAGCTCAGCGACGCAGGCAGGAAACGCCGGCCGGGCTGCCAGGAACGCGCGCAGGGGAGGGGGCGGGCCCGGCCGGGCCACGCCCGCCGGAGGGGAAGGAGGGGCCAAGCACCGCCCGGCGGGGACTGGTGAGCTCCAAGAGCCTGCGATCCCGGTCCCTGCCTTTACTAGATGGGTTTCCTTGGGTAGGTCGTTTTACTTCTCTGTGCCTCACTTTCCCTACCTGTAAAGCGGGGCTGCCTGTCTCCGCTCTTTTTCCCTTTTCTCTTTTATTTGTGCAGCAGGGTTTCACTCTGTCGCCCAGGCTGAAGTGCAGTGGCGCGATCACGGCCCACTGCAACCTCGACCTCCTGGGCTCAAGCGATCCTCCCACCTCAGGTGGGAATATAGGTGTGTCCCACCACGCCTGGCTTTTTTTTTTTTCCCCTAGTTGAAACGGCGGTTCTCACTCTTGCTCAGGCTGGTCTCGAACTCAGGCTCAAGCAATCTTCCCACCTCGGCCTCCCAAAGTGCTGGGATTAGAGGCGTGAGCCACCGCGCCGTGCCTCAGCTATTTTCGTGTGACCGTGTGATCTCAGGACACTTTCTTTCCCTTCTCTTCCTTGGTTTTCTTACCTGAAAAATGGGGTGAACAATTGAACCTCCCTCAACCATGGGCTAAGCCTTTGTTTTCCTCTCCACCGTAGCCCCAACACTTGGCCCATTGCCTGAAACATGAAGGCACTCAGTATTTGTTGTAAGAGTGACTATAAAGGTTTGGGACAATCCTGAGGGCCTGGCTACAGCAGGCACTTCATAAATGGACACAAATTATCAAATTACCTAGAGTCTAATGTTTACCAACCTGCGGCTTCAGGCAAGTGACTTCCCATCTCTGAGCTTCACTTTCCTCGTCTACATAATGGCTGTGAGGATTAAGTAAAATAAATAAATACATGGAAATCACACATAGTGTGTTCTCAATAGATATTTATGGAAGAGTCTCCAAAATATTAAAAAAAGGGAGATACTATTTTGAGTAAATTTGAGGGCAAGGAATATACAAAGGAGTTAGGTGGCTTGGAAGAAGATTTTTGCTATATATGTAAACTAAGCTGTGTGTGGGTGGGTATTTTGCTTGTTGGTTTTTGAGACAGGCTCTCACTGTAGTCCAGGCTGGAGTGCAGTGTGGCAGTCATAGCTCACTGTAACCTTGAACTCCTGCACTCAAGCCATCCTCCCACTTCAGCCTCCTGAGTAGTTAGGACTACAGGTGCGTGCTACCACACCCTGCTCACTTTGCATTTTTTTTTTATTTTATTTATTTATTTTTTTGAGACATAGTCTCGCTGTGTCGCCCATGCTGGAGTGCAGTGGCGCAATCTCGGCTCACTGCAAGCTCCACCTCCCGGGTTCATGCCATTCTCCTGCCTCAGCCTCCCAAGTAGCTGGGACTACAGGCGCCCACCACCACCCTGGCTAATTTTTTTTTGTATTTTTAGTAGAGACGGGGTTTCACCGTGTTAACCAGGATGGTCTCCATCTCCTGACCTCATGATCCGCCCGTCTAGGCCTCCCAAACATGCTGGGATTAGAGGCGTGAACCACCACGCCCGGCCTCATTTTGTATTTTTAAAACTTTGGCCCGGGCGCGCTGTGGCTCACCTCTGTAATCCAGCACTTTGGGAGGCCACGGCAGGCAGATCACGAGGTCAGGAGTTAGAGACCAGCCTGACCAACATGGTGAAACCCTGTCTGTATTAAAAAGAAATATGGTCAGGTGCAGTGGCTCACGCCTGTAATCCCAACACTTCGGGAGGCCAAGGCGGACTGATCATTTGAGGTCAGGAGTTTGAGAGCAGCCTGGCCAACATGGTGAAATCCCGTTTCTACTAAAAATGAAATAAAATTAGCTGGGTGTGGTGGCACGCGCCTGTAGTCCCAGCTACTCGGGAGGCAGAGGCAGGAGAATTGCTTGAACCCAGGAGGTGGAGGTTGCAGTGAGCCGAGATGGTGCCATTGCACTCCAGCCTGGGCAACAAGAGTGAAACTCCGTCTCAAAAAAAAAAAAAAAAGAAAAGTTTTTTAATTAGGCTGGACATGGCTCACACCTGTAATCCCAGCACTTGGGACGCAAAAGGATGTAGAATGCTTGAGGCCAGGAGTTCAAGACCAGCCTGAGCAACATAGCAAGACTCCTCCCAATCTCTAAAAAATTTTCTTGGCCGGGCGCGGTGGCTCATGCCTGTAATCCCAGCACTTTGGGAGGCCGAGACAGGTGGATCACCTGAGGTGAGGAGCTCGAGACCAGCCTGACCAACATGGTGAAACCCCGTCTCTACTAAAAAATACAAAAATTAGCCAGGAATGGTGGTGGGTGCCTGTAATCCCAGCTACTTGGGAGCCTGAGGCAGGAAAATCTCTTGAACGCGGGAGGCAGAAGTTGCAAGTGAGCCGAGATCATGCCATTGCACTCTAGCCTAGGCAACAGAGCACGACTCCTTATCAAAAAAAGAAAAAAAAAAAAAGGTCGGGCACAGTGGTTTACGCCTGTAATCCCAGTACTTTGGGAGGCCGAGGCGGGTGGATCACGAGGTCAGGAGTTTGAGATCAGCCTGGCCAACATGGTGAAAGCCCATCTCTACTAAAAAAAAATAACAAAAATTAGCCAAGTGTGGTGGTGGGCAGCTATAATCCTAGTTACTTAGGAGGCTGAGGCAGGAGATTGCTTGAACCCAGGCGGGAGAAGTTGCAGTGAGCCGAGATGGTACCACTGCACTCCAGCCTGGGCAACAGAGGGAGACTCAGTCTCAAAAAAAAAAAAAAAAAAAAATTAGGCTGGACACGGTGGCTCACATCTGTAATACCAGCATTTTGGGATGCCGAGGTGTGTGGATTGCTTGAGGCCAGGAGTTTGAAACTATCGTCGGCAACATAGCAAGACTTCATCTTTACAGAATTAAAATTTAATATTAGCCAGAAATGATGGCACACACCTGTAGTGTCAGCTACTCACGAGGCAGAGGCAGGAGGATTGTTTGAGCCAAGGAGGACTGCTTGAGCTTGGGAGGTCAAGGCTGGGTGAGCCATGATAGTGCCACTGCACTTCAGCCTGTGCAACAGACCAAGACCAGGTCTCAAAAAAGGCCGGGCACCATGGCTTAAGCCTGTAATCCCAGCACTGTGGTAGGCCACGGCAGGTGGATCGCTTGAGCCCAGGAGTTACAGACTGGCATGGACATCATGGCGAAACTATCTCTACAAAAAAATACAAAAATTAGCCGGATCTGGTGGCTCACACCTGAGGTCCCAGCTACTCGGGAGGCTGAGATGGGAGGATCACCTGAACTGGAGGTGAGCCATGATCGCACCACTGCACTCCAGCCTTGGTGACAGAGACCCTGTCTCAGAAAAAAAAAGAAAATTAGATGTAAAAAACATTGAAAATAAAACAGCACATTTGGCCACCCATAGATTACTTTCAGATTTTTTTCTATGCTTTTTTTTTTTAACCCAAATCAGATCTAAATGAAGTATTTTTTCCATAGTTAACTTTCTTCCCATTTCAGTCAGTTGCCATTTCATCTCACACCCAGACAGCATCCAACCTTTGTCATTTTAAGGCAGACAGGTGTGACAAACAAGGCTATCTTCATGTGAAGGCAGACCCCTGCAGAGAATGCCTGGTGGAGTCTTTGATGGGCCCTCCCTACTGCCTTCCCAAAACCATGGGTCCCAGCTCTGTGCCCCCTGGGATCAGCCCAGTTGGGGGTACCCAGCGAAGGTGCTGCTTCAAGACCCCCATGGGCCTGTCCACCTCAGACAGGTGCTTTCCTTTGCTGCCAGACCCCCATGGGCCTGCCCACCTCAGACAGATGCTTTCCTTTGCTGCCGGAAGCTGGCCACCCACCCCCTCTCAGGCTACCCCAGGTCCCAGCTGGGCTCTGAAGTGCGGGAGGGGAGGTGGAGGCACTGGTAACACTCAGATGCAGAGGTGGTGAGGGAAAACCCAGGGTACTGAGTCTGGAAAACAGATTTCTTAGGTGTGGACTTTGGGGGAGAAGCTGAGCCTCTTTCTGCCTGACCGGGATCCTTTCTTCTTGACAGGTTCTCTATGCAACTATGCGTGCATGTTGCGGGGACGGGGTAGGTGTTTGACTGACAGTGTCTGCTCCTGTGAGAATCTATTCTGATGGACCGGGTTTGGTGGCTCATGCCAGTTATCCCAGCACTTTGGGAGGCCAAGGCGGGTGGATCACCTTAAGTCAGGAGTTCACAACCAGCCTGCTCAACATGGTTAAACTAAAAATACAAAAATTACTCCGGCGTGGTGGCACACACCTATAGTCGCATTGTGTCTGTAATTGGCAGGTTCTTGGTCTACACTGACTTCAAAAACGAAGCTGCAGACCCTCGCAGTGAATGTTACAGTTCTTAAAGGCAGCGTGTCTGGAATTTGTTCCTTGTGATGTTCGGATGTGCTGGGAGTTTTTTCCTTCTGGTGGGTTCGTGATCTCACTGGCTCAGGAATGAAGCTGCAGACCCTCGCGGTGAGTGTTACAGTTCTTAAGGCGGCGTATCCGGAGTTGTTCGTTCCTCCCCGTGGGTTTGTGGTCTCGCTGGCTTCAAAAGTGAAGCTGTAGACCTTTACAGCGAGTATCACAGCTCACAAAAGCAATGTGGAACCAAACAGCAAAAAAAAAAAAAAAAAAAAAAAAAAAAAAAAAAAAAAACACCACCACACACACACACCCCATGCAGAAAGGAACCCCAGTACATTACCACTGCAGAGCCGGGCAGCCTGCTTTTATTCTCTTATCTGGCCCTACCCACATCCTGCTGATTGGTCCATTTTACAGAGAGCTGATTGGTCTGTTTCACAGAGAGCTGATTGGTCCGTTTTGACAGGGTGCTCATTGGTGCTTTTACAATCCCTGATCTAGACCCAAAAGTTCTCCACGTCCCTACTAGATTAGCTAGATACAGAGTGCTGATTGGTGTATTTACAAACCCTGAGCTAGACACAGATTGCTAATTGGTGCATTTACAAACCTTGAGCTAGATACAGAGTGCCTATTGGTGTATTCACAATCCCTTAGCTAGACATAAAGGTTCTCCAAGTCCCCACCAGATTAGCTAGATACAGAGTGCCGATTAGTGCATCCACAAACCCTGAGCTAGACACAGGGTACTGATTGGTGTGTTTATAATCCCTTAGCTAGACATAAAGGTTCTCCAAGTCCCCACTAGACTCAGGAGCCCGGCTGGCTTCACCCTGTGGATCCCGCACAGGGGCTGCAGGTGGAGCTGCCTGCCAATCCCAGGCCGTGTGCCGACCGCACTCCTCAGCCCTTGGGGGGTCGATGGGACCGGGCGCCATGGAGGAGGGGGCGGCGCTCGTAGGGGAGGCTTGGGCTGCACAGGAGCCCATGGGGCGGGGGGGCATGGCGGGCTGCAGGTCCCCAGCCGTGTCCCACGGGGAGGCAGCTAAGGCCCGGCAAGAAATCCAGCGCAGCGCCGGTGGGCCAGCACTGCTTGGGGACCCGGTGCACCCTCTGCAGCTGCTGGCCCGGGTGCTAAGCCCCTCACTGCCTGGGGCGGCGGGCCGGCCAGCCGCTCCAAGTGCGGGGCCCGCCAAGCCCATGCCCACCCGGGACTCTAGCTGGCCCGCAAGCGCCAGGCGCAGCCCCGGTTACCACCCCTGCCTCTCTCTCCACACCTCCCCGAAGGCTGAGGGAGCCGGCTCCGGCCTCGGCCATCCCAGGAAGGGGCTTCCACAGTGCAGCGGCGGGCTGAAGGGCTCCTCAAGCGCAGCCAGAGTGGGCGCCGAGGCCAAGGAAGCCCCAAGAGCGAGGGAGGGCTGCCAGCACACTCACCTCTCGCCATCTACTCAGGAGGCTGAGGCAGGAGAATCACTTGAACCTGGGAGGCGGAGGTTGCAGTGAACTGAGATCGCACCACTGCATTCCAGCCTGGGCGACAAAATGAGACTGTCTCAAAAAAAAAAAGGAGAGTCTATGCTAATGTTTGGGTTTCTACAAGTTGTGGGTAATGGTAAAGTTGAAATCTTACGTGGACCAGTGCTGTAGATGGGTTTCTATATGGTTGTGATTGTGAATGCATGATTGTGTGTTTGTGTCTAAGTATGTTTAGGAGTATGTGTTTCTGAGAACATTTGTGAGCAAGTGCCTGCATTGGTGGGTGGGTGTGTGTAATTGGTGTGTGGGTATAAGAGAGACAGATCATGTGGAAGTGTTTGGGTTGATAAAAGGGCTTTTGCAAGGGCATTGCCTGTGCGAGTTTGTGAATGTGTGCTGTCCCATCTGCTTGCTTGCTTGTTTTTTTTCTTTTTTGTTTTTTGAGACGGAGCTTCGCCGTTGTTGCCCAGGCTGGAGTGGAACAGCGGGATCTCGGCTCACCGTAACCTCCGCATCCCAGGTTCAAGCGATTCTCCTGCTTCAGCCTCCCGAGTAGCTGGGATTACAGGCATGCACCACCACGCTCGGCTAATTTTGTATTTTTAGTAGAGAGGGGGTTTCTCCATGTTGGTCAGGCTGGTCTCGAACTCCCGACCTCAGGTGATCTGCCCGCCTCGGCCTCCCAAAGTGCTAGGATTACTGGTGTGAGCCACTGTGCCCAGCCCTTTCTGCGTGTGTGTGTGTGTGTGTGTGTGTGTGTTTCAGGTCTTGTTTCTTTGGTTCATGCTTCCCTTTGCCTGGGTCATCCCCCAGTGGTGCAGTCACAGCTCACTGCAGCCTCAAGCTCTCAAGCTCCTGGTCTCAAGCAATCCTCCCACCTCAGCCTCCCAAGTAGCTAGAACTACATGTGTACACCACTGGCCTGGCTAATTTTTTTTTTTTTTTTTTTTTTTTTTTTGAGACAGTGTCTGCCTCTGTTGCCCAGGGTGGAGTGCAGTTGCGCAATTTCGGCTCACTGCAACCTCCGCCTCCCGGGTTCAAGCGATTCTCCTGCCACAGCCTCCCAAGTAGCTGGGATTACAGGTGCACGCCACCACGCCCGGTTAATTTTTTGTATTTTTAGTAGGGACGGGGTTTCACCATGTTGGCCAGGCTGGTCTCCAATTTCTGACCTCAAGTGATGCGCCTGCCTTGGCCTCCCAAAGTGCTGGGCTTACAGGCGTGAGCCACAACGTCCGGCCAGGCTAATTTTTTAATATTTTTGTAGAGACGGGATCTCACTGTATTGCCCAGGCTGGTCTCAAACTCCTATCCTCAAGCAGTCCTCCTTCCTCAGCCTCCCAGAGTGCTGGGATTGCAGGCATGAGACCCCGCACAGTCTGTTTCTACAGCGGCCTCTCTGCGGCTTCCTCTCTTCTGGCCTCATGGAGAAACCCCAGAAAGAGCATAGACTCTGGAATTAGAGAAACAGGGTTTGGAATTCTGTGCCATTCTCTCCCTGTGTGGTTTGGCCAACTGATTCAAAGGCTGTTTCCTCATTTGTAAAATGGAGATATATAGTCAGTGGTCCTTGTTATTATCTCCCTGCTACCTGCCCCCTTCCCAAACACCAGCCAGTCTTCTCTGCTCTGGCCAAATTGATAATAGCTTTTGTTTTTCAAGCCTAAAACCAGCTTCTTCCAATTTGCTCAGCAGCTATTTGCTAATCATCCAGAGTGACCTAGGACGTATTTACATGAGCGGAAGAGCCACTCGGGGAGAGTGCTGCTGGGAATGCCTCCACAGAGATGCTGATTGTACGCATGCTGCGTAAGCCTCAGATTTTTCTGTTCAGGCCCAAATGCGCAGCACAATCTGTGGGAAAGTTGCAACAGAGAAAGCAAAAAAAAAACAAAAAGCAAAAAACGAGTTTTTACTTCCTTAATAAAATTGGTTTTGGTGCTCACTTTGGCAGCACATATACTAAAATTGGAACTAGACAGAGATTGGCATTGCCCCCGAGCAAGAATGACACGCAAATTCGTGAAGCCTTCAATAAAAAATAAAATAATTTTGTTTTCCCAATCTGTGTCTCTTTTAAGCCCCACAGGATAGAAATGTCCTAAAATAAGAAATTAAATAAGAGGGGAAGCCCCATGATCTGTTCTGGTTTTTTTGGGTGGTGGTGGTGGTGGTGTTTTTTAATGGGTCTCTCAGGATTCCACCAGACCCACTTCCCAGCCGCTGTGTGGTCTGGGCCTGAGAACACCAAGCCCCCCGACCTGCGGCCCACGCCCACCCACCACCCAGCCTCGGCAGTGCTTTCCCAGGATTCACATGGTAATGAAGGCATCCATCTTCTCCCAGACACACACTGGGCCCTGCGACCCTCCCAGGGCCCACACAATGGCCCACAGCGCCGCGGCCCCACCACCTGTTGGATTTTCCCAGGGAAGGGAGTGAGGGGGTGGAGGGGAAGGGCAGTCCGTCTCTTCCCAGCCCCCAGCCCCATTTGCACCCTGGTCGCAAGAGTCAGTCAGCGAGGGCACCCATGTCCTCGGACTCTCAGTCCATCCTCAGCACCCTGTTTCCTCATCCTCAAACTGCAAGGTGGTTGGGAGGATTCTAATGGGAATGGTAGTAAGGACACGCTCAGGAACTGTGGATTGCCAGACAAAGAGAGCAAAAGGCCGGGCGCGGTGGCTCACGCCTGTAATCCCAGCACCTTGGGAGGCCAAGGTGGGCGGATCATGAGGTCAGGAGTTCGAGACCAGCCTTGCCAAAATGGTGAAACTCCCATCTCTACTAAAAATACAAAAATTAGCCAGGCGTGGTGGCGCGCGCCTGTAATCCCAGCTACTCAGGATCTGAGGCAGGAGAATCGCTTGAACCCGGGAGGCAGAGCTTGCAGTGAGCCGAGATCACCCCATTACACTCTAGCCTGGGCAACAGAGCGAGACTCCATCTCAAAAAAAAAAAAAAAGCCATCAATAATAATGAACTTGATAATGACTAATTAATAATAAACAGGCTCATGCCTGTAATTCTGACACTTTGAGAGGCCAAAGTTCAAGCGGGAGGATTGCTTGAACCCAGGAGTTCGAGACTAGCCTAGGCAACATAGCGAGATCCCCTCTCTACACAAAGTACAAAATAATAATAATAAACAATAATAAGGCCGGACAAGGTGGCTCACACGTATAATCCCAGAACTTTGGGGGTGGAAGCAGGTGGATTTCTTGAGGCCAGTAACTTGAGACCAGCCTGGGCAACACCTGTCTCTAAAAAAATACAAAAATTGGGCTGGGCATGGTGGCTTCCGTCTGTAATCCCAGCACTTTGGGAGGCTGAGGCAGGCAGATCATGAGGTCAAGAGATGGAGACCATCCTGGCCAACATGGTGAAACCCAATCTGTACTAAAAATAGAAAAATTAGCTGGGTGTGGTGGCATGCACCTGTAGTCCCAGCTACTTGGGAGGCTGAGGCAGGAGAATCCCTTGAACCAGGAAGCGGAGGTTGCAGTGAGCCAAGATCGCGCCACTGCACTCCAGCCTGGCAACAGAACGAGACTCCGTCTCAAAAAAAAAAAAAAAATTGGCCAGGCTGCAGGGCTCATGCCTGTAATCCCAGCACTTTGGGAGGCCACAGCAGGTAGATCACCTGAGGTCAGGAGTTCAAGACCAGCCTGGCGAACATGGTGAAACCCCATCTCTACTAAAAGTACAAAAATTAACTGGGCGTGTTGGAGGGTGCTTTTAATTCCAGCTACTCAGGAGGCTGAGGCAGGAGAATCGCTTGAATCTGGGAGGCAGAGGTTACAGTGAACCAAGATTGCACCACTGCGCTCCAGCCTGGATAACAGGGTGAGACCCTGTCTCAAAAAAAAAAAAATATATATATATATATATATATATATATATATATATATATATATACAAAAATTAGTTAGGGCCCGGCGCAGTGGCTCAAGGCCTATAATCCCAGCATGTTGGGAGGCCGAGGCGGGCAGATCACGAGGTCAAGAGATCGAGACCATCCTGGCCAACATGGTGAAACCCTGTCTCTACTAAAAATACAAAAATTAGCCGGGAGTGGTGGTGCGTGCCTATATTCCCATCTACTCAGGAGGCTGAGGCAGGAGGAGACTTGCTTGAACCCCAGAGGCAGAGGTTGCAGTGAGCCTAGATCACACCAATGCACTCCAGCCTAGCAACAGAGTGAGACTCCGTCTCAAAAAAAAAAAAAATTAGCTGGGATTTTAGATGTGTACCACCATATCCGACTAATTTTTATATTTTTAGTAGCGACGGGGTTTTGCCAAGTAAGCCAGGCTGGTCTCGAACTCTTAACCTAAGTGATCTGCCCACCTCGGCCTCCCAAAGTGCTGGGATTACAGGTGTGAGCCACCACACACATCTGAGTTGTACAATTTAAATGGGTGAATTGTATGGTATGTAAATCATCTCTCAATAAACCTGTTAAAGAAAAAAAAGGGGGCTGGGCGCGGTGGCTCACACCTGTGATCCCAGCACTTTGGGAGGCCAAGGCGGGTGGATCACGAGGTCAGGAAATCAAGACCATCCTGGCTAACATGGTGAAACCCCGTCTCTACTAAAAATACAAAAAATTAGCCAGGCGTGGTGGCATGTGCCTGTAATCCCAGCTACTCAGGAGGCTGAGGCAGAAGAATCGCTTGAACCCGGGAGGTGGAGGTTGCAGTGTGCCAAGATTGTGCCACTGTACTCCAGCCCGGGCGACAGTGCGAGACTGCATTTCAAAAAAAAAAAGGTAAATTCTAGAAATGCTCCTGTTTCTGAGCATCCAGTACAATGATAAGGCAATCACTACCTCCAAGGTCCCCACTTCCCATATCCCTCCCCCACTGCACTCCCATCCCACTTCCAGGTGGCTATGACTGAGCAACTATTAGACCTAATTAATCATGGGTCCAGGTGAGTTTTGCCCACTTGTTGTTCACAGATGTCTCCAAACTACACAATCTCAGAGTGGGTAAAAACCCCAGGGCCATAGGGCTTTTTTTAATCTTTTCTGGATCCAGACCTCTCCCCTTTATATTTTAATTTCATTTCATTTTTGAACATGTATTACCTAATACATGTTCCTGATACAACGCTGAAAAACAACGGATGTCTCCCTTCTTCCCTATTGGAGGCAGCCACAGTCATCAGTTTCCTAGTGAGATACAAGCAAATACATATGTAATTTTGTTTGTTTGTTTGTTTTTTTAAGAAACTGGGTCTAGGCTGGCCTAGAACTCCTGGGCTCAAGTGATCCTTGGCCTCAGCCTCCAAAGTAGCTGGAGCTACAGGAGCATGCCACCATGCTCCACTTCAGACACAAGTGGTGTTTCCATACAGGGTCAGTTAAAAACAACAAAAAACACTGATGGTGATGAGACATGAATACTAATAGGTGGTCACATGAGAATAGAAAATTGCAGGCTAGGTGTGGTGGCTCACACATGTAATTCCAACGCTTTGGGAGGCCAAGGAAGGAGGACCTCTTGAGGCCAGAAGTCCAAGACCAGCCTGGGCAACATAGTGAAACTCCGTTTCTACAAAAAAATACAAATATTGGCCAGGCGTGGTGGCTCACACCTGTAATCCTAGCACTTTGGGAGACTGAGGTGGGTGGATCACTTGAGGTCAGGAGTTCGAGACCAGCCTGGCCAACACGGTGAAACCCCATCTCTACTAAAAATACAAAATTAGCCAGACGTCGTGAGGCACACCTGTAATCCCAGCTACTTGGGAGGCTGAAGCAAGAGAATCGGTTGAACCCAGGAGGCAGAGGTTGCAGTGAGCTTAGATTGTGCTACTGCACTCCAGCCTGGGCAAAGAGCAAGACAACATCTCAAAAAAACAAAACAAAACAAAAAAAAACAAAAAACTAGCCAGGTGTGATAGTGCAAGCCTATAGTCCCAGTTCCTCAAGAAGCTGAGGCGGGAGGATAAATTGAGCCTGGGAAATCGGAAGCCTTGACTCCCATTTCTGGATGGGAGAGGTAGCTAAATTTTTTTTTTTTTTTTTTTTTTTTGTGACGGAGTCTGGCTCTGTTGCCCAGGCTGGAGTGCAGTGGTGTGATTTCAGCTCACTGCTACCTCTGCCTCCTGGGTTCAAGCGATTCTCCTGCCTCAGGCCCTGAGTAGCTTGGATTACAGGCGCCTGCCACCACACCCGGCTAATTTTTGTATTTAGTAGAGACAGGGTTTCACCATGTTGGCCAGGCTGGTCTTGAACTCCCAACCTCAGGTGATCCTCCCGCCTGGGCCTCCCAAAGTGCTGGGATTACAGGAGTGAGCCACCCCGCCTGGCGCCTAATTTTTATCACCAGATGAGATCACAGATATTGCACTTACTGTGTTGTCCCCCACAGAATAAAAACCGCACAAGACTGAGACTTCTGTTGATTCTGTTCACTATATACAAGCGTAAAACCAAAAATAAAATGCTAGGGGCCCCCAACCATCTGAACGGACCCCTCCTCTCTGCCAAGAGCATTCCAAAATGAATTTGAAAAATGAGTTTAGGCCATGATGGAAGCGGGTGAGGGGGAAGCGTCGAACTTGTCTCATTACACCCTCCTTCCTTTTGGAATTCAGGAAAAGCTGACTAGCATTAACATCAACACAGACGTTAAGTCTGATAAGAAACATTTACAGTCTATTCTTACTTAAACCTGCCACCTGGAGGTTTCATCTGCATAATAAAACCTTGGTCGCCACAACCACTTATTGTAACCCAGACATTCCCTTCTACAACCCTGGGCACACTCCTGAGGCTGTGTCATGGGTACATCCTTAACCTCGGCAAAACAAAAGTTCTTTTTTTTTTTTTGAGACGGAGTCTTGCTCTGTCGCCCAGGCTGGAGTGCAGTGGTGCAATCTCGGCTCACTGCAACCTCCGCCTCCTGGGTTCAAATGATTCTCCTGCCCCAGATTCCCAAGTTGCTGGGATGACAGGCGCGAACCACCATGCCCAGCTAATGTTTGTATTTTTAGTAGAGATGGGGTTTCACCATGTTGGCCAGGCTGGTCTCAAACTCCTGACGCCAGGTGATCCATCCGCCTCGATCTCCCAAAGTGCTGGGATTACAGGCGTGAACCACCAAGCCCAGCCGTTTTTGTTTGTTTGTTTGTTTTATTTTTTCAATGTAGAGACAGGGTCTCCTTGTGTTGCCCAGGCTGGTCTCAAACTCCTAGGCCCAAGCAATCCATCTGCTTTGGCCTCCTAAAGTGCTACTATTACAGGTGTGAGCCACTGTGCTAGGCCAAAATAAACTTTCTAAATTGATTAAGACCTGTTTCAGATGCTTTTGGGTTCACACCAGTCATAATAGATTAGTACAACAACAATATTCTGCTCACTGTAATATGCCAGCGCTGGCCCACAGCCTGGCAAGCAAGAGATGCTCCACAGCTTCCAGAATCCTGGACTCCAGCCCCAGCCCTGCCTGGTACTCGCTGCCACCGTGGACAAGTTACTTATCACTCAGGAGCTCCCTGTTCATAGTCCCTCACCTGAAAGGGATTTTTTTTTGAGACGGAGTCTCACCCTGTCGCCCAGGCTGGAGTGCAATGGCGAGATCTCGGCTCACTGCAACCTCAGCCTCCGGGTTCAAACGATTCTTCTGCCTCAGCCTCCAGAGTAGCTGGGATTACAGGTGCCCGCCACCACGCCCAGCTTTTTTTTTTTTTTTTTTTTTTGTGAGACGGAGACTCGCTCTGTCGCCCAGGCTGGAGTACAATGGCGTGATGTCTTCTCACTGCAAGCTCCGCCTCCCGGGTTCACGCCATTCTCCTGCCTCAGCTTCCCGGGTAGCTGGGACTACAGGCGCCCGCCACCACCACGCCCGGCTAATTTTTTGTATTTTTATAGAGACGGTGTTTCACCGTGTTAGCCAGGATGGTCTCGATCTCCTGACCTCGTGATCCGGCCGCATCGGCCTCCGAAAGTGCTGGGATTACAGGCGTCAGTCACCGCGCCCGGCCTACGCCCAGCTATTTTTTATATTTTTAGTAGTGACGGGGTTTTACCGTGTTGGCCAGGCTGGTGTCGAACTCCTGAGCTCGTGATCCGCCCGCCTTGGCCTTCCAAAATGCTGGGATTACAGGCGTGAGCCACCGCACCCGGCGGATTGATTTTTTTTTTTTTTTTAACTTTTTCATTCTGTCTCGGCTGCTTAAATCAGAATAGAGACGACCTTCAGCACAGAGTGGCTGTAAGAATTAAATAAGATAATGCTTTAAAGCGCTGGTAAGAGCTTTATAAGTATCAGCGAACACTGCTGCCACTATGCTCATGGTGGTGTGGCAGACAGCGGGGTGCAGAAGAAGAGGGGTGGGGGGAAGGCGGTCACATAGGGCAGGGGGGTTCAGACCAGATTCCTGAGATGTCATTTTTAGTACTCTCCAGCAAGAAGGTGGGACGGCTGGTGTGGTGGAGGAGGCTAGAGGTACAAGCTTCACCTGAGATGTCCTTAGACCCTGACCTCAGCTCCCACCGTCCTAGTGGTGCCGGGCGGCGGCCACGCCAGCCGCACCTTCCCCCGGCCAGCCCAGAGCTGCCGCTGGGGAAGGGCGGAGGGAAGGCAAGCTGGTTTTTCCCAGGCTCCCCCCGCTCCTGGAACATCTGGCCGCGAACATCTGCCCTTCGCTTTTGTGGCGCGGCCGCAGGCCGGCCTCGCACCCATCTGCCGCCTCACCGGCCCCCGCCCCATCTGCGCGCCGCTCCCCTGGGGCGGTTCCTGGCGCCCTCGCCCCCGCCCGCCGGGCCTGGTTCCCACGGGCCGAGTGCGGGAAGCCGGGGCGGCCCATCTGCCGCGAGCGGCTGCCAGGCGCGGCGAGTCCAGCGCCGAGGCGTCCCCAAAGGGCGGGACCGGCGCCCAGCAATGTCTTTCAGGCGGGTGCGCCCCCGAACAAAGTCGGGGTGCACGGCCTCTCCCCGCGCGGCTGGACCCAAAGTCGCTGCCCGGGGCTGCTGGGTCCAAGAGCGGCCGCCGCCCCTCCTGCTTCTCCCCAGAAGGGCCCGCGTGCCCCCGCTGTCCGCCGCCCAACACCCGCTCTTCCTCCTGCACCGAACACTTCGGGCTCACTGACGCGCCGTCTCCATCCTAAGCCCCAAACCTTCAAAGTGCAGGAGACAACTGTCACGTCACCCTGCAAAAAATGCTAACGTCTGATAATATAAAATGCTGGTGTGGACGTGGGAAAATAGAAACTCCCAACTGCGTTGGCCCCTCAGCCTGGAATACCCCTTGTCCTCATTGCCTGCTTAACTCTTGATTTTGTGAAATATAAAAAGTACCGAGAAATATAGCGATTTATGTTCCTAATACCACATTCCCACCACCCAGGACTGACAACTGTCAGCTGTATTTGCGCCTATTTCTCCTCCTCCAAAGAACAAACCTTTACAGATAGTGCTCCTGTCTTTTTGTGTTTTTTGTTTTGTTTTGCTTTGTTTTGTTTTGTTTTGTTTTGTTTTGAGACAGAGTCTCGCTCTGTCCCCAGGCTAGAGTGCAATGGCGCAATCTCGGCTCACTGCAACCTCTGCCTCCCGGGTTCAGGCGATTCCCCTGCCCCGTAGTCCTCCCCAGTAGCTGGGACTACAAGCGCATGCCACCACACCCAGCTAATTTTTGTATTTTTAGTAGAGACGGAGTTTCACCATGTTGTCCAGGATGGTTTCAATCTCTTGACCTCATGATCCGCCCGCCTCAGCCTCCCATAAAGCTGGGATTACAGGCATGAGCCATCGCCCCCGGCCTTTTTGTGTTTTTTGTTTGTTTGAGACAGAGCCTCACTCTGTCACCCAGGCTGGAGTGGTGCAGTGGTGTGATCACAGCTCACTGCAGCCTTGAACTCCAGGGCTCAAGGGATCTGCCCACTGCAGCCTCCACAGTAGCTGGGACTAGAGGTGCCCATCACCAGGAGCAGCTAATTTTTGTTTTGAAGAGACAGGTCTCACTATATTGCCCAGGCTGGTCTGGAAGTCCTGGGCTCAAGTGATCCTCCTGCCTTGGCCTCCCAAAGTGCTGGGATTACAGGCATGAGCCAGCAAACCGAGCCACTAGCCTTCTTTTAACCAGGGCCCTCTTCCCTTTTCTCTAAGACTATTTGCCACCCCACCCACCATGCAATCCCCCAATTACTATTAATATAATGACTTGGGTGTTTTCTTCCGGGTTATGTTTCTTGTTACTTTTACTACATGTAAATATATTAGCATTGTGTGTTTTTTTAAATTTATACTTCTAAAAAAATCATTCTGCATTTTCCCTAAGCAACATTATGCAGGTATCTAGCAGAATACACACAGACGTAGCTCATTCCTGTTCAATGCTGGGTACGATTCCATCACCATTTCCCTGTTTTCTTGTCATTGGACAAGTAAGTAGTTTTCAATTTTTGGGTTTTTTTTTTTTTTAATTAAAATAGACATGGAGTCTCGCTATGTTGACCTGGCTGGTCTTGAACTCCTGGCCTTAACTGATCCTCCCATCTCGGCCTCCCAAAATGCTGGGGTTACAGGCATGAGCCACTTGCAACCGGCCTAGTTTTCAATTTGTTGTTGTTGTAGAAATGGCTGTCACATTCTTGCCCACATCTGCTTTCTTGTGTGCAGGCCTCCCAGGGTATGTCCGTGGGAGTGAATCACTGGCTCATAGGGTGTTTTCAAATGTTCACTTTTGGTGGATATTGCCAAATTGAGTTCCCAAGTGGTCATACCAGTTTACACACCCACCAGCACTGGATGAGTGTTATTTTCCCACATGCTCACCAACATTTTTTTTTTCTTTGAGATGGAGTCTCGCTCTGTCGCCCAGGCTGGAGTGCAGTGGTGCGATCTCGGCTCACTGCAAGCTCCGCCTCCTGGGTTCACGCCATTCTCCTGCCTCAGCCTCCCGAGTAGCTGGGACCACAGGCGCCCGCCGCCACACCCAGCTAATTTTTTTGTATTTTTAATAGAGAGAGGGTTTCACCGTGTTAGCCAGGATGGTCTCAATCTCCTGACCTCATGATCTGCCCGCCTCGGCCTCCCAAAGTGCTAGGATTACAGGCGTGAGCCACTATGCCCGGCTTCACCAACATTTTCTATATTATCAGACTTTAAACTTTTGTTTTATTAATTTTTTTCTTTTTGAAGACAGGCCTTTATTTTAATTTTATTTTTTGAGACAGCATGTCACTTTGTCACCCAGGCTGAAGTGCAGTGGCAGCATCTTTGCTCACTGCAGCCTCAACCTCCCAGGCTCAAGTGATCCTCCTGCCTCAGCCTCCCTGGTAGCTGGGACTACAGACATGCCATCATGCCTGTCTAATTATTTCCTTAAACTATTTTCTTTTTTTTTTTTGAGACGGAGTTTCGCTCTTGTCACCCAAGCTGGAGTGCAATGGCGCGATCTCGGCTCACCGCAAACTCCGCTTCCCGGGTTCAAGCGATTCTCCTGCCTCAGCCTCCCGGGTAGCTGGGATTACAGGTGCCTGCCACTATGCCCGTCTAATTTTTGTATTTTTAGTAGAGACTGGGTTTCACCATGTAGGCCAGGCTGGTCTTGAACTCCTGACCTCAGGTGATCCACCTGCCTTGGCCTCCCAAAGTGCTGGGATTACAGGTATGAGCCACCACGCCCAGCCCTTTAAAATATTTTCTGGAGATGAGATCTCACTGTATTACCCAGTCTGGTCTCAAAATCCTGCGTTCAAGTCATCCTTCCACCTTGGCCTCCCAAAGTGCTGGAATTATTGGTGTGAGCCACGTGCCAAGCCAGACTTTAATGTTTTTTGCAGGGTGACACAGCAGTTGCCTCCTGCTGACATCCCAGATATGCAAATGCTGGGGCTCAGGAGCATCGGCCTAACCCTTCCTCACTTTGTCTGTCTCAGCTGGACTATCACCTCCTCCTTCAGGAAGGCCTCCCCAGTCTACCTTAGCTGACTGGCAGCTTCCCATAACCTCGCGTGCTTTCCCATCACAGCACTGGGAACTTGAGGGGTGACTGTCTCATTATGGTCTGTCTTCCCCAGCGGACTGTGAGCTCCCCAGGAAGAGGTCACATTTGCAGGGCCATTGAACAGGCTGAAAGGAACACAAAGTTGCTACAAATAGTACTTTTGTGGAAGGCTCCATCTACTTGAAGTAAGGAGTTCCTTTCTCTAATTCCTACAAAGTACGCCCTTGGGATGGCAGTAGCTCACCTACCCACCACACCTCTGTGTCCTCAGCATCTGGATACAGCAGCAAGGAAGCACCACATGGCTGGTGGTGTTTATTCCCATTTGGGTACCCTCAACTAAATGTAGCTCTGAAGAGCATGAGCCTAGGTCATGTTCTTTCCATGCTTTGCCTAGCACAAAGCAAGTGTACAATAACCATTTATTATTTAATGATTCTAAAGCTCTGTATTTCAGTGGTGGAGGATATACCCAATTAGAGGTATTATAGTCACTGTAATAATAACTAGTGCCTACTGAATGCTGACTGCCAGGAACCTGTGTGGTTTTTTTCTTTTCTTTTCCTTCTTTTTTTTTTTTGAAACAGAATCTCACCCACGCTGGAGTGCAGTGGCGCAATCTCAGTTCACTGCAACCTCCACCTCCTGGGTTCAAGCAATTCTCCTGCCTCAGTCTCCTGAGTAGCTGGGATTACAAGCACTCTCCACCACACCTGGCTAATTTTTGTATTTTTAGCAGAGACGGTTTCACCATGTTGGCCAGGCTGGTCTCAAACTCCAGACCTCAGGTGATCTGCCCTCCTCGGCCTCCCAAAGTGTTGGGATTACAGGCGTGAGCTACTGCCCCGGCCCCAGCTTTAACAAAATTTTTTTTTGTAGAGATAGGGTCTTGCTGTGTTGCCCAGGCTGGTCTTGAACTCCTGGCCTCAAGTGATCCTCCTGCCTTGGCTTCCCAAAGTGCTGGGA
Organism: Homo sapiens; assembly: GCF_000001405.40. NCBI lineage: Eukaryota > Metazoa > Chordata > Mammalia > Primates > Hominidae > Homo > Homo sapiens. The sequence continues at coordinate 31,592,074 of NC_000020.11, forward strand.
TTACAGGTGTGAGCCACCTCACCCAGCCCCTCTTTTTTTTTTTTTTAATACGGTCTCCCTCTGTTGCCCAGGCAGGAGTGCAATGGCAAGATCGGGGTTCACTGCGGCGTCAACTCCTGGACTTAAGGAATCTTCCCATCTCAACCTCCCCAGTAGCTAGCACTACAGGCATGTGCCACCAGGCCCAGCTGATATTTTTTTTTAATTTTTTTTTTTTTTTTCTGAGACAGAGTCTCACTCTGTCGCCTAGGCTGGAGTGCAGTGGCGCGATCTTGCCTCACTGCAAGCTCCACCTCCTGGGTTCACGCCATTCTCCTGCCTCAGCCTCCTGAGTAGCTGGGACTACAGGCGCCCGCCACCACACCTGGCTAATTTTTTGTATTTTTAGTAGAGAGAGGGTTTCACCGTGTTAGCCAGGATGGTCTCGATCTCCTGACCTCGTGATCCACCCGTCACGGCCTCCCAAAGTGCTGGGATTACAGACGTGAGCCACCGCGCCGGGCCTTAATTTTTAATTTTTATTATTAATTTATTTATGGAGAGGTCTTGCTATGTTGCCCACGCTGGTCTTGAATTCCCGGCCTCAAGTCATCCTCCCACCTCAGCCTCTTCAAGTGTTGGTATTACAGGCATTAGCCACCGCGCCCAGACTTAAATCACATAAACTCTTTTTTTTTGAGACCAAGTCTTGCTCTGTCGCCCAGGCTGGAGTGCCGTGGCACGATCTCGGTTTACTGTAACCTCCACCTTCCTGGTTCAAGCGATTATTTTGCCTCAGCCTCCTGAGTAGCTGGGACTACAGGCGCGAACCACCACGCCTAGCTAATTTTTTTTTTTTTTTTTGAGATGGAGTCTTGCTCTGTCGCCCAGGCTGGAGTGCAGTGGTGCAATCTTGGCTCACTGCAAGCTCCGCCTCCTGGGTTCACGCCATTCTCCTGTCTCAGCCTCCTGAGTAGCTGGGACTACAGGCGCCCGCCACCACGCCTGTCTAATTTTTTATATGTTTTTAGTAGAGACGGGGTTTCACCATGCTAGCCAGGATGGTCTTGATCTCCTGACGTCGTGATCCGCCCGCCTCGGCCTCCCAAAGTGCTGGGATTACAGGCATGAGCCACTGCACCCGGCCTTTTTTTGTATTTTCAGTAGAGACAGAGTTTCACCATGTTGGCCAGGCTGGTCTTGAACTCCTGAACTCAAAGCCTGCCTTGGCCTCCCAAAATGCTGGGATCACAGGCATGAGTCACCGCACCTGGCCTATAGCTTCCTTTTAAACAGCACATCGTTGCTTTTGCATCAGCCAGAAAAAAAAAATACTTTTTAGAAGAAAACGTACATTATCATGAGTCATAGTATTTGAGGAGTACAGCTCTGAAGCGGCCTGAGGTGAGGGTGCAGCTGGAGGCGCCGCCCCCTGGTGACTGGGTACTCAGGGTTGGGTTGAGCCAGGAGGGTGGTGGTTGCCTCAGGCTCTGTGAGGTGGGCAGGGAGCTGGGCAGGGAGCTGGGCGGGGTCCTGAGACATTCAACCTCAGCTGGTTCCTGGGTTCCGGGCCCTGGAGCAGTGAGGGAAGCCAGTTATATGGGAGGCAGGTGAGTCAAAGGAGGGTCAGGCTGGGTGCCAGAGAGGAGGGCCACTGCTTCTGTGAGGGGGCCTCTGGGGCCTTCCGTCCATCACCCAGTGGGCATATGGGGACACCACCGAGGCCCAGAGACCTCTTGCCCAGTCTCCCCACTCTCACCTCAGAGGTCCTTGCAGCTAGGGGCAGTGGCCTCTGCTGAGCTTTGCCCAGGGTGTAGCCAGTTGGCCTCAGGGCACTCCTGACTGGTGGCATGAGCCTCCCAGGCTGCCAGGGTCAGGTCAGCTCCCACGCCTCCACCCTGGGCAGGGCCCAGGCCTGCATTCATGGGTGCAAGAGGAGAGAGAGGCCTGAGCCCTGGATGGGTGTGGTTGTGTGTCCTTGGGGCTGATGCAGGATTTTTTTTTTTTTTTTGAGACGATGTCTTGCTCTGTTGCCCAGGCTGCAGTGCAGTGGCACGATCTCGTCTCACTGCAACCTCCATCTCCTGGGTTCAAGCAATTATCCTGCCTCAGCCTCCCGAGCAGATGGAGTTACAGGCGTGCACCACCACGCCTGGCTAATTTTCGTATTTTTAGTAGAGAGGGAGTTTCACCATGTGGGCCAGGCTGGTCTCGAACTTCCGACCTCATATAATCTGCCTGCCTTGGCCTCCCAAAGTGCCGGGATTACAGGCGTGAGCCACCGCACCTGGCCTTTCTGCAGGATTCTGAATTGTGTATGTGTGGAGAGTAAGGGGACTGTGTGCTCTAGAAGGGCTGTGGTGGGAGGTCTCTGGCCTGGTGCAGGTGGGTGTTGGTTGGGTCTGTGCACTGTGGGAGTGGGTGCCTGCAGGAAGCCAGTTTATCCTTTTGCAGGCAGTGGACTTCTCTAAGGCTGCGGGCATGTGTGTTGGCATCTTGGAGTCCCAGGTGTTTTGGCGTGAGTAATACTGTATAGATGTAAGTGTGTGTAGTGTTTGCAATGTTGTAGTGTGGGTGCATGTGTCTGTGTGTCCTGTTTGTTGAGAGGATTCATTGCATGTGGTTCTGTTAGGAGTGATAATGGGGTGTTTTGAGACATTTCCTCCTTGGTCTCTATTTTTTGGTGTGTTGGTTATGCAGATTTGGTGTTTCGGTAGTGTGCGCGGAGGTCAGTGTGTTGGTTGTATATTATGGTGTACTGTTGTGCGTTGTGCATTTGGCAGGTTGTGTCTATTGGTGTGTGGCTGTTGGGTTTGTCTGTTGTGTCAGTCGTACATATAAATGCCACGTTGGGCGTGTGGGTGTGTGCATTTGTATATTGCTCTGTGGGTGTGCGAAGCAGTGTGTTTGTGTAACCCTGCAGGTTTGGCCTATGCTGAGTAACCTAAGATGGGAGCTCCCTGAGCCTTGGCTCTGCCCTTGCCTTTGGCTGCTGGAGACCCTGGGCAGCAATGGCCCTTTGTCCAGCCACAGGAAAACCCCACCCCCCTCCATCGGCAGGGGACTTGGGAGGGGCCCAGACTGGTAGGCTCCAGCCTCCCGTCCATTGTTCTGGGGCCTCTCTGGAAAACAGGATGGGAGGTGAAAGGTGGACACAGGCCTGGACCCCCACACTCCCTGAAACAACCCAGGGGCACAGCACAGAATCCTTAGGAGGGAGGGCCTGGGGACAGTCCCCATTTTGTGGATGAGAAAACTGAGGGGTTTCATTCCTATTAAAAGGGAGAGAGCCTGAAGCCCCACACCCTTTATGTGCCCACCCACAGCCTCCTGCCGGGTTTGGGGGATGGAAAAATGACACCCCAGAATGGAAACAAAACGGTCTATTGTGGTTTCCATTTCTGAATGCTTACCATGTGCTAAGTGCAGAAGTGTCATAACTCTGCAGGTTAAGTTCATATTTTGTACCCATTTTGCACAGGAGTACACTGAACCATAAGGCAACAATTTATTCTTCAAAGGACACTACTCTAAACATTACTGTATTTCAAGTAGTACGCTGTGTGACCTTGAGCAAGTTGCTTACCTTCTCTGGGCCAGGCCCTAGTTCAGCTCTGGGACACAGCAGTGACCAAAGGAGCCGTGGTTCCTGCTCTCTTAGAGCCCATAGCCTGGGCAGGGAGGAGGAGGCAAGGAATGGCAAATACACAAGAAAACAAAGATCATTTCTGATGGTAATGAATTCAGTGAATAAGAGCAGGAGAATGTAAAAGAAAGTAGCCTAGGGGGATCTGAGAAGGCCTCTGGGGAGGCGACATTTGACCTGAGACTTGAAGAATGAGGAGTCTGGCAAAGACCTGGGGCTGATCAGTGTTCTAGGAACAAGTAACAGCAAGGGCAAGGGCCCTGAGGCAGGACAGAGCTATTAATAGTTTAAGGAGGGAGGCCTCTGGGCTGGTGAGAGAAAGGGAAGGGGCCCAGTTGGGTAGTGGGCAGGGGAGGAGTTTGGATCTTATTCTCCGTGAGATGTGCTGGTTCTGGTGGTAGTGGGGGGGCCTGTAGTCTCCTGTTACAAGGGTTGGGGGTGTGGGGACAGCCAGAGCCAAAGGTCTCTCCCCCACAGCTCCGGCAGTCCCAGCCCAGAGGCGCCGGCCTGGCGGCTGGAAGATTGCACTGTGGGCACATCTGGGGAGCAGCTGCCGAGCCAGGGCCAGAGTGGGTCACGTGGCACAGGGCAGGACCGTCCTGGAGCCTACAAGGCCAAGACTCCTAGGAGGGGCAGTGGAGAACACTCTGGACGAGAACAGTGCGTCAACGAGGAGGAACTGTGCACTGTAGACGTCCAGGCACACGGCCCCCTGCAGCCCCACACAGCCCCTGCCTCAGGACAGAGTGCCTGGGTTCAATGCCACCTCCCAGCTTTGTGATCTGAAACAAGTCACTCAACCTCTCTGGGTCTCATGGCCTCAGCTGTGAAGGGGACATGATATTACTACCACAGTTCCACAGGCTGTTCTTTTTTTTTTTTTTTTTTTTTTTTTTTTTTTAATTTTTTGAGACGCAGTCTCACTCTGTTGCCCAGGCTGGAATGCAGTGGCACCATCTCAGCTCACTGCAACCTCTGCCTCCCGGGTTCGAGCGATTCTCCTGCCTCAGCCTCCCTAGTAGCTGTAGTAGCTGGGACTACAGGCTCCCGCCACCAGGCCTGGCTAATTTTTTCATATTTTTAGTGGAGATGGGGTTTCACCATGTTGGCCAGGCTGGTCTCAAACTCTTGACCTCAGGTGAACCACCCACCTCAGCCTCCCAAAGTGCTCCCAGGCTGTTTATTTCTAATTCAACAAATATTCGTTGAGCACTTCCCACATGCCAGGTGCTGCATGAGGCTCTGCGTGACAGCAGGGAACAGGACCTCCGTGGTCCCTTCCCTTCTAAGCACACAATTAATGCTTTAGAACCAGGCCTGGCATTGAGGAAACTCTTAGTAAATGTAAGCCATTTGCCTGGAGCTCTGGAGGCCAGAGGAGGCACCCTGGAAGGCAGAGAAGGAGGTGTGGTGACAGAAAAATCCTAAGGAAAGTGCACTCCCTTTTATCACCAGGTGCTGCAGTTGGCTCCTGGTATGGCTCATTTCACTCTCACAACCACCCTACGAAGAGGGATGAGCATTAGCTCCAATTTATGGATGAGGAAACTGAGGCCCAGTTTGTCAATGGCACAGCCAGGACTGGAGGCAGTGAAGGGCTGGTCCCTTTTTCTCTCTGGGGCTCAATATTCCCATCTGTGAAATGGGGCATTACAATAATACAGCTGCACCAGCTCCAGGGAGCAGTTGTGAAATCAGATGTGCCAGGTATGTGAAAAGGGCTTCCTGAGAGACTATGACCATGAATGCTGGGTTGGGAATATGGGGGTTCATTTAAGGAGCCCTCCGAACTTCCTGGCCACCAGAAGTGTCGGTTTTCCTAAGGTGACTCAGGAAAGGAGGACTGGGAAGAAAATGCACACTCAATTCACACTACCAACAAGGCCAGAAAAATGCCCATCTGACAACAAGATAAGCAGGCAATCTTTATTTAAACTCCTTGTCAGGCCTTAAACATGTAAAAGATAAGGCCAGGTGTGGTGGCTCATGCCTGTAAATCCCAGCAGTTTGGGAGGCCAAAGAAGAAGGATCACTTGAGTCCAGGAGTTCTAAACCAGCCTGGGGCAACATAGTAAGACCCCTTCTCTACAAAAAAATAAAAAATTAGCCAGGTGTGGTGGTACATGCCAGTAGTCCCAGATACTTGGGAGGCTAAATAGGAGGATCGCTTGACCCCAGGAGGTCGAGGCTGTGGTGAGCCGTGATTGCACCACTGTACTCAGCCTGGTGGACAGAGAAAGAGCCTGTCTCCAAGAAGAAAAAATTGCATAGAACTGAAAACACACACAAAAATTAGTGCATATAAATTGGGTGAAAACTGAATTTCATGCCATGCGCGGTAGTTCATGCCTGTAATCCCAGCACCTTGGGAGGCCAAGGCGGGCAGATCATCTGCAGTCAAGAGTTCAAGACCAGCCTGGCCAACATGGCAAAACCCCATTTCTACTAAAAATACAAAAAATTAACCAGGCGTGGTGGCGTGTGCCTGTAATCCTAGCTACTCGACAGGCAGGACAATTGCTCGAATCTGGGAGGCGGAGGTGGCAGTGAGCCGAGATCGCACCACTGCACTCCAGCCTGGGCGACAGAGCACTCTGTCTCCAAAAAAAAAAAAAAAAAGGCCACGCGTAGTAGCTCACGCCTGTAATCCGGCACTTTGGGAGGCCGAGGCGGATGGATCATCTAAGGTCAGGAGTTCAAGACCCGCCTGACCAACATGGTAAAACCCTGTCTCTACTAAATACAAAAAATTAGCCAGGCGTGGTGGCGCGTGCCAGTAATCCCAGCTACTTGGGAGGCTGAGGCAGGAGAATCGCTTGAACCCGGGAGGCAAAGGTTGCAGTGAGCCAAGATTAATGCCATTGCACTCCAGCCTGGGCAACAAGAGCGAAACTCCATCTCCAAAAAACAAAAAAGAAAACTGAATTTCACCTGAATTCTGGTTGTGATATTGTACTGTAGTTATACAACATACCAACTGTTGGAGTGTTAGAGAGGATGTGGAAGAACTGGACCTCTCAAATACTGTTGATAGGAATATAAAATGATACAACCACCTTTGGAAAACAGTTTGGCTGGGTTTTTTTGTTTTGTTTGGAGGCAGGGTTTTACTCTGTTGCCCAGGGTGGAGTGTAGTGGCACGATGATCTTGGCTCATTGTAGCCTCAACCTCCCAGGCTGAAGCAATCCTCCTGCCTCAACCTCCCAGGCTGAAGCAATCCTCCTGCCTCAACCTCCCAAGTAGCTGGGACTACATGTGTGCACCACCACATCTGGCTAATTTTTGTACTTTTTGTAAGAGATGGGGTTTCACCATCTTGCCCATGCTGGTCTTGAATACCTGAGCTCAGGCATTCTGCCTACCTCGGCCACACAAAGTGCTGGGATTACAGGCATGCACTGTGCCCAGTGAGTTTGGCAGTTCTTTTGTAAAGTTAAACAAATACGGCCAGTTGTGGTGGCTCACGCCTGTAATGCCAGTACTTTGGGAGGCCGAGGTGGGCAGATCACTTGAGGTCAGGAGTTCAAGATCAGCCTGGCCAACATGGTGAAACTCCATCTCTATTGAAAATACAAAACTTAGCCAGTCGTGATGGTGGGCGCCTGTAATCCCAGCTACTCCAGAGGCTGAGGTGGGAGAATCGCTTGAACCCAGGAGGCGGAGGTTACAGTGAGCCAAGATTGTGCCACTGCACTCCAGGCTGGACGACAGAGCAAGACTGAGTATACATTCACATAAACACCTGTATACAAGAGTTCATGGCCAGGCACAGTGGCTCACCCCTGTAATCCCAGCACCTTGGGAGGCTGAGGCAGGCGGATCACGAGGTCAGGAGATCGAGATCGAGACCATCCTGGCTAACACGGTGAAACCCCATCTCTACTAAAAATACAAAAAAAAAAAAAAAATTAGCCGTGCGCGGTGGCAGGCGCTTGTAGTCCCAGCTACTCGGGAGGCTGAGGCAGGAGAATGGCGTGAACCCAGGAGGCGGAGCTTGCAGTGAGCCGCAATCTCGCCACTGCACTCCAGCCTGGACGACAGAGCGAGACTCTGTCTCAAAAAAAAAAAAAAGTTCATAGCAGTTTTATTTTACTAACCAAAAACTACGAACAATCCAAATGCCCCTCACCAAATGTCTGGATAAACAAATGGTGGTATATCCATATAATGGAACACTACTTAGCAATAAGAAGGAATGACCGCCGGCCCGGTGGCTCACGCCTGTAATCCTAGCACTTTGGGAGGCAGAGGCGGGTGGATCACCACCTGAGGTCAGGAGTTGGAGACCACCAGCCTGGCCAATGTGGCAAAACCCCATCTCTACGAAAAATACAAAAATTAGCCAGGTGTGGTGGCAGGCCCCTATAATCCCAGCTACTCAGGAGGCTGATGCAGGAGAATCGCTTGAACCTGGAAGGCAGAGGTTGCAGTGAGCCAAGATCGCACCACTGTACTCCAGCCTGGGAACAGAGCGAGACTCCGTCTCAAAAAATAAAAAGAAAAAAGGCCGGGCACAGTGGCTCACTCCTGTAATCTCAGCACTTTGGGAGGCCGAGGCAGGTGGATCACAAGGTCAGGAGTTCAAGACCAGCCTGGCCAAGATGGTGAAACCCTGTCTCTACTAAAAAAAAAAATACAAAAATTAGCTGAGCATGGTGGCGGGCACCTGTAATCCCAGCTACTCGGGAGGCTGAGGCAGAGAATTGCTTGAACCTGGGAGGCGGAGGTTGCAGTGAGCTGAGATCATGCCACTGCACTCCAGCCTGGGCGACTTGAGTGAGGCTCTGTCTCAAAAAACAAAAAAGAAAAAGAAAGAAGGCCAGGTGCAGTGGCTCATGCCTGTAATACCAGCACTTTGGGAGGCCGAGGTGGGCAGATCACGAGGTCAGGAGATCGAGACCATCCTAGCTAACACGGTGAAACCCTGTCTCTACTAAAAATACAAAAAATTAGCCGGGCGTGGTGGCGCGTGCCTGTAGTCCCAGCTACTCGGGAGGCTGAGGCAGGAGAATGGCGTGAACCCAGGAGGCAGAGCTTGCAGTGAGCTGAGATCGTACCACTGCACTCCAGCCTGGGCGACAGAGCGAGACTGCATCTCAAAAAAAAAAAAAAGAAGAAAAGAAAAACATTAGCCAGGCGTGGTGGCGGGCACCTGTAGTCCCAGCTACTCAGGAGGCTGAGGCAGGAGAATGTCATGAACCCGGGAGGCGGAGGTTGCAGTGAGCCGAGACCGTGCCATTGCACTCCAGCCTTGGGGACAGAGCGAGACTGTGTCTCAAAAAACAAAAAACAAAAACAAAAAAAGACCGGGCGCGGTGACTCACGCCTGCAAGTGTAGCATTTTTGGGAAGTGGAAAAGGGCGGATAACCTGAGGTCAGGAGTTCGAGACCAGCCTGGCTAATGTGGCGAAATCCCATCTCTACTAAAAATACAAAAATTAGCCAGGTGTGGTGGTGGGCACCTGTAATCCCAGCTACTCGCGAGGCTGAGGCAGGAGAATTGCTTGAATCTGGGAGGTAGAGGTTGCAGTGAGCGGAGATCGTGCCATTGCACTCTAGCCTGGGTGACAGAGCGAGATTCCGTCTCAAAAAAAAAAAAAAGTGGATAGAAGGATATGCATAGGTTTTATACAAATACTATGTCATTTTATTTATTTTATGTATTTATATTTTGAGACAGGGTCTTGCTTTGTCACCCAGGCTGGAATGCCGTGGTGGCATCTTGGCTCACTGCAATCTCCACTTCTTGGGTTCATGAAATTCTCTTGCCTTAGCCTCCCAAGTAGCTGGGATTACAGGTGTGCACCACCACGCCCTGCTAATTTTTCTATTTTTAGTAGAGATGAGGTTTCACCATGTTGGCCAGATTGATCTCGAACTCCTGACCTCAGGTTATCCACCTGGCTTGGCCTTACAAACTGCTGGGATTACAGGCGTGAGCCACTGCGCCTGGCCCTGAATTAATTTCTACAGCATAATTTTCTCTCTTATTTTTATTTTTTTGAATCAGAATCTCACTCTGTCGCCCAGGCTGGAGTGCAGTGGCTTGGTCTCGGCTCTCTGCAACCTCCACCTCCTGGGTTCAAATGATTCTCCTGCCTCAGCCTCCCAGGTACTTGGGACTACAGGCGCCCACCACCACACCTGGCTAATTTTTGTATTTTTAGTAGAGACTGGGTTTTGCTATGTTGGCCAAGCTGGTTTCTCTGGAATTCATTGCAGTAAACAGAATTGCTGGATCAATTAATTCACAGTTGAAGGCCAGGCACTGTGGCTCACGCCTGTAATCCCAGTACTTTGGGAGTCTGAGGTGGAGAGATCACAAGGTCAGGAGTTTGAGACCAGCCTGGCCAACATAGTGAAACCCCGTCTCTACTAAAAAGACAAAAAATTTAGCCTGGTGTGGTGGCGGGCACCTGTAATCCCAGCTACTTGGGAGGCTGAGGCAGAAGAATCGCTTGAACCCAGGAGGCGGAGGTTGCAGTGAACCAAGACTGTGCTATTGCACTCCAGCCTGGGTGACAGTCTGAGACTCTATCTCAAAAAAAAATAAATAAATAGTTGGTGATGGCCAGGCACGGTGGCTCATGCCTGTAATCCCAGCACTTTGGGAGGCCAAGGCGGGCGGATCACCTGAGGTCAGGAGTTTGAGACCACCCTAGGCAACATGGCAAAACCCCGTCTCCACTAAAAATACAAAAATTAGATGGGCGTGGTGGTGGGTGCCTGTAATCCCAGCCTGAGGCAGGAGAATGACTTGAACTCAGGAGGTGGTGGTTGCAGTGAGCTGAGATCGCGCCACTGCACTCCAGTCTGGGCAACAGAGCGAGACTCTGCCTCAAAAATAAACAAAAATAAACACTTGGTGATGAATTAATACTCTAATTTCCTCTGGTTGACTGTTGTTCTTCCAATTATTTGGCAATTCTTTTGAGCAGCAAACTATTCCCTCCCATCATTAATTTAGGATTGCTAAACAAGGCGTAGGGAGTTTAGAGAGTTTTGGTGTGTGTGGTAAGGGGATGAGGAGTCTGGCTAATTAATTGATGATGTCTCTCTCTTTTGAAGCTGGTCTCACTGATTGGTTTGGTTTTCCTGGTTTCCTGATGTGGAGGCAGAAGGCTCCTTTACTTTTCCCTCATCCCCCGAACTTCTGTGGGAAAACGGAACCTGCTGATAACTCAGTGAATTAATTGCTGCGGGGTAGTGCGGTGGAGCGGAGCAGGGAGGGACCATAATATCACCCTCCACTGGTGAGCACAGATTTTTACCCCTGCTAATGTTGTGTGGCTTTGGGTGACTAATCTGAGCTTCGGTTTCCCCACCTGTGGCATGTCCAGGACTCTGCAGTCAGACTGCCTGCTCTCAGCAGGAAGCGGTTGCATTACAACACTGTACCCTCCTTATAATAACACAACTATGGTTATGACTTAGGCGTCGTGTGGAGCCTCAGTTTCCTTTGTATAAAGAAACCAAAGAGCTCCTTTCTTTAGAGTTGTGAAAAAGACTACAGAAGTTGATCAAGCCGGGTGACAGAGTAAGACCCTGTATCATTATTATTTTATTTTGAAACAGAGTCCCACTCTGTCGCCCAGGCTGGAGTGCAGTGGCATAATCTCGGCTCACTACAACCTCCGCCTCCTGGGTTCCAGCGAGTCTCCTGCCTCAGCCTCCTGAGTAGCTGGGGTATTACAGGTGCGCGCCACCACACCTGGCTAATTTTTCATTTTTAGTAGAGACGGGATTTCACCATGTTGGTCAGGCTGGTCTCGAACTCCTGACCTCGTGATCTGCCCACCACGGCCTCCCAAAGTGCTGGGATTACAGGCGTGAGCCACTGCGCCCGGCCCCCTGTATCCTTTTTTTTTTTTTTTTTTTTGAGACGAGTCTCACTCTGTCGCCAGGCTTGAGTGCAGTGGTGCGATCTCGGCTCACTGCAACCTCCGCCTCCCAGGTTCAAGCAATTCTCCTGTCTCAGCCTCCCGAGTAGCTGGGATTACAGGCGAACGCTACCATGCCCGGCTAATTTTTGTATTTTTAGTAGAGATGGGGTTTCACCATATTGGTCAGGCTGGTCTCGAACTCCTGACCTCAGGCAATCCACCCGCCTCGGCCTTCCAAATTGTTGGGATTACAGGCGTGAGCCACCGCGCAGCCCTTCATTTTTTAAAATAAGAAATAAATGAAAAAAGATGATCAAGACAAACTCTTCATACAGTGCCCGCTGTACAAAGTAAGAAATTAATAATGGTCACGTTTGTGATTATTATTTAAACACCAAGCAGATATTAAATATTAGGGCTCAGAGAGGGCATGCGACCCGCCTGAATTCACTCAGCTGCAGAGCTGGAAAGAGAACTCAGGCCTTTTTCCCCACGCTGGAAGGGGTAGCTGGGGCGGAGAGGTGGGGGGAGCGGTGAAGAAACCCCAAGCGGCCCAAGCTGTGGGTCTGGGTTGGGAGACTCGCAGGTGTGGGGCGGGGAGGTAAGGTGACCCTTGCTCAGCGACCGCGCCCGCAAGAAACGCATTCCCAGGCCTCCCGCCCGGGGTCTGCAGGTGACGGGCTGGGGGGAGCACGGGAACTAGCTAGACCAGTTTGTCGTCTCCATGGCGACCGCCCGCGCGGCGCCAGCCTGACAGTCCGTCCGGGTTTTATGAATGGGTGACGTCACAGGCCTGGCGTCTAACGGTCTGAGCCGCTGGTTCAGACGCTGACACAGACCGGCCCGGGAAGGGAGGGGGGAGACTGTAGCTCCGCAGCTGCCGCGCCGTGGGAGGGAGACCCTGCTCTGAGGTCTTTGAGAAGAAAATTTAAAAAGCAGCCAAAAATGGGAAAAAACATTAAAAAATCACGAACTGTTGCAGGTTCAGGAAATTTTTGCAAGGAGCTGCAAATTCAAGGTGGAATCGAATGCAGCCTCACTCCACTGCGCTCTATCTAGTTCACTTCCCAGCCACCCAGCCCCAAACTTACTAGACTTTCCCGAATTAATTGCTCCCACCCGGGAGGGATCTGGGTAGGCCCTCCGGGTCTCAGGAACACGAACAGCAACATTATTTAGGAATTGAGAAAGCCCAGGGGAGCAGATGTAAAGGAGCGCCCGCTTTAAATTTCGGTCCTGATATTTGTAGATCAGGGTCCGAGAAGCATCTTCCAAGAGGGTCCGGAAACCCAGGCTCTCTGGGCTATCCAGAGCCAGCCGCTTCTCCGTTCGGGCCTCAATTTCTCTCATCTGTGAAATGGAGCTGGAGAAGTGAGAAAGTGAATATGGGAAAAACTGATTCCTGAGGTCTTTTCATTATAAGGCAATGCCTGCTTAGCTTCCTTGCCTCCTTCCAGAGGAGCCCAGTGCGGCCCTCGCCTCTACCCGCTGCCCTGCCCGGTGCCCTGCCACCGACCCACCCTTGCTGTTCTGAAACCCGGGTCGTCTTTCCACACTGCGAGCAGGCACTAGACGAGCAGGAGGCTGGACCTAGGAGCGCGGGTCACGCCCCCATGCCGCCCATTGGCTGCTTTTGAACGTTCTGAGCCCGCCCCTCCGGGGGCCGTGGCGTGTTTATAAAAGACAAGCTGTGGCTCCGCACTCTCATTCCACGTTCTTAACTGTTCCATTTTCCGTATCTGCTTCGGGCTTCCACCTCATTTTTTTCGCTTTGCCCATTCTGTTTCAGCCAGTCGCCAAGAATCATGAAAGTCGCCAGTGGCAGCACCGCCACCGCCGCCGCGGGCCCCAGCTGCGCGCTGAAGGCCGGCAAGACAGCGAGCGGTGCGGGCGAGGTGGTGCGCTGTCTGTCTGAGCAGAGCGTGGCCATCTCGCGCTGCGCCGGGGGCGCCGGGGCGCGCCTGCCTGCCCTGCTGGACGAGCAGCAGGTAAACGTGCTGCTCTACGACATGAACGGCTGTTACTCACGCCTCAAGGAGCTGGTGCCCACCCTGCCCCAGAACCGCAAGGTGAGCAAGGTGGAGATTCTCCAGCACGTCATCGACTACATCAGGGACCTTCAGTTGGAGCTGAACTCGGAATCCGAAGTTGGAACCCCCGGGGGCCGAGGGCTGCCGGTCCGGGCTCCGCTCAGCACCCTCAACGGCGAGATCAGCGCCCTGACGGCCGAGGTGAGATCCAGATCCGACCACTAGATCATCCTTATACCGACGGGGAAACGGAGGCCAGAGAGGGCGTGGGCGCTTGCACCACTTCCGTCCCATCCTTGCGGGTACCTGGCTATGCGGGGGTGCCTAAGGAGCCTGGAAAAAGCGCTCCCCCGTCGTGCTTCCTGGGGAAGGGGGCGTTCGCTGCGCTCGGAGCGGCGTCCCTTCCAACCCGCCGGTCTCATTTCTTCTCGTTTTCACAGGCGGCATGCGTTCCTGCGGACGATCGCATCTTGTGTCGCTGAAGCGCCTCCCCCAGGGACCGGCGGACCCCAGCCATCCAGGGGGCAAGAGGAATTACGTGCTCTGTGGGTCTCCCCCAACGCGCCTCGCCGGATCTGAGGGAGAACAAGACCGATCGGCGGCCACTGCGCCCTTAACTGCATCCAGCCTGGGGCTGAGGCTGAGGCACTGGCGAGGAGAGGGCGCTCCTCTCTGCACACCTACTAGTCACCAGAGACTTTAGGGGGTGGGATTCCACTCGTGTGTTTCTATTTTTTGAAAAGCAGACATTTTAAAAAATGGTCACGTTTGGTGCTTCTCAGATTTCTGAGGAAATTGCTTTGTATTGTATATTACAATGATCACCGACTGAAAATATTGTTTTACAATAGTTCTGTGGGGCTGTTTTTTTGTTATTAAACAAATAATTTAGATGGTGGTAAAGTTGTAGTGACTTCTTGGGTTGAGGGGAGGGGCCTGGGCTGGGGGTTGACCCCTGACCCTCTTCACAGCTGGTTCTGGGAGGAGAATTGGAGGGCTACATCTGGATTGTTGCTCTTACCGGCCTGAATGAGTGTTTCCGGTGTCTTTAAAGTCTATTCTTCCCCCACCATCCCTGCCCATTTCCCTGCTCCCCAGTGTTATAAAACTAAATACTCCAGACCTCTGGGGTTTCTCACAGTGATCATTGGGCCATCTAGATCACCTGGGGAGGTTGTTAAAATGCAGATGAACCTGCCAGGGCCCCCTCTGTATTGGGAGTATTGAGCAAGCCATTTAAGTTGGAGAACCTGGCCGCTGGACCACCCACTTCCTTGCCAAGATGTGGATAAAGTGAGACCCAGTGGAAAGGGACTTGCTTAGGGCCATAGCTTGTGAGAGGCAGTGATTCTATCACCCCATTCCCCAGTTGGAGGTGCCTCCCCCAACAGCCTACCTCTGGGTTCCAGCAGGCAGCCCTGGGGCTCCTGGCTCATCCAAGTGGGTGAGCAAGTTGGCAGGGCCAGGCTGGGCACAGCTGCCGAGACACCTGCTCTGGGTCCAGACTCGGCCTCCTCACTCTGGCCTGGCTCTGTCGGCAGTTCAAACAAATCTCCCCCACCAACCCCGGGGCTCCTGCGTAGGATCTGAGGAGTGGACGAGTCTCATTACCCAGCTCCTGAGCAGGAAAAATATGTCATTGGCAAGGGTCTAAGAATCTTCCTGGACATGTATGTGGATTTCTACTCAGGGGAGCATGTATGAGTGTCTACGCCTGTGTATGTAACAGGAGTAAGCTGATCTTCCCCCACTACTCCCACAGTGGGGATGGGCCAACTGTTCACATATAGGCTTGGGGGAGGGGGTGTAAGTAGGAGTATGCTTGGGGGTGTGTGCAGAAGGGCAAATGAGAGCACATGTGTTCTGCAGATAAGTGTGGAACCTCCAGCTGTTTGGGCTTGTGTGTTCTGCCTAAATGCATTGTAGGCATCTCTGCATGGGTCTGGCATGATGGATGGGTTTGTGTGTCTGGGGGCCACAGAACCACACTGTGGGTTTCTGTGTGTATAACTGTTCTATAGATTGGTTGGCATTCCTGGGCCTCTGCGGGTCTGGAGTGAAGGTGGGGACAGCTGTGTTTGGGCAAACCCTTCCTCAAAAGTTCACGTGGCAACTCCCTGGGCTATCGTTAGGTCCTGGGGGCACCAACCCTCAAGGATTGCTGCCAGGTAAACCCCCCTGTATTACATATGGAGAAACTGAGTCCCAGGAATGACAAAGAACTTGTCCCAGACAGGTAAGGGCTATTAATATATTTTGTCAATAAACAATAGAATAAAATCAATAGCCCTTAGCACCAGAAGCCTGGCTCTGCTCAACTGAACCCTTTACAAAAACGATTTCATGGATCCCTGTGGGGCTAAAGGCAAGACTGTGATCCCAGTTTTACAGCAGAAGGAACAAGCTCAGAGAGGGGATGAACAAAAAATCAAATGAAAGATTATGATTTGAGCACTAACATTAAGCCAGGTACACCCCCTCCACAGTTTATGGATTTTATCGAAGAACCCAGTACTTGCAGGCGAATTATGTTCTTTGCTACCTCCTCCCCACCGGCTGCTGTATTACAGTACTAACCTCACGGAATGTAGTACAGAATAAATGAAATAAAGTAAGTGTGTAAAACGTTTAGCACAGTGCTTGGCACAGAATGTTTCATAGTTATAAATTATTATTGTCGCCTGTGAGTCCTTGGAGTGTCCTCGGAGGCACACGTGTGCACGCACGCACTCTCACGTGTGGGCCCCCGCCTGCAAGCCCACCCACGGGGTCTGAGCGGGTTCCCCCTCGCGTACTCCGACATGCAGGGCCTTTTTCCAGGGGAGGAAGGGGCTGCGGCGGGGGCCTGGGCCACCTCCCCCGCCATTCAGGCACACTCTGGATTCCACGTTTCCCTCTGTTCCCCTTTGGCCCAGACCCAGCCCATCTGGAGGCCGGCTCCGCGGCGGCCTGGGAGCGTTTCCATCAGCTGGGCCCGAGGAATGCGGAGCTATTTAACCTGAGCATCCCCAGGTGTACGGAGGCGCCTGGCTGTCTGGGGCCCGCAGCCTTTGGCACAGCCGCGCTAGACAAACAGCGCGCCGCCCCCGCCCTGCCCCTCCGCCCCCAGCTGCAGCCGGGCCTGGGAACCGGCGGGCGCCGGCGGCTTGCATAAGAGGCTCCGGGCCTCGCAGAGGGAGGGGGGACAGAGGCCACCGGTGTGTGTGCATGTAACACACAAAACCCTGCTCCTTTGGAAATCATTAACTCCTTAACCCCTCCTGGACAGGACGAAGCCAGGAGCTGGGGTGGAAGATGCCGAGAAACCCGAGGACCAAGTTTCTTGGGCACTGGACTCTGCCTTTCCGGGGCTGTACTGTTAATTTTATTTAAGAAATACAGAGAGCTTATTGTGTGCTGGGCACCATGCTAAACTCTTTACAATATCAATTCATTTAATCGTCAGAACTTGTTAACGAGGCCAGTGCTATCATCATATGCTCATTTTAATAAGAGCAACCACCACCACTACAACAAGAGTAATAGGCTAACATTTTAGTAGGGAGGCAGGTAGAACACAAGCCCAGAATCAACCTTGATGCTCATCACTTCACCTGTCAGAGCCTCTTCTTTTTTGGAAAACGGGCTTCAGAACCTGGGCTTCAAGGATTAATTGAACCAATGCACCTAAAAAGCATAGCACAGGCTCATGGTAGATACTTAGTGCATATTGCAATAAAGTGTTTTGAGCGGATTGTCTCAACAGCCCTACCAGGTGTGGGCCTACTGGTATATTCACTTTTTTGGTTTTTTTGAGACAGAGTCTCCCTCTATTGCCCAGGCTGGGGTGCGGTGGCACCATCTTGGCTCACTGCAACCTCCACCTCCCAGGTTCAAGTGATCCTCCTGCCTCAGCCTCCCGAGTAGCTGGGATTACAGGCACGTGCCACCATGCCCAGCTAATTTTTGTATTTTTTTTGTAGAAAAGGGTTTTCACCATGTTGGCCAGGCTAGTCTCGAACTCTTGACCTGAAGGGATCTGCCCACCTCAGCTTCCCGAAGAGCTGGGATTACAGATGTAAGCCACCGTGCCCGGCCTGTGTTCACTTTTCAGATGAGAAAACGGAGGCATCAAAGAGGTGAGGTGACCCACCCAAGGCCACATTGCACATTACCTTAGAGGACTTTCCAGAAATCAGACTTGTCTAAATCAGGTTTATGAGGGGCCTCATGTTCCCACAGTATGTCCAGTTTATAAAGCCTTTCATCTTATTTCCAACTGAAATCATACCTGGTCATTATATTTATTTGTTTTAAAAGCATAACTCAGATAAATGCAAGAAATATACACATATCACAATTTTTGCAACCCATATTGGGGAATGTCTATTTTTTTTTTTAAGACAGTTTTCCTCGTCACCCAGGCTGGAGTGCAATGGGGCGATCTCGACTCAACCGCAACCTCCGCTTCCCAGTTTCAAGCAATTCTTCTGCCTCAGCTTCCCAAGAAGCTGGGATTACAGGCATATGCCAACACGCCCAGCTAATTTTTGTATTTTTAGTAGAGACAGGGTTTCACCATGTTTGCCAGGCTGCTCTCGAACTCCTGACCTCAGGTGATCTACCCTCCTCAGCCTCCCAAAGTGCATGAGGCCACCGTGCCCGGCTCTTTTTTTTTTTTTTTTTTTTTTTTTGAGACAGAGTCTCGCTCTGTCGCCCAGGCTGGAGTGCAGTGGCGTGATCTTGGCTCATTGCAACCTCCGCCTCCCGGGTTCAAGCAATTCTCATGCCTCAGCCTCCTGAGTAGCTGAGATTACAGACGCGCACCACCACATCTGGCTAATTTTTATATATTTAGTAGAGACGGGGTTTCACCATGTTGCCCAGGCTGGCCTCGAACTCCTGACCTCAGGTGATCAGCCCTCCTCAACCTCCCAAAGTGCTGGGATTACAGGCGTGAGCCACCACACCCGACCCATGCCAGTCACTCTTATTGAGCACCAGGAACTGCCAGCCAGAGAGAGCTCCCTGCTGCCCAGTGTCACACACAGCAGGGCTTCCTGGTGGCAGGCAGGTCTCACATCCTAGCATGGCTGCCGGAAAGAAAGGAGGTGAGTCACAGGGCCAGGCCAGGAGCTGGGCGAGGCTGGGGCCAGGGTCCAGGCAGGCGCCACTTTCCAGGAAAGGGAAGGGAAGAGGAAACCAGAAGGCCAGGAGGAGCACAGGGAGGGGCGAGGGTGCCCTTATCTCCCTGGACCTGCCCTGGCTGGTGCTGCTTCCTGCTGCAACTCTTGCAAAACCTCGTTCCCAACGCTGTCCTCAAGCAGGGT
This sequence comes from Homo sapiens, assembly GCF_000001405.40. Classification (NCBI taxonomy): domain Eukaryota; kingdom Metazoa; phylum Chordata; class Mammalia; order Primates; family Hominidae; genus Homo; species Homo sapiens. The sequence goes on from NC_000020.11 coordinate 31,610,922, forward strand.
GCCCCAGGCCAGTACAGGGTTGCATCAAGGCCTTGTGCAAGGGGGGTTAAAGGGAGGACAGTGGCTGGGAGCAAAGGCAGGGCAAGAGGCAAGGCAAATGCGGGTTCTAGGCCCAGTGCCACTTCTGGTTGGGCACCTGCTTCACCTCCTGGGCTCTTAGGATCCCCAGCATTTTTTTTTTTTTTTTTGAGACGGAGTCTCACTCTGTTGCCAACCTCTGCCTCCTGGGTTCAAGCAATTCTCCTGCCTCAGCCCCTCCAGTAGCTGAGTCTACCGGTGTGCACCACGACGCCCAGCAATTTTTGTATTTTTAGTAGAGACAGGGTTTCTACATGTTGGCCAGGTTGGTCTCGAACTACTGACCTCAGGTGATCCACCTGCCTTGGCCTCCCAAATTGTTGGGATTACAGGTGTGAGCCACTGCACCCTGCCATCCCCAGCATTTTTTTTTTTTTTTTTTTTTTGAGACAGAGTCTCCCTCTCTTGCTAGCCTGGAGTGCAGTGGCAGGAGCTCAGCTCACTGCAACCTGTGTCTCCCAGGTTCAAGTGATTCTCCTGCCTCACCCTCCCAAGTAGCTGGGGTTATAGGCACGTGCCACCACGCCCAGCTAATTTTTGTGTTTTTAGTAGAGACGGGGTTTCACCGTGTTGGCCAGGTTGGTCTTGACCTTCTGACCTCGTGGTCTGCCCGCCTTGGCCTCCCAAAGTGCTGGGATTACAGGTGTGAGCCACCATGTCGCCCAGCCTCATTCCCAGCTTTTAAATGGGTGTTATACTCACCGTTTTGAGGTTTCAGTGATATCATCCCAAACCTTTGCACTCCTCAAGCCTCAGGCTAGGCCATTGTACTTCTACCTGTGAAACTAGCCCCAACTGGTTCTTTCAACAAATAGTTTATAAAGCTTCTACAATATACTAGGAACCGGGCCCCAGGAGTTAACAATTCAGATACAAATTCTTGCAGTCTTGGAACTTACATTCTTAGTGGGAGACACGCAGTAGATAAATATGCAGATGTGTAATCAGAGGTGCATTTACCTGGAAATTACTTAAGCTTAAACTTCAAGCCTCCTCACATGGAAAGAGTATCAGCCATGTGTTAGCATGATTTCTGTGTGTTTTGCAAGATTTGCAAAATGTTGTATTCTTTTCCTTAGAGGCTGCACAAACCTAGATCCTCTTCTTTATATATAGACGAGACCGAGCAGGGCCCAAGCTTGAAGGCATAGCTGCAGAAGACAAAGAATCGTGTCTGTGGGTGCTGTTCGTTGCTTGGGTTTGTTTTGTTATTTTATTAATTTATTTTTATTTATTTATATATTTTTTGAGACAGTTTCCTCCTTGTCACCCAGGCTGGAGTGCAATGGTACCATCTCAACTCACTGCAACCCCCGCCTCCTGGGTTCAAGCGATTTTCCTGCCTCAGCCTCCCAAGTAGCTGGGGTTACAGGTGCCTGCCACCACGCCCAGCTAATTTTTTTTTTTTTTTTAATTGTGAGACAAAGTCTCGTTCTGTCACCAGGCTAGAGTGCAGTGGCGCAATCTCGACTCATTGCAACCTCTGCCTTCTGGGTTCAAGCGATTCTTCTGCCTCAGCCTCCCGAGTAGCTGGGACTATGGCGTGCACCACCACGTCCAGCTAATTTTTTGTATTTTTAGTAGAGACGGGATTTCATCATGTTGGCCAGGATGGTCTCCAACGCCTGACCTCAGGTGATCCATCCGCCTCGGCCTCCCAAAGTGCTGAGATTACAGGCGTGAACCACCGGGCCCGGCCTGTTGTTGTTTTAATAGAGACGGGGTCTTGCATGGTTGCCCAGGCTGGCCTCAAAATCCTGGGCTCAAGCAATCCTCCCGCCTCTGCCTCCCAAAGCACTGGGATTACAGGCGTGAGCCACCCTGTCCGGCCCGGTTTTTGGGTTTGAGACCCTAAAATCTCTGGGCGGCAGAGAAGAGCTGGGAAGCGGGCCAGCGCTTTCCAGAGCACCTGGTCTCATGCAGCTGCAAACGCAGGCGCTGTGCCCGCCCCCGTCTTCCTTTGGCCACCAGCGCCCCCTCCCGGGCAGAGCCCGGGCTATGCCACCGTGGGCGAGAAAGGCGGCCTGGTTGCGGCGAGAGGCGGAGGCTGATGCCTTGGTGGCCTCTAGTGGACGCCTTGGGAACTGCAGTCAGAGCTGCAAGCGTGTTAGGAGAGTGAAGAGTTCTGCGCACATGTAAACCCTCAGCCCCTTCTCTCAGGCCCCCTTTGGCTACCGTTTCCCCCATTCTCTCATCCTCTTTCCTCTTCCTTGCTTGTGACAACCCCCTATGAGCCTCATTCCCTCCCTTTTTTTTTTTTTTTTTCTGAGATGGAGTCTCGCTCTGTCGCCCAGGCTGGAGTGCAGTGGCACGATCTCGGCTCACTGCAACCTTCGCCTCCAGGGTTCACGCCATTCTCCTGCCTCGGCCTCCGGAGTAGCTGGGACTACAGGCGCCCGCCACCACGCCCAGCTAATTTTTTGTATTTTTAGTAGAGAGGGGGTTTCACCGTGTTAGCCAGAATGGTCTCGATCTCCTGACCTCGTGATGCGCCCGCCTCAGCCTCCCAAAGTGCTGGGATTACAGGCGTGAGCCAGCGTGCCCGGCATTCCTTCCCTTTTAAAGGAGGAGATCTTGGGCTAATCTTGGAAATTTCTTTTCTTTTTCTTTTTCTTTTCTTTCTTCTTTCTTTTCTTTTCTTTTTTTTTTTCTTTGAGACGGAGTCTGGCTCTGTCGCCCAGGCTGGAGTGCAGTGGCTCGATCTCGGCTCACTGCAAGCTCCGCCTCCCGGGTTCACGCCATTCTCCTGACTCAGCCTCCCCAATAGCTGGGACTACAGGCGCCCGCCACCGCACCCGGCTAATTTTTTTGTATTTTTAGTAGAGACGGGGTTTCACCGTGGTCTCGATCTCCTGACCTCGTGATCCGCTTGCCTCGGCCTCCCAAAATGCTGGGATTACAGGCGTGAGCCACCGCTCCCGGCTTTTTTTTTTTTTTTTTTTTTTTTGTAGCCCAGGCTGGAGTGCAGTGGCGCGATCTTGGCTCATTGCAAACTCATCTCCTGGGTTCAAGCGATTCTCCTGCCTCAGCCTCCCGAGTAGCTAGGATTACAGGCGCCAGCCACCACGCCTGGCTAATTTTGTATTTTTGGTAGAGACGGGTTTCTCCATGTTGATCAGGCTGGTCTCGAACTTCCGACCTCAGGTGATAAGCCTGCCTCAGCCTCTCAAAGTGCTGGGATTACAGGCGTGAGCCACGGCGCTCAAGCTAATTTTGTTTTTTGTTTTTGTTTTTGTTTTTTGTTTTTTGTTTTTGAGGCAGAGTTTCACTCTTTCGCCCAGGCTAGAGTGCAGTGGCGCAATCTGGGCTCGCCACCAAGCCTGGCTCATTTTTTGTATTTTTAGTAGAGATGGGGTTTCACCATGTGGACCAGGCTGGTCTTGAACTCCTGACCTCAGGTGATCTGCCTACCTCGGCCTCCCAGAGTGCTGGGATTACAGGTGTGAGCCATCACGCCTGGCCTAATCTTGGAAATTTCTTTTTTTCAATTGTGAAATGTATCACACCTACAATAGAGCAGATATCACACGTCTGCAGTTTAAAGATAATAATAAAACCGGCCAGGTGCGGTGGCTCACGCCTTTAATCCCAGCACTTTGGGAGGCCGAGATTGCGCCACTGCACTCCAGCTTGGGCAACAAAGACTCTGTCTCAAAAAAAAAAAAAAATGTGTGTGTGTGTGTGTGTGTGTATATGTGTGTATATATATGTGTGTGTATATATATGTATATATGTATGTGTATGTATATATGTATATATGTATATACATATGTATACATGTGTATATATGTATATATGTATATACATATGTATACATGTGTATATATGTATATACACATGTATACATGTGTATATATGTATATATACACACATATATGTATATACACACATATGTATATATACACATATATGTATATATATAAAACTATAAAACACACAAGTACCAGCCTCTCTGCTTGAAATAGAATATTAGTTCATTTGAAGCCTGTGTTTGCCCTTCAGGATAAAATCCCCATAAGATTTTACCTCTTATCCAGAACTTTGTGTTAATCAATTGCTTGTTCTTTTATTTTTTTTCACATATGTACAAGTATGCATCCTTAAACAATCCATTACTTGATATTACCTGGTTTTGCCTTTTATATAAATAAAATCATATTATATGCAATTTTCTGCAACCTGATTTTCTCATGCAACATGAATTACATGAGAGTCATCCATGTTGATTTCTTGCCTTCATTCATTCATTTCCACCACTTTGTAGTATTCTTTTTTTTTTTTTTGAGATGGAGTTTTGCTCATGTTGCCCAACCTGGAGTGCAATGGCACGATCTCAGCTTACCGCAACCTCTGCCTCCTGGGTTCAAGCGATTCTCCTGCCTCAGCCTCCCGAGTAGCTGGGATTACAGGCATGCGCCACCATGCCCAGCTAATTTTGTATTTTTAGTAGAGACGGGGTTTCTCCATTTTGGTCAGGCTGGTCTCGAACTCCCGACCTCAGGTGATCCGCCACCTTGGCCTCCCAATGTGCAGAGATTACAGGCGTGAGCCACCGCACCCAGCCCACTTTGTAGTATTCTATTATATGATTTATTGCCCCAGTCTCCTGTGATGGACCTTTGGATTGTTTCATAGGTTTTGCTGTTATCAGCAGTGCTGCTCTGAATGCCCTCAGTGAATATGCGTTAAAAGGAGTAGGATGGCTGCATCCTAGGTGATGCACAATTTAAACATTACTAGGTTGGACTGGAGTCTATTTTGATTAAACAGAATAATCAGAACTGGAAGGTCCCTTACATACAGCTTAACCCAGCGCACTCATTGTAGAGATAGGAAAAGGAAAGCCCGGAGAAGTTCAGTGACTTGCCCAGGATCCCTCAGACCTGGCCTCTTGGGCTAAGGTCATAGCCTTGGAAGTGATTCTGGGAGTGAGGCATGAGAATATATTTCCTTCTCATTTTGAAGATGAACAAGACTGTATTTTACCCTTAAAATAGTCTTCTAGGCTGGTTTTAGAATCTGGGCAGCTGGGCACGGTGGGCTCACACCTGTCATCTCAGCACTTTGAGAGGCTGAGGTGGGCGGATCACGAGGTCAGGAGTTTGAGACCAGCCTGACCAACATGGTGACACCTTGTCTCTACTAAAAACACAAAAATTAGCCGGGCATGGTGGTGCACGCCTGTAATCCCAGCTACTCAGGAGGCTGAGACAGGAGAATTGCTTGAACCCAGGAGGCGGAAGTTGCAGTGAGCCAAGATCTGGCCACTGCACTCCAGCCTGAGCAACAGAGCAAGGCTCCGTCTCAAAAAATAATAATAATAATCTGGGCAAACTAGAAACACAGGATGCTCCTTGAAAACCATCCCGCCGGGCGTGGTGGCTCACACCTGTAATCCCAGCACTTTAGGAGACCGAGGTGGGTGGATCACGAGGTCAGGAGATTGAGATCATCCTGGCTGACATTGTGAAACCCCATTTCTACTAAAAATACAAAAATTAGCCAGGCGTGGTGGCATGCAACTGTAGTCCCAGCTACTTGAGAGGCTGAGGCAGGAGAATTGCTTGAACCTGGGAGGCAGAGGCTGCAGTAAGCTGAGATTGCACCACTGCACTCCAGCCTGGGTGACAGAGCGAGACTCCATCTCAAAAAAAAAAAAAAAAGAAAAAACCATCCCAAGACAAATACACATTCACACTCACTGCATCTCCAAGTCCTGCCAACTCTAATGCTTTTTTTTCCACCCCCTCAAAGACAAAGTCTCACTCTGTGGCGCAGGCTGGAGTGCAGTGGTGCAGTCTTGATTCACTGCAACATCTGTCTCCTGGGCTCAAGCGATCCTCCCACCTCAGCCTCCCAAGTAGCTGAGACTACAGGTGTGCACCACCACACCTGGCTAATTTTTGTATTTTTTGTTTCATCATGCTACCCAGGCTGGTCTCAAACTCCTGGGCTCAATTGACCCACCTGCCTCGGCCTCCCAAAATGCTGGGATTACAGACGTCAGCCAGTGCGCCTGGTCTTACCGCCTTTTTTTTTTTTGAGATGGTGTCTTGCTCTGTCGCCCAGGCTGTAGTGCAGTGGCAGGATCTCGGCCCACTGCAACCTCTGCCTCCCAGGTTCAGGCAATTCTACTGCTTCAGCCTCCTGAGTAGCTGGGATTACAGGCATGTGCCACCACGCTCGGCTAATTTTTGTATTTTTAGTGGAGATGGGGTTTCACCATGTTGTCCAGGCTGGTCTCGAACTCCTTGACCTCAGGTGATCTACCTGCCTCAGCCTCACAAAGTGTTGGGATTAGAGGCATGAGCCACCATGCCCGGCCTTAACTCTTAAATATATCCCAAATTTACGCATTTCTGCCCTTCCCCTTGGCCATTACCCTGGTGCCCATCATCTCACTGGGATACTGCAATAGCCTCCTCAGTCACCCTGCTTCCATTTCCCCCTCATTCTCCACATGACAGCCAGAGAGATCCTTCTAAAAAATACAAGGATCACGTCACTTGCTTGCTTAAATGCTCCCTGTGGCATTCGTTACTTTTGGAATAAAATCCTAATTTGTTACCATAGCCTACAAGGCACAGTAAGGCCTGGTTCCTGCCTACATCCACCCACTTCCCCTAACTCTCCCCTTGCCACTCCCCTCCAGTCACTTTGGTTTCCTTTCAGTTGCTCTTTCATAACTGGGGAGACTTTGCCTGTGCCTCAAATTCTACACCCTGCGTATCTTCATGTCCTTCAGCTTTCAGCCCAAAGGTTGGCTCAGAGGGTCTTCCCCGACCATCCCATCTCCTTCTTTTTTTTTTTTTTTTTTTTTTTTTGAGACAGGGTCCTCACTCTGTAGGCTGGAGTACTGTGGGGCAATCATGACTCACTTCAGCCTTGAACTCTTGGACTGAAGTGATCCTCTCGCCTCAGCCTCCCATGTAGCTGGGACCACAGGTGTGTGCCATCACGCCTGGCTAATTTTTTTTCTTTTCATTTTTGTAGAGATGGGGTCACACTTTGTTGTCCAGGCTAGTCTCAAATTCCTGGGATCAAGCAGTCCTTCCAAGTAGGGCTTCTCAGAGTGCTCAAGTGATCCTCCCACCTCAGCCTCCCAAGTAGCTGGGACTACAGGTGCACGCCACCATGCCCAGCTAATTTTTGTATTTTTTGTTTCACCATGTTGCCCAGGCTGGTCTCAAACTCCTGGGCTCAATTGATCCACCTGGCTCAGCCTCCCAAAGTGCTGGGATTACAGCACCATTTCGCTGTAATCTACTGGTTCAAGCAGTCACAGAAGCCCTCTCAGGTTCAAAAGGGAGGAGACATACACCCCCCTTTTGACAGGAAGAATGTCAAAAATTTGAGGCCATTAAGAAATAAAATGGCCAGGTGCAGTGGCTCACGCCTGTAATCCCAGCACTTTGGGAGGCCAAGGCAGGCGGATCACCTAAGGTCGGGAGTTTGAGACCAGCCTGACCAACATGGAGAAGCCGCGTCTCTACTAAAAAAAATACAAAAATATTAGCCGGACATGGTGGCACATGCCTGTAATCCCAGCTCCTCTGGAGGCTGAGGCAGGAGAATCGCTTGAACCCGGGAGGCGGAGGTTTCGGTGAGCCAAGATGGCGCCATTGCACTCCAGCCTGGGCAACAGGAGCGAAACTTTGTCTCAAAAAGAAAAAAAACAAAAAACAAAAAACAAAGAAAGAAAAGAAAAGAAACTAAGCCGGGGTGCCAGGGTGCATCTGTAGTCCCAGCTACTTTGGAGGCTGAGGGGACAGGACCACCTGAGCCTGAGCCCAGGAGTGGGTAACATAATGAGACCCTGTCTCTAATTATAAAACAAACAAACAAACAAAAACTGTCATGAGGATAATAAGCTATTCTAAGTGCAGTGTGTTCAGAGAGGTTCAGTTCCTTGCCCAGAGGACAATTACAGATGTGAATAGTGATAAAGAAGGAAACAACAAAAAACAGGTTGAAAGGAGATGGGGGCCGGGTGTGATGGCTCATGCCTTTAATAGCAGCACTTTGGGAGGCCGAGGTGGGTGGATCACCTGAGGTCAGGAGTTGGAGACCAGCCTGGCCAACATGGTGAAACCCCATCTCTACTAAAAATACAAAAAAACTTAGCCGGCTGGGCGCGTGGCTCACACCTGTAAAAATACAAAAAACTTAGCCGGGAATGGTGGCAAACATCTGTAATCCCAGCTACTCAGGAGGCTGAGGCAGGAGAATCTCTTGAACCCGGGAGGGGGAGGTTGCAGTGAGCCAAGATCGTGCCACTGCACTCCAGCCTGGGTGACAAGAGCAAAACTCTGTCTCCAAAAAAAAAAAAAAAATTAGCCAGGCATGGTGGTGCATGCCTGTAATCCCAGCTAATTGGGAGGCTGAGGTAGGAGAATTGCTTGAACCTGGGAAGGTGGAGGTTGCAGTGAACTGAGATCATGCCACTGCACTCCATCTTGGGCTACAGAGTGAGACTCTGACTCAAAAAAATAAAAACAAAAACAGGGAACAGAAGAATTATTCAACTATGCTCCACTTTAATCCCTGACCCACAGAATCTGTGAGATATAGTAAAACGGTTGTCGTTTTAAGCCACTAAATTTTGGGGTAATTTGTTATGGAGCATTTGTTATGGTAATTTGTTGTAGCCAGAACCATCATGTTTATTTGATTGCTTACCATGTTTTCTGTCTCTGGAATGGGTGCTCCATGAACTGCTCTGTTCTCTGCCATGTGCTCACTGTCCAGCCCAGAGCCTGGCACATAGTTGGTGCTTAATAAATATTTGCTGAATAAATGAGAGAGTGGATTAATAGATGTATGCCCACCACACTCGGGTTCAACTCCGTTCATCCATCTGGGTAGAGTTTCTGGGATAATCCTGCATATGCCTTGACATTGGGAAGAGGGGCACTCAGGCACCTGCCATCCCCTGGCAGCCTCGTCCCCAGCCCTGGAAGGGGGTACTGAGAGTGGCTTTGGTCACCAAAACCTATTGTTGCATGAGGGCTCAGTTAGTGCCTACCTGCCATGACCTCCCTTTTCTGTTCCAACCTCCAGACTTTGCATAAATGACTTCCAGTGATGTCTTCCAAGTCTCATTTTTCTGAATTCACCTCCTCCAGAAAGCTGGTCTAGTTTGGAAACTCTCTCAGGCTCCCTTCCTGACCTCCAGAGACAACCCTCCTCCCTCTTGTTGACTACAGACAATTGCAGGGATTGCTTCAGGATCATTCCCACCCAGAGCCCCCTGGTGCCCCACATGGCCACCTCCCACCCTGCACAATTCAGTCCCCTAGCAATGACATTCCCAAACCAAAATCCCTGCTATGTGTCAAATCCTGTGCTGGGTGTTTTGCTGTCAGTATCTCGGTTCAACACACCTCCACAACTCAGTGAGGTCAGATCCATGATTGTCCCATTTTATGAATGAGAAAGGTGAGGCTCCAAGAGGAAAAACTAGTTCCAGGTACCTGGCTGGCAAGTGCTCTTCTAGGATCCAGTTCATCATCATCATCGTCATCATCATCATGACTATAACTTACTAAGCACTGACAGTGAAGATAACGATCTACCAAAGGATGCCCAATTCAAGGGGTTAAACTTCAAGCAGAAAAAGGATATTTTCTTAGTTTCAAAGTATCTCCCTAAGTATATTTAATAACTACACAGAGTAAAATAATTTTTTTTTTTTGAGATGGAGTCTCACTTTATCACCCAGGATGGAGTGCAGTGGTGCAATCTCAGCTCACCACAACCTCCACCTCCCGGGTTCAAGCAATTCTCCTGCTTCAGCCTCCCCAGTAGCTGGGATTAAAGGTGCACACCACCACGCCCAGCTAATTTTGTATTTTTAGTAGAGACGGGGTTTCACCATGTTGGCCAGGCTGGTCTTGAACTCCTGACCTTGTGATCCACCCGCCTCGGCCTCCCAAAGTACTGGGATTACAGGCCTGAGCCATCGCACCCGGCCTAAAATAATAATTTTACAGTGGAGAAGTCCAGTACATACTGCCCTAGATAACTGATCAAGGTTAACATTGGTGGTCATACATGTCAACATCAGGGCCTCTGCAAGGATGCACTGAGAAAGGCATGACACCACTTCTGTGACATTTTCCCCATAATTCATGACTTCAATTTGATCACAAGAAAATCTCAGACAAATCCAACTTGAAAGACATTCTACCAAGCAGCTGAATAGGACTCTTCAAAAGTGTCAAGGTCACAAAAAAGAAGGAAAGACCGAGGAACTGTCACAGATTGAAAAAGACTGCTGGTGCCGGGTGTGGTGGCTCACACCTGTAATCCCAGCACTTTGAGAGCCTGAGCAGGAGGATTGCTTGAGCTCAGGAGTTTGAGAACAGTCTGGGCAACATGGTGAAACCCTGTCTCTACAAAAAAAATACAAGAAATTAGCTGGGTGTGGTGGGCTCACTCCTGTAGTCCGGGCTACTCAGAAGGCTGAGGTGGGAGGATCGCTGGAGCCTGGGGGGCGGAGGTTGCAATGAGCTGAGATCATGCCACTACACTCCTGCCTGGGGCATAGAGTGAGACTCTGTCTGAAAAGAAAAAACAAGAAAAGAAAAATCTGGTTTAGGCCGGGCGGGGTGGCTCACGCTTGTGATCCCAGCACTTTGGGAGGCCAAGGCGGGCAGATCGTGAGATCAGGAGATCCAGACCATCCTGGCTAACATGGTGAAACCCTGTCTCTACTTAAAAAAAAAAAAAAAAAAAAAAAAAAATTAGCCAGGCATGGTGGCGGGAGCCTGTAGTCCCAGCTACTTGGGAGGTGAGGCAGGAGAATGGCTTGAACCTGGGAGGTGGAGCTTGCAGTGAGCCAAGATTGCACCACTGCACTCCATCCTGGGCAACAGTGCAAGACTCCGTCTAAAAAAAACAAAAGAAAGAAAAAAAAAGATCCTGGTTTGGATCCCAGAACAGAAAAAGGACATAAGTAGGAAAACAGATGAAATCGAAAAACTTCTGTACTTTAGTTCATAGTAATGTACCAAGGTTAATTTCTTAGTTTTGATAAATGTTCTGTCACTGTTTGAGATGTTGACAGAAGGGGAAGCCAGGTGAAGGGTATACAGGAACTCCCTGTACTATTTTTACATCTTCTGTAAGACTAAAATTATCTCAAAAGGAAAAAAGACATTAAAATAAAAGAGAAAGGCTGGGTGTGGTGGCTCACGCCTGTAATCCCAGCACTTTTCGAGGCCAAAGCATGAGGATTGCTTGATCCCAGGAGTTCAAGACCAGCCTGGGCAACATAGTGAGGTCTTGTCTCAAAAAAAAGTAAAAAAATTAGCCGAGCATGGTGACACAAGCCTGTACTCCCAGGTATTGGGAGGCTAAAGTGGAAGGATCGTTTGAGCCCAGGAGGTTGAGGCTACAGTGAACCATGATCACACACCACTGCACTCCAGCTGAGACCCTGTTCCCCGCCCCCCCAAAAAAAAGAGCGAGAGAGAGAATGAAGGCTAAAGTGGAGTAAGACTACCATAGCCCTCTCTCCCACTGATTACAACAAAAAACTCTGGACAGCCTGGGCACGGTGGCTCACGCCTGTAATCCCAGCACTTTGGGAGGCCAAGGAAGGTGGATCACTAGAGGTCAGGAGTTCGAGACCAGCCTGGTCAACATGGCGAAACACTGTCTCTACTAAAAATACAAAAATTAGCTGGGCATGGTGGCGGGCACCTGTAATCCCAGCTACTTGGGAGGCTGAAGCAGAAGAATCACTTGAACCCAGGAGGCAGAGGGTGCAGTGAGCCAAGTTCGTGCCACTGCACTCCAGCCTAGGCTGCAGAGCGAGCCTCCGTCTAAAAAAGAAAAAAGAAAACAAAAAACAAAAATCAAACTCTGGACAAATACAGAAAGCACCTACTTAAGGAGGACCTCTGAAAAGTAAACAATAGAAAATAGATTGGCATAGGAAGTCAACATTTGAAGAACAGCCAGCATGGCAGTGGAAAGTTTCCTGGTGAATTTTCTTTCTGTATTTTCTGGCCTTGACCCAAAGGACTCTGAATCAGGAAACTGTGTTTGACACCAGCAGCAAAAACCTTCAAAAGAAAAGTTTAATATTCTGGCCAGAGAACCAGGAAAACACGCCCCTGTTAGCCAGACAGTGTGAGGAGAATTTTGAGTATTTTGTTGTTGTTGTTGTTTAAATTATTATGAATATTATTATTATTGAGACAGGGTCTGACTCTGTCACCTAAGCTGGAGTGCAGTGGTGCAGTAACAGCTCACTGCAGCCTCCACCTCCCTGGTTCAAGCAATCCTTCCACCTCAGCCTCCCAAGTAGCTGGGACTACAGGTGTGTGCCACCATGCCTGGCTAATTTTTTTTGTATTTTTCTTTTTTTGAGATGCAGTCTCGCTCTGTCACCCAGGCTGGAGTGCAGTGGAGTGATCTCGGCTCGCTGCAAGCTTCGCCTCCTAGGTTCATGCCATTCTCCTGCCTCGGCCTCCCGAGTAGCTGGGACTACAGGTGCCCGCCACCACGCCCGGTTAATTTTTTTGTATTTTTAGTAGAGATGGGGTTTCACCGTGTTAGCCAGGATGGTCTCGATCTCCTGACCTCGTGATCCACCCGCCTCGGCCTCCCAAAGTGCTGGAATTACAAGCATGAGCCACCACACTTGGCCTTTTTTTTTTTTTTGTATTTTTCATAGAGACAAGGTTTCATCATGCTGCCCAGGCTGATCTCAAACTCCTAGGCTCAAGCGATCCTCCCACTTCAGCCTCCCAAGGTGCTGAGATGATGGGTGCAAGCCACTGTGCTGGGTCCTTCACAGGCTTTTAACAGGACCCAGAGTCTCACAAGACAATATTTTATTTATTTATTTATTATTTATTACTTTTTTTGAGACAGAGTTTCACTCTTGTTGCTCAGGTTGGACAGGTTGGAGTGCAATGGCACGATCTCAACTCATTGCAACCTCCGCCTCCCAGGTTGAAGCCATTCTCCTGCCTCAGCCTCTGGAGTAGCTGAGATTACAGGCTGCCACCATCACACCCGGCTCATTTTTTGTGTTTTTAGTAGAGATGGGGTTTCACCATGCTGGCCAGGCTGGTCTTGACTCCTGACCTCAGGTGATCCACCCGCCTTGGCCTCCCAAATTGCTGTGATTACAGGCATGAACCACCACACCTGGCCACAAGACAATATTTTATTTTATTTATTTATTTTTATTTATTTTTTTTTTTGAGACGGAGTTTTGCTGTTGTTGCCCAGTCTGGAGTGCAATGGCGCAATCTTGGCTCACCACAACCTCGGCCTCCCAGGTTCAAGCGATTCTCCTGCCTCAGCCTCCTGAGTAGCTGGAATTACAGGCATGCACCACCACGCCCGGCTAATTTTGTATTTTTAGTAGAGACGGGGTTTCTCCATGTTGGTCAGGCTGGTCTCAAACTCCCAACCCCAGGTGATCTGCCCTCGGCCTTCCGAAGTGCTGGGATTACAGAAGTGAGCCACCGCGCCCGGCCACCAGACAATATTTTAAATGCCCAGGATACAACACAAAGTTACTCAACAAGGAAAATCTCACCAAATCTCAAAGAAAAAAACAATCAATAGATGCCAGCACACACACACACACACACACACACACACACACACACACACACACCCAGCCATTAGAATTGACATACAAGGCCAGGCATGGTGGTTTACGCCTGTAATCCCTGCACTCTGTGAGGCTGAGGTGGGAGGATCCTTTGAACCCAGGAGTTCAAGACCAACCTGGGTAATACAGGAGACCCTGTCTCTGCAAAATTTTTTTTTTTTTTTGAGACAGAGTCTTGCTCTGTCGCCTAGACTGGAGTGCAGTGGGGCAATCTTGGCTAACTGCAAGCTCCACTCCCGGGTTCACGCCATTCTCCTGCCTCAGCCTCCCGAGTAGCTGGGACTACAGGCGCCCACCACCACACCTAGCTAATTTTTTTTGTATTTTAGTAGAGACGGGGTTTCACCATGTTAGCCAGGATGGTCTCGATCTCCTGACCTCGTGATCTGCACGCCTCGGCCTCCTAAAGTGCTGGGATTACAGGGGTGAGCTGCCATGCCAGGCCAAAATATTTTTTTTAATAAAATAAAAATTTTTTAAAAGTTGAAATGATTATATTGATAACAAGTAGATTTAGAACAAGAAAAAAATTATCAGAGAAAAAAGGACATTATATGATGATTAAAGGGTTAATTCATCAAGAAGACATGACAATTCTGAATGTGTACGCGCTTATAAAGTTCCTAAATATATAATGCAAAAATGATCTAAAAAGGGAAATAAAGTCACCATTATACTTGCGGATATCAACTCTCTTCTTTCAGTAAATGATAAAACAGAAAATCAGCAAGGACTGGGCACGGTGGCTCATGTCTGTAATCCCAGCACTTTGGAAGGCTGCAGTGGGCAGATCACCTGAAGTCAGTAGTTTGAGACCAGGCTGGCCAACCTGGTGAGACGCTGTCTCTACTAAAAATACAAAAAATTAGCCGGGAATGGTGGTGCATGCCTGTAATCCCAGATCCCAGCTACTCGGGAGTCTGAGGCAGGAGAATGACTTGAACCCGGGAGGTGGAGGTTGCGGTGAGCCGAGATTGTGCCATTGCACTCCAGCCTGGGCAAAAAGAGCAAAACTCCATCTCAAAAAAAAAAAAAGAAAAAAAGAAAGAAAAATCAGCAAGGACATAAAAGAGCTGAACAACACTATCAACCAATTTAATCAAATTGTTTTTTGTTTGTTTGTTTGCTTTTGAGACCAAGTCTCCCTCTGTTGCCCAGGCTGGAGTGCAGTGGTGCGATCTTGGTTCACTGCGACCTCCACCTCCCAGGTGCAAGTGATTCTCCTGCCTGTGCCACCACGCCTGGCTAATTTTTGTATTTTTAAACTTTTGTTTGTTTGTTTGTTTTTGTTTTTGAGATGGAGTCTCGTTCTGTTACCCAGGCTGGAGAGCAGTGGCAAGATCTCAGCTCACTGCAATCTCTGCCTCCTGGGTTCAAGCGATGCTCCTGCCTCAGCCTCCCCAGTAGCTGGGATTACAGGCACCAGCCACCGCGCCCAGATAATGTTTGTATTTTTATTAGAGACAGGGTTTCACCATGTTGGCCAGGCTGGTCTCGAACTCCTGATCTCAGGTGATCCACCTGCCTCGGCCTCCCAAAGTGCTGGGATTACAGGCGTGAGCCACCACACGTGGCTGATTTCTTGATTTCTAGTGTAATTCCATTATGATCAGAGAATGTATCACCTACATTTTTAAACATTTTTTAAATATAAAGGCCCAGAATATGGTCTATCTTGGTGAATGTTCCAAGTGTACTTGAAAATAATGTTTTGTCTCTACTAAAATGCAAAAGTTAGCTGGGCGTGGTGCAGGGTGCCTGTAACCCCAGCCACTGGGGCGGCTGAGGCTCAAGAATCACTTGAACCAGGGAGGTGGAGGTTGCAGTGAGCCATGATAGCACCACTTCACTCCAGCCTGGGTGATAGAGGGAGACCCTATCTCAAATTAAAAAAAAAAAAAGAACTGAAAAATATCTGGAAAACCCCTAAATATTTGGAAATGAAGCAACACGCTTCTAAATAAATCATGGGCCAGAGAAGAAGTCTCAAGAGAAATTAGAAAATATATACATGTGTAGTTTTGTCTGTGTGCATGTGTGACGTAGTCTCGCTCTTTCACCCAGGGTGGAATGAAGTGGTGTGATCTTGGCTCACTACAACCTCCGCCCCTGGTTTCAAGAGCTTCTCCTGCCTCAGCCTCCTGAGTAGCAGGGATTACAGGCGCTTGCCACTGCACCCAGCTAATTTTTGTATTTTTAGTAGAGACGGGGTTTTACCATGTTGGCCAGGCTGATCTCGAACTCCTGACCTCAGGTGATTCGCCTGTCTTGGCCTCCCAAAGTGCCAGGATTACAGGCGTGAGCCACTGTGCCTGGCCAGAAAATATTTTAAACTGACTTAATGAAATAAAATTACAACATATTAAACTTCATAAAATAGAGCAGAGAGAACTTTCTACTTTTTTTTTTTGAGACCGAGTCTCACACTATCACCCGGGCTGGAGTGCAATGGCACAATCTCCGCTCACTGCAACCTCCACCTCCCAGGTTCACACTATTCTCCTGCCTCAGCCTCCTGAGTAGCTGGGATTACAGGCAACTGCCACCACACCCGGCTAATTCCTTTTTTTTTTTTTTTTTTTTTTTGAGATGGAGTGTCGCTCTGTCTCTCAGGCTGGAGGCTGGAGTGCAGTGGCACGATTTCGGCTCACTGCAAGCTCCGCCTCCCGGGTTCCCGCCATTCTCCTGCCTCAGCCTCCCGAGTAGCTGGGACTACAGGCTCCCGCCACTGTGCCTGGCTAAATTTTTTAAATATTTTTTAGTAGAGACGGGGTTTCACCGTGTTAGCCAGGATGGTCTCGATCTCCTGACCTCATGATCCACCCACCTCGGCCTCCCAAAGTGCTGGGATTACAGGCGTGAGCCACCACGCCCGGCCTGTACCTGGCTAATTTTTCGTATTTTTAGTAGAAATGGGGTTTCACTATGTTGGCCAGACTGGCCTCGAACTCCTGACCTTGTGATCCGCCTTTCTCGGCCCCGCAAAGTGTTGGGATTACAGGCGTGAGCCACCGTGCCCAGCCTCAAATTTTCTGGTATTAAATGGGTATATGAGAATAGAAGAGTCTTAAATCAATAGTACAAACTTCCACTTTCAGAAACTAGAAAAATAACAGCCAATTAAACCCAAAGCAAGTAGACAGAAAACATAATAAACACCAGAAGTCAATGCTATTGGATATAGAAAAACAATAGAGAGAAAATAAATGAAACAAAAGCTTGTTCTTTGAAAAGATCAATATGCATATTAGTGGTCTCCTTCAAAAAAGGGGAAATCTGGACACAGAAGTAGACATAGAGGGAAGATGGCGTAAAGAGACAAGAGAGGACAGCCATCCATAGTCCAAGGAGAGAGGCCAGGAACACATCCTCCCTCACAGCCCTTAAAAGGAACCAATCCAGGGATCTAGAACTAGAAATACCATTTGACCCAGCCATCCCATTACTGGGTATATACCCAAAGGACTATAAATCATGCTGCTATAAAGACACATGCACACGTATGTTTATTGTGGCACTACTCACGATAGCAAAGACTTGGAACCAACCCAAATGTCCAACAATGATACACTGGATTAAGAAAATGTGGTACATATACACCATGGAATACTATGCAGCCATAAAAAATGATGAGTTCATGTCCTTTGTAGGGACATGGATGAAGCTGGAAACCATCATTCTGAGCAAACTATCACAAGGACAAAAAACCAAGCACTGCATGTTCTCACTCATAGGTGGGAACTGAACAATGAGAACACTTGGACACAAGAAGGGGAACATCACACACCAGGGCCTGTTGTGGGGTTGGGGGAGGGGGGAGGGATAGCATTAGGAGATATACCTAATGTAAATGACGAGTTAATTGGGTGCAGCACACCAACATGGCACATGTATGCATATGTAACAAACCTGCACGTTGTGCACATGTACCCTAAAACTACAAGTATAATAATAAAAAAAATATATATATATAAAAGGAACCAATCCTACCAACTCCTTGATTTTGTACTTCCAGCCTCCAGAATTGTGAGATAATACATTTCTGTCAGCCAGTCTCTAGTACTTTCTTACAGCAGTCCTAGCAAACTAATACAACTAATAAATGAATTTAGCAGGGTTGTAAAATATAAGGTCAATATACAAAAATCAATTGCATTTCTTTTTTTCTTTTTGAGATGGAGTCTTCTTTGTCGTCCAGGCTAAAGTGCAGTGGCGCCATCTTGGCTCACTGCAACCTCTGCCTCCCAGGTTCAAGTGATTCTCAAGTCTCAGCCTCACAAGTAGCTGGGACTATAGTCATGCACCACCACGCCCAGTTAATTTTTGTATCTTTAGTAAAGATGGGGTTTTGCCATGTTGGCCAGGCTGGTCTCGAACTCCTGACCTCAAGTGAACTGCCTACCTCAGCCTCCCAAAGTGCTGGAATTATAGGAGTGATCCACTGTGTCCAGCCGCATTTCTATATAATATCAATGAACAATTGGAAATTGATTTTTTTTTTTATTTTTTAGAGACAGGGTCTTGCTATATTATCCAGGCTGGGCTCAAACTCCTGGGTTCAAGCAATCCTCCCACCTCAGCCTCCTGAGTAGTTACAGGCACGCACTACCACGCTTGGCTTGAAATTTTTCAAAAGTATGATTTACAATTGCACCAATAGGCCGAGTGCGGTGGCTCATGCCTGTAATCCTAGCACTTTTGGAGGCTGAGGCGGGTGGATCACCTGAGGTCAGAAGTTCAAGACCAGCCTGGCCAACATGGAGAAACACTGTCTCTACTAAAAATACAAAAAAGAAAAAAAAAAAAAAATTAGGCAGATGTGGTGGCATGTGCCTGTAATCCCAAATACTTGGGAGGCTGAGGCAGGAGAATCACTTGAACCCAGGAGGCAGAGGTTGCAGTGAACCGAGATCACACCACTTTACTCCAGCCTGGGCAAAACAGTGAAACTCTGTCTCAAAAAAACAAAACAAAACAAAAACAAAGCAATTGCACCAATAAAAATTAAGTAGTGAGTATCAGTGTAACAGCCAGATCCTACTTCATCCCCATGTAGAGGTGGAGGGACTGAGTGAACAGGCTTGGTGTGCAGAAGATGCAGGCCAGGCAAGCCTGTGCATAATTTTGGATAATGAAAAATACTATGAGGAAAATAAATCTAGCCAGGTGCAGTGACTCACGCCTGGAGGCCTAGCACTTTGGGAGGCCGAGGCAGGCAGGTAGCTTGAGTTCAGGAGTTCAAGACCAGCCTGGGCAACATGGCAAAACTTCATCTCTACAAGAAATACAAAAATTTTTGCCAGGGATGGTGGCACACACCTGTAGTCCCAGCTACTTGGAGGGCCTGAGGCAGGAAGATTGCTTGAATCCAGGAGGCTGAGGCTGCAGTGAGTCAAGATCCCACCATAGCACTCCAGTCTGGGTGACCATATGAGACCCTGTTTAAAAAAAAAAAAAGAAAAGAAATCTAAACTGCATAGGGGTCTTAGGGAAGGGCTCTCTGAGATGACATTTAAGCTGCAATTTGAAGGACAGTGGTTAGGGTTTGGATGTCAATACATAACAACTTCTTCTTTGCCCAAGTTCTGACACAACAGAGAGCAGATGAGGAATCAGGTATATTGAAATCAAAATAACACTTCCTTACTGTTCCATTCACTGTTCCTGCATGACAAACCACCTACAAACCACCTGGTGTTTAGTGTGCAAAATAACTGATGCTCATGGTTTCTGTGGGCCAGGAGGTCAGAGAGGGCACAGCAGGGATGACTTGTCTCTGCCCCATGAAGTCTGGGGCCTCAGCTGGAAAGACTCAATGGCTATGAGGTCCTTGATGGCTGGGGCTGGAATCATCTGGAGTTGTACATGTCTGGAAATGGATGCTGGCTGTAGGCTGGCACCTCAGCAGGGCCTTGAGCCAGCACATCTACACATGACTTCTCCATATGGTCTCTCCACCTGGGCTGGCTTGGCTCCCTCATAGCATGATGGCTGGGTTCCCAGGGAGAATGTCCTAACAGACCACGTGGCTTTTTTCTTCTTCTTTTTTTGAGATGGAGTTGTGTTCTGTTGCCCAGGCTGGAGTGCAGTGGCACAATCTCAGCTCACTGCAACCTCTGCCTCCCGGGTTCAAGTAATTCTCTGCCTCAGCCTCCCGAGTAGCTGGGATTACAGGCGCCTGTCACCATGCCTGGGTAATTTTTTTTTTTTTTTTTTTTTTTTTTTGAGACAGAGTCTCGCTTGTTACCCAGGCTGCAGTGCAGTGGTGCGATCTCAGCTCACTGCAACCTCCGCCTCCCGGGTTCAAGCGATTCTCCTGCCTCAGGTTCCTGAGTAGTTGGGGTTACAGGCGCCCACCACCACGCCCGGCTAATTTTTGTATTTTTAGCAGAGACAGGGTTTCATCATGTTGGTCAGCCTGGTCTCGAACTCCTGATCTCAGGTTATCCACCTGCCTCGGCCTCCCAAAGTGCTGGGATTACAGGCATGAGCCACGGCGTTGAGCCTATTTTTTTGTATTTTTAGCAGAGATGGGGTTTCACCATTTTGGCCAGGCTGGTCTTGAACTCCTGACCTCACAATCCACCCACCTCAGCCTCCCAAAGTGCTGGGATTACAGGCGTGAGCCACCCCACCCGGGCCCACATGGCATTTTTATGATCTAGAAGTCACATAGCAACTTTCACCATATTCTGCTGTTTAATGCTGTCACAAAGGTACATCCAGGCTGAAGGAAGGGGGACATAGATCCCACACTCAAGTGTCAAGGTCATAATTGTACAATGAGCATGTCGAATTGGAGATATTGATAGGCTATCTTCTTTGAAAATACAATTTGCCACAATTCCTGATAAACTAGTTTGTAAAGCATAGCTTTGGTCTGTGGGTGAGAGGCCGGGTGTATTGCTCCGGTAGAGCTCTCTCAGATGGAACAGGTGAGTGGGAATAAGACTTGCCCTTGAGAGAAGAGCATTTCAGCAGAGGGAAGAGCAATTACAAAGGCCCTGTCATGGGCAAGGTGGGTGTGTTCTAGGAACTGAAGCCCAGTGTGGCTGGGGCATGGTGGGAGAGCAAGAGAGGCTGATGAAGAAGCTGTATTTGGAAGGTTTGGTAGTGGGGACCTTGAACGTCAGGCTAAGGAGTTTATTGGGAAGCCAGCGGTGCCAAGAAAGGCTCAAGGATACCATGAGGCTGTCCCCACATAGGCTGTCCCCACATCTGGGGGCCAAATACCCATGCCCATGTGCAGGAGCCAATTGTGTCTCAGAGAAGACAGAGGCCCTGGCCTCCAGGATGTGAAGGCACTAGTGCCTACCCCTAGGGCTGATGTGACACCTGCACTCCCAGATCTCACCACCTCAGCCCCTTTGCCAGGTTGGACGCCTCCCTCAGCCCCACTCCTCTAGTGTGTCTGCCCTGGTAGGGAGGAGGAGACGGCAATGGTATGAAGAGATCTGACCTGCCCCAGGAAGTTTCCATCTCTAGGCCACCTGTCCTGTCCTGTCCCGGTGAAATCTAGCCAAGGGCATTCATCTACCCCGATCATGCTATGGGTTCTGCGGCAGGCCAGGAAACCTGCCATTAGTGGCCATCCACTCCTATGGCAGTCCCAGCTCAACGTCAGTTTGTTTTTTTGAGACAGGATCTTGCTCTGTCACCCAGGCTGGAATGTAGTGGTGCAATCACAGCTCACTGCAGCCTCGACCTCCCAGGTTCAAGCACTCCTCCCACCTCAGCCTCCTTAGTTGGGACTGCAGGTGTGCGCCACCACATCCTGCTAATTTTTTGATTTTTTTTTTTTTTTTTTTTTATATAGAGACAAGGTCTCACCATTTTGCCCAGGCTGGTCTTGAACTACTGATCTCAAGCAATCCTCCCACCTCAGCTTCCCAAAGTGCTAGGATTACAGGGGCGA
Source organism: Homo sapiens (assembly GCF_000001405.40). Taxonomy (NCBI): domain Eukaryota; kingdom Metazoa; phylum Chordata; class Mammalia; order Primates; family Hominidae; genus Homo; species Homo sapiens. The sequence continues at coordinate 31,632,554 of NC_000020.11, forward strand.
GCCACCGTGCCCAGCCCTCAGTGTTGGTTCTGGCCTGGCGTGTCTGTCCACGGTTTTAGAAGCGCTTGCTGGACGGTCCACCAGAGCTGCGGGTCTTCCCGCGACGTCCTCCGAGCCTGAGCTGCTGCCGAGACACCCTCAGCGTTCGGTGATTCCCATAGCTCCGCAGAGCCTCCGCTCCCACAGGTGAGCTGGGTGGGCCTTGCTCTCCGCTCCTGGCCAGGGCCCTCGGCTCACTGACCTCGCCCATCGGCTCGCTGGCTCTGCCCCCTCGGCGCCCGGTTCCCTTGCTGTCGCCTGGCCCCGCTCCTTGTGGTTAGCTCTGCCCACTCTCGCCTCTCCCCGCTCCTCCTGTACTAGACCTCCTCCCTGGGTTCAAGGGGCTCCCGGGCCTCCTGAAGGGCTGGGGGTCTGGGTCTGTGACGCTTTGTCCAGCTCCTCTTCCTATTTTCACCTTAGGGTCCTGCGTGAGGCCTAGCTCTTCCACAGTATCCCCTCTGGGCTGGCAGGCCGGAGGTGGGTCCTGTGTGATACCTAGAGCCTGGCTGGTGGGGGGATGCTGAGGCCATGGCTCAGGTCTTTGCATCTGGGCAGAATCTGGGGGCTCCCTGGAGCTGATCAAGTGAGCGTGAGCTGCCATCCCTCCTGCTGGCAGGTCTCAGCCTATCCCAGAGCTCTCAGCATGTCGGGCCTGTCACGACAAGTGGCCTGAATGCCGTGTCCGGAGTCCCTTCCACCCTTGGACCCCCCGCGGTTCCAGGAGAAGACCCTTATTCCTCGGCTCTGGGACCCCGAGTGGCCTGCCTTAAGGGACAGTCCGTCTCTTCCCAGGTTCAGGACCTTGAAAGGAGGCTCCGCAGTTGTCCTGCAGGCTATATTCACCGTGAGCTACTCAGGGCCGGCCTCCACCCCATGGCCCTCAGTCCGGGGCTGGGCTTCCCCCACAGATGTTCCTTATCACAGCATCACTCAACTTCTGGAGCCTGATGTTCCCACAGAGGCGGGGGCGGAAGAGGGCAGGGAAGAACAGAGGATCGCCTTTCCCAAATGCCTTCCCTTGGAAGACCCTGTGAAACTGAGGAGATGGGGGAAACTGAGGCCCAGAAATGGTGCCGCTTGGCCAGAGTGGCTGTAGTAGAGCCATGCATAGACACAGGCCACTCACTCCAGTGCAGCCACCGCCCTCCCAGCCACCCTGAAAAAGGTCTGGCAAGACTCATGACCTTCCGCCTGGCGCAGTGGTTCACGCCTATAATCCCAGCTCTTTGGGAGACCAAGGCAGGAGGATCCCTTGAGCTCAGGAGTTCAAGACTAACCTGGGCAACATAACAAGACCCTGTCTCTACAAAGCTTAAAAAAAAAAAAAAAAAAAGACAAGGCATGCTCTCCTCCAGGTTCTTAAAGAAGGAGTGTCTTCCCCTGTCCTCTGTCCATAGGGCTGTTCTGTAGAACATCCTGCTCAGTGACCGAGGTAAGGGGTGGTCCTTTTTTTTTTTTTTTTTTTTTGGAAAGGGAGTCTCACTCTGTGGCCCAGGCTGCAGTGCAGTGGTGCGACTTCGGCTCACTGCAACCTCCGCCTCGCGGGTTCAAGCGATTCTCCTGCCTCAGCCTCCCAAGTAGCTGAGATTACAAGTGCCCCCCCCACCACGCCCAGCTAATTTTTGTCTTTTTACTAGAGACGGGGTTTCGCCATGTTGGCCAGGCTGGTCTCGAGCTCCTGACGTCAGATGATCCACCCGCCTTGGTCTCCCAAAGTTCTGGGAGTACAGGCATGAACCACGGTGCCTGGCCAAGGTGATCCTTTTGGGGGTCTCTCACGTTTGGAATTACCTTGGTTGGGGAAGGGGAGGAGCAGCTCCCAGAGTGACCAGCAGAGGGCGCTGGGCCCAACATGGTCAGTTCTGGGAGCTGGACTCTTGGAACTCGGGAAGACTCCCAAGCTGCCTTCTCAAAGTTTTGTCTCTGGCAGCGTCTAGAATGGAGGTGATGTGCACTCTAGGGTCCCTCTAACACCTTCCCTTGAGCCCCTCGCCTTCTAGGCTCATCTGCCCCCAGGACTAAGCCCCCTCCCTTTATTTATTTATTTATTTATTTATTTATTGAGACAGAGTCTCGCTGTGTCGCCCAGGCTGGAGTGCAGTGGTGCGATCTCGGGTCACTGCAACCTCCGCCTCAGCCTCCCTAGTAGCTGGTACTACAGGTATGTGCCACGACACTTGGCTAATTTTTGTATTTTTAGTAGAGACAGGTTTTCTTCATGTTGGCCAGGCTAATCTCGAACTTCTGACCTCCAGTGATCTGCCCACCTTGGCCCCCCAAAGTGCTGAGATTACAGGCATGAGCCACCATGCCTGGCCAGCCTTTAGAAACTGTCTTTAGCAGGCCCCTGTGGACTCACTAGGGTATAGGAACCCTGATGGAAGGCATGGGGGCTGGGCATACCCCATGGACCTAGAGCCAGGAGACCTGGAAAGCTCTGGTCTCCAGGCCACCGAGGGGACCCCCAGCCCTCTCCCATTCATCCACCATCCGTATACTAACAGTCCCGGGACACATTTACTGAACTTGTGCTCTGCTTCATTTGAACACATCACTCCTCTTCTTAACTTTGGTTGCCTCCCACCTTCATTTTATTTTATTTATTTATTTATTTATTGAGACAGGGTCTCATTCTGTTGCCCAGGTTGGAGTGCAGTGGTGCAATCTCAGTTTACTGCAACCTCCACCTCCTGCCTCAGCCTCCTGAGCACCTGGGACTACAGGGGTGTGCCACCATGCCAGCTTAATCACCTTCTTTAAATAAAATCCAAGCTCCTCACTACCGCCTACAGGTCCTTCTCGGTGGTCCAGCCCACCTCTCCCTCCATCCAGCCTCCCCTTTAACCATGACACTCTGGCCAAGATGACCTCTCTTCTTTTGTTATTGTTTTTGTTGTTGCTTTGAGATGGAGTTTCGCTCTTGTTGCCCAGGCTGGAGTGCAACGGTGGGATCTTGGCTCACTGCAACCTCCGCCTCCCAGATTCAAGCGATTCTCCTGCCTCAGCCTCCCGAGTAGCTGGGATTACAGATGTGCACCACCACACCTGGCCAATTTTTTTATTTTTAGTAGAGACGGGGTTTCACCATGTTGGCCAGGCTGGTCTCAAACTCCCGACCTCAGGTGATCCATTCGCCTCGGCCTCCCAAAGTGCTGGGATTATAGGCATGAGCCACCGCACCTGGCTGTCTCTTCTGTTCAGTTGTTTTTTTTTTTTTTTTTGAGACGGAGTCTCGTTCTGTCGCCCAGGCTGGAGTGCAATGGTGCAATCTTGGCTCACTGCAACCTCCACCTCCCGGGTTCAAGCGATTCTCCTGCCTCAGCCTCCCAAGTAGCTGGGACTACAGGTGCATGCCACCACGCCTGGCTAATTTTTTGTATTTTTGGTAGAGATGGGGTTTCACCGTGTTAGCCAGGCTGGTCTCGATCTCCTGATCTTGTGATCCACCTGCCTTGACCTCCCAAAGTGCTGGGATTACAGCGTGAGCCACTGCACCTGGCCTGTCTCTTCTGTTTTTTGAACATGCTGTGTTTTCCTGCCTCTGGGTCTTTGCACAGGCCTTTTCCTCTGCCTAGAACAGAATTGTAAGCCCTGTGGGGGCAGGAACTATGTCTGGTTTTTTTTGGCTCTATAGCCCCCAACATTTATCCTGGTAAACAAGTATGCAATAAATGCCAGCTGAAACAGGTCTTTATAAGTTTTTTTTAAGTTTTTTTTTTTTTTTTTTTTTTTTTGAGGAGTCTCACTCTACCACCCAGGCTGGAGTGCAGTGGTGCGATCTTGGCTCACTGCAACGTCTGCCTCCCAGGTTCAAGCGATTATCTAGCCTCAGCCTCCCGAGTAGCTGGAATTATAGGTGTCCCCTGCCACACTCGGCTAATTTTTGTATTTTTAGTAGAGACGGGATTTCACCACGTTGGCCAGGGTGGTCTCAAACTCTTGACGTTAGGTGATCTGCTCGCCTCCGCCTCCCAGAGTGCTGGGATTGCAGGCATGAGCCACCACGCCCAGTTTTATAAGTAATTCTTGAATAAATGTGCCTGAGCCTTGTCTATTTTTTTTTTTTTTTTTTTTGAGATGGAGTCTCGCTCTGTCACTAGGCTCGAGTGCAGTGGCATGATCTTGGCTCACCGCAACCTCTGCCTTGCGGGTTCAAGCCATTCTCCTGCCTCAGCCTCCTGAGTAGCTGGGACCACAGGCGCCTGCCACCATGCCTGGCTAATTTTGTTTGCATTTTTAGTAGAGACGGGGTTTCGCTGTGTTAGCCAGGATGGTCTCCATCTCCTGACCTCATGATCTGCCCCCCTTGGCCTCCCAAAGTGCTGGGAATTTTTTTTTTCTTTTTCTTTTTCTTTTTTTCTGAGACAGAGTCTTGTTCTGTTGCCCAGGCTGGAGTGCAGTGGCCCGATCTCGGCTCACTGCAACAGCCGCTTCCCAGGTTCAAGTGATTCTCCTGCCTCAGCCCTCTGTGAAGCTGGGACTATAGGTGCGCGCCACCACGCCCTGCTAACTTTTTTTTTTTTTTTTTTTTTTTTTGAGATGGAGTCTAGCTCTGCTGCCCAGGCTAGAGTGCAGTAGCCGGATCTCGACTCACCGCAACCTCCGCCTCCCGGGTTCAAGCGATTCTCCTGCCTCAGCCTCCTGAGTAGCTGGGATTACAGGTGCGTGCCACCACGCCCAGCTAATTTTTGTATTCTTAGTAAAGATGGGGTTTCACCATGTTGGCTAAGCTGTCTCAAACTCCTGACCTCGTGATTTGCCTGCCTTGGCCTCCCAAAGCGCTGAGATTACAGGCATGAGCCACCGCGCCCGCCCAATTTTTCTATTTTTAATAGAGAAGGTGTTTCGCCATGCTGGGCAGGCTGGTCTCAAACTCCTGACCTCAGGTGATCCTCCCGCCTCGGCCTCCCAAAGTGCTAGGATTACAGGCGTGAGCCACTGCTGGCCTAAAAGATGCTTCTGGAGTAGGAGGCATTGGGCCTGGCTGGAAGGTTTGCGTCTGCAAAGGCCTGAAGAGAACATCCCAGGTGGGAGAAACAGCAAGGAGGGGAGGTGTGGAGGAGGCAGGGAGACCCTGTTCTTGGGACTACTGTCTGCAGAGGGTCTCCAGAGGCAGGACCCCGGTAGGGACACTGATGCAGGAGGCGCTCTGCAGTGCCTCCCCCCAATCTGTGGGCCGGGGTGCCCCCAGGGACGCAGGCTGTGCGCTCCCACGCCCTGCCGAAGCAGGACGTTCCCACGCTGGGGCGGCCCCGAGAAAGGCTGTGGGGCGGGCCGGGGGCGGGCGCCCGCACTCAGGTCCCTCCGCAGCGGGTTCTCAGTTGCTCGCTGGGCAGACCCAGGTCGCGCTCCCACTGCCGAGCCCGCGAGGTGAGTGAGTTGGGGGAGGACCCCGCCACCCAAGCCCGCGCGGGTCAGGGGCGCGGCTCGGTCTCCTGCCTTCGCCGCTGGGTCACGCCCCAGTGGTCCCTGTCTTAGAGGGTTGGGGGGCTTCTTGTAGGTTAGAGTTGAAGACTCCTGGGGAGTCTGCATATGTGTGCCATCTCTTTCCCCAAATATAGATTACATCCTCCCTCTCTTGATATGTGGAGCTCTCCCACCCACTAATCATAATCACTGGCCGGAGCCCCTCTTTTCCAGAAGTGTGGGCCGCCCCCTCCCACTTATCACCTGTAGTGTGCCCCCTCCCTCACTCTATTTGTTGGGTGCCCCTCTCTCTCCCTAGATGTGGGACTCCCCTTCTTTTCCCCAGATGTGTGTCTCCCTCCCTCTGACCCAGTTAAGTCCCCATCCTCTAAAGCCCCTCCCCACCACCATGGATGCCAAACCCTGAGTCTTCCCTGGGGGTGGGAGACTGGGCTCAGCCAGACTGGCTAAGCCCAGTCCCCACCCCAACCAGATCCAGCAGAGCAGGCCTGTGTGCACGTAGGCAGCCAATTAGGGGGGAAGGGGTGGGGGCCAGACCGTCTGTCTGTTCTGCCGGTGCAGGGGCCTCTGGCCCCTGCAGGGAAGAGAGACTCAAGAACTGCTCCCTCTCCACCTGGACCCCACCCAGCTTCCTCTGGGGAGCAAACAAGTGAGCGGGGTTCTCCAATCTGGCCAGACTGAGCTGGGGCTGGCACCAGAACCCAAGCCCTCAGCCTCAAACTCTTCAGACCCTGGCCCAAGACTTAGGCCTCCTCCCACTTCTCAGATGGTGAATTGAGGTCCCAAAAAGGGGCTTCAAAGGTCTAGGACCCCCATTGGCCCCCCGCTGGGGATATCAGACAAAATTAGAAGGGTCAAGGGCATGAGGGTGACCTTGAAACACTGGGACACCCCTACCACTACCATACCAGTGGAAAAGGATTTTTCCATCTGGCCCTGCGGTTTGGGGGCAGAGGGTGATGTGGGGGCAGAACTCATCTATACCTTCACGCCCCCAGATGCTCCCCAGAGCTGCCTGGAGCTTGGTGCTGAGGAAAGGTGGAGGTGGAAGACGAGGGATGCACAGCTCAGAAGGCACCAGTGAGACCTGGACTCCTTCCTCCCTGCCTAACTCCAGAGATAGGGGCAGGGGTCCCCTCTGCAGGCTGCCCCCTTTGCCCTTCCATGCCACCCTGGGCCTGTTCCTACCACACTTCCCATGTTCCCATGATCCCACTCCTTGGTCCAAGGTCAAGTTTCTCCAGGAAATGGAGTGCGCGGGGTGAGCAGACAGTGGTCATCTCCATTCCAAGCTTCCTTAGGAGCCAGCCCCCAAGCCTCAGGCCCCTAGACCTTTTGTTCTGAGGTGGAGGATGCTGACAGAACCTTGGACCCTGATTCCTCCTTTCCAGACCCTAGTTTCAATGCTAGTAAGAAGAAAGAGACCTAAAGTAGGAGAGACTTCAGCCAGATAGCAGAAGGGCCTTGCTGACCCATGGAGAATAACAAAGATAACATTTATTGAGCCCTTACTAGTACCCCAAGCTATTATAAACCTCCTTTTTTTTTTTTTTTGAGATAGAGTCTTGCTCTGTCGCTCAGGCTAGAGTGTTCAGTGGCGCAATGTCGGCTCACTGCAACCTCCGCCTCCTGGGTTCAAACAATTCTCCTGACTCAGCCTCCCGAGTAGCTGGGATTATAGGTGCCCACCACTGCGCCCGGCTAATTTTTGTATTTTTAGTAGAGGAGAGGTTTTACTGTCTTGGCCAGGCTGGTCTCGAACTCCTGACCTCGTGATCCACCCGCCTCAGCCTCCCAAAATGCTAGGATTACAGGCATGAGCCACCAAGCCCGGCCACCTTCTTTATTAATATAGTTAGAGATAGGGTGTCCCAAGGGCAGCCTGGACTCAGCTCCCTCCATTGTGTCTGCAGCCCGTGGTGGGGGGAAGATGTCCCCCTACACCAACTGCTATGCCCAGCGCTACTACCCCATGCCAGAAGAGCCCTTCTGCACAGAACTCAACGCTGAGGAGCAGGCCCTGAAGGAGAAGGAGAAGGGAAGCTGGACCCAGCTGACCCACGCCGAAAAGGTGGCCTGTAAGTGTCAGGGTGGGGCTGGCTGGAGAGAGTGGGTTGGGGGCTGACTTTGGAAAGAATGGCCTGTCAGGGATCAGAGGGCAGAGAGAGGCCCCCAAGACAGCCAGAAACCTCCAAACACCTGAGGGGTGAAGTTCATGCCTTTGTTCGTTTCTTTATTCACTCACCTGTTTGTGCATAGCCTGATGCTAGGCAATGCTGGGGACATGAGGTGAATCACCTGGATAGTTCCTGCCCCCATGGTGCCCCCGGTCCCGTGGGGAAAACCAATACAGACTCCAATAATTGTAATACAGAACATGTGGCTAGGGTGAGGTGTGTTCAAGGACTGTGAGATGAAATCTTGGTGGACCTCCCAGAGGAGGGCACATTCCAGCTGGCCTTTAAGGGTGAAGAGGAGGGCACTGCCAGGGAGTGGGAACTGCATGGGGAAGGGTGTCAGAGCAGGAGACTGTGGAGGGCCCTGGAATTGAGTGATGTGGGGGAGATGGGACAGAGAGAGGCAGGTGAGGCGGTTGGGGAGGAGCCCTCTGACCCTGGGAGGCTGGAGGGATGTGTGGTCCCTTGTCATGTCCACCAGAGCATCCCTGAGCTGACCCTTTGAAATTTGGAGCACCTTATTTTCATTCCATGAATGGGAACACTCAGCCTGACCTCCAAGATTTCAAGGGATTCCTAGTGGGGAAAGGTTCATGCTTCTCACATTCATTCATTCAGTCAACATCTTATTTGGCACCTACTACAATACCATGCACTGGGAATGCAGCTGTGAGCCAGCCAGGCTCCGTTCCTGCCTGTGAGCTTGCATTTCCAGCCCTCTCTCAGCACCTTTACCCCTTCTCTCTCTCTCTCTTTCTACACACACACACACACACACACACACACACACACACACACATCTTGGTTTTTTCTTCATCCATTTCAGAAATTGACACTCTTGGGGGGAGAGGGGAGGAATAGCATTAGGAGATATACCTAATTCTAAATGATGAGTTAATGGGTGTAGCACACCAACATGGCACATGTATACATATGTAACAAACCACATGTACCCTAAAACTTAAAGTATAATAATAATAAAATTTAAAAAAAAAAGAGAAATTGACACTCTTTATCTGAGCATGGTGGCACATGCCTGTCGTCCCAGCTATTTGGGAGGCTGAGGCAGGAGGATCACTTGAGCCCAGGGGAGCTGAGGCTAGAGTGAGCTGTGATTGTGCTACGGCATTGCACTCCAGCCTGGGTAACAAAGTGAGACCCTGTCTGAAAAAAAAAAAAAAAAAGAGAGAGAGAGAAAGAAATGATGGACATTCCCCAAGCAAGATGATAATGAGCACCATCCCTAATATGTCCTGCACGCTTACATGTAGCAGGCACCGCTGTGGCGTTAGGTTGCTCTCGTTAGCTCACATTTGAGAGACTGAGGCTCAGTGGCGTGCAGTCACTTACAGTGGTTGCACAGCTAGAGAGTGGTGGAGGCAAGATTTGAAACCACATAGACAGGCACCAGGGGTTTCACCCTTAGCTGCTACACCACATTAGCTACAATGAAGGTTTGGTGGGATGCTTGGGGAGTTTCAGTGTAACCTCACAGCTCAAACAACTTTTTTTTTTTCCTTTTCTTTGAGACAGGGTCTCTGTCACCCAGGCTGGAGTGCAGTGGCCCCATCTCGGCTCACTGAAATCTCTGCCTCCTGGGCTCAAGCGATCCTCCCACTTTGGCCTCCTGAGTAGCTGGGACTACAGGCGGGCGCCACCACACCTGGCTATTTTTTTTTTTGTATTTTTTTTGTAGAGACAGGGTTTCACCATGTTGGCCAGACTGGTCTCGAACTCCTGATCTCATGATCCACCCACCTCAGCCTCCCAAAGTGCTGGGATTACAGGGGTGAGCTACCATGCCCGGCTATTTATTTATTTATTTATATTTCTGTAGAGACAGAGCAGTCTCACTATGGTTGCTCAGGCTGGTCTTGAACTCCTGGGCTCAAGCAATTCTCCTGCCTCGGCCTCCCAAAGCACTGGGATTACAGGCATGAGCCATCATGCCAGGCCAAATGCCTTGAGTCTTGTCAGACCTCTTCCAGGGCAGGCAGGCGTGGCAGCACTGGAGTGCATGGCCTGTGTCTATGCATGGCTCTACCACAGCCACACTGAGTGGCCTCCACTGGTTGATTTCATTGTCTCAGCCTGAACCGCCCACCCAAGTATCTTCCCAAAACCTAAGACAGTTCCCTTTTCCCAAGGAATTCTGCTGCCAGCTTTGATTTTCCTTTAGATATTTATTTTCATATTTATTTAATGTACTGAGAAAGGATTACACACGTAGGGTAATTTTTTTTTTTTTTTTTTTTTTTTTTGAGACAGAGTCTCGCTCTGTCGCCTAGGCTGGAGTGCAGTGGCATGATCTCGGCTCACTGCAACCTCCGCCTCCCGGGTTCACGCCATTCTCCTGCCTCAGCCTCTCGAGTAGCTGGGACTACAGGTGCCCGCCACCACTCCTGGCTAATTTTTGTATTTTTAGTAGAGACGGGGTTTCACTGTGTTAGCCAGGATGGTCTCGATCTCCTGACCTCGTGATCCACCACCTCGGCCTCCCAAAGTGCTGGGATTACAGGCGTGAGCCACTGCGCCCGGACTTACCTGGCTAATTTTTAAATTTTTTCTAGAGACAGGGTCTCGCTTTATTGCCTAGGATGGTCTTGAACTCTTGGACTGAAGCAATCCACCCGTCTTGGTCTCCCAAAATTCTAGGATTACAGGCATGAGCCACCAAGCCTGGCCCCCTCCCTAATTCTGTTAGAATGAAATCCAAACTCTTCTCCATGGATTCTAACAAGGTCCTGTGTGAACCGGCTCTGCCTCTCATTTGAGAGAGCCAGCCTCTCATTTGCTAAATTCTCTCTCTTTTGCTCATTTCACTCCAGCTACAGTGGTCCTCACTTCACACTTTCCCTACCCACTTCCTGCTTCAGGGTTTTTGCACTTCCTTCCAGTTTTCACCAACTTTCTCCCATTGATTTTTCAAACCTCAGCTCCAATGTCACCTCCTCTGAGACACCTTCCCTGGCCAGCCAACTGTTTGCCTGAAGCATTTGCCATTGTCTCCCCCTCTAAACTCCACAAGGGCAGGGATTTTCATCTGGCTCATTCACTGCTGTCACCTGTTCCTGGTCATGCTGTGCATATAGTACGTGCTCAGTAAGAATTTGCTGAATGAACAGCATCTGCTGCAGGGAGGGGGAAGCCGGGATCACTTAGAGTGGACGCACCTGAGGCCCCTTCCCCACACCCAACTGCCTCCAGTGTACCGGCTCCAGTTCAATGAGACCTTTGCGGAGATGAACCGTCGCTCCAATGAGTGGAAGACAGTGATGGGTTGTGTCTTCTTCTTCATTGGATTCGCAGCTCTGGTGATTTGGTGGCAGCGGGTCTACGGTGAGTGGCAACACCTCATCTGGCTGCAGTCCTGGGCCATGCCCTTGTGGTCACGGCCACCAGACAGTTTCTTAAAGGAACCATGCTGGCACTCATCTGAAGAGCTGAAAATTTCTGAAGAGGTGTAGGGTGAAGGACAGAGCATGGCTGTCTAGGTTTGAATGCAGGAACTTTACCTCTCTGGGCCTCAGTTTCGTCATCTCTAAAATGGGAATAGTAATGTTCCATCTCAGGGTACTTAAGAGGATTTTAATGAGAGAGGGCTGTAGGCCAGTGTTTGGCTCATAGTCATGAATGGTGTTGTAACTGATTGTTGTGTATGAACTGTGTGTTTTTCAGTGTATATATATACTGAACTTCTGCCTCCCCAGTTCAAATGATTCCCCTGCCTCAGCCTCCCGAGTAGCTGGGACTACAAGAGTGTGCCACCACGCCCGGCTAATTTTTGTATTTTTAGTAGAGACAGGGTTTCGCCATGTTGGCCAGGCTGGTCTCAAACTCCTGACCTCAAGTGATCCGCCTGCCTCGTCCTCCCAAAGTGCTGGGATTACAGGCATGAGCCACTGTGCCCGGTGGCCTGTCCCCATATTTTTAAAGTGAACACTCTTACCTACTTCCTACTTTCAACCCTCTTAGAAAGTAAAAGGAATTATTTCATCCTGGACCCTGCCCAGCAAGTGGGAACAAACTCAGTAATTATATAATTATAGTAGGTAACATGTATCAGGTGCTTAATATTTGTCTAACATTGTGCCAACAGCTTTGGAAATACTCAGTCCCCACAATCCTAGTGGATAGGACCTCTTTTGACAGGTAAGGAAACTGAGGCTCAGAGAGATGAAGTGACTTGTTGAAGGTCGCAGGGCAAGGGAGTGGTAGAGCCAGGATTTGGATTCAGGCAGTCTTCAAATCAGTGATCTTATTACCACAGACCACAGAGGTAGGTGAGGTGACTGAGTTGTGAAGGACCTTGGCCCAGCTCCCACAGTCCTTGGGGTCTAAGGCAAAGCTGGGGTCAGAACCCAGAGGTGCCTGGGACGATGCTCTAGGAGAAAGTCTGGGGTGCGGGGCTAGACAGGGTGGAGTGAGCTCCTCAGTGCAAGATACTTCAACCCTGGAGTATCTTGTACCGTCAGCCTTGCGAGTGGCTGGGAGGCTACAGGGTGGCTGGAGACCCTGGCTGGTGTAGGAAGACTGGCAGGATCCTGATCCACCCCATGTACTCCCTGCAGTATTTCCTCCAAAGCCGATCACCTTGACGGACGAGCGGAAAGCCCAGCAGCTGCAGCGCATGCTGGACATGAAGGTGAATCCTGTGCAGGGCCTGGCCTCCCGCTGGGACTATGAGAAGAAGCAGTGGAAGAAGTGACTTGCATCCCCAGCTGTCTCCCTGAGGCTCCGCCCTGGCTGGGAGCCTCTGGCGGCCCCTCCCCTCCCCTGCCCTTAACCCCAGTAAAGCTCCAAAAAAAAATTTATTCTCTTCTGCCTCTCACCACCACTTCAGACTTTACTTGGCACCTAAAATTAGGCATTTTAACAGGTGAGGGGCAAGAAGGGCTCAGAACTCATCTAGTCAATGAGGGCTTCCTGGAGGAGTGGGGGCTACAGCCAAGGCTTAGGTGGGATTAGGAAAGGCAAGAAGAAGGGAAGGCATTCGGGGTGGAGCAAGTGGCTTAATCAAAGGTGAGAACACTCTTTTATTCAGCTAATTAACAAATACTTGGCCGGGTGCGATGGCTCACTCCTGTAACCCCAGCACTTTGGGAGGCCAAGGAGGGCGGATCACTTGAGGTCAGGAGTTCAAGACCAGCCTGGCCAACATGGTGAAAGCCCCATCTCTACTAAAAATACAAAAAATTAGCTGGGCTACTTTTACACCCAGCTAATTTTTGTATTTTTTTTTTTTTTTTTTGAGACGGAGTCTCGCTCTGTCGCCCAGGCTGGAGTGCAGTGGCACGATCTTGGCTTACTGCAAGCTCCGCCTCCCGGGTTCATACCATTCTCCTGCCTCAGCCTCCCACGTAGCTGGGACTACAGGCGCCTGCCACCACGCCCGGCTACTTTTTTGTATTTTTAGTAGAGACGGGGTTTCACCGTGTTAGCCAGGATGGTCTTGATCTCCTGACCTTGTGATCTGCCCGCCTCGGCCTCCCAAAGTGCTGGGATTACAGGCGTGAGCCATGGTGCCCAGCCTAGTTTTTTCTATTTTTAGTAGAGACAGGGTTTCACCACGCTGGCCAGGCTCGTCTTGAACTCCTGACCTCATGATCTGCCCGCCTTGACCTCCCAGAGTGCTGGGATTACAGGCATGAGCCACCACGCCCGGCCTTTTTTATTGGTAGAGACAGGGCTCCACTATGTTGCCCAGGCTGGTCTCGAACTCCTGGCTTCAAGTGATCCTCCTGCCTCAGCCTCTCAAAGCGCTGGGGGATTTTATTCTAAGTGTGATGGGAAGCTGTGTCCATTTGGGTTCTTTGAGAAGCAAATGCCAAGAAGGAATTAACCATGTGAAGAGATTTATTGGGGGTGATGCCTGTGAGAGATAAAGGAGAGAGGAAGCAGGAGTAGGTTGGGAGAATCTTCAGACTGTGGTGCAGATCTGACACCTGTGGAAGAAAAGAAGGGAAGAAAGGAGAGTTGCATAGGAACAGCCTCAGACTTCAGGGCCTCTGGATCATTCTGAGTCCCATCAGGAGACAGAAACCACAAAGCAATTTAAACGGGTTGTTTAATATAAAAAAATTATTAATCTTACACAGGAAAGTAACCATAAAGATGCGAAGGCCGGGTGTGGTGGCTCATGCCTGTAATCTCAGCACTTTGGGAGGCTGAGGTGGGCAGATCACCTGAGATCAGGAGTTGAAGACCAGCCTGGCCAACATGGAAACCCTGTCTCTACTAAAAATACAAAAATTAGCCGGGCATAGTGGCACACACCTGTAATCCCAGCTACTCAGGAGGCTGAGGCAGGAGAATTGCTTGAACCTGGGGGACGGAGGCTGCAATAAGCCAAGATTGCGCCACTGCACTCTAGCCTGAGCAACAGAGCAAGACCTTGTCTCAAAAATAAATAAATAAATAGGCAAAGGCCAAGCACAGTGGCTCACGCCTGTAATCCCAGCACTTTGGGAGGCCGCAGCGGGTGGATTACCTAAATTGCGAGTTTGAGACCAGCCAGACCAACATGGAGAAACCCCGTCTTTACTAAAACTACAAAATTAGCCAGGCGTGGTGGCGCATGCCTTTAATCCCAGCTACTCGGGAGGCTGAGGCAGGAGAATCACTTGAACCCGGGAGGTGAAGTTTGCAGTGAGCCAAGATCACGACATTGCACTCCAGTCTGGGCAACAAGAGGGAAACTCTGTCTCAAAAAAAAAAAGAAGGCACAGAGACCTTTAAAAGGTACCCAAGGAGAGTCCCCAAGGAAAGATAAACTTGATAAACTTGGAAGGGGGTGCCCTCCCCAAGTGAGGCTCAGACCTCACTGGAGAAGGTGTGGTTGGTTGCAGCCCACTGGATGGCGAGAAGTTGGGTGGCTTGCCTACGGCCAAAGCTGGTCCATAGTCCCCTGCGTAAGCAGGAATAACCCTCAGAGGGCTAAGGGAGCTGAGACTGGTGGGCGGGTGGAATTGGGGCACATTTGCAGATGTGAGGCCTAAAGCTTGAGGCATCTGCATCAGGAGGATTGCTGGAAGATGGTCCCCGGGCCTGAAGCCTGCAATGTTGCTATAGGCTATGCACACTGGGCTCATGGCTGGGGCAGATCACCACTAAATGTCCTCACCACACTGCTAAGCAACCAAAAAACAGGAGCAAGAACAGCGCGTGCACACACACACACACAAACCTCCTCTCCTCCTGAAAGTCTCTTCTAGCACTGACTACTTGCAAAGCTCAGCATCTCACTGTCAAGGAGTTCAGTTCATCTCCAGTGTGCAGAGCAGAGTGCATTTGGAGCTGAGCAGTAATACATTGATAACTGGCCCAGCATCTTTCAGAAAGTCTTGGCTAGGCCAGTGGGAAGTCCCAGAGCAGTAATGCCCGCTAGAGGAGTCCTGTATTGGGCAAAATTAATGCATCCCTAGTGTATTAGGGTTCTCTAGAGGGATAGAACTAATAGGATAGATGTATCTATGAAAGGGAGTTCATTAAGGAGAATTTATTCACACGACCACAACGGGAAGTCCCACAGTAGGCCATCGGCAAGCTGAGGAGAAGCCAGTCTGAGTCCCAAAACCTCAAAAGTAAGGAGGACGATAGTGCAGCCTTTAGTCTGGCTGAAGGCCTGAGAGCCCCTGGCAAATCACTGGTGTAAGTCTAAGAGTCCAAAAGCTGAAGTCTGATGAAAAACTTGGAGTCTGATGTTCGAGGGCAGGAAGCACCCAGCATGGGAGAAAGATGAGGCCAGAAGACTCAGCCAGTTTAGTACTTCCACGTTCTTATGTGTGATTATTTATTTATTTATTTATTTGAGTCGGAGTCTCTCTCTGTCTCCCAGGCTGGAGTGCAGTGCCGTGATCTCAGCTCCCTGCAACCTCTGCCCCCTAGGTTCAAGCAATTCTCCTCTCTCAGCCTTCTGAGTAGCTAGGATTACAGGCATGGGCCACCAGCCTGGCTAAGTTTTGTATTTTTAATAGAGATGGGGTTTCACCATGTTGGCCAGGCTGGTCTTGAACTCCTGACCTCAGGTGATCCGCCCACGTTGGCCTCCTAAAGTGCTGGGATTACAAGCATGAACCACCACACCCGGCCCCTCTGTCTACTTTTAACCCAGCTGTGCTGGCAGCTGATTAGATGGTACCTACCCAGATTGAGGGTGAGTCTGCCTCTCCTAGTCCACTGACTCAAACATTAATCTCCTTTGGCAACACCCTCCAAGACACACCCAGGAACAATACTTTGCATCCTTTAATCCAATCAAGTTGACATTCAATTTTTTTTTTTTTTTTTTTTTTTTTGAGATGGAATCTCGCTCTGTCACTCAGGCTGGAATGCAATGGCGCGATCTCGGCTCACTGCAACCTCTGCCTCCTGGGTTCACGCCATTCTCCTGCCTCAGCCTCCTGAGTAGCTGGGACTACAGGCGCCCACCACCAAGCCTGGCTAATTTTTTGTATTTTTAGTAGAGACGGGGTTTCACTGTGTTAGCAGGATGGTCTCGATCTCCTGACCTCGTGATCCTCCCACCTCGGCCTCCCAAAGTGCCGGGACTACAGGCATGAGCCACTGCACCCAGCTGACACTCAGTGTTAACCATCACACCTAGTAACTCCATTGTGCTCAGTCCCTGGTTGGGAGCGGCCCAGAAAGATCATGGCCTCAGCATGAACACTACAGCAGGTCTGAAAGTGTGGCAGCTGGAGGTGGTCACACAACTACCCTCTTCATAGCAGGTTCTCTTGAAGAATCTGAGTAGCACGTCTCCATAGATGCCCTAGGTGCCAAAGGAAGAATTTAGCAAAGCAGTTGTGACAACAGTCATTCAACCAACAAATATTTATTGTGGATTTTAACTTAATCAGCTATTTATTTATTTATTTATTTATTTATTTATGAGACAGAGTTTCTCTCTTGTCGTCCAGGCTGGAGTGCAGTGGTGCGATCTCGGCTCACTGCAAGCTCCGCCTCCCGGGTTCAAGGAGTTCTCCTTCGTTCAAGCAGTTCTCCTGCCTCAGCCTCCTGAGTAGCTGGGATTACAGGTGCTCACCACCACACCTGGCTAATTTTTTGTATGTTTAGTAGAGATGGGGTTTCACTATGTTGGCCAGGCTGGTCTTGAACTCCTGACCTCGTGATCCACCCGCCTCGGCCTCCCAAAATGCTGGGATTACAGGCGTGAGCCACTGTGTCCGGCTTAATCACCTCTTTTAAAAGGTCTTATCTCCAAATGCAGTCCCATTCTGAGGTGCTGGGGGTTAGAACATCCACATATGAATTTGGGGAGACACAATTGAGACCACAATAGTTGGGCTCAGGGCTAGGCACGGTGGCTCACGGCTGTAATCCCAGGATTTGGGAGGCTGAGCAGGGCAGATCACTTGAGGCCAGGAGTTCTAGACCAGCCCGGCCAACATGGAGAAACCCCATCTCTACTAAAAATACAAAAATTAGCTGGATGTGTTGGTGCACGCTTGTAATCCCAGCTACTTGGGAGGCTGAGACACAAGAATCGATTGAACCCAGAGGTGAATGTTGCAGTAAACCGAGATTGTGCCACTCCACTCCAGCCTGGGCAATAGAGCGAGACTCTGTTTCAGGAAAAAAAAAGTTGGACTGAAGGTTATTCTGTTTGTCTTTTTGTTCTGGGACCAGTGGACACCTAGGGCATGTTCTTCTCATGGCAGAAGTCTGAGACTTTGGCAGGGCAGAGGAATGGGTGGGGACACTCTTAAAGTCCAGGCCCAAAACAAGCACACACAAAACTGCACCACATTCCACTGGCCAAGGTATTCCAATTATGATTGCTGCATTACAAACCTACCTGAGACTGACTGGCATAAAACAATTATTTTACTATGTTCAGAGATTCTGTGAGTCAGGGATTTGGGCCGGGTATGGTGGAAACCCCTTGCCTCTGCTCTAGAACATCCGGGGCCTCAGCTGGAAACACTCAAGGGCTGTGACTAGGATTGGCTGGAGGTGTTTTCACTCACATATGTAGCACTTGATGCTGGGACCACAGCTGGACCTCAGATCAACTGGAACACCACTTTGTGGCTTCCCTCCATGGTCACTCTGTGTGGACTAGTTTGGTCTCCCTTAAAACATGGTAGCTGGAGGTCGGGTGAGGTGGCTTATGCCTATAATCCCTGCACTTTGGGAGGCTGAGGTAGGCAGACCATGAGGTCAATAGATCGAGACCATCCTGGCCAACACGGTGAAACCCTGTCTCTACTAAAATACAAAAATTAGCTGGGTGTGGTGGCATGTGCCTGTAGTCCCAACTAGTCGGGAGGCTGAGGCAGGAGAATCACTTGAACCCGAGAGGCGGAGGTTGCAGTGAGCCAAGATTGTACCACTGCACACCAGCCTGGAGACAGAGCGAGACTCGGTCTCAAAAACAAAAACAGTGGCTGGGTCCCAAGAGAGCGAAGGGGAAGTGCCTTGTCTTTCTTTCTTTTCTTTTCTTTTTTTTTTTTGAGACAGAGTCTTGCTCTGTTGCCCAGGCTGGAGTGCAATGGCGCCATCTCGGCTTACTGCAACCTCTGCCTCCTGGGTTCAAGCGATTCTTGTGCCTCAGCCACCCAAATAGCTGGGATTAGAGACGTGCACCACCACGCCCGGCTTTTTTGTGTGTATTTTTAGTAGAGATGGGGTTTCACCATGTTGGCCAGGCTGGTCTTGAACTCCTGACCTCAGGTGATCCGCCCGCCTTGGCCTCCCAAAGTGCTGGGATTACAAGTGTGAGCCACCGTGCCTGGCCTGCATGGTCTTTTTATGATTCAGCTTCAGAAGACAAAAAGCATCATTTCTGCTGGAGCCCAATGGTCAAGGCACTACCAAAGGTACACCCAGGTTCAAGAGGGAGAGGACATGGAGTCCACCACCCAGTAGGAGGACATCAAGATCCCATTGTAAAATGTGGTGTGCATGGGAGAAGGGAAATTTCTTCTTTTTTTTTTTTTTAATTTTATTTTAAGTTCCAGGATACATGTGCAAAACATGCAGGTTTGTTACATAGGTAAACGTGTGCCACGGTGGTTTGTTGTACCTATGAACTCATCACCTAGGTATTAAGCCCCGCGTGCATTAGCTATTTGTCCTGATGCTCTCCCTCCCCTCGCCCCCACAGGCCCTGGTGTATGTTGTTCCCCTCCCTGTGTCCATGTGTTTTCATTGTTCAGCTCCCACTTATGAGTGAGAACATGCGATGTTTGGTTTTCTGTTCCTGTGTTAGTTTGTTGAGGATGATGGCTTCCAGCTTCATCCATGTCCCTGCAAAGGACATGATCTCATTCCTCTCTTTTTGAGACCAAGCCTCGCTCTGTCACCCAGGCTGGAGTGCAGTGGAACGATCATAGCTCACTGCAGACTCGAACTCCTGGGCTCAAGGAATCCTCCCGCCTCAGCCTCCCAAAGTGCTGGGATTACAGGCATGAGCCCTGCACCTGGCCAAGAGGGAAAATTTTTGAGATCATTTTCGAAAATACAGTCTACCACCCGAGGTCAAGCCCAGTGTCGATGGACAGATAAATATCCTACAGCCAGGATGTGCATGGAGGCATGAGGAGAGAAGGCAGAATTGTGAGCAGATAATAAAATATTCTACAGATGTGGAGAAATGACCAACACAAAATGAAGTTGAAGGCTGGGTGTGGTGGCTCACACCTGTAGTCCCAACACTTTTGGAGGTTGAGGCAGGAGGACTGCCTGAGGCCAGGATTTTGAGATTAGCCTGGGCAACATAATGAGACCTATCTCATTACGGTTGTTGTTGTTGTTGTTGTTGTTGTTGTTGTTGTTGTTTGAGACGGAGTCTTGCTCTGTCGCCCAGGCTGGAGTGCAGTGGCGCAATCTCAGCTCACTGACACT
The DNA here is from genome assembly GCF_000001405.40 of Homo sapiens. Taxonomy (NCBI): domain Eukaryota; kingdom Metazoa; phylum Chordata; class Mammalia; order Primates; family Hominidae; genus Homo; species Homo sapiens. The sequence continues at coordinate 31,652,068 of NC_000020.11, forward strand.
TCCGCCTCCTGGGTTGAAGCTATTCTTCTGCCTCAGCCTCCTGAGTAGCTGGGATTACAGGTGCATGCCACCATGCCTGGCTAATTTTTGTATTTTTAGTAGAGACAGGGTTTCATCATGTTGGCCAGGATAGTCTCCATCTCTTGACCTCATGATCTGCCCTCTTGGCCTCCCAAAGTGCTGGGATTACAGGCATGAGCCACCACGCCTGGCTGTGTCTCAGGTCTTAAGGTCCCTAGCTGGTCAGCCTTCTTTCCACTTTTCAGAGTTTCCTTTTCTTTTTCTTTCTTTCTTTTTTTTTTGAGATGGAGTCTCACTCTGTGGCCCAGGCTGGAGTGCAATGGCATGATCTCAGCTCACTGCAACCTCTACCTCCTGGGTTCAAGCAGTTCTCATGCCTCAGCCTCCTTAGCAGCTGGGATCACAGGCATGAGCCACCATGCCTGGCTATTTTTTGTATTTTTGGTAGATACAGGGTTTTGTCATGTTGGGCAGAATGGTCTCAAACTCCTGGCCTCAAGTGATCCATCTGCCTCAGCCTCCCAAAGTGCTGGGATGACAGGCATAAGCCACCGCGCCCAGCCTGAGTTTTCTTATTCTTATTTTATATACAGTGTCAAAGGTTCTTAGTTTTACTTAGGAGGAGAAATAGGGAAAAGTACATCTGCTCCATCTTCCTGGATGTGGAAGTCCAGTGGTTCTTCCTAATATATATTAAAATATCTTTTGATATATAATCTCTCTCTCTCTCCCTACCCCTCCCTCCCCTTCCATTTCATTTGTTGAAAAAAATTGAGTCATTTGTCCTGAGGATTTCCCCCAGTCTGTATTTTGGTAATTGCAATCCCATGTGTCTCTTATTATGCCCCTCTGTCCCCGTTGTTTTCTGTAAATGGTGATTACATTTAGAAGCTTAGACTCACGCTTGATTTTTTTGGCAAGAATATTTTATGGGTGTGCTGTGTTCTCTTGGCAGGCAGCACATGACGCCTGGTTGTCTTTGTGTAGCATTAGCAGCTTTCATTGGTCATTGTGTAGATTCATTAACTTATTAGGAGTACAGATGGCTTTCAAATACATGAAAAGATGCCAACCTCAATTAGATTTTTAAAAATGAAATTTTAAAGTATGAGTACTATTTTTTCATCTACCAGATTGACAAGGATCAGAGTGTTAACACGAATGTTGGCAAGAGTGCAGAGGACAGGCGATTTCATAGGCTGCCTGATTGGACTGTATCCATCAAAATGACTAATGTATACACCCTTTGGCCCAGCAATTCTACTTTTAGGGATGTACCCTGTGGATACATGTGCATATATGCAAAATGATGGATTGCAGTATTGTTTGGATTAGCAGGAGTTAAAGCCTGGGCAACATAGTGAGACCTTGTCTCTACTACAAATAAAAAAATATTAGCCGGGCATGGTGGTGCATGCCTGTGGTCCCAGCTACTTGGGAGGCTGAGGTGGGAGGATCCTCAAATTTGGGAAGTCAAGGCTGCAGTAAGTCACGATCATGTCACTGCGCTCCAGCCTGGGCAATAGAACAGACCCTGTCTCCAAAAACAAAAACAGTAACAACAGAAGTTGAGAACTACCAAATTGTTCCACCTGGAGTGCTACAAATTATCACAACTTGTGGCAGACGCTGTGGGCAATGTGCCTGCAGGATGCTCTCTGAAGCTTTGGTGGACAGTTCTCATTAAAGGGAACAGCCACCTGTGTGTTTTTGACCAAGCATGGGGCAGGCAGGAAATGCCAAACGTCAAGGAGAAAGTCCTGAAGCAGCCCTCCTCAGCCAATGAGGGATGAGTTGGTGGATAAACACCTTGGTGTTCTTTTCCCTCAGTGATAGAATTTTGAGCAGTGTTCCACGGGTTTTTCAAAGGATGCCCTGGTGGAGGAGCCCCATTGCCTGGAGTGGCAGCTTACTCATTATTACACCCTATATTGGCTGCCTGTCCTTCCTTGTGTCACTTCCCCACTTAAATCATTTGCCCCTGAATCTTTATTCTAGGCTTTGCTTTTGGGGGAAATCTACACTAAGGCAGAGCTTGGTGGTGGTTTGGCAGCACAGTCTGATACAATTTATAGTAGTTACTATAAAAAATAGTACTTACAGCCGGGCACGGTGGCTCACACCTGTAATCCCAGCACTTTGGGAGGCCAAGGTGGGCGGATCACAAGGTCAGGAGATCGAGACCATCCTGGCTAACACGGTTAAACCCCGTCTCTACTAAAAAATACAAAAAAATTAGCCGGGCAAGGTGGCGGGCACCTGTAGTCCCAGCTCTGTGGGAGGCTGAGGCAGGAGAATGGCATGAATCCGGGAGGCGGAGCTTGCAGTGAGCCGAGATGGCACCACTGCACTCCAGCCTGAACGACAGAGAGACTCCGTCTCAAAAAAAAAAAAAAAAAAAAATAGTACTTACAGTGCCAGATACCATCCTTAAGCACTTTACGAGCATTAAACCTGTGTAACTACCTCATGAAGTAGGTATGATTAGCACCCCTATTTTTTAGGCAAAAAACTCAGGAACAGAGAGGTTACGTCACTTGTCCAAGGGCACCTGCCTCCCCTGGGCAGTCTCGTTTCAGGGTCCTGCTCCAAACCATTACACTATCCTTTCTCTGGTCCCCTGCTGCTCCACCAGCATGAGCTGAGCTTGGCCACGGTTGGCCTCTTCGTTTCTGGACCTCTACTGTAGTGGTCAGCTGTGGAGAATGGCCATCCACCTACCCTCTACAGTTTGTTTTCCAGGTGCCCAGAGAGCTTGGCACAAAGTTCAGGTAAGATTGATATACCCTTTTGGGGACAGCCAAACAGCTGCGGAGGGATGTTCCACTTCATAAATGGTTTGTAAACTACAGCCCTATCATTATTTTAATTTATTATTATTATTTTTACAGTGCAATCATAGCAGTTATTTCTGGGGGAGGTTTGTTTGTTTTTTAAGTTTTTTTTTTTGTAGGGATGGAGTCTTGGTATGTTGCCCAGGCTGGTCTCAAACTCCTGGGCTGAAGCAATCCTCCTGCGTCAGTCTCCCAAAGTGGGATTATAGGCATAAGCCACCACGTCCAGCTTTTTGTTTGTTTGTTTGTTTCGAGATGGAGTTTTTGCTCTTGTTGCCCAGGCTGGAGTGCAATGGTGTGATCTTGGCTCACTGCAACCTCCACCTCCTGGGTTCAAGTGATTCTCCTGCCTCAGCCTCCTGAGTAGCTGGGACTACAGGCACCTGCCACCACGCCCAGCTAATTTTTGTATTTTTACCAGAGACGGGGTTTCACCATGTTGGCCAGGCTGGTCTGGAACTCCTCACCTCAGGTGATCCGCCCACCTTGGCCTCCCAAAGTGCTGGGATTACAGGCATGAGCCACCATGCCTGGCTTGTTTTTTACATCAGTGCAATTAGAGCCTGACGTGGGCACTTGTTGACGTGGGTACTGGTCATTTCCTATTCAGCAACAAATTTACAAACCATCTCGTTGGCCAGGCCACTATGTTATGTTTATATTATTTTCTATTTCATATTCAGAAAAACTTTTTCTTGCTTTATGTCCACATTCTTGGTATCTTAGTATTTTAAAAATGAGTTCCTCAAATTTTAACATTGACTTGTTAACAGTTCGTAATATGGCCATTTAAATTTCATTTAAGAACTTCAAGAATTCACAAGACTCTCTATAATGAAATTATTAAAACTAATTATTTATATGTGAATTTATTGAAATGAGATGGCTTAAATAATTCAGGAGAGAATACTCAACATGGTCAGAATTCTCATGTGAGTTTGTGCATATTAATTAAAAATCAGGCCAGGCGCAGTGGCTCACGCCTGTAATACTAGCACTTGGTAGGCCAAGGCTGGCGAATCGCCTGAGGTCAGGAGTTCGAGACCAGCCTGGCCAACATGGTGAAACCCTGTCTCTAGTAAAAATACAAATTTAGCTGGGCATGGTGGCAGGCACCTGTAGTCCCAGCTACTCGGGAGGCTGAGGCAGGAGAATCACTTGAACCCAGGGGACAGAGGTTGCAGTGAGCCAGGATGCACCACTGCACTCTAGCCTGGGCGGCAGAGCGAGACTCTGTCTCAAAAAAAAAGAAAGAAAGAAATGAACATATATGATCTATATAAATGTAGGTCTTCTTTGATTTTTATTTATTTATTTTATTTTTTTCGAGATGGAGTTTTGCTCTTGTTGCCCAGGCTGGAGTGCAATGGTGTGATCTTTGCTCACTGCAACTTTTGCCTCCTGGGTTCAAGCGATCCTCCTGCCTCAGCCTCCCGAGTAGCTGGGATTACAGGCATGCACCACCACGCCTGGCTAATTTTGTGTTTTTAGTAGAGACGGGGTTTCTCCATGTTGGTCAGGCTGGTCTCGAACTCCTGACCTCAGGTGATTTGCCCACCTCTGCCTCCCAAAGTACTGGGATTACAGGCGTGAGCCACCGCACTTGGCTATGCCCAGCCATTTCTATTATTTTCTTTTTCTTTCTTTCCTTTTTTTTTTTTGAGACGGAGTTTTGCTATTGTTGCTCAGGCTGGAGTGCAATGGCGCAATCTCGGCTCACTGCAACCTCTGCCTCCTGGGTTCAAGTGATTCTCCTGCCTCAGCCTCCCGAGTAGCTGGGATTACAGATACCCACCACCATGCCCAGCTAATTTTTTTGTATTTTTAGTAGAGATGGGGTTTCACCATGTTGCCATGTTGGCCAGGCTGGTCTTGAACTCCTGACCTCGGGTGATCTGCCCGCCTTGGCTTCCCAAAGTGCTGGGATTACAGGCACGAGCCACCACGCATGGCCCATTTCTATTATTTTCTATATAGTAAGAAATAGTTCTTGTTATTTTTGCCTCATGACAAAGGCTATGATGGTAGAGATAGAAAAATAGAAAGCTGGGCATTATGTAATACATTATTTTATTGTACTTTGTGTGTGTGTGTGTGTTTTTTTTTTTTGTTTTTTGTTTTTTTTTGAGACAGCCTCTAGCTCTGTCACCCAGGCTGGGGTGCAATGGCGTGATCTTAGGTCACTGCAACTTCCACCTCCTGGGTTCAAGCGATTCTCCTGCCTCAGCCTCCAGAGTAGCTGGGATTACAGGTGCGCGCCACCACACCTAGCTAATTTTTTTTTGTATTTTTAGTAGAAATGGGATTTCACCATGTTGGCCAGGCTGGTCTCAAACTCCTGACCTCAAGTGATCTGCCCGCCTCAGCCTGTCAAAGTCTGGAATTACAGGCGAGAGCCACCGCGGCCAGTCGATTTTATTTTATTTTCTGAGTCAGGGTCTTGCTCTGTCATCCAGGCTGGAGTTCAGTGATGTGATCACAGCTCACTGCAGCCTCAACCTTCTGGTCTCAAGCGATTATCTCACCTCAGGCTCCCTATTAGCTGGGAATACAGGCACGTGCCACCATGCCCAGCTAATTTTTGTATTTTTTTGTAAAGACGGGGTTTTGCCATGTTGCCCAGGCTGGTCTGGAACTCCTGGGTTCAAACAATCTGCCCACCTCAGCCTCCCAAACTGCTGGAATTACAGGTGTGAGCCACCACACCTGGCCTATGTAATAAATTTGATCATGACATAAGTTGCTGGTTTTTCTGCGTGATTTGTCAATTTTTAAAAATTGCACAAGTGAACCAGGCACAGTGGTTCACATCTGTAATCCCTAAACTTTGGGGGGTTGAGGCAGGAGGATCATTTGAGCCCAGGAGTTCCAGACCAGCCTGGGCAACATAAGGAAACCCTGTCTCTATTTAAAAAAAAAAAACATTGCACAAGCAATACACAAAATTATTATCTTAAACTTCTATAGACCCAGAAGACTATAAAGAAGTGAAAGCTGGCTAAAAAGCTTTTTTTTTTTAAATTTAATAAATCATGAACAGGTGTTAGCTGGGCACCGTGGCTCATGCCTGTAACCCCAGCACTTTGGGAGGCCGAGGCAGGCAGATCACCGGAGGTCAGGAGTTCGAGACCAGCCTCGCTAACATAGCGAAACCCCGTTGCTACTAAAAATACAAAAATTAGCTGGACGTGGTGGCGGGCATCTGTAATCCCAGCTACTCAGGAGGCTGAGTCAGGAGAATCACTTGAACTTGGGACGTGGAGACTGTGGCGAGTCAAGATGGCACCACTGCACTCCAGCCTGGGCAACAGAGCGAGACTCCATCTCAAAAAAAAAGAAAAAAATGAACAGGTGTTGAATTTTACAAAATACTATTTTCATATCTCCTGAAATAATCATAAGCATTTTCTTTGTTAATTTTTCAATACAATAAATTACATAGATAAATTTCTTGGCTGGGTGCGGTGGCTCACGTCTGTAATTCCAGCACTTTGGGAGGCCAAGGCAGGCGGATCACTTGAGGTCAAGAGTCCAAGACCAGCCTGGCAAACATGGTGAAACCCTGTCTCTATTAAAAATACAAAAATTAGCCTGGCATGGTGGTGCATGCCTGTAATTCCAGCTACTTGGGAGGCTGAGGCAGGAGAATCACTTGAACTTTGGAGGCAGAGGTTGCAGTGAGCCAAGATGGCGCTACTGCACTCCAGCCTGGGCTACAGAGTGAGACTCCGTCTCAAAAAAAAAAAAGAAAGCAAAAAGAAAAAATTCCTATATGTAGTCAATCTTGTTTACCTGGAATAAACCCTACAGGTTGTGATATATTATTCTTTTAATATTATGTTGTTTGTTAATATTAGGTTTGGTTTATTAATATTATAACTTTGGCATACATGTTCATAAGTAATAGTGACCAATAATTCCCTTTCTTTTCCTTCCTTTCTTCCTTCTTTCCTTCTGTGTTTCCCTCACTCTCTCCCTTCTTTCCTTCCTTCCTCTCTCTTCCTTGGTGCTGTACAGCCTTGCCCAGTTTTTTTTGTTTTGTTTTGTTTTGTTTTTTGAGATGGAGTCTCCCTCTGTAACCCAGGCTGGAGTGCAGTGGCACGATCTCGGCTCACTGCAAGCTCTGCCTCCCAGGTTCATGCCATTCTCCTGCCTCAGCCTCCCGAGTAGCTGGGACTACAGGCGCCCGCCACCACGCCCAGCTAATTTTTTTGTATTTTTAGTAGAGACGGGGTTTCACCGTGTTAGCCAGGATGGTCTTGATCCCCTGACCTCGTGATCCACCTGTTTTGGCCTCCCAAAGTGCTGGGATTACAGGCGTGAGCCACTGCACCCGGCAGCCTTGCCCAGTTTTAATAACAGTTATAATGGTAAAGAAAGAAAGAAGAGTTTAAAAGATTTATATCTTTTCCTGTTTTCTGAACTCATTATTTTAAAATATTCAAAATGAAAACGTACATTTGGATTGATTTCAAATCCAACTGAATACAAGAAATATTGACATTAATTTGTCAGTTATAGAAAGGAAGAGCTATTAGAATGTTTAAATATAATTTCAATAGTAAGCTTTGGAATGGCTTACATTTTTCTCTTATTTCCTACTTGAGATTATAATGTCTCCTTTTTTCTGTTTTTTTTTTTTTTTTTTTTTTTTTTTGAGATAGAGTCTTGCTCTGTGGCCCAGGCTGGAGTGCAGTGGCACAATCTCAGCTCACTGCAACCTCTGCTTCCCTGTTTCAAGCATTTCTCCTGCCTCAGCCTCTCGAGTAGCTGGGACTACAGATGTGGGCCACCACGCCCAGCTAATTTTTGTATTTTTAGTAGAGATGGGGTTTCACCCGGGTTCAAGTGATCTCACCATGTTGCCAGGTTGGTCTCCAACTCCTGGGCCCAAGCGATCCTCCCACCTCGGCATCCCAAAGTGCTGGGATTACAGGCATAAGCCACCATGCTGAGCCCTGCGTGAGCCATTTCTTTCTTTCTTTCTCTTTTTTTTTTTTTTTTTTTTTTTGAGACGGAGTTGCGCTCTGTCACCCAGGCTGGAGTGCAGTGACACAACCTCGGCTCACTGCAACCTCCGCCTCCTGGGTTCAAGCAATTCTCCTGCCTCAGCCTCCAGAGTAGCTGGGATTACAGGCACACGCCACCACGCCACCATTCCTGGCTAATTTTTTCTGTTTTTTTTTTTTTCAGTAGAGATGGGGTTTCACCATGCTGGCCAGGCTCTGGTCTCGAACTCCTGACCTCATGATCCGCCAACCTCAGCCTCCCAAAGTGCTGGGATTACAGGCGTGAGCTACCGTGCCCGGCCGAGCCATTTCAATAATAAAACCTCATATAAAAAGTTGCATTTACAGGACCAAAGTCAAGTTTTTAAAGAAAAAATTTTAAAATATTTTATGTATTTAGATGTTTTAATCAAAGATAAAACTTCATATTTTCTCTATGAAATATATTTCATTTCTTTCATCATAAATATGTAATATATGGAAATTGAATGAGTTTTTCACCAAGAACCACATAGAGAGTCCCAAACCCCCTCCAGCTTTCCCTTTGTGCAATTCCAAGCATGTTCCATGGCAATATATAAAGTTGGGAATCACTGAGCGGTCTGGTTAAAAACTTGTGGAATACCACACAGCTAGAAAAAAAGAATAAAGTTGACATCAGTTGGTAATTGTTGAAACTGCCTGGTGAGTACATGGGGATTCATGTGTGAATATGGAAACTTCTACAAGGCTGGGCTAGGTGGCTCAAGCCTGTAATCCCAGCACTTTGGGAGGCCAAGGTGGATGGATCACCTGAGGTCGGGTAAACACAAAAATTAGCTGGGCGTGGTGTTGTGCGCCTGTAGTCACAGCTACTTGGGAGGCTGAGATAGGAGAATTGCTTGTACCCAGAAGGTGGAGATTGCAATTCTCGAACCGGGAAGGTGGAGGTTGCAGTGAGCCGAGATCATGCCACTGCACTTTCGGCTTGGGCGACAGAAGGAGACTCTGTCTCAAAGAAAAAAAAAAACCTCTACAAGATACAGTATGCAGGTGGAAAAAGCAAGGGAAAGTGTGTTTAGTATGTTACTATTTGTGTAAAAAATTAGTGGAGGATCAAAATATATATCTGTGCCAATATGTGAAAAAATGTTTCTGGGCTGGGCACAGTGGCTCACGCCTGTAATCCCAGCACTTTGGGAGGCCGGGGCCAAGTGATGGCTTGAGACCAGGAGTTCGAGACCAGCCTGGGCAACATGGCAAAACCCTGTCTCTGCAAAAATACAAAAAAATTAGCCGGGTATGGTGGCGTGCTCCTGTAGTCACAGTGGGAGGCTGAGGTGGGAGGATCACCTGAGCCCAGGAAGTCGAGGCTGCAGTGAGCTATGATCAGGCCACTGCACTCCAGCCTGGGCAACAGAGTGAGACCCTCTCTCAAAAAATAAAAAATAAATAAATAAATAAATAAAAGAGCGAGTGAAGACATTTCTGGAAGCACATGGAGAATGTGAGGAAGGGACTTGAACGGCTATGGCTAGGGGCAGGAGCTGAGGACACATCGTGGGGGAAGGCGTGAGTGGGAGGCTGGAGGCTTTGGTCTTGAACCAAACAAGATGGCGATTCTAAGCTCCAGAGAGCCCATACAAGCTCTGAATCCAGTACCTAAGGGTTGGAAGTGTAGCTGTTTTTCTGGTGAGTAGGGTAGAGGATGGAGGACATTGGGGAAAGTGGCCCCCCGGCGAGAGAGGTCGTGTGCACTGAGCGGGAGCAGCTTGAGCTGGGGCTGGCTCTCAGGTCGCATCCTGTGGCCACCAGGGGGCAGTGAAGCCCACTCCGAAAAGCGGGCGGGGCGGGGCGGGGCGGGGCGCCTGGGGCATGTCCCACCTCCAGGCCTGCCCTCCAGCTGGAGCTCCTGACCGCTTTTCCCAGACCCCTCCTGGACCGCTGGACGCGGCCACGCGGGACTCCGAGAGTGCAGCACCTCCTCTCTTCTCCTGGAGAGCCCGGGGGAATGCCGAGTCCATCCCCGCGGTCACCCTCAACATCCAGTCCTCCTCCACTGCTTCTAGGTTATCTCATTCAATTGCCCATCACACCCATTTTGTAGAGGGGAAAGCTGGGGCACAGAGAGAGTAGGTAACTCACTCACTGGAAGCCACGGCTCGAGAAATGACGACCCGGGACACAAATCTGGCTGTCCATCCTCAAAACCGGAGCATTCATGAAACCATGGCTTCCTCACTGATCTCCTTGTTTCCACTCTGCTTCCCCTCCGGAACCTTCTCCACCCATCAGCCAGAGTTTTGGGGGCTCTCGGGCTGTATCACTCCCTAACTTACCACCTTTCTCTGGCTGTCACTGCCCTCAGGATCAAGTTCAGTCCTCTCACCCCACCCTCTGTCATCATCTTAAACCCAGCAGCGCCCTCTCTCTTAGCTCTGGACACACCAGCTTTTCAGCCTGAAGACAATGCCTGCTCATCTGGTGCATTTACTGCTTCTTCCCCAGGCCCACTCTCCTGCCTCCCCACTTAATTTTAAGTTAACCGTGATGCACTCTTCAGGCCCTGGCTCTCATGTCAATTCCTCCAGGGAGCCCTCCCTGACTCCTGATTCCCAGACGAGCTCAGATCGCACTTACTATGAGTCTCTTGGGTTGCACTGGCTTCAAACATGCACTTCATTTTTGTATCTATAATGGCATCACTATTCTAAAAATCTGTCATCCTTGAGTCTCTCTGAAGCTATCTCTACTCCATCTGAAATCCTGTGGGATGTGCCTTAAAAATCTGAAGTCTGACCCCTTCTTACCTCCTTCTCTACTAAGTCCTTCATGTCTTGGTAGAAGACCAAACCGCTTCCTCATGGTCGTTGCTTTTTCCTCCTTTGCCCTTACTGGGGCTTAGAAAACAATACCCCAAAGTATGGCACTTTGGCATACCGAATACTTTGAACTAAAGGAGGCTGAAAGGCCTCAGAAACAAGATCTCTGACTTTCTCCTGCCTTGCTGTCTCCCATTTCTCTTTCTCCCCTGAAGCAAGTAACAGAAACTAGCATTCATTCCTCTTCCCCAAGGTGGGTCATAGAAACTAGAACTCCTCTCCCCAAAGCAACTCATAAAACACAGAAATATATATATATATATACACACACACATATATATACATATATATACACATATATACATATATATACACATATATATACACATATATATACACACACATACACACACACACACACACACACACATATATATATATATACACACACACACATATATATATATATATTTTTTTTTTTTGAGACGGAGTCTTGCTCTGTCGCCCAGGCTGGAGTGCAGTGGCGCGATTTCGGCTCACTGCAAGCTCCGCCTCCCGGGTTCACGCCATTCTCCTGCCTCAGCCTCCCGAGTAGCTGGGACTACAGGCGCCCACCACCACGCCCGGCTAATTTTTTTTTGTATTTTTAGTAGAGACGGGGTTTCACTGTGTTTGCCAGGATGGTCTTGATCTCCTGACCTCGTGATCCGCTAAAACACAGAAATATTACTGTAACCTTCCTCTGCTCTACTGTGTAGAAGCTGGCCACAAATTCTCGGCTGGGCATGGGGATCACTGGAGGCTAGGTGTTCGAGACCAGCCTGGGCAACATAACAAGATCCCCATCTCTACAAAAAAAAATTTGAAAATTAGCCAGGCTTGGTGGCACTCACATGTAATTTCAGCTGCTCAAGAGACTGAGGCAGGAGGATCACTTGAGCCCAGGAATTTGAAGCTGCAGTTATCTATCACACTACTGCATTCCAGCCTGGGTGACGGGGCAAGACCCTCTTAAAAAACAAATAAATACTCTGACCTATGTCTTGTCTCCTGTACAGGAGAGGAAGGAATGCTACACAGAGGCCAAGAAGAATCTGGACTGGCCTTGCTGGGTTGGCTAATTTAAAAATTTTTTTGTAGAGACAGGGTCTCACTTTGTTGCCCAGGCTGATCTTGAACTCCTGACCTTAAGCAACCCATCCCCCACCCGCAAAGTATTGAGATTACAGGGTGTGAACTGCCACTTTGTTTTTCTTTTGTTATAGGAATGTCAGTCACAGAACCTTCTGATGGGTGAGGAAAGGCATCACACCTTTCCCCCACACCCTACAGCAGCTAGAGCCGTGCTTATGTCTGTCTCTTCCACTAGAATGAATGCTTGTAAAGGCAAAGGTTTTGTTTGAAGAAGTCCCCAGTGCCCAGGACTATGTCTGTGTAGAGCAGAGCTCAGTAAACACTTGCCAAGTGGCTGTGTCTCCCACTAGAATGTCAGCTCCTGAGGGCAGAGACTGTGTCTGTCCTGTTCACATGCAGCCCCAGTGCCCAGCACACAGCATGTACCCAGTAAAACCCTGTCACCGTACAGGTGGATAAATTCAGGCCCAGAAGGAAGGAAGGACTTGTCCAAGGCCCTCCCCTGAGGGCAGCAGAGCCAGGACCAGTACCCAGCTCTCCAGCGGCCCCTCCTTTCCCCATCCCGGAGCACACAAGAGCCCAGGCTCTTTGTTCACTGAGTAAACACAGTTTATTACTGAACTGCACTTTCACCTTCACACAGACTATTTCAAAGAGCTGGAACAAGTGTGGGGTGGGGGTTGGGGGAGGGGCAGATGCCCCTCAGGAGCCAGGACCCTCGGCCAGCTTCCCTGGACCAGGGCAGGGGAGGGAGCATCAGGCCGTCCAATCTCCGGGCACCAGCTCTCCACGTGCACGCGCACTGCAAGCCAGCAGCTCCTCACACATAAATACAGACACGCTTAACAAAAATAGTATATCATCTTCACAAGGAATAAAAACTAGTCTCAAATATGTACAGCAGAGAGCCCGGGGTGGCTGGGACCCCTGGGGATGAGACAGGCCAAGGGTGGAGCAGAAGAGAGAGGGAGGCCTGAAGAGCTCCTGGCCAGGCCACTCTGGCCTTGGCAGCCTGGCTGCCCAGGCTGGACAGGCATGGGGCACAGATCTGCCTGGCCAGGCAGGACTGGCCCTTCTAGTCAGCCCTACCCCACCCCATGCAGCAGGCTCTCCTTCCTGCCCTTCCTGCCTGAGGTAGGGAAGACCCTGGGGCTCCCATAGCTGTTCCTGATAGCTCCCTTTCACCTCAGGGCTGAGTCCCCTGAACCCACCATGAGGAGCAGCCCAAGGCAAAGATGCCACAGGCTGCTCTTGTAGGAAGTGAGGCAGCTGAGGCCATAAACAGCTCTGGGGCATCTGTCTTGGGCCCAGTTGGTCCCTCAGTATGGTCATGGGAGCCAGGGAGGGGAAGGGACTAGGGTGGTGCTGAACTGCAAGGGCCACCCTAGCTTTGGCATGGGGTGCTTCCTGTAGCTATAGCCCCCTCCCTCCTGGGTGGGGCTGGCCTCTAGCCAGAGGCTTCTGGAGGACATTTGGACTGGGAGTGAGGACTCTAGCCAGTCCAGAGGTGAGGAGGGAGTCCTGGTCCTTGCATCTTTATCCCAAGCAGCCTGAATCCCTAGTCAAAAGTGGCCCCTAAATGGCTCTTAGGGGGTAGGGATGGAAGGAAAGGGAACCCAGGTTAGTGTGGGGAGAGTGGGGGGAAAATGATCAATTCTGAGGCCACAAACATCAAAACAAAGGCAATCTAGTCTCCTTTCTGGGGAAGAGGTTCTGAAAACTTTCAAGCTCCCTGGCAGAAAAACATTTTCAGGGAGGCTAAGGGGTAAGGGTTGCACCAATCAGGTAGGGCCCTCCTGCCCCCAGCCACAAACCCTTCCATACCTGCCAGCCTCCTTTGGACAGATTTTGTGGAAATTTTGTGAATTCTGAGGCCAAGGGAACTGAGGTGTGGGGGTCTCACAGAAGTGTGATAAATTCTAGAAAACTAGCTGCAAGGGACCAGATCTGGGCCCAACCCTGTGATGGGCAGGTGGGCATGGGCTGCATGTAGTGGTTCTCCTGGTGGCAATGGCGGCTGGACGGAGGATGTGGTGGAGCAGAGAAGGGGGTGGGAGGGTAGAGTGGATGGTCAGTGTCTGGTCATTTCCGACTGAAGAGTGAGCCCAGCAGAACCACGCCGGCCACAGTCATGCCCGTCAGGAACCAGCGGTTGAAGCGTTCCTGGCCCTTTCGGCTCTCGGCTGCTGCATTGTTCCCATAGAGTTCCACAAAAGTATCCTGCAGGGAGAGAGAAGGAAGGTGCAGTTTTAGTCCTCAGAGAGTGATGTAGGTGGGTGGGGAAAGGGGCCATCTGCATGCTATGGCCTTGGTGATGTGAAAAACTGTAGCCATCTGTGCCCACTCTGGGCCAGGTAAAGGGCTAAGGGTGGTCCTCTTTCTTGACCCTCCATTGGTGATAATCAAACCATGTTACTGCTGAGAAACAGGTAGAGAGGAGGAAAGTGCCCTGTCTGAGGTAAGTCAAGAAGTAGCACTTACTCCAGAATCCAAGGTGGGAACGAGATGGGCAGGGTCAGGGAACTGATGGAAGCCAGGTGGCTGGAGCAGAGTGCAGGAGAGGAGGGCATGGGGGAGATGATGGTGCAGGGGTGAGCAAGAGCCAGACCATACGTGGCCTGGAAGCCGCAAGGAGCCTAGAGTTGAGTCTGAGGGTAGTGTGGAGTGTGGAGCCACTAGGCCTCAGATTTTCTACTGCTGCACCAGAGGGAGGGATAAGGAAGCCCAGGGCTAAATCCCCAGGGTCATTTGAGGCCAATTCAGGGGTAGAATGGGTCCTGGGACTTCAGCCAGAGGCTCCTCCCTCTGGAGGGAGCCTCTGGTGGGCAGGTTGGTGACAAGAAGAGCAGGGCAGAGGAGAGAGGGTAACAATGATGCAGGACTGACAGGCCTCCATCACGGGGTCTGTGAGGCCTTGTCCCGGACATCCTCCACTGCAGGGGGTGTGACTCTGGGCCCAGGAGGTTGTGATCAACAGCCCTCTGCCCTGAATCTAAGTCAGAAGGGAAGCACATGACAGGGGGAAGGAGGAGCTGTGGGCTAAATTACCCAGCCCAGGGTGCAGCAGCCTGTGGGGCAGGGAGAAGGACGCTTAGAACATAACTTTTATGAGTAAGCGTAGTACCCAATTTGTCCTTTAATCCTCCCAACAATTCTGCAATGCAGGCTGTCTCTCCCCATTTACAGGCCAAGAAGCTGTGCCTCTGAGGGTCCAGGGACTGGATCAAGGTCACCCAGCTGTGTCAGTGGTGGAGCCAGAATCTAAAACTGGCATCTGGCACCTAGAAATATGTAAGAAAGAAGTAAGTTCCAGGCTGGGTGCGGTGGCTCATGCCTATAATCCCAGCACTTTGGGAGGCTGAGGTGGGTGGATTGCCTGAGGTCAGGAGTTCGAGACCAGCCTGGCCAACATGGTGAAACCCTGTCTCTACTAAAAATACAAAAATTAGCCGGGTGTGGTGGCACGCACCTGTAATCCCAGTTACTCAGGAGGCTGAGGCACGAGAATTGTTTGAACCCGGGAGACGGAGGTTGCAGTGAGCAGAAATCGCACCACAGCACTCCAGTCTGGGTGACAGAGACTCCGTTCAAAAAAAAAAAAGGAAGTACCATAGTACCGTGTGTGTGTGTGTGTGTGTGTGTGTGTGTAAAATGAATGAGTTACTGGCTGGTTCTTGCCTCTCTACCAAGACCTCTGCCACACTGGGCCTACATTTCCAACCAGTCCCAAATGGCCGAGTGGCTGCTCCCTCAAGACAGGCATGCCATCTCCAGTTGGCCTCAGGTCTCACCTATCAATTTGCTCACTTGTGACCCCTGCCGTGGCCCACTTCCAGTCTTGACAACCCCCTCAGTCCATGCTCCACACAGAGCTTTCTAAGAACACTGGAAGCCCTCCAGCAGCATTCTCCTGCACTTAGAAGGGCAGCATCATTTATTTTTGTATCCCTGGTACCTAGCAAAATGCCATGTGCACTGAGCTGCTAATTTGACTGAAGGAATCCTCAACATTAAGGCAGTAGAGAGCAGTGACCCATGAATCTCAGCCCTTGCAGAAGCACACTCCATTCAGTCACTCCAAGTTCTCAACCTTCCCAGGGCTTCCATCACACCTGAAATAAAGTCCCCACTCCTTACTCTGGCCAGCAAGGTCTAGTGGGATCTGGCTCCAACACTTTCTGGCCTCCTCCCCACCCCTGTCCCCTGAACTTCACTCCAGTCCCACTGGCCTCCTTGCTGTTCCTCCAACGTCTCCTGCCGCAGGAGTCTGCTGTTCCTGCTTGCCTGGAGCACCTGACCCCAGGTCGTCGCCTGCCTCACTCCCTCATTTCACAACCATGACTCCCCTCAAATGTCACCTCCTAGGGGAGGCCTTCCCTGACTGCCTTGTCTAAAACAGTACACCACCCCCGTCTCTCTCTGCCTGTCCCCTTACCTTCCTTGATTTTTCTTCTCAGTTTTTTTTTTTTTTGAGACACAGTTTTATTCTGTCCCCCAGGCTGGAGTGCAGTGGC
The DNA here is from genome assembly GCF_000001405.40 of Homo sapiens. Taxonomy (NCBI): domain Eukaryota; kingdom Metazoa; phylum Chordata; class Mammalia; order Primates; family Hominidae; genus Homo; species Homo sapiens. Next base: position 31,668,381 of record NC_000020.11, read on the forward strand.
ACAAACTGGGCTCACAGCAACCTTTGCTTCCTGGGTACAAGCGATTCTCCTGAGTAGCTGGGATTACAGACATGTGCCACCATGCCCAGCTAATTTTTATATTTTTAGTAGAGATAAGGTTTTGCCATATTGGCCAGGCTGGTCTCAAACTCCTGACCTCAAGTGATCCGCCCACGGCCTCCCAAAGTGCTGGGATTACAGGCACGAGCCACCATATCTGGCCTTTTTTTTTTTTTTTTTGGAGACAGAGTTTTACCCTTGTTGCCCAGGCTGGAGTACAATGGCGCGATCTCAGCTCACTGCAACCTCCGCCTCCCAGGTTCAAGCGATTCTCCTGCCTCAGCCTCCCAAGTAGCTGGGATTACAGGCGCGTGCCACCACACCTGGCTAATTTTGTATTTTTAGTAGAGACGGGGTTTCTCCACGTTGGGTCAGGCTGGTTTCAAACTCCTGACCTCAGGTGATCTGCTCACCTCGGCCTCCCAAAGTGCTGGGATTACAGGCATGAGCCACCATGCCCAGCCACCATTTTTTTTTTCTTGTTTTTAAAAGATGTGCCCAGACTGACTTTGAACTCCTGGACTCAAGCAATCTTCCTGCCTCAGCCTCCTGATTACAGGAACTACACTACACAGAATGACCACCATGCCAGCTTTTCTTCTCAGTGCTTTATTTTTTAATTTTTAAATTTTTGTGACAGTGTCTCACTCTGTTACTCAGGTTAGACTGTAGTGGCGCAATCATGGCTCACTGCAGCCTTGACCTCCTGGGCTCAGATGATCCTCCTGCCCCAGCCTCCTGAGTAGCTGCCACACTACAGGCACACACCACCATGCCTGGCTAATATTTCTAAATTTTTTGTAGAGACAGGGTCTCACTTTGTTGCCTAGGCTGGTCTCAAACTCCTGGGCTCAAGGGATCCTTCTGCCTCAGCCTCCCAAGTGCTGAGATTACAGGCGTGAGCCACCATGCCCGGCCTCACCACCTCACCACATTTTTCCCCCATTAAGCTGTACTTCTCATAACTAGATTCTGTACTTTGTTTTTGTTGTGATGTGTCTTCCATACTAGATGTGTCTTTTTTTTTTTTTAGACGAAGACTTGCTCTGTCACCTAGGCTGGAGTGCAGTGGTGCAATCTTGGCTCACTGCAACCTCCGCCTCCCGGGTTCAAGCCATTCTCCTGCCTCAGCCCCCCGAGTAGCGCCTGCCACCACGCCTAGCTAATTTTTGTATTTTTAGTAGAGATGGGGTTTCACCATGTTAACCAGGCTGGTCTCAAACTCCTGACCTCAAGTGATCTGCCCTCTTCAGCCCCAAAGTGCTGGGATTATAGGCGTGAGCCACTGCCCTCGGCCTATACTAGATGTGTCTTGATGAGGGCAGAGGTCCTGTCTCGTTCCTATACACCCAGTGCTCAGAACAGTGTCTTGCTCTGTAAATACATGAGAATACATGAGTTAACAAATGTATTGCATGTCTACTACATGTCAGGCATTGGTATCCCATTTCATCTTCATCAGAATCCTGAGATGTAGATTTGAGCCACATTTCACAAATAAGATGCCTGATATTTAAAGCAGGGAACACTCAGCAAACAGATAGCAGAGTCGGGATCAAACTGCAAGACTGCCTAGCTTCAAAGGGAGGGCTGCTATGTCAGGACACTTCCCTGAAGTTGGAGGCTGGAGGGACCTGTCCTGTCAGTAGTGCTGAAAGGATGGATTTCCAGGAGAAGGAATGTGGGAGCAGGGTTGAGGTGGAGGATCTGGGGAAAGGAGGGCACTAGGGCCGTGGCTATGCTTCCCTGTCTCCCTCTCCATCCTAGCTAGCCTCTGCGGGTCTTGGCAGACAAAAATATTCTTACAGGAGGTTTGATTTTGTTGCTCCCAAGTACACCCAGGTGGAGTCACAAAATAGGCTTATCTGTGATGGGGGAGAGTTCCACACTATGAAGAGCATAGGAGAAGGCCCTGGTTATCCCAAGAGGCCAAATGTCTCTCAAGAAACCAGGGACACTGGGGTTGCAGCCAAAATGGGAGAGGCCTGGCTCCCTTGATGGGAACTTTCCTGAAGTAGACGGCTGGCAGCCACAGGAAATTTTCAGCTCTGGGGCTGGGTTGGAGTAAACAGGCGCTGTCCCCACAAGGGCACAAAGCATTCACTGTCCAGAAACAGTCATTCCTGGGTGGAGGGAACATTCTCATTTCAGTGCCATAGAAACATTCTCATTTCACCTGCCCCAGCTTCCACTCATGTGTTCCTGGTCATGACAACCTTCATTTCCATTTCAGCTTCTTTTCCTGGGGAAGGGGAGTAGTATTTCCAAGGGGTGTGGATTCTAAGGATTGCTTTTGCGGAGACAGCATGAGCAAAATGGGGCGTGCTGTTCCAGGGCGGGTGCTGGAGAGGCGGTGGCGTGGGTATATTTAGCCCATGGTTCACACGACACACTTGGAAATAAACAGAGCCATTTTCTCAGCAGGCGGCTGCTCTGGATAAATAAACAGGATTGCAGAGCAGCCCTGGTCTGGAAAAGCAGAGATAAGCCCCTACTGCACCTTGGGTGGCTCCCACTGGTTTTAACCAGGCTGGCATGGTAGGCAGGGGATGAGGTTTAAGAGTGGGTTGTAGGGAGGTCTCTGATGTCACAAAGGTTTCTAGGAGACCCAGGCCCAAGGGCCTGTCTGCATCCTCTGCTTGAGTTAAGAGGAAAGTGGGGTAGCTGACTTCCATGTGGGGGTTTGTAGGGCCACTGGCGACAGGCAATGGCTAATGACCTCCACAGGAGAGTCATGGATTCCTAGCCAGGTAGGCCCATGAAGTCAGCAAGGCCAACCCACCTGCCCATTCTACGTTTCCACTGCTGGTTTGTAGTAGAGCCTACACTAGAAAACTGGGTCTCCTGACTTGGCCCCTAGGAGATGCCCAGGCTAGTATCACTTTCAAGGTCCTTCTTCCAATACTTCAAGAGGCTTCAACAGTCCTGGCCACCCACTTGGAATGGCCCCACACTACATACTCCTGAGTGCTTCAGGCCCTGGTGCCTTTGCCAACACTGTCCTTTAACTGGTCACTCCATATCTTCCTCAGTTAACCAACCCCTACTAAGCCTATAGGACTCCATTTTGGAGTCCCCTCTTCCCTGCTCATCCCTCCCCAACCTCTGGGATGAATGTCTCCTTTCTGTTCCCAGACTCCTTGGACTTCTGTTTATACCAGGGGTATGCACTGAGGCTGGCATTGGAGACTCAGCCGTGAGCAAGGCTTCCATGGAGCTTATGTTCTAGTCCATTCTCAATGGTGGTAAGATCACCTCCAATGGCGTGAAGTGAAGCATTCTTAGACATTACAGTGATTTGTGGCTCTCCACAGGGCCACAGCACATAAGGAGATATAGAGTATATAGTATATATAGTATATAGGTATTGCCCTCCCATGAAATTTGAATACCTCAGCTATACTATACTATATATACCATATATATACACACAATATGTAGTATATATAGTACTGTATATACTATATATATACTTTACATATACTATATATTATATATTATACATATCTATATCTATATATACTATATATAGTATAGTATAGCTGAGGTATTCAAATTTCATGGGAGGGCAATTAGGACAAAAAAATCTGAAAAAGACTCCTTGCAGGGGTGGATGATAAAAAAAAAAGGTTGAGAAACCCTGTCTTACTGGGAAGCAGAGAGGATAACAAGAAAAAAAAAAGATAATTTTAGAGATGATAGGGTTTTAAGTCCTGGGGAGGTGACAGAGAATATCTGGGGGAGCCGGGCACAATGACTCATACCTGTAATCCCAGCACTTTGGGAGGCCGAGGCAGGCAGATCACCTGAGGTCAGGAGTTCAAGACCAGCCTGACCAACATGGTGAAACCCTGTCTCTACCAAAAATACAAAATTAGCTGGGTGTGGTGGCAGGCATCTGTAATCCCAGCTACCTGGGAGGCTGAGGCAGGAGGACTGCTTGAACCCAGGAGATGGAGGTTGCAGTGAGCCAAGATCACATTATTGTACTCCAGTCTGGGCAACAAGAGCAAAACCCTGTCTCAAAAAAAAAAAAAAGCCTGTTTTAGCAGAGGTAATAAGTGCAAAGGCCCTGAGGTGGGAGGGAGAGGAGGGGTGTTCCTGGGTTGATGGCCTCTGTGTGCCTGGTTTCCCCCAACAGTCTGGGGGCTCAGTGCAGGCAGGGACCAAGTCTGGCCCAGGACCTACTCAGACAGGCACAGACTGACTTCAGCTAGATCTCTGCCCAGAGGCAGCCAACTGAACGATGCAGGTCACCTTGTAGGTGCCTGTGACCCTGTAGAAGTCAGGTGAAAAGGTTGGCATGATGCCCTGAGGAAAGGGGCCCAAGTGCCAGAGGACCAGCCAGAGGCTGAAGTATAGTCCCTACTTGAATCTGATCTTTTAGTTCCCATCCTGGCTTCACTGCCCACATTTCCTTCTTTTTTTTTTTCTTGTAAATTTTTGGAGAGATGGAGTCTCACTACATTGCCCAGGGTGGTTTCAAACTCCTGGCCTCATCCTCCTACCTTGGTCTTCCAAAGTACTGGGATTATAGGCATGAGCAACTGTGCCCACCCTTCCCACTTCTTCCAAGTAGTGTGACTTTGAGCAGGTTACTTCACCTCTCTGGTCCATGGTGTCCTTGCTTTTTTTTTTTTTTTTTTTTTGAGATAGCCTCTCACTCTGTTGCCCAGGCTGGAGTGCAGTGGCATGATCTTGGCTCACTGCAACCTCAGCCTCCCAGGTTCAAGCAATTCTTCTGCCTTAGTCTCCCAAGTTGCCTGGGATTACAGGCACCCGCCACCACACCTGGCTAATTTTTTGTAATTTTAGTAGAGGTGGGGTTCCACTATGTTGGCCAGGCTGGTCTGGAACTCCTGACCTCAGGTGATCCACCTTCCTTGGCCTCCCAAAGTGCTAGGATTAAAGACATGAGCCACCGCACCCAGCCCTTACTTGTTAACAGTAATAAAATACTTTAGGAGCTGAGGCAGGAGGATTGCTTGAGCCCAGGAGTCTGAGACCAGCCTGGGCAACACAGGAGGACCCTGTCTCTACAAAAAAATTAAAAAAAAAAAAAAAATTAGCTGGGTGTGGTGGTATGCATCTATGGTCTCAGCAACTCAGGATGCTGAGGAGGATCTTTGAGCCTGGGAGGTCAGGGCTGCATTGAATCATGTTTGGGGCCACTGTACTCCAGCCTGGGCAACAGAGTGAGACCCTGTCTCAAAAAAACAAAAGATAAAAGCAAAGAAACAAAAAACTATTATTATGACAGCTGACCATTACCAAACATTTCAGTGTTTCACCTGTGCTGGGCACTGAGCTATAAAGCAGTCTATGCACACTAGGCCATATTTCCCAATTACATGTACAATCATCATATTCACTTGAGAGATTATTTTTTGTCCTGTCTCCCCCACTTGACTGTGTGTGGCTCTGTCACCTGTATCTCTAGAACCTGGTGTGCTATACTTGGAACACAGCAGATGCCATTCTAAATAAATCTATTTTAGAAGAACAAATGAATGCTTTCATTTGATCCTCATAACATTTATCAATAGCCCCATTTTACATATGTGAAAATGGAGGCTCCAGAATTTACCCAAGATCCCTATCTAGGAAGTGGCAAGAGTAGGATCTGTCTGAGTTCTGGCCTCACACCATTCTTTTTCTTTTAATCTATCCAAGATAGTACTTCATTCACACTCATTCTGATGTCCAATCTTGCCATCTTAGACCCTGCTATCTCTACCCACAGAAAACCTGACTTCCTTAGTGACTTCAGCAGCAGCGCACACTTCCTGAGCACATACTCTGTAAGGTACTCTTCTTGGTTTTTTTGTAGATTAGTTCATTAGTTGTCTCTACACTCTGTCAGTGGGTACTACCATTAACCCATATAGCTGATGGATATGTGGCCCACAGATGATCTGTGAATTGCTCAAGGCCATGTAGTGAGCTGGTGACCTAACTGGGATGCCTACACCAGCAATCTGGTTCAGTGCCTTTACTCCTAACGTTGATGCAGTACTCTGCTCAGTTTCTAAAGGACAATCATGGGCCAGGTCCATGTACTTCTGTGGCTGAGGAAGGCCTTCATTCTAAGTCCAGGTAACCTGAGGCTCAGAGATACTGAGACCTAGCTAAAGTGGATAAGTGGCAGCTAGCTGTGATGGCTCACACCTGTAATCCCAGCATCTTTGAGAGTTCAAGGTGGGCAGACTGTTTGAGCTCAGGAGTTCGAGACCAGCCAGGGCAATATGGTGGGACCCCCATCTCTATAAGAAAAATCTTAGAAATTTAGCTGAGTGTGTTGGCATGCACCTATAGTCCCAGCTACTCAGGAGACTGAAGTGGGAGAATTGCTTGAGGCTGGGAGGTTGAAACTGCAGTGAGCTGTGACAGCACCACTGCACTCCAGCCAGGGCGACAGAATGAGACCCCGTCTCAAAAAAAAAAAAAAAAAAAGGGAAGCCATTTTTAAGCCCCAGTATGTTTGGCAGCAAACCCCATATTCTGAGCCAGGGCCATGGCCCTGGGTCTGTCAAGGAGGGTAAAGTAGCCTGAGGCCATCAGCTGAATGAATAAGCACTGGCTCCTGCCAGCTGAGGGGAACTGGTGCCACAGGAAAAGGATGTGACGAAGACCAGGAGGGAAAGTGAAACCCTTCCGTCCTGGCTTCAGTGAGGAACAAGCATGCCTGTGCCAGACGAACCCTTCCTTCCTCTTGGGTGACTCTGGAGGGCCCAGGCCCATTGCTTCCTTCCTGCTTGGTTATTTCAGGAAAGAGGTAGGTGGAGAAGAGGAAGAGGCTACTAGCAGCCAGGAAAAGTGCCAGGGACACCAGAACTGTACCTTGTTCTGTCCTTCTCACATCCCTGCATTGGCAGGCTGTGAGTCACCTGCAGAGTCACCTTATGCTCCTGGCCTCAGTTTCCCTGAGGGAGAGGCTGATAAATGTGTGCTGAATAGACAAACATGGCCTTGCTAGAAGATCGCTGGGAGATGGTAGGAAGGGGGTAGGGCAAACGGAGAGGCCTTATCACTCTTTTGGCAGGGAGTTGCAGGCGGAGACTCGGAAGAAGTGAGGTTTGTGGTTGGAATCCACTTCCTCTGGTTTTCCCAGGGGAGCTGTTGGCTCCCGAGATGTGAGAAGAACATGGCCTTTCTCCTCTCCCCCACGGAAACATAGGCCTGGAGGTGGGCAACTTGGAGAAGCAGCTCAGTGGAGGCAGGGCAAAGAGAGGGGTGGCAAGACTGTGTTGGGGTCAACACCTCAGTCCAGCCGGCCCAGGTATGGGTGGGTGCCACAGCAAGCCTTTTGGCTTCTGAGCCTCAGTTTCTCCTGCCTTGACCTCCCTAGCAGTAGTGGTGAGATCAGGGGGTGTCATAGAGGGCTCAAGCCATCTGGGCTATAGGGAATATTTGGTGGTATCCTCACAACAAACTTCATGTTTATCTTCCTCCAACTCTGACCTGTTCAATTCAGCTGCCAGCCTCTCCTCCTCCACCTCCTCCCCCACCATTAGTTCTAAGAAGCTGTGCCTGACAGATGCACTTGCATTTCTCAGAAAAGGAAGCGGTTGTGCCGGGAGGAGATAACACCTCCGCTGGGGAATCGAGAAAGCTATCAGGCCTAGCAGTGCGAGTGTGGGCTCTCCATCTCTCTGGCTCAGAACCAGGGTGATGGGCTTGGGGGCAAAGAGAGAGAATTCAGAAAAGCATTTACTGGGGGCAGAGATGCTCATTTGGGGGCTCATAACCTCCTTCCCTGGAACCGATGGAGATAAAACAGCTGATGTTTACTAAGTACCAGGCATGGTGCTAAGTGCTTCGTGTGTAAAGAATTTGCTTAATCCTCACAATAATCCCACCGAGTACATGCTGTTATTACTCTCCAGCTTACAGATGAGGAAACAGAGGCAGAGAGGATAAATCACCCTCCCAAGGTCACAGAGGCCACAAGTGGTAGAGTTGGGATTTGAATACAGGCAGTCTGTCTCCAGAGTCCAAACATTTAACTGTTCCTGGGTGGCTGCTATGTGCTCATATAGGCTCATCCCCTGGGATTCCGATGCCTCCCGTCATCTCAACTCTCTCATTTCAACCCTGGTGACTCCCTATTCTTTCGTAAGTAGATGGCCACAGCCCTCCATTCTTCTCCCAGTGTCCAGGGTGAGAAAAACCAATACTCACCCTTGGAACAGAGTCGGAGACTCCAGGGACCTTACAGCATGCCCATCCAACCTTCCATGTAATACTCAAGCTCACCACGAACACCCCCATTTCACAGACAGGGTTCAGAAGGGTGGAGTGCTGAAGTCCCACAGTGGGTCTGTTTCATTCTGATGGTCCACACCCATGGGAGTTGGTAGTCATCTCGAGGGCATTCTCTCCTTATGCACTTATGGAGAGCTCCCTCCTTCCTGGGTGGGACATTTCATCTTCGGACAGCCCCGTTGGAAAACTCTTCCCTGTCAGGGAGCTGATGCTCGTCTCCCTCTGTCTCCCTTGACTGGCTGGTCTTAGTTCTGCTCTCTCTCCGCTGCTGCTCTCCTGCTCTCCTCCAAGTATCAGTTGTCTCATTTGTGAAATGGAAGTGCTATCTGGATAAAGGCAATTAATTTCTACTTCTCTACCAAGCTGGGCTGCCAGAGCACAGAGCAGGCAGAGAACCAATAAGTCTTGCAAACTAGATTAAGATATTTTGCTTTTGACCTCATCTGTAAAATGCGGATTAAAAAAATCCTTATTTAATTTTTTTTTTTTTTTTTGAGACAGAGTCTCACTCTGTCGCCCAGGCTGGAGTGCAGTGGCACAATCTTGGCTCACTGCAACCTCTGCCTCCCACGTTCAAGTGATTCTTCTGCCTCAGCCTCCCAAGTAATTGGGACTACAGGCATGCACCACCATGCCTGGCTAATTTTTTTGTATTTTTAGTAGAGACTGGATTTCACCATGTTGGTCAGGCTGGTCTCAAACTCCTGACCTCAAATGATCCACCCACCTCGGCCCCCCAAAGTGCTGAGATTACAGGCGTCAGCCACTGCATCTGGCCCAAAATGTCCTTATTTCAAAAGAATACCATGAGGATTCAAATTAATACATGTAAAGGTCTTAGAATTGTGCATGGCACATAGTTAACTTTGAGTAAATGTCTGGTTTATTGTTCTTACTAGTAGACCATGGCTCAGCTTGTGTCTCGGAGCCTTCTCTATGGCTTACAAGGGCCTGCAGGGTTTTCTCAGCTTCACCTAGGGCCAGGCTGCTTCATTCCTCACATGCCATGTTCTGTTCAGACTCAGGACCTTTGCCCACACTGGTGCTTCTACCAAGCTCTGTCCCACTTATCTCTGAGGTCTTAATCCACAGGTCACTTTCTCAAGGAGCCTAGCTGCTCACTTCTTCCCCCATCTGACCATGGGCTCTGTCCCCTAGGCCTTGCCCAGTGCTGGGTCCAGAGAAGGTGCTGAAGAGTCTGGCTGAGTGTTGGACAGAGAGGAGGGAAGAGAAGAAAGGCCAGTTCCCACTCTCTTCATCCCTTTCCTCACTGCCTGGCAAAACTAGAAAGAGGCCCCAATATAGCAGGTGATTATGCAAGGTGTCCAGTATTCTCCAGACACTTTCTCTCAGGATAAGGAAAGGGGACAGGAAGCTTATGGGAAAGTTCTAGAAAAGGCATCTTTTGCACTGTGCTGAGGCAACAGGCAGGAATGGGGTAGCAATCTCCAAAAACTAGGACTTCTTTCTGAGGTCTTTGACCCCAAGTGCTCCATAGTCCAAAGCAGCTTCTCCTTCCTCCTCTCCACCCAAAGCTATGGCGACTCCCTTGTCTGATGCAGATCAGTGCTGGATGCTGTGGGGAAGAGAGTACTGGGCTGACAGTCAGTGGATGTGGATTTTGTTTCCCAGTTCCATCGCTGATTTGCAGGTGAGTCCTTTCCCCTGCCTGAGACTCTGGGAAAGTATGGGCCTTTCCCCAACTGTCAAATGAAGTGGGAATCATCTCAAAGGGCTCCGTCTAGGGCTACAGCATAAGGAGAATGAAAGTAACTCATGCAGACAGATGAGTGACTACCAGGGTTCTCTCTCTCAGGGGTATCCAAAAGATCCAGTAATTAGTGTGTAAATTGAGAAGCAACATTCTGAAGTAGGAGAACTTGTTGCCACAAAGGAGTCTGATCCTTCTCCACCTCAAAGCCCGCTGGGCATTGCTCTGAACCTGCAGGATTCCAGGGGAAGAGAGCAATAGGCACATCTATGACCAGGCAGACTCCTGGGCAAGGCTAGATCTTTCCACGCTCTAGCTCCTGTGGCCTCGACCTCTTCACCCCAGCACCGCCTCCAACTAGTCCAGACAAGTCCCAAGTATTTTCAGCCACCTTTATCTGATCAGAAATGTTTGGAATTCCACAGCAGAAGGCAACAGCTCTGGAGGATTTGGGGAAGGGAGCAAATCCCTGCAACACCCTTCTCTCCCCACTGTACAGATGAATGCTCACACCCCATGTAACCAAAAACTCAGGGCTGAAGGCACCCACGGTGTTGCATTTCCTTCTATTCTGTGATGTGATGGAACTGGGAAACAAAACCCACATCCACTGACTGTCAGCCTCATACTCTTCTCTGCAGCATCCAACATTGATCTGCACCAGACAAGGGAGTGGGTTCCTTCTTGTTTTCTACCCTATTCATTTCTGCCCCAGTCCATTACCCCTTTAAGGTGCAGAACAGTAAGATGCCTGAGATGGTGAGAAGAGGGCTAGGGTACTTTGCCTGATGTCGAGGGAGGGGGCACCCAGAGGTGTGCTGTTCACAGTCAATACCCAGAGCACCACCACCAGGAGGCCTGGAAGCAACTCACTGTCCCACTTGATGTGGCCTGTGGACCACCAGAAATTTCAGAGCGTCACAGAGATGTGTGGTTCGATCCTGAGCAGGTAAGAAACTGAGGCCCAGAGGAAGTGAAGGGATACCTCCAAGGCTTCATACAGGGACAGAGCACAGCCTGGTCTCAGGCCTCCCTACCCTGGAGTGAGACAGTGTGGCTTCCAACCCTAGTTCTGTGACTACCTGGTTGCAGGACCTGGAGCAAGACACTTTCCCCCTCCAAGCCTGGTGTTCCGGCTGCAAAATGAAAACAGCTGTACTTACTTCACAGGCCTAGCAGCAGAGTTCAATGGTCCATGGTAAGCGTTCTGTAAATGTTAGCTGCTGCTGCTGCTGTTGTTATTATTATCGTTATTAATTGAGACGAAGTCTCACTCTGTCTCTGTCGCCCAGGCTGGAGTGCAGTGGTGTGATCTCTGCTCACTGCAACCTCTGCCTCCTGGGTTCAAGCGATTCTTGTGCCTCAGCCTCCTGAGTAGCTGGGATTATAGGCATGTGCCACCACACTAATTTTTGTATTTTTGCAGGCTAATTTTTGTATTTTTAGTGGAAATGGGGTTTCGCTATGTTGGCCAGGCTGGTCTCGTACTCCTGGCCTCAAGTGATCTGCCTGCCTCAGCCTCCCAAAGTGCTGGGATTATAGGCATGAGCCACTGCACCCAGCCTGTTTTTTTATAGCTAAAAAATCAGTGGCTCCATTTGTGCTTCTCATAGTGTCTCTCTTATTTGTAGCTATAAACAAACAAAAAGTAACAGCTAGTATTTGCTGAACTAATATTTACTGTTTGAATTCTCAAAATCTTGCAAGTAGGTGCTGTTCCCATTTTACCAATGAGGAAACTAAAATTCAGCGAAGTGATGAGACTTTGCCTGAGGCCCCTGGTTACTAGTGAGGGCATTCAACTTCACAGCATGTTAAATTTACCAGTGCAACAGGATACATGAAGAGATTTTACTAAGACCTTCTTTCCTTCACCCTTTCACCTACCCAATATTTACTGAGAATCTGCTATTCTTAGGCCTTCGAAGTCAGAGATGACTTTAAGTACATGGAAGTAGCATTCCCCCCTGGTTCCCTGGGTGCCTTGAGGGGTGAGAAAGGGAAGAGTGTGCTGAGGCTACTCAGTGATGAACCCACTTTCCCCTAAGCCAGATCTGCAAGGACAGTACTTGCAGAGAGAGTTCCTCCCTCTGTCTGATCTTTATCTTGGAAACAAAAGTGATGCCACGTAGCTTTGGTGAAGCTATTAGATGAGTTTTCTAAGATGGGACATGACCTATTTGTAAGCCAGGCTGACCTATGGAGTTGTAGGAAGGCCCAGACAGGCTGCCTTCCCTAGCTTTGGACACTCAGTCATTCAACAAATCTTCATTAAGTGCCCACTAAGAGTCAGGCACTGTACTAAGCGCTGGGGATAAAGCAGTGACTAAATAGAATGAAAATTCGTACCTGTATGAGTTTATAATCAAATGGGAAGAGACAGGCAATAAACATGTCAGACGGTGATGCATTAAGAAAGAATAAATGTGAGAAAGGGGGTACAGAGAAACATGGAAGAAGGTAAGATTAGAATCCATGGTCAGGGACAACTTCTTAAGGAGGTGAATTTGATCAGAGACCTGAATGAAATGAGGAAACAGGCACTGCAAAGATCTGAGAAAAGGCTGTGGGAACAAGTGCAAAGGCCCAGAGGCAGGAACACGCTTGAGGTGCTCCAGGAACAGGAAAAATGCCAGTGTGGCTGAAGTCCAGTGAATGTGAGGAGACTGGTGGTGATGAGATCTGGAGGTAGCCAAGGGCCCGATTGTGTGGGGCCTGGTAGGCCATTTAAAGACTTGGGCTTGTCCTGGGAAAGCACTGTAGGGTTTTGAGCAGGGGAAGGACATGACCTGACCTTGGTGTTAAATAGCGTCCGTCTGGCTGCTGGGTGGAGATCTCCAGGGGTCTGGTGAGATAATCAGGAAAATATGACAGTGGCTTAGCCACAATGGTGCCAGGGAAGTTGGTGAGAAGCAGTCAGTTTCAGAATTTATTTTTTAAAGTAAGGCTGGGCCAGGTGTAGCGGCTCATGTCTACAATCCCAGCACTTGGGAGGCCGAGGTGAGAGGACTGCTTGAGTCCAAAAGTTTCAGACCAGTCTGGGCAACATGGGAAAATCCTATTTTTACAAAAAAATGACACAAAGTAGCCAGGCGTGATGGCATGTTCCAGCTATTCCGGAGGCTGAGGTGGGAGGACTGCTGGAGCCCAGGAGGCTGAGGCTGCAGTGAGCCATGACTGCGCCACTGCACTTCAGCCTGGAAGACACAGCAAGATACTGTTCTTAATCAATCAATCAATCAATAAAAGTAGAGCTGAAAGGATTTGCTGATGAATTAGATGTGGACTGTGGGAGTTGCCTGCCCTCTTGGCCCTCTGTTTCCCATCTATAAAAGGCGAGAGAAGAGGCCCTTGGGGATTTCTTTCCAGTTTGATAACTATGAGGACCTATATGAAGAAAGAGATAAAGCAACTATTTCTGCTGCTCTCATGGAAGCAAAATCATTTGCTCACCAGGCCTCAAAGTGTGGATGGCAATAAGATGAGGAAGGCAGAGATGGACAGAGACAGTGCAGCAAAGGGAGGGCAGGGCTCTGCCTAGGCTGTGGCTATTCCACTTTCAGCACACACATTACCGCCAGGCATATGCCAGGCCACAGAGTAGACAGGCTCCAGTGGGAGCGGGGGTCAGGGTAGCTTGCTTTATATTAGGAGAGAAGAAGCATCAGAGCTGCCGTTGTCCAGGGCCTACTAGGCAGAAGGTGCTCAGTGACTGACTGACTGACTGAGTGAATGAATGAATAAATAAATAAGGTAATGCCAGAAGGCCAGTATATGTGCAAGAACTTCCCAAGTCCTTCCAAATTAACAGGAGGTAGGCCTGGTCCAAAGGATTGCTCTCCTGTCACTTTATCTGCTTATTCTAGGCTGAGCTTCAAGTTCTTGTTCTCTGTGAATGGGAGACTATGTGGTCTGAATCACTGAAGCAGGATTTTAGAGCTGGAAGGCAGCACAGACACATTTGGTCCACTCTATCCACAATTTCAGCCATCACTGCTTTGACCTTATATGTGATTCTGTTATTATTTACTTAACATTTTTCTTTTCAAGACAGGGTCTCACTCTGTTGCCCAGGCTAGAGTGCAATCGTGTGATCAAGGCTCACTGAGGCCTCAACCTCCCAGGCTCAAGCAATCCTCCTGCCTCAGCCTCCCGACTAGGTGGGACTACAGGTGTGCATCACCATGCCTGGCTAATTTTTTTTTCTTTTTCTTTTTTTGTAGAGATAAGGTCTCACTATGTTGCCCAGTCTGGTCCTGAACTACTGAGCTCAAGCTATTCTCTCGCCTTGGCCCCCCAAAGTGCTGGGATTATAGCTGTGAGCCACTGTGCCTGGCCTACTTAACATTATTCTATCAATTTACTTACTTTTTATAAATTTAAATACATGTACTGAAAATTCTCAATTTATTCCCTAAACCTGTTCTTTCTGCATCTTTCTCATCCTTAAATCCCCTCTAACACTCATCTGTCAATATATCCTGATGAATCTGTATTCCAAATTTATCTAGAGTCCCACCATTTCCCACCACCTCCACTGCTATTATTTGGTCCAAGCCAGTATCATTTCTTGCCTGTATTGTCCTAACAGCCTCCTTACTGGTCTCCCAGCTTCTTATCGACTCCATGGTTCCTTCACCACATGGCAGCCAGAGGGGTCAGCAAAGTCAGTTTCCTGTCTGCTCAAAACCCTCCACTGCCTTCCCATCTCACCCAGAGGAAGAACCAAAATGTCTCACCACTGCTCACACAAACTTTCCTTTCCAATCACTTCTCCTCTGCTTACTCTGTTCTAGCCACACTGATCTCCCGTGCTCTTCCTCAAACATGCCAGGCACACCATTCCCACCCTTTGGCCTCTGCACTTGTTCCTTATGTCTGGAATGTTTTTTCCATAGACTGTTACATGGTTTCCTCCCTCAGACAGATCATGCAGATCTCTGCTCATATGCCTGCTCCTCAGAGGCCTTCCTTAATTATCCTTTATTAAAAAGGCAAACACATACCAAAAGCTGCCTACCACCGGCCACCTAATCACTCTCTGTCCTCTTAGAATGTAAACTTCATGATGGCCCGGCGCAGTGGCTCACGCCTGTAATCCCAGCACTCTGGGAGAACGAGGCAGGTGGATCACCTGAGATCAGGAGTTCAAGACCAGCCTGGCCAACACAGTGAAACCCCGTCTCTACTAAAAATACAAAAATTAGCTGGGTGTGGTGGCGGGCACCTGTAATCCCAGCTACTCAAGAGGCTGAGGCAAAAGAATCGCTTGAACCCGGGAGTCAGAGGTTGCAGTGAGCCGAGGCTGCGCCACTGCACTCCAGCCTGGGCAACAAGAGTGAAACTCCATCTCAAAAAAAAAAAAAAAAAAAAAAAAAAAAAAAAAAAAAAGAATGTGAACTTCATGAAGGCAGGTATCCCCAGTAGCTAGAATAGTGGTTGACAGATAGTAGACACTTAGCAAATATTTGCTAAATAAATAAATGCAATGAAAAGGCAACTTATTATTCTTCCTATAAAGAGTATCATTTGCCCCAGATGGAAATCAACATAAAATACACTGACTATTAAAACAGAAAATGTCCATCTGCATATCACCTCTAAGTTACCTTGAAGATCCTGGTCTAACACCTTTACAGAGGAGATATTTGAGACCCAGGGCAGAGTCAGCCAGCTGACCGGAAGCCAGTCCAGAATGGCCCACAGGTACCCCCCAACATGCCTTGGAACCACAGCCCTGTCCCCCAGGGTGTGGACAAAGAGACTGAATCTCAGGAAAGGTATAGCTAGGTTGGACCAAAAGAACCTATCTGAGGGGCCAGAAAAGCCCTCCCTAGCAAGGCATAGAGCTAGCAGTTTTCCTGAAGAGAACAAAGGCCAAAGAGGCATGAGTGTGCCAGGCTGGGAGAGCCTCATGGGGCTGCACCGTGGGTGACAGGCACGTACAAACCTGTAAGTGAGGTCCACAGAGACCAGAGAGCTGAGAGCAGAAATGAAAACAGGATAGGTCCCAAAGGGTGGCAGCTTCAATCCGTAAACACCAGACAGGCGTGGGGTTCAGGTGTAGGTCTGGGGACCCAGCTGAGCCCAGGGGAAGGATGGGACCTCCCCAGTCTCCTCCGTCAGTGATGATTACTCTAAGGTGAGCTGAGCAGAAGCACCACCAATCCAGCTATAGTAACACCAGACATCAGACATTAAGGAGGGAAGAGCCAGATCTACCCTTCTCATCTCCACATTCCGGATGGTCTGTCTCCTCCCAAACCCACTCCACCCATATGAGCCCTCGGGGATCCAAACCCTATTAAGAAGGGACCATCCATTTCCCATCTTTGAGGGGCTTAGTGAACACGGCTACAGGTGCAGGGGTGAAGCTAGAGATGTTGTAACTGCCAAGCCAGCAATGCCTGACCTACATCTCCACGGTTGGTTGCATACAAAGAAAAATACCAGGGATTTCCGTTGGTGTTCACCACATGCAGCTGCCAAGGGAAGGCTGGGCCTTCTGAAGGCCTGTTGTGAATAGGGCAAGACAAGTGATAAGCTTGCTGGGATAGGCGAGAAGGCTGGCCTCTAAATTTACTGGCTCTGGGGACCTCCCTAGATTTTAGAGACTCTATATAATTTTTACCTGCTTTCTACCAAGGTCCTCCATTAAAGCTTTTTCTTCTTCTAGTATATTTTTATTAAGAATTGAGAAAGACAGCCAGGCGTGGTGGCTCACGCCTGTAATCCCAGCACTTTGGGAAGCCGAGGTGGGTGGATCACGAAGTCAGGAGATCAAGACCATCCTGGCTAACACGGTGAAACCCCGTCTACTAAAAATACAAAAAATTAGCCAGGCGTGGTGGCGGGTGTCTGTAGTCCCACCTACTCGGGAGGCTTAGGCAGGAGAATGGCGTGAACCCAGGAGGCGGAGCTTGCAGTGAGCTGAGATCGTGCCACTGCACTCCAGCCTGAGTGACAGAGCAAGACTCCATCTCAAAAAAAAAAAAAGAATTGAGAAAGAGAGAAAAAGAAGATTCTATTTGGAAAAATGTTCCCCAAACTAAACAGCTGTTCTTATTGTAAACCACTGGTATTTTCAGTGAGGCTCTAGTTCCGCACAGAAAAAAGGCAATTTGAAAGTTCCACATGGTCAGGTTCAAGAAACGTGAGCTTACTCCTGCTTTGTGGTGGCTCTATTTGGCTATGGTCCTGTCAATTAAGCACCACGGGCCTCACTTTTCTCATCTGAAAAGTGTGGAGGATGGATCAGATGATCTCTAAGGCTTTCTCTCCAGTTCCAAAGCACTAAGATCCTATCTCCGGGCCCTTTTTTTTTCCCCTCAAGGGAGCAGTGGAGTGTAAGGGAAAAGTAAGCTTTCTTGGCAGACAAAAGACTGAGTTCTAATCTCAGCAATGCCATTTATTAACTTACTGTGTAACAATGGCAACCCACTTCCCCTCTGGGGGCACCTCATTTTCTTCATATATAAACCAAAGACCCAAAAGTGCAGTGAACAGGTACTCTAGGAGGCCTTTGGCATTATTATTATGCCTCCCTTACATTGTTCACCCATTAGCATATCCTGGCCTCCCAAAGAACCTGTTCTTTACTTGACATTGCTCTGACTTGCAAACCCCTGTCCTTGAAAATTAACACGTTCCAAGAGCTATGCCATAGGAGCCCAAATAGCCTCTGGGTCCCCAACCCCCTTCTGATGTCAATAAAAAGATCACTGCTATTTATTCAATGTTTTGTATATGCCAGGCCCTCATGTGTGTTTAAAATTCTTATTTTATGAAGACATGGATGGTCACAAAGGTGAATTCACTTGCTCAAGATCCAACACACACAAAATGGAGGTGGTTCAAACCCAGGTGTGTCTGACTGCAGAGCCTGTGTTCTTCCCAGTAGAGATGTGGATGCAGCACAAATGGTAGAAAGGACCTGAGACTTAGTCAGAAGACCTCAGTTCACCCAAGGTAAGAGGAAAACCCTATTTACCTCCTCCTAGCATCGTCAGAGGTTCAATGAGATAATGTGTGAACACAAGGAAGCACTAGACAAACTTTAGTTAATGATCCTATGCTATTATTTTATGACTCCAGCCTGGGTTTCACCACATTTGCAAAGAGAGTGGAAGTAGCAAGCTGTAATATCTTAGAGATGTTACAGCCCCACTTCTCTGTTTTGTGTCCTACTCAGGCTTTCTTTTGTTCACATCTGGTCCATCCTTCTAGATTCCTGTTACTTGGACCCTCCAGGCCACCCAGCATGATACCCACAGTGTTCTCCCTGAAAGGCCATGGAGCGGAGGGAGTAAGGGGTAAATGGAAACCACAAGTCTTCTCTAAAACAGTGTGAAGTAGATAATCCAGACTTACCTTCCAGAAAGGGCCTCAAGCAATAAGAAAAAATAAAAAAAGGCAGAGAGAGCCAAGGGAAGCCCATGGAGACCATAGTTAAGTGAGGGCTTTTGAGTCCAATATATTGGACTTGTATTCTGTCTTTATTAGCATTCAACCTTAGGACTATAATTTAACTTACTTTACACTCAGTTTTCTAATCTGGACAATGAGGACAATAACATGTTTCCCAAGAAGGATTATTGTGAAGATTAAAAATACTACACTGGCCGAGTCTGGTGGCTCACACCTGTAATCCCAGAACTTTGGGAGGTCCAGGAGGGAGGATCATATGAAGTCAGGAGTTTGAGACCAACCTGGTCAAGACAACAAGACCTCCATCTCTACAAAAACAAAACAAAACAAAACAAACTACACTGTACCTTACAGCATCTTGCACATGGCAGGCACTCAATAAATAGCAGCAACTATACTGTCATTAGTAAATTAAGCACAGATGGGTCATCCCTAAAGGACCCTCTGATGGCCAATAGATGCACACTGAGAACCAGTGACTTGAGGCTCTCTATAGCAAGTGAAGCTCTGAACGGAGAAAATTCTCGGTCGGGCGCGGTGGCTCACGCCTGTAATCCCAGCACTTTGGGAGGCGTCGGCCTCCCAAAGGAAGGAGGATAACGCAGGAGGATAACGAGGTCAGGAGATCGAGACCATTCTGGCAAACACGGTGAAACCCCTTCTCTACTAAAAATACAAAAAAAAATAGCCGGGTGTGGTGGCACGCGCCTGTAATCCCAGCTACTCAGGAGGCTGAGGCAGGAGAATCGCTTGAACCCGGGAGTCGGAGGTTGCAGTGAGCCAAGATTGCCACTCCACTCCTCCAGCTTGGCGACAGAAAGAGACTCTGTCTCAAAAAAAAAAAAAAAAAAAAGAAAATTCTCAAACTCTTTCCCCGGGAGGGAGGCAGGCAGCTCAGTGTAGACCAGAGACCTCTGATCAGACATATGTGGGTTCCTCATAGCTTCCAGGCTGGCTGTTTTGTGGCCAGTTACCCTCTCTGAGCCTGATTCCTTATCTGTATTAGACAATAAGACCATATGTTCTTCCTCCTGAGAGGCAGGTAAAGGTGTACTGTAAGAGCACAGGCATCAGAGGATTGAAACCTGGGCTTAATCCTAGCTCTGCCACTTAATAGCTGGACCATGACCATGGCACCCTATTTAACCCTTCTGAGCTTCACTTATCTCATCTAAAAGCCTTCCTCTTTGAGTAGTTATGAGGATTATCAGATAATGTGCTGGTGCCTGGCAAATAGTAACAATTTCACTTGATACATGAAAGTGTTTATCTTATATCCAGGGCCAGGTACAGGAAGGCACTCAAGAAATGTGCTGATGGCCGGCGCGGTGGCTCACACCTGTAAATCCCAGCAATTTGATAGGCTGAGGTGGGTGGATCACCTGAAGTCTGGAGTTTGAGACCAGCCTGGCGAACATAGCAAAACCCTGTCTCTACTAAAAATACAAAAATTAGCCCAGCAAGGTGGTGGGCACCTGTAGTCCCAGCTACTTGGGAGGCTGAGGCAGAAGAACTGCTTAAACCCAGGAGGTGGAGGTTGCAGTGAGCCAAGATCGTGCCACTGCATTCCAGCCTGGGTGACAGAGCAAGACTCTGTCTCCAAAAAAAAAAAAAAAAGAAAGAAAAGAAAAAGAAAAGAAAAGAAAAGAAAGAAAAAGAAAAAGAAATGTGCTGAACCAAACTCTCCACTTGGGTGGAAGGGTGTTAAGAAAAAAGATTCTCCTGTAAACTGGTACCCACTGCTGTGGGCCCAGGCTAACTAACCCTATTAAAATCCCAAGTACACATACCCTTGGCCCCAGTAATTCCACTTTTAGGGATTCATCCCCCCCAGATATACTGTATTCATATATGGGCCAAATGACAAATATACAGGGCTATTCATTGAGTGTCACTATTATAACTGCAAAAGACTGGAAAAAAATGTGTCTACCAATGGGAACTGGTTAAAGTATAGAATAGTGCCCTGTGTAGAATACTATGCAGCATTAAAAAGACTGAGAAAGCTTTTATGTACTGACACAGAAAGATCTTAAGAGATACAACTTTGATATTTGCATCCTATGACAACAAAATAACACCACTACTGTGTAATCAACCACACTAGGGTTGCTACCATCTCTGACCCTTTGTCTTTGGATGCTGTTAAGCTAAAAGCGGACCAGGATCCATGATGAGGTTCCTCTATCCTCTGGGTTAAGTCTGTCCAGGTAAAATAATAGGGAAAGAAGAATACCATTAAAATAAAAATTGGCTGGACACAGTGGCTCATGCCTGTAATCTCAGCACTTTGGGAAGCCGAGGCAGGAGGACTGCTTGAGGCCAGGAGTTCAGGACTAGCCTGGGCAACGTGGCAAGACCCTGTCTCTATAATTAAAGAAGAAAAGGAAAGGAAGAAAGGGGAAGGGAAAGGGAGGGAAGGGGAGGGGGAGGGCAGGGGAGGGGAGGGAAGGAAGAAAGACAGCTGGGTGCAGTGGCTTATGCCTGTAATCCTACTAACACTTCAGGAGGCTGAGGCGGGTGGATTGCTTGAGACCAGGAGTTCGAAACCAGCCTGGGAGACATAGTGAGATCCCGTCTCTACAAAAAAAAGAAAAAAAAAAAGAAAGAAAGAAAATAAAAATTATCCCATGGTGGTCCTGGAAGAAACAAGGGAAGGTAGGAAACTTAATCCTAGAGGCAGTAGTAGTCAGGCTCTAGGAGAAGGGCTGGCAACCGCCTGAAAATCCCCTCCCCAGTCTTTCCTTACCACTCCCTCTCCTGTTTTCTTTAAAATCAGTCTCTTCCATGCCTGCTAAGACCACTTTATCAGGAACTCCTGAAAGTAGATGGAGACTAAATTGGCTCTGAAGAATACAAATGGCTAACAAAACGTTAAGAAAAGATGTTCTGCCAGGCGCGGTGGCGCACGCCTGTAATCCCAGCACTTTGGGAGGCTGAGGCGGGCGGATCACTTGAGGTTGGGAGTTCAAGACCACCCTGACCAACATGGAGAAATCCTGTCTCTGCTAAAAATACAAAAAATTAGCTGGGTGTGGTGGCACATGCCTGTAATCCCAGCTGCTCGGGAGGCTGAGGCAGGAGAATTGCTTGAACCCAGGAGGCGGAGGTTGCGGTGAGCTGGAGATCGCGCTATTGCACTCCAGCCTGGGCAACAAGAGCGAAACTCTGTCTCAAAAAAGAAAAAAAGAAAAGATGTGCTACCTCACAAGTAGCCCTGGAAATAGTCCTTGGATATTTTTAACTTTTTTTTTCCCCCTGTGACAGGGTCTCACTCTCATCCAGGCTGGAGTGCAGTGGCATAATCATGACTCAGTGCAGCTTCAACCTCCCGGACTGAAGAGATTCTCCTATTTTAGCTTCCCAAGTAGCTAGGAAGCTAGGACTACAGGTGTGTACCACTGCAAATGACTAATTTTTTTTTTTTGAGAGACACAGGGTCTCACTATGTTGTCCAGGCTGGTCTCCAACTCCTGGGCTCAAGCCATCCTTCCACCTCAGCCTCCCAAACTGCTGGGATTACAGGTGTGAGTCACTGCACCTGGCCAATTTTAAACTTATTCTTATGATAATATTTAATCATGTACAAAAGTAGACAGAATAAAACGAACCCATCATTCAACTTCAACAAGTACCAACTTGGTGCCAATCTGATTTCATCTGTTCCCCAACCACTATCTCTCACTCCAGTAGTATTTTGAAGCAAATCCCACACACAGGTCAGTATGTATTTTTTTTTTTTTTGCAGACAGAGTCTCACTCTGTTGCCCAGGCTGGAATGCAATGGCATGATCTCAGCTCACTGCAACCTCCGTCTCCTGGGTTCAAGCAATTCTCATGTCTCAGCTTCCCAAGGAGCTGGGATTACAGGCGTGCGCCATGATGCCTGGCTGTTTTGATAAACTCTCTCCCACATGCTGGCTTTGAGAATCAATTGAAAAGTTAAAAAAGAAAAAAGGAAAAAAAGCCCCAACTTTTTCCCAAAGAGGGTACCTTTGTTCATTATGAGATATTAATACAGTAGGCCAGGCACGGTGGCTCAGGCCTGTAATCCCAGCACTTTGGGAGGCCGAGGTGGGTGGCTCACCTGAGGTCAGGCATTTGAGACCAGCCTGGCCAACATGGTGAAACCCCGTCTCTACTAAAAATATAAAAAAAATTAGCCAGGCATGGTGACATATGCCTGTAATCCCAGCTAACTTGGGAGGCTGAGGCAGGAGAATCGCTTGAACCCGGGAGGCAGAGGTTGCAGTGAGCCGAGATCATGCCATTGCACTCCAGCCTGGGCAACAGGGCGAGACTCTGTCTCAAAAAAAAAAAAAAAAAAAAAAAAAAAAAAAAAAAAGAAATATTAATACAGTATATACAATAAGCTCTAGGTATAACTTAAGTCATAAATAATTCAAATTTACAGCCTTTAACACCCTATGGAGGCCAGGCATGGAGGCTCACTTGAGGTCAGGAGTTGGAGACCAGCCTGGCCAACATGTTGAAACTCCGTCTCTACTAAAAATACAAAAATTAGCTGGGTGTGGTAGTGCATGCCTGTAATTCCAGCTTCTTGAAAGGCTGAGGCAGGAGAATCATTTGAACCTGGGAGGCGGAGGTTGCAATGAGCCAAGACCGTGCCACTGTACTCCAGCCTGGGCGACAGAGCGAGACTCTATCTCAAAATAAAAAATAAAATAAAATAAAATAAAATAAAATAAAATAAAATAAAATAAACAGGCTGGGTGTGGTGGCGCCCGGCGAACAAATTAATCCCAGCTACTCAAGAGGCTGAGGCAGAAGAACTGAAAGACTATATTTGTAACATGCATAGACAAAGTATTAGTATTCAAAATACATTTTAAAAGCCTACAAACCCATAAGAAAAAGTCAAATCAAAAGGAAATGGAGCAAGGACTTGAACATTTTACAAAGAGGAAACATGAATGGCCAACAGATGTAAGAAAAGATTCACAGCCCCACTTGTAATCTGAGAAATGCAAATTAAAACCGCAAGATACCATCTCACACCCACCAGCTCCATAAAAATTTAAGTCTGACCATATCAAGTATTAACAAAGAGGTAAAGTAATGGAAAACCCATATGCTGTTGGTGGCTGTGTAAATTCACACAAACACAGGAAAACAATCTGCCATTACCTTCTGATCAAGCAATTCCACTTCTGTGTAAACCCTACAACAATGATTCTCAGTGAGGTCCCAGGACCAAGAGTGGCAGCATCAGCTGAGAAGTTGTTAGAAGTGCAAATTCTGAGGGCCCCAACCCTGACATACACAATCAAACACTTTGGGGGTGGAGCCCAGCAATCTGAGGTTTAACAAACCTTCCAGGTGATTCTGATGGGCAGCTAAAGTTTGGGAACCACTGCCTGGGAGAAACTCTTGAACATGTGCATGTGCAGGAGACACAAACAGTTTTCATAACAGCATTGTCTGAAACAGCAAAAACAAGGGGACAACCCAAATAACCACTGACAGCAGAATGGATACACAGCTTGAGACATGATCATATAAATGGATACGAAAATGAACAAATTATGCTATGCAAGTAACATGGATGGATCTCAACCTTGAATGAAAAAAGGAAACTGCAGATGATAAACACAGCATAATACCTAAATGAAGTTTAAAAGAATGCACAGGCTGGGCGCAGTGGCTCACGCCTGTAATCCCAGCACTTTGGGAGGCTGAGGCAGGCAGATCACGAGGTCAGGAGTTTGAGACCAGCCTGGCCAATGTGGTGAAACCCCATCTCTACTAATAATACAAAACTTAGGGCTGGGCGCCGTGGCTCACAGCTGTAATCTCAGCACTTTGGGAGGCCGAGGCTGGTGGATCACGAGGTCAGGAGTTCAAGACCAGCCTGGCCAAGATGGTGAAACCCCATCTCTACTAAAACTACAAAAATTAGCCAGGCGCAGTGGCAGGTGCCT
This sequence comes from Homo sapiens, assembly GCF_000001405.40. NCBI lineage: Eukaryota > Metazoa > Chordata > Mammalia > Primates > Hominidae > Homo > Homo sapiens. The sequence goes on from NC_000020.11 coordinate 31,692,786, forward strand.
GTAATCCCATCTACTAGGGAGTCTGAGGCAAGAGAATCACTTTAACCCGGGTGGCAGAGGTTGCAGTAAGCCAAGATCGCACCACACTGCACTACAGCCTGGGCGACAGAGTGAGACTCGGTCTTAAAAAAAAAAAATTAGTCAGGTGTGGTGGCGTGCGCCTGTAGTCCAGCTACTCGGGAGACTGAGGCAGAAGAACCGCTTGAACCCAGGAGGCGGAGGTTGCAGTGAGCTGAGGTCGCACCATAGCACTCCAGCCTGGGCGAGAAAGTGGGACCGTCTCAAAAAAAAAAAACAAAAACAAAAACAAAAAAAAGCATGTAGAAGAATATCCTATATTGTTTAGGAATATATACCTATATATATATAGTAAAACTTAAAAAAAAAAAAAAAAAAAGGTAGCCAGGTGTGGTGGCTCACACCTGTAATCCCAGTGCTTTGAGAAGCTGAGGTAGGAGGATCGCTTGAAGCCAGGAGTTCTAGACCAGCCCAGGCAACATAGTGAGATCCCATCTCTAAAAAAAATAATAATAATAATTAAAAAATTAGCTACTTGGCAGGCTGAGGCAGGAGGATCACTTGAGCCCAGAGGTTTGAGGCTGAAGTGAGGTATGATCATGCCACTGCACTCTAGCCTGGTTGACATGGTAAGATATCACAAAAGAAAACACAGAACTCAGGAGTATGGATGGTGGGGTAGCTGTGATTGGGGAGGGGGTACACAGGGGGCTCTAAGGTACTCACGTTTATTTTTGTTTGTTTTTAGAGACAAGGTCTCCCTCTGTTGCCCACACTGGAGAACAGTGGCGCGATCATAGCTTACTGCAGCCTTAAACTCCTGGGCTCAGGTGATCCCCGACTCAACCTTCTGAGTAGCTGGAGTTATAGGCGTGCACCACCACGCCCAGCTATTTTTTAATTTTAGTTTTTGTAGAGATGGTGGTCTCACTATGTTGCCCAGGCTAGTCTCAAACTTCTGGCCTCAAGCATTCCTCCTACCTCAGCCTCCCAAGTGCTGGGATTACAGGCATAAGCCATCATGCAAGGCAAACATATGTTTGATTATTAATTAATCTGGGTGATGAGTTTACAAGTGATGATTTTCCTATTTTTAAAATTGTACATATGCATTAGATATTCTCTGTTGTATTTATGATAAATTTCTTTAAAAAAAAAAAGTGTACTGAAACAGTGCAATACTCTGAGCCAGAACTGTAACAACTAACTCAACATATGCAGTGTCCGAAGGGTTAAGCCTGTTTCTCTGCCTGTGGGTGGGAGGGCAGGCAGCAGCTGGGGCACAGTGGGAGTTCCTGGCTCCAGCTGGCTCCAGCCTGGATCAAGCACCACGCCCAGGAACTGGCACCTGTAGGGGGGGCTTCTGGACAGGTGGCACCTGTAGCCCTTGGTGACCTGATACATGTGAGAGGCTGGGCCCAGTCAGATGGGTGGTGGGCTTCTGTCAGAGCCCCTCCATCTGGTAAGGAAGTTTGCTGGTGGCAGCTTGGAGCTGGTGAGAAGGGGAAGAGGGTCTAGGACACAGGATGGGGGTGGGGAAGGAAGTGGGTGGGCTGGGCTCAGATACCAAGGGAGGGTGGTGGGATTAGCACCTGCTGAGAATGAGATTAGGTTTCTTGGGAAGGGCTCATCTATCTAATGCTCCCCGAAAGCTGTCTCCCTGTGGCTTTTCTCTGCTGGACAGATGGTGTCTGAGCTGCCTCTTGGAGGGCGGGCTCCTTGAGGGGGTGGTGGAGGTGGAGTGTGACCTGCTGCCTGCTTTCCAGAGGACCTTGAGGCCCTGGGACTTCTTGTCTTCCAACAATAGTAATAAGGATTAGAGCTAACTCTTACTGAAGGTTTACCATATGCCAGGCATTGTCCTAAGCCCTTCATACAAATTACCCTCATTTAGTTTTCACAGCACCCAACTGCCTATCATCTAGACAGTAGGCTTACATTGAAGGAAACTAAGGCTTGGCAAAGTCAAACACTTGCTCAAAGTCAAACAGTAAGCAGGGCCTGGTGGCGTACCTATAATCCCAGGAAGATAGAGGCGGGAGGATCACTTGAGCCCAGGAGTTCGAGACAAGCACAGGCAACATAGTGAGACCTCATCTCAAAACAACAACAAAAACAAAACAGTAAGCAAACTAGGACTTGAATGCAGGCAGTTCAACTCCACAGCCCTAGCAGGAAATCACTATCAGCCAAGGCATCTTCCCCTTATTAAATGGCAGTAAGGACTTTCCAGTTTCTTAAGCCAAAAACCTGGACTCCTTTCTCTCTCACCTCTTATCCAGCAAACATCAGCAAATCCAGTTGGTCCAACCTTCAAATTGTATTGAAGCTCTGACCACTGCTCGCCACTTCCACCACCCATCCACCCTGGTATAAACTGCTGTTATCACCCACCTGGCTTCTCACTGGTCTCCTGCTCCCGCTCTTACCCATAGAGTTTGTTCTCCACATCAGAGAGATCCTTCTAAAACCTGTCACTTCTTTGCTTAAAAATCCTCCATGCCTTTCCACTGCCCTTAAAGCAAGGTCCCATGTGGCCCTACAAGACCTGGCCCCTGGTGACGTCTCAGACCTGATTCCTACCACTGGCTTACTCTACTCTGGCCATACTGGCCAACTTGCTGTACTTTAAATATGTTGGAGAGTCTTTTTTTGTACTTGCTTTATTTTTTAATTTTTTTGAAACAAGGTCTTGCTCTGTCAGCCAGACTAGAGTGGAGGGACAGGATCATAGCTCACTGCAGCCTCAAACTCCTGGATTTAAGCCATCTTCCTGCCTCAGTGTCCCGAGTAGCTAGCTAGGACTACAGACATGCACCACTATGCCCAACTAAACTCTGGCTTTGTCGCTCTGGCTGATCTCAAACTCTCAGCATCAAGTGATCCTCCTGCCTTGGCCTCCCAAAGTGTTGGGATTATAGGCGTGAGCCACTGCATCTGGCTTTTTTTTGTTTTACGGCTTGCTGTTCTCTATGCCTACAACACTATTCCCCCATATATCCGCACAGCTCATGCCCTCACTGCATTCAGATCCAATGTCACTTTATCAGAGAGGCCTTCCTAACTACCCTACCCTTCCTTTTCCCATCCCTAATCCCTTTTCTCTGCTTTATTTTTCCCTATATCACTAAATACTACCTCACATGTTATTTATTTTTTAGAGGTGGGTTGTCACTATGTTGCCCAGGTTGGTCTCGAACTCCTGGGCTCAAGCAATACTCCCACTTCAGCTTCCCAAAGTGCTAGAATTAAAGGCGAGAGCCACCATGCCTAGCCCTGACATGTTAATTTACTTAAAATCTGTCACCCACCTTGGAATGTCCACTGGGTGAGAATAGGGACTTTGGTTCGTTCAGACTGTATGTCCAACCTTTAGCTCAGTCCCTGATATATGACAGGAATGCAATAAATACTTGTTAATGAACAAATGAATGAATGACCAATATCCCTCAGGAAATGACTCAGACTCAAAGGGGAGTAAGGCTGCCTGAGTGTCCTTGGCTTTCACAGCCCTGATGACCTTTGGTACCCCATGGCAGCGGTCAACGTCCTTCCCTATTATGAAATGTCCTGGGTGCATAGCATCACCACTGTGTCATCTACTTGTGCCTGCACCCATGCAAACACACAGGGACACAAAGCTGGAAAAGGGCTGGTTTTGAGAAGGAGTAAGCCTGGGCAGTTGAAACCCAGGTTCGGTGTACTCTAGGGCACTTACTTCTAGGTGACTGTCCTTGCCACTGCTGGCGTACCAAGGTCTCCCAGTCATATGCCCATGCACTGTATACATTTTGGCATTTATTCTCATGAATAAAGTGTCATTAGAGGCCAGACACTGCTGGCTAACGCCTGTAATCGCAGCACTTTGGGACGTCAAGGTGGGAGGACTGCTTGAGCCCAGGAGTTAGAGACCAGTCTGGACAACACAGTGAGACCTTGTCTCTACTAAAAATTTAAAAATAAGCTAGTCGGCCGGGTGTGGTGGCTCACACCTGTAATCCTAGCACTTTGGGAAGCCGAGGCGGGTGGATCATCTGAGGTCAGGAGTTCGAGACGAGCCTGGCCAACGTGGTCAAACTCTGTCTCTACCAAAAATACAAAAATTAGCTGGGCATGGTGGTGGGTGACTGTAATCCCAGCTACTCGGGAGGCTGAGGCAGGAGAATCACTTGAATCCAGGAGGCGGAGGCTGCAGTGAGCCGAGATCAAGCCACTCCAGCCTGGGCAACAGAGCAAGACTCTATCTCAAAAAAAAAAAAAAAAAAAAAATTAGCTAGGCATGATGGCATGTGCCTATATTTTAGCTTCACTATTTTCACATGTAAAATGGATGTCACAGGGCATATGGCTCCTTGGAATATTACATGAGATAACATATTTAAATCATTCAGCAGTATACTTAGCACCCATGGAGTGCTCAATGGATGGTAGCTCTGTAGATCAGCTCTCAATAGAGGGACAGGCCATTAGATAAGCTTGGGGAAGGCTTCCTGGAAAAGACTGGCTTGGTACTGGACTTTGGAGCCTGGATAGAATATACATGAATGTTGGCTGGAAGGAGCCTATTCAAATGGAAGAGGGAAGAGGACAGGCTTTGGATGCTGGCAGTTTGCTGTGTAATCTTTAACAGGTGACTTTCTTTTTTTTTTTTTTAGACGGAGTCTCGCTCTGTCACCCAGGCTGGAGTGCAGTGGCACGATCTTGACTCACTGCAACCTCCACCTCCCGGGTTCATGCCATTCTCCTGCCTTAGCCTCCCAAGTAGCTGGGACTGCAGGTGCCCGCCACCACGCCCGGCTAATTTTTTGTATTTTTAGTAGAGACGGGGTTTCACCGTGTTAGCCAGGATGGTCTCAAACTCCTGACCTCATGATCTGCCCACCTCATCCTCCCAAAGTGCTGGGATTACAGGCGTGAGCCACTGTGCCCGGCCTAACAGGTGACTTTACCTCTCAAAGTCTCAGTTTTCTTCTCTGTAGAATGTGGATACCACTAGAGCATACCTCATAAAACTGTTGGGAGGATTAATGAGGTGCTATACTGATAAGTGGAAACCACTGAACAGAATCCTCAGCATGTGCTGTTGCTGTTTTTTTTTTTTTGAGACGGAGTCTCGCTTTGTTGCCCAGGCTGGAGTGCAGTGGCACAATCTCAGCTCACTGCAATCTCCACCTCCCGGGCTCAAGCAGTTTTCCTGCCTCAGCCTCCTGAGTAACTGGGATGATAGGCACACGCCATCATGCCTGGCTAATTTTTGTATTTTTAGTAGAGATGGGGTTTCACCATGTTGGCCAGGCTAGTCTTAAACTTCTGACCTCAAGTGATCTGCCTGCCTCGGCCTCCCAAAGTGCTGGGATGACAGGCGTGAACCATCGTGCCCAGCCTGGTGATCCTTTAAAAATGTATGTCGGACTGTCATTTCTTGGTTCAAAACCCTCCAATGACTCTTTTTTCTGAGACAGGATTTTGCTCTGTCGCCCAGGTTGGAGTTCTGTGAGATGTGTTCATAGCTCACTGCAGCCATGAACTCCCAGGCTCAAGTGATCCTCCCACCTTAGCCTCCTGAGTAGCCAAGATTATTGGCATGTGCCACCATGCCTGACAAATTTTTTGTAGAGATGGAGGTCTCACTGTACTGCTCAGGCTGATGTTGAATTCCTGGGCTCAAGTGATCCTCCCACCTCAGACTCCCAAAGTTTTGGGATTACAGGCATGAGCTACTGGACCCAGTCGATTTTCCTTCTTTTTTTTTTTGGAGACGGTCTCGCTTTGTCACCTAGGCTGGGGTATAGTGGTGTGAACATGGCTCACTGCAACCTTGACCTCCTGGACTCAAGTGTTTCTCCCATCTCAGCCTCCCGAGTAGCTGGGAATACAGGTGCGAAACACCACACCCGGCTAATTTTTGTATTTTTTTGTAGAGACAGAGTTTCGCCATGTTGCCCAGGCTGGTCTCAAACTCCTAAGCTCAAGCAATCTGCCTGCCTCAGCCTCCTAAAGTGCTCAGATTACAGGCATGAGCCACCACACCTGCCCTTTTTTGCTTTTCAATTAGTGAGTCAAGGGGAGATCTCCAATATATCTCCAATAGTGTGGTGGCTGGTCTGCTCTGAAATGTAAGCAGTTTTTTTTTGTCCCCTTGACCAGACTCTAAAAGTCTTAAGGTCAAAAAGTCCACAAATAACGTTTTGTTTACCCATCCTACAGTGCTAGGCCTAAGCCTCGGACTTAGGCAAAGGAGATCAGAAGGGTCATATGGCTAAATGTAGGTGGACAAGAGGGAGTCGGGGAGGGCCTTCCTGTGAATCCTCCTGCCTCTCAAGGACGCTCTGTTCCCTTAGCTTGAGAAGCCTTGAGGAAAGCTTTTTCCATGAACAAGCTTTTAAAAACCTTTTAGCTCTTTAAAAGCAGCAAGTACCATTCCAGTCATGACCCTGCAGACAGGTGGAACACCCATACTCCAGCCTCATTCTGAAGAGACTTGCAGAGCAGGAAGGAAGGGGTAATGACTTTCAGTTCCAGTAATGTATCTAGAAGCAGCAGCTGATTCAGCTAGATGATGTCACCTTCCCAAACCTCCTGACCAGCAGCTGAGATGGTAAAAGCAGGAAACAGGGGATACTCAGCTGGCTAAGTCCGAACATGCCTCTGGCAAAGGCCTACAGTAACCCCAGGCTCTGGAGGCATCCTCCTGAAGATGAGGAGAAAGAGTCCTCTCAGCTGGGAGTACAGTAGGTGTCCTTCAAGACCCTCAAACCAAGATGCTTCTCCAACTCTCCTTTTGCTAAGCAGCTTTCTGCATATCCTGAACCAACAATCCTTCATTTATTCCAAGAGTGGAGCAGGGGAAAGAAGCCTGGCTTTAGAGCCAGCCCAATCTAGGTCCAAATCCAGGATTCACCACGTAAAGCTGCAGGACCCTGGCATGCAACTTCACTTATCCAAACCTTAGTTTCTTTACTGGAAAAGAAAGTAGGGCTAATGGACCATTTAGCACACAGTCTAGGTGAGGGAATTAAATGAGAAAATGCATGTAGAGTACCTGACATGGGCTAGGTGCTCAATAAATGGTAGTCAACCATTATCCCATTGGATCTCTGCAGAGGAGATTTGAAAGATCACCTCCATCTATAACACAAAAGGAAACAAAGGTACCAACTAGACCCAACAGTGTCAAAGCTGAGTAACTGAGTTGGCCCATGCATATAGTTGCTTCCTAGATATTCCATTACTCAGTTTCATTTTCTGTACAGCATTTAACCCAATCCCTGAAATAATCTTGTTTGTTTCTCGGGCTAGCTGTCTCTCCCATTAAAGTAAGAGTTCTACAAGAGCAATGTCCTTGACCTTATCTTGTTTATCTTAGCATCTTCAGCATGTAGCACAGGGCCTGGCACATAGTTGGTGCTCAATAAACATTTGCCGAATCGCCAAATGAATAGCACCTGGGATGGCCAAAAGCTAAACTGACAATGGCCCCACACTTAACTCCTCCCCTCACTATTAGTTGAAGGCTCTGGCTCCCATTTCAGAAGCTGCCATTGCCACCTGGGAATCAGCAGCCCAACCAGTGGCCAGCATGGGCATTAGTCCCTGGGCACGACCTATCTATTGGGATACCAGGGCTGCCAAGGAGGGCCTTGGAATCCTCCCCCTGGCACTTGAAGATCCTACAAACCTGGTTCTAGCTGACCTTTTTGGCTTTATTACCTAATGAAAGAGACCCCTCCACATATGCCTAAAATTTGACTGCCACTGCCCACGGGTCTCTTCTTGAGAGTTGGTCTCAGCCTGCAAATCTTAACCCACATTGACTCTCCTACTGGGAGCTACAGCCCCTCTTTTCTCCGCTTTGTGGTAAGGCTCGGTGTAAACCTCACCTCTTCTGTGAAGTCCTTCCCTCATTTGGCATTTAGCATTTATTGTTGGCTTTTACAAGATCTCCTTTCATGTATATTATGTCTTTTCTCTCTAATTCAACTGGAAGTATCTTGAGAGCAGAACTGGGTTTCCAATGGCAATATCTCAATTAATAAACCTTCTACAGAAAAGACTCCTTGAAACAAAGTTAGCTAGGTCCAGAGAGGACTGGAGAGGGGTCTAGGCTCCTCCCTGCTGGACCAGCCCCTTTGGCAAAAAGAGGAGATCGTGTTGCCTCAATCCAGGAGCCCAGCTGATGAGGCAGGAAGGGAGCCAGCAAATCCTAGACTATTAGGTGCAGTCTGGGACAATCCCAAGGTCATCTATGTAATTAGATTTTTTTTTTTTGGAGACGGAGTCTTGCTCTGTCGCCAGGCCGGAGTGCAGTGGTGTGATCTCAGCTCACTGCAACCTCCGCCTCCTGGGTTCAAGCGATTCTCCTGCCTCAGCCTCCTGAGTAGCTGGGATTACAGGCACGCGCCACCACACCTGGCTAATTTTTTGTATTTTAGCAGAGACAGGGTTTCACCATGTTGGCCAAGACGGTCTTGATCTCCTGACCTCATGATCTGCCCACCTTGCCCTCCCAAAGTGCTGGGATTACAGGCGTGAGCCACCACGCCCGGCCTGTAGTTAGATTTTTAAAAAACCATCATTTTAAATGAATCTGGGCAATATTTAGTTATAAAGAATGGCATAAAAACTGCTCAGTTCAAAGGACTTTTGTAACATACATTTGTGTGAACTAATTTTACTTTTGGCTCGTCTTCTTACCCATATTTTCCTTTCACCCGACTCCCTTAGCTACATTATCCTTTTGGTTGTATGAATTTTCCTAAGTTGCTTCCAACTCTTTGTAAAACAGAGCAAGGTTCCAATAAAAAATAAGATTGGTCCAGTTTTCTTTTAAGTGGTACAGTGGTATATATAAAAAATGATGTTCCAAACAACTCATTATAACAATTAAGAATAAGTGGCAAAAATAATGCATGTAAATCACTGAATACAGTGCTTGGCACTTAATGAGCATTCAAAAGTAGGATGAAAGAACACTATTAATTCTCATTAGCTTCTCTTCTCTGGGCCTCAGTTTTTTCATGTCTTAGGTTTTGTTCATTTGTTTAATAATTTATTCAAAAAGTATTCACTGAATGTTTACTACCTGCAAAGAACAGCTGCAGACACTGGAGATACAATGATGAACAAACCAAACGCCCTATAATCATGGGGCTTATATTCTAATAGAAGAGACAGACAAAAACAAGTACACAAACAAAAAGAAAATTCCAGGTAGAGGCTGTTGCTATGACAAAACTACAAGAAGACTGGAGAGGGATTTAGAAATAGCATGGCTACTTTAAACTGAAGGTCAAGGAAAGTCTCTCAGAGGAGGTGACCAGCAAGCTGAACCAAATGTAGGCCTCAGAAAGGAAATACTAGGGGCAGAACATTTCAGGCAGAGAAAAGAGCAACTACAAAGGCCCTTGGGCAGGAAGAAGTTATGCCAGGATCCAGAAGCAGCAAGGAACCCATGCGGCTTGAGTGGAGTAAGGGAGAGACAGAATGATGGAGGGGCAGCCAGGACCAGATCACACAGGCCTCAGAGGTTGGTAAGAAGTCTGGGTTTTGCTGGGTGCAGTGGATCACACCTGTAATCCCAGCACTTTGGGAGGCTGAGGTGGGCAGATCACGAGGTCAGGAGTTCGAGACCAGCCTGGACATCATGGTGAAACCCCATCTCTACTAAAAATACAAAAATTAGCTGGGCGTGATGGCAGGTGCCTTTATTTTTTTATTTTTATTTTTTGAGATGGAGTTTTGCTCTTGTTGCCCAGGGTGGAGTGCAATGGTGCGATCTTGGCTCAACACAACCTCCGCCTCCCAGGTTCAAGTGATTCTCCTGCCTCAGCCTCCTGAGTAGCTGAGATTACAGGCATGTGCCACCAAGCCTGGCTAATTTTGTATTTTTAGTAGAGACGGGTTTCTCCATGTTGGTCAGGCTGGTCTCGAACCCCCAACCTCAGGTGATCCACCCGCCTCAGCCTCCCAAAGTGCTGGGATTACAGGGGTGAGCCATCGTGCCCGGCCAGTGGGCACCTTTAATCCCAGCTACTCAGGAGTTTGAGGCAGGAGAACCGCTTGAACCCGGGAGGCGGAGGTTGCAGTGAGCCGAAATGACACTTACTGCACTCCAGCCTGGGCGACAGGGCAAGACTCCATCTCAAAAAAAAAAAAAAAAGTCTGGGTTTTATTCTAACTACAGTGGAAGACCACTTGGAGGGTTGTAAACAAAAATGCAATAAGATCTGAACTTGGTTTTTATTTTATTAAATTTTTTGAGACAGAGTTTTGCTCTTGTTGCCCAGGCTGGAGTGCAATGGTGCAATCTTGGCTCACTGCAACCTCCACCTCCTGGGTTCAAGTGATTCTCCTGCCTCAGCCTCCCAGGTAGCTGGCATCACAGGCATGAGCCACCATGCCCGGCTAATTTTGTATTTTTAGTAGAGATGGGGTTTTACCACGTTGGTCAGGCTGGTCTCGAACTCATTACCTCAGGTGATCACCCGCCTTGGTGTCCCAATGTGCTGGGATTACAGATGTGAGCCACTGCTCCTGGCTAATTTTTTGTATTTTTAGTAGAGACGGGGTTGCATCATGTTGGCCAGGCTGGTCTCGAACTCCTGACCTCAGGTGATCCACCTGCTTTGGCCTCCCAAAATGCTGGGATTACAGGTGTGAGCCACCATGCCTGGCCTAAACTTGGTGGTTGTTTTTTTTTTTTTTTGAGACAAGAGTCTCACTCTGTTGCCCAGGCTGGCGTGCAGTGGTGCAATCTCGGCTCACTGCAACCTCCGCCTCCTGGGTTCAAGTGATTCTCCTGCCTCAGCCTCCCGAGTAGCTGAGAATACAGTCATGCACCACCACACCCGGCTAATTTTTTTATTTTCAGTAGAGATGGGGTTTCACTGTGTTGGCCAGGCTGGTCTGGAACTCCTGATCTCAGGTGATTCGCCTGTCTTGGCCTCCCAAAGTGCTGGGATTATAGGCATGAGCCACTGAGCCCAGCCCTGAACTTGTTTTTTTTTTTTTTTTGAGACGAGTATTGCTCTGTCACCCAGGCTGGAGTGCAGTGGTGCGATCTTGGCTCATTGCAACCTCTGCCTCCCAGGTTCAAGCGATTCTCCTGCCTCAGCCTCCCAAGTAGCCGGGACTATAGGCCCACGCCACCACACCTGGCTAATTTTTGTAATTTTAGTAGAGACGGGGTTTCGCCATATTGGTCAGGCTGGTATCGAACTCCTGACCTTAGTTGATCCACTCGGCTTGGCCTCCCAAAGTGCTGGGATTACAGGCATGAGCCACTGCACCCGGCCCTAAACCTTTTTTTTTTTTTTTTTGAGACGGAGTCTCTCCCTGTCACCTAGGCTGGAGTGCAGTGGCGCGATCTCAGCTCACTGCAACCTATGCCTCCCAGGTTCAAGCGATTCTTCTGCCTCAGCCTCCTGAGTAGCTGGGATTACAGGCGTGCACCACACCCGGCTAATTTTTGTATTTTTAGCAGAGACGGGGTTTCCACCACCTTAGCCAGGCTGGTCTTGAACTCCCGACCTGATGATCCACCCACCTCGGCCTCCCAAAGTGCTGAGATTACAGGCATGAGCCACCGCGCCCAGCCTGAACTTGGTTTTTAAAAGACCACTTTGGCTGGAGTATTGGGCAAGAGTGATTTTCTAAGGTCCCTTCCCAGCTTTTTCCCTGTCATTCTAGGCTGCCATGAACTGGTTGCCTGAGCCATAAAGACACAGTTTCTGGATTAGAGTGACTGAAGAGCTTAGAGTGGTTCCTTGCCCTTGGCCGGAGTAGGGAATCTGTGTCACCTTGTTCTGCAGGAGATGGAGGAAGTGACTCCCTCAGGGAGGGGTGGGAATCCCATCTTGGAAAACATCCTCAAACCACCTGTATTGTTTCTGCCTCCTGTGTGGAAGTTTCTGCCAATGACACAGTGCTCTCTGGAATGCACCCCCCCAACGCACACACCCAATCTTCCGTTTACACAGGCATAGCTGTACTTTGCATTCCTCCTAGGATTTAGTTCAAAGCTAGCCTACAGGAACTGGTCGATAAAGAGTTACTGATTGATTACTAAAGAAAGAGAATATTCTCAGCCATTAAGCAAATATTAATGAGTTTTATGAGTATTATGTTGGTCTCTGGGGGTGCAAGGTGATTAAATGGGTTTCTAGTCTTCACTGAGCTCAGAATTCAGTGGATAGACCAAAAACTACAGACAACTACAATGCTGGATACAATAGTTATAACAGCAACATTTACTAGGGCCTTCCTTATCCAGGTAGGACAAGTTGGCTTTGGAGCCAGACTACCTGGGTTCAAATCATGGTTTTACCACTTACTCGCTGTGCATCTTTGAACAACTTTCTTAACTTCTCTATAGGAATAATAAGAGAACCTACCTGAGTGGTACTATTTTGAGAATTCAATGAACTATCTCATATAAAACACTTAAGTGCAAGTGCTCATTGTTAAATATTACTAAAATTACCTTAATACCTGCACCATATGATCTTACATACATTCTTACAAAAGGCTCTTAAATCCTTACAAAAACCCTATGAAGTATTATTATTATCCCCATTTTTCAGATAGGGGGACTGAGGCTCAGAAATGGAAAGGAATGCACCCAAAATCTAACAGCTGATATGTAATAGAGACCAGATTCAAACTCAACTCTGTCTGATTCCAGAGCCCATACTTCCAATTAACAAAATGATCCCCTTTTCATAAAGAGCCCCAGCACAGTGCCTAACACACAGCAGAGACTTTATAAAGGGAGCTATGGTTATTATGTCATTGTCCCTGGAGTTTCCAGCTGTAGATGCTGTAGAACCCAGAGGAGGGGGCCTCTCTTTCACCCTAAAGGGATCTGAGAAGGGTTTAAAGGTGCTGGGTGCCAACTACAGGCTTTGCTTGGGAGTCCCAAAGGTTTCCCTCACTGGGGCTTGGGATACTAATATGGAACCTACACTAGCACCACTAAATCAGACCCAGAAAGTTCCCCCAGGTGTCCAAACACCTGCATGAACAAGCAGGCAGTTTCCTCTAGGTTGACTTCTTGTCTGGCCCTACACATCTCTCAGTTTCATCACTCAGCCACCAGCCCTGGGTCTCATGTATGCACCTGCTGCTTGACCCAGTCCCAGGAGACACTGAGCCTTAGAATTGGGCTCCTTCTCTGGACCTTGCCCCAAAGGCTATTTCTGAGTGACTCCCTGGGACTTCCCTGACATGGTAACCCCTAGGGCTCCAACTGAACATGGGTGCTGTGAGCAAGGGGAAATTCTTCTGAGTAGCAGATGGAGAGTGGGTAGAACAAGAGGCAGTTGTTCTGGATCAGAGATAAGCATGGGGTGAGAACCATAGTACACTGGATTTTATGTTTAAGCAGCACTGATCCTCGATAGTTCAGAACTCCCGCACTGAAGTCCAGCGTAGGCAGGTAAGGACAACCTGGAGCCAGGCATTAATACTCACTTCTACTTCCCATCTGAGTCATATTCAGAGTCTGGCCTTGCCTGGTACTTTGACTGCAGAAGGCAACCCATGGCTAAATCAAGGCACCTCAAGCCTCATAGAGAAAAGGGAAAGACTCAGCATTTGCTGAGCTTTTACTCTGCACTAGGCAATGTGTAAGTGCACTTTACATGTACCATTAATTATTAGGAATGTTTGTTAATCCAGTCACTAAACACTCAGCCACCAAGTACTAGGCCCAGCAGTAGCTGTTAAGAGTGAATAAGACATAGTTTTTATCCTCAGTAAGCTCAGAGCACCTCGTTTAGTCTTTCTCCCAACAACCCTCTGAAATGAGTATTACTTCCACTTTATAGATCTTCAGGTTTACAGAGGGAAGTAACTTGTCCAAATTCATGAAGCCAGTTAAGTGATAAGATATTGCTTCTACTCAAAAAATGCTTGTTGACTGAATGAATGAATGAATGACACAGCTATGGCTGTGACTTTAGTCAAGGAGTAGCAACAAGACCAAATATTTATAGTTCTCAAAGTGCTTTTTCATCTATCATCTCTTTGGGCCTCCCTGCTAGCCCATGAGGGAGGCAAGGCGGGTGTTATCTTTCTTCAACATATGAGGCAACAGGCAGAGCTTGGGCAAGAGGCTTGAGGCCACAGAGCAAACAAGGAGTGAGTGGGGCCATCCTGGAAAAACTCCAGAGTTCCCACAATGCCATGTTTAATCATTCAAACCCATGTCAAGCACCTACTGTGTGCCAGGCATGCTCCTACCCACTTTAAATACTTAACTCATTAAGTCTTCCACTCAGTCAACAAACAAGGAGGACCCTGGGAAGATAAAACAAAATATGCCCCATTGCCAAACGCCTAGTCAACAACACTGGCCAAACCTCTACTGTGTACAAGGTATGACTTGGGCCTTGTAGAGGAGGTAGGGGACAAGGTTGTGAGCCAAGGCCCCAAGCTTCAGGTACCTTAAAATCTCTAAACTCTTGGTCCAAAGATATCCACATATTCTGTCAGCCTGAAAGTTCACTCCTGGAGAGTAGATCCAATAGCAATGACAACAATTTGTTTACCAGTGATTGCAATGTGACAATAACAGTAATAATAGTAGCTTGTTATACTAAGTAATTACTATATGCTGGGCTCCTTGGTAAGTGCTCCATGTATCTTTTCAACTATTTTCATGCTCTCAAGAGTGTTTCAAGAAAAGCGCTGTAGGCCGGGCATGGTGGCTCACACCTGTAATCCTAGCAGTTTGGGAGGCTGAGGCGGACAGATCACCTGAGGTCAGGAGTTCGAGACCAGCCTGATCAACATGGAGAAACCCCGTCTCTACTAAAAAAACAAAATTAGCTGGGCGTGGTGGCGCATGCCTGTAATCCCAGCTACTCGGGAGGCTGAGGCAGGAGAATCACTTGAACCTGGGAGGCGAAGGTTGTGGTGAGCCGAGGTGGCACCATTGCACTCCAGCCTGGGCAACAAGAGCGAAACTCTGTCTCAAAAAAAAAAAAAAAAAAGGAAAAAAGAAAAGCACTGTATATTGTTACCTCTTTTCCATACATGAGGAAACTAAGGCTGGGAAAGATTAAGTATTTGCCAAGGATAACTATTAAGCAAGTGAGACTCACCAACTCAACAACGGTTTGTCAAATTTCGTACCTGACTCTTAACAACGATGGAATTTCTCCCAAGGAGGCAAGGCAGACACCAGGAATACCAGGAGCAGCTGCTGCCTGAGAGAGTGGGGGGCCTCCAGAGCCCCCAGAAGAGTCTTCCTAACCTCTTTCCATCAGGTTTTAACATCACACTGAGATGGGGAGGTAAGGAAAGAATGGTTAGGTGTGCTCAATCTATCCTTAGGGCAACAAGGGTCTGGCCCTCTTTGTTGACCCTCAAGGGAAGAAGTTTGTGACTTCCCATTTGTCACTCACCAACCCTCTAGAGAGAAACAGAAGGGGGCAAGGGCATGGGAGTATTTTCTCCCTGGGGTTGGGGGGCACACACAAGGGAAGAAGCAGCAGCCTTACTGGCTCTTTCCTCCCCTGGGCAAGAAGCCTGTACATGTGATACAGTGTATGTCATTCACATGGAACCCCCTTGGGGAAATGCCAAGGTACCTTTTGGACCCAAGAAGCCTCAGAGAGGAGAGACTGGCAAAGCCCTGAACTGCAAGCTAAGCTGACAATTTCTAAGCATTGTAACTAGGTCATCAGGTTCCTGGAGAAGCCAGCTGTGGCTGGGGGATGGGGAGGAAAATTTTGCAGCCTACCAAGATCCCTACTTCCCTTTAGGCCCCACCCTCCCTGAAATCTGCACCTGCTCCCAAACTGACCCCTCCCCCCAGCTGAGCCCAGCTGTCAACGGCTCCCAATGCCCCGCCCTGCCTTCCTTAGGCCAGAACCATGGGGGCCTCTTGGGCAGGAGGTACCTGATTGCCACCTGAGCTTTGCAGAGAAGGAGCTGTGGGGCAGGGAAGGATTGGCCTCTCCTAGAAGATATTTCTTGCTCCACCAGGGCAGCAAGAAAGTTAGGCCCCTTTGGGCCTACCTAGGGTACCCTTCCTGGCATTGTCACTGCAGGTGGCAGGAGACAGGTGATGTTTACCCTGCTGAGGCCAGAGTTGCCAAAAGGCTTCAATCAATCCTTTGAATCTGCACCTGGCCCTGAGTCCCAAAATAACAACCAGGGCAGCTTACCTGATCTGCAGGTTGCAGGTGCCTCTGGCTTTTCTCTCCCTGCAGCTCTGCCTGCTGAGCCCTGGCTGGCAAGAGATTCTTTTTCTTAGGGGTTACTGAGACCTAACTGCATCCCACAGGTGCTCTGGGCCTCTCCCCATTAGGCCCACCTCTACCATCAACCATCCCTCTGTCCAGAGGCCTCTGTCATCAGCCACCTGGTTTCTTCCCTGACCAACTTTATTGCTGACACAGACCATCTTTGGCTCTAGCCAGTCTGCCTCCTCATGATCTCTCAAATGCTTCATACATACTCCACCCTCCAGTTCTGTCTGGGTGGTTCTTACCCGTCTGGCCTGCTCGTGTGTGTGTGTGCGCGCGTGCACGCGTGTGTAACTAGCCTGATCTTTTTGGTGTGTGTGTGTGTGGCAGAGTCTCCCTCTGTCGCCCAAGCTGGAGTGCAATGGCATGATTTCAGCTCACTGCAACCTCCATTTCCCGGCCTCAAGTGATTCTCCTGACTCAGCCTCCCAAGTAGCTGGGATTACAGGCGCCCGCCACCACACCCTGCTAATTTTTGTATTTTTAGAAGAGACGAGCCGGGTGCGGTGGCTCATGCCTGTAATCCCAGTGCTTTGGGAGGCTGAGGCGGGTGGATCACGAGGTCAGGAGATCGAGACCATCCTGGCTAACACGGTGAAACCCCGTCTCTACTAAAAATACAAAAAAAATTAGCCGGGCCTGGTGGCGGGCACCTGTAGTCCCAGCTACCCGGGAGGCTGAGGCAGGAGAATGGCGTCAACCTGGGAGGCGGAGCTTGCAGTGAGCCGAGATCGTGCCACTGCACTCCAGCCTGGGCAACTGAGCAAGAGCAAGACTCCATCTCAAAAAAAAAAAAAAAAAAAAAAAAAAGAAGAGACAAGGTTTTGTCATATTGGCCAGGCCAGCCTCGAACTCCTGATCTCAAGTGATCCACCTGCCTCAGTCTCCCAAAGTGCTGAGGTTACAGGTGTGAGCCACCACGCCCAGCCACAGCCTGCTCTTGTTACATTCTTTTCACCTATTTAAACCCATCATGGTCCACATCTTCCTAAGACATAACAATGCCTAACATTGACTGAGTATATCAGACACCGTGTGAGGTGGTCTACACAGTCACTTATTCAACAAATATTTGCTAAGTGCCTCCTATGTACCAAGCACTCTGCTAGATGCTGGGGATGAAAGACAGGATAAAGCCCGTGTACTCCGAGAGCTTATGTTTTACTACAGGAGACAGATGGTAAACATGTAAACATGGCGACCTCTAGGGAGGTGATATCTGAGTTGATACCTGAATGATAAGAAGAGAGAGAGCCCTGATCAGATCCATAGGATGAGTGATACAGGCAGAGGAAAAACAGCAAGCCTATAAGGAAGAGATTACTATCATCTTCATTAAGAGATTAGTATTATCTCCATTTACAGACCGGGAAACTGAGGCCTCAGTGGAAATTGTACAAAGCTACGGTGCTGAGAAAGCTATGATTATTTAAGCTGTCAGTGACCTCTCTCCTTCCTAACCCTTTCCACTGTTGATGCAGAAGACAGTCTGGATTGGCAATGCAGTTGGCTAGGGAAAGGGTGCAGGTTGATGATACAGGCTGAGGGTGGAGGCCTCTGGGCCCAGTAATCAACTGGGTAGCTGATGGTGGAAGCTGGCCCATTTGGCAGAGGCCCAGGGCCCAGCAATGCAGTCAGGTGGGCTCAACTTCTTCCACTTTTGGTGTTTACTCTACAGGTTTGGCACAGTTTGCCTCAAGCCATTCACCAAGTGTTTGAGGTCTATTCCTACTGCTTCAAATGAGTTTGCTTCCTTAGGGGCAGAAACTTTTTTTGTAGCCTAACCTGTATCTAATAATAACCCTTCATGTTCATTGAGCAGGCCCTGGCTGAGTCCTCACCCAACCGCGGGCCCTGAGCCAGGTAGTCAGGGTAAAATAAGCCAGTCTGGGCTTGTAAGAAGCAATGACGCTTATAGGCTTTTGCATCAGACACATCTGAGTATAAGACCCAGCTCTGCCTCTTAGAAGATCTGTTACTGTGGACACATTAGGGAGCCTCTCTGAACCCTAGATTCTCCATCTTCACAGGAGAGCATTTGTGAGAACCAAGTAAGATGATTATATTGAGGGGATAAACACAGCACCTGGCACAGAGCAAGTAACTACTCAACCCATAGTATCTGTTATTATTACCAAAAAACACACTTACATTTCACTTTCTCATTCATGCCTCACTTACTCTGGTGGCTTGGCATTATTCTCTCAGGCTTATGGATGAGAATTTGAAGCTGATTTGCTTTGTGTTATGCCACCAGCAAGGAGTCAAGCTGTCTCAAATGTGAGGCCAGAGTTTTGTCTGTGTATGTGTTGAAGGTGATTAATACATATCAACTATAATGAATCTTGCCTGGTGTGTCTGGCAGCTGAGGAGAAGGATGGATGGCACATGTAGACTGATTCAGATGGCAGAGGGACACCAGCAAGACCCAAGGTGTGGAGTATGGAAACAGACCATTGAGGGATGGGACTCAGTCTCAGTTACCACAATATCCACAGTATCACTAGCATTTAGCACATTACAAAGCATTTGTCAATATTTGCTGATTTAACAAAAGAAATGAAACTCCAAGGACAGCTCCAAGCCACACATCCAGCTTTAGGAGAGGCAGACAGTATTGATAATACTGTGTTAAAAGCCAGAACATGAATTCTAAGTCTGATGCTGCCATTTACTGTGGGACAAGACCCCTTATCTTAGTTTCCCCTCTGGAAACAGGGCTGAACATACCCACCTCTCCTACTTCACTGGGAAATAACTTATAAAAGGAGTTTGGTAAATTGAAAGTATTATCATGCACATAAAAAGAATAATCATGACAATACAGACTACTAAGACAGTAGAGTGTGAATCCCAGCTCTTCTTGGTACTAGCCTGTGAAGCTCTGGGTATATCACTTTTCTCTGAGCCTCAATTTTCTCAACCATAAAATGAAGGTAACAACACCTACTTTGCAAGATTTTTAAGGACTGGAGATAAAAAGGACAGGCTTCAGAGTAAGAGAGACCTGGTTTCAAATGCTGACTCTGCCTCTGGCTAACTATAAGCCCTCCCAAATCTCAGTGCCTATAACGATAAGGTTGTTGGGATAGTAACAAAAACAGCGTCACTAAAGGCTGTCACATAGTGAGCACTGGATTAATGCCAGCAGTCACCTAGACAATAGCGCACTGGACGAGGGAACACAGTGGAGCGTTTAAAAGGGGGAGGTTGGAAGCTACCCTCCCAGGCTTTGCCTCTTACTAACTGTGCTACTTTGCATAAATTGCTTAACCTCTCTGTACCTCAGTTTCCTCATGTGTGAAACAGGGATAAAAGAACCTACTTCAGAGTGCTGCTGTGAGAATGAAATCTATTAATACATGTAAAGCACTTTGAACAATGGCTGGCATAGAGTAAGCACTCAATAAGTGTTAGATACTATTAATAGTAATGTTAACAATAATATTAATCACCAACTGGAGTAAGAGGGAGGGACTGTTTATCCTGGGACATGGGTGTCCCATGAAATAATTACAGAGAAGTCTCAGCAGCTGTTTGTAGGCAAGTTTTTAGCCTCGAAGACTCTATGGAAAGGACACGAGGCTGGGGGCTCCTGAGCAAATATCCCAGTCCCACTGACCAGGAGGCCAGTCTCTAGGGAAGCGAGTCAGGCTCCTTGGAAGGGACACTATGTTCCTATCCCTGCCTGACTCGGGGGAACAAAGGCACGTGTGTATGTGTGTGTGGCCAGGGAGGAGGGAGGGGAATGTTTCCCTTTCAAGAGAGGAACAAAGGATCTGAGGCATAGTTGAGTGCGTTCCAATCCCCTCCCAGGCCAGCTCCCATTCCTCAGATGATTGTCCAACAAGGTTTTCAACCTTCTAGCTTCCTCCTCAAAGGTGACTGGGGGAGGGGAAGGCAGGCTCTGTTTCACTCCACCCTTTATCATCAATTTCCAAGAGGCAGGATTTATATGTGCCAAACCTCAAGTTATCTCTTAAGAATCCCATCCTATGCAGGGGTGGGGTGGAATCTCCTAGGGGAACTCAGGGTTAATGGATGACACAGGGCACCGCAAGCAACAGGTTTAATGCATCTCCAGGGGAAGTCCAGGACTGAAACTGCTAATGCGTGATGGAGCCAAGGAGAGAACCCAGGAATTCTAACTGACCTCCCTCACAGCCTAGCCTAGGGTAGGGGGTAATGGCCTGGCAGAACCAAGTAGAAAGGCATTTTCTAAATCTTGAAGGGATGATCACAGCTGGAGGCAGAAGCCAGGTGAAGGAGGAAAGGGTAGGGAGCAAAGAAAGTAATGGACAAGAGGAAAGGCAGGGACACGTCCAAAAAAAGTAGTTTTTGGGGGGCGGACCTCTAGGGACATTGCTTTCCAGTTTCCACACTCTTGCCGGCAGGGCTGGGACAGGAAGCAGTCCATGGAAGTCATCGCAATGGCATTTCCTGAAGAGCTGGAGAAAAACCTCCAGTTCCGAGGGGAGCACTGGAGGCTGCCCAAAAAGCTGTGTGGCTCAGAGTTCACTGTAAGGCTCAAGCTTGGCCCGAGAGTCTCATCAGGGATGAAACCAAATAGCAGACGGTCCCAAAGGCAGTTTCTTTATACAAAACCACAATTTCAAAAATCAATATGTAAAAAAAGAGAAGCCAGATGATGTGAGTGAAGAGCCCTAGGATGATATGAAAGCCTTAAAAGAATGAATTAATTCACCCAATCTTCAGAAAAAGGTGGCATTACTATAGCCATTTACAAGTTAAAAGACTTGCCCAAGGTCACACAGCAAGCTAGTAGTCAAGTTCCAATTTGAAAGTCCAAAAACTGCCTCTTCCTCCTGATGTAACCTTGGGCAAGTCAATTCATCTTTCTCACCTGATTTCTCTCCTTTGAAACGGAGATGTCATCCTTCCTGCTCACCTCTCTGGGTGGTTATAAGGATCAAAAAGGCAAGGTGGATCTGAAAGTGCTTTGGAAGCTGTAAGGTGTTACATAAATATAGGGTAGCACTATTGTGGGCTCAGTGATAAACTAGCCTGCCTTGACACTGGGTTTAGTTAAGGTGCTGACATATCTGTCAACAGGAGAGAGCCATTTTAAAATATAACTAATGTGAAATATGCTGTAATGGTGGAATCCGCCACAAGGCCTAAGGATAGAGAGAACCAGCATTCCTTTATTGCCTACTTCAAACCCTCCATCTTGCATAAAGGGAAACTGGGGACTGGGGGTGAAGTGACTTGGCCAAGGTGAGACTGAGAGTAGAACTGGGATTCCAACTCCAAGACCAGTGCTTACACCACCATTGCACACAAACACTGTGGAGCTCCTACTACAACAGAAATGCTGCAAGGGCCTGCTCTGAGATGTGCTGATGGGTCACTATGGTATTTAGAAAAAGGAGAGTGGATGCTCAAGATTCCGTGAATGGGTCTCTGACATGCGTTCTGTGGAAAGATAATAAGAATAATGATACCAACATGGCTCCAGTCTTTATGCATCTCAGGTATACCTCACTGTGTCTTTACCATCGCCCCCTGTGAGGCAGGTATTATTATTTGTCCCAAGATTCAGAGAGGTAAAAGGAGCTTGCATAGGTAGACACGGATGAGTTGGGAACTGAACTCAGACAAATTTCATTTACTCAGACAGAAATACTGTTGGAGTGGAAGAGGACCATTCATCAGAATATCACATTTGGAGAGAACTATTCCCAAAGAACATCTATCTTACTTAACTTTGATTCTAGGACCTCCAAGTAGTTGAAAAATATGGTTTCCAGGATGGCTGGACCCATCAATATACCATGTGCAAGCCTGGTCTTATTCTCCAGTCCCCGTCTCACTACACCTCCACCTCTAGGTCCAAGCCACTATTCTTTTTCACCTGGCAATTGCACCAGCCTCTTCACTGGGCTCCCTGTTGCCACCCTTAAGAATACAGACCAGGCCTGGCACGGTGGCTCACGCCTGTAATTCCAGCACTTTAGGAGGCTGAGGCGGGCGGATCACGAGGTCAGGAGATCGAGACCATCCTGACTAACATGGTGAAACCCCGTCTACTAAAAATACCAAAAATTAGCCGGGTGTGGTGGCGGGCACCTGCAGTCCCAGCTACTTGGGAGGCTGAGGCAGGAGAATGGCGTGAACCCAGGAGGTGCAGCTTGCAGTGAGCAGAGATCGTGCCACTGCACTCCAGTCTGGGAGACAGAGAAAGACTCTGTCTCAAAAAAAAAAAAAAAAGGAATACAGACCATTCCACCAAAGCCAAATCCTCATCATGGTCTGTAATGCTGTATGCGATCTGGCCCCCACCTACTTCTCCATCCTCCTCCTCAACCATTCCCTCCCCACCTTCTACCCTTTTCCCCTTTGCTGTTTCTTCTCCAGCCACATTGACCTTCTTGCTCATCCTTGAAAATGTCAAGCATGCTCCCTCCTGAGTCCATTCCCTCTGCTTTAAACACCCTTTGCTGTAGGGTACCTACATCATCCACCTCCTTACCTCATTTAGCGCTTGGCTCAAATAAATTTAGGTAATACTTTTGTTGGGACTCAGGACATACCATCCCAAAATATGACTGTAGGAAAACAATATGCCACCCCAAAAATATACTTCTTTGGCATATTTTGAACTGGTTATTCTGAGAAACTGCAGACATAAGAGTAGCTCTGAAAAGCTGTCCTTTTGTAAAAGAAATTCACATCTAAAAAGGAAATCTACACTAGTAAAGGTATCTGTATTAGGAAGAGGGCTGCTCCAGACAAATTTTATTACCAGAGAGACTTTTTATTTTTATTTTTTGAGACAGGGTCTTGCTCTGTCACCCAGGTTGGAGCGCAGTGGCTTGATCTCGGCTCACTGCAACCTCCACCTCCCAGGCTCAAGTGATCCTCCCACCTCAGTACACCCCCTCAACAGTATCTGGGACCACAGACACACGCCACCACCAATTCTTTCCCTCACCCTGCCATAACTTGGGTTGCTGCCACTCAAGCCCCTAACAGAAGTCCCAAGCCCCATATTCTTTTCTGTAGCTCAGGATGCTATATAAGCTTCAATTATCTGACCCTTCTTTGAGCCTCATATTTTGTAGGATTCCTGTGTACAACTATGTAATTAATTATTTTTCCTCCAGTTAATCTGTCTATGTCAATTTAATTCTCAGCCCAGCCAAAGGACCTAGAAGGGTAGAGGAAAGCCATTTTTTTCTCCCTTACACCTTCTTTGATCACTCTTTTAAAACTGCAGCCCCACCCTCCCTTGCTAGACATGCCCTATGCCCCAACCTGCTTTATTTTCTTCATAGCATGTACAATCATCTGATATAAACATGTAATTATATATTTATTGCCTGTCACTCCTCATTGGAATGTGAGCTCCATGAGGACAGAAACTTAGTTTTGCTTACTTTTGTTTACTGCCATACTCCCAGTATGGTACACAGTAGGAGCTCAATAAACATTGTTTGACTCAACGAATGAATTATTAGGTAAATAGCCACTCCCATTATTGTTATTCTGGCTTGACAAGGGTCTGTTTCTTCAGAAATTTAGTGGGTTTCTCTTCAATTAGGTATCTGCTATGCCCAAGGCCTCTGCTCAGTGCTGAGGAAACAAGCATGGACAAGATGTGGCCTCCACCCTGAGGAGCTCCTAAATCTAGGACAGAGTAAATCTGTTAGAAATGTCTTCTCTGCACATAATTTAAGCTCTACCAACTGTTAACTTCTTTTCATTTATCCAAGTTTTGCCAGGTACCACACCAATAAAAAAAGACTCAGTCCCTCTTCCTTCAGATATCTGAAGCTGGTGATATTCTCCTGGGTCTTCTCTTCCCCAGGCTAAACAAAAAGACCCAGTGGGATTGCCTGACTCAGGTCTGCCAACTGGGAACAAGGAAGACAGACTGTCGGATAGAGGGGCAGAAGAGAAGAGGATCCAGGAGTAGAGTGACTCCTTCAAAGAAAAAAGAGGGAGTCCTTAGGGAGGACTCTGTGGAATTAGGTTGGAGGTTGGGTGGGGACAGGGCCTCTGCTTAATTAAGGCAGTAGGAGATTATACTTCCGTAGAAAAGCAGTACACTGGGAATTACCCCTATGTCTATCCACATTAAACTCAGGCAAAACCACAGTTGCTTCAAGAAAGCCCCATGATGGAAGGCTGAGGGCACTGGCAAAACCAGGGAGACTGGACACAGAGGAGGACGCTCAAGCCCACTGGCCTCAGGACAGATATCTGCTGGGGGAAGGGACAGAGATAACAACTGCTGTTTCATGCAGCCCAAACAAATCTGGGGACACCCATACAAAAGTCAAGAAAACCCTCCAGGTTCCATTGGAGCCCCCTGAAAAAATACCCGGGTAATTTTCGACAGAAGCTAAAGGGCTCTGTGGGGCTACTGGGGAAATTATTCCTAGGAAGTCTGGAAAACCCTGTGATGGTAACAGAATTTTAAGAGCAACCTCAAATGTACACTCAGAAGAAGTAGGTGTTTCAAGGGGGAGCCCCTGAGACACTTCTACTTAATTTTGGGACCCGAATGAGATTACTAAAAATTTCCACATTTGGGGTTTCTAATGGGGTTTCCCTAAGAAAACCACAGAACTGCCACTATCTGCAAAGGGAGCTGAGGTGCTTCAACTAAGCATACATCCATCTGAAGAAGCCACATTAGGCAATAAGAGATCTACAGAAACTCAGACCACTGAGCCATACAGCTTAAGAAAGGCCAAGTTATGTTTTCTCCCCCAACACAGTTCATTGCTCCCAACAATTACGTTTCTATCAGGCTAAGGGATTTCTTCAGGGACAGCAATCCCAAAGTGGCAAGGCCCACCTGGGTCCCTTCCCACATTCCCATTGGAAAGCACCAGAAACACTTGTGTCCCTTCGGGGAAGGTCATGTATACAACATTCCAGGAAAGTATCACAGGGACTTTGTTTCTCAAGGAGAAACTCTAGGGGGAAGAGTCAGTTCTCTGAGGGAAGCTGCCCATTCATTAAAGGGTTTCCACCCTACAATTATGGCAGGAGAAGGGCTTTTGTGCTAGATCCTTTACTCGAGTCAAGCTATGGCAGCTGGCTATCATTATTCCATTTTACAGGCGGGAGAGACAGATGGACAAGACAGCCGAACAGGTTCAGCATTTCATCAGGTGACTCCAGGCAGGCAGTAATCTGGCTAAGGGTCTACACTTTCAGTCCTTGAAGCATCACTCCACCACTAAGTAGAGATACCTGGGGCAGGCCACCTTCTCCCCACACGCACACCACTGTCATCTATTGGCAGGGCCTGAGAGGGTTTTAACAATGAAAAAATTGGCCGGGGCCAGGCACGGTGGTTCATGCCTGTAATCCCAGCATTTTGGGAGGCTGAGGCAGGCGGATCACCTGAGGTTGGGAGTTTGAAACCAGCTTGACCAACATGGAGAAACCCCATCTCTACTAAAAATACAAAATTAGCCAGGTGTGGTGGCGCATGCCTGTAATCCCAGCTACTTGGGAGGCTGAGGCAGGAGAATCACTTGAACCCGGGAGGCAGAGGCTGCAGTGAGCTGAGATCGCGCCACTGCACTCCAGCCTAGGCAACAAGAGCGAGACTCCGTCTCAAAAAAAAAAAAAAAAAGAAAAAATTAATAAGCAGCTCACTCTGGGCAAAACCCTGATGCCCACTTGAAACCTGCCATGTCTGAGTTTTACCAGTGCCAGAATCTGAGGCTACCAACACGCCTCTGGGAACCTGCTACTGCCAACTATCCTTCCCATAGCTACCTGAACAAAGCCAGTTATCAGTCCAGAGTGAGCACCTTCACAGGCATGGTTTGCTTGGCCCAACAGCATCTCTGGCTTTCTGGGCCAGCATGTCTAGGTCACTTTATTACTCCCTGGACAACTTGATAGGATGAAAAGTGTTGGCTTTAGAATTATGCCAACCTTGGTGTAAATTCTCATTCAGACACTTAACTGGCTGAGGGACACCTGGGGTCAGTCACTTAGGCACAAAGACCTTCATGTGTAAACTGGGAATAAACTCACCTTCCTTGGAAGGTTACTGTAGAATATATGAAACAGCATGCCGTTTCCATGAAGGAAGGTACCATGCGTGGCTTATGGCCAGCACCTAGTACACTGCTAGCTTCACAGTAGATGCTCAAGAAACACTGGTTGCATAAGTAGAGGACCTAACACAGTGCCTAGTACTTAACAGGTACTCAATAAAGACTAATTTCCTTCCCCTTTCCTGTAGGGATGCTAAATTTAGAACATAGCCCTGAGTAGAATAGCCCATAACTCCTACCCTTAAGGATCTCCCAGCCGCAGTCTCCAGGATAATTACCCGATGCCACCACAGTAGCCAGTCGGTGCAGCTTGGAACAGGATAATACCTGAGAGGAAGGGGGCGGGTACCTTCTACCCAGGCTCAAAGGATCCTGAGTCAAATGTTCTTTACTCCCTGGCCTTAGGGAGAGAATGTGTGCTCAGAAATGGTTCTGATATAACTGGCTCTTCCACACACATCCCCTCTGTTCACCAAGAGGAAGTGACATGTGGTATGTTGTCCAACAGGCTCTGATGATTCTTAAGCAAAGAGATGGAAGATGGAATTTCAACCCCATGGAGATCTAATAAACTTACCCAGAGTTGCTGTGTCTAAGACCTCTTTCATATGCACCACTGGGCAGCTGGCAATTCTCTGGTAGGGGTAGCCTTCTGCAGAGGCTGGCTAGCAGACCAGGCACCTCTCCCAGACTGCCTTTTGTTTATAGCTGGCAACAACCCACCTGGTATTAGGACCACTGGCCAAAGACAATAGTCAGGCAAAGTGGGCAAGCAGCCTCAATCCCTACTTGGAGATGCCTCAGAGGGTGTGTCTGCAGTACTGGAATCCTGTCCCTCCTGTAATCAGCTGAACAAATATTTGCCCCAAAAGAGAATCAAAGCAGGAGGGAACAGGAGAGGTCACTGCACAAACCAACAGGAACTATTTAATCATTTATCCCCCTAGAGAGTTCATTTACAGAATGGCTTTCAAGTCTAGTCAGCTAGCTCAAGAGAACCCACCACCTTTACCTCCCCTGACCCCACCCCAGTTATCTGACCTCTATTGACTTGACCCCCTTGCCTTTTACAAGAGCTGGCACAGACGAGTTGAAATTGCAAAGAAATGCAAAATGAGAGAGGGGGTGGGGTTCCAGGGCAAACTCAGGAGGTCTCTTGCTCAGTGGTAAAGTGAAGTGCCTGCCACACCCTAGGCCCAGCCTATAGACAGTTGCATTCTTGACATTCCTGAGTCCATGGTGCATGTCCCCTTCCACCTCAGCTCCTTCAATGGATGACTTATTTTCCACAGCTTGATGCTTTTCTGCATACTCTGAGGGGATAGAACATCTCTCATAAAACCTGCACCTCCGCTAGGTAGGGAGATAAGCAAGAAAACAGGACTGAATTCACTGAAGAGCAAAACTTGCCTACAGTGACCACTGGTAAAGAAGCTTTCACCACCATCTCATCCTGGCTCAGTGATGGGCAGGAGAACTCTCCCTCCCTGGAAAGGGAATTTGCTGGTGTCAGTCACTGTGCTCACATTATCGCCAAGATTTACAATACACTGTAAGGCAAGGAGAGCTTGCCACATTTTTTAGTGAAAGAAACTAAGCCTCAAGAAAGTAACCCAGCCTGTCCAAGGTCACACAGCTAGTTACATGACAGAACTGGAACTTATACCTGCATGTGAAGTCTGTTACTAAATCTCAATGTCCCACAGAGCCCCAAAGACTAGGTTCTTGCTTTGCCAGCAAACAGTGCTTGAAGAGGCCCCTGGGCTCTGGCCGGAAAGTAACAGGCAGAGCAGCTGGAGCTCCCCAACCGACCCCAGGCAATGAGGTGCAAAGTCCCCTGGCTTAATGTGTGACACAGCAAGTGCTCCACAAACAAGGCAACCATGCAGAAAGTCGCACACTTTGGGGGAAATGAACTTAGGGGGCGCAGTGCAAACACAATCTGCACAGCCTACACTGCCCCAAAATCTGACAATTCTCAGCCATTCAACCCAGTGGGAACTCCTGCCTATGGCCATGCCCTAGTCTGAGAGGAGAGTGCCATACACGCAAACTTTGAAATAAAGGGAACTTGATTTGGGGGAGAGAAGCCCAGGATAGGACTGAGACCCCTTGGGGGGAACAGATGGAGAGGTCTGTGGGTCATTGATGCTCATCATCTTCTCCAGGCATTATACTCATCACCCCTTTGTGTGTGAACCATTGTATAAGGTAAGGGAAACACCGAACTAACTTCCTACCCTCACAGGTTTGGGACTTAATGAACACATAGGCTACAGTTTTCTTTGCTGAGAAACTGGAACACAAGTATGGAATAGTGGAGTCATGGGGGTGACCAGGGTGAAAGATGCCTGATCTCTGAAGCACAGGGTCATTTGTATTTCCAAGGAGTTAACCTCTTGTGGTGAAATGAGGCCAGTCAGGTTTCCTCAACTATCAACGTCTCCAACAATCACCCAACACAACAGAAAGAGATACAGAAGAAGGGCTGTTGGGGATCTCTGACCAGAGGCCAAAGAAAAGGGACACACAAGGGGCTTGGTTCTTACCCAGCCGCCGTTCTCCTGGATCCAAGGCTCTAGGTGGTCATTCAGGTAAGTGGCCATCCAAGCTGCGATCCGACTCACCAATACCTGCATCTCCTTGTCTACGCTTTCCACGCACAGTGCCCCGCCGAAGGAGAAAAAGGCCACAATGCGACCCCAGTTTACCCCATCCCGGAAGAGTTCATTCACTACCTGTTCAAAGCTCTGATATGCTGTCCCTGGGGTGATGTGGAGCTGGGATGTCAGGTCACTGAATGCCCGCCGGTACCGCAGTTCAAACTCGTCGCCTGCCTCCCTCAGCGCTTGCTTTACTGCTGCCATGGGGATCACCTCCCGGGCATCCAAACTGCTGCTGTGGCCAGTGGCTCCATTCACCGCGGGGCTGTCTGCCAGGTGCCAGGATGGGTTGCCATTGATGGCACTGGGGGTCTCCATCTCCGATTCAGTCCCTTCTGGGGCCTCAGTCCTGTTCTCTTCCACATCACTAAACTGACTCCAGCTGTATCCTTTCTGGGAAAGCTTGTAGGAGAGAAAGTCAACCACCAGCTCCCGGTTGCTCTGAGACATTTTTATAATAGGGATGGGCTCAACCAGTCCATTGTCCAAAACACCTGCTCACTCACTGAGTCTCGTCTCTGGTTAGTGATTCTCTTCTAAGATCCAAAGCCAAGATAAGATTCTGAAGGGAGAGAAAGAGCTTCAGGAAAAAAAAATAATTAATATGCATGCCATTTACCCTAAAAATTCCATTCCCCCTCCAGGTACCAGAACTGGTTTCTTTGTGGGTCTTACGAAGGTCTGGGTCTAGGTTCCAAGATACTTCACTTAAGTCAAATCGAAAGCACCAGTGGACTCTGAATCTCCCACCAGCCTTTTCTACCCCCGTCTTCTCCGAAATGCCTTCCTCGGAAAGTCACTCCCTGGGCAGTCCCCCCCGCCCCACTCCCGCTCCCCCGCACCACCTACATTCAAATCCGCCTTAGGCAAAGGCAGGCAGGTGCAGCCCCCGGAAGATCTTTTGTATCACAGGTCGGGAGAGGAGGTGGCTGCGGGGATGCCGGTAACTCAGCCGGCCTCGCGGTGGCTGGCAAAAAAACCAGCTCCGGCCGGAGGGATCATGCGACCCGGCAGGCTGGGAGCCCAGAAGGCGACACAGGAATTGCGAAGCTCAGGAACCAGCCCCCTCGCTTGCTTCCTCCTCCATCGCCCGGATCGAGGGCGGCCGCTCCGCAGCCGCGGCCTCCTGCCACCCGGGAGCCCAGCCCCCTCTCTCTTGCACGCCCCTTGGCTCTCCGCCTCCTACTGGGAGCCAGGAGTACTCTCCCGGAGGTGGCTGGTATGGATTTAGTTGGTTTTTGTTTTTCTTTTTTCTATTTAAGCACCAGCCCAGGGTGAGGTGGAGGCGTCCGAAACCCTAAAGGGACTTCTCAATGGGGTTCAAGGTTTCAGTGAGGGACGCAGGGAGGGGGAAACTGCCTCAGATCTGCAATCTGACTTTGGGAAGGCCACCCCCAGGCCTGTCTGTGATGTTGAAGGCCGGAGACCCCCAACAAATGCCGCTGGTTTGCTCTGAATTCCCCAAAGGCCCAGAACGTGGCAGTTGGGGATTGCCGGGTCCTCCATTCCCCGCCCGGACACAATGGCCGCCGGCGCCCTGCACAAAGACTGGGTGAGGGTGAGGCGCTGGGCCTCTCCTCAGGTCAGGAAGAGGGGTCGAGGCCTGCTCGACGGCCCCACAGCTGAGACCACGTTTTCCTGGGGACAGGCCCAAAGTGGCTTTCTGGCGCCCCCGGGAGGGCTCCGGGGCCGGGGGCTGCACCTCTCCGGAGCCCAGGGTGGGCCGGCTGCGGCCTAGCGGCTTCTCGAGCTCACTAGGCCGGGTACCCGCCGAGCCACCGCCCCGTTGCTAGGCAACCGCCCTCCCCCGGGGGCGCCCCCTAGACCTTCCTGAGAGGAGGGGCCTCGCCCCCGGCGGTCCGCCCCAGCGCAGCCAATCAGCGAGCCCAGCCGGCACGGAAGCGGGACGGCGAAGGCTCCTATTGGGCGCAACGGCTGTCACGCACAGGGGAGGCGGCGCTCTCACCTGCGAGCCCCGCGAGCCGTGGGGGGCCACATCCCCCTTCATCGGCCCGGTAGCTTCCAGACGCAAGAGCTCTTCGCGGCCGAGTTCCGCGCCGCGGACCCGGGCCGGCCTACCTGGCTGCCGGCCTACCTGGCTGACTGCTCGCGCCGTCTCTCCCGAACAAGCCGGCCTCAGTTTCCCCTGAAGAGACAGGGGAACTTGCAAGCTCAGTCACTTCCGGTGCCGCGGCAACGCGCGCGAGCCCGAGACGCAAAGGGAGTGCGCGCCTTGAGTGACTGGCATCAGGACCGGGGAGAGATCGCCCCCTCGCGGTAGATCTGGGGAATCGGGAGGCGCAAAAAATCAACATTTATAATCACATTTCCATTTATTCATTCAGTCAGTCAGTCAGTCACTCATCAGTCAATCAGCCTATTTCATCCGTCCGTCAGTTTATATATAGAAGAAGCATCGCCTTGTGGTTAAGCACTTTGTCTGGATTCTAACTCTGCTAGTTAGGCAAGTTTCTCAACTGCTCTGTGCTTCAATGTCCTCAATTGTAAAATGGGTAATAGTACCAACCTCTCTCGTTGAGCTATTGTGATGATTAAGAGAGTTATTAATTGTAAACTCCATAGGACAGGCCGGGCGCGGTGGCTCACGCCCGTAATCCCAGCACTTTGGGAGGCCGAGGCGGGCGGATCACCTGAGGTTAGGAGTTCAAGACCAGCGTGGCCAATGTGGTGAAACCCCGTCTCTACTAAAAATACAAAAAATTAGCTGGGCGTGGTGGCGCATGCCTGTAATCCCAGCTACTCGGGAGGCTGAGGCAGCAGACTCGCTTACAGGAGAATCGTTTACAGGCGTGAGCCACCGCGCCCCGCCAATTTCCTTACACCCTGAACCACACAGTGTGTTATCAAATGTTTTATCCTTGCCAATTAGATGGGTAAAAACCGAAGGCACTTTCATATTTCTTTTTTTATTATGAATGAAGTTGAGCAATTTGTCATATTTTTTAGTCTTTCTTTGGAGGGTGGTGGATCTTGTATTGGTGAATTTTCTTCATATTGTTTACCCCTTTTTCAGGTGGTCTTTCTGTTGAACTCTTTCCTCATTTTTTTTTTTTTTTTTGTTATTGTTGTTTGTTCGAGATGGAGTCTTGCTCTGTTGCACAGGCTGGAGTGCAGTGGTGCTATCTTGGCTCACTGTAAACTCTGCCCGCCAGGTTCAAGTGATTGTCCTGCCTCAGCCTCCCTAGTATCTGGGACTACAGGTACACACCACCACGCCCGGCTAATTTTTGTATTTTTAGTAGAGACAGGGTTTCACCATTTTGGCCAGGCTGGTCTCAAACTGCTGACCTCAGGTGATCCGACTGCCTCAGCCTCCCAAAGTGCTGGGATTACAGACATGAGCCACCGTGCCCGGCCTTTTTTTTTTTTTTTTTTTTGAGACAGGGTATGTCACCCAGCCTGCAGTGCAATGGTGTGATCTCAGCTCACAGCAGCCTCGACCTCCCCATCCCAGGTGATCCTCCCACCTCAGCCTCCCCAGTAGTTGTGAATACAGGCTCGCACCTCCACACCCAGCTAATTTTTGTATTTTTTGTAGAGAATGGAGTTTCCCCATGTTGCCCAGGCTGGTCTCAAACTCCTGGGCTCAAGTGATCTGTCTATGTCGGCCTCCCAAAGTCCTGGAATTACAGGCATTAGCCACCACACCTGGCTCTGATTTACATTTTTTTTGCTGTTTTTCGAGATGGAGTCTTGCTCTGTCACCCAAGCTGGAGTGCGGTGGTGCGATCTCGGCTCACTGCAGCCTTCGCCTCCTGGGTTCAAGTGATTCTCCTGCCTCAGCCTCCTGAGTAGCTGGGATTACAGGCACCTGCCACCACGCCCGGCTAATTTTTGTATTTTTAGTAGAGACGGGGTTTCACCAGTTGGTCAGGCTAGTCTCGAACTCCTGACCTCGTGATCCGCCCACCTTGGCCTCCCAAAGTGCTGGGATTACAGGTGTGAGCCAGCGCGCCCGGTCTGATTTACATTTTTGAACCTATGGTGCCACAATTATCTCAATGTGAAAACTATCATTATGGAAGCCTCAGTGTGCTTTGGGAGCCCAGCAGAGGGCAGATAAACTCTGTCCACAGATAGGGGCTTTACTGAACTGGCCCTCAAAAGAATAGAATTTTGCTTGGGTGAGAAAGGATGTAGGAGCATTTTAAGCAGAAGATATTGCTTGAGCGAAGGCCTGGCAGCCCAGCGTGAGAGCCCATGGTGTCCTGGAAATAAATTGGGATGGCTGAGGGGAGTGGTGGAGAGGGGATGGAATATAAATGTGTATCCATGCGAGCAGCACATCAAATAGCACCAGAGGAGCCAGCAAAGATTTTTTTAAACCAGAAAGAACATGAAGAAATTTATATTTTGGAAAGATGGATACATATTTTGGAAAAAGAATTTTGCAAGTCTTGAAAATGGCTCTCAAATGATCTTTGACTGGAATCTAATTTAAAGAAAATAAGTTACATTTAAATCTAAAGAAAATAAGTTTTCTTTTTTATACTTCTCTATGTTGTCTACACATAACTTTGTATTTTTTTTCTTTTTTCTTTTTCTTTTTTTTTTTTTTTTGAGATGGAGTCTTGCTCTGTTGCCCAGGCTGGAGTGCAGTGGCATGATCTTGGCTCACTGCAACCTCTGCCTCCTGGGTTCAAGCGATTCTCTGGCCTCAGCCTCCCTCTTTTTTTTTTTTTTTTTTTTGATACAGAGTCTTGTTCTATCGCCAAGGCCGGAGTGCAGTGGCACAACCTCGGCTTACTGCAACCTGTGCCTCCCGGCTTCAAGTGATTCTCCTGTCTCACCATGTTGGTCAGGCTGGTCTCGAACTCCTGACTTTGTGATCCGCCGGCCTCGGCCTCTCAAAGTGCTGGGATTACAGGCGTGAGCCATTGCGTCCAGCTATTATTTTTAATTATATAACACTATCTAAAAACATGCTAACTTTGGCCGGGCACAGTGGCTCACGTCTGTAGTACCAACACTTTGGGAGGCCAAGGCGGGTGGATCACGAGGTCAGGGGTTCAAGACCAGCCTGGCCAACATGGTGAAAGTCCGTCTCTACTACAAATACAAAAATTAGCTAGGCATGGTGGCAGGTGCCTGTAATCCCAGCTACTCAGGAGGCTGAGGCAGGAGAATCACTTGAACCCAGGAGACAGAGTTTGCAATGAGCTGAGAGCATGCCACCACACTCCAGCCTGGGCAACAGAGTGAGACTCTGCCTCAAAAAAAAAAGAAGAATCCCAGAAACAGACCAGCCATGGTGGCTCACACCTGTAATCCCACCACTTTGGGAGTCCAAGGCGGAAAGATGCTTGAGCCCAGGAGTTCAATACCAGCCTAGGCAATATAGTGAGACCCCCTCTCTACAAAATAAAACAAAAACAAAAACAGAAAAAGAACAATTAGCCAGGCCTGGTGGCATACACCTGTTGTCCCTAGCAACTGAGTAGATTGAGGCAAAAGAATCGCTTAAGCCTGGGAGGTCAAGGCTACAGTGAGCTGTGATCATACCACTGTACTCCAGCCTGGGTGACAGAGTAAGACACCCTCTCAAAAAAAAAAAAAAAGGGAATCTCAGAAACATATTGAATGGAAAAAATGGCAAAAGAATAATGTAGGAAGATTCTACTTATATACAGTTTAGAAATAGGCAATATACAATTTAGAGTTTGTAGCATCTAGCTTCCTCCAAGATGGCACCTAAATATCCCTGCCTCTTCGTATTCATGCCTTTGTGTGTTTCCCTCCCACACTGAACCACAGTTGTTCTGTGTGACTAATGACAAATTACAGCGATGGAATGTTTCTTTCCCTCCCTTCTTCTCTCTCTCTCTCTCTTTCTTTCTTTCTTTTCTTGACAGGGTCTCGCTGTTGCCCAGGCTGTAGTGCAGTGACACAATCACG
Source organism: Homo sapiens (assembly GCF_000001405.40). Classification (NCBI taxonomy): domain Eukaryota; kingdom Metazoa; phylum Chordata; class Mammalia; order Primates; family Hominidae; genus Homo; species Homo sapiens. The sequence continues at coordinate 31,727,685 of NC_000020.11, forward strand.
GCTCACTGCAGCCTTGACCTCCCAGGCCCAAGCAATCCTCCCACCTCAGTCTCCCTAGTAGCTGGGACCACAGGCATGTGCCACCACACCCAGCTAATTTTTGTATTTTTTTGTAGAGACGGTGTTTCGCCATATTGCCCAAGCTGGGGTTATGTCACTTTCAAGACTTTGTTACGAAAGATTGTGGCTTCAGCTGGGCGCGGTGGCTCATACCTGTAATCTCAGCACTTTGGGAGGCCGAGGCGGGTGGATCATGAGGTCAGGAGATTGAGACCATCCTGGCTAACATGGTATAACCCCATCTCTACTAAAAATAAAAAAAACAAAATTAGCTGGGCGTGGTGGTGGGCGCCTGTAGTCCCAGCTACTCAGGAGGCTGAGGCAGGAGAATGGCATGAACTCGGGAGGTGGAGCTTGCAGTAGGCCGAGATCCCACCACTGCACTCCAGCCTGGGTGACAGAGGGAGACTCCATCTCAAAAAAAAACAAAAAACAAAACAAAAACCCCCAAAAGATTGTGGCTTCCGTCTTTGTGTTTGTGGTCTCTCTCTCACTCTGGGGGAAGCCAGCTGCCATGTTGGGAGCAGCCCTATGGAGAGGCCGACAGTCATGTGAGGGTCCTCCTGCCCCAGTCAAGCCTTCAGGTGATGACAACCTTATTAGAGACCCTGAACCAGAACCACTCCATTAAGCTGGATTCCTGATGCTCAGAAATTGTATGAAATAATACATTATTGTGATTTTAAGCTGCTAAGTTTGGGGGTAATTTGCTCTCCAATAGTAGATAACATATATATATATATACCTTATATACCTACGTGGTAAGAGAATAACAAACACAAAAGTCATGATAGGCTGGGTGCAGTGGCTCATGCCTGTAATCCCAGCACTTCTGGAGGCCAAGGCGGGCAGATCACTTGAGGCCAGGAGTTTGAGACCACTCTGGCCAACATGGCAAAACGCCATTTCTACTAAAAATTTGCTGGGTGTGGTGGTGTGCACATGTAGTCCCAGATACTCTGGAGGCTGAAGCGTGAGAATTGCTTGCATCCAGGAGGCAGAGGTTGCAGGGAGCTGAGATCCTGCCACTGCCCTCCAGCTTGGGCAACAGAGAGGGACTCTCTTTCAAAAAAAAAAAAAAAAGTCATGATAGCTATTGGACATTAACACGAGAGGGTATTGGATTAACCTAGGGAACAAGATGAAATTGGAAGCTTCAAAAATAATGATCTCTGTCTGAAACAGAATAGTAGTAAACAATTTAAATAAAAAGGAACAAGGCCGGGTGTGGTGGCTTACACCTGTAATCCCAGCACTTTGGGAGGCCAAGGCAGATTGATCATAAAGTCAGGAGTTCGAGACCAGCCTGGCCAACATAGTGAAACCCCCGTCTCTATTAAAAATACAAAAAATTAGCTGGGCATGGTGGCGGGTGCCTGTAATCTCAGCTACTCCGGAAGCTGAGGCAGGAGAGTCGCTTGAACCTGGGAGGTGGAGGTTGCAGTGAGCCAAGATCGCGCCATTGCACTCCAGCCTGAGCGACAGTGCAAGACTCCGTCTCAAAAAAAAAAGAAACAAAGTAGAAAGAAAAGACAATGAAAATGGTTTTCTTGTTGAATTGTACATATGTACAGAGACTTTTTTTGCCTCATTATTCTTTATACCTTTCATACATTGCATATATGTATTTGTATCTACTCTGTTAATAAAATCAATGTTTAAAAGACAAGAGGAAATATACTAAAATGCTAATAGTAGAGATAGTGCCACTAAAGGCTACGTTATAGTTATTTTTCTTTATTCTTTATTATTTTCAGTATTTTTTCATATATATAACATATAGCTTTAGGGGTACAAGTGGTTTTGGGTTACATAGTAGATGAATTATATAGTTGGTGAAGTCTGGACTTTTAATGTGCCCATCACATAAAGAGTGTACACTGTAATCAATAGGTGATTTTTAATCCCTTACCTTCCGTGTATTTTCCAAATATTAAAATAAGAAAGCATTACTTTTGGCCTGGCATGGTGGCTCATGCCTGTAATCCTAGCACTTTGGAAGGTCGAGGTGGGCAGATCACTTGAGGTCAGGGGTTCAAAACCAGCCTGGCCAATATGGTGAAACCCTGTCTTTACTAAAAATACAAAAAATTAGCTGGGTGTGCTAGCGGGCGCTTGTAATCACAGCTACTCAGGAGGCTGAGGCAGGAGAATCACTTGAACCTGGGAGGCAGAGGTTGCAGTGAGCCAAGATTACACTCTAGCCTGGGTGACAGAAGAGACTTTGTCTCAAAAAAAAAAAAAAAAACTTTACTTTTTAAATGAGAAATTTGAAAAACATATGAACACACACAGACATTATATGAATATATAAAAATGCGTGTGTGGATAGATATAGATATATGAGGTATCTGTATTTGCATTAAAAAGTCTTCGAATCATTCTTTTTTTTTTTTTTTAAATTGAGATAGGGTCTCCCTCTGTTGCCCAGGCTGGAGTATGGTGGCACAATCATAGTTCACTGCAGCCTCAAACTCCCAGGCTCAAATGATCCTCCCACTTCAGCCTCCTGAGTTGCTGGGACTGCAGGTGTGCACCACCACACCCAGCAATTTTTTTTTTTTTAATTTTTATAGAGACGGGGACTCACTATGTTGCGTAGGCTGGTCTCAAACTGCTACCACCAATCTTACATGTGCTTACTGAAAATAACCCCCTGCGGCTGGGCGCGGTGGCTCACGCCTGTAATCTCAGCACTTTGGGAGGCCGAGGCGGGCAGATCACCTGAGGTCAGGAGTTCAAGACCAGCCTGGCCAACATGGTGAAACCCTGTCTCTACTAAAAATACAAAAATTAGCCAGTGTGGTGGTGCATGCTTATAATCCCAGCTACTCAGGAGGCTGAGGCAGGAGAATCGCTTGAACCTGGGAGGCGGAGATTGCAGTGAGCCAAGATTGCGCCACTGTACTCCAGCTTGGTGGACAGAGCGAGACTCTGCCTTTAAGAAAAAAAAAAAGGGGCGGGCGCGGTGACTTATGCCTGTAATCTCAGCACTTTGAGAGGCTGAGGCAGGTGGATCACGAGGTCAGGAGATCGAGACCATCCTGGCTAACACAGTGAAACCCCGTCCCTACTAAAAATACAAAAAATTAGCTGGGCGTGGTGGCGGGTGACTGTAGTCCCAGCTACTCAGGAGGCTGAGGCAGGAGAATGGCATGAACCCGGCAGGCGGAGCTTGCAGTGAGCCAAGATTGCACCACTGCACTCCAGCCTGGGCGACAGAGCGAGACTCCGTCTCAAAAAAAAAAAAAAAGTTGTTTTGGAACAGTCTCTGGAAGAATAGGCAATAGCCTGTCTGGATGTGGTGGTTACTTTTAATCTCCTCTCTGGTGACTAATCTTCCCTGGTTGTTTGATGAGATTTCTAGGAAGAGAGTTTAAGACAATTGCATTTAATACAATTGGAAGAACTTCCCTCAGTCATATAAGGGAAAGAACTTCCGCAACTGCTCCCTCCTGCTCTTTGGAAGGGAATGATGGGGACAGGGAGCAGAAGGTCAGAGGGAGACCTTGTTTCTGAGGCTTATTTCTGAGGCCTTTCAATCTCCTTTGTTCAAAGCACCCAGCATGCCAAAGCACCATATTTTGGAGCATCATTTTCTGAGCCCCAACACTTGGTTGGATGGAAGACTGGAAGAATAAAAAAAAAAAACAAAAAAAAAACAGTGCCACAGTGCTGACTTTTCTGGGGAACCTTTTTTTTGTTTGTTTTCCGAGACAGGGTATGACTCTGTTGCCCAGGCTAGAGTGCAGCAGTGTAATCATAGCTCACTGCAGCCTTGACCTCCCGGGTCCAAGCGATCCTGGGGATCCTTTTGACAGCTGTCATCAATTATTTATACCTGCAACCTTCTCCAGAGGAGTGTCTTTGGGTGATCGAAGTCACCTCGTTTGGAGGTGTCTGGAAGTTAAGTCATCACCCGGAGCCAATGGAGTAGGAAGCCTCCATGAAGCTGGAAGGCAGGTCCAGATTTCTGGCCTAGTGACCACTAGTTAGATGGTGGAGGGACTAAGAGACACAGAGTGGAGGATCAGATTTGTTAGGGGCAGCAGTAGAGGCTGGTTCTTTCTTTCTCGCTCATTATTTATTATTTTTCGAGACAGGGTCTCATTCTCTCACCCAAGCTGGAGTGAGGTGGCATCATCACAGCACACTGCAGCCTCAACCTCCTGGGCTCAAGCAACCCTCTCATCTCAGCATCCAGAGTAGGTAGGACTATAGGCATGTGCCACCACACCCAGTTAATCTCTCACTTTTTCAAAACAGAGTTTGAGAGCTTAAATAACTTTCTACCTCACTGGCTCCTCCTTCTCTCTCCTTTGCAGTTTTACTATTACAAAAAAAAAAAAAAAGTCTGGGTGTGGTGGCTCATGCCTGTAATCCCAGCATTTTGGGAGGCCGAGGCAGGCGGATCACCTGAGGTTGGGAGTTCGAGACCAGCCTGACCAACATGGAGAAACCCCGTCTCTACTAAAAATAGAAAATTAGCCGGGCGTGGTGGTGCATGCCTGTAATCCCAGCTACTCGGGAGGCTGAGGCAGGAGAATCGCTTTAACTCGGGAGGCGGAGGTTGCAGTAGCCGAGATGGCACCACTGCACACCAGCCTGGGCGACAGAGTGAGACTCCATCTCAAAAATAAATAAAATAAAATAATTACATAAATAAAAAAGAGTGTTGCTGTGTATTATTTGGGTGATTTGAATTTATTTATTTTTATCATTATTTTTTGAGATGGAGTTTCACTCTTGTTGCCCAGGCTGGAGTACAATGGCGCAATCTCAGCTCACCTCAACCTCTGCCTCCCGGATTCGAGCAATTCTCCTGCCTCAGCCTCCCGAGTAGCTGGAACTACAGGCGCCCACCACCACCTGGCTAAGTTTTTTATTTTTAGTAGAGATGGGGTTTCGTCATGTTGGCCAGGCTGGTCTCGAACTCCTGACCTCAGGTGATCCACCCACCTCAGCCTCCTAAAGTGCTGGGATTACAAGCGTGAGCCACCGCACCCAGCTAACATTCTTTTTTTTTTTAATTAAAGACTCAAATTATCTATCCTTTCTCTGTATAAATCCAGTTTAACTTCTCCCCTCTGAATTTCCCATTCTTGTTAGTTTGTTATGAATTTTTCCATAACTTTCTCTCTATATATATATCCACATAGGAGAGGCAGTCCAAGGCAATGGTTAGGGGATTGGTCTCTGGAGTAGGCCTTCCTGGGCTCAAATCTTGATTTTGTCACCACAAAAGCTGTATGATCTCAGATAAATTGTCTAATCTTTTTAAGCCTCAATTTCTACAATCTATAAAATGGGTGTGGTAACATTAACTATCTCATAGGGTTATTGTTAGGATATATGAGTTAATATGTGTAAAATACTTCTAATAGTGGTTAGCATGTGGTAAGTACTAATGGTTACTTATACACACCCATGGGAAAAGTGGAACATTATTTTGAGTATTTTAAAAACATAATGATGTCATAATGAATTTATGTCAATCAGCAATTCATTTTTTTGAGACGGAGTTTCACTCTTGTTGCCCAGGCTGGAGTGCAGTGGCGCGATCTCAGCTCACTGCAACCTCCGCCTCCCGGGTTGAAGTGATTCTCCTGCCTCAGCCTCCTGAGTGGTGGGATTACAGGCGCCCACCACCACGCCTGGCTAATTTTGTATTTTTAGTAGACACCGGGTTTCACCATGTTGGCCAGGCTGGTCCCAAACTCTTGACCTCAGGTGATCCACCTGCCTCAGCCTCCCAAGGTGCTGGGATTACATGCATGAGCCACCGCGCCCAGCCATGCAATTCATTTTTTTTAACTCAAAAATATATCTCAAAGATCCTCTCCTGTCAGTCCAGATCCATGGAACTTTTTTAAACTGCTGCTTAGTGTTCCATTCTGTAGGCAGTTGATTGAAATATTCCTCGATTTGTGAAAATTTAGGTGGTTTCCAATTTCTTACAACTACATTGCAATGAACTACTAATTGATTTCCTTATTTCCACTCTTGTTCCCTTCCCTCGATGATAACTGAAATTGTGAACAGAGTGGACCAGATGTGTCTATCCTTCTTTCCAGCCCTGAAATTCTGCTTCAGTGATTCAGACCACATAGTCTCCCATTCACAGAGAACGAGAACTTGAAGCTCAGCCTAACATAAGCAGGTAAAATGATAGGAGAGGAAACTCTTGGACCAGGCTTACCTCCTGTTCATTTGGAAGGAATTGGGAAGCTCTTGCATACATCCTGGCCTCCTGGCATTGCCTCATTCATTCATTTATTCATTCAGTCAGTTACCTTCTGCCTAGTAGTCCCCAGACAACAATAGTTCTGATGCTTCTTCCTTCCTAATATAAGGCAAACTACCTTTACCCCCACCTTGACCCAAGCCTGTCTACTCCATTGTTGGCAGGCACATGCCTGGTTGTTGGGTGATGTGGGTGCTGAAAGTGGGACAGTCACAGCCCAGGCAGACCCCTGCCCTCCCTTTGCCCCACCATCTATCCAGCTCCTGCCTTTCTCCTTGTATTGCCATCCACACTTCAGGGCCTCGCGAGCAAATGGTTTTGCATTTATCACCTGCTAATACACTAGATCATTTACTTATTTATCTCATCTGGCATCTGTCTTCTCCCCTAGAATAACAGTTCCACGAGGACAGGAATTTTGTCTGTCTTTTTACTGTGGTATCCCCACACTTAGTATGGTGACTTGGCACATAGCAGGTGCTCAATAAATGCTGCAGCAACTGGGCATTTGTGTGACTGGATGAGTGTTATCTCTTGGAATGAAACCTAGAAATGGAAGTCCTACATCATAGGGCATACTTATTTGACATTTTAATAGTTGTCAATAGGCTGAGCGCAGTGGCTCACACCTGTAATCTCTGCATTTTGGGAGGCTGAGGCGGGCAGATCACCTGTGGTCAGGAGTTCCAAACCAGCCTGGCCAACATGGTGAAACCCCGTCTCTACTAAAAACTAAAAAATTAGCTGGGCGTCATAGTGGGTGCCTGTAATCCCAGCTACTCAGGAGGCTGATGCAGGAGAATCACTTCCCGGAAGGGGGAGGTTCAGTGAGCCGAGATCACGCCATTGCACTCCAGCCTGGGTGAAAGAGCGAAATTTTGTCTCAAAAAAAAAAAAAATTAAAAAATTAGCCGGGCATGCTGTGAGGTGCTTGTAATCCCAGCTACTCAGGGAGGCTGAGGCACAAGAATTGTTTGAACCCAGGAGTCAGAAGTTGTAGTGAGCTGAGATTGTGCCACTACATGCCAGCCTGAGCGACAGACAGAGACTCTGTCTCAAAAAAAAAAAAAATAGTTGTCAATAGTTGTCCACACCCATCTATACTCCTACCTGCTGAGTTACCTTACAAATTTCTGATACTATCAAACTTTTAATTTTGGTTAATCTGATGGGTGAAAAATGGAACTTTCTTGTTTCAATTTCCTTTATTATAGTGAGGCTGAGCACCTTCATGTGTTTGATGGCCAGTTTTGTTTCTTCTTTTTTTTAGTGGAGGGTTGGGGGACAGGATCTTGCTCTGTCTCCCAGGCTGGAGTGTAGTGGCCTGATTTCAGCTCACTGCAACCTCCACCTTCCAGGTTCAGACGATCTTCCCACCTCAGCCTCTGGAGTAGCTGGGACTACAGGTGAGTACCACCATGCCCAGCTAATTTTTGTTTTTGTTTGTTTGTTTTTTTTGAGACAGAGTCTCACTCTGTCACCCAGGATGGAGTGCAATGGCATGGTCTTGGCTCACTGCAACCTCTGCCTCCTGGGTTCAAGCGATTCTCCTGCCTCAGCCTCCTGAGTAGCTGGGACTACAGGTGCGTACCACCATACCTGGCTAATTTTTGTATTTTTTGTAGAGACGGGGTTTCATTATGTTGGCCAGGCTGGTCTCAAACTCCTGACCTCGTGACCCCCCCTCCTCAGCCTCCCAAAGTGCTGGGATTACAGGCATGAGCCACTGTGCCAGGCCTATTAAGTTTTGTATTTTTTGTAGAGAAGGGGTTTTGCCATGTTGCCCAGGCTGGTCTCGAACTCCTGACCTCAAGTGATCTGCCCCCGCCCCCCACCCCCGGCCTCCTGAAGTGCTGGGATTACAGGCGTGAGCCACTGCGCCTGGCCTACTAAATTCTGATATACATGAGTTCTGGATTTTGTTTTTGTTTTTAAAGACAGGACCCAGCTCTGTCGCCCAGGCTGGAGAATCATGGCTCGCTGCAGCCTTGACCTCCCAAGCTCAAGTGATCCTCATACCTCAGCTTCTTGAGTAGCTGGGACTACAGGTACGCACCACCTCACCTGGCTAATTTTAAAAGTTTTTTGTATCTTGCCATGTTGTCCAGGCTGATTTCAAACTCCTGGCTCAAGCAATCTTCCCGCCTCTGCTTTCCAAAGTGCTAAGATTACAGGCATGAGCCACCATAACTGGCTGAGTGTGTTTCTGGACTCTTAAACTCTTCTACTGATTTCCCCCACTTTTAACTTCTACGACAATACCATACTTAAAAATACCTTTATTTATTTATTTATTTTTGAGATGGAGTTTCACTCTTGTTGCCCAGGCTGGAGTGCAATGGCGCGATCCTGGCTCACCACAACCTCCACCTCCCGGGTTCAAGCGATTCTCCTGCCTCAGACTCCCGAGTAGCTGGGATTACAGGCGCCTGCCACCATGCCCGGTTAATTTTCTATTTTTAGTAGAGACGGGGTTTCTCCATGTTGGTCAGGCTGGTCTGGAACTCCCGACCTGAGGTGATCTGGCCGCCTTGGCCTCCCAAAGTGCTGGGATTACAGGCATGAGTCACTGTGCCCAGCAAAAATACTTTTTTTTTTTTTGAGACGGAGTCTTGCTCAGTCACCCAGGCTGGAGTGCAGTGGCGCGATCTTGGCTCACTGCAAGCTCCGCCTCCCGGGTTCATGCCATTCTTCTGCCTCAGCCTCCCAAGTAGCTGGGACTACAGGCACCCGCCACCATGCCCGGCTAATTTTTTTTGTATTTTTAGTAGAGACAGGGTTTCACCGTGTTAGCCAGGATGGTCTCAGTCTCCTGACCTCGTGATCCACCCGCCTCGGTCTCCCAAAGTGCTGGGATTACAGGCGTGAGCCACCGCGCCAGGCCAAAAATACCTCTTTTTAGACAAGGTGCCATGGCTCATGCCTGTAATCCCAGCACTGTGGGAGGCTGAGGTGGGAAGATCACTTGAGTCTGGGAGGTTGGGGTTGGAGTGAGCCGTGATCCTGCCACTGCACTCCAGCCTGGGTGACAGCAAGACCCTATCTCAAAATAACAAAACAACCACCACAACAACTACCACTCCCCCATCCCTTTGTTTTTGAGGTAGAGTCTTGCTCTGTCGCCCAGGCTGGAGTGCAATGGCACCATCTTGGCTCACTGCAACCTCTGCCTCCTGGGTTTAAGTGATTCTCCTGCCTCAGCCTTCCAAGTAGCACCAGGCAACCACCCCATTTTAATTGTGGAAAATTTCAAACTCATACAAGAGTATATGTATGTATTTATGTATCATGAACCCATCACCAGGTTCAACAATTATCAATTTGTAGCTAATCTTGTTTCATCTAAATCCCCACCTACTTATCTTCACTGCCTACTCCCAATTATTTGGAAGCCAGTGCCAGAGTAATTTCATCCCTACCGTATCTATATGTATCTCTACAACACAAGGACTCTTAAAAAAGAAAACAAAAGGTGTGGTGGCTCACACCTGTAGTCCCAGCACTTGGGAGGGTGAGGCGGGGGCATCACCCGAGGTCAGGTGTTCGAGACTAGCCTGGTCAACATGGTGAAACCCCGTCTCTATCAAAAAATATAAAAATTAGCCGGGTGTGGTGGCGCATTTTTAATCCCGGGTACTTGGGAGGCTGAGGCAGGAGAAACCGGGAGGCGGAGGTTGCAGTGAGCTGAGATCACACCGTTGCACTCCAGCCTGGGCTACAAGAACGAAACTCCGTCTCAAAAAACAAAATGAAACAAAACAACAACAACAAAAAGAAAACAAAACCAAACTCTGGCAGTTTATGTTTTGAAGGAACTAAATTGTCCTGTGGTTTTCCTGTCTGGATTTTGCCGATTGCACCCCCATGGGTGTGAATTAACTGAACCATACTTTAAAAATTACTATAATTTCATGTTAATATGTACAAAATCTGTACATAAATCCCCCAATCTTTTTCAAAATTCAAGATGCCAGTACTTGTACTCTTCCATAGGAACTTTAGAATTAACTTGGCAAATTCCAGAACAGAACCCACTGGGACTTTCATTGGAATTGCCTTGACCTTTTTTTTTTTGTTTTGAGACAGAGTCTCGCTCTGTTGCCCAGGCTGGAGTGCAGTGGTGCAATCTTGGCTCACTGCAACCTCCGCCTCCTGGGTTCAAGTGATTCTCCTGCCTCAACCTCCCAAGTAGCTGTGATTACAGGCACGCGCGAGCACGCCCGGCTAATTTTTGTATTTTTAGTAGAGATGGGGGGGGGTTTCAACATTTTGGCCAGGCTGGTCTCGAACTCATCGCCTCAAGTGATCTGCCTGTCTCGGCCTCCCAAAGTGCTGGGATTACATGCGTGAGCTACCGCACCCAGCCTAGGCTTAATTTTTGAATCTTTAGCTTTTGCTGGTATTATGAAGGGGGTTGTTTTGTTGTTCTTGTTGCTGCTATTTTCTAATTGATTAAAAAAAATTAAGATGGTGGGGGTGGTCTCGTTATGATGTCTACGCTGTTCTGGAACTCTTGGTCTCAAGGGATCCTTCTGCTTTAGCCTCCTGTGGAGCTGGGATTATAGGTGAGCGCCACGAAGCCCGGCCTCTAATTAATTATCGGTGGTGTATAAAAAGAACAGACCTTCTTAATTCGAATCCCATCTTCTCCATTTATTATGTGATTTTGGACATGTTTGTTCAACTTCTCCTAGACTTTGTTTTCTTTTTACGACATGGGGATCATAAAGCCGGGATGCAGTTGGGAATAAAACCGGATAAAGCTCCCAACGAACCGCGGGTTTCATAAGATCAGGGCAGGGACTGGGTAAAAGGTTTCAAAGACTCCTGCACTATTGGGAAGGACGCTACGGGCGAGTCTATGTTGCATGCAGGCGACTCCATGTTAAGACGAAGTGAACTCCCTGAACCTTCAAGGGATAATGCACAACCATAACGAGAATAATTTTTAAAAATAGAGTTTTCTTCCCTGAAAACTTGGAGAGGTCCAGGATGCGCGCCATTCTGTGATCTAGGTTGACTCTCCACCTCTTCAGTTGGTACCACCTTTCCCAAATAGTTTGGAGCAGAGCACTCCGGTCTTTGTAATAACGTACTCCTAAGAGCTGTTCCAGTGGACTCACGCAGGCGCAGGAGACTACACTTCCCAGGAACTCCGGGCCGCGTTGTTCGCTGGTACCTCCTTCTGACTTCCGGTATTGCTGCGGTCTGTAGGGCCAATCGGGAGCCTGGAATTGCTTTCCCGGCGCTCTGATTGGTGCATTCGACTAGGCTGCCTGGGTTCAAAATTTCAACGATACTGAATGAGTCCCGCGGCGGGTTGGCTCGCGCTTCGTTGTCAGATCTGAGGCGAGGCTAGGTGAGCCGTGGGAAGAAAAGAGGGAGCAGCTAGGGCGCGGGTCTCCCTCCTCCCGGAGTTTGGAACGGCTGAAGTTCACCTTCCAGCCCCTAGCGCCGTTCGCGCCGCTAGGCCTGGCTTCTGAGGCGGTTGCGGTGCTCGGTCGCCGCCTAGGCGGGGCAGGGTGCGAGCAGGGGCTTCGGGCCACGCTTCTCTTGGCGACAGGATTTTGCTGTGAAGTCCGTCCGGGAAACGGAGGAAAAAAAGAGTTGCGGGAGGCTGTCGGCTAATAACGGTAACGATAATTATTGTTATTACCATGCTAACAGGTTATAAACATTGACTGAACTAAGCACCCTGCATGCCCGTTCTCATTTAATTTCCTCGCCAAGCCAATGTAGTTGGTGCTATTCTTGGTCCCTCTTGACAGAAACTGAGGAAGGAGGAAGGAGGAGGAAACTGAGGCCCAGAATCTAGATAAATTTCGAGAAATGGGTGATACAGTAGCCATGCCCTCAGGAAGTGTGGCGTTTGATGGAGGAAAACAGAGGTAGTCACAAATAAGTACATTTCAAAACTGTTGTCTAAAACAGGAAGATAATTAGATGGTGTGAGAACATAATTGAGGGAGAGTTTAAGTCCACTTGGAGTTGTCTTCTATTTGGGATTTAAAATTCATTATATGTTATCCATATTTGTCCAGCTCTCTTTTTGTATGGAATCACCAGATATTATTCCCTTTCTCATTTCCTTTCTCAACATTTATAGATTGGAGGGGGGAAGGAAAACCAAACCAGGTTATAATGTAGAATTGGTTTACCCCCTATTTTCTTGACATATAACGTCTGGTTTTCCACATATAATTTTCTAGTAGTTCAGTAACATGGACTCCCCCCAAATCAGGCCTACTTAGGATAGAAGAGGATTTTTGACTCCTGGATTTTGCTTTAAGACCAGCTCTTGGTTTACTTCCTGCTTCACCCTTACCTTTTCTTGACATCCTGTGGCCTCTCTTTGAATTTCTCTCACTCATCAAATGTTGTCAAAAATAGGACTACTTGCTGCTGTAGTAAGGATATTCTTGTATTGTGGCCTTAGTGTATTACATCACCCCCACGTCAGACTTGAGTCCCCCTGGTTGGTTTGGGTGAGTCAGTTCAGTATTAAGCTGGCATTCTTGGATCAAAATTATGTGGCTGTCAGCTAACTCAGCCATTTAGTTGACCTTTGAGGGTACTGTGCTCAGATTGGCATGAGATATTATGGGTGTACAGATATATGATGTACTCAAACGTTTTTTGGTATGTTTGGGGACAAAAACATGGTTTGAAATTGGCAAGTGAGAATCAGAGCAAGATAGGACACCATCTGGGTGCTCTACTGTTTTGTATTCTAGGTGTCTGGACAATTTAGAGGTGAGGGAGTTCAAGAGCCAGTTTGTGTTTCTGTGCTTCACAAAGCCACCCTTGTCTAATTCTTGATAACCAGAGTTTGGTTAGACAGGGACTGAAACAATCCTAGTGCATAGGAATCACCCACTAAATACCTGTTGAATTGAGTAGGCAGGAAGGCACTATCTGAATTGACTACAAAATTGCGGGTATGAAAAACTGGATTGTATTCAACTAGGTTGGTAAATTTGTTTAGACTTTCAAATTATCTGAATAGGGTTTATTTGGCCAACCTTATGCATAAATCTGTGTATTCCAACCTTGATAAAATTAATTTATTGCAATTAAGTTTGTCCAGGATTATGTGAGAGAGTCCTTCATTTCATTTCTTTAGTTACCAGGAGATGTTCAGGGCTCATCTACATCTCCTGGTTAATTTTCCTTCAGCTTTTTCTGTGTCTCTTCCCTAATTCTCTTTGAGTTCCTGGGAGAAAGAGGAGGGATATTTAAATGCCCTTTGACATACTTAATTTTCTTTGCTATGGGCAAAGTTAGGAAGCAAAATTGACTATAGAGTTGTTTTTTTTGTTTTTGTTTTTGTTTTTTTTTTTTGAGACGGAGTCTCACTCTGTCGCCCAGGCTGGAGTGCAGTGGCGCGATTTCAGCTCACTGCAACTTCTGCCTCCCCTGTTCAAGCAATTCTCCTACCTCAGTCTCTTGAGTAGCTGGGATTATAGGGATCTGCCACCACACCCGGCTAATTTTTGTATTTTTTTTTTGAGATGGCATCTCACTTTGTTACCTAGGCTGGAGTGCAATGGTGCGCTCTCGGCTCACTGCAACCTCCGCCTCCTGGGTTCAAGCAATTCTCCTGCCTCAGCCTCCCAAGTAGCTGGGACTACAGGCGCATGCCACCACACCCGGCTAGTTTTTTTGTATTTTTAATAGAGATGGGGTTTCACCATGTTAGCCAGGATGGTCTCAATCTCCTGACCTCGTAATCTGCCTGCCTCGGCCTCCCAAAGTGCTGGGATTACAGGTGTGAGCCACTGTGCCTGGCCTAATTTTTGTATTTTTAGTAGATACAGGGTTTCACCACGTTGGCCAGGCTAGTCTCAAACTCCTTATCTCAGGTGATCCACCTGCCTCGGCCTCCCAAAGTGCTGGGATTACAGGTGTGAGCCACCTTGCCTGGCCTTAGAGAGATTTCATAACCCAAGCGATTCTGTGAATAGATCTGTATTTGAGACAGAGATGTAGAGATCAGCAGCCCAAGGTACTCTGTGAAAAAAGGATAGATAACTGCGGAGGGCTTCCGTTTTTGTTTGTGTAGGGAAACTTGGTAAAAGGGGAATAAAGAACAGTGAGAAAAGTATAAAATTGTATCTAGAGGTTACTTTGGAAATTAAAAATAATGTTATTTGTACTTAGTAAAACAAAGTAGTAAAAGTTTGCTCTTTTTTTTTTTTTTTTTTTGAGACAGTCTCACTGTGTTGCTCAGGCTGGAGTGCACTGGCTGGCGCAATCTTGGCTCACTGAAGCTTCCGCTTCCCAGGTTCAAGCGATTCTCCTGCCTCAGTGTCCCGAGTAGCTGGGATTGCAGGCGTGCACCACCATGCCTGGCTAATTTTTGTATTTTTAGTAGAGATGGGGTTTCACCATGTTGGCCAGGCTGGTCTTGAACTCCTGACCTCAAGTGATCCACCTGCCTTGGCCTCCCAAAGTGCTGGGATTATAGGCGTGAGCCACTGCTCCCGGCCTGTTAACCCTTTTTTACTACAGAGAACTTGGAACCTGTTTCATCACTTTTCTGCTTCTTCCAGGTTCTTGATACATATTTGCCAGACTTCAAGATTTCAGAAAAGGGGTGAAAGAGAAGATTGCAACTTTGAGTCAGACCTGTAGGCCTGATAGACTGATTAAACCACAGGTAAGGCAGTGACCATAGGAATAAGGAACATTAATATATCAGCTTCATAAGTGTTTAAATGACTAATGTAATTTTATAAAGTAACACATATTTTGGAAGGAAATTTATTTATTATGAAAAGCAAAAAGAAAATAAAATCACCCACTATCCCACCTCTCAGATAAACCATGGTTAGCCTTTTGATAGATTTCTTTATAATTTTTTTCTATGTCTATATAGTCATTCCTTGATATCCATGGGGAATTGGTTCTAAGACCTTCCCAGGATATCAAAATTCTCATATGCGGCCGGTTACTGTGGCTTATGTCTGTAATCCCAGCACTTTGGGAGGCTGAGGCAGGCGGATCACCTGAGGTCAAGAGTTTGAAACCGGCTGGCCAACATGGCAAAACCCCATCTCTACTAAAAATACAAAAATTAGCTGGGTGTGGTGGTGCGCATCTGTAATCTCAGCTACTTGGGAGACTGAGGCAGGAGAATCCCTTGAACCCGGGAGGCAGAGGCTGCAAGTGAGCCAAGATCTCATCACTGCACTCCAGCCAGCAAGACTCTGTCTCAAAACAAACAAAACAAAATTCTCAGATGCTCAAGCCCTGGTATAAAATGATGTGTAGTATTTGCATATAGCTTATGTACATACTCCCACATACTTTAAATTATCTCTAGATTACTTATAATACTTAATACAATGTAAATGCTATGTAAATAGTTGTTATACTGTATTGTTTAGGGAATAATGACAAGAAAAAAAGTCTAGGCTGGGTACAGTGGCTCAGGCCTGTAATCCCACCACTTTGGGAGACTTAAATAGGAGGATTGCTTGAGGCCAGGAGTTCGCGACCAGCCTGGGCAACATAGTGGCACCGTGTCTCTACAAAAAAAATAAAACATAAAAAAATTTAACCGGGCGTGGTGGCACCTACTTGTAGTCCCAGCTACTTGGGGGGCCAAGGTGAAGGGTCACTTAAGCCAAGGAGTTTGAGGTTACGGTGAGCTGAGGGCACCACTGCACTCCAACCTGGGTGGCAGAAAGAGACCCTGTCTCAAAAAAAGTCTGTACATATGCAGTACAGATGCAGTTTTTTTTTTTTTTTTTGAGGCAGAGTTTCGCTCTTGTTGCCCAGGCTGGAGTGCAATGGTGCAATCTCAGCTTACCGTAACCTCCGCCTCCCAGGTTCAGGCGATTCTCCTGTCTCAGCCTCCCGAGTAGCTGGGACTACAGGCATGCCACACCTGGCTAATTTTGTATTTTTAACAGAGATGGGGTTTCTCCATGTTGGTCAGGCTGGTCTCGAACTCCTGACTTCAGGTGATCTGCCCGCCTCTGCCTCCCAAAGTGCTAGGATTACAGGCGTGAGCCACCGTGCCTGGCCTTGCAGTTTTTTTTCCCCCAAATATTTTTGATCTGCAGTTGATTGAATCCACAGATATGGAACTCATAGATACGGACAGCCAACTGTATTTCATTTTTAAAAAAATCATACACTAAAAACTTTTGTTAATTTTTTTAACTTTTTTTTTTTTTTTTTTTTGAGTCGGAGTCTCACTCTGTCGCCCGGGTTGGAGTGCAATGGCGCGATCTCTGGCTCAATGCAACCTCCGCCTCCCAGGTTCAAGCAATTCTCCTGCCTCAGCCTCCCGAGTAGCTGGGATTACAGGCACCCGCAACCACACCCGGCTATTTTTGTGTTTTTAGTAGAGACGGTTTCACCATATTGGCCAGGCTGGTCTCAAACTCCTGACCTCATGATCTGCCCACCTCGGCCTCCCAAAGTGCTGGGATTGAGGCTTGAGCCACCACGCCCGGCCTCTAATTTTTTTAACTTAATAATCAGGCTATGAATATTTTCCCGTGTCATTAATAAATTTTCTTCTCTTTTCTTTTTTGTTTTTTTTGAGACAGGGTCTTGCTCTGTCACCCAGGCTGGAGTGTGCACTTCAGTGGCGTGATCACAGCTCACTGCAGCCTCCATCTCCTGGGCTCAAGTGATCTTCCTGCCTTAGCCTCTCGAGTTGCTGAAACTACAGGTGCATGCCACTGTACCTGGCCAAATTTTTCTACAACATAATTTTAATGGCTATATGGTATTCCATTATTTGGTTCTTTATATTACTTTTACCAGTGAAATTGCTGGTCTAAAAGAATGCGTATTTTTGGCCGGGCGCGGTGGCTCACGCCTGTAATCCCAGCACTCTGAGGAGGCTGAGGCGGGCAGATCACCTGAGGTCAGGAGTTCAAGACCAGCCTGGCTAACATGGTGAAACCCTGTCTCTACTAAAAATACACAAATTAGCCAGGCATGATGACGGGTGCCTGTAATCCCACTTACTCGGGAGGCTGAGGTGGAAGAATCACTTGAACCTGGGAGGTGGAGGTTGCAGTGAGCCGAGATCGCGCCATTGCACTACTGCAGCCTAGGCAACAGCGAGACTCCATCTCAAAAAACAAACAAACAAAACATATTTTTAAAAACTTTTGACATGTAACACCAAATTGCCTTGTAGGAAGATTATGCTGATTTACCTAAAACAGTATATATTCACATAGGCATAAATGTATAACTTAAAATAGGTAATATATTTGCATGGTGCAAAAATCAAAAGAATATAAAAAGCTTCATGGTTTAAAATCTTCCTCCAGCCTTGTTACTTCTTCACTCTCACCATCCATAGGTAAACACTTTTTTTTTTTTTTTTTTGGAGACAGAGTCTCACTCTGTCAACCAGGCTGGAATACAGTGGCACAATCTCAGCTTACTGCAACCTCTGCCTCCCTGGTTCAAGTGATTCTCCTGCCTCAGCCTCCCGAGTAGCTAGGATTACAGGCACGCCACCACACCTGGCTAATTTTTGTATTTTTATTAGAGATGGGGTTTTGCCATATTGGCCAGGCTGGTCTTGAACTCCTGACCTCAGGTGATCCACCTGCCTTGGCCTCCCAGAGTGCTGGGATTACAGGCATGAGCCATCTAATAAACACTTTTATTAGGTTCTTGGGTTTGAGTGTTTGTGTGTTATTCCCCAAACCAGATACCTTTTGAAGGGAATAAATCTCTATAAAATGAAATGACTGCTATTTGACTAGGATTGTAATCTGCAGCCACACTGTCAACCATTACAAACTTTTTCAGCTTCATACTATTGGAATATCAGATTACTTTGGGTTTCTACTAAGATTTCCTTTTAGTATTTTACAAAGCTCTCTGTCATTATCTGTCCTAGTAGTAAACAGCATCATTGATTTCCATCTAGGTCCTATTAGTCATAGGTGGATTATGGTTTGTTGAGTTCTATGGATAAATTATAGCAAAACTGAGTTTGTAATCCTTAAAAAAGGGCAATATGAAACATACAAGTTTGGGAGAGAAATGATAGGAAATATATTTGCTTGAAGTTTCTGGACAGTGATGAATTAGAACAAGTGTCCATGTGTCCTGTGCTGACTTCTGAGTGTTGGACAGTGAGGGATTGTCATTGGATTTTAAATTGACCCAATTTTGGAAGCTTCATAGATCTGTTTCTGTAAACAGATCCAATTTCAACATAGAAGTTAGCAAACATAAATGTGGAAACACAAAGTCCATTAAACTTCCTTCAGACTTAGTTTGTGACTTTGATTAACAGTTAAAATTGCATGCTGGATTATGTTGCCATTTACTGACTGCTGCTAATCCCTTATATACAAGAAAAAAATGTAGGTGTTTTCTCTCTGGGTAAGATGAAAGTAACTCCACTCTATTTTACTTGTGGTAATGTAACAGGATCTCTTATCCCTTGTGAAAGTAGGAGAGGATGTCCCTGGAGAAATGGCACTGCCTGGGATGGGACCATCTTAACTAACTATACTTCTAATGAAGTCTTGTCTTACTCTGTTTATTCTATTATATTACCAGTTTAACTCATGACTTTCTCTTTAATAGAAATAGGCAAGTCATATCTCACTGACTGGATAGCAAGGTGTTTGAGAGCATCTGTCACACCAAAGTCTTTGTTTTGCTCAGGAGCTGGTAGTCCCCTATTTCACCCTGCTTAGAATGCACCCTCTTGCAGCTTTCCCCAACCCGGTCTGAACCTGCACCTTTTGATTTATAGAGCTTGTCAAGACTAGTTATTTTTGGTTTGAGAGTGAAGAAAGATGGGAGGCAATGGGAGGTTAATTTCAGATGAATGTGGGAACAGGTTACATTGCTTTGTCTGCAATCTTCCTAATTTGTATTTGTCTTCCCCTTCCATTTATCTCTTACCCTAGAAAAAGTCAACGTTCATTCTTAGCTTGTAGAACTCCGCAGGTCTGTCTGTATCTTTTAAGTATTTTTTACATCAGGAAACCATCTCTGATCCTCTTTTATGCTGTTCTCCTTCTCTGCACTTCCAGAGCGCTCTCTGTTAATGCCCTCTTGCAGCAAGGATAGCCCTATATTGTAATTGTTTGCATTCCCCCATTCAATTGTGCGTTCTTGGAGGGAAGAGATTTTTTTTTGTTGTTGTTGTTTGAGAAGGAGTCTCGCTCTGTCCCAGGCTGGAGTGCAGCGGTGCAATCTCGGCTCACTGCAGCCTCCACCTCCTGGGTTCAAGCTATTTTCCTGCCTCAGCCTCCCGAGTAGCTGGGATTAAAGGCACGTACCCACCACGCCCGCTAATTTTTGTATTTTTAGTAGAGACGGGTTTCACCATGTTGGCCTGGCTGATCTCGAACTCCTGACTTCGTGATCCGCCTGCCTTGGCCTCCCAAAGTACTGGGATTACAGGCATAAGTCACTGTGCCCGGCCGAGATTTTATATCTCTATCTCTGTCTGTCTGTCTGTCTGTCTGTCTATCTATCTATCTATCTATCGTTTTAGTCTTCGCTTTTTGGAAACAAAAATGGGCTATAAGACACGATGGATGGCATTGAATAGGCAGTTTTTAGAGGAACCTAATTGGTTCATAGCATACAGGATAGGCTTTTTCCTTGGGTCTTTGTAGGAATATTGGTCATTAATAGCTATTTTTCCATGCAGAATATTTCTAGTTTTGCAAGAATCTGAAGCTGTGGTAGATTCAGATAATTTTGAAATGTGAAGCTGATTCTCTTGCTTGGCAACTTGATTTGTTTGGGGGAATGTGGTTGACGCATGTGCCTTTTTTTTTTTTTTTTTTTTGGTGAGACCTGTTGACAGAAATTCAATCTTGATTAAGGGACGCAGGAAGGCATCCAGTTCCCACCATGCCTGGGGCTCTCTCATTTAAACAGCTGCCTTTGGCTCTGGCCTGTTCCATTTCCCACTAGGCCCTGTGGACTTTAATTTTGGAAGATTTCACATCCTCATATTTATTATTTCTGGGGGAGGTAGTGTCGTGAAACCGAAATTACCCAGTAGTTAGCTTTTCGTTTTCTTGATGTACTTGTCCTATCAGCCTTAATTGAAGAGAGTCAGACTTCTCAATGGATATGTATTTATTTATTCTCTTTTTCCAGGGAGAGGGGATGGTCTCCTGAGTTGGCCATTCTAGACCAAAATATAGCTTAAAAGAAGCTTTTTTAAAGAACAGGTCATGTTAGGAAAATAATATTTTGTTTTTAAAATTTCACCTAAAGATTAAGTGTACTTAGGTTTGCACCCCTCGCCGTTTGTTCCCCACTAATCAAATGTAGTCTTAGACCTCAGAGGACAGCCTTTCTTCTGCTGCTTGAACCCTCTTCATAGTCTCTTTACTCTAGAATATCACTGAGGTTTTCACTAACCACCATCTTATATAGAGGAAAAACTTCATATGGAAAAGTATACTTAAAAAAAGAGGAATCAATGGATTTTTTAAAAAATTTATGGGAAGATTCAGATCAGAGCTTTCCAAATATATTTATAACAGGATTTGTAATTTGCTAAAGTTTTCTTTATGAGCATATCAGGGATGCTTAGTTTTCATAAAGGGCAGGATTTGTCTTTGTTGAACAGGATCTTATGATTTGATTACCTACCTCCTTTTTGAAGCAATGTTTATAGGAAAACTTGTGCATTAGAGAGACCCCAGATTTTGGAATCCTGCAGACTTGTTCTTTTAAAACTCAACACTGCTATGTATTAGTTTGGTGATCTTGGAATAGTGTAACTTCTCTGAGCTTGTTTCCTTGTTTATAAAATGGTGATGGTAGCATTTATTTATAAAGACATCTATCTATTGTCTATATTGTTAATGCAGTTTAAACGAGATGATTTATGTGAAGTGTCTGGTAAGGTGCCTGGCCTACAGTAGACAGTATTTGGAAGTTATTATCTCTTGCTCCATGACATTTGTTATTTATCTATTTAAATGTGAATTTTTTTTTTTTTTTTTGAGACAGAGTCTTGCTTTGTTGCCCAGGCTGGAGTGCAGTGGCGCGATCTCGGCTCACTGCAACCTCCGCCTCCTGGGTTCACGCCATTCTCCTGCCTCAGCCTCCCGAGTAGCTGGGACTACAGGCATCCACCACCACGCCTGGCTAATTTTTTTGTATTTTTAGTAGAGACGGGGTTTCACTGTGTTAGCCAGGATGGTCTCAATCTCTTGACCTCATGATCCACCCGCCTCGGCCTCCCAAAGTGCTGGGATTACAGGCGTGAGCCACCGCGCCCAGCTTAAATGTCTATTTTTAAATAAATAGGCAGTGGATAAGAACACCACCTTCGGTGTCTATTCCATTTGGAATCCTGGCTTTACTGCTTCTTAGCTGCATGACTGTGAATAAGTAGTAAATCTCTCTGTGCCTCAAGTCCCTCAGTATAGAATGAAGATAATAACAGTACCTACTTTATAGGATTATTGTGAGGATTTAGTGAGTTAATACATGTAAGACACTGTCAACAGTGTCTGGCATGTCATAAGTGCTCATTAAGTAATAGCTGTTGGCCGGGCACGGTGGCTTACGCTAGTAATCCCAGCAGTTTGGGAGGCTGAGGCGGGTGGATCACTTGAGGTCAGGAGTTCAAGACCAGCCTGGCCAACATGGTGAAACCCCGTCTACTAAAAATACAAAAAATTAGTTGGGCATGGTGGCAGGTGCCTGTAATCCCAGCTACTCAGGAGGCTGAGGCAGGAGAATCACATGAACCCGTGAGCCAGAGGTTGCAGTGAGCCAAGATTGTGCCACTGCATTCCAGCCTGGGCGACAAGAGTGAAACTCTGTCTCAAAAAAAAAGAAAAAAGTTAATAGCTGTTTTTATTTTTAACTTTTTCAAATTTATATACCCTTTTATTAAGTCAATGCCCCAGGAATCATTTTTAGTTCTATATAGAAATCTTATTATTTGTTTATTTTTAATTTTTTAAATTAATTATTATTATATTTTTGAGATGGAGTCTTACTCTGTTGCCAGGCTGGAGTGCAGTGGCACGATCTTGGCTCACTGGAACCTCCTCCTCCCGGGTTCAAGCTATTCTCCTGCCTCTGCCTCCCGAGTAGCTGGGACTACAGGCGCATGCCACGATGCCCAGCTAATTTTGTGTTTTTAGTAGAGACAGGGTTTCACCATGTTGGCCAGGATGGTCTCGATTTCTTTTTTTTTTTTGAGACGGAGTTTCGCTCTTGTTGCCCCGGCTGGAGTGCGATGGTGCGATCTTGGCTCACTGCAACCTCCACCCCCCAGGTTCAAGCAATTCTCCTGCCTCAGTCTCCCAAGTAGCTGGGATTACAGGCATGCACCACCACACCTGGCTAATTTTATATTTTTAGTAGAGACAGGGTTTCTCCATTTTGAGGCTGGTCTCGAACTCCTGACCTCAGGCGATCCGCCCGCCTTGGCCTCCCAAAGTGCTGGGATTACAGGTGTGAGCCACCGTGCCCGGCTATTTATTTATTTATTTATTTATTTATTTATTTATTTATTTATGAGACGGAGTCTCACACTGGAGTGCAGTGGCATGATCTCGGCTCACTGCAACCTCTGCCTCCTGCATTCAAGCGATTCTCCTGCCTCAGCCTCCCGAGTAGCTGGGATTACAGGCATGTGCCACCAAACTCAGCTAATTTTTGTATTTTTAGTAGAAAGATGGGGTTTCACCATGTTGGCCAGGTTGGTAGTTCTATATAGAAATATTAGAAAGAGAATATGTAACATTTGGGTAAGTTAATAGTCAATTTATAGGCCACGTAAATGGGAAGGATTATTTCCTTAAATCAAGAGATTAGACAATCATTGCTTGTCATGAATATTTAATAAAAATTTGAGAAAGCTCAGTTTCTTTTGGGCTGCAAACATAGATCTAGGGAAATAAATACTGCTTAACTATTTTGTTGTTGTTGTTGTTGTTGTCTTTTAAGAGACAGAGTCTCACTCTGTTGCCCACGTTAGAGTGCAGTGGTGCAATCGTGGGTCACTGTGGCCTCAAACTCCTGGACTCAAATGATCCTCCCACCTCAGCCTCCTGATTAGCTGGGACTACAGGCACACACCACCATGCCCAGCTACTTAGGAGGGGTTGAGGAGGGAGGATCCTTTGGGCCCAGGAGTTCGAGTCTAGCCTGAGCAACAGGCTAGATTCTTTAAAAAACAGAGATGAAAAAGAAAGAAAAAAAGGATGTGAAGGGTTAAATTTGAACACTTTCCAGGTAGTTTTCAGCATCATGCTTTGGTGGAATCATGGTTTTGAGGCTAAGTGGGGTTGCTGCATGTTACATTCCTGCCTCTTCCTTCCCCCAGCTTTAGTCGTCTTCATTACATTCATGCCTGGGAAGCCTTCCCAGTGACCTGAGTTAGGCATTAAGATCATGGGAATCCAAGATTTTCCCATGTCTTCTAGCATATTTGTTCACAAGAAAAGGAAAATTTCCTCCTTGCAGCAAGGGGTTTTTAACCACTGTCAGTACCATGGAATCTTTCACTAAAAATCCTTTGAATAGAAATGTGGTCAAGGAGAGGAAAGGTATCAGCAGTGATAATACCTTACAATAGTGTATTTCATAGCACTTGAAGTAGCTTCTTATTTGATTATGGTAAGAAGGTAGGCAGAGAATTAGTGACTTGCCTATTGTCATATACATGTGGTAAATGCCAGAGAGGGCATTCTGGACTTCTGTTAGTTGGAATTGCTTTTGACTACAGGTGACAGAAAATGTGGCTATAATGGTTTATACAATAATTATTATTATTTTCTGAGATGAAGTCTCACTCTTGTCACCCAGGCTGGAGTGCAATGGCGCAATCTCAGCTCACTGCAACCTTCGCCTCCTGGGTTCAAGTGATTCTCCTGCCTCAGCCTCCCGAGTAGCTGGGATTACAGGCACCTGCCACCACACCTGGCTAATTTTTATATTTTTATTAGAGACAGGGTTTCACCATGTTGGTGAGGCTGGTCTCGAACTCCTGACCTCAGGTGATCCGCCTGCCTTGGCCTTCCAAAGTGTTGGGATTACAGGTGTGAGCTACCGTGCCTGGCCTATTTTTTTTTAGTATAAGAAGTCTTTTTAGCAGGTCATGGAAAATTGTAAAAAACACCAGAAGTCTAGAGGTATATAGTAGCTGATATTTGATCTTTAATAGTCATTAGCTCATTGATGTTAAGCCCTATGTTTATTGTTCTCTTGGCCATCTACTCATGTATACCAGATGACTGCCATAGCTCCAGCTTGCCTTCAAGGCAAGAAGAAGGATAAAGGGAAAGGGCAGGAATAAGGGCTATAGCTGTTTTCAGGAAAGAAAATTTTTTCCTAGGAATCCCTCAGCAGATTCTTACTTAGTTCTCATTGGCCAGAACTGTCCCATGGCTACCCCAAGCTTGGAAAGTGGCTATCAGGAGGTAACTTCCATTTTAATGTACTTGCTACTGTTTTGGTCATGGTCAATGAAAAATATTTAATCGTACCTTGACTTCAGCCATGTTAATTTCTAATTCTCTATACTTAGAGTTCATACTGTATAATTTAAACAAACTGTCTTATTTATTGTGTATGATAGGACCTTAGCGTCTATGTAGATGTTAAGTTCCTTTGTGTTCAGGACTACATCTACTTTTTTTTCTTTTTTTTTGAGACGGAGTCTCGCACTGTTGCCCAGGCTGGATGCGGTGGCGTGATCTCGGCTCACTGCAAGCTCTGCCTCCCGGGTTCACACCATTCTCCTGCCTTAGCCTCCTGAGTAGCTAGGACTATAGGTGACCGCCACCATGCCTGGCTAATTCTTTTTGTATTTTTAGTAGAGACGGGGTTTCACCATGTTAGCCAGGATGGTCTCAATCTCCTCACCCTGTGATCCACCTGTCTCGGCCTCCCAAAGTGCTGAGGTTACAGGTGCGAGCCACTGAGCCTGGCCGCTTAGATCTACTTTTTGTGTGAAGATATAGAGTGTCATCCTTGAATGTTACTGAGAAACATTCAAGGGCACACAGCTTATGGCCCCTAGCAAGTACACACTATTGTGAACCACTGACAAAAAGCTTATTGAGTTAAGCTTAATAATGAAAGTAGAAATGGAGGAGAGAGGAAAATTTAGACTGGGGATACCAAAGAACCCCTATTCCAGACAGAAGACTATGGAGAATGGATTTACTTGGAAATAAATACAGTATTCTTTTCTATGCAAATAGCTTAACTTCATGAACACCCTTCTTTAATTCACAAGGTAAGAGGGCAGAAGGATGTAGAAAGAACATTGTGCTGAAGTCACGAGCCTCAGGTCCAGATCTGGCTCTGTTTTTACGTAACTGTGTGATACTGGGCAAGTCATTTAATCTTTCTGATCTTCAGCTTCTAGGTTGGGAATAATTGCTGCTTTACAGGATTGTTTTGCATATCAGAAAGAATACATATTTAGTATATCATGGCACCTGGCATGTAATGAACACCTCTGGTAACTGTTTTTACCATGATCCTTAGGATTTTTGTTGTGTGATCTTGGAGAACCCCTTTTTGCTTTAAGTTAATATCTTATAGACTGCAAAGGTTAGGTGTTAATCAAAGTTTCCTCCCAATTCTAAAATATCATGTTTCTACACTAAGTACCTCAATTAGAGCATTGTTATAAAGATACTTGTGGAATTCTGGCTGCAGTGAGCATAGGAGAGACCATGGGAAGATGATGTTCTCTGGGGTCTAGATTGATGTCACTGTATAAATGAAATATTTGTTATAACAGATGTTTCTGGCCGGGTGCGGTTGCTCATGCCTGTAATCCCAGCACTTTGGGTGGCCGAGGCAGGCAGATCACCTGAGGTCAGGAGTTCAAGACCAGCCTGGCCAACATGGTGAAACCCCATCTCTACTAAAAATAGAAAAATTAGCCAGGCGTGGTGGCGCACGCTTGTAACCCCAGCTACTTGGGAGGCTGAGGGAAGAGAATCGCTTGAACCCAGGAGGTGGAGGTTGCAGTGAACCAAGATCATGCCACTGCACTCCAGCCTGGGCGACAGAGCAAGACACCATCTCAAACAAAACAAAACAAAAACAACAACAATAACAGATGTTTCTGAGACACTATAAGGACCAGAAGTACATTATTTTTATTTATTTTATTTTTTGAGACAGAGTCTCGCTCTGTCTCCCAGGCTGGAGTGCAGTGGTGCGGTCTTGGCTCACTGCAGCCTCCCGGGTTGAAGTGATTCTCACCGAGTAGCTGGAACTACAGGTGCAGCCACCACCCCAGGCTAATTTTTGTATTTTCAGTAGAGATGGAGTTTCACCATGTTGGCCAGGCTGTTCTCGAATTCCTGACCTCAAGTGATCCTCCCGCCGCGTCCTCCCAAAGTGCTGGGATTACAGGCATGAGCCACCACTCTCAGCCCCTAGTCCATTTTGAATTGCCCTAGTCCACTGAGAGAAGCTGTGAAATGCTGGCCAAACCACTGAACGGCTATGTAGGTTGGGAGTAACTAATCTCATGATTCATCTCAGTGGATAGCTTATGTGGTATAGTTTAGAGAAAATGAGTGCTGCAGTGCCCAGAGTTGGGGAGAGTTTGGGGAACTGGCACACTCCTGGTAATGTAAGTGGGTGTTTTTTTCTTCTGAGGGACATTTTCACAGTATGTGTCAAGAGCTTTTGACCCAGCAGTTCCACCTCTTAAGATTTATCTTAAGGGAAGAATTATGGATGTGTACAGAAATTTAGCTACAAGGATGATGCTTTAGCAGTATCTTTAAAGTGAAAATATTGGAAAAAGGCTGAAAATCAAGGATAAGTAATTATGGAACAGATACAGCCATTAATTGATATGTCTATATTTATTGACATACAAGAATATTCATAATATGTGAAGCAGATTCAAACTGTCAATGATTCATTTAAAAAAATAATAGTTTGTATATATATGAGGGAGAAGACATCTGGAATAGTGTAGCATTATAGGTTTATTTATTTATTTATTTTTGAGCCGGAGTCTCGCTCTTGTCACCCAGGCTGGAGTAGAGTGGCGTGATCTTGGCTCACTGCAACCTCCGCTGCCTGCGTTCAAGGGATTCTTATGCCTCAGCCTCCTGAGTAGCTGGGATTACAGGTGCCCACCACTGCGCCTGGCTAATTTTTTGTATTTTTAGTAGAGACAGGGTTTCACCATTTTAGCCATGATGGTTTTGATCTCCTGACCTCGTGATCCACCCGCCTTGGCCTCCCAAAGTGCTGGGATTACAGGCGTGAGCCACCGTGCCCGGCCGCTTTTTTGTATTTTTAGTAGAGATGGGGTTTCACCATGTTGGCCAGGCTGGTCTCAAACTCCTGACCTCAGGTGATCCATCCGCCCTGGCCTCTCAAAGTGCTGGGATTACAGGCATGAGCCACTGCGCCACACTAGAAAGGTATTAATTTAAATAAACATTTATTCAAGTGATTACTGGCATCTACCTCCCTTCTAAGATACAGATACTTTTAAGTACATGTCGTTCCCTGGATAAAAACAAATGGCTGGCCGGGCGCGGTGGCTCACACTTGGGAGGCCGAGGTGGGTGGATCACTTGAGGTCAGGAGTTTGAGACCAGCCTGGCCAACATGGTGAAATCCCGTCTCTACTGAAAACAAAAAATTAGCAAGGTGTGGCTGTGGGCGCCTGTAATTCCAGCTACTAGAGACTGAGGCAGGAGAATTGCTTGAACCCGGAAGGCAGAGGTTGTGGTGAGCTGGGATCATGCCACTGCACTCCAGCCTGGGGGACAGAGTGAGACTCCGTCTCAAAAAAAAAAAAAAGACAAATGGCTCATTGGGTTTCATTGGCAAATTATTGGCCACTGAGTGTGGCCTTTAGGCTATTTATCAGATTACTTTCAGCTATTTTATTAACTAGATTAGGCTTGAGTAGGAGCTGACTTTAAACCTTCACAGGTTTCCACAAGATAGAGTGCAAAACTTCGTACGCAGGAGTAGGGAGGGGCCTATTTAACTTGTTCCCTTATCCTTGCTTCTGTTCCTATGCTGCATGTTGTGACTCTTACGTGTATTTCAAAGTTGTCGTCTTTATACTCAGAAATAGTATTTTTTGAGAATATTTCTAAGAAAAGACAACTTATATTTGACAAAACTGTGTTGAACTCTTACTATGTATAATGCACTGTGTTAAGCACCTTGATGGTTGGATGGATGGATGGATGGATGAGGTATACACAAGTGAGTAAAATCTATCTTTGTTTTTAGGAACTTCGAGTCTACTGGGAGAGACATTTACATAGTTAATATAAAATTGGATGATAAGTGTTACAGTGGAGATATAAACAAAGCACAATTGGCTTTGGAGAGGCAACAATTTTGTATGATAGGTGGAAATTGGGAAAGAGTTCATAGAGATTTGACCTGGACTTTGAATGATGGATAAGATTTTGGTTGGTAGGCATAAAAATTAGTGGTGTATTTTAGAAATTGGGTTATTCAGGGCAGAGAGAGAATAAATTGGGCTAGAGGAGGCTAGAAATGAGAAAATGGTAAATTGAGGGAAAATAATGACATGGTGAATGTAAAACACCTAGCACAGTGTAGATACTTATCAAACTTTGCCTCTTTTAAAAAACATTTAGAAAATTTATTTATTTATTTTATTTTTATTTATTATTATTTTTTTTGAGACAGAGTTTTGCTCTTCTTGCCCAGGCTGGAATGCAATGGCGCGATCTCGACTCACTGCAACTTTCACCTCCCAGGTTCAAGCGATTCTCCTGCCTCACCCTCCCGAGTAGCTAGAATTACAGGCGCCTGCCACCATGCCCAGCTAATTTTTTGTATTTTTTAAGTACAGAAGAGGTTTTGCCATGTTGGTCGGGCTGATCTTGAACTCCTGACCTCAGGTGATCCACCCGCCTCAGCCTCTCGAAGTGCTGGGATTACAGGCGTGAGCCACTGCTCCTGGCCTAAAATTTATTTTTAATTTCAATTTTTTCTTTTTGGTTTTTCTTTATATTTGCTGATTACTTAAAGATAATTTTTATTTTTTTAGAGATAGGGTCAACTACTTACAGATAATTTTTATCTTTTTAGAGACAGGGTCAACTGTTATACTTAGAGATAATTTTAATTTATTTAGAGACAGGGTCTGTCTATGTTTTGTAGGCTGGACTTGGACTCCTGGTCTCATGTGGTCCTCCCTCCTCCCAAAATGCTGGGATTACAGACGTGAGCCACTGTGTCTGGCCCACTTCTTTCTAATTCCAAACATATCTACCTCAAGGAGTATCTTTAAGTTACCTGAAAAACTAATGTTTAGGTTGATTGGACAAAGTAAGGCTATTTTCAGTAAATTCTAGGTGGTTTGCAAAATTACAAACGTGGTAGTAAAACCAAAGTAATGATGGGAATTTACTTAGATTTATGTGCAACCATTTCTTTCCTCAGAAGGTGACCTGCTGAGAAAAGTGGTACAAATACTGGGAAAAACCTGCTCTTCTGCGTTAAGTGGGAGACAATGTCACAAGTTAAAAGCTCTTATTCCTATGATGCCCCCTCGGATTTCATCAATTTTTCATCCTTGGATGATGAAGGAGATACTCAAAACATAGATTCATGGTTTGGTAAGTGCCTGCTTTCTCTGGCTATTTTAAGGATTAGTGGCTTGCTTTGTGCTGAAGACCTTTCAATAATAGAAGGGGTTGCAAGAAAAGAACTAAAATATCAACTTCTTTCTGCACCAAGACATTCTGTCATCCATGATATTATGGGAATAATTGAAATGCCCAGTATTTGGGGAATGGATTGTAAGTACAAAGCATATGTTGTTTTGTAGTTCAGAATGGCAGATTTAAGCTTTAGGGACCTATGGGAAAGTTCAGATGAACCAGTGTTCAACAAAACTCCATGCTCAAATATGTCTGTAGTGATGGCAGCCACATAAAAACTTTGTCTACTATCATTAGGGATAGATTATATCACAGCTAGGATATTGACATTCATACAATCTACCAGTTTTACTCAGATTTCTCCAGTTTTACTTGTATGTGTATTAAGTTCTCTGTGGTTTTATCACCTGTGTTGGTTTATGTGTCTACCATCACAGTCAAGATCTTTTATAATTACCCTCACCTCCCTCCTGCCACCCCTCCCTCAATTCATTTTTTTTTTTTTTTTTTTTGAGGCTGTAGTCTCGCTCTGTTGCCCAGGCTGGAGTGCAGTGGTACAATCTCAGCTCACTGTAACCTCCGCCACTCTTGTTCAAGCGGTTCTGCCTCAGCCGCCCAAGTAGCTGGGATTACAGGCGCCCACCAGCATGCCTAACTAATTTTTGTATTTTTAGTAGAGACAGTGTTTTGCCATGTTGGCCAGGCTAGTCTTGAACCCCTGACCTCAGGTGATCCACCCACCTCAGCCTCCCAAAGTGCTGGGATTACAGGCGTGAGCCACTGCGCCTGGCCCTCAATTCATTTTTAAATGGAAGGATTATGCTACTAAGAACCCATTCCCAGAAACAGTATTGCTTGGCCAATGGTAAGTAAGAATGTGGTTACATTTTTACATTACTTTGAAATAATATCTGAGACTAGTTGTTGAGGCCCCTTTGATTCTTTCTCTCATGTCTCCATCCTCCTTATCGGGAGAAATCACTATGAATATGTGGTGGGGAACAGAAGTGAGTCCATTGCAGCTGTACTTATCCGTATAGTGCACTGTCCAAATGTGTTGACAGGTGCCATTTTTTGGAAAAGGACTTTAATGGCATCTAGTGGGGATCCTGAGAGGAGTCGTCTGTTGGAAGTGGTGTGGGAGGAAGGGTAAATAAATACAAGGGCCAGCTGTCCTGCGGGGATCTTCCCCATGCCCTTGCTTCACTGGAACTGTAAGGAAATGGCTGGGCTGTCTGAGGATTTCTTTTTCTAAGCTTTTCTTTAAAATAAAAAAGAAAAGAAAAGATTAGCCTAAGAATACTGTTAAATACAATTTGGAAGAAAAAAAATGACCCCACTATTTTTCCAAAACTACCTTAGTTTTAAAACATTTTTATTTTTTTTTCTTTTTGTTTTTGCCAGAGTTCTTTTGGCTAACAAAACTACCTCAGTTTTAATATATTACTTTCCAATTTCTTTCCCAAATAAATAGTCACATCTTTCTACACAGTTGCAATCAGAATGTACATGCACAGGGTAGTTATTGCTGTGTCTCACTGCATTCCTGAAACTATCAGTAGGCTGTTGGTAGAACAGACCCTTCACTGCTTTGTACTGACTTCTGGGCACAGTAGAATCTAAGATAAAATTTCTTGAGAGAACCTAGCTCTGCTCTACCCTCACACACCCCTTATTCCTCCCACCACCCCACTGAGGAGGAAACTCTGTAAGACTATACAGTATCTCTTGTAAGCCCTACAGTTTTTGATGGTTACAGTTTTCTTTCGTTTTTTTTTTTTTTTTTTTTTTGAGATGGAGTCTTGCTCTGTCGCCAGGCTGTAGTGCAGTGGTGCGGTCTCAGCTTACTGCAAATTCCACCTTCCAGGTTCAAGCGATTCCCCTGCCTCAGCTTCTCAAGTAGCTGGGATTAAAGGCATGTGCCACCACGCCTGGCTAATTTTTTGTATTTTAGTAGAGACGGGGTTTCACCATGTTGGCCAAGACAGTCTCGATCTCCTGACCTCATGACCCACCCGCCTCGGCCTCCCAAAGTGCTGGGATTACAGGTGTGAGCCATCGCTCCCGGCTGGTTACAGTTTTCTTTAAGAGGAACATGATATATTTAGGGAGTAGATAAAGCCAGTTCATATTTGTATGACCCTAAATGTGTACCAAACAAAGATAAGGAGTTATTCACAATGCAGAATCTGTACTTTTCCTTTTTTATAATACATTGTTCAATGTTGCCAGTTTTTAGTGATTGTTCTTATAGTCTATCTCGGATGTGTAATGTGTACTTTTTCTTTTGATTGCTAGAACTTTGCTTGTACTTGCCACATGAGTTGGAAGTGTACTGGTAGGGAGCTTTAGTTTGCATTTTAAATGCGTGATAGTGATTTGTTTTGCTTCCTTGCTGATCAGACAATGATGATCTTCCCTTTTCACAGAGGAGAAGGCCAATTTGGAGAATAAGTTACTGGGGAAGAATGGAACTGGAGGGCTTTTTCAGGGCAAAACTCCTTTGAGAAAGGCTAATCTTCAGCAAGCTATTGTCACACCTTTGAAACCAGGTAAGAAAACATCTTAGAAAAAAGCTCCTTGATAGAATGGTGGGACAGTGTTTTAGAAGCCTGAGGTTCTGGGAAAATTACCTAAATGCTCTATCTCTTTGTTTATTATTGGTGAAATGGGCTAATTCATTTCATGATAAATGTAAAACTAATGATGTGCTACACTTAAAAAAAAATCTCTTGGAGCTTAAGCTAACATAGAATTTTTTTTTTTTTTTCTTTAAGATGGGGTCTGGTTCTGTCACCCAGGCTGGTGGAGTACAGTGGCACAGTCATAGCTCACTGCAGCCTCAAACTCCTGAGCTCTTAGTAACTGGGACTACAGGTGCTCAACACCATGCCTGACTGATTTTTAAAAAATTTTAGTAGAGGAGTCTTTGCTAGCCAAGCTGGTCTTGACCTCCGGGCTTCAAGTGATCTTCCTGCCTCAGGGGCTTCCCAAAGTGCTGGGATTATAGGTGTGAGCTACTGTTCCCGGGGGCTAACATAGAATTTTATTGCCAGATACGTAACTGTTATCTTTTTGTGACAAGATTTAATGTAACCTAACCTGGGTCTGGGTGGGAAATAAAACAGCAAGAAAGAAGACTGTACTGCTTGCCATTGTACAAGAATTCTTTGAGTTATGTATCTGATTTTAAAAGATGATGGATCGCTTCTCGGCCTTTTGGCTAAGATCAAGTGTAAAAGATGATTGACATTTAAACTGGTGGGTACTGGATCTGCAGAATATTGTCTGTTTGGTTAGAACATAAGAAGCATTCTTTAAGAGGTCATAAAATCCTTCTTGAAATTGATTCTTTTGAAAAAAACAGCTGTATTTAGATTTAACTCACACATCATATGATTCACTTAAGATAAACATTTCAGTGTTTTTAAGTATATTCACAGAGTTGTGCAACCATCATCCTATCAGTTTAGAACATTTGAAAAGTATTATGTGGGTAAATCTGAAACTGGTCTCCATCACACCATATGACTACTCTCACCTCCCTCCTGTCACCCCTCCTTCAATTAATTTTTTTTTTTTTTTTTTTTTGAGACTGGCGTCTCACCCTGTTGTCCAGGCAGGAGTGCAGTGGTATAGTCTCGGCTCACTGTAACCTCCACCACCTGGGTTCAAGTGATTCTCCTGCCTCAGCTGCCCAAGTAGCTGGGATTACAGGCGCCCACCAGCATGCCCGGCTAATTTTTGTATTTTTAGTAGAGACAGGGTTTCACCATATTGGCCAGGCTGGTCTCAAACTCCTGACCTTGTGATCCGCCCACCTCGGCCTCCCAAAGTGCTGGGATTACAGGCGTGAGCCACTGCACCCGGTCAATATTTATCTTTCTATGCCTGACTTACTTCACTTAACATAATGTCCTTCAGGTTCATCCATGTTGCCATGAATGACAGAATTTCATTCTTTTTTATGGCTAAATAGTATTCCATTGTATATATATATGCCACATTTTATCTGTTCATCTGTTGATGGATACTTCAGTTGATTCCATATCTTGACTATTGTGAATAGTGCTGTAATAAACATAGGAGTGCACATAGATATCTCTTCGATGTACTGATTTCCTTCTTTTTGGATATATACCCAGTAGGGGGATTGCTGGATCATATGGTAATTATATTTTTAATTTTTTGAGGAGCCTCCATACTGTTTTCCATAATAGCTGTACTAATTGACTTTACTACTAACAATATATAAGAGTTCTCCTTTCTCTGCATCCTCAGGGATGCAGAGAAATTTTTAATATTTTTCATAGTGTCCATTCTAACTGGGATGAAAGGATATCTCATTGTGATTTTTAATTTGCATTTCCCTGATGATTAGTGATGTTGAGCATTTTTTCACATACCTGTTTGCCATTTGTATGTGTTCTTTTGAGAGATGTCTGTTCAGCTCATTTGTCCGGCTGTTGAGTTATTTGAGTTCCTTGTGTATTCTGGATATTAGTCCCTTCTTGAATGAATAGTTAGCACGTATTTTCTCCCATTCTTTAGTTGTCTCTTCACTCTGTTGATTGTTTCCTCTGCTGTGCAGAAAGTTTTAAATTTAATATAATCCCATTTGTCTACTTTTGCTTTTGTTGCCTATACTTTTGAGGTCATGTTCATAGGATCTTTGCCCAGAACCGTGTCCTAAAGTATTTCACCTATGTTTTTATTTTATTACTTTATTTATTTATTTTTGAGACAGAGTCTCACTCTGTTGCCCAGGCTGGAGTGCAGTAGTACGATCTCGGCTCACTGCAACCTCCGCCTCCCGGGTTCAAGTGATCCTCCTGCCCCAACCTCCCAAGTAGTTGTGACTACAGGCGCGCACCACCACACCCAGCTAATTTTTGTATTTTTAGTAGAGATGGGGTTTCGTGATGTCGGTCAGGCTGGTCTTGAACTCCTGACTTCAAGTGATCCTCCCACCTCGGCCTCCCAAAGTGCTGGGATTAGAGTCATGAACCACCGCCCTCGGCCTCCCCTATGTTTTTAGTTGTTTCATAGTTTAAGGTCTTACATATTAGTCTTTAATCCATTTTGAGTTGATTTTTGTATATGGTAAGAAATAGATGTCTAGTTTCATTTTTCTGCATTTAAATATCTAGTTTGATCAGCACCATTTTTTGATTTTTCAAATTTAAATTTTATTTTAGAGATGAGGTCTTACTCTATTGCCTAGGCTTGTCTCAGAATTCCTGGGCTTAAACAATCCTACCACTTCAGCCTCCCAAAGCTAGCACCATTTATTGAAAAGACTGTCCCTCCACCAAGGAATGTTCTTGGTGCTGTTGTCAAAAATCAGTTGGCTATAAATACGTGGATTTTTTCCTGGGTTCTCTATCCTATTCCATTTGTCTGTGTGTCTGTTTTTATGCCAGTACCATGCTGTTATGGTTACTATAGCTTTGTAATGTATTTTGAAGGCTGGTAATTTGATGCCTTCAGCTTTGTTCTCTTTGCATAGGATTGGTTTGGCTATATGGGGTCTTTTGTGGTTCCATGTGAATTTTAGGTTTTTTTTCTTGAGACAGAGTCTCACTCTTGTTGCCCAGGCTGGAGTGCAGTGGTGCGATCTTGGCTTACTGCAACCTCCGCCCCCCGGGTTCAAGTGATTCTCCTGCCTCAGCCTCTGGAGTAGCTGGGATTACAGGCATCTGCCACCACCCCTAGATAATTTTTGTATTTTTAATAGAGATGGAGTTTCACCATTTTGGCCAGGCTGGTCTCGAACTCCTGACCTCAGGTGATCTACCTGCCTCGGCCTCTGAAAGTGCTGGGATTACAGGCGTGAGCTACTGCGCCTGTCCTGCTTATACATTATTTATGGCTGTTGTATTCTTACTAATTTTTCTTTCCATTTGTTCCATCAATTAGAGAGAGAGGTAGTGAAATCTCAGACTGTAATTATGGATTTGTCTCTTTATCTTTATAATTTTTGCTTCATATAGTTTGAAGCTACTATTAGATGCATAAATGTTTAGGATTGTTATGTCACGTTGATGAATTGGCCACTTTAATTTAATTTAAATTTAATTTAATTTAAATTTAATTTTTTTTTTTTTTTTGGCTGGACGTGATACCTCATGCCTGTAATCCCAGCACTTTGGGAGGCTGAGGTGGGCGGATCACAAGGTCAGGAGTTCGAGACCAGCCTGGCCAATATGGTGAAACCCTGTCTCTACTGAAAAATACAAAAATTAGCCGGGTGTGGTGGTGCGCACCTGTAGTCCCAGCTACTCGGGAGGCTGAGGTAGGAGAATCGCTGAAACCTGGGAGGCGGAGGCTGCAGTGAGCCAAGATCATGCCACTGTACTCCAGCCTGGGCGATAGAGCAAGACTCCATCTCAAAAACAAAAAATTATATACATATATATACACACACACATACACACATATATATACACACAAGCATATATATATGTACATACATCTAATATACATGTATGTGTGTATATATGTACATATACATGTATGTGTACATACATGTACACATACATGTATATGTATATATTTTTGAGACAGGGTCTCACTCTGTCACCCAGGCTGGACTGCAGTGGAGCAATCACGCCTCACTGCAGCCTCTACCTCCTGGGCACAGGTGATCCTCTTACCTCAGCCTCTTGAGTAGCTGGGACCACAGATGCCACTACCATGCCTAGCTAGTTTTTGTATTTTTTGTAGAGACAGAATTTTGCCATGTTGCCTAGGCTGGTTTTGAACTCCTGGGCTCAAGTGCTCCACCCACCTCAGCCTTCCAAAGTTCTGGGATTACAGGTTGAGCCACTGTGCCTGGCCCCACTTTAACAGTTTGAAATGATCTTCTTTATCCCCATTGAAATTCTGTGCTCTGAAACCTACTTTGCCTGATATTAATATAGCCACTCTAGTTTTCTTTTGATTGGTTTTAGCATGGTATGTCTATATTTAAAGTGCATTTTTTTGTAGACAGCATATAATTGGGTCTTGCTTTATTATTTAATATTATTGTTGCTGCATTTTAATTGGAATAAATGCATCTATTTTAGCCTTGACATGCTATGCTATTATTTTGTGTGTGCGTGTGAGTCTCTCTGCCCCAAAAATATTTCTTTAGGAGATGAACCAAATGATTGTTCTCTGAAATGAATAATGCCTAAACTATGTTTTCATGGCCTATCTTTTCTTCCCTGTCATCTTGTTGCAGTTTAATTCCTTTATCAGGAGTCAGTTCATATGCTATGTGATTAAGTGCTGTTTCTTCCATGAAGCCTTTACTTGTTTCTTATTCTGTTTTGTTTTTTTGTTTTTGTTTTTTTTTTTGCAGACAGGGTCTCAGTGTGTCACCCCATCTATAGAGCAGTGGCATGATCACAGCTCCCTGCAGCCTTGACCTCCTGGGCTCAAGTGATCCTCTTGCCTCAGCCTCCTGAGTAACTGGGACTACAGGCACATTCCACCATGTCTGGCTAACTTTCTCAGTGTTCCCATAACACTTTTTTTCTATTTCGTTAAAAATGTTTATCAAGGCTGGGCTTGTAGTTCATGCCTGTAATCCCAGTACTTTGGGAGGCCAAAATGAGAGGATTGATTGAGGCCAGGAGTTTGAGACCAGCCTGGGCAATATACTGAGACCCCCATCTCTATTTATATAATATTGAAAAGCAAAAAAAAAAAAAAAAAACGTTTATCAAAATAAAACATGGCCATGGTAACATGGCTAACAATACTTAGAGTTTATGTTAAAATAACCCCTTTCTCTTCCCATCCCTACCCCCTGTCCTTTTTCTCAAACTCATATTGGTTTTGTTGTTGTTGTTGTTGTTTGTTTTTATATTTTGTTTTACAGGTGGGATCTCACTGTGTTGCCCAAGCTGGTCTCAAAATCCTGGGCTCAAGTGATCTTCCTGCCTCCGTCTTCCCAGTAGCTGTTTTAACTCACTATTTTAACTTGTGCTGTGGTTACATTCATAATGCCTGATAGTATGATTATATCAGCAGTATTTACAATGTTATGATTATATAAATATTGTTCAATGCCAGATCAATAACTGTGATGCAGTTGCATCCCTTCTTGGTACTCTTTGGCTATCTTTGGTTGTATTGTCACAACCCCTGAGCCACATAAAGATGATTCTGACATCAGGAGATCAGTGGATTTGCTTTTCTTTAAACTTTATCAATTTCTTAAATTTCTGCCACACTTTATCTTGCTTCATATTGGACAATGATCCTTGGAAGTTATTACTACTTTTTTGGGAGAGCATTATTATTTTTACTATCTTTGCTGCCTTGTTTCCTGGACCTTATAACTTTCTTCTGGATATACTCCTTCATTATGTGGGAGTGCATCCTCAGGAAACTTTCTTAAATTAGTGCAGGAGAGAAAAACTTTGAGTTCTCACATATTTGAAAATGGCATTGTTTCACTTTTATATACAATTGAAAGTTTATCTTAATACAGCATTATAGATTGCAAATTATTTTTTATCACTACTCTAAAGACATTGTTCCTTTATCTTCTATTTTTATGTATTGCTGATGAAAAATTCAGTGCTTATCTAATTTTCCTTACTTTGTAAGTGATTTTTTTTCTTCTTTATGGAAGCTTTCAGAATTTTATCTTTACCAGTGTCCTGAAATGTCATGAGATTGTGTTTGGGATGCTTTTTTTAAAGGTAGTACCTTAGGCTGGCAAATAGGCAAGCCCTGGATACATCATTTCTGTTTCAACCAAAGTAGCTTTTATAAACTGGTCTTCTGTATAAGATTTAACTGGAACTAAGGTTTCTGTGGCTTAGACAGGGTGTGTGTGTGTGTGTGTGTGTGTGTGTGTGTGTGTGTGTGTCTCATCTCCAATTATTTTCCTTGGCCTTTGAGTGCTGACTAGCTTTTGGTCTTCCGCAGTTGACAACACTTACTACAAAGAGGCAGAAAAAGAAAATCTTGTGGAACAATCCATTCCGTCAAATGCTTGTTCTTCCCTGGAAGTTGAGGCAGCCATATCAAGAAAAACTCCAGCCCAGCCTCAGAGGTAAGACTTTGGAATCTCAAAGTGGTGGTTATGATAATAATGTTCAAAGGATAGTTACTGGACAGAACATCTATTATGTGTCTATACTGTGTTTATGGACACCTTTATGTTACTTTTTTTTTTTTTTTTTTTTTGAGACGGAGTGTTTCGCTCTTTTGCCCAGGCTGGAGTGAAGTGGCATGATCTTGGCTCACTGCAACCTCTGCCCCACCGTGTTCAAGCAATTCTCCTGCCTCAGCCTCCTGAGTAGCTGGGATTATAGGCACCTGCCACCACACCCGGCTAATTTTTGTATTTTTAGTAGAGATAGGGTTTTGCCATGTTGGCCAGGCTGGTCTCAAACTCCTGACCTCAGGTGACCCACCCGCCTCAGCCTCCCAAACTGCTAGGATTACAGGCGTGAGCTACTGCGCCCAGCTATGTTACCTTTAAAAATCCTCATAATATGGGTTTGTGTGGTTGGTATAAATTAAAAAAAATCTGTATAACATTTATGAGTTGTAGGTAATATGCTTAATTAATTTATAGATAAGGTCTCAGAGATACTAAGTTGCTTGCTTAAGGCAAGTTTATTTCAGAGCCAAGATTCAAACTCTTATCAATCTGTTTCCAAAGGCCTTGTATGGATATAATTGTTACATCTTCCTGATGTCAAATATCTTTGTTCTTCTGTATTACTTTAGCTCTCTTTTTCTTTTTTTTCTTTGAGACAGGGTCTTGTTCTGTCACCCAGGCTGGAGCTGGAGTGCAGTGGCACATAGTTCACTGCAGACTCGAACTCCTGGGTTCAAGTGATCCTCCTGCCTCAGCCTCCCAAAGTGCTGAGACTATATAGGCATAAACCACCGCATCCAGCCAATAGACAAATTTTTATTTTATTTATTTTTGAGACAGAGTCTTGCTCAGTTACCCAGGCTGGAGTGCAGTGGCATGATCATGGCTCACTGTAGCCACAACCTCCTGGGCTCAAGCAGTCTTCCCACCTCAACCTCCTGCGTAGCTGGGACTACAGGCACAAGCCACTGTGCTCAGCTAATATTTTTGTATTTCTTGTACAGACAAGGTTTTACGATGTTGCCTAGGCTGGTCACAAACTCGAGCTCAAGCAATCCACCCACCTATGCCTCCCAAAGTGTTAGGATTACAGGCATGAGCCACTGCACCCAGGCCAGAGTAGAGTTTATAATCAGAGTTTAGTGTTTACCCTCTCTGTGGTTTTCTTGCTTCTGAAATTTTGCCTCAAAAATTTCATCTTTTTTTTTTTTTTGAGAGAGGGTCTTGCTCTGTTGCCCAGGCTGGAGTGCAATGGCATGATCTTGGCTCACTGCAGCCTCGACCTCTCAGGTGTAAGCAATCCTTCTGCCTTAGCCTCCTGAGTAGTGGAGACTACAGGTGCAGGGCACCAGGTGGCCAGCTAATTTTCGTATTTTTTGTAGAGATAGTGTCTTTCCATGTTGTCCAGGCTGGTCTTGATCTCCTGAGCTCAAGCGATCTGCCCACCTATGCCTCCTAGAGTGCTGAGATTACAGGCGTGAGCCACCATGCCCGACACATGCCATCCTTTTTTTTTTTTCAGACGAGTCTCGCTCTGTCGCCCAGGCTGGAGTGCAGTGGGCGATCTTGGCTCACTGCAACCTCCGCCTCCCGGGTTCAAGTGATTCTCCTGCCTCAGCCTCCTGAGTAGCTGGGACTACAGGCGCCCGCCACTACGCGCGGCTAATTTTTTTTTTTTTTTTGTATTTTTAGTAGAGACGGGGTTTCACCGTGTTAGCCAGGATGGTCTCAATCTCCTGACCTTGTAATCCGCCCACCGTGGCCTCCTAAAGTGCTGGGATTACAGGCGTGAGCCACTGTGCCCGGCCGGAAAGATTTCTTAAACAGGACACACACAGAAAAGCACTGACCATAATGGGGGTGGAAGAGGTTGATAAATTCAGGCACATTTATCTAATTAAAAGATAAAGAGATGAAAAGCCAACCCCTAGAGTAGGAGAAACTATTTGTAACCCATGAATCCTACAAAGGGCTTATATCCAGAGTATACAAAGAATTACAAATCAATTAGTAAAGAATTGACAAGCCAGTAGAAAACAGGCAAACGACTTAAACTAGCACTTACGAAAAGGGACAACCAAATGGCCGATACACATGTGAAAATGTACTCAGTTTCACTGATCATCAGAGAAAAGCACATTAATTTCCTATGACCCAGCAATCTTATTTTTTTTAGAATAGTTAAAATGAGGAGATAACCCATCAATAGTAGACTGAATAAATAGTTGCACATCCCTACAATGAATATTATACAGCAATGAAAGTCAGTGAATTAGAGCTGTGTGAATTGTCGTGGTTGAATCTCACATACATAAAGTTGAGTGAGATAAGCCAGACAGAAAAGAATACTTGTAGTAGTGTGGTTACATTATACAAAATTTTTGGGTGCAGCACACCAGCATGGCACATGTATACATATGTAACTAACCTGCCCATTGTGCACATGTACCCTAAAACTTAAAGTATAATAATAAAAAAAAAAAACCACAAAATTTTTTGTTTTTCTTCGAAACTAACATACCATGTTTACGTAATACGTGCTTATTTGGTAAAACAATAAGGAAATTATCTAATGATCACGCTTTTTTTTTTTTTTTTTCAAGGCGGAGTCTCGCTCTGTTGCCTAGGCTGGAGTGCAGTGGTGCGATCTCGGTTCACTGCAAGCTCCGCCTCCCGGGTTCACGCCATTCTCCTGCCTCAGCCTCTCAAGTAGCTGGGACTACAGGCGCCCGCCGCCACGCCTGGCTAATTTTTTTTTTCTGTATTTTTAGTAGAGACGGGGTTTCACCATGTTATCCAGGATGGTCTCGATCTCCTGACCTGGTGATCCGCCTGCCTCGGCCTCCCAAAGTGCTGGGATTACAGGCGTGAGCCACCGCGCCCAGCCTATCTAATGATCACTCTTAAAATCAAGGTAGCAGTGGTTGTCAGTGTTCTGTATTTTGGCCTAGGTGGTGATTTCATAAGGTCTTCCACTTTGTAGTCATTTAAGTATTTTTGTTTTGTGCACTTTTTGGTATGTATTAGATCTGTCATTATGCTCTTTGTTTTGT
The DNA here is from genome assembly GCF_000001405.40 of Homo sapiens. Lineage (NCBI taxonomy): Eukaryota > Metazoa > Chordata > Mammalia > Primates > Hominidae > Homo > Homo sapiens. Next base: position 31,769,790 of record NC_000020.11, read on the forward strand.
ATTCATCTTATTGATTTATTTATTTTTAGACAGAGTCTTACTCTGTTGCCCAGGCTGGCATGCAGTGGCACGCTCATGGCTTACTGCAGCCTTGACCTCCTGGGCTCATGTGATTCTTCCGCCCCAGCTTCCTAAGTATCTAGCACCACAGATGCGCACCAGCACGTAGGGCTAATTTTTAAAAAATTTTTTGTAGAGACAGGGTCTTGATATGTTGCCCATGCTGGTCTGAACTCCTGGCCTCAAGCAGTCCTCCTGCCGCAGCTTTCCAAAGTGCTAGGATGGCAAGCATGAGCTACCAGGCCCAGCCAAGTTTTTCTTTTTAATCATTTTATTGAGGTCACATTTATAGACACCGGTGTATTTAAGAACTAAAATGTTATGGTTGAATTTCAAAAACTATCAACAAGAGAGATTAGATTTTTAGAGCAGAGATAATAGCACTCCATTTTATTGCCCTTTGTAGTTTGACATCCTTTCACATTTCTCAGGAACATTTGGATATCTGTAGTATATATATTTATTATATATTTTGTCAATTTCTCTACCATAGAAGATCTCTTAGGCTTTCTGCTCAGAAGGATTTGGAACAGAAAGAAAAGCATCATGTAAAAATGAAAGCCAAGAGATGTGCCACTCCTGTAATCATCGATGAAATTCTACCCTCTAAGAAAATGAAAGTGTGAGTAGCCACAACTTCTTACTGCCAAGGGCAGACATATTGTACCTTGTATACCACTTGTAAGTTTCTTTTCTGAATTTACACTTTAGATTGAATAGATTAAAATTAAAAATGGTACATCTGTAATATGTTTGGTGTACCTCAAGCTTGAGAAATGCCTAAAACTGTGACCATGGTGAGGTGAATTGTTACGTGTGTCCTGGAGGGCACTCACATCTTAGTTGGCATAGGTTTTACCTCTTTTTGTTTTTACGGCTAATAACAAGCTGCATACATGATGTTTGTTTATATTTTTATTAGTTAAGAATGTATTTTGCTGCAAGTAATAGTCTTCAACTGGAGTGGTTTAAAGAATAATGAATTATTTGTTTCACAGAGGTCTAAAAGTAGTTTGCTGCTGGCTTTGGTTCAGTGGCTGATTTTTAGCTTTTTTTTTTTTTTTTTCGTACTTGTTCTTCAAGATGCTGCTCTGTGTTTCTTAGATTTTTTCTTTTGCTTGTTGTCTCACTGGCACAAGATGGCTGGTGTATCTCTAGGTGTTATATTTATGTTTAAGAGAAGAAGAAGAGTACAGTAAAGGAAAAAGGGCAGCATCTATATCAGGAAACTTAAGTCTTTCGCAGCAACCCTTAAATTTCATTTCATTCGCCTAGACTTGTGTCACTTGGATTCCCTAGTTGCAGTAGAGGCTGTTGAGGCAAGTACAATACTTACTTGTAGCTTAGTGCGTTGCTGCTCCTCCCGAAATTGGGGTTTTGTTAATGAGAAAGAGACAGAATAGATATTGGGATGGCAATTAACTCTGCCATTTGATCATTTGATGGTGAGCAGTTAGAGTCCCTCCTTACTCTTCCAAACCACCACTAGATAACTCTTATCTTGATAGCGGTTGGCTTTCTCAAAGTTTACTCATTGAAGCCATTAATATATATGATCTAATGATACTGTTGGAAGAATCATGTGGTCGAAGCATGCTTGTTATCCTATAGAATGAGAAAATTTAATCCATATGCAGTAGATTTGGGGAGGAGGGTACAGGCTATGCTTCAGGGAATTGAAAACATATTTTTTGTCCTTTTGAACTCAAGTTCTAACAACAAAAAGAAGCCAGAGGAAGAAGGCAGTGCTCATCAAGATACTGCTGAAAAGAATGCATCTTCCCCAGAGAAAGCCAAGGGTAGACATACTGTGCCTTGTATGCCACCTGCAAAGTAAGTTTCTTTCCTGAATTTAAACTTTAGAATGAATGGTATAAAATTACAGATTTACATCTACAACCTGTTTGGTGTACCTGGAGGTTGGCAAACTCCTGAAGCTTTGACCATGGTGAGGTGAATTGTTACATGTGTCCTGATGGGTGCTCAGATTTTTAAATTTTTATTTAATTAATTAATTTTAAAGACAGGGCCTCATTCTGTTGCCTAGGTTGGTGTGCAGTGATGCAATCATGGCTCACTGCATCCTTGACCTCCTGGGCTTACGTGATCCTCCCACCTCAGCCTCCCAAGTAGCTGGGACTATAGGCATGCACTATCATGCCTGGCTAACTTTTTTTTTTTTTTTTTTTGAGACAGAGGCTCACTCTGTTTCCCAGGCTGGAGTGCAGTGGCATGATCTTGGCTTACTGCAACCTCTGCCTCCCGAGTTCAAACAATTCTCCTGCCTCAGCCTCCCGAGTAGCCCGGATTACAGGTGTGCACCACCACACCCGGCTAATTTTTGTATTTTTAGTAGAGATGGGGTTTCACCATGTTGGCCAGGCTGGTCTCGAATTCCTGACTTTAAGTTATCTGCCCACCTTGGCCTCCCACAGTGCTGGGATTACAGGTGTGAGCCACTGTGCCCAGCCTACCTGGCTAACTTTTACATGTTTTTGTAGAGATGGGATTTCACTATGTTGCCCAGGCTCTCAAACTCCTGGCCTCAAGCAGTCCTCTTGCCTTGGTCTCCCAAAGTGCTGGGATTACAGATTTGAGCCACAGTGCTGGCTGGTGCTCAGATCTTGAACAGTCAGAAAAATATACTGTTGAAGCAAATTTAAAAGAAATATAAAAGGAAAAAGTTAGCAACAGTTCTTACCACGTAGATTGAACATTTTTTATTTTTCCAACCTCCCTGCTGGATTTTACCCAAGCCAGCATACATATTTTCACAATCAGTTAATACAAAACCTTGGGTTCTGCTTTATTGACTTGCCATGAGATTATTTCAGATTTTGTTTCTGTGCTGCTACAAAATTTTCACATTTATCCTTTTTTGATAGATTGTTAATATTCTATCAAAATATATTTAACTATTTTCTGTTGAAAATGTAGTTTCCAGCTTTTCATGATTATAAGTACTCAGTCAACAACTTTATAGGCAGAACCATTTCTTTGAGTGATCTTCTCAGAATAAGGAAGGAGAAATTCCCCACAGGGTATGACCAGTTTTGTCAGTGTTGATATTTATTGCCAATTTTACTTCTGAAATGGAAGTACCAATTTATAGTGCCATCGGCTTTTTTTTTTTTTTTTTTTTTTTGAGATGGAGTCTCACCCTGTCACCCAGGTTGGAGTACAGTGGCGCAATCTTGGCTCACTGCAACCTCCGCCTCCTGGGTTCAAGTGATTCTCCTACCTCAGCCTCCTGAGTAGCTGGGATTATAGGCATGCATCACCACACCCGGCTAATTTTTTTTTTTTTTTTTTTTTTTTGTGAGACGGAGTCTCGCTCTGTTGCCCAGGCTGGAATGCAGTGGCACGATTTCGGCTCACTGCAACCTCTGCCTCCCACGTTCAAGCAATTCTTCTGCCTCAGTCTCCCATGTGGCTGGGATTACAGGCACCTGCCACCACACCTGGCTCATTTTTTATTTTTAGTAGAGATGGAGTTTCACCATGTTGGCCAGGCTGGTCTTGAATTCCTGACCTCAAGGGATCTGTCTGCCTCAGCCTCCCAAAGTGCTGGGATTACAGGTGTGAGCCACCATGCCTGGCCCCGGCTAATTTTTGTATTTTTAGTAGAGATGGGGTTTCATGATGTTAGCCAGGCTGGTCTCGAACTCCTGACCTCAAGTGATCTGCCCGCCTCAGCCTCTCAAAGTGCTGGGTATAGGTGTGAGCCACCATGCCTGGCCTGAAGTGCCATTGGCTTTGAATGAATATTTTTATTTTCTTATTATCTCATCTGCATTGTTTATTAACTTATAAAATTGTTTCTTTTTTTAAATTCATATAGATGGCATGAAATTATTATTTTAAAAATTTAATTGTAAATTGATAATTTATAGTTGTATATATTTATACAGTACAAAGTGATGTTATGATTCATGACTACAATTTGGAATAATTAAATCTAGCTAATTAACATATCTGTCACCTCAAATACTTACCACTTTTTGTAGTGAGAACATTTGGATTTTTTTTTTTTTTTATCGAGATGGAGTTTCTCTCTTGTTGTTCAGGCTGGAGTGCAGTGGTGAGATCTCAGCTTACTGCAACCTCCGCTTCCCGTGTTCAAGTGATTCTCCTCCCTCAGCCTCCCGAGTAGCTGGGATTACTGGCACTTGCCACTATACCCAGCTAATTTTTGTATGTTTAGTAGAGATGGGGTTTTACCACGTTGGCCAGGCTGGTCTCAAACTCCTGACAGGTGATCCACCTGCCTCAGCCTCCCAAAGTGCTGGGATTACAGGCATGAGCCACCGCGCCTGGCTGGAATTTATTCTCTTAGTGTATTACGATTACTAATGATATCCTCCACCCTGTGCAGTAGAGCAAAAGAAAAATCTTTTTCCTCTTGTCTGAGATTTGTTGTACTCTTTAATCGTCATCTCCCCATTTCCCCCAACCCCCAGCATCAAATTATTTTAATTTTTATGTATTTGCTGACAAGATTGTATTACTGCTACTATTGTAAACATTTTTCCATATTTCCTCTTGGGTGAATTATCTGTTTCCTTTTTATTTTTTTTCTTATTGGTAACCTTATTTGCCTATAAGTGTCCTTGGTGATATTTTCCTTACTAAGAATGGATACTCTGTGTTGAACATTACCATGTGTCAAGCACTTCAGAGACATCATCTGATTGAACAGTCATAAATAGGATGTGAACATGAGTATTTACACTCCCATTTCACAGTGGGGAAAACTGAGGCTCAGGGAAGTTAAATAGTTTTCTCAAGATCATTATAGGCAGCAAATGAAATGACAGGGTTGGGATTTAGTCGGCTTTACTTCTGAGTTTCTTCCTTCTGTTACATGTGTTTTATGTGTATTAACCCTAGGTTGTAGATACTTTCCTCATTCTACTGGTCTTTTTTTGTTTTTGTTTTTGAGACAGGGCCTTGCTGTGTTGCCTAGGCTGGTCTTGAACTCTTGGGCTCAAGCAATATTTTTGCCTCAGCCTTCCAAGTAGCTGGGATTACAAGGGCATGCCATTGCACTAGGCTTCTACTGGTCTTTTAGTTTTTCTTGTGGCTTACAACCTAATCTTTTTTGTTGTTGTTGCTGTTGTTGTTTTTGGAGATGGAGTCTCACTCTGTTGCCCAGGCTGGAGTACAGTGGCGTGATCTTAGCTCACTGCAACCTCCACCTCCCGGGTTCTAGCGATTCTCCTGCCTCAGCCTCCCGAGTAGCTAGGATTACAGGTGCCTGCCACTACATCTGGCTAATTTTTGTATTTTTAGTAAGATGGGGTTTCACCATGTTGGCCAGGTTGGTCTCGAACTCCTGACCTCAGGTCATCCACCCGCCTCGGCCTCCCAAAGTGCTGGGTTACAGGCATGAGCCACTGCACCCAGTCCAATCTCATCGTTTATGATCATATTTATGGATATTTTGTAATATATTTTAATCTATTTTAGTTATTTTCTTCTGAAATTTTTTCAGTATTTTGGTATAAAGTGTGCATTTTCTTGTCTTTATTTATTTATTTTTTTTGAGATGGAGTCTCGCTCTGTGGCCAGGCTGGAGTGCAGTGGCGTGATCTTGGCTCCCTGCAACCTCCCCCTCCCAGGTTCAAGCAATTCTCTTGCCTCAGCCTCCCCAGTAGCTAGAATTACAGGTGTGTGCCATCACACCTGCCTAATTTTTGTATTTGTAGTAGAGACAGGATTTTACCATGTTGGCCAGGATGGTCTTGAACTCCTGACCTCAGGTGATCTGCCCACCTTGGCCTCCCAAAGTGCTGGGATTATAGACATGAGCCACCATGCCTGGCCAAAGTGTGCATTTTTATTTATTTTCATGGTGTTATCTAATTAAGTTAGCATCTATTTATTAGATGATATTTTTTGGTTTTGATGATTATCTTATCACAGGTTAAAAATATTATATAATGCCTGTAGATTCTTTTGAGTCACTGGGTGCCTTTCTCCTCTCCTCTCTTCTCATTTACTGATTTTCTCTTTAGGCAGAAGTTTCTAAAAAGTACTGAGGAGCAAGAGCTGGAGAAGAGTATGAAAATGCAGCAAGAGGTGGTGGAGATGCGGAAAAAGAATGAAGAATTCAAGAAACTTGCTCTGGCTGGAATAGGTGAGCTTGGCTGTGGTTGAGTCTGATTCATGAGGGGTGGTTCTTAACACTCTTGGTAGGTGTTTTTTTTTTTTTTTTTTTTTTTTTTTTTTTTTTTTTTTTTGAGACGGAGTCTCGCTCTGTCGCCCAGGCCGGACTGCGGACTGCAGTGGCGCAATCTCGGCTCACTGCAAGCTCCGCTTCCCAGGTTCACGCCATTCTCCTGCCTCAGCCTCCCGAGTAGCTGGGACTACAGGCGCCCGCCACCGCGCCCGGCTAATTTTTTGTATTTTTAGTAGAGACGGGGTTTCACCTTGTTAGCCAGGATGGTCTCCATCTCCTGACCTCATGATCCACCCGCCTCGGCCTCCCAAAGTGCTGGGATTACAGGCGTGAGCCACCGCACCCGGCCAGTAGGTGTTTTTGAAGTCTCTGAAGTAAATAAAAAGGCTTTCTCATTTAGTAGTCAGCATAAAAAAGATGTGTTTATTCCTTAGCACTTTCTACATATATTGGTATTTTACATATATTGGTACTTAAATATATCGGTACTTTCTTTCTTTTTTTTTTTTTCTGAGACAGAGTTTTGCTCTTGTTGCCCAGGCTGGAGTGCAGTGGCGTGATCTCCGCTCAACACAACCTCTGCCTCCCGGGTTCAAGCAATTCTCCTGTTTCAGCCTCCTGAGTAGCTGGGATTACAGGGGTCCACCACCACGTCTGGCTAGTTCTTTGTAGTTTTAGTAGAGATGGGATTTCATCATGTTGGCCAGGCTGGTCTCGAGCTCCTGGCGTCAGGTGATCCGCCCACCTCAGCCTCCCAGAGTGCTGGGATTACAGGCATGAGCCACCGTGCCTGGCTCACTGGTACTTTCTTAAAAGTCTGTTCTTGGTCTTAGGGAAAAAAAGGAACTTGGATTGAGACAGAAGATAAAGTAATTGGGCAGACCAGTTTGTTGTTTTCCTATTTTTTTCTAAAGGCAAAGGAAAAGAAAACAGTCAAATCCAATTCACCTGTGGAGGAAAAATATGACTGAGAGAGCTGAAGGGGTCACAGTTCTGCTTTGCTCGGGCATAGAGTTGTTATTGGTGGAGTCATAACTATAAAGTTCTCCTTACTGGATTGAAAAAGCACCCCTGGAGTTTATAGGATTTTCCTCTTAGAGATGCTGAGTTAACTGTGCTTTCAAAGTCAATCCATAGCTTTTCTTATCAAAAGTATTCCAGTTATTCTTTTTCTCCATAGCTATGACCACACCTAGGAGATGGGATTCTTCTACCCTGTGCTACTACTTTTTTTTAGTTTGCATCTGACTGAAAGGCCTCAAACCTAATAGTACTCAGTGAATATGACACATATATTAGTGTCCCTGAGGACTACTTCAAGTTTTGGGTTACAGGTAGATAGTAAGCAAAGTTAGATCCATGGTGACAGAAATAGCAAAAGGACTGGAGTAAAGGGGATTTACTGGTGTTCCCTATCTTAATGTTGTCTGTATGTTTTACTGTGTTCATCTCTCAGGGCAACCTGTGAAGAAATCAGTGAGCCAGGTCACCAAATCAGTTGACTTCCACTTCCGCACAGATGAGCGAATCAAACAACATCCTAAGAACCAGGAGGAATATAAGGAAGTGAACTTTACATCTGAACTACGAAAGCATCCTTCATCTCCTGTAAGTTGATGGACTAAATGAACATTTCTGTTACTAATATTCATTTAGGATTTTACGTGTAGCATTTGTGGTCACTGTTTATAATAGTATAATTGAGAAAAAAAACCTTGTGTCTATAAAGTTGTGTAAAATATAACAGATCTTTTTTTTTTTTTGAGATGGAGTTTCACTTTTGTCGCCCAGGCTGGAGTGCAATGGCACGATTTCGGCTCACTGTAACCTCCGCCTCCCGGGTTCAAGTAATTCTCCTGCCTCAGCCTCCCAAGTAGCTGAGATTACAGGCGCCTGCCACCACTCCCAGCTAATTTTTGTATTTTGTAGAGACAGGGTATCCCCATGTTAGCCAGGCTGGTCTCAAACTCCTGACCTCAGGCGATCCACCTGCCTCAGCCTCCCAAAGTGCTGGGATTACAAGTGTGAGCCATCATGCCTGGCCAATATAACAGATCTTATAGGAAAAATAGGGTTGGGGCAGACCAGTCAAATCTCATGCAGTTTTGTTACCAGAGCACCAACAAAATCAGTAATAATCGTTAAGTAAAAATGCTAGTACTAATAATCTCCACTTGCATTTGTAGTCAGTATCATCATTTTTTGAAATTAGTTATTTGCATTCTTAAACCCTGAGGTTATGCTTCTTTCTTTGAGATACAGGTCCTTGAAGGGTTTTGCTTCCAATTAGAGACCAGTTTTATCAAAATTACTGGTCCAAGGAATAGGAATAGGCTTCTTCATCAGTCTCTTTAGGGGATGTATGGAGAGATTCCACTGATTCAGGAAGCTGCCTGACCTGATGCATACCCAGAGGCCCAATCAATTTTTTTTTTTAAAGTGGAGTTGAGGGTGAGATTTCTTTGCAGTGCTTTTTGTCTTCAATTCTAAGATAGCTTACTCTGGATTCCTTCAAAACATTGACATGGTTGGGGGGAAATTACCTATGTACTATTCCAGAACATAAGATTTGTTAAGTGCTAGATCCTTTCTTCCATTTTTAATTTTTTTTAATGAGAACAGATTAGTTATAACCCTTGCTCAAGGACTGACAAACTTCAGAATAATAATCTTGGTTTTACACAGGCCTTTTTTATTGATCCTCTGTGCCGAATATGTGGCTTATGGTAGATGTGAGCTCTTCCGTGACATTTCATTTGGGGAACAACTTTTCTCTTTACAGGCCCGAGTGACTAAGGGATGTACCATTGTTAAGCCTTTCAACCTGTCCCAAGGAAAGAAAAGAACATTTGATGAAACAGTTTCTACATATGTGCCCCTTGCACAGCAAGTTGAAGACTTCCATAAACGAACCCCTAACAGATATCATTTGAGGAGCAAGAAGGATGATATTAGTAAGTTTCCTACCAGTATCACAGTTGGATGGAACCTCTCCTACATTCCCTCTGCTTACATCTTAGGCACAGATTTGTCTTTAGCTGAAATCCTAGTTTTTCAATTAAAGTATGGCGTGTGACTATGCAGACAACAAATGTATCCTTCAGAATTTTTCAAACCACCCAGCTGTCTGTCTTATACCCATCAACCGTCTTGATCCTCCTCATCAATAATTGGCCAAGGGGAATGAGTTAAGGTAACCTGAGATGTCATTACACATCCTTAACGGACATTTTTTTGCCATGTGTCAAAGTGTCACATTGCATTTAGTTACCTATAGAAAATGAAGGCATTTCATTCATTCAAGGCTATGTGCTTTTTATTCAGTGGTCCACCAAAATTTTTACTACTACTAACCAGGCACACTGTGTTAGGTATATAGAGGTAAATAAAATAGACTTGGTGCTACTCAACATCAGGTTTCTAATTCAAGTTTCAAAACTCGACATCAAGTTTCAAAAGCCTTTACCATAATTTGTAGTGACCTATTTATCTCTGTCATTAGAGATACACTAATTAGTTCTTTGCATTCTTAAACTGTCATTAGATAAACAGGTCACTACAAATTATGGCAGGGGATTTTGAGGAGGAGGGAGGTGCAAGAGTCAAAGGAGGTGGGAGATAGGGAGAGCATGTCTGAATGTTGAGAAGTCTCGTCAGAGATAAAGAAGCTGAAGGTACGAGAGAGAGGAGATAACTAATGGATTAAGTCCCTGAGCAGGCAGGTATTGGAGGGATACTTAGCACAGGTGGAGTGAGTGTTCTTTAAAAGGAGGATGGAAGAGTGGGAGGAATGGGTGCAAATACTGGGGGAGTTTGTAGATTTGGTGGTGAGCAGATGAGCGGATTCTAATGTAATAGTTTCTATCTTTATGGAAATAATTTCTGCAAGAAGGAAGATGAAATCTGAAGGGTGGAGGTGGTATTAAATAGTTGTTGGGAGTATAGGGATAGTATTCTGGATAAAGCAGAATGTGGTTGTTTTACCTTTGAGGATCTCTAAATTTTTTATATCCTTGCATAGGCATTTTTTTTGAGACAGAGTCTCGTTCTGGGTGTCATCACCCAGGCTGGAGTGCAGTGGCGCGATCTCGACTCACTGCAACGTCCACCTCTTGGGTGCAAGAGATTCTCGTGCCTCAGCTTCCCGAGTAGCTGGGATTACAGGTGTGTGCCACCATGCCCAGCTACTTTTTGGATTTTAAGTAGAGACCAAGTTTTGCTCTGTTGGCCAGGCTGGTCTTGAACTCCTGGCCTCAAGTGATCCGCCCGCCTCAACCTCCCAAAGTGCTGTGATTACAGGTGTGAGCCACTGCGCCTGGCCAAGTACAGCATTTTTTAATATTATTATTATGTTCTAGTGGCCAAAATGATTTTGTTAGATTTTATAGTATGAAAATAATGAAATATTCTTCTTTATTCTAATGGAAATTTAAATATTAAGCATAACTTTTCAAATAATATATGACTCAGAGTCTGATATGTCCTGCTTTCAGAATACTAGTCCTGGCAAAAGGAAAGAGAAATTATATTATGCAATTTTTATTTAAAACTTTGTACAGTTACAGCTAAATAATGGTTACATGTATCTTTGAAACATGGCTTATTTCTAAAATAGATTTGGTTTTGATCTACCACTGTTATGTGACAAGACCTAAATTGAAAGATTCATTCTATATTAGTTATGAAAATTGACAAGGTTTCACTGGCCAGGTAAATTAATATTTTCAATGAGTGGTGGTGATGTCTTAATATTGATGCTTTAACATAGTTTTTAACTTTCTCCATTTGATTTTCTGTAAGATGTGGTCTTGATGCTTTTATATTGATTTCATAAAATTGGGAGTTTTCACTTGGTCTTCTTTTGTTATTTATTTATTTATTTATTTTCCTTCTTGTTTTGCTTTTTAGAGACAGGGTCTTGCTCCGTCACCCAGGCTGGAGTGCAGTGGCGTGATCATGGCTCACTTCAGTGTCCAACTCCTGGGCTCAAGCAATCCTCCTGCCTTAGCCTTCCAAGTAATTGGGACTATATATAGGTGCATGCCACCATGCTTACCTAATTTTTATATTTTCTTAGGAGACAGGGTCTCATTATGTTGCCCAGGCTGGTCTTGAGCTCCTGGCCTCAAGCAGTTCTCCTGCTTTGGCCTTCTAAATTGCTAGAATTACAGGTTTGAGCCATTCTGTTCAGGCTTTACTTGGTCTTTAGGAAGGCCTTATATCTTTTTTTTTTTTTTTTTTTTTGAGACAGAGTCTCGCTCTGTCGCCTAGGCCAGAGTGCAGTGGCGCTCATTTGGCTCACTTGGCTCACTGCATGCTCCGCCTTCCAGGTTCATGCCATTCTCCTGCCTCAGCCTCCCGAGTAGCTGAGACTACAGGCGCCTGCCACCACGCCCGGTTAATTTTTTGTATTTTTAATAGAGACGGGATTTCACCGTGTTAGCCAGGATGGTCTCGATCTCCTGACCTCGTGATCCCCCTGCCTCGGCCTCCCAAAGTGCTGGGATTACAGGCGTGAGCCACTGTGACCGGCCAGGAAGGCCTTATATCTTAAAGCTGGAATAAGCAAAAATTTTTTGTGTTAATAACAAGCAAAATAATTGGCATTGTCAATAGAAAGTATAGGCCTGGCCAGGCACAGTGGCTTAACGCCTATAATCCCAGCACTTTGGGAGGCTGAGGTGGGTGGATTGCTTGAGCCCAGTAGTTCAAGACCAGCCTGGGCAACATAGTGAAACCCTGTCTCTACAAAGAATATAAAAATTAGCTGGGCATGGTGGTGCATGCCTGTAATCCCAGCTGCTTGGGAGGCTGAGGTGGGAAGATCACCTGAGTCCAGGGAGGTTGGATTTGTAGTGAGCCTTTATGCCCCTGCACTCTAGCCTGGGCAACAGAGTGAGACCCTGTCTCAAAAAAAAGAAAGTCAGTCTAGGCCCGTGCAGTGATAAGGAACCTGTCAGACATGGATGGATTTTCAGTTCAGAAGATGACAGTAGAGTTTACCCAAAGGCTACCTTAGTCATACCCCTCAATAAAAGAGGAATAGGGGAGAAGTAACTGAATGTTGGTTGGTTTGACCAATGTAAGCTGAGCTGACTGTTGTGGGCCCACCACTCTGTGGTTGGTTTATCCCTCTCTGGGCTACATAGGTGAATCACCACTTACAAGTAAACTGGGTCTTGCGGATCTAGATGAACATCTGTCATCTCTGTTTACAGACCTGTTACCCTCCAAATCTTCTGTGACCAAGATTTGCAGAGACCCACAGACTCCTGTACTGCAAACCAAACACCGTGCACGGGCTGTGACCTGCAAAAGTACAGCAGAGCTGGAGGCTGAGGAGCTCGAGAAATTGCAACAGTAAGTCCCACTGGCAGTATCTGAGGAAGAGTTCCACGAACCTGCCTACTTTATTTTCAGTTCTGTTAGGGTGACAGTTGCTATTTTTCTTTCCGTAAAAATTTATGGCATTTGAGTAGTAGGCTCTGCAGGCTACGCCCCTGCCTATATGATTTAAGGACTATAGTGGGAATATGGAGATGTTCTGGAGTATAAACTGGTAAAAATTGAATCCAGGCTGGGTGTGGTGGTTCACACCTGTAATCCCAGTACCTTGGGAGGCCGAGGCAAGAGGATCACTTGAGTCCAGGAGTTTGAGACCAGCCTGGGCAACATGGTGAAACCCCATCTCTACAACAAATACCAAAAAAAAATTAGCTGGGCATGGTGGCATGCGTCTGTAGTCCCACCTACTAGGGGGCAGCCTGAACCCAGGAGGTCAATGCTTCAGTGAGCCAAGATCACGCCAATATACTCCAGCTTGGGTGACAAAGCGAGACTGTCTTGCACATACACACATACACACACACACACACACACACACACACACACACACACACACAAAATCTAATCCAGAGGTTGCAGTAGAAGAACTTACTTAGGATTTCAATTAAGGAATGCCCTCTAAGGTTAAGTTAGGTAGATCCCACCCTTTTGTGACTCCCCAAGGGATTGTTACAGCTATTATTAGTGGAGGGAAATGGAAACTTAGTGTGATTCGTAGCATTGGAGTTTATTTCCTGTATCCTTCTTCCATTCCTTTTTGTGCTTCTTTTGAGGAGGGGGAGCTTCTTCTGTGAAGTGAAGCCTCAATTCTTAAGTGGTAGGGATGTTAGGACTGTCTGATTTATTCTTTCTTCTTTTATTCTTTTATTATTTTTTATTTATTTATTTTTTTTGAGATGGAGTTTCGCTCTTGTTGCTCAGGCTGGAGTGCAGTGGTGCCTCTAAGCTCACTGCAACCTCCGCCTCCTGGGTTCAAGAGATTCTCCTGCCTCAGCCTCCCTAGTAGCTGGGATTACAGGTGTGCACCACCACGCCCAGCTAATTTTTGTATTTTTAGTAGAGATGGGGTTTCACTGTGTTGGCCAGGCTGGTCTTGAACTCCTGACCTCAAATTATCTGCTCACCTTGGCTTCCCAAAGTGCTGGGATTACGGGCATGAGCCACCGTGCCTGGCCCATTGTTTTTCGTTTTTATTTATTTTATTCTGTTGTCCAGTCAATGGGAGCATAATCTTAATGATTACTATTCTTTGTGGTTGGCTTACTTTGTTTGTGAAGTTTTCATTTTATTAAAATTTTTTTTGTGGTTATTTAAATTTTCACCTTACAGATACAAATTCAAAGCACGTGAACTTGATCCCAGAATACTTGAAGGTGGGCCCATCTTGCCCAAGAAACCACCTGTGAAACCACCCACCGAGCCTATTGGCTTTGATTTGGAAATTGAGAAAAGAATCCAGGAGCGAGAATCAAAGAAGAAAACAGAGGATGAACACTTTGAATTTCATTCCAGACCTTGCCCTACTAAGATTTTGGAAGATGTTGTGGTAAGGTTGAGGCTATGTGTGCTGGCAGAAGTGTACTGCTCATGACCAGATATCCACCCATTCACACAAAAGTTTGGGTAGATATTATGAGCAGGGCATCATATTAGGAACTGCAGGTGATAAAGAGACTTATCGGAAGTGGATTTTGCTTTTAGTTAACTCAAAGTCTGGTATGGGAGACAATATATGTGTGAATAATAGAAAATGGACAGAAGTGTTCTGAGAGAGATGACAGTTAAAATAGGAATTCAGAGGAGAAAATGGTTTCTTCCAGATAGAAAGTTCAGGGTGTGCTTTGTAGAGAGGCACATTTGACCTGAGCCTTGACGATGTACTGTAGTAATAGTTATTGTGTTGCTATTGTTGTCATAATAGCTGACAATTTTACTGTGTGCCAGGACTGCTCTAAGCCCTTTTCATATATTAGCCCATTAGTTTTGACAACAACCCCTTTAGGTGGGTTATTTTATCACCTGTTTCAGATGAGGTAACCGAGGCACACAGAGGTTATGTAGTATTCCTAGAGCACTCAGCTAGTACATGGTGGAGCAAGTAAGAGTTCAGACACTCTAGCTACAGAGTCTGTGATCCTAATACCTCATTATATGCCTCTCCATTACATGATAGAATTTTGACTTGCAGAAATGCAAATGGACTGGATTGGCAGAACATTCCAGGCAGTAGGAATTACATGATAAAAAGCCTGACGGTGGGAAACAAGAAGCTTCTACTGGGAGCTGTTAGTGGGTCAGTTAAGCTGGAGAAAAGTTTATCAAGAGCCACTGGAAACTGTTTCAGAGAAGTGAGTTGTAGTTTGATAATAGGCTCACAACCACAAGTTTAGAGAAAATGTGCAATCAGGAAGCAAGGCTACAGTCAGAGAATAAGCAATGGAGTTAAGCACCTGCATAAATGCGAAAGCGGCTTTTAGTTACATTTCAGTGCAGATGAGGACCTCACCCGCCGCCACTGGTTTGGATTGCCTGGATTGATGCAGGTCCGGGATAACTCTAGAAGCACTCTGTTTTCCTATCTTCTTTCTTTTTGCTTGCTTTAGAGTCACCATGCTTTTAGGGGAAACTGCACCAATGTATTACCTTTGACTGAGTACCTAGTTTTGTTTATTGTATTTTCTTAGCACTAAATCAGAAGCAACTTGAAGTTATATTTTCCAGGCTTTACAAAAATCATGATTATGCTTAGAAATGGTTCTCCTCCCTGATACCTACTTTTGATTGAGAGCTTTTTGCGTGACTTCTGTTCACGATGCTTTTTTTTCCCTGCCATGATGCATATGTACTATATGCCAAGCTCTGTTACAATAAACTGTTAAGAAATCTTCCCCCACCCAAGTGATTAATCTCCAAGGGCTGTGCCTTCTTTGTCTTTACCCATTGAGGAAACAGTGTTGTGAATACAACAAGGGAAAAGTAGGTTATATGCAAACCTCAGAGTTGTAGAGCCAGAAGGGCTCAACGTTTAGTTTTACATACAAGATAATGGAGCCCCAGATAAGAGAAATTATTTCTTCAGGGTTTCTATAACACTCTTTTGGCACCTTGCTTTTGGTTTTTTGTTTTGTTTTTTTTTTTTGAGTTGGAGTTTAGCTCTTGTTGCCCAGGCTGGAGTGCAATGGCGTGATCTCGGCTCATGGCAACCTCCGCCTCCCGGGTTTAAGCGATTCTCCCACCTTAGCCTCCCGAGTAGTTGGGATTACAGGCGCATGCCACCACGCCTGGCTAATTTTCGTATTTATAGTAGAGACGGGGTTTCGCCTTGTTAGCCCGGCTGGTCTCGAACTCCTGACCTCAGGTGATCCACCCGCCTTGGCCTCCCAGAGTGCTGGGATTACAGGCGTGAGCCACCGTGCCTGGCTGGCACCTTGCTTTTAATAACATATTTTCCTCCAAGCTTTTCCCCCTACCTAAGTTTTTGTTTTTATTTATGTACCACTCTCTCAATTTGTCCTATATCCTTGTACCTTACATACCAATATTATTATTTTAAAAATCAACTCACTTTGTAACCTAACGTAAATTTAAAGGGAACTTTTAAATAAATATGTAAATGGAAAACCAGTACCTTTTGCCACAAATAACACAGCAATAATAGCTAATACTTATATAATGCTTATTACATGCCAGGTCTTTATTCTAAGCTTTTTACATTTATATAATAATGCACTTAATTCTCACAACAACCCTATGAGGTAAGCACTGTAGGTACTTAATCCATTTTACAGTTAGGAAACATAGAGGTTAAATAACTTGCCCAAAATCACAAACTAGTGAGCGGCAGAGCTAGCATACGAATCTTAGGTGATATGATTCCAGGGTCCATGCTGTTATATAAAAATAGAGGTTACCTTTTAAAATAGAAGGTTCTTAGGAAGTATGTGCTTATTTAAAAAAAAAAAAAACAACAGTCTACACCTCACCTAAGATCCTTTCTCATAGCATCAGTCACACCTGAACTACTGTTTTTTTTTTTTTTTGAGACAATCTCACTCTGTTGCCCAGGCTAGAGTGCAGAAATGTAGTGGTGTAATCTCAGCTCACTGCAACCTCTGCTTCCCAGGTTCAACCAATTCTCATGCCTCAGCCTCCTGAGTAGCTGGGAATACAGGCACACACCACCATGCCCAGCTAAGTTTTGTATTTTTAGTAATGACTGGGTTTCGCCATGTTGCCCAGGCTGGTCTTGAGCTCGTGGTCTCAAGCAATCCACCTGCCTTGGCCTCCCAAAGTGCTAGGATAGTAGGCGTGAGCCACTGCACCCAGCTGAACTACATTTTTGAAAACACTGATTAGGAAATTGGTTTGTCAGTTGTGTGTACTCTAGAAATGCTAGGGTGAAGTAGTAAGTAGGGAAGGGTGACCAGAGTTCATTAGGAGTTAGTTGAGATCTTAGAGTAGTTGGGTACCAGGTTATACCTGTGAAAATTCTGTGTAAACAGATCTGCAAAGCACTAGGTAAGGTGTGACCGAATTGATACGATTTGCGGAATGGAAGTGTTTGCCAAATCCAGCTGGTTCTCAGAATCCTCTGGGGCTCTTATTACATAAACAGATTTGTTGGGTACATCACAGAGGGAGCCCAGATAAAGCACTGAGTATGGTGCCTGACACGCAGTAAGCAGGGGTATTATTAATAGTAATTGTCATTTTATTGAGTGCTTACATTGTCCTGAGTACTTTATGTAGATTGTCTTATTTATGTCTGATTACACTTCTAAGAGGTGGAGTCTATACTTATCCCTATTTTTCAGACAAGGGAATAAACACTGAGAGGTATCTAGTATGCAGAACCAGAATCTGAGCCCATCATCTCCTTAAACACTGTATTATTGTACCCTACAATGCTTACTGTTATCATATTTATTTTGGCAAATGAGGTTTCTGAGTTTGACACTGGCTGTTTGCAGGTTTCCCTACTAAAATTTCCAGTGATTTGACTTCAACTCTTGGTTTCTAGAGAAGCATAGCATAGGAAGAGATGTTAGATGTGTTTTCTTCTACCCGCTTCACTTTTCAGAAAGGGAGGTTTTGAAAGGGGTGCAAACCAAAAAGTATGAGACAGGTCTCAATCAATTTAGAAGTTTATTTTGCTAAGGTTAAGGATGCATGCCTGGGAGACAGGTCTGTACCTTTCTCCAAAGATGATTTTGAGGGCTTCATATTTTAAGGGGAAAGGGTGGATAGTGGGGAAAGGGGAAGAGATTTTGAAAAGGTATGGGTAGGTAAGAGGCAAATGGTTGCATTCTTTGTTCACATGTGAGAGGGGGTAGAGGAATAGTTACTTATGCATTCATCTAGTTCAGTGAATCTGCATTTTTACATAAGATAATTAGGGCAGAGGAAGCAATCAGATACGCATTTCTCAGGTGAGCCAAGGGATGACTTTGAGTTCTGTCCTTTGTCCTGTACCTGTGAAGATAAGCTATCAATTTATATTGTCAGGGTGAAATTCAACAGAACTGTTTTAGGGTGAAGAACTTGGGGCCCCCAAGGAATTTTCAAGTGGGCAAATTGTGAGGGAGGTATGTACCTTTTTCATCTTTGAATGGGAGGCAGGTTTGCATGTTGAAGTTCCTAGCTTGACTTTTCTCCTTGGCTTACTGATTTTGGGGGTCCCAAGATTTATTTTCCTTTCACAGGGGATTATAGCTTGCCTATGGAAACATTTAAAAGAAACATTTATAAGAGAGTAAGTCGGCCAGGCGCGGTGGCTCACGCCTGTAATCCCAACACTTTGGGAAGCCAAGGTGGGCTGATCACCTGAGGTCAGGAGTTGGAGACCAGCCTGCCCAACATGGTGAAACCCTGTCTCTACTAAATACAAAAAAAATTAGCCGGGCGTGGTGGCAGGCACCTGTACTCCTAGCTACTCAGGAGGCTGAGGCAGGAGAATTGCATGAACCCAGGAGGTGGAGGTTGCAGTGAGCTGAGATTGCACCACTGCACTCCATCCTGGGCAACAGAGCGAGACTCTGTCTCAAAAAAAAAAAAAAAAAAAAAAGTCTTTGAACTTCTAGTGTTGGACTTTTACAGCAGAATTTAAGAGCCCACCTTCCAGAGCCTGATGCAGCTTGTCTGTCTGATGCTTTTGTTCCCCATCCACGTCCCCCCCAGTGCTGAAGCTGTTTCGTGTGTCCTTACAGTGTTTCCTCTGCACTTCCACTTGTGGTTGATAAGTGGCAGGGGGACAATAAATAGAGTTGATGAAAGATGGGCTTGGGCAGCAGTGGGCCCAAGTGAGGCAGAAATGAGAAAAGGACTCCTGGGGCAGAGGTGGAGTGACAAAGCCTTGAGCACGAGGGTGTGAAATGTGAACTTGGTGCTGACCTCTATTGGGCAGCCGGGGCACCACGGAGGTGGATGTGGTGTCAGTGAGACCAGTGAGTAATTTTAGCAGAGATACTTTAGGGATGACTTGGGGAGGGCAGCAGGCTTTTTTAAAATATATATACTTCCCAAAATAACATTGCTTCAGAGTAGTTTCCTAACTGCCCTGGGACAGGCCTGAGATCCTGTCCCAGGGTACTTGGGGGGCACATCCTGTCTTAGGGAGAGGTATTCACCTCCCCATTCCCATCCCCAGTCCTGGCTGCTTTTCCTAAATGCATCATTTATCCACCCACATTGCCCCATTCTAACCACATATCACCTCTTTAGAGATACCTTCCCCTTCATTGAGGGAGCATCCCTCTAATAACCATTAGCTCCATATTCTGCTGGGTTTCTTTAGAGCACTTGTGAAAATTTGGAAGTATTTAATTTGTTAAATCTTCATTGTCTCTTTCCTCCATTAGAATGTGAGCTCCCTGAGAACAGGGACCGTGTGTATCTATATTATTCACTCTGTATCCCTAGCCCCTAGCATAGTGACCACCACAGCACAAGCACTCTGATATCGGATAACTGAGTGAGTAATAGTAGAAGCTGACATGCACCTAGACACTAGGAATTCAAAGATGGTATAAGACACGGCCCTTGTCCTCAAAGCTTTCATAGTCTGGTAGAGCATATAGATGTGTAAATGAGTAAATATGGTAATATTAACCAACATATGTTCATTGAACAGTTACTACGGGGTCTTCTAGTAGGTGATATGGGAAGACAAAAGAATGCAAATGACAATATTCCAGTCCTCAAGGAGCTTATAATTTAAAAAACTTAAAATAGCAAAAACAAAAAAAAACAAAAAAAAACTTTCTTTGTTTCTGTAAACCCAATTTTCTTTTCATTATTTCTAATCGAGCCCCTAGTTAACTTTGATGGAAGGGGGGCTGGGGTGTGAGTGGATAGTTGCTGCAAAGATGATTTTCATAAATCATCTTTTCCTCTCCCCCAACTAATTAAGAGATTGAGCTCACTCATACATATCTCCTTCATGGCCTACTTATTAGAGGTTTCCCTTGCTTCTCTTTTAAAATGCAGACATTTCTGTTGGGTGAATGCAGAGAGAGGGAATTATTTCAGAACTAAATGAATCCTCAATTACTTATTTCAATTACTTTATTTTATTAAAAAACCCCAAGGCCTAGAAGGATATCTGATGTGTTTAAGGTTATACAGATTGGAAGCAGAGCTGGGCTGGAACAGACAGACCCGTGGCTTCTTGCTCACTATTTGTCTCTCTTCCACTTGCCCCTGGTGCATTCAAGCAAGATGCTAGTGTCCACATGTCTATAGAAGAGCAGATTTTGTTGTTGTTGCTGTTTTATGGTAAACATCATTTGACAACCCATTTCTTGGAGTTTTGTCACTCTGAATACAAGATCTGCTATATTGGATTTCACTATGCTAATGATTCTAGCATTCTTTAGAAAACATATAAGAAATTTCACAGCAGAATGAGCATTCTCAGTGGTCACCTTGAGAGACTGTAAATCCCTTCCAATGATTGTGATACTGCAAAAAGCATTTTGGAAAAGCCATGCATCTTGAATCCTGAGATGAGCCTTTGGGATCCCTCCCAGGATGACAAATCTTCACGTGTATTTTAAACATTAATTTGCTTTTAGGATCTAGTCTAAGGTTATTTGGAACTAAAACTTCTGAGTAGTCCAAGATAATAGAGGTGTAAACTATTTGTTAAATGAATAGTAAAGATTGAGCAACTGTCTTGCATGGTCCAGAAAGTGCCTTTGAAAGCCACTCCAAGAAAGACATTCCAAACATGTTTCGAACGGTTGCAGCATTGTTGGGATTAAGGAGAAGGCTCCCAAGGTATCCTCCTAGAGTCCAAGGTATAAATTCTGTTACTCATGTGTTCATTCATTCTTACTGCATTCATTCAACAAACATTTACTGAGTGCTTTATACTTGCCAAGGTCTATGTTAGGTACTTGGGTCTGATGGAGTAAAATAGTCTCCATCCTCGAAGCACTCAGGCTAGCAGGGGGAAATGAACATCTAAATAAATAAGTGCAATTAAGTTTTGTATGGACTGTGATAAAACCATATACAATGGGATAAAGGGGTCAGTTCTGTAGGTCCTGGGAGTGGAGAGATCTATTGAAAGGCTTTATAAAAGAGGAAAGGCTTTATAAAAGTGGAGGCTTGAAAAGATGAATTGGGTGCTTTCAAGCAGCCGGGGCATTTCAGACAGAGAAAGCACAAGCAAAGGTAATGAGATAGGAACCATTTGGGGAGCGATCAGTAGTTCGTTGTGGTTGCAACGTGATATGTAAGGAGGGGTGAGAGGTAAGGCGGGAGAGTCAGGAGGGTACCAGATTAATGCTACTACTAAGGAGGCCATGAAGGCGATATTTATGAGTGAGATTCAAGCAAGTGCCTTGTGTTTCACGAAAAGGAATTTGTTATGCTGTTGTAGGTAAGCAATAGGAGCCATTAAAGAATTAATTTTTTTTTCTTTGAGACGGAGTCTTGCTCTGTCGCCCAGGCTGGAGTGCAGTGGTGCGATCTTGGCTCACTGCAAGCTCCGCCTCCTGGGTTCACGCCAGTCTCCTGCCTCAGCCTCCCGAGTAGCTGGGACTACAGGCACCCGCCACCATGCCCGGCTAATTTTTTTGTATTTTTAGTAGAGACGGGGTTTCACCGTGTTAGCCAGGATAGTCTCGATCTCCTGACCTCGTGATCCACCCACCTCTGCCTCCCAAAGTGCTGGGATTACAGACATGAGCCACTGCACCTGGCCTAAAGAATTTTAAGTCAGGAAGTAATGTGATCAAATGTGTTTTAGAGTAATAATGTGGACTACATGCAGACAATGAATTGGAGGAATGAGTTGTGGAGCTGAAAGACTGTTAGGAGACTAGCAGAATGGCACAGGCAATAGCTGAAGTAGGTCTGGCAATGAAACTTTAGGGAAGAGCAGAATAGAGAGCTGATGGGGGCAGGATGTGGACACGAGTGTAACAAGAAATTACTGAGGTTTTGTTTTGTTCTTAATCGATCTGGCCGTACACTTCATTCAAAACAGCAGCCAAGAGATACCATTTTGCAGTTAGGATTAATTGCCAGATTTGTGATAGAATATAAACTCTGTGTGAATCAAAAAATGCTGTGGAACAACTCTCTAAAATGTGTTAGTTTTAAATTATGTGCACAATATGATACATGTCATTTATTCCACAACGATTTGAAATGTTAGCAGTGTTTTAAAATCATTAAGGAAAAATCTTCAGGGTAGTTGAATGTGTTGGAATTATGAGATATAAGGCTGGGTACAGTGGTTCACGTCCGTAATCCTCACACTTTGGGAGGCCAAGGCAGGAGATTGCTTGAGGCCAGGAATTTGAGACCCATCTCTACAAAAAATGATTAGCTGGGCAAAGTGGTGCGCGCTTGTAGTCCCAGCTACTCAGGAGGCTGAGGTGGGAGGATCACTTGAGCCCAGGAGGCAGAGGTTACAGTGAGCCGAGATTGCCCCATTGCACTCCAGCCTGGGCAACAGGGTGAGACTCTGTCTCAAAACAAACAAACAAATAAAAGGATTATGAGATGTAGAAAATTAAATTTCTCTCTTAATTCACCCTCAAAGAGATATGAGAGTTGACAATTTGGTGTTCTTTCCCTTTTATGTTCTTTTATTTTCTGTGCTTAGATTAATTATATTTTAAAAACTCAAAAATATCATTCTAGGCCATGTGCAGTGGCTCACACCTGTAATCCCAGCACTTTGCGAGGCCAAGGCAGGAAGATTGCCTGAGCCCAGGAGTTTGAGACCAGCTGGGCAACATAGTGAGACCCTGTCTCTACCCAAAGGGGAAAAAAGGATTTAATCTTCTCATACAGCTTAGTGGAGATCATTTTGTGATATCTAATTGAGTTGCTTACTCCTTTCAGGGTGTTCCTGAAAAGAAGGTACTTCCAATCACCGTCCCCAAGTCACCAGCCTTTGCATTGAAGAACAGAATTCGAATGCCCACCAAAGAAGATGAGGTGATTCCCTGGGAGTAGGGGGGTTCTTTTTCCTTCTATATAGTCAGTCAATCTAAGCCTTATCATTTATTAATCTTAATGGAGTTCAAAGGCAACCACTCTTTTTTGGACTTGTCTTTAAGAATGGGTATGAACATTTGTTCATTTTTTTTGTTCCTCCAAGAACAAAGTAATTGGTAAGGGTATGAATTTTCTGCTCTTAGTGATAACTAGTTACAATTTATGGAAACAGTAAGGAGCAGTTAAGCATTGGAGGCTTGTCTGCTGTAGCATTGAAAATCAGCTGCTCTTTGTAACATGGATCAAAAGTTGCACTTTATTTTGCCTTAGATTGTCACTATTCAGTGATGGACTTTGAAAATTCATACTAAGCAATTACATCCACCTTGTCCTATCTCCGTTAACCCAGAGGAGTTGCAAAGGTGACTGTGGTGATCGTTTATGGAATTGTAATATATAAACTGTCATTGGTCAGGCCAGTTTCTTGTTACATCTCCCATTTTATCTATAAATATCCAGAGTTAGGGTAATTTTATAGCAGATTGCAAGCATAAGCCTTTTTATAGGTTCATTTGAAACTAAAATACGCAGTAATCTTGTGTTACCAGCTTGAACCCAAACAACTTGGGTTTGGCAATCCTATTCTGGGTTTGGCAACCATTAAGTCCCAGTCACATGTTTTAATGAAGTCTAGAGGCTGGGTCAAAGAAGAGACTAAGGTATATGCTTGGTTGGGACCGATCTTCTGATGTTCATTTTATTCATAATGTTAGATCTTATTTAGTTTTTACAACATTCCTGTGGAAAACTAGATCTTTTAAGAGTAATTGTGTTAGCCCTTGGTGGTAGATGACTTACCTAAGTCATCATCCTTCTTGGATAGAAAAGGAAGCTAAGACTTCCTTTAATTTTGTTTTAATTAATGCCACATATTAATATAATGTCTTCTGACTCCACATTCTGGGGAAGTTGGAGAGAGTGAGGAGTCTTATTTCTAAACTGCAATTTTTTCCCTAGGAAGAGGACGAACCGGTAGTGATAAAAGCTCAACCTGTGCCACATTATGGGGTGCCTTTTAAGCCCCAAATCCCAGAGGCAAGAACTGTGGAAATATGCCCTTTCTCGTTTGATTCTCGAGACAAAGAACGTCAGTTACAGAAGGAGAAGAAAATAAAAGAACTGCAGAAAGGGGAGGTAGGTGTTTCCATTTCTGCAAGTAGTGTAATACTATTCTTTGATCCCTCAAAGACAGTTTTTTCTGTAGCACTTTTAACTATAAAATCACTGACTTCTTTTGATCTTTCTAAGAACCCTATAAAATATAAATGGGACAAGTAATTTAAATAATCCTTCTGGCACAAGGAGGTTAAGTGACTTGCCTCTGATCACACTGCTGGTTATAGGCAATATTAGGAGGAAAGCCTAGATTTCCTTTTGAACCCATTATTCATTCTTTCATGCTGCTTTGAAAGGTTTCCTTCCTTATTTTTCAGATTCTTCCAGATATTCTGGAGCAGCTATTGCTTTCCAGCTAGTCTTTATCTTAAACCTCATGTTTTCTTTTCTGTTAGGTGCCCAAGTTCAAGGCACTTCCCTTGCCTCATTTTGACACCATTAACCTGCCAGAGAAGAAGGTAAAGAATGTGACCCAGATTGAACCTTTCTGCTTGGAGACTGACAGAAGAGGTGCTCTGAAGGCACAGACTTGGAAGCACCAGGTAGGGGATGGGGAGAGCAGCCAAAATGTTAATTGCTTGGTTGGTTGATTGTACAGGCAGACCCACCATACTGAAATCACCTGGGTTAACATGCTACATTGTTTCAGGGGCTCTCACTGTAAATCAGGGGTCAGCACATTATTTCTGTAAAGGGCCAGATAAGAAATATTTTAGGTTTTGTAGGTTACATATGGTCTCTGTCGCATAGTGTGTGTGTGTGTGTGTGTGTGTGTGTGTGTGTGTATGTGTGTGTGTACGCACACATTTTGTTGTTGTTGTTGTTGTTTTTTGAGACAGAGCCTTGCTGTGTTGCCCAGGCTGGAGTGCAGTGGCACAATCTCGGCTCACTGCAAGCTCCGCCTCCTGGGTTCACGCCAGTCTCCTGCCTCAGCCTCCTGAGTAGCTGGGACTACAGACGCCCACCACCAAGCCTGGCTAATTTTTTTATATTTTTAGTAGGGATGGGGTTTCACCGTGTTAGCCAGGATGGTCTCAATTTCCTGACCTCGTGATCTGTCCGCCTCGGCTTCCCGAAGTGCTGGGATTACAGGTGTGAGCCACCACACCCAGCTACATGTTTTCAACTCTTTTTTTGTTTGGTTTGAGACAGAGTGTCGCTCTGTCACCCAGGCTGGAGTGCAGTAGTGCGATCTCGGCTCACTGCAACCTCCGTCTCCCAGGTTCAAGTGATTCTCCCACCTCAGCCTCCCGAGTAGCTGGGATTACAGGCGCGTGCCACCACGCCCAGCTAATTTTTGTGTTTTTAGTAGAGACAAGGTTTTGCCATGTTGGCCAGGCTGGTCTCAAACTCCTGATCTCAAGTGATCTGCCCACCGTGGCCTCCCAAAGTGCTGGGATTACAAGCATGAGCTGCTGTGCCCAATCAACTCTTTAAAAATGTAAAAACCATTCTTAGCTCAAGCGCTGTCCTAAAACAGGTTGCAAGCTGGATTTGGCCTGTAGGCCAGAGTTTGCTGACCCCTGCTCTAAGTGATCACCTGGGAATGTCCCCTGCTCCAAGTGATCACCCGGGGAATGTGGGAACCGACAGGCTTTTCTGGAGTTGGGAGTTTCTTTAAGATCTTATCTATTCCATCTATTAGACTCATTCATTGTGTTTATTCCTTTCTGTTGATGCATTGGTAAGAAACAGTATGGGAGAATAGATTGAAATATACAATGCTGTTTTCTCAGCATGATGTGCTATTTGCTCTTTATAAATGACAGGTGATTTAAAACAATTAATTGGTTATTTGCTGATTTAATTGGGATCTAATTCTACGTGGCTGGAAAAAATTTCCCCTGAATTTCTAAGTTTTTTGGATTTTTATGTCATCATTAATCTTGGATTCTTTCCAAAAGGAGCTCTAGGCTATTGTTTGTTTGTAGGAATTACCCCTCCTGAAGCCCGAGAGTTGTAATGGCTTACATGACTGAACGTTGGTCCCCTGTTAGTGTGGTTCTCTAAGAAACCTTAGGACTGTTGCCTTGGAAATAGTGAATTTTCCCCTCTCAATGACCAAGACACAGAATGTCTGTGTAGGGCATTTTCTGCAAAGAACAACAACAAAAACAATTGTTTTAAAAAGCTTTTCAGAAATATAAAAGTAGGGTGAATAGTATAATGAATTTTCATGAACCCATCACCTGGTTCTATAGTGATCAAAACATGAAAAGTCTTGTTTCATCCCAACTTCTACCCACTTATCTTACACTGGATACTTCTACCTGTGTAAGATTACTTTGAAACAAATTCTATGTAACATCCCTTTTCATCCAAAAATACTTCAGTGTATATATTTAAAATATAAAGACTTATAACCACAATAATATTCTCACACTTAAAAAGATTAAAAATAATCAAATATCTGCACATTTCTCATAATTTTTTAAACAGTTGAATTGTTAAAATCAATATCCATATATAGTCTACATAGTGCCTTTGTTTGCTAAATCTCCGAATCTTCTTTCAATCTATAGGCTCCTCTCTTTGCATTTTATTTGTTGAATAAACTGGATTGTTTGTACTGTAGATTTTCCACAATCTGGATTTTGCTGATTGCGTTCCCACACAGTTGTCTAACATGTTCCTCTGTTGCTTGTATTTCCTATAAATGAGTAGTAAGATCTGGAGGCTTGATTCAATTCTGGTTAGATTTTTTTTTTTTTTTGGAGGTGGGAAGAATACTTTATAGGTGATACTGTATAGTTCCTAATGAATCATGTGTGAAGGCAGAAAATGTCTAGTTGTTTATTTTTATGATATAAAGATAGGTCTTAAAAGTACCTTTAAAATTTTTTGTTTTTTTTAATTGACAAATAATAGTTGTACATATTCTTGGGGTACATAGTGATGTTTCAATATGTATAATGTGTAATGATCTGATCAGGGTAATTAGCATATCCATAATCTCAAACATTTATCATTTCTTTGTGTTTGGAATCTTTTTTTTTTTAATTTAAAAGTAAACTTTAGCACACCAACATGGCACATGTATACATATGTAACAAACCTGCACATTGTGCACATGTACCCTAAAACTTAAAGTATAATAATAAGAAAAATAAATGTGAACATAAACTAAAAAGAAAAAAAAAAGTAAACTTTAATGTCGAAAATGCAAACTTGGGAATCTTAAAAGTATCTTAAAAATGCTTTCTAGTTCTCAGTGAGTTCAAATGTTGTCAGACTGATCTGTTCATTGTAAAGTTTGTGTGAAAGATTTTTACTAGGGTTTATATTAAATCTGCTATTTTTATTGATGAAGCAGTTCAGACATTAGAACTTAAGTTATTGAGGTAGTGGTCATAGAAAGGTGAGACATTGCTCATCTGACTGACTTTCTCTCTAATAGCTGGAAGAAGAACTGAGACAGCAGAAAGAAGCAGCTTGTTTCAAGGCTCGTCCAAACACCGTCATCTCTCAGGAGCCCTTTGTTCCCAAGAAAGAGAAGAAATCAGTTGCTGGTAGTATTATATGTACTCTGATGGGACTCGGGCAGAATTGTCAGACTTCCCAGTGGGATGCTGGAATTCAGTGTGTCAGTACAATGCTGTGTCAACTAGAAGCATTTGACTTTAGCAGATGGTAGCTTTTCTTCCCCTAGACCCAGTTTTTTGCCTTTATTGAACCCAGCAGCTATGTTGAGTTGCAGGATGTGTTAGGGCCAGATTCATTTAACATGAACCTTGGCAGAAGCAGCTGGCATTTCAACAACAATGATAGGTTTTCCCCATCCACAGAGAAACAAGTAAATGAGGGAGGGAGAGCCAGTATGGCTTTCTGGAATTCACCCTGAAGCAAACTTTAGATATAAAACATTTGATTCCTTAAACACTGGGCAGTGTGCTAGAATACTGGGATTCCACCGGGTGTGGTGGCTCATGCCTGTAGTCCCAGCACTTTGGGAGGCCCGGACAGGAGGATCACTTGAGCCCAGGGATTTGAGACCAGCATGGGCAACATAGCAAGACCCCATCTCTTTTTCAAAAAAATCTTTCCAAAAAGGGAAAAAAAGAATATTGGGATCTTTCTTCTATGTCTGCCTCAAAATCAATCACTATATAGTTTTGTGCAAGCTACTTTATGTCTTTGCCTTTTTCCCAATTACACCAGACGATTTCCAGGGGCCCTTTGAACTCTTAAAATTCTAAAACTTTTTGTATTTAGTTGGCTCTACCTTTCTCCCAATGGGGCTTGTTTAGAGCACAGTCTTCCTGTTAGTGTGCATGTCTGTGCCACTTGCTCATTCCAGGGGGCGTAGGTTTATGCAAGTCCTGCTTGTGCACCAATATTTTTTCTGTTTCTGTACTTAGAGGGCCTTTCTGGTTCTCTAGTTCAGGAACCTTTTCAGCTGGCTACTGAGAAGAGAGCCAAAGAGCGGCAGGAGCTGGAGAAGAGAATGGCTGAGGTAGAAGCCCAGAAAGCCCAGCAGTTGGAGGAGGCCAGACTACAGGAGGAAGAGCAGAAAAAAGAGGAGCTGGCCAGGCTACGGAGAGAACTGGTAACTGGGAGCATGAGCACTGACGAACACAAACATGCCTCTGTTTTATTTTACCTGTACCTTACCTTGTACCAGACAGGATCTAAGGTAGCCCGCAAGGCTGTACCAAAGACAATGAGTGAAAGGGGGAATTGCACAAACTGAGGGTGGTGATGAAGTTGAGTTGTGAATGAAGCTAACGATGTGTACATTGTGATCTAAGTAGGAGCTGTAATTTTGGCCCTTTTTAGGAACCAACCTGTCAGTTACAAAACTCGCAGTGTTCATGAGACATAAGACAGTTGTTCAAAAAATACATTTATCCCTTTGATAGTGAATTTTTAGACAGAATTTCTTCCGGAAGTTTTCATAAGGAGGACAACATGTGGTATAACCATGATGCCTTTCCTAGGACTGTTTTTTATTTATTTGTTTATTTTATTTATGTAACTTATTATTTCCTCTGGGGTTAAGAAGCACCACTGAGTTTTGTAATTAGACAAGAATACATAGCGAAGGACATGGGAATTAAATGGCAACTGTATTTTTGTTTTAATACTGAGCCCAAACTCCTTGGAGTTACAGTGTTCGTCGCTCCAGGTAATCCTCTACTAACATAATTATTTAGATGTTGGTTATCCAAAAAGAAACCTGAACTCCACATTAAGGACCAATCTGCTAGGAGGGCAGCAAGTTGTGTTAACTGTGTTAATGAAGAAGCAGACAGTTTTAGATGGAACTTCGTATGATAAATAAAAAAAGAAAGGGTCATGGGGAGATGTTGGTAAAAGGTTACTTAGTTACAGTTAGATGGGAGGAGTAAATTTCAAGAGATCTATCATATAACAAGGTGACTGTAGTTAATGATATATTGTATTCTTGAAAACTGTAAAGAAAGTGGATGTTATGTGCTCACACTACAATAAGTGGATGTTATGTGCTCACACTACAATGTTAATTAGCATCTTGCTAATTAACAAATGCATTATCTCACATAGTAACCATTCCATAATGTATGTCTACTTTAAAACATCAGCGGTACACAATAAAAATATACAGTGTTATCTGTCAATTAAAAAGAAAGAAGGCCAGGAATGGTGGCTCACACCTGTAATCCCAGCACTATGGGAGGCCCAGGTGGGTGGATCACTTGAGGTCAGGAGTTGGAGACCAGCCTGGCCAAAATGGCGAAACTCTGTCTCTACTAAAAATACAAAAATTAGCCGGGCATGGTGGCACGCACCTGTAATCCCAGCTACTCGGGAGGCTGAGGCAGGAGAATTGCTTGAACCTGGGAGGCCCAGGTTGCAGTGAGCCGATTGTGCCACTGCAGTCCAGCCTGGGGGTGACAGAGCGAGACTGTCTCAAAAAAAAAAAAAAAAAAAAAAAAGAAGTGTAAGTTGTTGAGGTTTTGTCTAAAAGTGCTATACTACAGCTGGATGTGGCAGCTCACACCTGTAATCCTCACACTTTGGGAGGCCAAGGTGGGAGGATTGCGTGAGCCCAGGAGTTCAAGAAAAGCGTGGGCAACATAGCAAAGTCCCATCTCTATTTTAAATAAATAAATAAAATGCTAGACTAGCAGTTGAAACAGCTATTGGCAGCTATTGGCATAGGTGATTATGCCCATAGGAAGGTTCCACGGACACACTATTTAGGAGACCAGCCTCTTGGTAAAATCTAGACTACCATTTGCTGAGTGAATGAGAAAATAGTATAATCCCCACTCTATATACACTCATACAATCAGCCTTTTTTCCCGGCCTCAACTTTGATTTTTCTTTAGCATTTGGTACCTGCCTCTTGTGTTTGTCCCCATTATAGAACTGCTTCTTGCAGCAATTCTCAACATAACTGATGGCAACATTGTAAAGCACAATTCAGTCAATGCTGGTTAACTCTCTACTAATCTGGCTTGATTTAGGATTGATTTTAGACTACCCTAAAGGATGGATGGGACCATGCCTTCTTTAGCCACCCTTCCTGGTATGGTTGTTGTGTTTTGTTTTTGCTTTTTCCCCAGGATTCAGGCTTTTGGTGAATATTTATAGTCAGTAAACTTAAGACTGTACTCTGGGAAATTCTTAGCTTGTAACTTCTCTGCTATACTTGAGTACAGCCCTATTATACCCTAGTAAATCACACAGGACATAGGTTTGGCATTCTTTAGTGAAAGCTGAGGGACTTGAGGAGACTGTGGCCTAAAGGAAAGCTGGGGGACCCAATAGAGACCTGAATAGAAACCCTTTTGGGCTCCAAAGCACATACACTTTTCCATCATACCGTGTTGCCCCCCAGGCCCCACTCCCCACACCTGAAACTAGTGACTGGGACCTGTAAAACTCTACAAACATTTTCTCAAAAAGAAAAAAATAAAAGCAATTATAAGCGTAGTTCTCTGACATCCCTCTCACTGGTAACTTTTCCTTACTTTGCAGGTGCATAAGGCAAATCCAATACGCAAGTACCAGGGTCTGGAGATAAAGTCAAGTGACCAGCCTCTGACTGTGCCTGTATCTCCCAAATTCTCCACTCGATTCCACTGCTAAACTCAGCTGTGAGCTGCGGATACCGCCCGGCAATGGGACCTGCTCTTAACCTCAAACCTAGGACCGTCTTGCTTTGTCATTGGGCATGGAGAGAACCCATTTCTCCAGACTTTTACCTACCCGTGCCTGAGAAAGCATACTTGACAACTGTGGACTCCAGTTTTGTTGAGAATTGTTTTCTTACATTACTAAGGCTAATAATGAGATGTAACTCATGAATGTCTCGATTAGACTCCATGTAGTTACTTCCTTTAAACCATCAGCCGGCCTTTTATATGGGTCTTCACTCTGACTAGAATTTAGTCTCTGTGTCAGCACAGTGTAATCTCTATTGCTATTGCCCCTTACGACTCTCACCCTCTCCCCACTTTTTTTAAAAATTTTAACCAGAAAATAAAGATAGTTAAATCCTAAGATAGAGATTAAGTCATGGTTTAAATGAGGAACAATCAGTAAATCAGATTCTGTCCTCTTCTCTGCATACCGTGAATTTATAGTTAAGGATCCCTTTGCTGTGAGGGTAGAAAACCTCACCAACTGCACCAGTGAGGAAGAAGACTGCGTGGATTCATGGGGAGCCTCACAGCAGCCACGCAGCAGGCTCTGGGTGGGGCTGCCGTTAAGGCACGTTCTTTCCTTACTGGTGCTGATAACAACAGGGAACCGTGCAGTGTGCATTTTAAGACCTGGCCTGGAATAAATACGTTTTGTCTTTCCCTCCCTGATTGTGTTATTTGATGTTTTTAAATCTGTTAAGCCCCTTTGGAGGTCACATCTTATTGGGAAATGGGTAGTTTGAGAGGTGGGTCCAGGAACTTTTTTTTTTTGAGATGGAGTCTCGCTCTGTCGCCCAGGCTGGAGTGCAGTGGTGCGATCTCTTCTCACTGTAAGCTCTGCCTCCTGGGTTCACGCCATTCTCCTGCCTCAGCCTCCCGAGTAGCTGGGATTACAGGCGCCCGCCATCATTCCCGGCTAATTATTTTTTTTGTATTTTAAGTAGAGACAGGGTTTCACCGTGTTAGCCAGGATGGTCTCGATCTCCTGACCTTGTGATCCACCCGCCTCGGCCTCCCAAAGTGCTGGGATTACAGGCGTGAGCCACCATGCCCGGCCCAGGACAGTACTTTGTAATTTTTTTCTGTCTTATGTCAGAATATCTCCATATTCTGTTAACTCTCTCTCAGTAACCACTTAATCATGTATGTTATGCCTTCACACAGACTGTACCTTCTTCCCTAAAGACTCAGCTCAAGTTAAATTTTTTTTTTGAGATGGAGTCTCGCTCTGTCACCTAGGCTGGAGAGCAGTGGCACAATCTCTGCTCACTGCAGCCTCCCGCCTCCTGGGTTCAAACGATTCTGCCTCAGCCTCCCAAGTAGCTGGGATTACAGGTGTGTGCCACCATGCCTGGCTAATTTTTCTATTTTTAGTAGAGATGGGGTTTCACCATGTTAGCCAGGCTGATCTCCAACTCCTGACCTCAAGTGATCCACCCACCTTGGCCTCCCAAAGTGCTGGGATTACAGGTGTTAGCCACCGCGCCCGGCCTAAGTTAAATCTTTTTTAGAAATCTTTCCTTGACCTCTGACCTCCTCAGTAAAGATGGTCACTTCCTTCTTTGTGACTCCCAAATGTTTCTCTTTTTTTGAGACGGAGTTTCACTCTGTCGCCCAGGCTGGAGTGCAGTGGCGTGATCTTGGCTCACTGCAAGCTCCGCCACTCAGGTTCACGCCATTCTCCTGCCTCAGCCTCCCGAGTAGCTGGGACTACAGGTGCCCGTGACCACACCCAGCTAATTTTTTGTGTTTTTAGTAGAGATGGGGTTTCACTGTGTTAGCCAGGATGGTCTCGATCTCCTGACTTCGTGATCCGTCCGCCTCGGCCTCCTAAAGTGCTGGGATTACAGGCATGAGCCACCGCGCCTGGCTGTGACTCGTAAATGTTTCTTGTATACATCTCGAGTAGAGCAGTTATACTATATCTGAGTTACTTGAACTTGTTCACAAATTAATAGAGATACAGATATGTAAGTTCCTTGAAGACAAGAATTGCCATAGCCATCTCTTGTTTATTGTGGCTGGCACAGAATTGGCTTAGGTCCATGTTAAACAATATATTTTCTTTTAGAATTCACATCATTTTTGAGTATCAACTCTATCATTCATTGCGTGTGCTAGGAGATACAAAAGCATCTGGATTCTGCCCAGGCTAGTCCTAGGTACCATATATGACCTGAAACTTATTTTATATTCATTTTTTTATTCAGTGAGCATATATGAATCTCTTATGTACAAGTCATTGTAGTCCCAGCATTAATTGACAAAGCAAGATGGTGTTTCTCACAGTATGATTTGCAGATCCTGGTCCTCCTGAACCCCCATAAACTGATGCGTGAAGAGTGGAGAATGAAGGGGTGTCCTGGAACCAATTCTCCACGGATACTGAGGGATGACTGTGTATACCTTAGCACTGTTCTAGTCTCTGGGAATACGTCAATGAACAAAAAAAAAGACCTTGCCTTCATGGAGCTAACATTTTAGTAGGAGAGAGAGACAGTAAGCAAATAATTTAAGCTCTTGTGTAAGGTGACAGACGTGCTGACTGCTATGTGAATAGATGGGTTGGGAGTCGGGGGCATGTGAAATTGTAATTGGGAAGGCGAGGAGGTTCTCGGCTGTTGTGCAGGTGAGAGCTGACAGTGACTTGGGTTAGGGTGGTAGCAGTGGCAGAGAGGAGAAGTGGTTGGGTTCTGAATGTGTTTTAAAGTTGTAACTAACAAGACTTCCTAACAGATTGGATTTGGAGAGTGAAAGAAAGGTGGGCACCTTTCTTTCTTATAGAGGGCACCCAGGTGTCAGCCCCAAACAGAGACAGGGTCCATCCCTTGTACTGTGAGAAATCCAGTTCTACCCTAGTCCTTTTATTTCTTGTGGGTTCACAGCAGCATTCATTTTTTTTCTGATTTCCTCTTGTTTTTTTCCACTTCTGCTTATCTCTTGATCTCTGTGTCTGTTCTTTGTAGATTTTCTCTCTACTGGTATCAGCATTTCTCCTCTATCACTATCATTCATGTATTTCCATCTGGAATCATTTTTTCATATACCTTGTCTGGTTTTGTTCGTTGTTGTTTCAGGCAGGGGAATAAATCCGGCCCTCAGATTGAGGGTTTTGGGAGTGTTACTGAGAATTATGGATGTGAGGGATCCTTCTGCCCCATTTGCTCCATTCTGGATAATCCCCTGTGCAAACTCATGTCAGTGGTAATAAGTGACAGTCTGTTAGAGGCCACAAAGAGGAGTTACATTACTTTAGAGAAAGTAGCTTAACACTGAGATGTCAACATTCAGTGCCTCTTGCTTCCCAAAATTTCTCAGTTTCCCAGGGGCAATCTTTTCCTCCACCACATGGTCTCTTGCCTAGTACTGAGCCCTCTTTTTCTGGACCACCGCACATCACCTTCATTTTTCTAGCACACTCTCCCATTTTTCCCAGAAACTCAAACTTTCTGCTTGCATTTTACAGAAAAATTATTTTATTCATCCCTTCAGGCCATGTGCTAATAGGAGCATCATCTTTCCACACTCAGGTCACTCAGGAATTTTCCTAAATAAAGAACATATCCTGAGATAAGAATTTACTGAATTTTAAGAATTTAGCTGCTACTTTTTGCTCGCCTTTTTTTTTTTTTTTTTTTGGGAGATCTCGCTCTGTCACCCAGGCTGGACTGCAGTGGCACTGTCTTGGCTCACTGCAACCTCTGCCTCCAAGCGATTCTCCTGCCTCAGCCTCCTGAGTAGCTGGGATTACAGGCACATGCCACCACACCAAGCTAATTTTTGTATTTTTAGTAGAGACGGGATTTCGCCATTTTGTCCAGGCTGGTCTCGAGCTCCTGACCTCAAGGGATCTGCCCACCTCAGCCTCCCAAAGTGCTGGGATTACAAGTGTGAGCCACCATGCCTGGCCTTTGCTTGGCTATTTTGCAAAGCTCCTAGCACATACACACATGCAGATTGTCAGAATTCCTGGGAATTCTGGGAAATCTGGGAAGCATGCTGCTTTGTTTTCAGTGCATTTTTAACTTGGCCATGATTTCCTATTGCTGATATTTTTTTTTTTTTGAAACGGGGTTTTGCTGTTGTCACCCAGGCTGGAGTGCAGTGGCGTGTTGTCAGCTCACTGCAACCTCTGCCTTGCAGGTTCAAGCAATTCTGCCTCAGCCTCCCGAGTAGCTGGGATTACAGGCATGCACCTGGCTAATTTTGTATTTTTAGTAGAGAGGGGGTTTCTCCATGTTGGTCAGGCTGGTCTTGAACTCCCGATCTCAGGTGATCTGCCTGACTCGGCCTCCCAAAGTGCTGGGATTACAGGCGTGAGCCACAACGCCCAGCGATATTCTTGTACTAATTAATATATGTATAAGATTACTGCTCACTCTTAGCTTTGGTTGATTGTTTTGTCCTGTGTAATTGCTTGGTTACCATTTTGATTGTTTTATTCCTTACCAGGTCTTTTTTCTAGAGTCTTGTCCCTGGGAAGTGGAGCCAGCATGGTAGACAGAACAAAGTTGCAGTTGCTCCAGCATTTAACAGAGATGAGACCTGGACACGAATAATCGTAACACAAGATGGGATGTGATTCAGTAATGTGAGACAGAGTGCTGTGGGAGTTTAGGGATTGTTTTTGAAAGTGAGGTTGCAGTTTGTAAAGGTTTTTTTTTTTTTTTTTAAAGTAAAATTTGCAAAAGTAGTACTGCCTTTTGGAAACAAGTAAAATGCTACTAACTGTATGAAATAAAACACGAAAGTCTCCTTCCTTCCCCTACTCCCACGTCCCAGTGTAACCCATGGTTCGCAATAGGATTCTTCCAGAATGTTTTCTCTGAGCACACACATAGAGCATTTTTTTTAAAAGAAATAAGATAGTAGTAGCATTATGCATTTTTAAAAATTTTAATTTGTTCTTTAAAAGGTTATACATTCACATAGTTCTGAATTGAAAAGATACAAACGTAGAGTCTTCCTCCTGCCTTTTCTTCCCAACTGCTCAGCTCCCCTCCCCAGAGATAGTGCTGCCAGTTTCTTAAGTTCCCTTGCAGAGACTGTTTCTTCCTATACATACTCCTACCTACCCTCCTTCTCTTATTTTTTTACACAAATAGCATCATACTTTACACTCTGTACCTTGGTTTTTTCATACATGTTGTGCATTTTAAAGATGTAGTTCAGGTGCCACCTCAGGCATGTCCTGGCTTCCTTCCTGACAAGTATGAAGCCTCTTATGACAATCTAGTGACATGGAGGCAGACCTGCATGATGTCCTGGGTTTGTGACCTGAGGTCCCAAGGACTAGAGGGCAAGGTAGCAGCACCTGGTCCTCATCTCCTCCTGGCTTAATTGAGCTTTGGGGGCTTGCGTATTGTCTTGAGTGTTTGGTTGAACCTGTATATCCTGTTGGATCAATCTTGATATTGCTTCCTTTTCATTTCTCTCGATGAAGGCCGTCTTACTGAATCTTGTCTGCTGGGGAAGTTCCTCATTGCTGAGAGCAGCAGTTAAAAAAGCTGTTAGCCACGTGGCTGGGCTCCTATTTCTGCAGAGGCAGGCTGAGTTACAGCTTGGTGGTGTGGATCCAGGTAGGAATTGGTCAACATTCTGAATCCTGAGCTGCCATCTGCCTCGTAGCCTGCTGGGATGCTCAGTTTAGACAACATATAAAGTTTCCTGGATACGGGACAAACCCAGGCCTATGGAAAGAGCAGGAAGGTTAAAGTGTGTGGTACTTTGGGCAATGACGAAGGCGTAACCAGGGAGCTGACATGTTTGCTCCAAAGCCAAGAATTCCAGGACAATTTGTTATCCAGCTGAAGCCAGTGTAGTTGCTACAAAAAAGCCTGGGGACAAAAGCATGCTTTTTACTTGTTTCCCTGTCTTCTTGCACACCTACTCTATTTTCTAAAGCTGTAGTAAAGGTTGCTGACATTGGAAATGTTTGATGATTTTTGCTATTCTCCTCGTAAATGAATAAGAGTCTGGGCTCAGGCCAAACCATGGCTCTATGTGCTGAAAGTATCAGCTTCCTGAAACAGCTTCACAAATGCTGACATTTCACTCAGACCAGGAGGGTCAGGGGAAAGGCCTAAGCAAGTACTAGGTTTTATCATGAAAGAATGATTTCAACAGACTAAACCTGGTCTGATGGCATCAAATGCCCTTCCCCCACCTTTTTTTTTTTTTTTTTTTAAAGCATTATTGGTCAGAGAGGAAATAGAAACTTGGGCTGTCAGATCTGAAGAGACCCACATAGCATGGGACTGGTGTCCCAGAACATTGCAGGTGTGTGAATGCATGAAGAGTTGCATCCAAGTGCTATTGCCCAGCTTGTTTGGGCACTGATGGTCTCAGGTCTTCTTTCAGGAGCAAGGGTGGGAGACATTTCCAGTGGGTCAAGATACTAGTCAGTGGTCATAACTTGTAATGTGAAAAGCAGTCTGGGGCAGCCTTATTTAAGCTTGCTTAGTGGTGAAGAGAGAGGAGAAGGCTGTAGCCTTGCACTGACGCACCTCTATCACCATACTCAGGGACACTCTGTGACACAGATGAGTGGGGTTTTTTTTTTTCTTTTGTAAAACTTTGGTTTTATACATAGTAGAGCTTTTCTCTCTCTCTCTCTCTATATATATATATATGTGTGTGTGTGTGTGTGTGTGTATGTATATATATATATGTATATGTATATATATAGTATTCTTTTCTTTTTCTTTCTTTTTTGAGACGGAGTTTCCCTCTGTTGCCCAGGCTGGAGTGCAGTGGCATGATCTCAGCTCACTGCAACCTCCGCCTTCCGGGTTCAAACAATTCTCCTGCCTCAGCCTCCTGAGTAGCTGAGATTACAGGCACGCACCACCACGCCTGGCTAATTTTTGTGTTTTTAGTGCAGATGAGGTTTTACCATGTTGGTCAGGCTGGTCTTGAACTCCTGACATCGTGATCCACCCGCCTCGGCCTCCCAAAGTGCTGGGATTACAGGCGTGAGCCACAGCACCCAGCTGGTATTATTTTTCATTTAGCATAATAGTAACTCATTTTTCCTGTATTATTGCATACTTTGTAAATACCAATTTTAACAGCAGGATGCTATTCCATTGTTCTGAGTTTGCTTCTCCACATTGAAAGTGCTTATTTTACAAAGGATTTTTCTTAGCTCTATTTGCAGGACAGAATTGTCTGCATTTGCTTCCCCCTAACACATCATGTTTGTCTCTAAACTTTATTATTATTATTGTTTACTAGTCATCTTTTATTTGGAGGTTTATTTTCATTTGGATAAAAAGATTCAGCAATGATCACATTCCTCATGGAGGGATTCTGGGCCAAGGAGGTTATGGTCAAGAGTGCGGAGTGTGCTCTCCACACTGGCCCCTCTTCGGTGGTTCTTATGTTTGAGCTCCTTATAAGAAAGGCAGTGGCCAAAAGGCACGTAAGCTGCCAGCACCATGGAAACCCTGGTGACACTCCCTTTTTTCATGTTGTCATGCTTGTTGTATTTAATAGTATCTGTGGTAACCTCTTTGAAACGCTTCAACAATGCCTTTGGTGGTAAAATCAGTATCCAGCTTGGCAGCTCTACTAATATGACATCCATGAATGAGTTTCTTCTTCATTGGTATGACTGATGCCATTGTGGAGTCCTGGTGTCTGCTGTCTCTAAACTTTAAATGGTGGTTCTCAAACCACTTACCAGTCTATGTTTGTAATTAAAATATAAGCTTGAAAGTGAATAGAAGCCCTTCCCAAAAGCATAGTTAATGACATTATCCTGGCTTGCACATTTGCTGAATGGAAAGCTCTTTTTGGCTGATATGATGTCAACATTACTAACACCCATGTCCAGAGACAACGTTCATTGGCATTTAACAAAGCCTTTCTGGAGATAATTCTAGTTATGTTCTTTAAAGTCTTGGGATGCCACATTTTCAAGTAGATTTGTTGTCTCTACTTTAGATCAGATTTGAAAGGAGAAAGCTCTTAGTCTTTCTTAACTCTACCAGGAGGTTGGGTGCGGTGGCTCACGCCTGTAATCCCAGCACTTTGGGAGGCCGAGGCAGGTGGATCACAAAGTCAGGAGTTTGAGACCAGCCTGACCAACATTGTGAAACCCTGTCTATACTAAAAATACAAAAATTAGCCAAGCGTGGTGACAGGCGCCTGTAATCCCAGCTACTCAGGAGGCTGCGGCAGGAGAATCGCTTGAACCTGGGAGGCGGAGGTTGCAGTGAGCCAAGATCATGCCACTGCACTCCAGCCTGGGCGACAGAGCAAGACTCCATCTAGAAAAACAAAACAAAGCAAAACAAAACAAAACAAAGACTCTACCTGGGGCTGTGATGTGTCTTTTGGGAAGAAGGGTGGGATTATAATCTCACTCCGGTTAGAGAAATGATGGGTAACCTTTAACAAGTTATTCCTCTTTTGGGGGCTTCAATTTCCACATCCGTCAAATAAGATTGAGCTGGAACAATTAATAAGGCTCCTTTCAGCTTAAATATTTTTAGATTTTTTTCTAGGCAGTTTTTTAAGCCAAACCAGCCCTACTTTTATATTTATATGTCTTCTATAGCCAGTTGTTCAATCCCTGCAAGAGAGCAAGCTCTCCTGTCCCTGGGTTTCCATGTGGACTTCAACGAAGTATGTTGGAGACCAGTGTTCTATCTTGTTGAGGACTTTCCAAGGGTTGTTCTGGAAACGGAAATCTAGCCCAGATCACTCCAGGGGACTAATCCCTGAATAATTCTGTCCCCTTGACACGCACACATATTTTCTGATGTTTTTCTTGACCTTGGAACTGGTTAAAGACTGCATAGAATGTTCAGTGAATTCTTGCAGACTGCCACAAAGAAGTCCTTCCCATCCAAGATATGATTTCCCCCCCAAGATTGAGATTATTTTGGAAGTAATCCTTCTATTGTTGGAGGCAGTTTAAGGATGTCACCATAAAATGGACTTTACCTTGTTCTTTTTCTGTTTCTCTCCGTTGCGATTCAGTTTTTACGTGTTCATGGACAAGGAGACCTGGGTTATTTTTGGATAACTGGCACAGGGTTCAAGAGAAATACAGAATTATTTCATGGAATAAACCCTAGATTGGGAACTGGGAGAGCTGCTCTCGCTTTGTGACTTTGAACATGTTGTTTATATTCTCTGGGTCTCAGTCTCCTCATAGAAGTTAGAATGATCTTGCTAGAAAGGACCCTTCCTCTAGCACAGTGGAGGGGAATTTCTCTCCCGCCTTACCATGCCCCAAAGGCACTGTGGGCAGCAATGGTGACTGTTACCCACCCAGCTAGCCAGTGTGACTCAGAGTGGCCGTGCTTGAGTCACATATTCAGTGTTGTCAGTGGCTGTGTCACCAAGGATTGCCAGAGGCCTTTGCTATTTTCCCACAGCTAACAACCTGACAGGATAGGGTCAGCAGCTTCTAGTTAACAGCTGGCCAAAAGAAGCAGGGAGACATCTCTGCAGGGGAGGAGGTTCATGGGAGTTTGTTCAAGCAAGAGAGGCTTTTTCTCTCTTGGTAGTTTGTTACTGCAGCAATAGAAAACGAATGGGGGAAGCAACACAGAGCACACAGTCACTCAGGAGCTGGGAGGGGTTGCCAGTGCGCCTCCCCTTCATGAAACCACTTCACTTTTTTTTTTTTTTGAGATAGAGTCTCGCTCTGTCGCCCAGGCTGGAGTGCAGTGGTGTCATCTCGGCTCACTGCACCCTCCATCTCTTGGGTTCAAGCAATTCTCCTGCCTCAGCTTCCCGGGTAGCTGGGATTACAGGTGCCTGCCACCAGGCCCGGCTAATTTTTTTTGTATTTTTAGTAGAGACAGGGTTTCACCATGTCGGCCAGGTTGGTCTCAAGCTCCCAAAGTGCTGGGATTACAGGCGTGAGCCACCGCGCCAGGCCAGAGCTTCACTTTTTGTGCATCTCTCTCTCCTTGGAACATTTGCTGTACTGATGACTGGGTCTCAGTGTTCTGTGTTTCCCCACATACACCACAACGCTACTCTTGTGAGCTACTCAGAGGCCTAAGCATCTTGGCCTGTGGGACTTTTATTCTCTAAGACAGTGGTCCTCAGAGTGTGGTCTGTGGCCCAGCAGCAACAGCATCATCAGGGACTAGAAATGCAAATTCTTTATTCCCACACTAGACCTACTGAGTCAGGCACGCTGAGGGTGGGGCCCAGCAACGTATATTTTAACAAGCACTCCAGGGGACAGTGATGCGTGCCTAAGTGTGAGGACCACTGTGCCAGGAGAGGGACCTGCAAATCCTGACAGACAACAGGTCTCCTAATGCAGGTACCCATGGGCCAAGGAGCCAGCAGCCACTCTCCTGTGACCTTAGTGCCCAGCCAGTCAAGAGCCTGTCTCAGGGTGAGAACATCTTCCTCCCTTCCACAGCCCCTTGAGGGGTCACCTTTGTACAGTCTGACTGAGTTAGACACGGGAGAGCTGCTGAGCTTGTTGAGTGGATGTTTTATCTCCTTAGCCAAGACTCCATTCCCAGAATGAAGACGGAGGGAAGAATGCTTTTCCATATGTTCTTCCAACAAGTCATATGACAGATGAGGAAACCGAGGCTCAGAGTTTAAGTTACTCATCCAAAGTCATGCTGCTAATAAATGGCAGAGTCAGAATTTGGACCCACGTCCATCTGCCCTCCAGTGTCCTTTCTACCGCAGCAACTTGCATCCCTTGACCAGAGCCAGCTCCAGGAGGATAGGGCCTGGCTTTTTCTGGATTTGAGCTGGAGCCCTCACTGAACTCTTGACCTTGCTGTGGGAACCTCCAGCTAAGCTTCTCAGACACTGGGAGGCAGGTCCTCTCCTTGCTTTCACCCTGTCAGCACAGCGGGCATCTCGGACCATGCTGGATCCCGTCAGGGATGTGGCAGCTGCCAGTCAGTTAAGTCACAAGCCTCAGCAGGCCTGAATGATAGCCAAGGTGGTCACCGTGCCAAGTGGATTGCAGCCAGGAGGTGCCTTGCCTAGCCCACCCCTCATCCTTTATTTGGAGGCCCCTCACCATCTCAGGCAGGGTCTTCTTCCCCCAGCAGCTGCTCAGAGCTTGCCATGCACCCCCTGGTTCTTATGGTAGCCCAGTTTAGCAAACGGACCTGAAGTTTTATAAATAGCGCAATGGCAGGCTGGGAAGCTGTCCTGTGTAAGAGGACAGAACATGCATTCTCTGCTCCTCGAGCCATTTCCTGGGATCGGGTGATGGGAGTGACTTCTAGTGCAGATAAAGTCGAATTACTCTTATCTTCTAGGTCTATACTCCACACTTGGTCTTGCTTCTACTGTTTGGTATGTCTGTGGTTTCCCCCTACTGCTTCTGCCTTTATGTGATGGTGCTTCCAAGTCTGCTCCCGGGACGTTTCCTGTTCTTGGAACAGCTGCACCAGCCTGGGGTACCCTCCTGCTACTTGATCCTATAGGGAGGTGTCCAGTGGCTGTGGGCAATTTTCAGATGACCTTGTTCGTCTGACGTCATTAGATCGCTATTTTTGGCTTTGCTGTTTATGCTGCAGAAGTTGGGCTGGAATGGGAGAGGAGGAATGAAGGAGGGGCTGCTCTTGGTTTCCCATTGTTCCAGGGTCCTACCAAGTAGGTGCATTTATTCTTCCACATTTACAGAGCACCTACTGAA
This sequence comes from Homo sapiens, assembly GCF_000001405.40. NCBI lineage: Eukaryota > Metazoa > Chordata > Mammalia > Primates > Hominidae > Homo > Homo sapiens. The sequence goes on from NC_000020.11 coordinate 31,812,781, forward strand.
TGTCAGGCCCTAGGGCAACCAAACTGATTCTTCACTCACTTATGAATTTATTTTTCAATGGGCATTGCTTTGTGGTACGGAGTAGTAATTAAATGTGAGGGCTCTGGAGCAAGAGAGTTTGGATTTAAATTCCAGCCCGCCATTTACTACCTCTGAAACTCCTCTGTGCCTCAGTTTCCTTTTGGAAATGGGAGTGATTATAGTATCTACCTCATAAGGTTGCTCTGAAGATTAAAAGAGTTAATATCTCTGTCTGACACATTGTAAATACACAATGAACGTTAGTGGCTATTACTACTAACCACAACAGCACCACGTATTGTACTAGGTACTTGGGATATGAAATTGAATGTGATGTAGTCTGCATCTGTTTTGCACTGGCATCTGGACTCCAAGGGTCTCAGATATTGGGATGGGGTACCCAGTCAACACCGTCAGAAAGAATACCTGCTGTGTGTACTATTTTTCCTACCTTATGTTGGAGGGCATTCAAGGGAAACAGAAATTGAAGTTTCTGGCTGGGCGCAGTGGCTCACGCCTATAATCCTAGCACTTTGGGATTATAGGGAGGCCAAGGTGGGTGGATTGCTTGAGGTCAGGAGTTTGAGAGCAGCCTGGCCAAAATGGTGAAACCCTGTTTCTACTAAAAATGCAAAAAATTAGCTGAGCATGGTAGTGTACAACTGTAATCCCAGCTACTCAGGAGGCTGAGGCAGAAGAATCACTTGAACCCAGGAGGTGGAGGTTGCAGTGAGCAGAGATTGCACGACTGTACTCCAGCCTGGGTAAAAGAGCAAGACTCCGGCTCAAAAAAAAAAAAAAAAAAAGAAACATACAAAAAAGAAAATGAAGTTCCTGTCCTAGGAAAGCCTTAGATCAGTGGCTCTTCACCCTGCCACACATCAGAATCTTTTGGAGAGATTTTTAAAAATACCAACATTCTGGGCCCCACTCCAAATGTTCTTAATTGGTCTGAGCTGAGGAGGGGCTCAGACTTCAAGAGTTGTAGAAACTCTCCAGGTGTTTTCAGTGTGCATCAGGGTTGAGAAGTGTGGCCCTGGGTTATAGGGATATGAATCCTGGAAGCTCTCCACTGACTGCACCAGGGTGACTGTCAGGACAGTGCCTCAAATCTGTTCCCTCTTCCAAGGCTCTCAGGATGCTTTCTAGAGAGCTGGCTCTCTGACTTGGTGGTTCTTGAACTTGGATGTGCATGAAAAATCACCTGAAATGCTGGTTTATAGACATTTCTGGGGCCTCATTCCAAGGAAGCTCCATTTTATTTTTTATTTTATTTTTATTTTTGAGACTTAGTCTTGCTCTATTGCCCAGGCTGGAGTGCAGTGGCATAAGCTTGGCTCACTGCAACCTCTGCTTCCTGGGTTCAAGTGATTTTCATGCCTCAGCCTCCCGAGTAGCTGGGATTACAGGTGCTCACCACCATGCCCGGCTAATTTTTATATTTTTAGTAGAGATGGTGTTTCATCATGTTGGCCAGGCTGGGCTTGAACTCCTGATCTCAAGTGATCCGCCTGCCTTGTCCTCCGAAAGTGCTGAGATTACAGGCATGAGCCACTTCGCCCAGCCAGGAGGCTTCATTTTAAACCAACTCTGGGGCTTAGTTACTGAGAAAGCCTTGCAGTAGCTGAATTGCGAGTTCTCTGAGGCCCTGAGCCAAGAAGTCCTTTCATGGTGTTTTATAGCTCTTACCATTTTCTCTCTGAAGAAATCTGTGTCCACGTTGATATATTTGGAATTACTTATTGATCTGATTAAGAGTTACAAGTCATTTCCAAAAAAGTTGGAAAATCTAGATGAATAAAGAATAAAAATAATCTCTATTTCTACGCCTGTAAATATGTCCATTTATATCCCTCCAGCCATCTTCTTTGTAAATATTTTGAACAAAAAGGATCCCGCTCTATGGCTGATTTTTATTTAATTTATTTATTGAGACAGGGGCCCACCCTGTCACCCAGGCCATAGTGCAGTGACACAATCATGGCTCACTGCAGCCTCAACCTCCTGGTGTCAAGCAATCCTTCTACCTCAGCCTCCTGAGTAGCTTGGGACCACAGGTGTGCACTGCCACGCCTGGCGAATTTTTAAATTTTTTTGCAGAGATGGGGTCTCACCATGTTGCGCAGGCTGGTCGTGAACTCCTGGGCTCAAGTGATCCTCCAGCCTCGGCCTCTTAACATGCTAGGATTACAGGCATGGTTGATTTTTATAGTCTTTTTTCACCTAAAATGTAATATGCAGTGATTCTATAGCTCTCCCCCAATTTCATCTCTGTGTCCTGAAAGTGACCAGTTTAGTCCTTGTCACAGTAGAGCCCCCAGTAATTAATCTTAGCAATAAAATTCTATAACTGTGGGATGGAACAGTGTGTCAATTGCGTTTTCGGAGAAACCTATGTCCAATTTGCACACAGAACGCCCACAGACCTCTGCTTACTAGCTTGGCTGGAAGGACAGGGTCTGCTGTAAGGACAGCAACCTTACCTAGGGCTTTTCCAGAGGCCTGAGAGGTCCTGCCAAGGCCCTGGGCTCAGGGGTCCAAGGTGGGAGAGGGCGAGAGAAAACAACGTGCTAATGCAGCCTTGAGTGGCTCTCAAACAGGAGCAGAGGGAAGGCTGTGAGGGGAGTTGGCTGCTCTCTTTGGAGTCAGAAAGGTTGTTGCTCAACTCTTTGGATTTTCCATCACAGCTGGGCAGGGAGAGGGTCAGACTGGGCATGACTTCTCCGAACAGGTCCTTTTAAAGCCTCTTGGCTGAACTGATTTCCTCTCCAGAGCCAAGGAAGCAGTGCCTGGGTGAAGTTAACCCCTTCACCCCCAACACATTCTTCCAGAGCTAGGTGAGCCTGGAAGCCTAGGCTCCTGGAAGGCAGAGCTACACAGGGCAAGAGGCCTAAGGAGCCGTGAACTCTGGCTGGAGAAACCTTCCCTCTGGCCTTGTTAAATCCAACAGGCATAATTGCATCCTGCTGACCTTAATTCCCCTGGCGGGTTTAATTGGTCTTGGCATTGCCCCACTTCCTGTCCTGCCCCTGTAGAGGCAAAGAGGGTGTCTGCACAGCTGGTGCAGGGCGGGGAAGCCCCTTCTTGAGGGTGGGCAGGGGCTCTGGCAGCCCCTAGGTGGGTGGAGGAAGTTTCCCCGTGCCCCACCCCTGTGCCTCCAAGGGAGTGCTGAGAAGCTTGGGGACTCCCAGGGAGCAGCTGGCTGGAGCAGGCAGTCCCGTAGATTCGGAACCAGGCCAGACTCTCATCCCAGTGGGAGGCACTGCAGGGGAGCTGGCGGGAACAGATGAACCCTCTACCTGGGGTGTCCACGACATTATCAGGCCCCCACAGTGCTGTAGGTACTGTGCCATTGGGCACTCTTTACATGTGTGCTGGCTAAATGCTCGCAGCCATGCTGTGAGAGGGAGGCAATGGGGCAGAGCAGTTATGAGCAGAGCCTTGGGTTAGATGGGTCCAATCCCAACTCTATGACTTTGCCCTGTGACTCAGTTTTCCTGTCACATCTGTGAAATGGGGATTAAAGAGCTGACATTTATACAGCACTCGCTATGCTCACACTCACTGTTGTAATGCTTTATCTACCTCCTGGGAGGCAGATGCTCTCCTTACGGATGAGGAAACAGGTGAAGACATTGTTCCAAGCTCACAGTTACTGGTCGCAGCGCTTCATTGACAGATCTCCTAATCACTGCATGGTAGGGAGTTGTAAGACTCGAAGGAAGGATACTCATGAAGCTGCTTACCCCAGGGCCTGGTCCATTTTAGAAAGAGTTCAATAAGAGTAATTATTTGGGAATAATAATTATAACAAAAGTAGCACTAATGCCCCTGAAGTTGTCCCAGGCTGGATTTTGGTCTCATTGGGAGGTGGCTCTGGATTTGAATGTGGGTAGTTTGAAGCCATTCACTAGCTGAGTGACTGTGGGGACAAGCCACTTCCCTCTGTGAGCATCAGTTTCCACACCTTTAAAATGGTGTAACATTGGCCCCTACAGTCCCTTCTGAGGATCCAGGGAGCTGGATCTTTGGCATAGTCTGGCCTGGCCGTTGGTGGGCACTCAATAAATGACTGGTATTGATAACCACAATAATAACAAGGAGATGCCAGCAAGGTCCAGCATAGGGAGGTAACAAACTCCAGTCTGGAGCCTTCTGGTTAATCAGTTATTTACTCATCAGACACTGATGGGCAAGTCCACTCTGTGCTGGGGATGTGTTTAGCCCCTGGCCTTCAGGGGGCTCCCAGACAGTGTCAACCAATGGTGGGATCAGCTGGGGCACTGTGGGGAGGCCAGAAGCAGGGGACCCAACATTCCAAATTAAACTAAAACATGCTCTGGGCCAGATAGAGGGCCAGGAGGTCCTAATGATCCGCATTAGGACAGGAAACATTTCAACCTTTTGAATGCTGCAAGATCCACAAAGGGGTTACTCAGCAGGGAGAAGGGGGCAAGGCACAGGCTGGGACATTTTAGGAAGGGAAGAGGGCTTTGGAGTTTGAAGAACGACATTCCAAGCTCAACTCCCTTCCTTGCTGAGTGACTTTGGGCAAGCTACTGATTCCTTTAACTCTCCTCGTCCTCATGCAGAAAATGAGATGAGCGCTCCCCACAGAGTTATCATCAAGATGATGCTTAAAGGCAAGATGGCTAAAACGAATGACAGGTGCTCAGCAAGTGGAAGCTCCCTTTCTGCAGGGGACCTGGGTTCAGAGCTCAGTTCAGCCCCTTCCAAGCTGTGACTTTGAGTAAATTACATAACCTCTCCATGCCTTGGTTTCCCCATCTCTCTAGTACCTACCGCACTGGGTTCTTCTGAAGACCATTTGGGTGGATCAACATGAGAGCATGCAGAGCGAGGCCAGGCACGTGGTCAGTACCGTATAGGCATCAGCTGTTACTTTTGCTTCCTGGAAGAGGCAGACTGTTAACTGGACCTTAAAGAAGAGAAATGGAGGAGAGGAGGACCGGGCCTGGAGAGGAGGGCCAGGCAGAGCAAAAGTAGTCAAGACTGGGGAAAGAGCTCCAACTATGGTTTTTACCAGCTTATACCAAAAACCCTTGACATTTGCTCACAAAACAAAACATCCCACTCATTTTGAATAGTAGCCTGTTCACATAGTTCATGGTTCAAACAGAAAAGTCAAAGTATATACAGTGATGTCTCCTTCCCACCCTTGGGGCCCAGTTCCTTGCTTATCCTACCAAATAAATTCTTATGTGCATAAAGTGAAATATATATTATTCATATATTATTCTCCCTTTTTTTTTTGCACAAATGGATAGCACACTCTACATGCTACTTTGCATCTTGCTTTTTTTATTCCCCCCACTTTGGTGGTCACTTTTTGTCAGTTCATTAACAGCTTCCTCAATCTTTTTTTACAGGTTCCTATTTCCCCACTGCTTAGAGGGGCTGCATTCTCCCTCCTTTCTCTCATCAAGCGTTTTTCCAATGGCTTCCCATTTGACAGAGGAGCCGAGGCCATGGAGTGAAGTGACTGGTTTGCTGCAGTCAGGACCTGAACCTGGATAACCACTCTACAGCTACTTCATTTTATCTTACTTTTTAAAATATAAAGACGGGGTCTTGTTATGTTGCCCAGGCCAGTCTCCAACTCCTGGCCTCGAGTGATCCTCCTGCCTCAGCTTCCCAAAGTGTTGGGATTACAGGTGTGAACCACTGCTTCTGGCCTCTACAGCTACTTCTAATGCACCCAGGTCTGGCCAGTTCTCAAGAGCCCCCTCTGAGAAAGGCTCTGGGTGATGGAAGGCTCCTTGGATCATAGCTGTCCTCATCCTATCTCGAACACCTCAGGCTAGAGTGCCCCTCGGGCCACCCCTGTAGTGGAGCATCCTTGAAAAGACTCTCTGCCAGCCCCCTTCTTCCATGTGGGTCATGGGTGAGAACTGGATGAGCTTGGGGGAGGGGCACAGAGCACTCTCCATCTCCCATGGCTACTCAGGGCAGCCTCCGTGTCCCCAGGAGCCCAAGAAAAGGACAGTTTCAAAAGAAAAAGCTTCCAGGCCTATGGACATGTTGAGAAAGTGCCCCCGAGACAATTTCTTACCCAAAGGTGACGCAAGCAGGTCCAGATGTCGAGGCACAGAGCTAGGCACTAGGGTCAGGGAGATTATCCCTGGGACTTTGTGGCTCTAGCCAGGTTCTGGGGAGCCCCAGGAGATGTGGCACACAGGTGGGCAGACCAGGGCTCAGCCTGGGCATACTCTTGCCCTTCAGGCCTGCCTGAGTACTCCCCTTCTTCCAGGCCCCCTCTGATCCTGTCCAAGTCAGGGATACTGAGCAAGGCCTGGGGAAAGGGCTGCTCCCCCAGCGTCCCAGATACCCCTCCCTTTTCTCGCTTGTTCCAACATCATTCTCCCCCCAGTCGGGCCATGGGAAGAATGCCGTGTCCTCTGAACTGGGGCCAAGAGTGACAGGTGGCGGCAGTCCCAGCTGCATGGCCCCTGGTGTAAGAGATCCTCTCCTCCGTCCCCGCCTCCACTGCCCACACCCCTGCCTCCGCCTCTGCCCACCCGGCCCAATCCCTTACAACTGCCCAGGACTGCTCCTGAGCAGCCGCTGGGAGACAGACGGCAACCAGGTTGCCCCTCTTTGCTCCAGGTACCTCTCTCCCCTCAGTTAGCAGGCCTCGGCTTCCTGTCTCACTGCAGCCAGACGAGAGGGGAAATTGGACAGCCTGACACACTCCACTCTTGTTTCTGCAGCTAGAAAGACTTGAGTTAGACAAGCAGCAGCACACGCCTCCCTACCTCATGGCGACAGAAAATGGAGCAGTTGAGCTGGGAATTCAGAACCCATCAACAGGTGCCAAGCTGGGGCAGGAGATGGAGGGAGGAGCTTGGGAAGGGGGGTTTTGAATCCAGGACTGGGCAGGTTCCTCAGTGGGAGTTCTGTGCCCCAGCCTTGTTTGCATGGTGCACGGGGGACCCAGAAATCAGAGGAATCTCTGGCTAGGGTTGGGCTGGGTCCAGGGCCTGTATGAAGCCCTTCCTGGAGAGACCAGGAAAATGTGAAGCCACCAGGGATGGCTGCTGGGGATGCACCTAAACAGTCAGGGCAAGGATGATGGGGGCCACCAAGGCCCACCCAAAGGGCTGGAAGCCTCCCACAGAGGCCCTCCAAGGTCGTGGCAGCTCATCTCTAGGGGCCATCAAGTGGCCCCAGAGACTCAGTGGGACAAGCATTTGCAAGTTGTTGCCTGGGTGGGAACCTGGGCCCAGAGCTGGTCTCTGCCCAGCCTGGGTGAGAGGGAAGGAAAGGAGGGTGGATCCTGATGGGTGTCTCACCTCCTCTGCAGACAAGGCACCTAAAGGTCCCACAGGTGAAAGACCCCTGGCTGCAGGGAAAGACCCTGGCCCCCCAGACCCAAAGAAAGCTCCGGATCCACCCACCCTGAAGAAAGATGCCAAAGCCCCTGCCTCAGAGAAAGGGGATGGTACCCTGGCCCAACCCTCAACTAGCAGCCAAGGCCCCAAAGGAGAGGGTGACAGGGGCGGGGGGCCCGCGGAGGGCAGTGCTGGGCCCCCGGCAGCCCTGCCCCAGCAGACTGCGACACCTGAGACCAGCGTCAAGAAGCCCAAGGCTGAGCAGGGAGCCTCAGGCAGCCAGGATCCTGGAAAGCCCAGGGTGGGCAAGAAGGCAGCAGAGGGCCAAGCAGCAGCCAGGAGGGGCTCACCTGCCTTTCTGCATAGCCCCAGCTGTCCTGCCATCATCTCCAGGTGAATATCCCCTCCTGGGAGTGGGGAGGGGTCCTGTGGTTCTGTCCCTAGGGGTCCTGCTTAATTCCCTTGTCTTAGGCATGGTTATCATCACATTCAGTGCTGGGGAGTGTAGTTCTGACATTCAGTTTCCTCTGTCCTGTGAATTGCCTCTACCGCCTTGTCCCCTGCAGAAACCAGAACCCTGCCACAATTCATACAAGACTGGAGTAAGAGAGACCCTCAAAGACTGCCTAGGTTGAACATATCTTCTCTAGGCTTCTGGGGTCCGAAGTTCCCCTTACTCCATGGGCTTGGGTCTAGCCAAGGGCAGGGTTGAGATGGCAGGCAGAAAGGCTAAAGGTGTCAGGCAAAAGGCTGTGTATTTCCTAGGACATCCAGTATTTTCCTGTTCTTCTTAATATAATTATTGGTAAGATATGAAAAGATGACTAATAACCAGATTGGAGGATCATTGATAATATTTTCATAACCATAATATAGCACATGTGTGATGCCATCAGTTATACTTACCTGAATGCTAATGAGGTCATTAATGATATATTGTAAGCCACAATAAGAACATTTACCATATCACTTTGATAATTATGTATCAATTATATCACAACAGATTTTATGAATCAAGAGCTACATAACTCCCTAGTTGTATCCACATGATGATTAACCATATCAACAATCCTATTAATAGTTATTAATGATGTATTAGTGTGTTGGTAGTCAAGATAATGACCACAGCCATGAACATCCCTTAATTTTGTACCAGGTGAATTTGGCTGTATTACACCATGCATTTGGGGTGGGGTTGGATTAGCTCTGCAGATTGCATTGAGACTTGCCTGATGCCACAGGCTGTGGCCGCTGAGGGCTTCACCTCTGTGTTCTCACCTTCTAGTTCTGAGAAGCTGCTGGCCAAGAAGCCCCCAAGCGAGGCATCAGAGCTCACCTTTGAAGGGGTGCCCATGACCCACAGCCCCACGGATCCCAGGCCAGCCAAGGCAGAAGAAGGAAAGAACATCCTGGCAGAGAGCCAGAAGGAAGTGGGAGAGAAAACCCCAGGCCAGGCTGGCCAGGCTAAGATGCAAGGGGACACCTCGAGGGGGATTGAGTTCCAGGCTGTTCCCTCAGAGAAATCCGAGGTGGGGCAGGCCCTCTGTCTCACAGCCAGGGAGGAGGACTGCTTCCAGATTTTGGGTAGGCCAGGGGCAGGTGGGGGCTGGGGCTGCCCTGGGGCCAGGGGGAGGGAAGGGGGCTGTCAGTCCCAAGTCTACCTATTCGGAGGTCTGAACTGCCCTGAGCCAAGCCTTACCCAGGCCCATTCATCTAAGGGTCACACAACTCCAGAAAGTATTCCTTTTTTAACGTATGTTTATTCATTTGTTTATTTGTTTTAAAAGATAGGGTCTTGCTACGTTGCCCAGGCTGGCTTCAAACTCCCAGCCTCAAGTGATCCTCCCACCTTGGCCTCCCGAGTAGCTGGGACTACAGGCGTGTACAACCATACCTGGCTTTCTTCAATCTTATTTTTTAAGATGTATTTTTATTTTTAAATTTAGTATTCCCTTTTGATAGATGGGGAAAGGAAGGCTCAGAAAAAGGAAAATGAAGTGCCCAAACATATCCAGTGAAGACAGGATTTGAACCTGTCAGGCCACCCAGACTCCAGAACCCACTTTTGAGTTTTTTCTACTTTGACTAAAATGAAGTTAAAAAAAAGAAAAATCAGGCAGATTATTGGAGCAACACAAACTCCCTGGGCAATGGAATTTGGAGTCAATCTGTAGAAGGGCTCAAATGCCAGGCTTAGTAGCTAAACTGTATAGTGGGGTGGGGTCGTGGGAGCTATAGAGGGCTCATGCGCTGAGGAGCACAGGTGCCTGTGTGTGGGAGCAGTGACCAAGGAAGCTGGGCATGTGCAATGGGGCAGGACTGTGGAGTGGCCTTCATTGATGATTAGACAAGCAGCCCGTGGCTTGTTCATGGGCTGCAGAGAGCACTGAGTGTGAGTGAGCTTGGCCAGCAGGTGAATAGGGAAAGGGCCTGGGCAGGGGTGCGGCAGGGCTGGGGGTGGGGTGAGATGGGGTCAGGAGAACCCAGAGTGTCCTGACACCCCCCTGCCTCCAGGCTGAAGTGCCCTGGGAGACCCGCCAGCCTGCCTGGTGAGCGGCACCGTGCCACCCAGACAGGGTGGGAGGACCTGGCGGCTGGGCGGCAGCCAGGAGCCCTGCCTCCGCCCCTAGCAGCCGCAGAGACCTCCGCCCCGCCCCGAAATCGCATCCTAGAGTGACAGGATCTGAACCACCTCCAAAGGCCGTTTGATTTATCACCAGCCCGGCTTCCCTGCCGCCTCTTGCTATTTATAAAGAGGTTTCCATTCCTGATGACCGCCTGCCGGCCTGCCAGCCTTCAGGGCGAGCGGTTCCCCACACTTGCCGCTAGGTGGCGCCCTCTCCCCACCAAACAGCACGGTCCCCGGTCCCGCCCCGCCATGGGTGGTCTGGCCAGATTGCGGTGTTATTAGGATGGAGGGTGGGCAGGTCCCACCACCTACCCCATTATTCAGACATAGCAACCCCACTGCCTGGCATTCCGCTTTATAGCTGCTGTGTTTGATTGTTTTTGGTGGAAATGCAGATAGCTTGGGATGGAGTCCTTGTGTCTTATAATGCAGAGGGTCCAAAAAGTCCAAGCTCCCATCCCGTTTGTTCTGCCAGGAGAAGCTGGTCCTCCCTGATAGGAGTGTTGTGTTGGTGGCAGAACTGATATTGGAAACTGGGCCCCATAGCCCCTATCCTGGAGCCAGGTGTCCCCCAGGTATCACTTGGTGAACTTAACTTCCCTAGATGGGGCCCAGGCCAGCAGGAGGGGTGGTGCCAAGGGGAATCCTCAGCAGCCCCTGGCACTGACCATGAGGGCTGTGCTCTGTCCCCCAGATGATTGCCCGCCACCTCCGGCCCCCTTCCCTCACCGCATGGTGGAGCTGAGGACCGGGAATGTCAGCAGTGAATTCAGTATGAACTCCAAGGAGGCGCTCGGAGGGTGAGATCTGGGACCCCAGCTGGGCACTCATGGACAGAGAGTACACCGGGCTCCTGTGGCTTCACATTTCCCCTGTGCAAGGCCCAGACACACACCCCGCTGAGACATGGCCACATGGACATGTTCACCTCTGTGTGGGACACACACTGTGTGCAGCTGTCACATGCTGATGTGCACTCAGTGTTGCTGTCACTTACTCAGACGCACCGTCAGCCATTCAGTGCTTCCGTAGGAAATACACAGCATTTTTCTGTCTGTCTCAGCTCCAGGCACCACACTGACCCCCTCATGGTGATTCCTGCTTTGTAAAAAGCCCTGACTCAGTCTTATACCTCTGCAGATCCTCCCTCTGCCTGAAGGTGCCCTCCCCCAGGGCCCAGGGCCTGCCTGCCCTAAACCTCTAAGGGTCGCATCCCAGGGCCATCCTCCCTACACGCCTGCTCTTCCTGTGCACGTGGTCTGTGTGGTTCAAAGAACCTGCTTCAGCCATTGTCCTGGCAGAACAGCTCACAGCTTCAGGAGGGAGTCAGGGCTGGCTGGGGTGAGTGCTCCCATCTCACCAAAGGGGATCCAGAGGCACCACTGGGTCTGGGACCAAGTTAGGATCAGAGCAAAGGATGCCACTGACCCCGGTGGGCTCTGGGGTCCCCTCACTTACAGCCTCTTCTCTTTCCAGTGGCAAGTTTGGGGCAGTCTGTACCTGCATGGAGAAAGCCACAGGCCTCAAGCTGGCAGCCAAGGTCATCAAGAAACAGACTCCCAAAGACAAGGTAGTGAGGTTGCGGGGGTGGTGGCTGCCCAGGATGGGGAGGGGATCCTTGGAGTGGGCACCTCTCGCCTCCCTCCACCAGCGCTGCTGAACCTGGGGCCTGGTATGGGAGTTTGTTGCAGTGAAAATACTACACAGATAGAGAGATGGATGGACAGCCCTGCAGCAGGGGCCTGAGGACCCTACCCATAACCAGATACTTCAGTTAGTGAACTTATCTGGGGACTTCCCTTTTAGGCATGGGATATTCATGCCCTCTGGTTCAATTCAACAAACACTGATGAGTGTGGGCTCTGGGCCAGGCCCTGTGCTGGGCACTGGGGGTCTGGGAGTGAAGTGGGTGTGGTCTCCACCCTCAGGGAGCTGAAGCCAAGGTAAACAAGCCTGGCCTAGAGCTTTGCCTCTAGTACCCACGGCCTGGGCTGGGTTCAGAGGAGGCCACGAGCAGTGTTTGTTGAAGGAATGAAAGGATGCAGGCAGGTAGAGTGAGGGAGTCTGCTGTGTGAGGAGGTAATAGCAACCTCGTGTGACCACAGCTGTGACTCAGGGAAACTGCGGGGTAGCATTTTGGGGTTCAAGAGAGCTTCTGACTCAGGCCGAGGGGTCAGGGAAGCTTCCTGGACCAGCTGCCTTTTGAGCGAGGGCTTTGAGGAGACGTTCCAGTGGAGAAGGCAGGGGCAGAGTTTCAGGCAGAGGGGACTATGGGAGGAAAGGCTCGAGGGCCAGAGATAGCAGGAGGTGCTGGGGAGTGAGGTTCTGGGCATCCCAGGCAGAAGCCACAGTGTGGGCACAGGCCCGACCCCAGTGAAAGCGTGAGAAGCAGCTCTAGCCGCTGCAGCCCTGGGTCCCCATTATGGCTCTAAGCACACTGGAAGGAGTGCATTTTCTATGTGACAACGTCCTTTTTCGTCTCTTCCACTTACAGGGCCTGGGTCCGTGTTATTGTCTCCTAGGTCCCAGGCCTCTGTCACAGGCTCTGGCTCAGCATAGATGTTCAGTACCTACCTGCGGCTCAATTAACTGGGGCCAGTTTTCAGTTGATAATTATTGAGCACTTCTCTGCCATTCAGTGGGTCAGGGGCTGGGGAAATGTCAGTGACCTAAAAACACCCCTGCCCTCATGGGCTGACATGCTACAGTGGAGGGAGAGACAACTAAAACATAAAGCAAAAAGAAAAAAGAAAAGAAAAGAGAAGAAAAGAAGGCCTGGCATCAGGTACTGAGAAGTGCTAGGAGGGAAAATAAAGCCAGGTAAGGTAGAGGGGGTACAGGGCTGATGGGGGCGCTTTTAGATAGGGAGGTGAGATCAGTCCTCTCTGAGAAAGACATATGTGAGGTGAGAACTGAATGAAGGGGTGGGTAAAGGCAGAAGGGGAGCCATCCTGGCAGTGAAACAAGGGTTAGTGTTTAACCACTGGATCTGGGTAGGGCAGGTGTGGAGAGAGGCCCGATTTACAGCATTTGCCATTTCTCATGGTGTAAGTATTCCTATTATAGCCGATATATCAGCCTACCGATGTGACAGCTGGCTTGCGACTTTCTGAAAGTGACAAATAATGGTGTCTTAAACTAGGAAGGCAGTGGTGGAGGAGGTGCGAATGATTGGATGTATAATCTAGCTTGAAGGTAGATGATGCTGAAGAGTTGGGTCGGAGGTGGGGTGTGAGGGCGCGAGAGTAAGGGAAGAACTTAGGATGGCTCGTAACTTTTTGTCCTGCACCCTTGGGTGAAGCGTGGGGGTACTTTTGCTGCCAGGCAAGCCGAGAGCAACTCAATTGTGGGGAAGGGACGATGTCTAAGGTCTAATTTTGGACATGATAGATTTGAGATGTCTATTAGACAACTAAGGCAAGTAGACAGTTGGAGATATTGGAGTCTAGAATTCAATGGAGTGCTCAGAGGTTGAGATGTATATTTGGAAATTGATGACTTTGGATAAAATGTAAAGTCATGAGACTTTATGCAGATGCCCAGGGAGAGAGCAGAGAGAGGGAAGCGGTGAGGGGGGAGGATGGAGATCTTGGCATGTCAGTACTCAGGAGAAGAGCCGGCAAAAGGAAGATGTCCCAGCAGGCATGACTTGGGAGTGGTGAGGACCACAGATGTGGGGGTGGGGGAGAGAGGAGAGGCAAGGAGGAGGCTGAGCAGTGATCTGGGCAAGGCTAGCAGGCCTGTTCAAGGGTGCGGGTATGGAGGGTGGGTGGCAGGGAGTGATGGTGCCCAGCTGGTACCCTTGACTTCCCTGGTCCCCAGGAAATGGTGTTGCTGGAGATTGAGGTCATGAACCAGCTGAACCACCGCAATCTGATCCAGCTGTATGCAGCCATCGAGACTCCGCATGAGATCGTCCTGTTCATGGAGTAGTGAGTGCCCGAAGTAGTGGTAGGGGCTGGGTGGGGGTACCACCAGGCACGGAGCAAGCCGTGGAGGGGTCTGTGCACACAGCATCGAGGGCGGAGAGCTCTTCGAGAGGATTGTGGATGAGGACTACCATCTGACCGAGGTGGACACCATGGTGTTTGTCAGGCAGATCTGTGACGGGATCCTCTTCATGCACAAGATGAGGGTTTTGCACCTGGACCTCAAGGTACCAGACTGGGGCCTCCTGGGAAGGGTCAGGGGCAGCCTCCGACCCCCTGAGATCAGTGCTGTCACCAGCCATCCCTCTGCCCTCCCATCCCTCCATCTCTTCCTTCATCCATCCTTCCCTTCATAGATTCAGAAAGGGTTTATGGAATACTTACCAAGTGCCAGGAGCCGGGGGCACAGCAAAGAGAGAGAGGGGGGGAAAAAAAAAAGACGTGGTACCAGCTTTCATGGAACTTCTAGTCTAGTACTAAGTATTTGTTGAAAGGGCCTTTTGCAGTCCTGTGAGCCCCAAGCTCAGTGTGTCACACAGACAAGTGGCTAATAAGTGTTGCAATAGCACCTGCCTCAGCCTTGGCCCATGATAGGTACTAGGAGTGTCTGATCATTTATTCAAAAGCAACAAATATTTCTTGAGGGCCTACTTTATGCCAGGCAATGCTCTAGGTGGTGGAGATCCTGTGGTGAACCAAACAGATAAAAATCCCTGCATTCTTGGAGCTCTCAAATAAGTATAGTGTCAGCGTGGCAATGTGCATGAGGTAGGCGCTAACAACAATGTTTCGTGAAAGAATATTGATATCCTTCTTCTTTTTTTTGAGATAGAGTCTCACTCTGTTGCCCAGGCTGGAGTGCAGTGGCGCTATCTTGGCTCACTGCAACCTCCGCCTCCTGGGTTCAAGCGATTCTCCTGCCTCAGCCTCCCGAGTAGCTGGGATTACAGACACCTGCCACCACACCCAGCTAATTTTTGCAGTTTTAGTAGAGACAGGGTTTCACCATGTTGGCCAGGCTGATCTTGAACTCCAGACCTCAAGTGATCCGCCCACCTCGGCCTCCCAAAGTGCTGGGATTACAGACATGAGCCACTGTTCCCGGCCTGATATCCCTCTTCTGACCTTGCTCACTACCATGCACATGGTAGGTCAGGAAGAGCAGATCTGCTTTTTTTTTTTTTTTTTTTTTGAGACAGAAAGTCTTGGTCTGTTGGCCAGGCTGGAGTGCAGTGGTGTGATCTTGGCTTACTGCAACCTCTGTCTCCTGGGCTCAAGCAATTCTTTTGCCTCAGCCTCCCGAGTAGCTGGGATTACAGGCGTGTGCCACCATGCCCGGCTAATTTTTGTATTTTTAGTGGAGACGGGGTTTCGCCATGCTGGTCAGGCTGGTCTTGAACTCCTGACCTCAGGTGATCTGCCTGCCTCAGCCTCCCAAAGTGCTGGGATTACATGTGTGAGCCACCGTGCCTGGCCACAGATAGGTGTATACATTGCAGCAACTCCAGTCAGTTGTCCGTAGCTGTCCGGAGCTGAGTGTGGAGCTCTGGGTGTGGAGCAGGGAAGGGCAGCAGGAGTGCAGGGGGTTGGCAGTCCTCATGGCAGGTGTTAATGCTGTGCGTTAAGTGGCGGGACATGGAATCTTAATGTGGAGGCGCGTGAGCACCCATCAGCAAAGTGGATGGTACTTTCATTCATTCATTCCATAAGCATATGCTGGGTACTTTCCTTAATTCATTCGATAAGCACGTGCTGGGTACCTGCTCCTGGAAGGCCCCGTGCTAGGCATAGGGACTGTGAAGGAAATGGTCCCTGTCTCATGGAGCCTCCAGGGGAAACAGACATTCATAAAACAATTCCTAACTAAATAGGTCATTTTAAGCCATGAAAAGTGTTTGAGAAAATACACGAGAGTAATGCGGAATCGCACTGGGTGAAATTGAAGTCAGCACGGGTCTGAAGCAGGCAGGGAGATGCTGTTGCCGCCTCTAACACCTGTCCCAGTTTTGCTCTGTGCCCGACACTGTCTGAGTGAGGGTGCCATCTTCCCAACAGTCCCCTGGGTTAGGTGTGTTAATATCACTGCCACTGACAGAGGAGGACACAAACAGGGTGAGGAGGTGGGTTTCAGTGGGGCCAGAGTGGATGCAGGGAATTTAGAGGCTGATGGAGTAAGTAAGCCAGGAGAGAGATGCCAGGGGCTTGAGCCAGAGTGGCAGTGGGAGAGGGGAGGGAAAGGGGCCAGATGGAGGATACATTTTGGAAATAGAGCCAATCTGATGTGCTGAGGGTTTGCATGTGTGAGGGTTAGGAAAAGAAAGGATCAAGGGTGAGTCCTGAGTTACTGGACAGATGGTGGCCCCTTCACTGAGCTGGGGGCAGTTGGTGCCTGCATGATGACATTGGAAGACTGCCTTTCCCTAGTGAAGGCTAATTTCTTTGGGGCAGAATAGGGTCCCCCAATTAAAATGCAGTGCTCTGGGAAGAAGCTCAGTCGTGAGCCTCTGTATCCTAAAATGTGTTTTTTTCAGGATAATAATACGTTTTTTGTCAAAAAAAGTGTTTCACGGTCAAGTAGGTTGAGTGCACCCCAGCCCACAGGCCATGTCCTGGGTCTCTTGGCTGCAGGGCTTCTGAGGGCCTCCTGTGTGTAGATGGAGAATCTCTGAAAGGAAATTTGAGTCTGCTTCATTTCCCCAAATGCTTGTACCCTGGGACCCTTCTTTTCTTTCCTGTTTTGTGGGACACCAGGCCAAACTATTAAAATCATTAGTATCTGCTCTGAGTGAATCTATCAGTTTTAAGAGTGCCTTCAGAAAGCGTCTCCTTAGGGGACTTGAGTCAAATGCCCACAGAGCCCAGACAAATAACAAATACATGTTGAATGGGAGGGATCAGGGGGTGGTGGCGACCATGGGAGAGTTGGAGGACATTTGTCTCATCTCAGGCTGTTAGTGGCAACTTGTTCCAAGGCATATGGCCCATGTGGCCAGGGCTTCCGGTGTTTCAGGAGCTGCTGGAATTCAGGGTTTTTGTGCAGAATCTCCTGCCTTTGAACCATTGTTAACTTAAAAATGTTTATACCCTGCAACCTCAGATTAGTCCTGTGTCCTTGTGTGATAGGAAGAGGAAACAGAGGCCCAGAGTGGAGAGGAACTGGGCTTACAGTAACGTCATCCATGTGTTAACTTGGCTGAGCCCCTACTGGGTGCCTTTGTTAGACCCTGAGGGTGGGACCCAGGAGGCCAGGAGAAGACAATCCCTGGCCTGGAAGAGCCAACCCTGTAGTGTTATATTCACCCCAGAGTGCAGGATCAGTGGTGGTAGCGGAACATCACAAGGCCAGTGCTGGAGTCAGTCATGCGTTCATTTCCTGGCTCCGTCGCTTACTTGCTGGGCAACTGTGGCCGAGTCACTTCTGTGTCTGAGCCTCAGCTTTCTCAGCTGCCAAATGGGAATGGATGGTAATAGTATCTCAATGTCACAGTTTCATCTCAAGATAACAGTGTGTGCCTCCTAGATCTTTGGGAAGGACTGGGGAGCTAAAGTGAGAAAGTGAGTGGACTGGGCCTGATGTTTTGTAGCTCATCATCCTCACTAACTGGGGAGACAAGAGTAGCGCATCTTCCAGTGACCCTGGAGTAGTGTGAAGCCCCGTGTTCCCAAGAGGCTTCCTGTCAGGAACTGAGCTGGCATCTTCTTTCTCTGTTCTCTGGAGCTTCATGTATCTGGTGGTGGTCCTGCACTGGCCCCCCAGCCTGGGGGCGGGGATAGCAGGCTGTCATGCCTCCTCTCCACAGGCTTCTGTTTCCCCATCCTCAGAACTGCTAGAATGTCGTGTTCTTTCATGGCCTTAGATGGAGGGAAATCTCACCTGAACCCATCACGGCAGGTCCTGTGCTTCAAGGCCTCGCATAAGCCCCTCGTGGGGGACTTGCCTCAAGATCTCTCTGTGCCCAGAGCAGGCAGGGCTGGAGGGTCTCTGGCAGCTGCCCACTCTGGCAGCTTGGGCCTCTGCCTCAAGGAGCCTGGGGTTTGCACGGGCCTGGTGGGAGAGGGAGGGTGAGCTGGTCAGAGGCCCACCCAGGCCACCCCCTTTCTCCTCAGCCAGAGAACATCCTGTGTGTCAACACCACCGGGCATTTGGTGAAGATCATTGACTTTGGCCTGGCACGGAGGTACCACCTGGGTGGGTGGGGAGGGCAAGACAAGCCTCTGAGTTGGCAGGGGACAGGGGTGGGGTGGAGGGGGCATGGGTATAGGCCAGGAGCTGTGCTCTCAGCCCTTGGTCTCACCCCCAGGTATAACCCCAACGAGAAGCTGAAGGTGAACTTTGGGACCCCAGAGTTCCTGTCACCTGAGGTGGTGAATTATGACCAAATCTCCGATAAGACAGACATGTGGAGTATGGGGGTGATCACCTACATGCTGTGAGCTCCCAGGCGGGTCGTGTTTATGGGGTTGGTGGGGCATGGGGGCGAGCGGCCGAGGCCAAGATTGGCCCTAGGGTCTTGGTAAGGTGGTCCCACCTCCCCTATCCCTCAGTCAGGGGTTTGCTGGGGTTGGGAGTGCTAGGGAGAACAGGAAAGGGGAACGTGGTACCCATTTCATAGATGGAAAAACCAAGGTCCCTATAAAGGCATAGCATCTGGACAGCAGATCTCGGATGACCTGGGGCGGGCAGAGGGGCAGTGGACATTTCCTATGTGCTCACCACATACCTTGCACTCGTCATTCCTCATCACTGCCACCTAGGAAGCTGGGATGATTATGCCCATTTTACAGATGAGAAGAGTGAGGCTCAGAGAGGGGAGATGACTTACCCAAAGTCACCCAGCCAGATTCAAACCCAGGTCTGTCCCACGAGAGGCTGGGGGTCTTTTCAGCACACGGTGCTGCCTCCTAGGATCTGCCCCTGTTCCCTACCCCTCTGAAGGTGACTCAGCACCTCCAATCTCACCTCCCTGCCCCCTGCTATCCCCTCCCTCTAGGCTGAGCGGCCTCTCCCCCTTCCTGGGAGATGATGACACAGAGACCCTAAACAACGTTCTATCTGGCAACTGGTACTTTGATGAAGAGACCTTTGAGGCCGTATCAGACGAGGCCAAAGACTTTGTCTCCAACCTCATCGTCAAGGACCAGAGGTGAGGCTCACCCCAGAACCTGAACTGTATGTGTGCAAGCTTAGTGTGTCTGAGTGCTGGCAGGGCGGGAGCCAGGTAGAGAGGCCAGCTGAGCCCCTGGGGCCTCACGAGCATGCAGCCCACCGTCACCATGCTGCCTCTCCCCCAGGGCCCGGATGAACGCTGCCCAGTGTCTCGCCCATCCCTGGCTCAACAACCTGGCGGAGAAAGCCAAACGCTGTAACCGACGCCTTAAGTCCCAGATCTTGCTTAAGAAATACCTCATGAAGAGGCGCTGGAAGGTACCGCTGGATTCAGGGTGGGGAGGGAGGGCTTGCTAGTGGGAAGAGCTCCTGGTGCCAGATCCCAGCCTCCACCGTCCCTGCCTTGGCAGGTTCTGTTGACCAGGCTGGGCCCTGTCCGGAAGACAGGGTTGACTTTTCTGTTTTTGCCCTGGGCTGGCTCCTGTCCTAGAGTGGAGACCTCTACCCGGCCTTCCACCCAGCCCCACCCATCTGGGGCTCTGGCTTCCCTCCTTCATTTTTCAAATATTTCTTGAGCATCTACTACTTCTAGGCATTGGGATATAGGAGTGGACAAAAGAGACAAAGATCTCAGTCTTTGTGGAGTTACTTTTGGTGAGAGATGGGGCATTTTCTATCTTTTTTTCTTTCTTTCAATACAGTCTTGCTCTGTCACCCAGGCTGGGGTACAATGGCGTGATCTCGGCCCACTGCAACCTCTGCCTCCCAGGTTCAAGCAATTCTCCTGCCTCAGCCTTCCAAGTAGCTGGGATTACAGGCACCCACCATCACACCTGGCTAATTTTTGTATTTTTAGTGGAGACGGGGTTTCACCATGTTGGCCAGGCTGGTCTTGAACTCCTGACCTCGTGATCCACCTGCCTCCGCCTCCCAAAGTGCTGGGATTACAGGCGTGAGCCACTGTGCCTGGCTGAGGTGGGGCATTTTCTAGAGCCCTGTGGAAATAGGCAGGGTTAAAGAAGACTTTAGAAAAAAAATAAGGGCCTTCTGCCGGGGAGAGGTTGCACTTTTATTTTTATTTTTTTTAGAGACAGGGTCTCACTCTGCCTCCCCAGCTGGAGTGCAGTGGCGCTATCATGGCTCACTGTAGTCTTGACCTTCTGGGCTCAAGTGATCCTCTCCTTTGGCCTCCTGAATAGCTGGGACCACAGACATATGCCACCACATCCAGTTAATATTTTAAAAATATTTTTGTGGAGATGAGGTCTCGCCATGTTGCTCAGGCAAGCAATCCTCCCGCCTTGGCCTCTCGAAGTGTTGGGATTACAGGTGTGAGCCACTGTGCCCAGCCTGCACTTCTAAATAGGGGGGGTCAGGAAGGGCTCACTGAGAAGCATGTGAACAAAGACCTGAAGGTGGGGAGGGGTGAGCCGTGCCAATACTGGGAGAAGAGTATTCCGGGCAGAGGGAGTAGCCAGTGCAAAGGCCCTGAGGCAGAGGTGTGGTTGGAGAGTTTGAGGAACAGGTAGGAGGCCAGTATGGATGGAGTGGAGTGAGCAAGGAGGTAAGGAATGAAGTTAGAGAGGAAGAGGGGGACAGGAGTTGGAGGGACTCATCGGCCATGGCAAGGGGTTTATCTTTTACTTGGAGCAAAACTGGAGCCATGGGAGTGTTTGGAGCAGAGCGGTCCTTGGTTCAGGTCTGGCTGACCTATCCGTTGAGTGAGGGGACTCCTGGACAATACAGTGTCATGGCGCCTCCCGTGGCCATTTTGGGCACTGCACCTTCTCTAGCCTGTGACCCTCCTGGACTGAAGGGGACTTACAGGCTGCTCAGACACCCTGCAGCTGCCCCCCTGCCCTGGTGTTGACTGGGACTCCCTCTCTTCTGCCCTCTAGAAAAACTTCATTGCTGTCAGCGCTGCCAACCGCTTCAAGAAGATCAGCAGCTCGGGGGCACTGATGGCTCTGGGGGTCTGAGCCCTGGGCGCAGCTGAAGCCTGGACGCAGCCACACAGTGGCCGGGGCTGAAGCCACACAGCCCAGAAGGCCAGAAAAGGCAGCCAGATCCCCAGGGCAGCCTCGTTAGGACAAGGCTGTGCCAGGCTGGGAGGCTCGGGGCTCCCCACGCCCCCATGCAGTGACCGCTTCCCCGATGTGAGCCGCCTCGGAGTGTGGCCTGGATCCATCCTGCTAGCACCTCCCCAGACAGGGCTCCAGCCTGTCGGCCACACCCCAGACTCCAGGCCCCCGTTGAAGCCGCTCCCGGTTCCCTCCCCAGCTCCTCGTCTTTGAACTGCCGCCGCCGTGGTGACCCCTGCTTTGCCCCACTGGGAGAGTCCTTAGCCTGGGCCTCCTCCTAGCTGGAGTGCCATGGCTGGGGGGTCTCAGCATGTAGGGCTTCTGTGGTTGTGGATGGGAGGCTCCTGGTGGGGCAGAAAGGCTGCAACGCTGATTCCTAAGGCCCAGCTGCCAGGGAAGACAGAGCAGGCTTTGTGAGAGAGGACCTCCATGCCCCCGCCACCTCCCCACTCCAGCAGATAAGGCCGAGCCCACACCATCTGGCCCAGGCTGGCCCCCACCCACCTTCCTTGCGACCACCAACACACAGGAACTCTGTGTGAGAGAGAGGGCGCCCAGCCCAGGCCTGGTGGAGGGGGAGGGGAGAAGCCAAGGGACACAGGAGACCACCCCCGAGCTTGCCTCAGGGCCAAGCCGGCCCAACCCAACCACTCGGGGCCCCCATCTTGGGGGTCACCCATGGCCTCAGATGATGGGGTCAGCAGGCCCAGGAGAATTAGGAAGGCCATGGGGCAGCCTCCAGTCTGCTCTCAGCTTGTGCCTTGTAAATAAATGTACAGGTTGGATGTGGCCTCCTTCCCTCTGTGTGTGCCTGCACTGGTGTGAGGTCGCTGATGACCACAGTTCACTGAGCACCTACTGTGTACCGGACACTTTAGCAATATCCGTCAGCTCACAGTTTGGTGGTTCATGCAGGCTCAGGTGCCAGTCTGCCCAGCACATGATGTGGGCAGGTGGCTTCTGCACGTTGTGCCTCAGTATCCTCACCTGTGAGAGGGAGGTCGCAGCAACAGCCTACACCGGGTGTGTGATTACTGCGTGCCCAGCTTTACTTAAAGCGCCTGTGCTGTGTTAACTCATTTACTCCTCACAGCAAAGTTACGAGGCAGGATTGATTGGTTGATTGATTGATTTATGATGGAGTCTCACTCTGTCGTCCAGGCTGGAGTACAGTGGTGTGATCTATGCTCACTGCACGCAACCTCCGCCTCCCGGCTTCAGGTGATTCTCATGAGGCAGGTATTATTATTCCTGTTTTACAGAGGGAGAAACTGAGCCAGAGAGAGTGGGCAGCGCTAGGATCTACCTCATAGGGTGGGGCCATGGCTGCAGCATCAGTCAGACTGAGGTAAGGCACTTAGGGCTGTGCTCGGCCCAGGGAACGATAATGTTCTTATCCTTACTCCACATATGAAGAAACTGAGGCTCAGAGGAGAGAAGGAACTTGAATGCCACTCAACAAGTCAGGGACTGGGGCTTGAAAGGAGCTTTTCTGTCTCCCAGAGCAAGGATGTGCCCATGCGTTCCCTCTGCCTCTCACCAGGACAGGGTGTAAGCAGAGAGTCCGGTCTCCAGGTGGAGGCCAGGTCTGGCAGGCCTGCGATGCCTTTGCTGGGTCTACAATGAGGGCCTCAGGGGAGAGGACTGTTCTCTGATTTTTCCCAGTGGCCACGGCCACCTCACCACAAGCCAGCAGTGAGGGGCAGGGGAGGCTCCATCTGGGGGCAGCCCAGAGGGCAAGAGAGCTGAGCCCTGATACAGTGCAGCCTTTCTGGCTGTGAGGACGACTGAGAAGTGGGACTGGCCTGTGGGAACAGAGAGGTTCCAGCAGGAAGAGCAGAGACAGCAGTTAACATGCATCGAGCACCTGCCGGCTGCTGGCCCTGGGCGCCGCATTGTGTTGATGGTCACATCGGCTGCACACGGTGACTCTGCGAGGTGTTGTGTCCATTTCTCAGAGTGTGGAGCCAAGCCTCAGAGAGGTTCAGCCACTTGCTCAGGGCCACATAGTCAGTGGCAGAGCCAGGATTTGTACCCAGATGGTCTGGGCCCAGAGCCCCTGCTCTTCACCACTGCCTGCCTCCTGAGAAACCTTAGGCTTGCCCTCGGACAGAAACCTTGACAGTTCATCCCCTCTCTCCTGCCTCCATGAACACTGGTCCTCACTGCGATCCCCGCCCTGCTTGAGCTGGGGAGTTCAGAGTCCGGTTGCAGCAGTATCACTTGGGGTGGTGAATGGGTGACTCTGAAGTCTGAGCCTGACTCACAGTCTGGGGCTTGGGGGTCCTGGGGAACCTGGCTTGGGCTCTTGGCGGGAGGTGCGCTTATAGGCAGGGCCCCTAGGGCTGTGGATTCCTGCCTGCCTGCCCGTCCGCCACCTGCCAGCTGGGCCAGGCCTGTGGTTTCCTCTGAGTGGTTTTCTTGGCCTCGCTGGCCCCCACCCAGGCTGAGCCTCGGCCACACAGCATGTTGATGAGGGATGAGTCACCACCGTGGGGGGAGGGAAGGAAATGAAGTCCAGCCACAGCAGAGATCCAGGGCCTGGATCCAGCTGGGGAAACCGAGGCCAAGATGGGGAAGGTCCCTCATCAGAGACAGTAACAGCTGGAACTAGAACCCAGGACTCCTGACTCCCAGTGCATGCCTCAGTTTCCCCCTCTGTAATATGAAGTTGATAACCTCGGCTCTTTTCTCCTCTGCCACTCCTAGGGCCATTGTGACAGTTGAGAGACGGGATGGGGTGCTCATGCACCATATTTTACAGGTGAAAAAACAGGTTCAGAGAGGGAAAGTGACTTGGCCAAGGCTACACAGCAAATTAACATGTCCTGTGCAAGAAGCCCATTCAGAACCCAGCCCCACCCCTTCCCAGGAGCACACCTTAGAAAGCTCTTTATGGTTCATCAGGTGCTTCCTCTGGGCCTCCCCTTGTCCCCAGAGGCAGAGAGTATAGATTCAATAATGTGGAAGGGGGAATGTGGGTTCAGAGAGACCTTGTTCCCACTGAGGGCCACGGAGCACACTCAGGGCAAAGCTGCAGCCACTGCCCCTGTGGACAGCTGGGTCTGCCTCTCTGCAGGCTTAGGCCCCAGCCCCATTGCTTTCAAGAATGCTCCCATCCCTGGCAGCTACAAGAAAGAAAGATTTTTCACGCTAGGAGCTGCCCTGATGGAGGGCGGGAGACCATAGCTGGTTTGGGACTGCCAAGCTGGACCAGGACTGAGCAAGGGTTCCCAGGGCATCAGTTCTCTGGGTGTCAGGCTGAGCTTCCCTGTCCCTTGCATGGTTTGCTGTGCCCACCACAGGCACCAGGGCCATGGGCCCCTCCTGCTCAGTGTCCATCTCAACGCTGATGCTGTGTTCTTCCCCTGCAAGGCACCTCTGTGCCTGGGCTTCCCCTGAACGGGGTCCTGGGCCCTCTTTGTAAGCTAAGAAGGGTTAATTAACACTGTCAATGGGAGTGCTCCTCCCAGTTGGTCCCAGCCCAGAGAGCTTTCCTCCAAGACCATTTCCTGCCTCAAGGCCTTAGCCAGGCCCACAGTGACCACCCCCCACAGGTCTGGAAGCCACTAAGCCCACATCTGGTTTGGATTACATCAGGGCTGGTGACACTGCCTTTCCCTTTCTGGGTCCAGTGGCCTTGTATTCCACTGGCCACCTTGGACCCAATAAGACAGTGGTAGGTAAAGATTCAGCCAGTGATAGGGCTGCGCCGAGGGCATGGAGGAGCCAGGGCTGTCCTGAAGGATGTGCCCACCTGGACCATCTCCTACCTATGAAGCTGCCTACGCATCTGTTTCTTCCTTCATGTTAATGGGTAATATTTATTGGCCACCAGGCACTATACCAAGTGATTCCCATCAATTAACTTATTTTGTCCCCACCCTATGAGTAGGTATTTTCATTATCAACATTTCACAGATGAGGAAACTGAGGCACAAGGAGTGTATGGACAAGTCCATGGGCTCCCAGCTGATGAATAGGGGAATCAGGATGTGAGGCAGGCCATCTGACTTCCCACACAGCAACCACTTCACAACCATTTGTTGAGCCCAGCTCTGGGCCTGGCCCCCAGCGAGAGCCTGGGGATGAATGAGTCATGGCCCTTGCCCTTGGGGAGCTCACAGCCTCTGGAACCCCAGTGGGAGGATGGGGATCAGGGTGAAGCTGGAAGGAATCTCATGAAACCATGAGAACAGGAAGGAGACACTAACCCCTATTCTCTTCTCTTCAGTGGGAGTCACATCCAAGCTGAGGGCACACAAGGAGCAGGGCTTTTCCAGACAGAGAGTGAGGAGGGTGTTCCAGGCAGAGGGGACTGCTTGCTGTCCAGAGACTTGCAGCTGAGTATAAGCTCATCTTGGAGCAGGCCAGTAGGGCTTTTGCATGAGACGAAGCAGGAAATAGGTCTGGAGAAGTTAGCAGGAGCCCGAATGGCAGGCTGACATGGGACAATGGGGAGCTGTGGAAGGGAGGTCAGAGATCCATGCTTACAAAGGATCCCTGCAGCCAGGGAGGTCAGTGAATGGGAGAGAGAGGCTGGAGGCAGGGACACCCGGTGGAGGCTGAGCCATGTCTGCTTGAGAGGCTGTTAGCTGTGGGGAGGAGATGGGGGAGATGCCTCTAGACAGATAGGCTGATGACAGAGAGATTGGGTTCCAGGTCAGACAGAACAGGGTTCGTACCTACTTATTTGCCCTCCCTGAGCCTCAGTTTCCTGTCTGTAAAATGGGGTAAGAATCGTACCTGCTTCCCAGGATAATGAGAAAGTTACATGGGATTTGTAGGTGGAGCCTGGTACAGGCTACTGAGCTTATGTTTTTTTCACAACTATTTCTCCGGCCCTGGCTATGTTCCAGACACTGCCCTAGGTGCTGGAGACAAGCAATGAATAGACAAAAATTCCTGGCCTGGTGAAGCTTCATGCCAGTGGGGGAGACACACTGAATGGCAATAATGAATTTAGAATGTGTTAGTGGTGGGGGAAATGGGGAATGTGGTGGCCAGGCAGGGCTTTTCTGAGGATATTTGAACAGAAACTGGAGGATATGAGGGAGTGAAGCCTGTGGACATTCACGGAAGATAAGGCAGAGCCAGTGTACAGGCTGCTTGGAGTGAGTGAGGGGGAAGGAAGGAGGAGCTGGGGCCAGACCACAGTGGCCCTTGCCTATTAACGAAACAGGGAGCCTTGTTGGGGAGGTCTTTGAGAATTTTTTTTTTTTTTTGAGACATAGTCTTGCTCCATCGCCCAGGCTGGAGTGCAGTGGCGTAATCTCAGCTCACTGCAACTCTGCCTCCTGGGTTCAAGCGGTTCTCCTGCTTCAGCCTCCCGAGTAGCTGGGATTACAGGCGCCCGTCACCATGCCCAGCTAATTTTTTGTGTTTTTAGTAGAGACGGGGTTTCACTATGTTGGCCAGGCTGGTCTCGAACTCCTGACCTCAGGTAATCCACCAGCCTTGGCCTCCCAAAGTGCTGGGATTATAGGCGTGAGCCACCGTGCCCAGCCTTGAGATTTAATTCATGGCAAATGAATGAATGGTGACCATGACTCCATCCATCCACTCCTAAACCTTCATGGAGGGACTACTATGTGCTAGTCATCGAGTTAGGGAAGATGACAAAACGCATAAGGCAGACCCAACCCTTGGCCCCTGAAGTTTACATTCTAAGGCAGAGACACAATAAAACATGAGTACATGTGCACATGCGTGATTCTACATTGCAGCAGATGCTATGTCAGCAACATAAATGGGATGCAGAGGGAGAATAATCTGGGGGCATCCAATTAGATAAGGAAGTGCAGGAAGACTTCTCAGAGAAGGTGATGTGATGTAGGTGGTGGATGTAGAGAGGCAGCCAGTGGGGGCGAAGGGAACAGCTGCTGCAAAGGCCTAGAGATGGAAAAGAAACTCACGGGGAGGCAAGTGTCCTAAGGGAGTGGGAGGGTCAGCCCTCTCTTGTTTGTATGCTCAGGGCAACCTCAAAACTGGCCCTGAGGGCTGTGGTCAAGAGGAGGCAGCCCTGGCCTTTCCCGGGACACCAGGCTGGCTTCTGGCTGACAGTGGCCTGTTTTTAGCCATGGAACCGTTTCCTTCTGCCCCACCAGCTGCCTCCCTGAGTCACCACCTAGTACCAGAAGTGTGGGAACAAGAGATTAGGCACCTCTGGACCTGTGAAGATGTGGGTTTTGCCCTGTGTGAAGGGAGAGATGGAGAGGACTACGCTGAGGGCATGAGGTCCTCCAACGGAGTTGTTTTATTAATTCTAATTTCATTCCTGTTGACTGAATTGTACAGGTAGTGTGCAGGACAAGGCTTTCCACATACCAGTCCTGGGGACTGGAATCATTGCTCCCATTTTACAGATGAGGAAACTGAGACTCAGAGAGGTGAATCCACTTGCTCAAGGTCACACAGCAAGGAAGTGAAGATGCCAGGAACTGAGTCAAAAGCCTTGTCTGTGTAACAGTCCTTCCTCCCCCTAAATCCTGTCCTCCTGCCTCCACAGCAGCTAGACACTCTTCTGGGGCATAAATCAGGTTAAGGGAGACATGTCCAGTACCCAAATACCTATTTATTGTACTTAACAAACACTTATTTTATTTTATTTTTTTTTTTGAGACAGAGTCTCACTCTGTCACTCAGGCTGGAGTGCAGTGGCATGATCTCAACTCACAGCAACCTCTGCCTCCCAGGTTCAAGCGATCCTCCTGCCTCAGCCTCTCGAGTAGCTGAGACTACAGGCATGTGCCACCACACCCGGCTAATTTTTGTATTTTTTGTAGAGACAGGGTTTTACCCTATTGGCCAGGCTTGTGTTAAACTCATGACCTCAAGTGATCCTCCTGCCTTGGCCTCCCAAAGTGCTGGGATTACAGGTGTGAGCCGCCGCACCCGGCCAACAAATACTGATATTGTAGCTGCCATGTGCCAGACCCTGTTCTAAGCACTTTGCCAGTATTAACTCATGTAATCCTCACAATAACATCATGGGGGTAGGTACTGTTAGGGTCCACATTTTACAGATGGGGGGAACCCAGAAAGGGGAAGCAACTTGCCCAAGGTCACACAGTTAGGACGTGGCGCCTGGTCCATGGGTGGATGGAAGTCTGGGTGTGGAAGGGATGTTTTGGCTGAGGCCTGGATTCCTGGATTGCATACTCTCCCAGCAGGCGGCATGCCAGGCTGGCCGATACAACCTCCCGGCTTTTTCTCATCACTGTGGCAGCCTTGCAGGGCCCTGCCCTCCAAGGGAGAGGGTCTCCTTCCCCTCGGCCAAGGCACTGTTTGGGGTGTGGGCAGGAGTGCCTAACTCTGGGCCATGGAATGCCATAAACCAGGGAAGGAAGGGGGTGGGCAGGGAGCAGGCTGGAGATAAAGCATCGGGGAGGAGGGGCTGGCTAAGGCCAGCCCTGTGGGTGGGTGAGGGTGGCCTTCCCAGGGGCCAGGAGTCCTTTCCTCTCTTGGGAGAACAAAGGCCGAGGCCCAGCAGGTGAAGCTTCCTAATGGTCTTTCAGAGCTACCACACTTTTGTGGGAAGGGGCCGGCCACCTGGAAAGGCAGTGGGCTCCCAGTTCCTGGAACCCCATGTGATGTCGACCATTTTAATGTAGAGAGGATTCAGAAATCGGGCAGGAGATGCCCTTCCGGCTCTGATATTCCAGGAATCTGAGTTGCTATGATTAAAAACTCTGGAAGTTTCTGAAATATTCATTTCAGATTCTGATTCTGCCATTTTAGGATTTGATTCGTCTAACTCTGTAAGGGTCTCAATAACCTTTTTTGCTCTCACCTGCTAAAGAGGAGGAATGGGGACTGGGATTCCCTCCTAGAGATGGACACGCTCCCTATGAGGAGGTCCTTGGTCCAACGAGATGGCCCCATCCCTCCCCTCCAGAGCTACATTAAGGCATCAGAGGGGGTGCCATGGATGGGCTGAGAAGCGGCTCTGCTCCTGCCTTGCCATGTGACCCTGGGCATGTTACCTCTCTTCTCTGGCCTTGGTCTCTCCATCTGTGCCAAGGGGCTCTATCTGGGTCGACAGAGGCATTCACTGTCCCCGCAACCCCTGTCCAGATGAGGGTGGTCAGGTGGGAGCCGGAGGTGAATGTTGGTCATGGAAAGAATGTGAAGGCAGGAGGCCCCGTGGGTGGGGTCCCTGGGCTGGGCAGCTAGCCAAGGGTGCATGAGATCATGGTGTCTCCTTGCCCAGCACCTCCAGAGAAGGGACCTCCTCCAGGTCAGATCCGTTCCTGGGACTCAGACCGTGAGTCAGGCTGCCCTTCCCCACAACCACCGGGCAAAGGGAGTGAAACGCAGAGAGGTGGGCACTGGTCCAGGCTCATACAGTGAGTCCAAGGCATGTGCTGAGTCCAGGGTCCTGCTTGGGGGGTTGGGGCTGAGGGGGCCTGTCTTCTCTTCATGACTATGTCGGAGGCCAGAGGGAGATGTGCAGAGGGGGCTCTGAGCCTGCATGTGGGCAACCCTTTCGCACATTCCCCCAGGGCAAGGGATGAGCAGGAGACTCAGCCTCCTTCTCCACAAGTCCCCACCCTAGTGCAGAGCTAAACTTCCTTGATTCAGGGGGATGCTGGGGAGTACAGCGGCAGAGGCCTGGGCTCCCCCAGCCCAGCCGGCTTCCCATCCTCCTAGTAGCTCAGAACCCAGGCTGGGAAGGGACTGGGGTCACCAGGGCTCCACAGGAATGTGCAACGGGAACAGCGCCCAGCAGAGGCCTCCTTCCCTGACCCAACTGAGAAAGAACTCTCACCCCTTTGAATCTGTCTGTCTGCCTCTGCAGGGTCTGTCTTTCTGCATCTCTCTCTTTCTCTGTCATATACACACACGCAGCCTGAGACACACTGATCCACACAGGCACACGCCATGGTACAGACTCACACAAGAGCCTCCTTCCCCCTCCTCACCATGCCCTGCACACAGAGGGCCTTTCCTCTTCCCTCTGCCCCATGAAGCTGCCCATAGGAGGCTGCACAGACCCTTGCTCCTCCTCCCCATTGTTTGATGGGTTCCAGGCTGGGGTTCAGCAGGCATGGTGGGGAGGGGCCCCACAGCTGGCCAGGCGTTTTCCCAGCCCCTCTCACCCTGCAGGTCCTCCTCCACCCCAGCTCTGAGACTGTGGGAACCAGACAGTTCGGGCTGTCCAGCCGGGCTCGCTTCCTCCCAGGCCCCAGGGGACCTGTCGGGGGAGGAGGGAGCAGCAAAGGCTGGAGTCCTCGGGGCTGCCTGGGCAAGGGAGGGCCTCTGGAGGGGAGAGGGCTGCCTGCCCAAGAAGGGGTCTCCAGCCCCCTGAGTGTAACCTCGTGGGACATAAGACACTCTAGACCACATGCCAAAAACCAGAATGGGGGTGCCCCAGCATCCCTCCCTCCTCTCCCTATGCCCATGATCCAGATAGGAGGACTGAGGCTCTGGGGAGGAAGCCATTCGCCTCTGCTCCTCCAGTGCTGGGGTCTGTGAGGACAGCGATGTTTCAGATTCCTTCTCTGTTCCTCTAACGAGGACCAAGAATATCCCCATTTCTCCTGCTTCCTCGCGAAGGGATAGTCAGAGAAGGTCAAAGGTCAGGGCTCAGTCACTTCTGAATGGTACCTAGGACAGTCACAGCCCATGCTGCTGGCCCCAAGAAATGCCGTCTTAAAGAGTCACCAGAGGACCTCATGGAGCTGGGGGCTCAGGGAAGCTCCCACATTAATGTGGGAAGTCCAAACAGGGGGTAGGTGCTGCCTTTTGAACCCTAGGTGCCCTGTCTGCACAATGGGTAAAGGGTGCCTTTCTAGCCCTGGCCTTCCAGGATTGCAGCAAAGCCCTCCCACCTCTGGGGGCCACCACCAGCTCTGCCCTGACCCTCTTCTCCACCCTTATGTCCTCACTCAAGCTGCAGGTCAGAGGCTGGAGGGTAGAGCCACACAGATGTGGTTTTGATTTACCCTCTGCCACCCATTTGCCCTCTGGAGTTGGAGCTGGCGAGCCTGTTTCCACCACTGTAAACGGGGCCAACTTTCCAAATCACACAGGTGAGATGATACATACAAGCCCGGGACAGGATCAGTGTCACAAATTGTCAGGGTTATGATGACTGCACCTACGGGGGCTAAGTCCCAGCATCTGAGACTGGAGAATCAGTCCCTCAGGCCAGCCCAGTCTTGCCCCTGCCCAGTCTCTCCCTTGCCTGTATCCTCCTCTCCCTGCTCCCCATTCCCTACCTCCCCTTCCTCTCCCTTTCTAGGAAACTCCCTGAGAAAGTCCCCAGCAGGAGAAAACCTCATGTGAGATATTCCCACCAAGGGTCTCTGCCCCCGCTGCACAACCCCACAGCCACAGCCACCCCCACATACAAGCAGGCACCCTGGCCCTCAGCCCCCAGCCATCAGGCAAGCTGACCCTCATCATCACATGGCTTTATTGGCCCTGAGAGCCACAGAGTAAATCCCAAGAGGCCCTGCTTCCCCTCACCCCCAAGTTTGTCCGGAGGCCCCAGGGGCCTGGCTGAGCACCGCTTCAATCCTGGCTTTCTGTGTGGTTGTCCTTGGCTCACCAGGGCTGGGTCCTTCGAGAGTTCTTCAGGTCCTAGAGCCAGGCTCAGCCCGGAGGGTGAGGGACCTGCAGGGACTGCCCGAGGTGAGGCTGCCTTTACTCAAAGAAGAACATTCCTGGCGTCCGGTATAGGCAGGGGGTCAGCCCCAATGGGTAGCCGGAGCCTCCCTGGACAGGGAAGCCACCTGCAACCCAGGGTTCCTTGTGGTCAGTTGGCAGGGGCAGTGGGGCCCGGAGTGAGCCTGGAGGGGTGGGTGGTGCAGGGGAGGGGGCTGCTGAGGCCAAGAGGTGCTCAAGGCCTGGGTCAGCCCCCATGCAAAAATTCAGTGCCTGCAGCCGACACTGGTAGCTGCTCCCGATGCCTGATTCCGGGGACAAGACGGGCGTAGGGGCCTTATTAAAACTCTCAGCCTCTGAGAAGCCGGCAGGAAAGCCAAACGCTGGGCATGAGGAAGATGAGGTGGCCACGGGGAGCTCCCCTGGGCATGCAGGCTTGGGCGTGGAAATCTCTTTGGGCTCCATGGGTGGCCGAGGCCTGCCATCAGTGGTTGCTGGGCACATACTGGCTGGCATGGCCCCCACCAGACCCCCAAAGCTTAGGCCCTTGGGATCTGGCAGCTCTGGTGGGAATGAGCACTGCCTGCCGGTCGTGGCGTTGGGGACTCCTGGGTCCTGGCTGGTCGCCCTGAGGGGTCCACGGCGTGCCTTGGCGGGGCCCCGGGTGCCCTCAGCACCTGTCTGCCGGGTGAAGCGGCGGCGGCGGCGTAGGAAGCTGCCGTGCTCAAACATGTCGTGGCAGTCAGGGTCCAGCGTCCAGTAGCTGCCCTTGCCTGGCTTGCGGTCATCGCGGGGCACCTTGACAAAGCACTCGTTGAGTGACAGGTTGTGGCGGATGCTGTTCTGCCAGCCGGGCCGGTTGTGGCGGTAGAAGGCGAATCGGCCCATGATGTAGCGGTAGATGCCACTGAGGGTGGCCCGCTGCCCCGGTGAGCTCTGGATGGCCATAGCAATAAGGGCGATGTAGCTGTAGGGAGGCTTGGTTGGCTCAGTTGTGGGGGCGCCAGGCCCGGGCAGAGGCTGCTGCTGCATGCTGGCCGGGCTGCCAGGCTGCTGGGACCTGCTGGGTCAGGCTCAGCTTCCAGGGCTGGCGTCCGGAATAGCCTGCCCAGGCTGGTTAAAAGGTCCACTGGCCCAGCCTCCCAGCCTGGAAAGGCAAAAAGGGGTGGGTCTGCTGAGCCATCCTCCCCTCCTCCCTCGCCCCACTCCCACAAGGCCCAAAAGAGGCGGGCAGGAGAGGCCAGTAGTGGGAAGCCGAGCAGCTGCCAGGGATGAGGAGTTGGGAAGGAAGGGACTGAGACCCTCAGCCCACGTGTGCTGGGTGGTGGTGGCTGGGGAGGGACAGGATGTGAAACTGAGCGGGACAGAGACAAAAACAAAATGAGACAGAGGCAGAAACATATGAAACAGAGACAGGGAAAAAAGAGATAGAGACAGAGAGAGGTAGAGACATCACAAGAGGGAGAAAGAGGGAGAGACAAAGATAAGACAGAGGCAGACACAACGGACAGAGACACCCAGAGCCTCTCAGACACTCACAGAGAGACACACAGACATACACGTACAGACACACAGAGACACACAGACATACACGTACAGACACACAGAGACACACAGACACAGACACACACACAGACACACACACACAGACATAAGCACACACACACATATACACAGAGACAGACACACACAGACACATAGGCATACACACAGACACACACACAAGCACATACACAGACACACAGAGACATACACACACAGAAACACAGAGACACAGACACAGACACACACACACACACACACACACACACACGTAGTATACGGAGAAAGTGAGAATCACTGAGCAGGCAGAAACAAGGAAATCCACAAAGCCAGAGAGAAAGGAGATACTGAGAGACACAGGTGCAAACACAAGGAGTGAAAGGAATGAATAGAGAGAGAGAGAGAGAGAGAGAGAGAGAGAGAGGAGAGAGAGGCAGGGCCTGAGCCCAGTCCCCCTAGAGTGAGAGAAGCCCCAGGGGCTTCTCTAATCCCTACCTCTACTCCTGCTTTTCCCTCTTCTCCCAGGCCTGTGGTCTACTGCCTTCTCCTGCGGTGCAGAGGCCTTGGGGCCACACCACTCCTACCCCATCCTCCTAGCTCTGGGGTGTCTGCAGGGAGGGGCACCTAGGATGGTAAGGAGAGCCCATGAAATTCAGTTCTGCTGCATCCCTGTCGCCCCCTAGTGACTGGTGTGGGAAGGACAGCTATCTGGGGAGAGACATTCTCCCTCCCAAGAGGCACCTCAAGACCTTGGCTGAGCCTCAGTTTCCCCATCTCTAACATGGAGCTGGTGACTCCTCAGCTGTCCAGGCCATGGTGGGGAGGCAACAGGTTCCCCTTACACAGAATGCAGCACCCTCATCAAGAGCCTAGTATGGAGTAGGGATATGAACATGGCTGCGGATTGTCACTCTGAACTGAGGCTACCCCAGCTGCAGCCTGGGGTCGGGAGGTCCAGAGAGTCAGGCCCAGAACAGTCAGGCCTTCTGGAGGAGGGGACGGCATCCTCTCTGCTCTCCCACTCCCAAGTCACTGCTCACCCACTCTGTACCAGGCCAGCTCACCTCCCCAACCCTACACTTACTTCTTCAACCAACCCTGCTCTGGAGGGCTTCATTGCTTCTTTTGAATAGATGAGGGCTCTGAGGCTCAGAGAAGGTAAGTAAATTCCCTGATGTCCCACATCTAGTGAGTGACAAAGCTGGATATGAGCCTAGGATTCTGTAATTCCTAAATACTGCCTCTTCAGTGAGGGGCAGGGGTAGCGGAGAGTCGCTGGGTCCCCACTAGAAAACAGAATGTGAACTCCAAGAGAGTAAAGAGCATGCTGTTTTGCTGTACCCCCAGAGTCACACACTGGACACTGGAACAGAGGCCTGGAACAGAGTAGGTGTTCAAGAAATGTCTGCTAAATGACTAAACAAACAGCAATTGATTGATTTCTGTCCTTTATCGAATCACAGTTTTCCCCCCATGAAGGTGGCTTATTAATGTATCATTAAAAGAGACTTACAATATTGGCATCTGTAAGAGGATTCCTATAAATAAAATCAGAACTCAGAAAAGAATAAAAGGCCTGATATGTGGGGTGGAAAACAGCTACTTTATTCCCATGGCAGGGTAACCAACTTTCTGGTTGTAGTCCCCCTTTCCAGTTCTCAGATTGCCTACAACGTACAGCTTGCAAAGACCAGTGGGGCTTGGAGAAGGGCTGGTCTTCCACGTTGACCTCTGCCTTAGGGCTGCATTTGGAGGTCCGCCTCAGTTTCTTCAAAGACAGCATCCTACAGGTGCTGGTACTTCAGTGGTTAGCATCCAAAGCCCAGGGTTCGGCCAAGTTCCCTGTTTTGGGATCCTTCCCAGCCCCCAGAATAAAGAAGAGAGACTAGCTGCAGGGAGGAGGAAGGTTCTGTAAATTCTAGGCCCCTGAGAGGCTAGGCAGTTTTGTTATGGCTTGATCCCACACTAAACAACCCTGATGATCTAATTATTGGTAAAAACTTTAAGCAAACGTTTTAATGGACTCAACAGCAGGTTAAGGCTGGCTCTGAGGAAAGCGCTATTGACAAATTGGGCTGTCAGCAAGAGATGAAGTCTTGCTTCTGCTCCAGTTGCTGCCTTTCTGGGGCCTCAAGATCAAGTTCAGTTTCCTGCCGAAGCCCCATGCCCAGCTGGGGGGCGGTGTGGCCTACTCTCGAGTTCCGGGGCCCCGTGACAGAGGAGTGGAAGGCCGCGATCCACCTCTGCCGTCCGGCAGACCTGGGTGATGTGCCGGGGGAGGCCCCAAGTCTATGGGCTTAGTGTGGGCAGGGTTGGGTGGGAGTAGGGAGCCCCCCTGTTGGGGGCTGCCTTCAGCGGGTACAAGAAGAGGAAGCGGCTCGCTTAGGATGGAGGCAGCTGCATTGAAGGTGAGTGATGCCATCGGGGTTGCCAGGGGTTGAGGACCCATCTGGGCGCTCGGTTGAGGCACTTAGAGTGCAGGACGAGCTCCCAGGCCGAAGCTGCACCTGCACCTGCGGGGGCGGGTGGGGCGATGAGCAGACCCTCTCCATTTCCCGCCTCGGATGTTCCCATGGGAAGTCACAGCCCTAGTTACAGCCCCATCCCTACCCCCATTTTCCAGGTAGGGTCCTACAGACCCGAGGGTGCTAGAAGTGTCAGAGGCAGAGCTGGGACTGGAGGGAGTGTGGGAAGGGCTGTCTGGAGGGGACTGGAGGGCGTGCTTCTTGGCTGGAGTGGAAGGAGTGACTCACGTCCGCCATGATGAGCTGCTCCTTGGGGTGCTGTGTGGGGCCCGGGTCCTCCTCACCGAAGCACAGACAGATCTGGTACTTTGGGTCCGGTGACCATCCTGCAGGTGGGCACACAATTATACGACACTGAGACTATAGGGACTGGGCAAGAACTAGGCAACCCACTGGTGCCCATCTTGTGCTCATTTCCCATGCCCAAGTCCTGTAAGCCCACATCCCATTGTGTGCCTGTACCCTAGGCCCACTTCCACGTTCCTATGCCTGTCCCATGTCCCACATCTGTGCCCACTTCCAGGTCTTATGTCTCTTCCTTGGCCCCTATGCCCACCCCATGCCTTTATGCCCAACCCATGCCCACTGCCACTCACCTATACCTATCTCGTGCTTGGTGCACCTCACATCCACCTTATGCCCTAAGCCAACACATGTACCGAAGCCCTATTCTTATGCTGCACACCCAACGCCTCAAGCCTTCTCCATGCCAGCACCCCATATACGCCTGTATCCGTATATGTGCCCCCAGCCCTCCTGGTGCCTGTATTCTTTCCCATCCCTGGTGCTTTTGTGCCATATTCTTTGTGTCAATGTCCACTTCATGCCCAGCACCCTTAGGCCCATCCCCCTGGGCCTGCATTTAATGTGCCCACTCTCCTCTGTTCATGTTCCTTTGCCCACCGCGTCCTTATGCCCCCGTTCCCACGCCACTCTGTTCCACTCCTCCAGCCGTCCTACCGCCTGGAGGAAGCCGCGTGTGTTCAGCAGGTGGCAGGTGCGCCTGCGCTCCACCTTGTTGGGCTGCGCCAGTACAGGCCCTGGCACAGGCGCTTGGTGAACACGCCCTCCGGAGCCACCCAGAGCTGCACACCGCGCTCCAGGTGAGGCGGCAGGCCCTGCAACACGTGGGCGCTGGGCAATGGGTCGGGGAAGCGAACCTGCTGCAACGTGAGGTGGCGGCCCCAGCAGGCGCTCGGCGGCCGCCCGCGGACTCAGACGACAGCGCTGGGCTGTGCGCCCGGTGGCTTCGCGCACCAGCGCTGCGGAGAGAAGAGCCACACGTGCAGCCAGCAGGCTGTGGGGCGAGAGAGGGTGCACGGGCTGGACGTGGGCGGCGCTAGCTCCCCTCGCCTTCTTACCCTCCCCTTCAAACTCTGCCGGACCCAGAGGTCGTCCCAGCCTCTACCTCGGAAATTTTGGGTGCTCTCTCCCTATCAGTGATGATAAGAATTCTAGTAATAATAGTAGTAAACAATAGCTTCCAGTATAAACGAACTGATAGTCGAGCTCTGCGGTTAAAAGCTGGGGCCATCTGTACAGTGAGGGCATGACCCTCCCAGCAAATCTTCTGGGATTCTAGGAGCTTCCTCCCAGCAAAGATTTTGATGCAGGTAGAAATAACCATAACAGCGACAATAACAACAACCTAGCAGCGTCTCATGAGAAACCAGCAATCCTGCTCAGTGGTTAGGGTTGTGGGCTCTGCAGCCAGGCCCTCGGATTCTAGTCTATCACTGCCACTTAGGAGCTTTCCCAGGGTTACCAGCTGTGTGACCTCAGGCAAGGTTCTTAACCTCTGTGTCCTGGTTTGGGCATATGTAAAATGGGAATAATAGCAGCATCTGGGGGCTGTGGGGAGCTTGGAAGGGTGCCTGGCATAAACTAAGCCCTCAGGAAATGTTGACTGTTGTGGCTATTATTGGGAGCCTGGGCTGGGTGCTTTGGGTGGGAGAGAGAGGTGGGCTGGCCCCACCCCGCGGCCGTCCCCAGTTCAGCACACTGGTCGGAGGGGAGGGGATTTCGATTCCTTACCAGGTTGCTGAAGTCATCGGAGGGCATTGGGCACCAGAGGTTTTTGAGGTCCTATGTCTGGCACCCTGGTGAAGGAGAGGAAGCAGTCAGGCACCATCTCACCCTGACCCCAGACCCATAGATAAGGAGGAGGCCAGGGAGGAGGCAGGGCTGGGTGAGGAGACCCAGTCCTTACTGTGGTCAACCAAAGGGCCTGGAGGAGGATGGGTGGTAGTAAGGAACCCTGCTGGGCCAGCCTGTGGGGCCACTCCTTGTCCTCATCCTCTGTGGCAAATCCGGAGCCATCCTGAGCATTGGGAGAAGAGGCTGTGAGGGTGGGAGAGGAGGCCTGTGACTCCTCAGGAATTCCCAGACTGTTCCCACCAGTGCAGAGAGGTCTGGGCGGACTGAAGGCCAGCTGGGGTTGACAGTGTTTCTGAGTAAAAGGGCTGGCTGTCCAATGTATTAGAAGTCAATATTATGGCACTGGGCTTTTGAGAAAAGAACTTTGAAGTTTCAGAGCTCAAACTCCCCCGCCCCCATGGAGGTAAAGAGAAAGTTGATGAAGATGTTGTAGGTATTAGGGCCAGAGATGGGTCACTGTGATAGGGAGAGAAGTGCTGGGGGTAAATGCGGAGGTGAGGGAGCTGGAGATGAAAGGTATGCGGGACAGAGCCAGATGCTGATGCGGGGGTGGGGGTGATGAGCACAGAGCAATGAGCTGTCGACGATGGCGGAAAGGTGATGGGGTGGAGATAATAGGGGTGATACAGACAGAATGAGGGAGACAGAGCTGATGGGAACAGTGAGGGAGCCGGAGGTGATGGAGCTGGACCCGATGGGGTGCATGGGGGTGGAGTGATGGACCCAAGGAGGACAAAGGAATGAATGTGGAGAAGATGGGGTGGCTGCAGACAGGGCAATGAAACTGAAGATGGTGGAGGTGAAGGGAATGGCCTGGTGGTGCTGCAGATGGAGGGAGGGCTGCAGGAGAGGTAGAAAAAGGTGGAGCGGGTGGGAGCATGGGGACAGGGCTGGAGCTGGTGCTCTGGAGGGATGAGGTAAATGATGGTGCTGGAGGTCATAGCCAGAGAGGGTGGGGCCAGTGGGTGACTTGCTGAGAGGTGACTGAGCTGGCAAGGCTGCAGGGGCTGGAAGAACACACTCAGCAGGTCTGACCTGCAGGCAGGCTCAGCCACTTCCCAGGAGCTTCCTTCGGACTAAAGGGCATGCCTACCTCTTCAGGGGGCGCCCAGGCCCTGGTAACTGCATCAAGCAAGAGACAGCCTGCTATTCCCTGGGCCCCAGGAGGAACCCCCTCAATTTAGACGATCCCAGATGAGTACCCCAGCTCATTGTATGGCCTCAGGCAAGGTCCACCTGTTTCTTGGCCTCAGTTTCCTCCTTTTCTTTCTTTCTTTTTTTTTTTTTTTTGAGATGGAGTTTTGCTCTTGTTGCCCAGGCTGGAGTGCAATGGTGCGATCTCGGCTCACTGCAACCTCCACCTCCTGGGTTCAAGTGATTCTCCCGCCTCAGCCTCTTGAGTAGCAGGGATTACAGGCACCCGCCACCACTCCTGGCTAATTTTTTGTATTTTTAGTAGAGATGGAGTTTCACTATGTTGGCCAAGCTGGCCTCAAACTCTTGATCTCAGGTGATCCACCTGTCTCCGACTCCCAAACTGCTGGGATTACAGTTGTGAGCCACTGCATCCAGCCAGTTTCCTCCTTTTCTAGTGGGGAGATAAACTGTGTGGTCTAGGCGTCCTAAATTGACCAGCACATGAGTTTAAGCTCAATGAGTCCACCACCCACTTTATAGATGAGCAAAGAGATCCTTGTTGCCAGACAGCCATCGTTGGCCATTACCTCCAGGGGCAGGATGGTACCTGGGCCACAGCGGCAGACACAATGTGGTCTTGTAGAAGTTGGAGATGTTGGCCGGGCATGGTGGCTCATGCCTGTAATCCCAGCACTTTGGGAGGCCAAGGTGGGTGCATCACCTGAGGTCAGGAGTTTGAGACCCCTGGCCAACATGGTGAAACCCTGTCTCTACTAAAAATATAAAATAATTAGCTGGGCTTGGTGGCAGGCGCCTGTAATCCCAGCTACTTGGGAGGCTGAGGCAGGAGAATCGCTTGAACCTGGGTGGCGGAGGTTGCAGTGAGCCGAGATCTCGCCATTGCACTCCAGCCTGGGTGACAAGAGCGAAACTCCGTCTCAAAAGAAAAAAAAGAACTTGGAGGCGTCCAGCTGGCTGCACTCACTCTTGCAGCCCAGAAGGTGGCGCTCTTGTTGAAGGCAGAGTGGAATCGTTTCTTCCAGGTGGAGGGGCCTCTTTGTTGGTGCCCTCCAAATGCTTGCCCTTGTGCACCATCCAGGCCTGGAGGATTGGGGATGGGGGCCTTGGGGGGGCATTTGGGGAGGAATAGCTAGGGCACTGGGCCGTGCAGAGGGATGAGAATCTGCCCTGCCCCTTGCCCTCTCTCTCCCTCCTTTTCCCTTTCCTTTCCCTCCCTCCCTCCCCACAACACATATTATTTGAGCTCCTACTAGGACCCCAGCTAGGGCTGGGGATTGAATGAGGAATAAGATAGACATGGTTCCTGCTCTCAAGCCTAATGGGAGAAGACAGCTGTAATCAGTTAAACAGAAATAACTATATTCCAAATTATGGTTTGTGATAAATAAAAGAAAAAATAAATAGAGTGATGGGATATAAAATCATGGCAGTGGTTTGCTATCTGCCGAGCCATAGAATGAAATCCCTACCTATTGTCATACACAAAGTGGACTCCAGATGATTTTAAAAACCACAGGTAAGAGAAAAAATGATAAAAAATTAATGGACAATAATGTAGGAGAAAATCTTTTAGGGTCAGAGAACATTTCTTAAAATGTAAAAGGAGTGAGACCCTGTCTCTACTAAAAAAAATAAAAAATAAAAATTAGCCAGGTGTGGTAGTACATGCCTGTAGTCCTAGCTACTTGGGAGAGTGAGGCAGGAGGATCACATGAGCCCAGGAGGTCGAGGCTGCAGTAAGCCGTGATCACACCACTTCACTCCAGCCTGGTGATCAGGGCTCACTGCAACCTCGACCTCCTGGGTTCGAGTGATCCTCCCACCTCATCCAAGTAGCTGGGACTACAGGCGCACCCCACCATGTCTGGCTAATAGTAAAATATTTTTTGTAGAGATGGGGGTGTCACTATGTTGCCCAGGTGGTTGGTCTCGAACTCTTGGGCTCAAGTGATCCTCCCACCTCGGCCTCCCAAAGCACTGGGATTACAGGTGTGAGTTACCGTGCCCAGCCTGGGAGGCTACTTTAAAGAGTGTGGTCAGAAAAGGCCTCTTTCAGGAGGTAACATTTGTGCTAAAACCTGGATGGAGCCTGATGAACAGCTGGGGAAAGGTGTTCCAGTAAAAGGAACAGCAAAGGCAAAGGGCCTGCAGTGAAAAAGAGATGGATAATTCAGGCAAGGCCAGTGTGGTCAAAGAGGAGGCCATCAGGAGATGTATTGCTACATTTCTCTCGTTCAGCACTGAGGGGGATTTAACTGATGAATTGCACTCAATCATGCACTGAGGGGGATTTAACTGATGAATTGCACTCAATCATTGTTCTCAGAGACTCCAGGTCTTGTTGGAAACATGGACACCAAAACAGAAAAGCCACAGTTCCTTGTGGGTGCCAGGAGTGAGACTTTTTGAGGCTTGATTTTATTGTCTGCAAATGTCTGTAGGTGTCAATACCACCTAACCTCGTGAGGTTGGGGTGGGTATAAGATGAGCTGGTGCATGTAAAATGCTTAGATAAGTGCCTGGCACACAGTGGTAATTTATTGTGACACTTATTGTATTAAGAATAACATGAAGATGACGTGGGCACAGGGCAGAGGGTGCTATCACCATGACTAGAGGTGTATTGGTTTTGTTCATGGCTGTGGTCTCCAAGCGACTAGAATGGTCCCTGGCACACAGGACACCCCCAGTATGTATTTGTTGAATGCACTGAGCTGGGCCTTGAAGGGTCAGTAGGAAGTTGAGAGATGGAGTGACATTTTTGGAAGAGGGAAGAGCTTGAGCAAAGTCCTGGAGGTATAGAAGGGCGTGGTGCACTCAGGGGTCAGTGAGCAGCCTGGTGTTGCCCTTGCTGGGTGTGTGTGTCTGAGGGTACAGTCAACTCTCGTTATTTGAGGGAGTTTAGTTATGTTCTATAAAGTTCCCATAAACACTAAATTAGGGACTAAGGAACCATTGCTCCTAGGGGAAATACAGGGCTAGGTCCCTGCCAGCTTCTGGTCATACCATTTTCATCAACCAACCAACACATAACCTTGTTTTCTGTGTGTTTCTGTTTGAGGAACTTTATTTAATATGATGTTGATTTATTAACACTGAACTCGCAACCAACAGCTCTAAACCTCATGCCTGAACGAAGCTTATCTAACTTGTATTTTCCCCAGAAGGCATATGACAGCTTTCTTGCACTCAGGAACACTAGACCACACTTCAGCTTTATGCTTGGGGGCCATTTTCAATCACCAACAAAAAAGCACAAAAACATAAAAAATGTGGCACTAAACAGACTGTAAAAAGGACACGTGTTTACATATGAGAGCTGAAATAAGAAGGCAGAGAATTGCCTTGTTTGACCTGAGCTTCGAATGTTCCTGGGTGGTTGGGGGGCAACTTACCTTTTTTGCCATTCTGCGCACATCCATGAATGGCCATGAAACTGATACAAGTGTTGCTTTGGGGATTACAAATAAATCATAGCAAATAGGATAATTTGCAACGACAGGATCTATGAATAATGAGGGTCGACTGTGTGTGGTGGGGGAAAGAGCAAGAGAAATTAAGGAGGAAGAGATAAGCTGAAGCTAGATCATGAATGTCCTTGAAGGCCAAGCTTTATTCCATGAGCTTTGGGCACCAGAAGGGTTTGAAGCCAAGGAGTCACATGTGTGTGACAGTGGTGGATTGAGGGATGGGTCAGAGCAGCCAAAAGGATGGGGAGGCCAGCCCCCAGAATCTCTTGCCTCTGAACAACAATGCTGTTGTTCACGTATATGCATACGTCTTAAGGGACAGGCCATGCAACCACCCATTCAACACTTATTGAGCACCTACTATGTGCCAGGCACAGTGCTTGATGACACCACCCTCAAGCGGCTCATGGTCTGCTGGAGAAGACAAACTCACACCAGACACTTAAAATTCACAGGGAAAGTTGTTCAATGAGCCTTCACCTTTGGAGTCAGTGATGACTTGGAAGAAGCACTGAGTTGGAGCTTAATAAATGCATTAAATAAATGAATGCATCGGGGGAGGCTCTCTCTTTTTTAAAAAAAAATTTTTATTTCCATAGGTTTTGGGGAACAGGTGGTATTTGGTTACATGAGTAAGTTCTTTAGTGGTGATTTGTGAGGTTTTGGTGCACCCATCACCCAAACAGTATACACTGAACCCAATTTGTAGTCTTTTATTCCTCACCTCCCAGGGAAGGCTCTCTTGAGCAAGAGATGGTTAAGCTGAGGATGGTGGGAGCTGACCAGGTAAAAGTGAAGAGCAGAAGGCATTGCAGGCAAAGGGAATCGCATGTGCAAAGGTTTAACGGTGATAAAGACATGAAACATTTAGAAATGAAAGGAGCTACAGTTGGGGAGGGGAGGGAGTGGAGACAGATGAGGCCAGGGAGGGGCAGTTCATGGATGGCTTTGAGGGTATAGTGAGTGAGGAATTGAGACTCCTTCACAATGGCAATGGGGAGCTATGGAATGATTCTGATAGGGGAGGGTCGAGGCTAGATTTGCATTTAGAAAGATCCCTCTTAAGGACTGCGGGGATTGCTGAGGGATGGGGGAAGCAGGAAGCCCAGGGAGGTCACTGCAGTTGTCCTGTGAGAGCTGACAGAAATGGGTTTCAGCAGAGGGACCGAAGAGACATTCTGCAGGGAGAGCCAGCAGGCCTTGGTAATGGAGTAGAATGAAGCTGGAAGGTGGGGAGTGGCCAGGGTTCAGATACCCAGGTGGCAGAAGTTTGTGGGGCAGAGCTGATGAGTGTGATGTTTGGGGTGTGTTGAGTTTGAGGTGCTCGGGGGCCATCCAGGAGACAGTAGCCAGCAGGCAGCTTGATGAGCAGGCTTGGGGTTCAGAGGAAGACCCACAGCCACCATGCTGAGGCCACGGAAGGGGACAGTGGGACATGAGGAAGTAGGTTCAGAAGTGAGTGCTGGGAGCCCCAGTAGAGGAGGGGACAGGATGGAGGTTGAGAAACAAAGGCCTGGGAGGGGTTGCAGGGCAGGCAGCAGAGATTCTGGAAGCCAGATGGGAGTGTTTCAAGGAGGAGGGAGGGCCTACAAGATGCAGACCAACCCAACACCATCCAGGAGCCAAAGAAGATGAAGACAGTGACATATGCTTAGATTTGGCAACTAGAGGCATTATCAAGAGGGACAGAAGCCGGACTGGTCATGGGGGGCTGGGAGGCTGAGAGGGAGGGAGTTGGTGTAAGGAGACTCTCCAGGTGCTTCCCACTGTGGAAGGAGGGGGAGGCCACAGAAGGAGGGGCTGGAGGTGACTTTGGTGTTTGGGGTGGTAGTGTGTGGATGTGCGGTTGGTTGCTTATTGCTCAGGGAAGAGAGCCCAGAATTGAAATGACGGCAACTGTCCCTCCACAATGCCAGGAGGTCCTCCAGGGGGATCTTTCTAAATGCAAATCTGGTCTTTTTTTTTTTTTCTTTTTATAGAGACGGGCTCTCACTATGTTGCCCAGACTGGTCTCGAACTCCTGGGCTCAAGTGATCCTCCTGCCTTGACCTCCCAAAGTGGTAGGATTACAGTTGAGGCACAACTCCTGGCCACAAATCTGGTTTTGACCCTCCCCTACCATAGCTCCCCATTGCCCTTGTGAAAGAGTTCCAACTCTTCATGATGGC
Source organism: Homo sapiens (assembly GCF_000001405.40). Taxonomy (NCBI): domain Eukaryota; kingdom Metazoa; phylum Chordata; class Mammalia; order Primates; family Hominidae; genus Homo; species Homo sapiens. The sequence goes on from NC_000020.11 coordinate 31,857,531, forward strand.
CTCAAAGCCATGCATGAACTGCCCCTCCTGGGCCTCATCTGCCTCCACTCCCTCTCCTCCCCCACTTTAGTTCTTTTCATCTCTAAATGCTTCATGTCTTTATCTCCATTAGACCTTTGCACATTCAGTTCCCTTTGCCTGCAATACCTTCGCCTCTTCACCTTTACCTGGCATGCTCCCACCATCCTCAGCTTAACCATCTCTTTCTCAAGAAAGGAGCCAGTTTGGAAGAAGTTAATGATGACTGGGGAAAGGAGGGACATTCCTGCAGGAGGTCCCTGAGAAGGGCTGGTGTTGGGAGCACCAAAAAGTTTCCTGAGCTGCAGAGGTTGATGGGTTTAGGGGTGGGAGGCTGACAGAATTCCCATTAGTGCATTGGTGGAGTGGGAGAAGAGGCCCTCTGAGAGGGGCCGGTGGTGCAGGTCGTGGCAGCCTTGGCTGATTGTTTTAAGAAAGTGTCTGAGAGTCCCTCATATGTAGAGAACATTACCCTCAGCCCTAGAGGCCAGAAAGTGGCCCAGGGTCACAAGGCTATCCGTCAGTCTCAGTGCTGGGGCAACTTGTGTCCAGAGCCTGCCCAGTGCTGAGCGTCTCCAGTCCCCTGTCCCCTTGCCCTGAAGAGTGCTGAGTCCTGTTGCACCTGGTAGCCCTGCTTGGCTACATGCTTCCAGGGGATGCGAAAGAGGGTCTTGCCCGCATCCTCCCAGCATAACCCCACGTAGCACCCACTCTCAATCTGTGCCCCCCCAGTCCCAGAGGCACAGGGAACCTCTGGCTCTGCCATGGGTCACCTGCCGTCGGGGACCTTTCCTTCCTTCTGGCCATCAGGGATGCAGGGGCCAGGTCTTGGGCTTGCAGTGGCTCAACCCACGTGGGCCTGGGGACTACGGGCCACCTGGATGATGCTGGGAGGCTATGAAAGTGAAAGTCTGGGCAGGCAGGTCTCACTTTCTGTTTTGTCCCCTCTCTTGGGAGGCCCTTTCCTTTTGCACCTCCCCATAGCAGCCTAGCCTGGAGGGCATTGATCCTCTTTTATGGGGTGGCAGGAGGCGCTGTGAGACACAAGACCCACGCAAGTGGGGTAGCCTGGGCTCTGCGGGTCTCAGGAGGCCGGCCCCCATGAGCATCCAGAGACACAGCTTTGCCCCAGTCTGCAACTGTCACCTGCTCTTCCCAGCCCACCTGGAAATTTGTCAGTCTCTTTTCAGGACCTGGACTGTTGAGATTGGAAAGGCACAGGGATTCTCAAACTAACTCCTGCCAGAACTGAGAGGCAGCAACTCGTTTCAAATGCATACTCATGACCTCCATCCCAGATCTGCAGAATCAGACTTTCTGGGCAGGAAGCCCAGGAAACCCACATTGTAATGAGTTCCCCCGTGAGGTTCTGATGCAGGTAGTCCAGGGGTCACACTTATTTCTGTAAATATTAGGAGTTCCCACTTACCGACTGCTCATCAGTGCTGGGCCTGGCTAAACACTTTCCTGCAGTGTCTCAATTGGTTCTCACAACAGCTTATGAGGTTGGTAAAAGCCCTGTTTTAATGTTAAGACTGAGCTCAGAGAGGTTAAAGCCCTCTAACAAGGTCACAGAGCTAGTGGGTGGTGGAGCCAGGAGCCAAAATGTGTCTCTCTGCTCCCTAGAGCCCGGGAGCCTAAGCAGTGCCCCACACTGCCTGCCGACAGCTACACCTGTACTTTGTGGATTCTTGGTGGGGGTCTCTGACCCCCTAAAAGTGAATGTAAATTTCATGTCTATGCATTTTTTTGGGGGGGGGGGATTTGCATCTTTCATTAAATTGTCAAAGGAGATGTGGGATATGAAAAAGATCAAGTTGCTCAGATTGCTCCACTCCTTGCTGTATTCATGGAACTGAGGCTCTGAGAGAGAATGCCCCCCACTCCCTGCACCTTTGCACAGCACTGGCACAAAGCTGGGCACCCAGCCAGCATTGACCAGAGACTGGAAGCATTGTTCCTGATGTGTACCTGCTGGGAGGGCTTTCTTCCTGCTCCTCCTTTCCTCTAGCTCCCATATTCCAGTAGCCACCTGGCTCTTGAAGCATCTTGAAGGATTGATCTGGAATATCAGATCAGTCCTATAGATGATGGGGGCCATGGAGGCTTTTTTTATTTTTCTTTTTTCAAACAGGGTCTCGCTCTGTCACCCAGGCTGGAGTGCAGTAGCGCAATCTTGGCTCACTACAGCCTCCGCCTCCATGGAGGCTTTTAAATAGGGGAAGACACCATCAGAGGTAGAAGGTGTTTTAAATGGGGCGTCTGGCAGCACCATTAACCAGCCTGGAGGACTGCGGGCTCCCTGCACTCTGGTGAGTCCAGCCACTTTGCTCTTCACATGAACTGTGAAGGGAAAGACCCTAACTCATGATGGTAGGTAGTTAGGAAGCAGCTCCTTCTGTTTTTGGAGGTTACTGGCAAGGAGGTTACTAACTCATGGCCTTAATGTTCTGTCTGCCTGGAATGCTTCCCCCAGATAACCAAACGGTCCACTCCCTCACCACCTGACATATTTTTTATTTGCTGTCTTCCCGACCAGAATGTCAGCAACATGAAGGCAGAGGTTTTGCTCATTGCTGTATACCCAGGGCCGAGCACAATGGCTGGCACACAGTAGGTACTCAATGGACATTTGTTGAATGAATGAGGAGTAGGAAGTTGGGGTGGCAGCTGAAGGTTATTTTGTCCATCCTCCAACTCCAGTGCTGGAATCGGTGCCTCCCCGACAGCCCTGAGCACAGTGATTTGTGCATATTAAGAACCCCATACGAGTGGCTTATTGGGTTATAGCTATTTTCGATCCCTCTCAACTTTGGGTTAACTTTAGTTTTGGAAGTATCAGCTGCAGTGACTTCTACTCATCCTCAGAGCCAGCTACCGCTTTGATGGGCAGCCCTGGCCTTTAAAGTCTTGGCAGGAAGGGTCATTCCCACTAGCTGGGGGTGGAGCCTCCTTGTCAGGAACCTCCCAAACCAGAGGAGCTGCTTCCTAACTACCTACCGTCATGGGACTCAGACTGACTAAGCTAGCGTCCAGCTTTCCCTGCTCTGGCTGTGTGTGCTCCGGCAAGCTGCCTGATCTCTCTGAGCCTCTGTTTCCTCCCTGAGGATTAAGTGAACTCATGCAGTAAAAGGTCAGGATGAGGGAGGCGCTACCTCACCTTCCTAGCTACTATTTGTGCACAGGGAAGGGAAGGGAGTCGGGGAGGGGAGGGGCCCCTCATGGTGGAGGAGAGGGGTTCAAAAGGTGGAAGGGGGTTCCGAGAGAAGGAGGGACTTGGGCCTTGTCAGGCGGGACACCGTGGCTTTGGGGGAGGGGAGATGTTAGAGAAGGAGGTGGGGTCCCAGGAGGCAACTCCGCAGACTGCAGTTGCGGGAGGGTGGTGGGCTCCTCAGGCCCCCAGGGGATGCAGGCTCCCTCGCATCCCCTTTTCTGCAGGCTGCTGGCCCCTGGCAGTCCTGCTGGCTCCTGGCAGAATCCTGCTGCCCCGCCTTTGTTGAATGACTGGGAGGCACTCGGACAGGCAGCTTCTTCTGTGTCTCTTTAATACCCTCCAGGCCCGTCAAACCCTCCACTCTCCCTCCCTCCCCTCCCGCCGCCTTTAAGGGTGGGCCCCCTCCCCCAGCCCAAGGACTAAGGCACCAGGTGGCTGCAGCAGGCCGGCCCGGACACAGAGACGCACAGGTTGGGGACGCTGACTGCAGACGCGGACGAGCAGGGCGGGCGCGGGAGGCAGGGTTCAGGCCGCCGCGGGGCTCCCCCAGCCTCTGGGCCCGTCCTGGGGGGCGTGGAAGGCGCAGACAGCCCCCGAAGGGAGCCAGTCGGAAGTGGGGAGCCACGGCTGGACTGCATCCTCACTTGCCGCCCTTGCGGGACAGACACCGGGGGAGGCAAGAGAAAGTCTGCTTGACGCGCGCCAGCAGCGGCAGCGGCCGGTGGGCTTCCCGGGGCGTGCGCGGCACCAGGCGCTGCACGGTTCCCTCGGAGGCTGCTGAGTGCGGCCCGGCGGAGGAGGCCGAGGTCGCGGAGCCCTGCCGGCAGCGCTTGCACAGCGGCAGCAGCGCGCGCAACTCCTCCTCGTCGCGGAAGGGGCTCTCGCCGAAGCGCTCCTCCAGCTGCCGGCGAAGCTGGGGTGGGCGGGTGAGGTGGGCGGGGTCAAGGCCGGCGCGGGGCGGGGTCAAGGCAGCCGGCCCCGCCCCCACCCTCCCGACCTTCGCCCTTCTCCGAGCGTCCCACACCTCGCTGAGCCCCTCCCTTCCTGAGCGTCTTCTTTGCCTCCCTTCTCCGGGGTTTCCATCCCCTCACTGAGTCCCTCTTCCCTTCTAGGAGGCCCCTCCCTCTCCCTGACCCCTCTTCCCCCTTTGACACGCCAGCTTCCAGACCTGCTAAAGTGACCCCCAGGCGCCCAGCGGGGATCACTCCTCCCGCTTTGCACTTCTGGGTAACTCCTCCCACTTTGCACCTCTGTGCTCACAACCCCATTCCCACAGATTTCTTCCTTGCCCGACTCTTTCCCAACGCCGTGCTGCAGATGAGCCTCTGGGTACCGCCCTCAACCTGCTGAGAGCCCTCCCCCTCTCATCCTTTGTTCCCAGGGAGGCTTAGTTCCTGACATTTCTACGTAGCATCTGCCCGAGAGGTATAAGAGGGAAACTGCTGTGGTCTCATCAAGGACACAGGGATGGAGTAGGACATGGACAATTCTCCCCGATGGGGTCAAACACTCAAATCCTTCAGGTTCCAGCCAGGTAGGGCAGGCAGTGGGGAGGGCTGGAAGACCTGGTCAAATGGAAGGGCCCGCACTGATCTAAAGGCATTCAAATTCTAAATTGAAAAAGAAAACACCTGGCTGTCTAACAAAATACACCTAGGAGGTGGATTAGCTCAAAGGCCATGAGTTTGAGACCCTAGAAAAATCCGGGTCTGAGGCACAGGCTAAAAATGTTCCAATCAGTGATCAGTTCGAGTGGGAAGAAGGATCTCCCACCCCTGGCCCAACCCAGCCCTTGACCCCATCCCTACCTTCTGGGAACTGGCCCAGCCAAACTCTTCAAGCTGCTGCCTAAAGCCTGGGTTGGGGTTGGCGATGGGCCTGGTGGCCTTGATGGCTTCAAGCACGTCCCGCCAGCCTAGCCCCGTCACAGTCATCACATACGCTGTCACAATCGTGGTGCTGCGAGAGATGCCTGCAAAGCTGGGATCCCCAACAACCCCTCAGGCTTCAAGTAAGATCCAATGTCCTCCATGCCCCCAGGCACCCCACCCTGCTTCAACTCCCCCACCCTTGCCTCCTGAGCTCCAACCATAAGGGACCTGTCAGGACTTGCCATCCCACCTCCAGGCCTTTGCCATGCTGTTCCCTCTGTCTAGAGCATCCCCTGGGTTCTCCCACATCAAAAGCCTGAGTGAAACACCATTCATTCAGTCAATAAATATGTCCTGAGCATCTGTTCTTTTTCAGGCACTGGGGATGTAGCGGGTATAAAACAGGCATGGTCTTTGCTGTCCTGGAGCTTACAGTATGGCTGGGGGGGGGGGACAGACGTTGATCAGATAATCAATTCCAGGTGGTGATAATAGCTTTGAGGATGAGTCTGGGGGCTAGGAGATCCACATAGGAAGAGGTATTAATCTATAGGTGGGGTGGGGTTAGGGAAGGGGTTCCCAAGGAATAGATATCAATGAAATTTGAAAGATGAATAAGGGTTAGTCAGGAACCTTCTGGGCAGTGTGTACAAAGACCATGAGGCATAAGCCTCGTAGATTTGGAGGATGGGGAGGAGGTTAGTACAGCTGGAAAGGGGAAGGAGGGAGAGGGTGGGAAATGAGGCTTGGGAAACCGGCCTCCTTGCTGGGCCTCCAGCAGAGCCAGCTTGAGCCTGGATAGGATGGGCCTTCAGTGAGAAGTTAAGGAATGAATGACATCAACTGAGCGAGGGGCACCTGGGAAGACCCAGAATTCCTGTCTCCCAGCTCGGGGTTCCCCACTGCCCTGCACCATCACCTCCAAGGCCTGGAGGGGAGGAGGGAGGCCCAGAACTACTGGAGGGTGATGAGCTACCTCCATGACCTCACCTATCCCTCCCAACAGTCCCATCAGGTCAGCTTTCTTTTCCGCATTTTACAGATGAGGACATTGAGTCTCAGAGAGAAACAGCTACTTGGCTATGGCCACACAGCTCATAAGGAATAGAGTCCCGGGTTGGCCTCTCTCCAGTGAATGGTGGGCCCTCAGGCACTGTGACAGGCTGGAGAAGATCCCTCACAGGTCCAACCTTCCCACAGGGGGAGTGTGTGTTCAGCAGAGGGCACAGCCACTTCCTTCCTCCCCCACCTTATCCCCCTCCGCTTAACTCACCAGTGCACAAGGCAGTTCCCCCCATTAAGGCGGCAGCAGTGGATGAAGTTGATACATTCTTTGAAGTGCTTTTTGCTAGAGGAGAAAGCAATAGGGTAGGGAGCACTGCAGGGCAGACCTCTCAGGAGTTGTTCCGCCCCCACCCCAATTACAGGATAGCAAGGGACATAGAGCCCTGGGGTCCCCAGGTCAGCCAGCACATGCAGTGAATATGGGCCAGTACTTAGTATGAGCTGGAGGTGTGTTTGTGTGAAGCAAGAATGGTGGCATTTCAGGCAGTGAGAGAGACCAGTCAGGACAAATCTCACCATCTAGGCAGGAGCACTCCTCCTGTGGACCCTGTTTTCATGTTGGGTTTATTGTGGCCTTTCAGAGAAATGGGTGGGAGGAAACACAGGGGTCCCACTCCTCTGGGGTCTGCAATCAGAGCACCTGGGCACAATGATGGGCAGCAGCAGGCTGGGAGCAAGATTCCCAAGGGGCAGCACTGTCTGCTTGGCTCCATCCCAAGCGGGGAGGCACTACTGCTGATGCCACAAACAAAAATCCCGTTTTCTGAGCTCAGTTATACTCCAGGCCCTATCCTAGATCCTTGACCTGTGTCATCTGATCTTCGAAAGCCTCCTTGACTCTGATCATGCACTCCTGATTTACAGGTGAGGCCCAGAGCGGGGAAGTGATTTGTTCAAGGTCACACAGCAAGTAAATGGCAGAGCCTGGCCGGAACTCAGATGTCTTAACCCCAAGGCCAGGAACAGGCTGAATATGACCCTTTCAAATCAGCTGGTGTAGCTGGTCCCAAGGTACAGAGTGTCCTTTTCCCATTTCATAGCTGATGAGACTGAGGCTCGGGGAGGTGGAGAGTCTTGGCCAAGGGCCTATCACAAGGGCATGGTTGAGACAGAGTCAAACCTGGGACTGGTTGAGTTGAACACCTGTGATAGCTCTCTGGCCTGAGTACTTTGTCCTCCTTCAAACCCCCTCCCCCTCCCCCACCACAGAAGGCAGCTGTCTGTCCATCTATGGGTCCATCCAGGGGAACTTACATGGGTACCTCAGGGGTATCAGCGACCGGGATGCGAAGGTAGGTGATATCCTGCAAGTACAAAATACACTCAGGCAGGGGACCTTGCCTGCAACCCTCCCTGATGCTGGTCCGAGCTGCCCAGGCAGGGCATAACCCCAGCCCAGTTCCTGCCCTTCTCTGGCCCACTGTGGTCCTCTCTGTCCAAAGAAAGTAGTTGTCATCTCTGAGGCCTCCCAGCTGTGACCACTTGTGATTCCTGAACCTTCTAAGCACATGGTGTCTCCTAACCCCATCAGCGGCGTGGGCATGACGTCACCTATCCCTCCCAACAGGGACCCAGGAACCTTTATCAAGTAGCTAGGAAAGGGCTACTTAAAGGGACTCCACTCCAAATGGGAATTACAAAATTACATCGTAAAAAAGGTAGAGCAGATTTGATTATCTTGAAAAGAAACAAAAATCATGAAAACAAGTATACATTTCAGGAATCATGGTTATAAAATGATGTGCTGATTATGAGAATAATCAAGGAATAAATTGTCAGGAATTTTTTCCAGCAAACTTGCTGTGATGTCCTTTGTTTCCTGATTAGCCACACAATATCATGAAGATTATTTTTGCCCGCCTCCTGAGGACCTCCTTGCTTTTCTCGAGAAACTGTCTTAACATTTTTATATTCAAATGGCTCTTTTCAGGGGCCAGGCCCGTCACTGGCAGTAACTAAGGGACCACCAGCCAGGTTCTCATTTGTCCATGGCTTTGTGTGAGATTCCAGCCCTTCTCTCACTCACATTCCCCAAGGTCATGACATCCTGCATCTTTGGCAAGGTTTGCAATTTCACTTTGCAACACATTTGGCCTTGGGTTTGTGTGGTACTATCAAACCCTGCCTGGTAAATTTGCTGATGGAGGGGGGAAGGAGAGATGCTTGGGAGAAGCAGGAAGGGCCGTAGGAGCAGAGACTCATTGTGTAGGCTGTCATTTCATTAGTAAATACACTCATGACTTGACAACCTTCCCCATGCACTCTAGTGACTGTTTACTCCAAATACTCCCAAACGAGGCTGCCCTATGAGGCAAAATAAGACTGCAATGGCCTGGAAATTTCTTCTCTGAATGACATTGAAAATCATAGATTATTAGAGGTTGCTGTTAGAGAATATCAAATCTGACATATGGGAAAACTGAGGCCTAGAGAAGGGAAGGACCTTGGCCAAGATCACACAGCAAGTCTATGGCAGAACCGGGTCTTCATTTCAGATCTCCAGGACCTTTTCCCACCCATGGTTCTTTCTCTCCAGTGGATGATACAGACTCTAATAGATAAGGGTGAAGAGGCTCTGTTTATGGGATAAGAATATGATTAAATTTGTTATAGTATCAGTTGTGATTTGTTGAGCATCTATTTATGTGGTTCCCAACCACTCAGTGAAGTGGGTACTGTTATAAAGTTCCCGTTTTACAGATCAGGCAACTGAGGCTCAGAGGGGGCAAAGTCCTGTCCCCAAGGTCATAGAGCAAATAAACAGTGAAGATGTTCCTGACATAAGCACGTGTAGTCTGGATTTATTACTTTCCTCTGCTGGGTCCTAACACCCTCATGCCCCTTTCCCAGGACTTGATAATACCAGCACCAACCGCCCTAGAGGGGACCATGCTTTACAGTGTGCAAAGCATCTTCACCATCCTGCAGTCCCTTTGCATCCTCACAGCAGCCTTCTGGGGGCAGACAGAGCTGAGGGATCAAAGCCCTAGAGAGGTGAAGTCACAGCCCAAGGTTGCATAGCAAGATACAGAGCCCACAGTCATCCATTTGGATTCATCCATCCAGTTGGGTCATGGGAAGCCCATATGGGGGCCATTTTAAGGTTCAGTGTGAGACTTCTGGTGCTAGATGGCCTGTGTTCATACCCCAACTCCTCAGCTTCCTGGATGTGTGACCTCAGGTGAGTTAATTGACCTCTCTGGGCCTCAACTGCCAAATAGGGATGATAATGTAAAATGGCCCAGTGGTGGAGACCAAATGAGTTAACATGAGTCAAGAAGGAAGCATAGCACCTAGCACATAGTAGATATTTGATAAACAGGTCTGCACCCTCCCACCCCCGCATAGCCCTGGGATGGGGGTAAGAAGTACCTGCAGCAGAGGCTGGGGTGACTCATGGATAGAGATGATGTGTGTGATCTTATTTCGGCCCAGCTGATCCAGGTCTTTGGCATCTGAAAGAAACAGGATGCTTGAGCCAATCTGGCTGGCGGGATGTCCTGATGGCCAAGTGCGGAGGGAGCTCACTGCCTGCCCAGCTCTCCCTCTCACCCCACCACTCCACCTTGGCCCACGCTCTGCCGGCTCCCTGATCCTCTTGCTTCTGGGGCACATGCAAGTAACAGTACAGCATATCCCCATCCTTGCTCATTCTGTTCTTTCCATCCAAAACACCCTTCCCAGGCATATTCTTTGACCCAGCAATTCTGCTTCTAGGAATCTTGTCTACAGAAGCGCTTGCTCACACAGAAAGCTGTGTGTGGAGGATGATGTTCTCTGCAGTCCTGCTTATATCACAAATAGTTTAAACATGGGAACAACCTGGTGTTCATTAAAAAGGGACTGGATGATTAATGGTGTAGGCATACTTTGGCACAGTGTGCCGCCATTAAAAAGAGTTCTATATGCTGATGTGCAATGATGCCCACAATGTTTTTTTTTTTTTTTTTTTTTTTTTTTTTTTGAGACGGAGTCTTGCTCTCTCTCCCAGGCTGGAGTCCAGTGGCGCGATCTCGGCTGACCACAAGCTCTGCCTCCCGGGTTCACGCCATTCTCCTGCCTCAGCCTCCGGAGTAGCTGGGACTACAGGCTCCCGCCACCACACCCGGCTAATTTTTTTGCATTTTTAGTAGAGACGGGGTTTCACCGTGTTAGCCAGGATGGTCTCGATCTCCTGACCTCGTGATCCGCCCGCCTTGGCCTCCCAAAGTGCTGGGATTACAGGCGTGAGCCATCGTGCCCGGCTGATGCCCACAATGTATTTTTAAGGATACAGAATAAGCTTCCACTTTTGTTTTAAATACTATGTCCTTATCTACAAAGATATATGAACAAGGATGTACCCAACAGTGGCCCTCTCTAGGGGCTGCATACCCAGCATATGCAGATCTTTTATATTCAGAATGAATAACACATGTCCCCTCTATCTCCACTTCCTCATTCGATGAGCATTTACCGAGTGCTAACCATGTGTATACTTTGGCTGGGCACTGGAGGTCTGGGGCCAGCTTCGTGGCTCCTGCCCTTATGGGGCCTGCACACTTACAGAGGGTTCAGACCTTACTTGGCCAAATACTCACAGAAATCAAGGTGGCATGAGCGGCTGAGGGAGCTCCCAGGAAGGAAGGGACCAGGATTTACAAGGGTGAAGCACCTGAGCCCCTCCCTCTCTAAAGCTTTTTCTGACTCTGCAGATGGAAATGATTTTCCCACTTTGAGTCACCCAAGCCCTGGATCAGTCTGCCCCTTAGCATGTTTTCTTTTCTTTTTTCTTTCTCTTTTTTTTTTTTTTTTTTTTTGAGACAGAGTCTCGCTCTGTTGCCCAGACTGGAGTGCAGTGGCACGATCTCGGCTGACTGCAACCCCCGCCTCCCGGGTTCAAGTGATTCTCCTGCCTCAGCCTCCCAAGTAGCTGGGATTACAGGCGCCTGCCATCGTGCCTGGCTGATTTTTGTATTTTTAGTAGAGACGGGGTTTCACTATGTTGGCCAGGCTGGTCTCGAACTCCTGACCTCAGGTGGTCTGCCCGCCTCCGCCTCCCAAAGTGCTGGGATTAAAGGCGTGAGCCACTGCGCCCAGCCCCCTTAGCATGGTTTCTACCCAGCATGTTTTCTACCCAAGGTCTATGTTCAGCTCTGCCTGCCTGCCACCAGCCTGGAAGCCCCTGAAGAACAAGGTATCTATACATGGGTGTCCCCTCCTCCTGACTGAAGATTGTGGAAGGAATGGATGAGAGAGTGGGGAATGCAAAGCTTGCCGGCTCACCGCCCCCCCAACTTCCAGCTCTAGGCTGCCCAGCTGCTCCAGGGCTCTGGGGTGCGACAGTGTTGGTGCTCATGACCCTGCTCACAAGAAGGCCCAGCCCATCTCCAGGGACCTCTCCTCTGACAAGGAGGAAGTTATGGGGGGAAGAGTTCCCAGCTTCCCCGCTAGAAGCAGCACCCGCAAACAGACCTCAACCCAGAACCTCAGGGCCAGAAGAGTGCTCAGCAGCTGGTGGACCTTTTGTGCTGAGGAGGAGGCTGAGGCTTAGCGCAGGTGTAGACTTGCTCAGGTCCACAGCCCAGGCCCCGAGCCCTTTGCTCTGGCCCTTTGGTCTGGTGGTAGAACACTGGGGAAGGCTGAATGGCGGGGAGGGATGTCAGTGTCAGGCCCCCATGCTCCCTCCATGTCCCTTCAAGCCTGGGGACACTCGCCTGCATGTGCACCCCTTGTCCTCCATCAGCCTTTTCCCCCTCCCAGCCTGGGGCCGCTTCCCTGCCCCCAACCCCATTCCTGAGATGCATGGGCCAGGGCATGAATGGTGGACACAGGCCTGAGACAGGCAGAGTGCCATGGCCTCGGGACAGAGTGGGCAGTGCTCACCAATGAAGTTTCCGAGGTAGAGTCCAGGAAGTACCTAGAGGAAGGACAGGCAAGGGTCAGTGGGGCAGGGGCTGCACCCCCTTCCACCCCCAGGGCAGCTGGGGGGCCCACAGCCCCTCTCTGTCCCATGAAGGGTATGGACCTCAGGGCTCAGGGAGCACTCTCTTCCCTTTTGTGGGCCCTGAGTCCTCTGTGAGAGGGGTCTGGGGCTCTGGGGAGGGTAGGCTAGGGGGCCAGTTAACCAACCGAGGGAACCAAGGGAGGCCAGCTTGGGTATGAGAGGGGAGAGGAGGAAGGCAGGTCTTAGGAGGAGAGGAGAGGAGAGAGGTAGACTTGCAGGGTGCAGGGATGGAAATTCTGGGGCTGGGGAGGCAGAAAGGCAATGACAGGCAGAGGCGGGACAGGATGGAGAAACAGCCCCGGAGAGAGCCGAGGAGTCAGCGACAAGGGAGAGGGACACATGCAGACGGAGAGCAGGACTCACTGGGAGACAGCCTGGGAGTGACAGCCACAGCAAGACAGCGAGAGACACACAGAGTCACGGAGAGAGGGCGGACACAGCGGGGACAGAGACGCAGGGTCAGAGAGGGGGAGACCCGACAGCCGCGGTCTCGAGTCACAGGGACACGGAGATGCCGCCGCACGGAGACCGGCGAGAACAGAAGGTCAGAGGCGGGCGGACCGAGCTGGTCAGCGCCGGGCCGCGGCGGCCGGGGCGGGGACCGGGGAGGCTGCGCGGGGCCCGCCCCCTACCTTGGTCATGCCATTGCCCATGATCCCGGGGGCGGCGGTCCGGGTGCACCCCCAGCTCGCCGCCCGGGAAGCGATCCGGTCACAGCTGCCCTGACGGCCCAGGCCCGACGCCTGCAGCCTGGCGGGGAACGGGGGGCCTGGCGTCCGCGGCCCTGCCCAGCCCTGCCCAGCCACCGCCACCGCCCGCCGACCCCCGGCCCGGGAGGGAAATGGTGGTGGAGCCGCCGCTGCCACCGCCGCCGCCGCAGGCTCCTCCTACCCCTTCGGTCATGTGGGGCCCCCGCCTCGGGTCGCGGCGGGGGGCCGGACAAAGCCCCAGTGTGCCGGGCCCACGGCCCGCGGGACAACGGCAGTTTGTTGGGGCCGCGTGGGGCCGCCACCTCCGGAGGTGGGGGCGGGGGCCTTACCCCACCCTGGCACCGGCAGGCGCGGGCGGATGGGGGGATGTCGCCTAGAGCCCCCCGGCCGGCCCACAAACTCCCGTCCCCCTTCCGGCTCTGCCTGGACGTCCCTGCGGGCCCCGGGGGAAAGCACCCAACTTCTCCCGCCTCGGCTTCTAGCAGAAACGTGACGGGGCTGGACTTTGATCGCCGAGGGCTCTCTGCTCTTCAGAGTCTGCTTGGAACGGGATAAGTGGGTAATTCCTTCCGATACATCCTCTCCACCCGTGCAGAGACACCCTACCAACCAGCCTTCCTCCTTTCCCATCCATTCTCCCACCCTCCTGTTCACTCATTCACTCGTCCATCTTCCCATCCATTCATCCATCCTCTCACTCCTTCCTTCCATCCATTTCGGCCCCTAGGAGGGATGGTGCCATCCAGGGAAGCTCTGCTGGGACCAGGCACAACTGCCATTAGGTGCCCCAAGAAATTACAGGTGAATGTTGGGAGAGGGGTTTGAGGGAGGGTTCCAGTCTGAAGGAGACTACATCAGGATGTATTAATAGCTAGAGGTCAGGGTCCTGGAAGGGGTCTGGAGACCAAGGTTTGAGGCCCTGTTCACCTCTGACCTGCTAGATGACCCTGGGAAAGTCCCCGTGACCCCCAGCTAACCCTATCTGTGTTTCTGAGGATGTTGAGGTGAGCCCTTCCTGGCTTCTAGGACCAAAGCTGGAGAATGTAAAATAATCAAGACACTTCCTATAGGACTGAAATAGAAGCAGCTGCACCAGCTTTGTTCCTTCAGCCATCACCCCCACCCCTCAATCTATAGTAGTAGGTGACTGGGGATTGTGGATAGAGAGCAGGACAGAGAGAATCCACAGAGCCCTTTGAAATACAGTGATTGGAGAAAAATAAAACTGTTTCTTCCTCCCTCAAGTTCATAGCATACATGGGGCTGCCCGTCTCAGCTCTCATAAAAGCCCAGAGTTCTCATAAATACCAAATTATTCAGTAAATACTTACTGAGCATCTAGTATATGATAGAGACTAGGGACACAGCAGTGGGTAGAGATTGTTCCTACCTTCATTAGCTAATGGTATAGACCAGCATTGTCCAAATGAAATATAATGCCAGCCACATGTGCAGCCACATTTAAAAAGTAGAAACAAGTTAATTGTTGATAATATTTTTATTTAACTCAATATATCCAAAATATCATTTCAACATATAGTCAGTATTTTAAAACTATAAATGAGATATTTTATATCCTTTTTAAATTGTATTAACTATTCAAAATCTGGTGTCTTTTACATTTACAGCACATCTCAATTCAGACAAGTCACATTCCAAATGCTTACTAGCCATATGCAGCTAGTAGCTACATATTAGACATCTCAGATCTAGGAGGGAAGGCAAACAAGATAGGCAAACAAATAAATTATTTACAAATGGTCCCAGTTTTCTATGAAGGAAACAAAGCAGACAGGGAGAACCTCTCTGAATAAGTGGCATTTGAGCTGAGAGGTGATATATAAGAAGGACCCAGCTGTTTAAAGAGTGGAAAGCCAGGCGCAGTGGCTCATGCCTGTAATCCCAACACATGGGGATGCTGAGGTGGGAGGATCAATTGAGCCCAGGAGTTTGAGACCAGCTTAAGCAATATACTAAAACCCCATCTCTAAAATAAATTTGGCTGGGTATGATGGCTCAGGTCTGTAATCCCAGAACTTTGGGAGGCCAAGGCAGGAGGACTGTGTGAGCCCAGGAGTTTGAGACCAGCCTGGGAAACATAGGGAGACCCTGCTTTTACAAAAAAAAAAAAAAAATTAGCCGGGACCTGTAGTCCAAGCTACTCAGGAAGCTGAAGTGGGAGGACCACTTGAGCCCAGGCGGAGGAGGATCACTTGAGCCCAGGCGGTGGAGGCTGCAGTGAGCCATGAGCGCACCACTGCACTCAAGCCTGGGTGACAGAGCGAGACCTTGTCTCAAAAAAATAAAAAATAACACACACGAAAAAGAAAAAGAGTGGAGAGAGTATTTCCAGCAGAAGGAACAGCATGGGCAAAAGCCCTATGATGGGAATAGCTTGGCCTCTGTAAAAAGCCAGTGGGACTGGAGTAGAGGGAGCTACAGGAGGTGTTAAGAGGACGGTTCAGGGCCGGAGCATGCAGGAGCACATATGGCCATGATTGGGAGTTAAAGTTTTCCTTCTCTTCTGTCGGATAAAAATCCAACAGGAAAATTTAACCTGGGAGGCCAGGTCATCTGATTTATTTAAGTCAAATACTTCGACCCCTCACTGACCCTTTCCTTTATGGGGGCCACTGCAGCAGCTCAGGTAAGAGGTGACAGTGACCTGGGATAGAGTGGGACCCGAGAAGCTGGAAAGAAGGGGATGGACTCAGCATATATGAATATTTTCACAGGGCAGCTGAAAGGACTTGCAGATTGACTGGATGTGGGGGGAAGGAAGGAATTTTAGGATGGCCCCCAGGCTTCCTGCCTTGAAAGTCACTATCTGTGTCACAGAAATGAAAGCAGGGGTGTTCACCAATTCAACACGTTTATTGGGCACTGAGCTATATGTAGGAAATTGTGCCAAAGATGTGCTGACTTAAGTTTCCCCAAATGCCCGACCCATGGATGCTGTAAAGAAATGCTGATGCTGGGCGTGGTGGCTCATGCCTGTAATCCCAGCACTTTGGGAGGCTGAAGCGGGAACATCGCTTGAGCCCAGGAGTTGGAGACCAGCCTGGGCAACATGGCGAAATTTCGTCTCTACAAACAAACAAACTAAAACAAAAAATTAGCCGGGTGTGGTGGCACGAACCTGTAGTCCCAGCTACTTGGAGGCCAAGGTGGGAGGATTGCTTGAGGTTGAGGCTGCAGTGACCTGTGATCACATCACTGTACTTCAGCTTGGATGACAGAGTGAGACCCTGTCAAAAAAAAAGACAAAAGAAAGAAAGAAAGAGAGAGAGAGAAAGAAAGAAAGAAAGAAAGAAAGAAAGAAAGAAAGAAAGAAAGAAAGAAAAAGGAAGGAAGGAAGAAAGAAAGAAAGAAAGAGAAAGAAAGAAAGAAAAAGAAAGAAAGGAAGGAAGGAAGGAAGGAAGGAAGGAAGAAAGAAAGAAAGAAAGAAAGAAAGAAAGAAAGAAAGAAAGAAAGAAAGAAAGAAAGAAAGAGAAAGAAAACACTGATAAACGAGCCTGAAGACTAGCTCCTTACCATGGCCCTGGCCTTAGCAGCTCTGCGATCCTAGGCGGGTGAGCCAATGTCCCTTAATTTACCCATAGAGGGGCAATTGTAACAGTCCTTTGTGTTCCCACTGAGTGCTAAGGGGAAAGATACAAATTACATGTAGGAAAGAATTCTTTCAAGTTAAAAGCCCATATGTGTTATTAGACCTAACATATTTAATATCTATGTACTGTTCAGCCTTTGGAAGTATTAGTTATTACAAAGCCCAATCTGTCTTAAATCATGAAATGACCATTTTACAAAACCAATAATAGGAAGATGCTAAAATGTGGGTCTCACCCTGTCATTCCCTTGCTTAAAGCCCTTTAGTGGATTACTGTGGTAGACAAAATAATGGTCCCCCCAAAGGTGTTTACACTCTATTTCCTTGTAACTGTGAATGTTATATTACATGGCAAAGGGTAGAATTAAGGCTGCAGATGGAATTAAAGTTGCTAATTAGCTGATCTTTTTTTTTTTTTTTTTTTTGAGACAAAGTCTCACTCTGTCGCCCAGGCTGGAGTGCAATGGTGCAATCTCGGCTCAGTGCAACCTCTGCTTCCCAGGTTCAAGCTATTCTCCTGCCTCAGCCTCAAGAGCAGCTGGGACTACAGGTGCCCACCCATGCCTGGCTAATTTTTGTATTTTTAGTAGAGAAGGGGTTTCACCGTGTTGGCCAGGCTGGTCCTGAACTCCTGACCTCAAGTGATCCACCCACCTTGGCCCCCCAAAATGCTGGGATTACAGGCGTGAGCCACCGCGCCCAGCCAGCTGATCTTGAGATGGGGAGATTATGATGGATTATTCAGAGGGGCCCAACATAATCACAAGTGTCATTATTAGTGAAAGAGGGAGGCAGGAGAGTAGGAATCAGAGGGGATGAGATGACGGAAGCAGAAGTCGGAGTGGTGTAATTGCTGGGTTTGCAGATCGAAGGGGGCCCACAGCCAAGGGATGCAAGTGGAAAAGGCAAGGAAACAGATTATCCTAGAGTTTACGAAAGAAACTCAACCCTGCCGTCACCTTCATTTTAGCCCAGTGAGACCCATTTCACATCTCTGACCTCAAGAACTCTAAGATACTACATTTGTGTTGTTTTAAGTCACTTTGTTTGTTGTGATTACAAGCAGCAACAGGAAATTCATACACTCACCAACACCTTTAGGAAAATGTCCAACCTGCTTAGCATGGCACACAAGGAGGCCTTGTGGGATGTGGTTTCTGCCACTGACTTTGAGCAAGTTTTTAAATTTCTCTGGGCCTCAGTTTCATCATCTATGAAATAGGGAGGAAAAAAAACCCTCTGTAGGTCTGTAGTAAGAATAAATGAGAGGACATGTTTCAAATACCTAGTAGAAAGACTGGAACACAGTACATTATTATTATTATTACCATTGGCATTACTATTATCATGGAACAGTTGACAGAGTAGGAACCCTTGTCTCTACTCCCTTCATTAGGGCTATGTTTCCACATCTGTGAAAAAGGAAACAAGACCAAACAGGTTTGGAAACCTCGTCTCTCCCCTCTACTCCACTCTTTCCTAGTTACTGATCCGTGTCATGCTTTGCTTTCTCTGACTTCCAACTTCGCCTAATGCTCTTCTTTCTGCCTGGAATGCTCTTCCCATCCTCCTTACCAAGCTAACTCTCATTTCCTCCTGGAAGTCTTTACTGACTCCTATTAGACTTGTTTAGATCCTACTATTATGCATTCAAAAAGAATGCTAAACTTCCTCTATCATATTATTGTTATGGCCTGTGTGTTTTTCATTGGGGAAAAAAATCTTAAATCCAGGTAAGGATATTTTGATCTATTTGCTTCCATTGTGTTGTTTAAATAAAACAAAAACATTCTAAATAAACTTGAAGTAGTTAAGTTCCCTTTTCTCTCCCCACTTCCTTCACTCTCTCCCCAACTAGTATCATAAATTTAGTGCATATGTTTTGACACGCAGGGATACTCACCACTATACTCACGAGGATTGGCTATGGTGCATATCTTTTGAGTCTGTGTTTTTAAACTCTTACTACCTATACATACAAAATAATATGAAATATACTTTTATATGTGTTTATAATTAACACAAATGGTAACCTTTAAAAAACATTTCTCATTCTACAACTTTCTTTTATTCACTCAATAGGTTTTGGGGATATGTACATACTGATATAAATCTGGATCATTCTTATCACTGTATGGTATTTTATTATTAGAATATCTTGGCCGGGTGTGGTGGCTCACACCTGTAATCCCAGCACTTTGGGAGGCTGAGGCCAGTGGATTGCCTGAGGTCAGGAGTTCGAGACCAGCCTGGCCAACATGGCAAAACCGTCTCTACTAGAAATACAAAAATTAGCTGGGCATGGTGGTGGGTCCCTGTAATCCTAGCTACTCGGGAGGCTGAGGCAGGAGAATCACTTGAACCCAGGAATGTGGAGGTTGCAGTGAGCCAAGATCGTACCATTGCACTCCAGCCTGGGTGACAAGAGCAAAACTCCGTCTCAAAAAGAAAGAAAAAAGGAATATATCCCATTTTATTCATCTATCACCCTACTAGTGGACATTTAGATTGTTTCTAGTATTTTCTGCTGTTATCAAGAACATTGCAAACAACATCCTTATACATATGACCTATGTAGTGGTGTAAAAATTTCTTTAGGAAGGTTGTCACCTTGCACATTAACTACAAGATGAAAGGTATTCCATGGAGATGTGGGCCTATAAGATATCGTCTAGTAGTGGAATATCTGGGTTGTAAGGTGTGTGCATTTTCAACTTTATGAGATATTGCCAAATTGCCTCCCAAGGTGTGAATAGCATGTAAAGGCTCCCGTTTCCCCACGTCCTCACTAACATCTGACCTCATGAAAAACATTGACATATTTTTTGTATAGCTGATGTATTTCAAATCATACGATTATTTTTATTTACATTCCTCACTAACATCTGACCTCATGAAAAACATTGACATATTTTATTTTTGTATAGTTGATGTATTTCAAATCATACGATTATTTTTATTTACATTTCTCAATTGGCTTACTGGCCATTTGAGTTTCTTCTGCTGAAAATTCCCTATTTATATCCTTTGCCCATTTTTCTTTTCTTTTGTAGGGGTGAGGGTGGGGTTATCTTTTCCTTAATGGTCTGAAGGAGTTCCTTGAGCACCAATCCTTTGTTATATATGTTGTAAGTGTTTCCTCCCAGTCTGTAGCTTATCTTTTAATCAGATTTACCATGTCTTTTGTGCAGTGGCATGATCTCGGCTCACTGCAACCTCCGCCTCCTGGGTTCAAGTGATTCTCCTGCCTCAGCCTCCCGAGTAACTGGGATTACAGGCATGTGCCACCACACCCAGCTAATTTTTGTATTCTTAGTAGAGACGGGGTTTCACCATGGTGGCCAGGTCTCAATCTGTTGACCTCGTGATCTGCCTGCCTTGGCCTCCCGAAGTGCTGAGATTACAGGCGTGAGCCACCGCGCCCGGCCTGGCAGTTTAAATTTTGAGGTAGTCAGATTTAAACTGATCATCTTTTTCCTTTATGAATAGTGCTTTATTATTATTGTTTATCTAAGAAGTCCTTTCCCACCCCAAGATAATAAATATAACATGTATATGTCTTAAATATTTGTTATATTTATTTAATCCATTTAATTAGGCATCTATTTTTCAACCCTATGGAAAGTAAATTCTCAGTGCCATTTACTGAGTCCTCTATTTTTTCCCCAGTGATTTATAATGCCACCTCTATTATACATCAAGTATACACACA
Organism: Homo sapiens; assembly: GCF_000001405.40. Taxonomy (NCBI): domain Eukaryota; kingdom Metazoa; phylum Chordata; class Mammalia; order Primates; family Hominidae; genus Homo; species Homo sapiens. Next base: position 31,877,717 of record NC_000020.11, read on the forward strand.
CACTCTCTCCTGTGTCTGTTTTGAAGCTCTACTCCTCATTGGCTTGGTAGGCAGAGAAGTGTCTCCTTGCCCCAACATATACACATTGTTCTTTTGATTTTGACAAGATTTCTCAAAAATCCTGATTGGATTGGGGAAAATACACATCTTTCTGATATTGAGCCTTCCCATCCATGAACATGGTATATCATTGCATTTATTTGATGTCCTTTAATAATATTTTATAATTTTCTCTATGAGAATATAAACTCTATTAGGGAAAATGCTTTGTCAGTTTTCCTTTCTGCTGTATTTTTAGAGTCAAGAACAGAGCAGGACACAGAGTAGAAGCATAAGAATTTGTGGTTTAATGTCTTTCATATACTTTATTAGATCTGTTTCTACATATCTTATATTTCTGTTGCTATATATTTTTATTGTAGTTTCCAATCAGCTATGGTTGGTATATAGAAATTCAATATACAGTGAGTCATTTTTGGATTGATTTAAAAAACAAAAAACCCTTTTATTTGTTCTAATACTCTGTAGATTATCTTGGATTTTTAAATGCAGACAGTTCTGATGGACATCTATTTCAGAAGGGAAGAATGGATATTGTGTAGGCAACTAGCAGCATCTTCCACACTACTACTGTATGAAGCTAGAAGAGGCAGGTACTCTAGTCCTAGCAGCTAAAGCTGTTTGTGGACTTTAAATCTGAAGCAAATAGTACAACAAAGCAGGTGTCTGTTGAGTATTCATTTGGCCAATTCCAGTACTAGTAGTGGTATCTATTGAGCAGAGGTGCTAGTACCAGCAACAGCATCCAGTACTATTTGCAGCAGTCTTGCCAGTAGTGGTGTGGGATGTCCAGTAATAATCAGAAATGGCACCCCAATCAAAGTTTCTGCAAACTCTGATTTTGACCATAATTTTGATCAGATAGACTCCCTGAATTCCTTCCCCATTTTTTAATTCTGATTTCCAACAACTCTGTGACTCATTCAATATCCTACCAATGAATTCCATTTCTATTTCAGTTAATCAAAGATAGTTTTTTGTAACCAAGGACTCTGAACAATTAAACTCTCATGCTATCTGCAAATGATAACTTTGTCTCTTTCTTATATATATCTCATATATATTATCTATAGATCTAATAAGATCTATGCATTCAAATAATGAAATGCGTAGATCTTAAGTTTTCAGTTTAGTCAATTTTGACAAATGCATATACTCATGTAACCCACATCTTTATTAAGAGATGGAAATCCCCATCACTCCAGAAAGTTCCTTCATGTCCTTCCCAGTCAACCCCTCAGTACTTTTAAAACTTCAATGAGCTGGCCGGGTGCAGTGGCTCACGCCTGTAATCCCAGCACTTTTGGAGGTCGAGGCAGGTGGATCATGAGGTCAGGAGTTCGAGACCAGCCTGGCCAACATGGTGAAACCCTGTCTTTACTAAAAATACAAAAATTACTCAGGCATGGTGGCATGCACCTGTAATCCCAGCTACTCGGGAGGCTGAAGCAGGAGGATCACTTGAGCCCAGGAGGCAGAGGCTGCAGTGAGCCCAGATCGCGCCAATGCACTCCAACCTGGGCGACACAGCGAGACTCCGTCTCAAACAAACAAACAAAAAAACTACAATGAGCTATCACTGTAATCACTAAAAGGAAAAAGATGGACAACATCTAATGTTGGTGAGGCTATAGCCCTTAAGATTAGAAAGCGGCTGGGATAGCAGAGGCGACTGGCCGCGTTACCGACTGACCAACTGACCAGGTGACTTAGTGAGTAACTTCGTTAAGTAAGGAAACTCAGTACCATTACATTTACCGAAAGCTGACAACTTTTCAGATGCAGCGCTCCCAGTTTAAGGAAAGTGCAGTTGGAGGCGGCGTGGGGCAGAGGGAGCCAGCCTCTGAACGAACTGCCCCAGGGTCGCGGAGAGGCGAGGCTGGAAAAGAAAGGTTGAGGAAGTCGGGGGACCTAGGCTGCCAGGACGCCCAATAGCCTCCAGAGGTTCTGGTGGACCAGAGCCTGCGCACTCCGCCGAGAGCATGCCCTTGGCTCATCCAATCAGAGCGGCGGATCCAGGCGCCTGTCTGTCGCCTTGGCAACGGGACGCATAAGCACGCGAGGCGCGCGGTGGCGGTTTGGATCTGGCCCCTGGGGAATCGCGTTATGTCGCGACCGAAGGTAGGAGTCGACCTGACCCAGATGCTTTTATCGTCCCTAGAAAAAGGGAGGAAAGCAGCAGAGGGATTCAAAATCGGTTGGGGATGGGTGTTCCTCGCGGAATGGGTAGGGGTGGGGCGGGGGGGCGGGGTGGGTTGTTCTCGCGGAGGAATTCCGAAAACAGGAAGAAAAAAAGCCGAGGAACTCAGAGGAAAGACTACAAGTCCCGGCATGCACCGCGCCGCCCAAGCTGCTGCGCAAGTCCCGCGAGCCCGGCCAGCTGGCGGGAAGTTTACACAACAGTGGGACTCTAAGCTCCGTGACCCCAGGGGAAGTTGAACCTCAGAATTTCAGATTTCCTGACTTGGCGAAACCCGCCTGCCCGTCCATCCGTCCATCCATCCATCCATCCATCCGTTTATTCATCCATTCAAAACAACGCTAATTAGTGTCTTTTCCAAGCCAAGCTCAGTGCCGGCCAAGGGACACAGGTGAATCAGACAAACCTCTGCCCTCCAAGAGGGCACAGACCAACTCTCCCATTTTAAGAATGGGAAAAATGAAAGTCCAAGAGGGAAAATGAATTACAGTAAAATTCAGCTCTCCGCACCCCAACCGACTTTTTTTTTTTTTTTGAGACGGAGTCTCACTGTGTCGCCAGGTTGGAGTGCAGTGGCGCTATCTCAGCTCACTGCAGCCTCTGCCTCCCGGGTTCAAGCGATTCTCCTGCCTCAGCCTCCTGAGTAGCTGGGACTACAGGCGCTCGCCACCACGCCCAGCTAATTTTTGTATTTTTAGTAGAGACAGGGTTTCACTATGTTGGCCAGGTCTCGATCTCTTGACCTCGTGATCTGCCCGCCTCGGCCTCCCAAAGTGCTAGGATTACAGGCGTGAGCCACTGCGCCCAGCCTCCATCTTACTTCTTAATCCCAGCTCTCATTCATGAATGGCACCTTCATTTCTCTTCTTTCTTTCCTTTTTTTTTTTTTTTTTTTTGAGACAAGGTCTTACTTGGTTGCTCAGGAGGGAGTGCAGTGGTGTTATCTTGGCTCAGTCGACTTCCTGGACTCAAGCGATTTTCCTCCCTCTGCTTCCCAAGTAGCTGGGATTACCTGTGTGTGCCACCATGCTCAGCTAATTCTTTTTTAGTTTGTGTAGAGACAGAGGAGTCTCTATGTTATGTTGCTATGTTGCCCAGCCTTGTCTGGAACTCTTGGCCTCAAACCCATCTCCCGCCTTGGCCTCTCAAAGTGCTGGGATTACAGGCATGAACCACTGCACCTGGTCAACCTCTTATTTCTTTTAATTCCCTCTCACAACAAAAAATGAGTTTATCTGCTTTCAGAGTGCCTTGAACTTTGCCTTTTTACTACAATTCATTATTCATGTGACTATTTGTTTAACATCTGTCTTCCCTGCTGCTCTGGGATCTAATCTGACTTGTTCTTCCCTGTATCCCTGGTCCTCAGCAGAGCTGACTACAGTTGATACATGTTGAATGACTATTGAACTACCTGTCTAGATGCTCAGCTAAAAAACTGGGACTGTTGACTCCTCCATCTTCCTCACATCCCACATCCAATAAAAGCCTCCTTCCTTTAACTTTCTAAATATGTCTTGAATTTATTTTTTCCTCTACCTCAACTACCACTATGCTAATCATGACCAAACTCTCAAATTTTAAAAATTAATACTCTTTAAATACACAGATTGGGACACATATAACTTTTTTTTTTTTTTTTTTTTGGAGACAGTGTCTCATTCTGTTGCCCAGGCTGGAGTGCAGTGGCATGAACACGGCTCACTGAAGCTTCAACCTCTTGGGCTCTAGTGATCCTCCTGCCTCAGCTTCCTGCATATCACTTTATGAAAGTGTTAGAAAAAAAGAAAACAAACATCTACTGAAATAGTCCCTTCCCTTGAACCCGACTGATTCCTTTGAAAGGAAGGACGAACTGCAGGTTGCTGAAGAATGCACAAACTCTTAGCAGTCTACACTGTGAATATAGTATAGACATGGGTGTAGCAGACCATGTTGGATGAAGGAAAAAAATAGTGGACTACTTCTTTGTGATGCTATGAATTTTGTTTTTGTTGTTGGAAAGGGAAAGAAAGGTCTCCTGTATATTGACTTAGGACTTTGTGGTTTCTTTCAAATGACCCAGGGGAAATAGGAGTATGAACTTATTTGAGCAGGAACGTTCATGTCAGCCTTAAGAGAACATGCCAGGATATACTTTGTGTACCCTCACGAAAATATGCCTAGAGAAGGCCAGAGGTCAGAATACCGCGTGTTCCAACCTTTGACCCCATCTCCTCAAGGTTATGGTCGCCAAGACCTCAGCTCTGAGTTGTGCTGGGAACTCTCCAGAGGGCTAAGGGGAAATGAGGAATTGGATCAGGCAGGAATGAAGCTGGGATTAGTGGAACCAGCTAAGCAATGAAGCTGATCTCTGGTTAGATAATCAAAGTCTTGGGTAAGCTGGTGTGGCAAACTGGTTTCAGCATGGCTGTCTCCACCTGGTAGGTATTACCAGGGAGCTCAGAGCAGGACTCCAGGAATAGAGACAGGAATGAAGGCAGGTGGCAATGTCACCAGCCTATGCTCTTTTTGACTCAACACCAACTGGCGCCATTCGTGCTACCTTCCATGAATGGCACCAACGAGAAATAAAATTAAAGTTCTCTGTTTGTAGCCCATACAAGCAACTAAGCCACTTTTGAATCATTTTCTCAATAAGATAATTTTTTAAAAAAAAACTCTTGTAGCCTTGTCTTTTCTAAATGCATTATTTTAGTGGTTTGGGGAAAGTATTTATATCCCTGGGCTGTTTTTTGGGTCAAGATAGTAATAGGACTTCTATCTCAGGCAATATGACAGATGAGATTTCTTGAAAAGCTTATTAACACAACACACTTAAAACTGCTGGGCAAAATGTAACAAACATCCTTTGAACTGTATAGCTGACCTGTTTATGTGGAGGGGTAAGGATTGGTAGAAGAAAAATCCCCAAGGAACCCCCACCCTAACACACACACACAAAAAGGAAAATAAAAAAACAGAATTGTCACTAACTGATTCTTCATTCGTCATTTCCCTTGGGGAAGACATTGATTGTCTCACAAACAGGAGTTGGAGAGTGTCATGGGGCCCACTGGGCAAGGAGTTGGAACTGAGACCTCACCATAAAGCTGGACCCTTCAGAGACCCCCACCCTTAGTAAAGGTGTAATTAGAACCAATTTACCCTTCAGCAGTGGGAGACAGCTAGGAAGCTAGTCAGCTTCAGTGCAGGGAAAAAACCTTTCTCCTGAGAATTCTTTCTTTTTTTTTTTTTTTTTGAAACAGAGTCTTGCCATCACCCAGGCTAGAGTGCAATGGCACAATCTCAGCTTACTGCAAGCTCCACCTCCTGGGTTCAAGCGATTCTTTTGCCTCAGCCTCCCAAGTAGCTGGGATTACAGTTCCTCGCCACCATGCCTGGCTAATTTTTGTATTTTTAGTAGAGACAGGATTTCACCATGTTGACCAGGCTGGCCTTGAACTCCTGACCTTGTGATCCACCTGCCTCAGTCTCCCAAAGTGCTGGGATTACAGGCCTGAGCCACTGTGCCCAGCAAGAATTCTTAATCTTAGATGAGTCCTCAGGCTAATCTGAGAAATGCTTAATAAAATGTTACCATAAAGTTTACTGTTCTTGGGGGCCCAGGCAGATGTAAATGTTAAACATCTCTGAGTCAAACATCTTTGACTCCTATAATGGTCAAATTACATAATAATTACCTAATAAAAGATGTTTTAAATGAATTATATAATTGCATAATTACATAAGAAAAGATGTTTTAAATAAGTTAAAAAAAAAAGCCTGTTCATGATAAACCCTCAGAAAACCAGGGAATAGTAGGAAATTTACTCAATATAGTACAGGAAACTATAGGAACCTACAGCCAATATCATTCTTAAAAGCTGAAATAGAGAATGCATTCCTCTTGTGATCAGGAGCAAGATAAGGATGTCAGCTCTTACCACTTTTAGTCAACTTTGTACAAACCAGAGTTTTCACCAGTGCAATAAAGCAAGAAAAAGAAATAAAAAGCATAAATATTGAAAAGAAAGAAGTAAGTAAGTCTGCCTTTATTCACAGATGACATCATTGTATCCAGAGAAAACTCAAAGGATTTACAAACTACCAGAACTAATCATTCAGCAAGGGCATCAAATACAAGGTCAATATACAAAATCAGTTATACTTCTATATATGTATCAGTTTCCAATGTCTGCTTTAACAAATTGTCACCAATTCAATGGCTTTTTAAAGCACTAACTTATTACCTTATAGTTATTATTTATTTATTTATTTATTTTTTGAGATGGAGTCTCACTCTGTCACCCAGGCTGGAGTGCAGTGGCGCAATCTCAGCTCACTGCAACCTCCGCCTCCTGGGTTCAAGTGATTCTCCTGCCTCAGCCTCCTGATTAGCTGGGATTATAGGTGTGTGCCACCATGCCCAGCTAATTTTTGTAATTTTTAGTAGAGATGGGGTTTCACCATGTTGGCCAGGCTGGTCTTGAACTCCTGACCTCAAATGATCTGCCTGCTTCGGCCTCCCAAAGTGCTGGGATTACAGGTGTGAGCCACCGAACCTGGTCCCTATCTTACAGTTCATGAGATCAGAAGTCTGAAAGGGGTCTCGCTGGGCTAAAATCAAGGTGTTAGCAGGGCTGCCTTCATATCTGGAGGCTCTAGGAGAGAAACCCCTTTTCTAGTTTCTGGAGGCTGTCTCATGGTCCCCTTTCATGTTCAATGGCAGTTCTTCTCACATTGCGTGACTCTGACACTCTGACATTGACTCTGCCTTCTTCCACATTTAAGGATCCTTATGATTACATTGGGCCTGCCCAAAAAATACAAAATAATCTTTCTATTTTAAGGTTCTTTGATTAGCATCCTTAATTCCATCTGCAATTTTAAATCCCCCTTGCGTTCTAGGGATCAGGACATGGACATCTTTGGAGGTGGCCTTTTTCTGCTTATTACAATTTACTATCAGCAGGTAGAAAACGAAATTTAAAAATACTGTATCCAATAGCATCATAAAATCAAATACCTATGAATGAATTTAATTAAAAATGTACAAGGCTGCTATACTGAAAACTAGAAAATAGAAAAAAATTTTTAAAAGATTTAAATTAATGGAGAGACCATATTATTCATGTATTGGAAGGCTCAGTACTTTATAATGTCACTTCCTGAAAATATCTGTAGATTCAATGCAATCCCAGTCAAAATCTCAACATGTTTTTTCGTAGAAATTGGCAAGCCAATTCTGAAATTTATGTTGAAGTGCAAAGGACCCCTAATTGCAAAGACAATCTTGAAATCAGAATTTACTCTACCTGACTTCAAGATTTACCAGAAAGCTACAGCAGTAATTAAGCCAATATGATAGTGACATAAGGATAGACAAGTAAATAGAACAAAACACAGTCTCGAGATAGATCCACGTATGCATGGTCAATTGAATTGTGACAGACGTGCCAATGCAATTCAATGAGGAGAGGAAAATTTTTTTAACCAAAGGCTCTGGAGCAACTGGATAAACATATGGAAAATGGAATTGAAAGCATGAGAGAGGATTAAAGATAAAATACAAAAAGACAAGGACAGCTTGACTAGTGTTGGGGGAGTTGGAAGGGCTTGAATGGAAGAATGAAACAAGATTTCACTGTGTTTCAGTGGGGCTTGCTTCTGCCAGTTTTGTAAAGCAGTTTCCTCCACTCCTCTCCGCCGCTCTTTGAGGGGTAGGCTGGTGTGCTAAGCAGAATTCTCAGATGGGCCCCAAGATTCCCACCCCCTAGAGTACATGCCTTGTACAATTCTCTCTCCTTGAGCATGGAGGAGTCTGTGAATTTGATGGTGTGGTTACTATGGTGGTTACCTTCCATTACTTAAGACTCCATCATAGGTGACTTGGAGAGGGGAGGATTGGAAGTCAGAGGGACGTGCTCCATGTGGCCTGGAGGAAAACAAATTTGCATGTTGTGAAGTGCCTGTGGGGGCCACACTGCAGGGAGCTGCAGGCAGCCTCTAGGAGCTGAGAGCAGTCCCCAGCAGACAGCTAGCAAGTAAACAGGGACCTCCGTCCTACAACCCTAGGCAACTGAATTCTGCCTACAACCTGAATGAGCTTGGAAGGGGACCCCACACGCCAGATGAGAGCCATAACCCCAGCCATCACCTTGACTGTGGCCTTGTGAGAGCTGAGCCAATGATGCAGCTAAGTCATGCCCACGCTCCTGGCCCATGGAAACTGAGATAATGGATTCCCATCATTTTAAGCCACTGATTTTGTGGTAATTTGTTACCCAGCAATAGAAAATGAATGCAGATGGCAGGTCTGTCCCAGCTGCAAATGTCATCCTGCACAGGACCAATTTCGATTTCTCTCTTCATACGTGCCTTAGGAATTGGTCTTCCCAGGACAGAGGGCCAAGCTGTTTTGGACATGGTTGAAGTGAAATAATACCCACCACCCACTGAGGATTTGAAAGGTCCAATTGGGGTGAAAGGAATGAACATTGCTCTGAGTCTTTGACCTAGCCCCTTCTGGGATCCTCAATTTAATCAAACATTCCAAGTTAAGAGTAAAAAGTCCAGATCAGCTGGGTACGGTGGCTCACACCTGTAATTCCAGCACTTTGGGAGGCTGAGGTGGGTGGATCACCTGAGGTCAGGAGTTCCAGACAAGCCTGGCCAACATGGCGAAACCCCATCTCTATTAAAAATACAAAATTGGCTGGGTGTGGTGGTGGGTGCCTGTAATTCCAGCTACTAGGGAGGCTGAGGCAGGAGAATCACTTGAACCTGGGAGGTGGAAGTTGCAGAGAGCTGAGATTACACCACTGCACTCCAGCCTGGGTGACAGAGCGAGACTCCATCTCAACAACAACAACAACAACAAAAGCTCAGATTCTTCTCACAGAGTGTATTGAACTGAGCTTTCAAAACTGGGGTTCAGGGCTGACCTTTGGAGTACTGAAAACCAGGCATTTGCTATACTGGTCATACCTGTGGAGCAAACCTGCAGTAAGGTGGTACCTTGGATACTTGGGAGTTCATTCACAGCAGATAAATTCTGGTCCATTTGCTGGGGACATGGTGGCCAGTGGGAACTTGATCAGGCTGGACCTTCGTGTCTCAGAACCTAGGCATTGTTGAGTCTGACGGTTTGGGCATTTTAATATCTGCAGTAAGTTAACCTGGGAAAACAGGGCAGATATACAAAACCAGTTACATCCTTTTCCTTTCCTCATTGCAGAACCAAAATTACAAGGGCCATGGATTGTCAAAGGGAAAAGAGCGGTGAGTGGTCCCATCCAATCCAACAATCACAGCGCAACCAACTTCTCTCCCTCCCTCCCCTTTTCAATCCCTCTCTCCCTTTTCTACTTCAACAATTATAATGAAAATGATAGTAGAAGGAGTAATGCTAAACCATTATTGAGCACTTACCATGTGCCAGGCTCTGGGCCTGTCACTTTACCTGTATTAGCTCATTGAATCCTGACCACAACCATTTGAAGTAGATACTACTATTGTGTCCATTTTACAGATGGAGAAACGGAAGCTCAAAAAGGCTAAGTGACTTGCTCAAGATCACATGATCAGTTAGGGGCAGAGCTAGTTGGACTCCAGGGCCCACTGTCTAACTTTGGTCTCTCCTGCCTCCTTCAACAACCCTGTGATGACTTGATGACTTGCATGTCAGCTGTGCTCTGATCTTCTGCTTCACTCTGCATGGATAACCTGCATGCCAAACCCAGCACCCCTTTGGATCTCCTAAAGAGAATCCACTTGCACAAAGGAGGAGTGAGCAACGTAGACTTTACTGAAGATTTTTGTGGGGAGTTAGAGGAGGTAGTTTACATAGCAAATGTTTTAGATAGTTTATTCTTTGGTTCATTAGATATCTCCTCTCCTCTTCTCTTCTCTTCTCTTCTCTTCTCTTCTCTTCTCTTCTCTTCTCTTTTGAGTTTCACTCTTGTTACCCAGACTGGAGTGCAATGGCACAATCTCAGCTGATGGCAAACTCTGCCTCTCGGGTTCAAGTGATTCTCCTGCCTCAGCCTCCCGAGTAGCTGAGATTACAGGTATGCGCCACCGTGACCAGCTAATTTTGTATTTTTAGTAGAGACAGGATTTCTCCATGTTGGTCAGGCTGGTCTCGAACTCCCGACCTCAGGTGATCTGCCTGCCTCGGCCTCCCAAAGTGTTGGGATTACAGGCGTGAGCCACCACGCCCAGCCAGATATTTTTGTTATTTCTAAAGTCCCTCCTGGCTATACTACCACTGAGGAGGGCATGTGTGATTTGAGATGCTTCTCTCATGCAGTGCCCATCTTCTTTGCCTTCTTTCTCTCCATACTGACTATCCCACCAACTTCAAATCTCTCACTCTCTTATGTAGTGCAATTCAGCAATGTTCTGAATCCTGGCCCTAAACATACATGCCCACCTTAACAAAACAAAGAGCACTTAACAGGCCTGTGTTAGGCTGTTTTTGCATTGCTATAAAGGAATACCTGAGACTTTTTATTTATTTATTTATTTTGAGACAGAGTTTCGCTCTTGTTGCCCAGGCTGGAGTGCAATGGCCTGATCTCGGCTCACTGCAACCTCTGCCTCCTGGGTTCAAGCGATTCTGCTGCCTCAGCCTCCCGAGTAGCTGAAATTACAGGTGCCCGCCACCACGCCTGGCTAATTGAGACTGAGTAATTTATAAAGAAAAGAGGTGTAATTGGCTCATGTTTCTACAGGCTGTACAAGCATGGCACCAGCATCTGCTCAGCTTCTGGTGAGGCCTCAGGGAGCTTACAATCATGGTGGAAGGCAAAGGGGGAGCAGGCATGTCACACGGCAAGAGTGGGAACAAGGGAGAGGTCCCAGGCTCTTTTAAACAACCAGATCTCCCGTGAACTAAGTGAAAACTCACTTATCACCAAGGGGATGTTGCCAAACCATTCATGAGGGATCCATTTTCAGGATCCAACCACCTCCCACCAGGCCCCACTTTCAACATTGAGAATCACATTTTAACTTGAGATTTGGAGGGGACAAACATCCAAACCATATCAAGGCCCCATCTACTTATTTTATAAAGGCACACACACACACACACACACACACACATATATTTACCATAAAATATTTTTTATTTATGTGCCTTATTGAGGGCACATATAGATATGTGTTCCACTACCAGTAAGAGAAAACTCATAATAGTAGCTTAAACAAATTGTATTTATTTTATTCACAAAGAGTGAAGAAAAAGAGTCTGGAGTGCTGGTACAGTGGTTCAATAATGTCAGAGCCAGCATCTTCATGATTGCCTTTTTTTTCTTTTTTTGAGACGGAGTCTCACTCTGTTGGCTGGAGTGCAGTGGTGCGATCATGGCTCACTGCAGCCTTGATCTCCCAGGCTCATGCAATCCTCCCATCTCAGCCTTCTGAGTAGCTGGGACTACAGGCTCATGCCAGTGCACCTGGCTAATTTTTTTTTTTTTTTTTTAGACTCTTGCTCTGTTGCCCAGGCTGGAGTGCAGTGGCGTGATCTCAGCTCACTACAACCTCTGCCTCCCGGGTTCAAGTGATTCTCCTGCCTCAGCCTCCCTAGTAGCTGGGACTACAGGCACCCATCACCACACCTGGCTAATTTTTGTATTTTTAGTAGAGACGGAGTTTCACCATATTGGCCAGACTGGTCTCGAACTCCTGATCTTGTGATCCACCTGCCTTGGCCTCCCAAATGCTGGGGTTACAGGTGTGAGCCACGGTGCCCGGCCTAGCTAATTTTTTTAATTTTTTTTTTTTTTTGTAGTTATGAGGTCTCACTATGTTGCCCAGGCTGGTCTCCAACACCTGGCCTCAAGTGATCATCCCACCTCGGCCTCCCAAAGTGTTGGGATTACAGGCATGAGCCTTCATGATTGTCTTGACCTCTTCCTCATGGAGACCAAATGGCCACTACAGCTCCAGCCTTCATGTCATGATCAGGACAGGAAGAAGAGGGGAGGGAAGAATCAAGCCACATCTCTCTCTTTCTTTCTTTCTTTCTTTCTTTCTTTCTTTCTTTCTTTCTTTCTTTCTTTCTTTCTTTCCTTCCTTCCTTCTTTCTTTCTTTCTCTTTCTTTCTTGCTTTCTTGCTTTCTTGCTTTCTTTCCCTCCCTTCCTTCCTTCCTTCCTTCCTTCCTTCCTTCCTTCCTTCCTTCCTTCCTTCCTTCTTTCTTTCTTTCTTTCTTTCTTTCTTTCTTTCTTTCTTTCTTTCTCTTTCTTTCATCAAAAGAGCAAAACTTTCCCAGGAACTTACCCTTTCTAGCAGTCTTATGTTTCTATCTTATTGACTAGAATTGTGTCACATGGCCACCCCAACTGCATGAGTAGCTAGGAATACAAGTTATGTAAGTGTTGTTGTACTGTTATTACTATTCTGCACCCTGCTTTTGTCACACAAAATGATATGTTTGGTGTTTATCCACATTGGCACCTGTAGCTCTGAATGCATTTTAACTGCTACCTCTGTTTCATTGTGTATCGCAAGTTATTTACCCATCTTCCTGTGGAAAGGCACTTACGAAGTATTGGTTCCACTAGAAACTGACCCTGAGGGAAGGATGTGAGAGCAAGTGGTTTATTTGGAAGGTAATTCCAGTGAGCACTGACAGGGAAGTGGGGAAATAAGACAGCTAAGGAGAGAAACCAGTAAAAGGTGCATCATCGACAGGTAATTGCTGTGGACAGTGGGCTGAATCCCCCAGGGAATTCCTGGGAGAACGTAGAATGCACTGCAGACTTATCCTAAGTGAGAGATGAGAGACTTAGCGGATTTATCCACCAACTCCAGTCGTCACTGGTTGTATGCTGTTGGCAGAGGGTCAGTTCACGCTGGTGCTTCCAATCTGCTCCACATGCTGGCTGAGCAGACTCCGGGGGCCAGGGAAAACCCTCAGGTAGCATCGAAGGTGCTGGCAGTGGGAAGCTCTTTGATTTGCATGCACAGGAGTGGTGAATGCCAAAGGGATATGGGTGGACCACCAACAGTTGTGCCACAGGTTATTTCTATAAAAAATATTAACAATTACATATAAGCATCCTTGCTCACGTGTTTCCTGGTAGAAATGCAGAGTACAAACCCAGGGTATAGAGCTAGGACAGGTTGCTGAGTTTAGGGTACGTGCATATTCGACTTTACTAAAAACCGCCCGGTGACCCTGCAAAGTGTGTTCTACCAGCAGAGGAGGAGTTTCCATTGTATTCCATTGTTGCCAAAACTTGGACCTTTATATTTTTGCCAGTCTGATGTGTGTGACATAGTCCTTGATCTTTGTAATATGCCAAATTGCTCTCCAAAGGTATGTCCAATGTGCACCCCATCAGCATTGTAAGATAATTGTCATTTCTCCACATTCTTGTGAATATTTGGTATTTGTCTGATTTTTAATATTTTCTGCAAACTGATGGATTTTGAAATTGTATCTCTTTGTCGTTTCGGGTCTATTGCATGTATTTTTAGTAGTTCATGTTGTCTCCTCTATTGACTTTTAGCTAAACCTCCTTATTTTATCTTTTTTTTTTTTCATATTATTTGTAGAGATGAGGTCTTGCTATGTTGCTCTGGCTGGTCTCAAATTCCAGGGCTCAAGTGATCCTCCCACCTTGGCCTCCCAAAGTGCTGGGATTACAGGCATGAGCCACCATGCCCAGCCTATTTGATATTTTAAATGGTTACTTTAGAGCAGTGGTTCTAAAAGTTTAAGCTCAGGGTGGGTCCCTTTACAACTTAAAAATAATTGTGAACCCAATTGACTTTTGTATATGTGGCATACATCTAACAATGTGTACCATATTAAAAATTTAAGCTGATAAATTTTATTTTATTTTATTTTTGAGATGGAGTCTCACTCTGTCACCCAGGCTGGAGTGCAGTGGTACGATCTTGGCTCACTGCAATCTCCGTCTCTGGGGTTCAAGCAATTCTCCTGCCTCGGCCTCCCGAGTAGCTGGGATTACAGGCATGCACCACCACATCTAGCTAATTTTTGTATTTTTAGTACAGATGGGGTTTCACCATGTTGGCCAGGCTGGTTTTGAACTCCTGACCTCAGGTGATCCACGCGCCTTGGCCTCCCAAAGTGCTGGGATTACGGGCATGAGCCACCATGCCTGGCCTAAGCCGATAAATTTTTAAAATACTTATTAATTCATTTAAAAAGCAAAAAAATACTCATTACATGGTAGCATAAACTTTCTTTTTTTTTTTTTTTGAGACAGGGTCTCACTCTGTCACCCAGGCTGGAGTGCACTGGTGTGATCTCAGCTCACTGCAAACTCTGCCTCCTGGGTTCAAGTGATTCTCGTGCCTCAGCCTCCCAAGTAGCTGGGATTACAGGCCATCACGCCTGGCTAATTTCTGTATTTTTAGTAGAGACGGCCACCATGTTGGCCAGGCTGGTCTGGAACCCCTGACCTCAAGTGATCCACCTGCTTCGGCCTCCCAAAGCTCTGGGTTTACAGGTGTGAGCCACTGTGTTCGGCCCAACATTTTTGTGAGTTATAGTTATATTTCCCCACCAAAATGTACTGAGATGAGTAGTAGTCGTTTTACATTTTTGTGACTCTCTTTAACGTCTGGCTTATTAGAAAACATTTGACTTTCCAGATCTTCTGTGTTCAATCTGCTGTGATAGATTGTTTTGGTTGAAGGACAGGAAGAAAATCTAGCCTCACAAAGATAGTATTTGGAAAAGGGAAGATTTGTGTACCCTTGAAAAAGAGTTGGGGACCCTGAGGAATACTTGAGACCACACTTCACAACCTATGGCTCTAGGGGATTACAATATGCATCCTTACCTTATCACAGTCTACCTTGAAGCATAATTACACCACTTCATGCACAACTAAGAACCCTACAGCAACACACTTCTGTTTGCTCCCCTCTGATCGTTTGTGCTGCTATTTTTGTCATATATTTACTTGTAAATATGTTATAAACCCTTCATTACATTCTCACTATATTTGCTTTAAATAGCTACTTGAATTTTTTTTTTAATTAAGACATGGAAGAAAGTATTCCATATTTACCCCACTCATCATTCCTTCTGAATTTCCATCTGGTATAATTTTCCTGCAGCCCGAGGAACGTTCTTTAGTGTTTCTTATAGTGTGGATCTGTTGGCAATAAATTCTCTCAGCTTTTATTTATTTGAAAATTGTCTTTATTTCACTGTCATATTTTAAGTAAAGTTTTACTGGATATAGAATTCGAGGTTGATCTTTTTTTCTTTAAGCACTTGAAAGATGATATTCCTTTGTCTTCAGGCTTATGTTGTTTCTGATGTGAAGTCAGCTGTTCTTTTTCTTTTTTTTTTTTTTTTTGAGACAGAGTCTTGCTCTGTCACCTAGGCTGGAGTGCAATGGTGCAATCTCGGCTCACTGCAACCTCCACCTCCCAGGTTCAAGGGATTCTTCTGCCTCAGCCTCCTGAATAGCTGGGATTACAGGTACCCGCCACTACGCCTGGCTAATTTTTGTATTTTTAGTAGAGACCAGATTTCTCCATGTTGGTTAGGCTGGTCTTGAACTCCTGGCCTCAGGTGATCCGCTTGCCTCAGCCTCCCAAAGTTCTGGGATTACAGGCGTAAGCCACTGCGCCTAGCCAAAGTCAGCTGTTCTTGTCTTCCACTCCCACTCTCCACCACCCTCACCCCTCTATGCGATGTGTCTTTTTTCCTCAGGCTTTTTTTTTTTTTTAAGACTGTTCTGTTTTTCAGCAATTTGACTATGGTTTACCTGGGTGTAGTTTACGTTGTGTCTGTCTTGCTTGGGGTTAATTGAGCATCTTGGATCTGTGAGTTGATAATTTAATCAAATTTGGAAAATTTTTTAGCCATCATTTCTTCAAAAAATATTTTCTGTCCTATCTCTTCCCCATCTCTTTCTTGAACTTCAGTTATATGTATGTTAGACTGCTTGATATTATCTCACGAGTCACTGAGGTTCTGTTCATGTATAAATTTTTTCTCTAATTCAATTTGAACAATTTCAATTAGACTGTTTTCAAATGTACGGTTTTTCCTTCTCAATGCCTAGTCTCTTGTTAAGCACATCCATTGAACTTTCAATTTCAGATATTATAGTTTTCCCTTCTAGAATTTCCATTTGGTTCTTTTTTTTTTTTTTTTTTTTTTTGAGACAGGGTCTTGCTCTGTCACACAGGCTGGAGTGCAGTGGTGCGATCATGGCTCACTGCAGCTTTAACCTCCTGGGCTCAAGTGATCCTCCCACCTCAGCTCCCCAGGTAGCTGGGACTACAGGCACGTACCACCATGCCTGGCTAATTTTAAAACTTTGTGTAGAAATGGGGTCTCACTGTGTTGCACAGGCTGGTCTTGAACTCCTGGGTGATCCTGCCACCTCAGCCTCCCAAAGTATTGGGATTACAGGTATGAGCCACTTGGCCATTTGGTTCTTTTCTGCAGTAACTCATCTATTCACACATTGTATCCATCTTTTCCCATAAATCCTATAACATATTTATAATAATTTTTAAATTTCTTCTCTAATGATTCTGATAACTGGGTCATTTATGGGTTTATTTCAGTTGGCTCTTTTTCCTCTTGATTATGTATTACATTTCCCTGCTTTGCTATTGCATGTGTT
The DNA here is from genome assembly GCF_000001405.40 of Homo sapiens. Lineage (NCBI taxonomy): Eukaryota > Metazoa > Chordata > Mammalia > Primates > Hominidae > Homo > Homo sapiens. The sequence continues at coordinate 31,894,593 of NC_000020.11, forward strand.
ATATTTTTAGAACTGCACTCTGGATATTGTGTATGAAAAACAATTGTATATCATAATTTTTTAGTCTTTATATACATATACATATATACACATACATACACACACTTTATATATATATACATGTATATACACACACACACACACACACACACATACGTACACACACTTTATAGAGTATGCGAGCTCCTTCCTCTGACTAGCAGGTTTAGGGGCTGATCATTCAGATTCCTCCTAAAGCTGAGTTGAACATGGGTTGGGCTGCAGCTTTAATTAAATTGCGTGTACTCCAATCCAACCTCCTTCACTGCCGTCTTGAGCTTGTTAGTATTTGAGCTATGTGGGGCTGCAGTGCTGATTATTGTTTAATTTATTTTTATTTTTAGAGACAGTGTCTCACTATGTTGCCCAGTCTGGTCTCCAACTCCAGTTTTTCATCCATCAACATAAAAAAATAGAGACAAATCTCCAAGTAAAAAGGTTTTATTTGGGAATAATATACAAGAAGTAGAACTGCAATCCAGGATGTCCACATAGACTAGGGCAGCCCCCAGCATGTCTGAGAACAAAGGAAAAGTTTAGGGTTCTCTTGGGGAAAGAGGAGATTTACGTAAGTTGTTTCAAAAGAAAGTTCATTGGCGCTAGCAGTGTTTTTTATGAGAGCTGGCGAGTTCAGTAGCAGATTGGTGAGTGTCAGTAGTTGCTAGGTAGGACTTGGAGTCTCGGAGTTCTTGTTAGGCCCTTGCAGTTTTGGATTGGGCCTGAGAAACCGTGTCAGGCTAGTGTTCCTGTGTTAGCTGCTAGCTGCCCTTGTGCTGTTAGCAGTACTCTTGTCTCATGTGGGAAGCTGTGGTTTGGAAAATGTTCTTGTGAAAGTTCTTATTATCTGGCAAATCATGCATGAGACTCCTCCCTTCATGACCTTTCCTGGCTCTGTATTTTTATTTTTTTACTTTTTATTTTTTGAGATGGAGTCTCACTCTGTAGCCCAGGCTGGAGAGCAGTGGTGTGATCTCGGCTCACTGCAGGCTCTGCTTCCCAGGTTCCAACGATTCTCCTGCCTCAGCCTCCCGGGTAGCTGGGATTACAGGCACATGCCACCATGCCCGGCTAGAAGCTGGGAAAGGCAAGGAAACAAATTCTCCCATAGAGCCTCCAAAAGGAATGCAGCCATGCCAACCCATTTCAGTCCCTCTGCCTTCTGGAACAGTAAGGTTATTCATGTATTTATTTATTTATTTATTTATTTATTTATTTATTTATTTATTGAGACAGGGTCTCGCTCTCTTGCCCAGGCTGGAGTGCAGTGGCACAGTCTCGGCACACTGCAACTTCCATCTCCCGGGTTCAAGCGATTCTCCTGCCTCAGACTCCCCAGTAGCTGGGATTACAGGCACCAGCCACCATGCCCGGCTAATGTTTGTATTTTTAGTAGAGATGGGGTTTCACCATGTTGTCCAGGCTGGTCTGGAACTCCTGATCTCAGGTGTTCTGCCTGCCTCAGCCTCCCAGAGTGCTATGATTACAGGCATGAGCCACTGCGCCCGGCCTGATTTTTTTGTATTTTTAGTAGAGACGCGGTTTCACCATGTTGGTCAGGCTGGTCTCCAGCTCCTGACCTCAAATGATCTGCCCGCCTCAGCCTCCCGAAGAGCTGGGATTATAGGCGTGAGCCACCTAGCCCGGCCCCCTGGCCCTATTTTGCCAGGGTTTGACACAAGTGATTCCATTTTGAATCTGACAACTTTCACACACCACTAATTATAATGTTAGCTCGAGTTTTTTTAAGATGCTTTTATCAAGTTGATGAAGTTCCTCTCAGAGTTTTTAAATGAATGAGTGTTTAATTTTTGTCAAATGCCTTTTCTGCATCAATTGATATAATCATGTGATTTCTCCATTTTAGTCTGTTAATATGACTGATTACATTGTTTTTTTTGTTGTTGTTTTGGTTTTTTTTGAGACAGTCTCTCTCTGTCGCCCACACTGGAGTGCAGTGGTGCTATCTCGGCTCACTGCAACCTCTGCCTCCCCAATTCAAGCGATTCTCCTGCCTCAGCCTCCTGAGTAGCTGGGACTACAGGTGCCCACCACCACGCCTGACTAATTTTTGTATTTTTAGTAGAAATGGGATTTCACAATGTTGGCCAGGCTGGTCTTGAACTCCTGACCTCAAGTAATCTGCCTGTCTCAGCCTCCCAAAGGGTTAGGATTACAGGCGTGAGACACCATGCCTGGCTCATGGATTAATTTTTGAATATTGAACCAGCCTTGCCTACTGGAATAAACTCCGCTTGGTTATGGTGTATAGTCCTTTTTATATATTGCTGAATTCTATTTGATTGCATTTTGTTAAGGATTTTTCCATCTACATTCATAAGGGATATTGGTCTGTGGTTTACTTCTTGTGTACTGTCTTTGGTTTTGATATCAGGTTAATACTAGCTTGGCAAAATGAATTAGGAAATTCTCCCTCCTCTTCTATTTTCTGGAAGAGATTGTGTAGGATTGGTGTTAATCCTTCTTCAAATATTTGGGGAAATTCTCCAGTGAAACCACTGAGCCTGGAGATTTCTTTTTTGGGAGGTTTTGAATTATGAATTCAATTTCCTTAATAGCTATAGAGCTATTCAAATTACCTATTTCATATTGGATGAGTTGTAGTAATTGTGCTTTTTGAGGAATTGTTCCATTTCATCTAAGCTGTCAAATGTAGGTGTGTAGAGCTGTTAGTAGCATTTCCTTATTGTGGCTGTGATACCTGCGGGCTCCATAGCGGTAGCCTCTGTTTCAGTCCTCATATTGGGTAGTTGAGTCTTTCCTTTGTCAGTCTTGCTGACAAATAGGTTTGTAGATTTTATTGATCTTTCCAGAGAACTTGCCTTTTATTTTACTGATTTGCTATAATGTTTTTCTGTTTTTGATTTTATTGATTTCCAGCTCTCCTCTAGGCCCCCTTTAACATCACCCCAGAGTGGGAGGGGCACTTCATTACGGCCAGACTGGGGAGGAAGTCCAGGCTCCACACATGGTCTCCACTGCTGCAGTGGGGGTGGGAGGCTCATTACCGCCTGGCAGGGATGAAAGCCTGGCTCTGTCTGTGGCCTTCTCTGACAGCACCGAGCGGGGGTGTTGGGTGCCCTGCTGCAAACTCAGGGGAAGTCTGGACTCCCTACTCGGCCTTTCCTGGCATCACTGGGAGTGGGCCACAGATGTGTTCTTGGGGGTCTGGCTGGAGTAGAGCAGTGATTGCCCAAGTCCTCTGTCTGGCTAGGCCGCTCCTTTCTTGGTCCTTTGGCTAGGACGGGGTGCTTTTGTCGAAGCTTTTGTCGTCTATGCCCATTGGCATTTCTGGGTTGGTGGCTTTTCATCTCCATATCTGAACTATATGAGACAAAAAGGAAACCCAGGGAATTCACCACCATGTAGTTCCCGTGGTCCTGAAATCTCCAGCCAGTCTGCCTTCTTCTCTTTCAGTCTTATATTTGTTTTATAGATAGTATCTTGAGTTTTCAGTTGTATCAGTAGGAGGAATAGGAAAAAGTACATCTGCTTCATCTTCCCAGATGATTGCCAGGAGAGGGCTTTGCAAATACTTATCATTTCATGTAAGGATTAGTCATAGCACATGGAAAGCAACCAGACCATGCCTGGCACATAGTAGGCTTGGATACAATGATCGTTATTTTTCAATGATTTGAAGATTCTGTAATTCTCAATCTGATTATGTTAAGTGTTATCATGCTCTAATGCTAAATTCTGAAATACAGTGTGGAACTTTCCAGGTATGGAACTTGACTTCTCTTCCTCCTTTTTTCCTCTCCTTGCGCCATCCTAGGAAAATCATTGATCCTGAGCAAATGTTCATTGCCTTGTCTTGCAGAGAGCAGAGAGCATCGATCCGGTTCAAGACCACCCTCATGAACACACTCATGGACGTCCTTCGCCACAGGCCAGGATGGGTGGAAGTGAAGGAGTAAGACCCTCCCCCCAGCCTTGTCCCTCCTTCCCTTTGTCTCACAGGTCCTTGTCTTCCTTTGTTTTTCTCCCAGTTCCCCTGGGTGGCCACTGGGACTTGTCCCAAAGTGGCTGTGACATTTATTTAGCACCCACAATGTGCCAGGCACATTATCACTATCATCTCTGTCTTATTTAAGCCTTCCAACTAAACCGTAAGATAAGATTATGTTCAGAGTTAGGAAACCAATTGCTTAAGGTCACACAGCATTGTAAGCATCAGAGCAGGATTCAAACCCAGGCACGTTTGTGTCCTGTGGTTTTCAGTAGAAACTAGGAATGTAGCTACCACAGACCTGTGGCCTGGATCCTCCAGTGACGGGTCCAGATCAAGGACTGCTCTTCCCTGGCCACTTGCTAGTTCTGTGACTTTGGCCTGTAAGCCTACCTTTCTTCTTTCATGCTGGCCTCTGGGGATACTGATTGAGACAAACCAGCATGTGATGCCTGGCACAGAGTAGGTGCTATTAGTTATGGCTAAGGTTTGGATGTATGCAATGGAAACCCAAAGTAAAAGAGGCTTCGACATGCTAGAAGTTTATCTGTCTCATTGAAGTCCATATGTAGGAAGTTCAGAGATGGTAAGGGGGCCCCACAGAAATGTGGGATCCATCTGCTTCTGTCTTTCCATTCTACTATCCCTTAGGTGAGGTCCTTGTTTTTCATAGTCCAAGGTAGAGCTCCAGTCTTGCTTTCACATTCCAAACAGCAGGAGGTAGGCAGGAGGCAATAAAAGGCATAGGCCAGGTGCAGTGGCTCACACCTATAATTCCAGCACTTTGGGAGGCCAAGGCAGGAGGATTGCTTGAGTCCAGGAGTTCAAGACCAACCTGGGCAACATGGCAAGACCCTGTCTCTACAAAAAATTTTTTAAAAAGTTAGCCAGGCATGGTGGTGTGTGCCTGTAGTCCCAGCTACTTGGGAGGCTGAGATGGGAAAATTGCTTGAGCCGAAGAGGTCGAGGCTGCAGTGAGCTGTGATCACACCATAGCACTCCAGCCTGGGTGACAGAGCGAGACCCTGACTCAAAAAAAAAAAGAGAGAGAGAGAAAGAAAAGGCAAGCCCATCCCTTGAAGGACACAACTCAGGAGTCTCTCACAGCTTACTGGCCAGACCTTAACCATGTGGCCAAACCCAGCTACAAGGGAATCTGGAAAATGTTGTTTTTTTTTTTTGAGATGGAGTCTTGCTCTGTCGCCCAGGCTGGAGTGCAGTGGCACAATCTCGGCTCACTGCAAGCTCCACCTCCCAGGTTCACGCCATTCTCCTGCCTCAGCCTCCCGAGTAGGACTACAGGTGCCCGCCACCACGACCAGCTAATTTTTTGTATTTTTAGTAGAGACGAGATTTCACTGTGTTAGCCAGGATGGTCTTGATCTCCTGACCTCGTGATCCGCCCTCCTCGGCCTCCTGAAGTGCTGGGATTACAGGCGTGAGCCACTGTGCCTGGCCGAATCTGGAAAATGTAGTTTTTATTCAGGGAAATACAGGCTACATTTTCCCAAGTAAATGCTGAAAATTCTTTTACTGTAGAGAAAGGGGAAAAGGGATAGGAGGGGTAGCTGCCCTGCTGCGTGGTGCTCAGGAAATATTTGCTGCTTACCATTAGCTAAGTCTGCTGGACACTCTAACATTTCGCATGCATGATCTTTTAATCATCCCAACAAATCTTTCAGGTAGGTGTTATCATCATCCCCATTTTACTAATGAGAAAACTGGGCACAAAGTAGTGAAAATGCCATGTTTGAGGTCACTCAGCTTGTGAGGGTTTGGGCTGGGATTTGCATTGAGTCTGCTGTCTGCAGAGCCACAGCCTCATCTTATAGTGGCTTCTCAGTGGATTGAAGCAACAAATGAGCAGATGTTATGAATCTGTGATTCCCACTGCTTGGGAAGGCTTTACTAAATCATCCCATGAAAAATTAGGAGTTGGCTGTGGTGCAGGTAACTCAAGACACCAGCGTCTTCTCTTTAGGGCTTTGGGGAATATTACAACAATGACAGTGATGTTGAGGATGTGGTGATGGCAGCCTTTGTGGATTTGCCTTCTTGGTTCTCTTGTGATCATGCTAATATCCGCACAGGGTTTCCTTCCCTGGATCCAGAGAACGGGTGTCATGAAAAGTGCTTGGGGGGAGTTGGGAGGAGAGTTAGAAGAGAGTGAGGTGACTAGCAGGTGGGGGTGGTGTAGGGGAGAGAGAGCAATGTCCCCATCTGCTGTGTGACCTCTGTCCACTCCCTGCCCCTCTCCTGCCTCTGCTCAATGGGCAGGGGAAGAGAGTCTGAGGATTTGTCTGGTGCTAACAGTGTGGGAGCCCAGAAGCAGGGTGCTCCATGGCTGGTCCCAGATTGTCTCAAGAATCCTTAAATCAGGAAGGGCCCAGAGGCCAGGGCCTTTTCCTTCAACACAGCTCTGTGAATCCAAGGCCTCATCCTTTAGGACCTAAGCTGGGTCTGGAATTTCCAGACAGAATCAGGTCTCAGTTCAGACTGCCAACCCATCAGGTCAGTTTAGAACAGATGTGGCCAGAGCTGTCCCTTCCCTTGCTTCCCCCTGAGAAAGATACATGAAGCCTTGGAACTATAGCAACCATACTGTGACCCCGACACGATGAGCATGAGGACACGTTAAGGATGGCAGAATGGATACTTACCTGGCAGGGGAAATGCCATGAGTGGAAGGAGGTTTTCTCAGGGCAAGGCTCATGTATTGCTCTCCCGATGTGCTGACCCCTGCGATTTTCTCCAATGTGGGAAACTCGATTGTGTAATTTATGATGGTCGGAGACTGGGAAGGTGGAAAGAACCTGAATCTCCACTGACCTTGTTAAGAGGCAATTTGATGTCTTCCTGGGTGATTTAAGAGCAACTTGATTGTGACAATCATGAAAATGGTGTGCAAATGAATGAACTTTTGGTATCAGAATAGAATACGAAATCCACACGGTGGTCTACAAGGCCCTGCTTGATTGGGCCCTTCCCAACTCTTCAGTTTGGTCTCTGACTTCTTTCCTTCCGCCCTGGCTTTTCTTAGTGTTCTTGAACATGCTCTTCCCAACCTCAGGGCCCCAGTCCCTGCTCTTCCCAGTGCTAGAACCTTCCCCATTGCTTTTGACTAGGCTGCACCTCCTTATCCTTCAGATCTCAGCTGAAAGGTCCTTCCACAGGGTGACTCCACCCAGCGTAGGTCCCTCAACTACCCCGCCTCATGGCCTCTACTGGATCACGTGGCGGCTCACTTCACAATTCTTTATTATAGAGTTGTTTCCTTGTTTATTGTTAATCTTCCCCACAAGACTGTGCGCACCACCTGGCAAGGTATTCTGTTTCCTCCTGTATCACTGGCATCCAACATGGTCTCTGACACAGAGATAACCTCAACACATACATGTTGGAAGAAAAAATATATAAAATCTTTTTAATTTTGATAAGTCCAAAAAATGTATATATATAGAATTTCGTGTCTTTTAGCATATTCACAAAGTTGTGTAATCATCACCACTTTTTTTTTCCCCCACATACCTGCTGTGTCAAAACCACTATCTAATTCCAGAACATTTTCATCATCTCAGGAAGAAACCCCATACCCACTAGCAGTCATTCCCATTTCTCCCTCCCTCCAGCCTCTGTCTTGGGCCTTGTCTCTATTTATCTATTCTGGACACATCATGTAAGTGGAATTATACAATATGTAACCTTTTTCCTGTCTTCTTTCACTTAACGTAATGTTTTCAAGGCTCATCCATGTAGCAGTATGTATCAGTACTTCATTCCTTTTTGTTTGTTTGTTTGAGATGGAGTCTCGCTGTGTCGCCCAGGCTGGAGTCCAGTGGCTCGATCTCGGCTCACTGCAAGCTCTGCCTCCCGGTTTCATGCCCTTCTCCTGCCTCAGCCTCCTGAGTAGCTGGGACTTCATTCCCTTTTATGACTGAATAATATTCTGCTGTGTAGGAGTACCACATTTATTTATCTGCTCATTAATTGATAGGTGTTTAGGTTATTTCCACCTTTGGGCTGTTATACATGATGCTGCTGTGAATATTCATGTATGAATTTGAATGGACATATGTTTTCACTTTTTGTTGGTGTATACATAGGAGTGGAGTGACTGGGTGATATGATAACTCTATGTTTAACTTTTTAAGGAACTGCTAGACTTTTCTGAAGTGACTATGCCATTTTACATTAACACCAGGAGTGTATGAGGGTGCCGATTTTTCCACATCCTCACCAACTCTCGTTATTATTCATCCATTTATTTATTTATTTATTTAGAGAAAGGGTCTCTCTCTGTCACCTAGGCTGGAGTGCAGTGGTACAATCACAGCCAACTACAACCTTGACCTCCCGCGCTCAAGTGATCCACCCACCTCAGCCTCCTGAGTGGCTGGGACTACAAGCACACACCACCATACCTTGCTAAATGTTTTAAGTTTTTTTTTTGGAGAGATGGGGTCTCATTATGTTACCTAGACTCATCTTGAACTTCTGGACTTGAGTGATCCTCCTGCCTCTGCCTCCCAAAGTGTTGAGATTATAGGTGTGAGCCACCGTACCCACCCTCACATTTATTATGGCCATCCTAGTGGGTATGAAGTGGTATCATTGTGGTTTTGATTTGCATTTCCCTGATGGCTAATGATTTTTAGCATCTTTTCACGTGCTTATTAGCAATTTATAAATCTTCCTTGAAGAAATATCTATTGCCCATGTTTAAATTTAGTTGTCTCTTTATATTCGAGTTATAAGAATTTTATCTTATAAGGGTATTCTTATATATGATTTGCAAATACTTTACTTTCTTCCATTTTGTGAGTTATCTTTCCTCTTTCTTGACTGTGCCTTTTGCGGTAAAAACTTTTTCATTTTGATAAAGTCCAATTCACCTATTTTTTCTTTTGTTGCTAGTGCTTTTGGTATCATATCTAAGAAACCATTGCCTAATCCAAGGTCACAAAGATTTACTCCTATGTCTTCTTCTAAGAGTTTTCTAGTTTTAGCTCTTACATCTAGATCTTCGATTTAATTTTTTATATGGTGTGAGGTAGGTGTCCAACTTTAATATTTTAAAATACTTATTTTTAAACTTTTTTATTTTGAAATAACTTTAGACCTACAGAAAAGTTTCAAAAATCATACATAGCTTCCTCTTTTAGCAGTTTTACCACCTTTCCCTGTTAGCAGCTTATGTAATCACAGTACATTTGTCAAAGTCAGGACATTAACATTGATATATTACTGTTAACTAAGCTGCAGACATCATTTGAATTTCACCAGTTTTTTTCCACTAACATCCTTTTTCTGTTCCAGAATCCAATCCAGGATCCCACTTTGCATTTAGTTGACCTTTTTTACCTCAAATATATTTCAGTTCCTTGGTCTTTATTTGTCTTTCATGCCCTTGACACTTTTGAAGAGTACATTTTGTAGAATGTCCCTTGAATTGGATTTGTCTGATGTTTTCTCACCATGAGGTTATGCATTTTGGCAAGAATACCACAGAAGTGATGCTGTGCCCTTTTCAGTGGAACTCATCGGGGGTTTGTGATGCTGATGTGTCTTATCACTGGTGACAGTACCTTGATTGACCATTAGATTAAGGTGGTGTCTGCCAGCTTTCTCCAGTGTAAATTAACTTTTTTTAAAAATAATAAGTATCTTGTGGGCAGATAATCTGAGACTATGCAAATATCTTGTTCCCAACAAACTTTCACACAATGGTTCTAGCATTTTTTGATAATTCTTTTTTTTTTTTTTTTTTTTTTTTTGAGACAGGGTCTCACTCTGCCGCCTAGGCTGGAGTGCAGTGGTACAATCATGGGTCACTGCAGCCTTGACCCTCTGGGCTCAAGTGATCCTGCCACCTCGGCCCCCTGAGTAGTTGGGACTACAGGCCCATGCCACCATGCCTGGCTAATTTTTGTATTTTTTGTAGAGATGAAGTTTAACCACGTTGACCAGGCTGATCTCGAACTCCTGGGCTCAAGTGATTCTCTTGCCTTGACCTCCCAATGTGCTGGGATTACTGGCTTGAGCCACCGTGCCTGGCCTTTTTTAAGGATTCTTGCCTAAATCTATTATTATTACAATAATTGCAAAATGGTTACTCTCTGTCATTCCTTCTACATGTATTAGGTGGCATTCTTCTGTAGAGAAAGTTTTTCTCTTCCTGTCCCTCATTTAATTATTTAGTATCAGTTTGGCTCATTGCAGTCTATCATCTTGCCTAGAGGTTACCACACCTAGATTTTCCCAATAGGAAGCTGAGGCCCAGAGAAGAGGGCAAGGTCACGTAGTGCCAGTGCCTGTGTTGACTCCTGGTCTAGTGCTCCTTGCACTGTGTGACATGGCTTGGTACAAACATCAGGGTGGAGAAAAGGCAGGACTGGGCATCTAGATGAAGCCCCAGCCAGCCAGCCGGGAATCTGTGGCACTATGGTATCTGAGGGTTTATAGAGCACATGGCCATTTCTTTTTTTTTGAGATGGAGTCTCACTCCGTTGCCCAGGCTGGAGTGCAGTGGCACAATCTCGGCTCACTACAACCTCTGCCTTCTGCGTTCAAGTGATTCTCCTGCCTCAGCCTCCCAAGTAACTGGGATTACAGGAAACTGCCACCACGCTGGGCTAGTTTTTGTGTTTTTTTTTAGCAGAGACGGGGTTTCACCATGTTGGCCAGGCTGGTCTCAAACTCCTGACCTCAGGTGATCCACACGCCTCGGCCTCCCAAAGTGCTAGGATTACACGCATAAGCCACCGTGCCCAACCAGCACACGGCCACTTCTCCAGTGGGTTTCCATCAGTTCTTGAAACCGTTCTTCCGAACCACTGTGCCTGGGGCACAGCCACAAGGGAGGTTTGGAGAAGGACCAGGCCCCAGATTTTCATGAGTAACTTAGGACAAAATTTGGAAACCGTAGATTTCTGGTTCCAGTGTCATTCCATTACCACGTGCTTCACGTCACCACATCTGTGCACGGTGTGTGCACAGATGTCCATCTCTGGACATCTCTGAGCTCAGTGAAAGGCTGGGTCTGTCTGCCTGCCTTAAAGCCCCTCTGCACATGGTGTGACATTCAGGAGAAACACCAACCCAGCAGCCACAAGGAGAAGCAATTTAAATCTTTAGTTCTTTGAAAATTCCAGGCCGGGCGCGGTGGCTCACGCCTATAATCCCAGCGCTTTGGGAGGCCAAGGCAGGCGGATCACCTGAGGTCAGGAGTTTGAGACCAGTCTGACCAACATGGAGAAACCCTGTCTCTACTAAAAATACAAAATTAGCTAAGCGTGGTGGTGCACGCCTCTAATCTCAGCTACTCTGGAGGCTGAAGGAGGAGAATCGCTTGAACCCGAGAGGCGGAGGTTGCGGTGAGTCGAGATCGTGCCATTGCACTCCAGCCTGGGCAACAAGAGTGAAATTTCATCTCAAAAAAAAAAAAAAAAAAAAAAGGAAAGAAAATTCCAAAGGGATCTCCATTTACAACACAAGGCCCAACTGCTTGGCCATTGTTCCAGTTGCTATGGCTGTGTAACAAATCCCAAAACTTAGCTGCTTAAGACAGCATTGCATTAGGCGCGGGGCTCCTGAGTCAGGGACTCTTACAGGACACAGTGGGACTGGCTTGTCTCTGTGACATTGGGGGCATCAGCTGGGAAGAGTCCAGATCTGGAGGTCACCTGGTGGCAGGAGTTGTCTGAGGGCATCTGACTCACACGTGTGGCAGTCGATGCTAGCTGTCTGTGGGGATCTCACTAGGGCAGACAGCCGAAGAAGGTTCTCATGGGTTCTCCTTGCGGCCTCACGGCCCCGCAGCCTCTGGATAAGGGATATAGTGTAGGAATCTTTTGGAACTACAGTCTGCCCCTGCATCCTCCCCATTGGTCTTGTTCAGGGCCTCTTCCTTCATCATCCCAAGGTGATGGTGATGTCTCTTCATTTTTCTCCATTTCTGCCTCAGACCTCCTCCAGATGTCTTTTAAAACTCAGCCTACTTGTCTATATTAGAGAAAAGGGGTGGGGAGAAAGGGAGACAAACCAAACACCTTTTTTTTCTTTTTTTTGAGATGGGGTCTCACTCTGTCACACACGCTGGAGTGCAGTGGCATGATCTTGGCTCACCACAACCTCCACCCCCCTGCTCAAGTGATTCTCCCACCTCAGCCTCCTGAGTAGCTGGGACTACAGGTGCATGCCACCACTCCTGGCTAATTTTTTGTGTTTTTGGTAGAAATGGGGTTTCACCATGTTGGCCAGGCTGGTCTCAAACTCCCAAACTCAAACAATCCATCCACCTTGGCCTCCCAAAATACTGGGATTACAGGTGTGAGCCAGCACACCCAGCCCCAAACACCTTTTAATAGGAAAATGGATATACTGTGGCGTGTTCACCCAATGGAATGGGAAATGGCAGTTAGAATAACTCGACCCCTATGTATCAAAAGGATCGATCTCCAGAACAAAAGTTTGGTGGGAAAAAAGCATGTTGTGAAAAGAAACAGACAGGAGGGGTTCTAACCACAGAGCTTGGACTCTGGAGCCTGAGGCCTGAGTTCAAATCCTGCTCTGCCACTTACTAACTGCATGAACTAGGTGAGTTTCTCTGTGTGCCTGCCTCCATTTTCTCATCTGTAAAATGGGTATAATAACAGAACCTAACACTTCAGGTTGCACTGAGGATCCGTGAATGAATATTTGTGAAGTGTTTAGAGCAGTGCCTGGTACATGGTAAGCAATAAGTATTAGCGTTAGGTTTAAAATCATGACAAACAACGCCATGTGCCATGATGCATGGATACACACATATATACATGATGAAACTATAAAGCCACTGCAGGCCGGGCACGGTGGCTCACACCTATAATCCCAGCACTTTGGGAGGCCGAGGTAGGTGGATCACCTGAGGTCAGGAGTTCGAGGCCAGCCTGGCCAACATGGTGAAACCCCATCTCTACTAAAAATAAAAAATTAGCCAGTTGCGGTGGTGGGCACCTGTAATCCCAGCTACTCGGGAGGCTGAGGAAGGAAAATCGCTTGAACCCGGGAGGAGGAGGTTGCAGTGAACTGAGATCTCGCCATTGCACTCCAGCCTGGGTAACAAAGTGATACACCGTCTCGAAAAAAGAAAAAAAAAAAACCACTGCATAGAAATGATAACACACCAAACTCAGGCTGATGGTTTCCTTCGCGGCAGAACAGAAGGAGATACAATCAGGCAGGGATAGACAGGGGGCTTCAGTTGTATCTGTACTTTTTTACTTAAAAATAATTGTGAACAATCATGATAGTGTTTTATTTCCTGTGGCATCTTTTTCAAACACCTCCTCCCCGCACCCCAGCTCTGGCACCCAGATTTGGTAGATTGGCCCGGTTTCCTCTCCCTGGCATGGTGGTGGAGAATGGGATCAGAATTTGGAGCCGGCAGAGCTGGGTGTGGGTCCTGCTGCTGCCATGTCCTCAGTGAGCAAGGCCATCTTGCCTTAGAGTTCTGGGGATGATCCAAGATCACCTTTGGGGGCTGCTCTGAGGATTTAGTGAGTGGAGAGTTTTGTGAACTGGGAGGGGCTTGCAAAGGTTATCTCATTCCACTGCGGGCTGCACGCGTGGCAACTGGCAAGAACAAGTGAGGCTGAGTGGCTGTCACACCACAGAGAGTCATGGGGACTGTGGTTTGAGGAGGGCGTGCCCTGTCTGAAGGGGTGGCTGCTCCTCAGCCCAGCTAATAGGTGCCAGGAGGCACTCTGGGCTCAGTGATAGCTCAAGGGAAGCCAACCACCTGGATTTTTGTGGGAACATTTCCCTGGCTTTTGCTCTGGTCTAACAAAGCACATGTAGGCCAGTGGCACCCATGGCCACCTCCAAGAGACTCTAGAGGGACACAGTGCTGTGTACCCTTCCTCAAGCCCCCTCGGCAGCACCTCCCTGGGCCCTGCAGTGCCAAGGTCCTCAGACCATGACCTTTATCCCCGCCCCCACCCCACCCCCAGCGAAGGGGAGTGGGATTTCTACTGGTGTGACGTCAGCTGGCTCCGGGAGAACTTCGACCACACCTACATGGATGAACATGTGCGGATCAGTCACTTCCGGAACCACTATGAGGTGAGCTGGGCAGGCGGGAGGGACTGTGCCAACCAACTCATGTCACTGGGTGTGGCCATGAGCTGGAGCTGGTACAAGGATCAGAAAAGTGTATTAGAATGTGGGATGCAACGCCGAGTGGGAAGTCTGCGGGCTAGACCTATGGAGAGCCAAATGGTTTCAGGGTATAGGGATCCAAGGCCTGAGGACTGGAGGTCACAGGCTGGTTGGAGTTTCAGCACCAAGATTTGAGGAGCAAGATGGTTTGAGGGTGCAGGGTCTGAAGGGAGAGGATGCATGAATGATTATGGTGATTTCAGGGTGGAGGCAAGTTGAGAAGTTTGGGGTCTAAAGATGGGAAGGAGGTCTAGAAGGGACAGGACTGGAGGAGGCAGTGGTGGGAGATTTTTAAAGGTTAGTGTAGCTTAGCGGTTGAAAGCATGATTTTTTTTTTTTTTTTTTTTTTTTTTTGAGACAGAGTCTTGCTCTTGTCCCTCAGGCTGGAGTGCAATGGCATGATCTCGGCTCATTGCAACCTCTGCCTCCTGGGTTCAAGTGATTCTTCTGCCTCAGCCTCCCAAGTAGCTGAGTAGCTGAGATTACAGGTGCTCACCACCATGCCCGGCTAATTTTTGTATTTTTGTTAGAGATGGGGTTTCATCATGTTAGCCAGGATGGTCTCGAACTCCTGACCTTGTGATCCGCCCACCTTGGCCTCCCAAAGTGCTAGGATTACAGGCGTGAGCCACTGCGCCCGGCCAAAAGCATGAATTTTGGAGTCAAGACAGGCCCTGGTCAAATCCTGGGGCAGTGCAGCACCTTCGTTGGATAGCTCTGAGCAATTGACTTAATCTTTCTAAGCCCCAGTTTCCTCATCTGTGAAGTGGGGATAATTCTTGACTAGCAAGCTCTTTCTGGGTCAAAGTTACTCTTACTGTTGCTATTTTGTGGGCCAGAGCATGGAGGCTGCAGGGTGGCTGGTGGATGTGTGGGGCTGGGAGGGGAGCGGGGCTGTGAGCAGGAGCTAATGGCCGCCTGTCCTTCCCGCCACCCAGCTGACCCGGAAGAACTACATGGTGAAGAACCTGAAGCGGTTCCGGAAGCAGCTGGAGCGTGAGGCAGGAAAGCTGGAGGCAGCCAAGTGTGACTTCTTCCCCAAAACCTTTGAGATGCCTTGCGAGTACCACCTGTTTGTAGAGGAGTTTCGCAAAAACCCAGGAATCACCTGGATCATGAAGCCTGTGAGTGCCCAGTGCCAGGGGCTGGGTGGGAGGGAATGAGTCCCAGGTGCCATAGCAGGGATCAGGTGCAGACACTGCCTGGGAATTCAGCCTTAGATGCTGTCTGCCTTCCCGAAGGGCCAGCTTTAGCTCCTCTTCTCTGCAGTGTGTGGACCCAGCAGCTATGACTGCCAGCATACAGTAGGTGCTCAATGAGTGTTTATTGAATGCACAAGTGATGTTTAGGACGCCAGGGCAGGGAATTTGGAACCTGTCTTCCTGACATGCCAAGTGCTTTACCTGCGTTACCCCAGTCCTCATAGTGACCCTCGGGGGAGGGATCAACAGCCCCATTTTAGCAATGAAGAACTTGAGGCTTGCTTATTCAAGCATTTCACAAATACTTACTGAGCATGTACCATGTGCCAGGCACAGACCTAGGTGCTGAAGACACAGCCCTCAGCAAGTCAGCCTGGGTCTGTGCCCTTTTTGCAGGCAGACAATAAGCAAACAAAGGAGACCTATGCAGTTGCAGTTGTGCTGTTATTAAGGAGAATGGTGTCAGGAGAGGGATCCACAGGAGGCTCTTCCTGGCTGGGCAGGCTTCTCTGAAGAAGTGAGAGACTGGATTCTGAGGCCTACCCCCTTGTTCAAATACTACTGATACACTTACTAGCTGTGTGGCCTCAGGCAGCTTACGCACCTTCTCTGTGCTCCAGTTTTCCCATCTGCAAAGTGGGATTGTTATAATACCTATCACCTAGTGTTAGGGGACTAAATGAGTTAACACAGGTAAAGCACATAGTAAGTACTCAATAAATGAGAATTGTTATAATAATCAGAATTAGTATTGAGCTGCAACCTGAAGGATGCATACAAGTCTGCCTGGAAAAAAGTAGAGATAGGGAAGAGCATCCTAGGCTGAGGGAACTGCATATGCAAAGGCTTGGTATCAGGAGGCAGCCTATTGGGGCTCAAAAATCTGAGTGGGGCCGAGCATGGTGGCTCATGCTTATAATCCTAGCACTTTGAGAGTCCAAGGCAGGTGGATCACCTGAGGTCAGGAGTTCGAGACCAGCCTGGCCTACATGGTGAAACCCCCATCTTTACTAAAAATACAAAAATTAGCCGGGCATGATGGTGGGTGCCTGTAATCCCAGCTCCTTGGGAGGCGGAGGCAGGAGAATTGCTTGAATCTGGGAGGTGGAGGTTGCAGTAAGCCGAGATCGCCCCACTGCACTCCAGCCTGGGTGAGAGAGTGAGACTCCGTCTCAAAAAAAAAAGAAAAAAGAAAAAGAAACTGAAGAAAGGTGAGGACAACAGCGCACCTACCAATCACTCAGCCCTTTCTGGTGCCACAACTGTCACTCACCACAAAGCCACATGCCACCGTAGCCTTGAATGGCATCATCAAAGCCCTCTTATGTTTTCCAGGCCTGAGAATGTTCCAGGCCAGGGAGGGAGCAGGAGGGTGGAGGGAGCAGCCCTTTCCTGTGGAGCTGAAGACTGGTGTCTGGTGTTGGCTGATGCAGATTTAGCCAATAACACAGGTGCTTGGAGGGGAAACTGACATGGGGCTGACAAAAACAATGGATGCTCCCAACAGGCACGAAGCCAAGGTGTACCCAGGCCTCCCAGGTTCTTCCCCTGGCCCATCCTGCATCTCTGGTGTCCAGGGAAGGCGCAGTGAGGAAGGCCGTGGCTGGAGCAGTAGGGATTAGGCTGATGAGCACGGAGTGCTGTGACCCACCAGGGCGGATTCCAGCTCCCAGCATTATCCTCTCAGACAAATGGTAATTTGTGCTAATTGGGAACAGCACTTGCATATTAAATTGATTCCATTCCCAGCCCACAGCCTTTGTTAGCAGCAGACACAACGGCAGCTACAGCTGTAATTTAGAGGAGGCATCTTGGCTCGGTGTGTCTGTGCGTGTGTGTGTGTGTGTGTGTGTGTGTGTGTGTGTGTGTGTGTGTCCTCTTTCCCAAATTGCGAGGCACCCTGTCTCGGGTGGAGAGTGGGCGCTTCTGTGCTTCTAGTCATTTCTGGCATGGGTTCTAATTCTGTGTCCACTGCTTACAAGCTGTATGTCCCTGAGCAGGTCACTCGACCCCCTTAAGTCCCTCTGGGCTCATTTCTTCATCTGTAAAATGGAATTAATGAGTGTGTCTACCTTACAGGGTTGTGAGAGAATACAGTGAAGTTACACACGTTCGACACATGAATTTACAAATTATATCAAGGGCTTGGCATTAGGTGCCTGATAATTGACCATTTTCATTGTTATTTCCGAGTCCAGGAAACACCGTCTCTTTGCTCTGTCCCTGGGAAAGCACTAGGTCAGTGTTTCTCAAACGCTACAGTGCCCGTGCAGCATCCAGGGACCTAGTGCAATGCAGAGCCTGATTCACAGGTCTGGGTGGGGCCTGGGAACCTGCATTTCTACCAGCTCCCAGGACATGCCAGTGCTGCTGGTCTGTGCATACACTTTGAGTATCGAGATTGTGGAGCAGCGGTTCTCAAACTTGAGGGTGCAGCAGAATCTCCTGAAGAGCTTGTTCAAGCATCCCACCCACCCCAGAGTATGATTCAGTCAGCCTGGTGGGGGCCTGAGAATTTGCATTTCTAGCAAGTTCCCAGGTATAGCAGTCAGGGTTCTCCAGAGAAAGGAAAGCATTAGTGTGTGTGTGTGCGTGTATGTGTATGTGTGTGTGTGTGTGTGTGTGTGTGTGTGTGTGTGTGTGTATGTCTGTGTGTTTAAGGAATTGGCTCATACAATATTGTGGGGGTTGGCAAGTCTGAAATCTGCAGGGCAGGCCAGCAGGATGGAGCTTCAGGCAGGATTTCTATGTTACAGTTTTGAGGCAGAATTGCTTCTTTTTCAGGAAAACTCAGTTTTTACTCTTAAGCCCTCAACTGATTAAATGAAGCCCCTCCCCATGCTATCAAGGGTGATAACTTAAAATTAATGATTGCAGGCCAGGTGAGTGGCTCATGCCTGTAATCTCAGCACTTCGGGAGGCCAAGGTGGGAGGATCGCTTGATCCCAGGAGCTTGAGACCAGCCTGGGCAACATAGCAAGACTTAGTCTCTACAAAAAATACAAAAATATTAGCTGAGTGTGGTGGCGAGTGCCTGT
The DNA here is from genome assembly GCF_000001405.40 of Homo sapiens. Lineage (NCBI taxonomy): Eukaryota > Metazoa > Chordata > Mammalia > Primates > Hominidae > Homo > Homo sapiens. The sequence continues at coordinate 31,913,039 of NC_000020.11, forward strand.
AGTGCCAGCTACTTTGGGGGCTGAGGTGGGAGGACCACTTGGGCCTAGGAGGTTGAGGCTGCAGTGAGCCGAGATCATTCCACTGTACTCCAGCCTGGTGACAGAGTGAGACCCTATCTAAAAAAAAATTAATAATTGTAGATGTTAATCACATCTACAAAGTACCTTCAGAGAAACATCTAGCATTTGACCAAGCAACTGGGCACCATAGCCTAATCAAGTTGACACGTAAAATTAACCATCACACCAGGTTCTGAGGGTGCTACTGGTCTGAGTACCACAGTTTCTGAGAACCACTGGGTTTGAGTATTAGTTCCGGGACCTTATTTGGATTCCTTTCAGGAGGAGAGAGTGTTAAAAACAGAACATTGCCCTAAATTTGGAGAATAGAGGGAGAAGAGTCCCCTGAATCCCTCCACTCTTCCCACAAGGCCTGTCTTTGTGACATGGTTGATCTTTGCCCACCCACAGGCAAAAGTTTTCGCATAGTTGGTGTGGCCCAGCCAGTCACAGGGCAGCCCTCGGGCATCTCCTCTGCATTGTTTTCCTGGTGTCTGCCGAGCCTTCATCTTCCTCATCAGTGGCAGCAGAGCAGCCCAGGACTCAGAAGGGAGCAGGCAGCATCATTCCGTCTACACCACCCTGTGGGGACCCTCTTCCTACCAGGCCAGAGCCCCAGCCCATCTTGGAGCTTTTAGGGGAATATAAGAACAGGCTCTTGGGTCTGGCATTTAAAAGTCCAGTGTAAACATTGCATCGCTCTTAGCTTTCTTCCCATGGAAGCATTCTCCCCTGCCAGCAGTTCAGGCCGTCAGGGTTGGTGGGGAGGTGGGCAGGACACTGACACAGGTCATGGGACAACTGTGGCTCCAGCCCGCCTCGTGGTGCGGGGAGGCGACTGCTTGGCTGTCACGGATGGGGCCTGTCAGTCTCTCTGTGTGCCCCCCAAGCTGCTCAGGGACAGGGCCTATCTATCTGCTCACCCTGCGTCCACCAAGCTGGTCTAACACTTCACACACGGCAGCGAGCGTTCTTGGCAACCAGGGGGCTGTTCTCAGCCTTGGGGGCCTATTTCCAAACTGCAAGGCAGGAAGAGCCACATTTTAACATTCCATCACACTAGTTTACCCCAACCAGAACTTCTCAGAATTTTTCACTGAGACTTTCTAAGAGTCGGGATGCTTTACTCAGTAAATAATAGAAAATCCAAATAACAGTAGCTTAAACAAGAGGGCAAGACTTCTGTACTGTTTTTATGCCATGGGCCTCTTTGACATCTGGTGAAATGTGTGGACCCTATCACAGAATAGTGGTGTTTTTTTAACCACTTCATTGAAACATAATTGGCGTACAACAAGCTGTGCGTATTTAATGTGGACAGCTTAATGAGTTTGGAGATAAGTATGTACCCATGAAAGAATTGTGGTTTTAAAAACATAAAATACAGTACATTCCATTATAAAAGAAGGCAACTATACTGAAAACCCGTTATCAAACTGTGTTAATCTGGGTTCCCCAAGAAACGGATGCCAAGACAAAATTAAACAGTTTGGCTGGTGAGAAAAAATGGGGAGGGAGCTAGCAGGTGAGGCTGGGAGAGAATCAGGCCTCCAAGGAAGCGAAGAAAGAAGAGAGGGAGGGAGGGAGGAAGGTTGGAAGTTTCTATTGCTGAGCAGCCTTTGAAAGTTCATCAAGGCCCCTGGGAGGCCTCAGCCAAAGTTGGCTGTCAGGAGTCCCCTGTCTCTCAGGAATGGCCGGTCTTCATATCCCCTGGGGCTTAGTCACTGACTGGGAGCAGCCCTAGCAAGACGCCCTGGCAAACACTGCTAGACCTCAACTGGAAGCCGCTGGCACTCTCAGTCAGTTACTCTGTTGGAGGCCTGCAAGGTGCATTGTCATGGCCACCACACAAGCGATTACAAAATTATTTGTGCTATAGAAATATGTGCGCTTTTCATTAACAATTAAAGAGGATCTAACAGCAGGCCTCACAGCTACCACAATTTCAAAGTCAGGAGGAGCATAAACAATATTTTGAGATATCTGCAACAATTGTAATGTGATGTCGAAATCACTGTGATCTCTTTAGATGGCAAAGTCACGGGCATGGCTAACACTCCTATGATTTGTTGCATTCCTAATAGAAAGGAATGTGAAAATCGGCCGGGCGCGGTGGCTCACGCCTGTAATCCCAGCACTTTGGGAGGCTGAGGCGGGCGGATCACGAGGTCAGGAGATCGAGACCATCCTGGCTGACATGGTGAAACCCTGTCTGTACTAAAAATAACAAAAAATTGGCAGAGCGTGGTGGCAGGCACCTGTAGTCTCAGCTACTTGGGAGGCTGAGGCAGGAGAATGGCATGAATCCAGGAGGCTGAGCTTGCAGTAAGCCGAGATCCTGCCACTGTACTCCAGCCTGGGTGACAGAGCAAGACCCTGTCTCAAAGAAAAAAGCATAATATAAAAATATATCCCTCCCAAACCATCAAGTAATAGAGCTGCCCCCAGAACTAGCAGTGTTTATCCTGTGATTTTGTGTATCCCCGGCACTTTTCAAGAGGTATATGAGCCCCAGGTTTGTGTAGCACAGATTTAACTATCTCAGATTTGTCACCTGTTGGCTGGGTGACCTTGGGCAATGTGTTTGGCCTGTCTGTTCGCTGGTTCTCTTGGCTGCAAAATGGGGATAACATTAATGTTTATGTCAAAGGGTGTGTGTTTTTTTTCAAGCTTTAATGAGGTAACGTGTATAAATCACGGTGTCTGGCACAGAGTAAACACCTGGTAAGTATTGGCTGCTGGTATTGCCATTGTTATGAACCATTCTACTAAAGCTCGTATTCCGGTTATCTATTTCAGAGTAGCAAACCACTCCCAAACATAGTGACTTGAAACAACAATAATGCCTTATTTAGTTCATGTGAGCCCCCAGCTTGGACAGTGCTTGACAAGGAAGGCTGCTCCAGCATCCACTGAGGGCTGGAGGATCCCCTTCCTAGCTGGCTCACTGGCTGGGCTAGCAAGTAGGTGCCAGCTGTTGGCTGGGAATTCAGCCAGAGTTGAGGGCTGGAAGACTCAGTTGCCTTCCAGGTGGGCCTCTCCCTGTGACCTGGGCTTCCTCACGGGATGGCTGCTGGGTTCTGAGGGCAACCATCCTGAAAGAGAGAGCCAGGCAGAAGCTATATTGCCTTTTATGACCTGGCATTGGAATTCACACATCACTTCTGCCATAGGCAATTAGTAGAGACACTTCCAGATTCAAGGGAGGGGACATTGATTTACCTTTTGACAGGGTTCTGGAGAACATATGGGACAGGAAATATTGTCGTGGTTGTTTTTGGAAACTGCCATCTGCTGGAACTAGGTATTAGGTGATTTCCATCTCATCAGCCCCGATGTAACACCATGCAGGCGGTTCATCTTTCATTCTTTAGGGTTAGTCCCTTAGGAAGGCACCTCCTGGAACAGTCATGTCAAGTTACTAACAATGGCCTGAACAATAAAGGCATTTTGTTATCTCACAGAACAAGAAGGCTGAGGGTAGGCATATCCAGGTTTGGGGATGTGCTAGATGATGCCACTAGAGGCCCAGGCTCCTTCTCTCCATCGACTCTGCATCCTGTGTGCTGGCTTTTTGTCATCAGACTTGTCACCTCATGGATGTGACATGGCTGCTGCAGTCACAGGCATCATCTCCGCAGACTGTAGCATTCAAAGAAAGAAGGAAGGAGCCCGGGATATTTCTTCCCGATCCCCTTTCTCCCCAGCTCCTTCCCTAATATTTTTAACAAGGAGAAACATCTTTCCTGGAATCTCTGAGCAAATGTCTCCTTAGGTCTGATTGGCCAAAACTGGTCATGTGGTTTCCACCAACTGCAAGGGAAGCTGGGAAAACCTACATCTGGTCTTTCTAGCCTCCCTCATGAGAGGTGGGCTTTGCTAGCAAGGAAGAAGAGGAAGGAAAGTGGCCATAGGGAAGGCAGCCAACAGGGTTGGGGATAGGGGTTCCTAGACCAAAGCATATGAACCTGAAAAGATACCGTTTAATTGAAGTTTAATAAAATATAGAAAAGTAGCCAAATTATAGGGGCACAGTATGAATTTTCACAAAGTGAATCCACTCAAATAATCAGCACCCAGGTCATAAACAGAGCGTTCCCTACCCTCAGCAGCCCTCTCAGGCCCCTTTCCACTCACTCACAACCCCCCAAGGCACTAAACATCGTAGGTTTGCTTTGTCTGCTTTTGGACTTTATATAATTGGAATCTTATAGGATGACTACCTTGTGTCTGGTGTCTCTCCCTTGACATGTTTTGCAGTTCATTCTGCTGATGTGGGTAATTGTACATTATTAACTGTCATCGTTGTATACTATTCCATTGATTAAATATTCATCCATTGGGGAGTCTCAGGGTGGAGCTATTATGATAGTGCTGCTGTGGGTGTCTGGGGCCATGTCCATGGTGACATGTGCAGACATTTCTGTCATGTAGGTCCCTAAGAGAGGAATTGCTGGGACATAGGATAGAGGATGCCTATGTTCAGCTTTAGCAGATGCTGCCAGTTTCCAAACAACGTACTCTCACACCAGCAGTGTGTGCAAGTTCCAGTTTCTCCACATCCTCACCAATACTTGGTATTGTCTGTCTTTAATTTAACTATTCTCAGGTAGTATATAGTAGTATCATATTGTGATTTTCATTAGTGTAAGAATTAAAGAAAGAGGAGAGAAACACGAAAGGTGGCTCGCCCGTCAAGACAGGTTTATTTTAGAGAAAACAAACCTGAGAGGAACCTTCTGGCTGAGTTAGGTCAGAGCCACACTCTCTTACAGACTAAGAGTTTTTAAGGATTCAGGGCGGGAGAGTTTATTAGAGGCTTGGACTGCTTCTGTGTCTCTTTATTGTGCTTATCTGGGAGGGAGAGTTGTGTGTCTGTTCCCATACATCTTTCTGCAGCTGCAGGCATATCCCCCGGGTTGCTTTTAGCTTTCCTATCTTAGTGCACCTGAAGGGAAAGGAATGTGCTTATTAAGATCTACTGTTTTACTGGGGCCCATTGTATGAGGGCGAAGTTTGGCAGTTACCCAAGAGACTTTCCCCCCACCTCCCTCTGTGCCCGAGCTGTCTTATCTGTGTTTTACTGTCTGCTCTTTCTGTCTGCTTGTAGTTAGAAGAGAAGTGATTTCCTTGAAATGCATGAGGCCAGAAAGGGAACTGGAACTTAAAGTGGCAGTGTTTGTCCGAGATGACGAGATGACGGTGCTCTTGTTCTGTCAATTAGCACTTCTCTGTTGGTGAACCCTCTGATGAAGTTGAGTGCCCGTTCTTTTCTTTCTTTCTTTTTTTTTTAACAGACAGAGTCTCACACTGTTGCCCAGGCTGTGCAGTGGTGCAATCCCTGCCCACTGCAGCCCTGATCTCCTGGGCTAAAGTCATCCTTCCACCTCTGCCTCCCAGATAGCTGGTACTACAGGGGTGCACTCTCATACCCAGCTAATTTTTAAAGCTATTTTTAGTAGCGATGTGATCTCAAGGTCTTTCTACGTTGCCTAGACTTGTCTCGAACTCCTGAGCTTAAATAATCCTCCTACTTCGGCCTTCCAGAGTGCTGGGATTACAGATGTGAGTCACTGTGCCCAAGCTATTGTATGTTTACACTGGTAATCTTCTTTCGTAAAATGCCTGTTCAAGTCTTTTGCAAGGCCGTGAACTGTTGGAAGCTCCTGATGCACACTTATTAGTTGCTTTCTAAAATTGCTGTGCACATTTGGCTGCCCCTGAGCCACCACCAGTGCTCCATAGAGTTTTTGGCACCCAGTCTTCTGGGCCCACACAACCCTGAACCATGGTGCACAGCATGGCAGGCAGAGCAGGGGCTCTTTGTGCAGTAGACAACCTGTACAACCACACCTGGCAGCCCTGCATGCCCCTATCTTGTACAGAGAGCCTCGGGTGGGCCAGGTGGGCCATGCTCAGAGGAGAACAGAAGGAAATGAGAGTTGCAGTTATGCTGGAGGTAAGATGACTTGGGAGATCTGCTCAGTGGCTGCAAATACCTAAAGGACTCTTCTGGCACCCAGGAATCAGCTTTGTTCTAGGAGGTCCTAAAAGCCAAAGCCAGACTGGCCAGTCTTAGCTCAACACAGGTTAGGCTGTGAACGTTCCATTGCATAATGCTCAACATACAGTATGCACTTCATATATACCTTTTGGATGACTACTTAACAAAGCTATCCTGTAACAAAATGGGCTGTTTGGCATTGGTGGGGGAGGTAGTGAGCTGCTAGGCACTGTGAGTGTGCAAGGCCAGGCAGGAGGACTGTTGTCCTTCTACAATGGTAGAAGGGGAGTAATGCCTTTGTTGAGGACCACTCCATATGAGATCAAAGATTCTCTCAGCCCCTAGACTGTGTGAAGCTATGAATTATCCATGCTGGGGTTCAGTAAAGGCAGGCTGATTTCAGTATTAGCCGGAGCAAACCCTAATTAGGAAGGCAAATTGATTTCCAAAAAAAGATTTGGATGATATGTTCCCAGGACTGTTAGAAATGGCTTTTTAATTGTCTGTTCTTTTGCATTATTCATGCAAATGTATGTCTTTGTGAGCTAAGTCAGTCTCCCCCTTCCCCTCCCTTCCCTCTCTCCCTCTGCCAGGGTTAGCACCTTCTCTGTTCCAGCCCCTTCAGCTAGCCTTCCTCTGGGGAGAGTTGGGGGTTCATAAGGAAAAAGAGACAGATATGCTGGGGAGAGCCCCCAGCCACGGGGGCCAACAAGGAACCACGCAGAGCTAAGAGCTGGCTTTCTGCCCCCATCCCACCCCAGGTAGCCCGGTCTCAAGGGAAAGGCATCTTCCTCTTCCGTAGGCTGAAGGACATCGTGGACTGGAGGAAGGTGAGCCTGCCTCTTCCCCCTTCCTCCCTGAACCCTCCTCTGACCTTGCCAGCAGGAGGGGCCACTCCTTCCTGCAATCAAAGCTCAGAGGGCTGGCAGAGAAACTCTGCCCACAGGTCTGCCCATTGGAGCAGGGTCTCCAGAGCCAGATTGTCCAGGTTCAAATCCTGATCTTGCCACTCAGTCACTCAATAGCTGTGTGCCCTTGAGCAAGTTACTTCACCTGTCAGTGCCCCAGTAAATGGGGATGGTAATTATACCTGCTAAGGATGCAGTGAGCTAATAAGCAAACACGCGCACACACACACACACACACACATTCTCACACACACCCACACACCCAGCACAGTGCCTGGCACTCAGCGCTCGATGCACGTTCTTTATCTGGGCCTCCTGCTCACGTGGCTGGGGAGAGTTTGGCTGACTCTTCCTCAGGGCCTAGACTGAGCCTCGGGGGCAGCTACCTCCCAACCCCAATCCATTCTTGTCCCAAGACACAGTACAGTAGAAATCCTGGTTCAAATCCTGCCTCTCCCACTCAGCAGCTGTGTGGTCTTGGGAAAATGACCGAAGCCCTCTGAACCTGAGCGGTGACGATGGTGCAGGGTGGGTGGGAGGAGCAGGATGGCTGAAATCCTATAGGACCAGCCCCTGCTGTACCAGGAGGCGCACAGCAGTGCTCAATGTCTTGACTCCTCCCATGAAACTGTCAGGGCACTACAGGAAAGAGCTCAGCAGCCTGGAGGCCCAGCCTGCCTGGAGCACGGTCAGTCCCTCTGGCAGCCACGTGAGTGGAGGTAGGGCTGGGCCCAGGTCCCAGGAAGGGAAGACCTGGCTGCTTCTGTCTTGACACAGCTGAGTGGGGAACAATGGTGGGTGAAGCAGGTCTACCCTGAGAGCTAGTGCTGCCTGCCATTATTGGGGCTGTTGTGTCACCCCATCAAGTGTGTGACCCTTGTCTTTGAGTGAAGGGGACAATAGGTGGGAGAGGTGTTTGCAACCTGCGAGGTGCTGTGCAGATGCATGAGAGCATTGCTGTCTTCCAGAGCTGGGCTGGCAGGTAGAGAAGAAGGAGCAATGTCCTCGGGGGCCCATGGGTGGTGTAGGCAGCACTGTCCAACAGAACTTTCTAGAGGGATGAAAATGGATATCTGTGCTCTCCAATGCGGTGACCACTAGCCACATGCAGGATGTTGAGCACTTGCCACATGGCTGGTGTGACTGAGGACTGGATTTATAATTTCATATCCTTCTTAAAAATTGTGGGCCGGCAACAGACACATGAAAAAATGCTCATCATCAGTGGCCATCAGAGAAATGCAAATCAAAACCACAATGAGATACCATCTCACACCAGTTAGAATGGCGATCATTAAAAAGTCAGGAAACAACAGGTGCTGGAGAGGATGTGGAGAAATAGGAACACTTTTACACTGTTGGTGGGACTGTAAACTAGTTCAACCAGTGTGGAAGACAGTGTGGTGATTCCTCAGGGATCTAGAACTAGAAATACCATTTGACCCAGCCATCCCATTACTGGGTATATACCCAAAGGATTATAAATCATACTGCTATAAAGACACATGCACACGTATGTTTATTGTGGCACTATTCACAATAGCAAAGACTTGGAACCAAGACAAATGTCCAACAATAATAGACTGGATTAAGAAAATGTGGCACATATACACCATGAAATACTATGCTGCCATAAAAAAGGATGAGTTCATGTCTTTTGTAGGGACATGGATGAAGCTGGAAACCGTCATTCTCAGCAAACTATTGCAAGGACAGAAAACCAAATACCGCATGTTCTCACTCATAGGTGGGAATTGAACAATGAGAACACTTGGACACAGGAAGGGGAACATCACACACCGGGGCTTATTTTGGGGTGGAAGGAGGGGGGAGGGATAGCATTAGGAGATACACCTAATGTAAATGACGAGTTAATGGGTGCAGCACACCAACATGGCACATGTATACATATGTAACAAAACTGCACGTTGTGCACATGTACCCTAGAACTTAAAGTATAATAAAAAAAAATTGTGGGTCGGGCGTGGTGGCTCACACCTGTAATCCCAGCACTTTGGGAGGCTGAGGTGGGCAGATCATTTGAGGTCAGGAGTTCGAGACCAGCCTGGCCAACATGGTGAAACCCCATCTCTACTAAAAATACAAAAATTAACCATGGTGGCTGTCACCTGTAATCCCAGCTACTTAGGAGGCTGAGGCACAAGAGTTGCTTGAACCCGAGAGGTGGAGGTTGCAGTGAGCCAAGATGATGCCACTGCACTCCAGCCTGGACAACAGAGCAAGACTCATTCTCAAAAAAAAAAAAAAATTGTGGTAAAATCTGTAACATGAAATTTACCATTGTAACTTCTTTTAAGTGTGTGGCTTTATCACACTAAGTGCATTCACATTGTTGTGCAACCACCACCACCACCATCCGTCTCCAGAACGTTTCATCTTCCCAAACTGAAACTCTGTAACTGTTAAACACAAGCTCCCCGTTCCCTCCTCTCCCCAGCCCCTGGCAACCCCCATCTACCTTCTATCTCTATGAACTTGACTACTCCAGGGACTCATCTAAGTGGAATCAGACAATATTTGTCCTTTTGTATCTGGCTTATTTCACTTAGCCTTATGTCTTCGAATTTCATCCATGTTGTAGCATGTAATTTCATTTACTTTTCATCAAGGTAAATGTAAATGGCGTCTTGCGGCCAGTGACTGCCCTACTGGGCAGCACCAGTCTAGAGTTTAAACACTCAGGCTCTGGGCCTAGACCATGTAGGTTCACATCCCAGCAACACCACTAACTGGCTGTGTGACCTTGGACAAGTTACTCTCCCTCTCTGTGCTTCAGTTTCTAATCTGTGAAATGGAAATAACATTAGTACTTACCTGACAGGGTTGATTTAAAGATTCAGTGAGCTACCCAAAGTAGTGTCTAACAGAATACCTAGTACACAGGAAATGTTCCATAAATAAATGTTCAATTATTATTATTATTACAACTAGGACACAAGAAGCTCTGACGACCAGAAAGATGATATTCCCGTGGAGAACTATGTGGCTCAGCGTTACATTGAAAATCCTTACCTGATAGGAGGTGAGATGGCTGTGTCTGCTCCTGCTCTTCCATTGCATGGTCATCAAACAGTCAGTCAACAAGCTTTGACCAGCAGCCTGCCAAGGGCCCAGCCTGACACCAGGCATGAAGGGATGCATGGAAAGAGATGGGTTCTGCAGTCTCCCACCTCCTAGCCATTGCCTGTACAGTTCCCTCTGCCCGGCATGTCCATTCCACTCCCTTCTTGGTTCAGAAAAATTCTCCTCCTTTAAAAACCAACTTATTCATGCGTTTATCCAACAAATATTATAAAGCACCTACTTGGTGGCAGCACTGCCCTGAATACTGGCTGCCCCTCACCCTGCTCTCCTGGAGCTTACACCTGTGATGAGCAGGCTGCAATAAACCAGAATACAAACCACAGGACGGTCCCATGCAGTGCTGGGTGCTATGAAGTCAGTCAAGCAGGGCAATGGGACAGAGAGTGACATGGGGGCCAGGAGGTGGACATGTGAGCTGAGACCTGAGTGACAACTGGGAGTCACTGTGGGTAGATTTGGAGGGAGAGAAATGCAGGGAGGAGGAATCACAAGGGCAAAAGGCCCTGAGGTGGAACCCAGCCTCCTCCCCGCAAGCTTGGTGGGTTTCCCCAGGCGGGCCAACATCTGCTTTTCTCACTCGGGCTCTGGGAACTGCAGGCACATCAGGCATGCCTGACATCATTGCAATAGCGTTAATGCCAGTTGTCTCCTCCCACGTCCTCTGGCAATTACCTTCCCCAGGGGGCAGCCCCTGGGCCTCTTCTCCTCTCTCCCCCACAGTGACCCCATCCTGTCTGTGGCTTAAACACCACCCAAAGGCCAGTGACTCCCAGCTTTCTGTCCCCAGCCGAGACCTTGCCCCTGAACCCCAGATCCTTATGTCCAGCAGCCTGTGACATCCGTCTTGGGCATCTGCCAACCACTCAAACCCAACACATCCCAAATTCTGCCCTCCCATCCCCCCACCATGCCTCAGCTTCTCTAGGGGACACAGCTAGAAGCCAGGAGCCATTCTGGGTGTGTCCCCCTTCCCCTTCCACATCTGGTTCTCACCAAGCTCCCACAAGCTCTGGAATCTGGCCATTCCTCTCACCTCCACCCCGGGCCTGGCCACCATCCTCTTCCTCCTAGACAACCACGCCCGCCCCCTCACTGGTGCCTGCCGCTGCTCTGCCCACTTCACTCCACCCCAACGTGGCAGCCAGAGAGGAGACACCCTTCCATGGCTTCCCATGGATTGTGAGACAAAACCCCAAAACTGCATGGGACCTGACCTCTGCCAGCCTAACTGACCTCATCTCCTTCCACTCTGCCCTTGGCCCAAGCTCTTTCCCCCTCCAGACTGTTCTCGCAGTTCCTTCTGCCCAAGATCCTGCACCACTCTGGGCTGGGCAGGCACCTTGTCTCCATGAAGGTCACCACTCCCCATGGGGGTCTTTGACCACTGAGTTTCAAGACTTTCCCCCAAGTTGACCCCCACGCACCCCTCCCCCACCTCCCATTATTCTCTCTTTATACCTTGTGCGTTTTTTTTGTTGTGTTTTTTTGAGACCATGTCTTGCTCTGTCACTCAGGCTGGAGTGCAGGGTCACGATCATAGCTCATGCAGCCTCCATCTCCTGGGCTCAAGCGATCCTCCTGCCTCAATCTCCAGAGTAGCTGAGACTACAGATGTGCACCACCATGCGAGGCTAATTTTTTTGTAGACACAGAGTCTCACTATGTTGCTCAGGCTGGTCTTGGATTCCTGGCCTCAAGCGATCCTCCTGCCTCAGCCTCCCAAAGTGTTGGGATCACAGGCATGAGGCACCGCGCCTAGCCCCTTGTGTAGTTTCAGCAGGAGCTTCATGAAGGCGGGGTTTCCTGTCTGTCCACTGCTATTTTCCCAAAACCTAGCACAATGTCTGACGATCAATATTTGTTGCACAAATTAATTTTTTCCTTGCCTGACAGGCCGCAAGTTTGACCTGCGTGTCTATGTGCTGGTGATGTCGGTGAGTAACAAAGGTGGGGGCCCTCCTCCAGCAGGGGTTAAAGGGTGGCTGGGCTAGGGAGATGGGGGGAAGAGGCCTGGGGGTACCTTGTGTGAGCTTGTCTGGTTTTATCTCTCCCTGGGAGATCCCCGAGGGACATCTAGGGATAGGGTGGGGGCAGGGAGACTTATCTGAGGTTTACCATCTTAGATGCCCCAAAGTCTAGATTTGCCCTCTCTCTGCCCTTCTTTATTCATTCGGTCATCCACAGCAGACATTTATTGAGCACCTACTAAGTACCAGGCCCTGGCACTTAGCAGGTTTTATCTCATTCAGGCCTCCTAATAACCCAGGGAGGCAGGTTCTATTATTATTCTCCCTTTACAATGAGGGAACAGATACAGAGGTTGTGTACCTTGCCCAAGGTCACACAGTTGGTGAGCAGCAGAGCTGGCATTCAAATCCAGGCAGCCTGGCCTCAGAGCCTACTCTTTTAACCAGGGAGTGGCTATATTCCCTCCACCCATTCATGCATTCCTTCATCCAGCCAATGTTCAAATCTTTTTGCTGGGCACAGGATACAGGGGTGTCCAAGACAGACTCCACCCCTGTTCTCCTGGACTTCACCTTCATTTTATTTCCTTCTGTATCCCCCTCCACCTGGGGAAAGGAGGGGATAGAATCAAAGAAGCCTGGTGTAAAAGCAGGTGCCTGAAGGATGATTTGGGAAAGACATAAGGGCACTCCGGGTGGAGGAAACGGTAGGTGCAAGAGCTAGGCGGTGTGAGAGTGCCTGTATATATTCCCTTTCCCTTCTCTCTCTCTCTTCCCACCTCTGCCTTAGTACATCCCGCTGCGGGCCTGGCTCTACCGGGATGGCTTTGCCCGATTCTCCAACACCCGCTTCACACTGAACAGCATTGATGACCAGTGTATCCTGGGATCCTGGCTAACCACCCCCGACACACCTACCCCTTCCCACACTCTGGCCAGTCCCAAGTGAACTCCTTTGTCCCACAGGTGTTTGCTGAATGCCTGCTGTGGTCTGGGCACAGGAGACAGGGTATGAGATAGGTCTGGTCCCTTCCCTCCGGGAGCTTCCAGTTTTGTGGGGGTGATTCCATGGGAGAGGCCAACTCTGCTCAGAGCAGCTCACTGCAAGCTGCTCTGCCTGATGATAGTTTTGGTGCTATGCCTAACATTCACATTTACTTATATTCCTAGGGTCGGACAGTTTTAGCCCCTTTGGAGAACATTTGCATCCTTTTATGTGCCTCTTTCTTCAGTGCCTAGTCATTGGCTCACTCATTCATTCAAGTACAATGCTATTTTCACCCATCCGATTGGCAGAGACCAAAAATTTGATAACACAGTGTCCTGGCGAGGCTGGGAGAATACATACGTTGCTGGCGGGATTGTAAATTGATTGGTATGACTCCTTTGAAGACAATCTAGCAAAGATCTGTTAAAAGACAAATGCACACATGCCCTGTGACCCAGCAATTCCTCTTCTGGGATTTTATCATCTTACAAGTACATCTGCGGTATAAGACAAGACAGGCTTCAAGGTCATTCACTGCACAGCCTTGTTTGTGAGAGAAAAAAATAGGGAACATTGAAATGAATGGCTCCTTTATACAGTGGAATACTATGAAGCTGTTAAAAAGGAATGGGGAAAGTGCTTTATGTACTGATATGAAACAATTTCCAAGATATATTGTTAATTGGGAAAAAACAAAGCATGTCTAGAACAGTGTTTGAAAGTATGTTCTCGTTCATGTTAAAAATTATATCTGGTCAGATGTGGTGGCTCACACCTGTAATTCCAGCACTTTGGAGGCTGAGGCAGAAGGATCACTTGAGGCCAGGAGTTCAAGACCAGCCTGGGCAACATAGTGAGATCCTGTCTCTATGAAAAAAATAAAAATAAAAATAAATTAGCCAGATGTGGTGTCACATGCCTGTACTCCCAGCTACCCACTCAAGTGAGGTGGGAGGATCACTTGAGCCCAGGAGTTCCAGGCTGCAGTGAGCTGTGATTTTGCCCCTGTATGCCAGTCCAGGTGACAGAGCAAGACTGTATGTCAAAAAAAAAAAAAATCTCTCTCTCTCTGTCTATATATATATGTTTGCTTATCTGTACATAGACAACTCTGGAAGAACAGACAAGAAGCTGGGTGCAGCGGCTCACACCTGTAATCCCAGCACTTTGGGAGGCCAAGGCAGGTGGATCACCTGAGGCCAAGAGTTGGAGACCAGCCTGACCAACATGGTGAAATCCCATTTCCACTAAAAGTACAAAATTAGTTGGGCATTGTGGCATCTGCCTGTAATCCTAGCTACTAGGGAGGCTGAGGCATGAGAATCCCTTGAACCTGGGAGGCGGAGTTTGCAGTGAACCGAGATCACGCCATTGCACTCCAGCCTGGGTGACAAAATAAGACTCTGTCTCAAAAAAAAAAAAAAAAAAAAAAAAGAAACTGGAAATAGATGTTGCCTTTGGGAAGAGAAATGTTAGTGGATACAGAGGTAGAAAGGAGATGTTTCCTTACACACATTTTGTGCATTTTAACTTTTGAGCCATGTGAATGTATTATCTGGTCAAAATAGACACATCAAAAGAAGTTTTAAAGATCTTTAGGCCTGAGCCTCAGAAGAAAAGAGGTAGACAATCCAGCAATATTTTGGAGGCAAATGGGCGGGACCAGATGACTTGCACATGGGAAAGATGGAAATGGGGGTGACGCTCCCCAGCTTCGGGTGTGGACAACCCAGCCAATGCTTTTAGCCCATTTGCATCTCTCTGCATTAATTTCCCCATTCAGTTGAGTGCGTGTCCAAGGTGATGCATGTGCATTGCCTGCATGTGAAACTGCGATTAGACCTTTCTGAGTATTTTTTGCAATTTGTTTTTTTCTATTTTGCCAACGTCAGCACTTCCAGTACGTTCATTTTATTTTGTAATTCTAACAAGCATTTATCATATGCAAGTCATCGAGTTTAGTTTAATTGCCACCTACTTTTTTTTTTTTTTAACTAAAGTTAAATAATACATGTAAAGCAGTTAGAACAGTGGCTGGCCCAGAGTGACCTCTCAGTAAATGTTAGTGGTCCTCCTCTCCCACTTAAAAATGTTTGCACAGCTCTGGGCATCATGGGGACTTTTTAAACAAATCAAGCCCTCTCCCGGGGCTAGTTTCTAGTTAATGAGGCTTTGCTGTTTTCACAGTGAGTAAATACACATTTTCCACCCCTTCTTTTATATTGTTTTAAATGTTTAATCTTGAAATATTAATAGAAAATAATTTTCTATAAATAGAAAACTGCAGGAAGGACTATAACAACCCATGCATTTACCATCCAGATTTAACAGATTAATATTTTACCACATTCGCATCAGATATTACATACTAACTTTTAAAATAATTTTGGATCACAAAATAATAAACATTTTTAACCTGACTTCATTATATATAATATATATAGTTTATACATAATTATTCAAATATATATTTGCATATAGTATATCTATACATACACTAAATACAAAAATATTCATTGAAACACTGTATATAATAGTATACAGTCATCACCCTTGATCCCTTAAATCTCCCTTGAGGGATGGTGAAATGAATGATAAAGCATCTATGTGATCTTGTGCATCTGTTGAAAGCAATGAGATAGGTCAAAATATCATGACATAGAAAGATATCTAAAACAGATGATTAAGTGAAAAACAAAATGTAAGATGGAGAACCTGGTATATTCATGTTCCCATTTTTGCCTTTAAGGAAGAATGTTTATGTTTAAGAAAAAGTATGAAAGGATGTTCGTGATTCACCAGTCTATCTTAGTGATTGATTGATTGACAGTTTCCTTCTCTGTTGCCCCCGATCGAGTACAGTGGTGGGATCACAGCTCTTTGCAGCCTTGAACTCCTGGGCTCAAGTGATCCTCCCACCTCAGCCTCCTGTGCAGCTGAGACCACAGGCACATGCCACTGTGCCTGGCTAACTTGTTTTTTGTAGCAATGAGTTCTCGCTATGTTGCCCAGGCTGGTCTCAAACTCCTAGGCTCAAGAGTGTGACCTTGATTCAACAGTTTGAATCCTCCCACCTTGATCTTCCAAGGTGCTGGGATTACAGGCGTGAGCCACCGTGCCCAGCCTCACTAATCTATTAACTCTGAAAACTGCAGAGAATTAGAACCAGGTCAGGAAACATTTATTTTAAACTTTATACATGTCTATTATGAATTGTTTCTACAATGGATAGGCCTTACTCTAATAATAAAATAATAAAACATTGAAAGGATATAGTTTTATAATAAAAGTGGTATAGCTCATGAAAATCAAATCAGAATATTCAGAACAGTGCAAAAAGAAAGAGAAACCTTCTCTAGGCATATTTTCTAGCAGAAACTTCTTACTATTTTGGTGTATTTCCTTCCAGGCTCATTTGTAGGGAATTTTGTTGTCATTCACCTTTTATATATAAATGATCCCATTGTATAAATACAACATTTTCTTGCACTAAACATTATCAGCAGTATTTTCCTTGTAGACTTTTTTTTTTTCATTAATGAAAATATTCCACTGAGTAGGTTTCCTGGTTTTCTAATCCCCCATGCTGCAGGCATTTGGGAAGTATTCAATTTCTTGCTATAGTGACACATAATGCTGCAAAGGAACATATTTCTTCATAAACCTTTTACAGTATTAAGATTTTTCCTTTGGATGGTGTCACAAAGATGTAAATACTGAGTCAAGCCCATCTGGCCAGATTGCTTCCCAGAAGAGTCCTTTTATCTTTTTACCCTCACTGGGTGTGGTGGCTCACGCCTGTAATCCTAGCACTTTGGGAGCTGAGGCGGTCAGATCACTTGAGGTCAGGAGCTTGAGACCAGCCTGACCAATATGGTGAAACCTGATCTCTACTAAAAATACAAAAATTAGCCAGGCATGGTGGCAGGCGCCTGTAATCCCAGCTACTCGGGAGGCTGAGGTAGGAGAATCACTTGAACCCGGGAGGTGGAGGTTGCAGTGAGCCAAGATTGTGCCACTGCACTCCAGCCTGAGCAACAGAGCAAGACTCTATCTTAAAAATAAATAAATAAAAATAAAATATTTTTACCCTCCTATTGACTGGTCCATTTCATCCCAACTCCCCAGTCCTGGGGACAATTGTTTTAAACAGCCATTTCTGAAACGACTGGGCATGTCTAGGTGAAGCAGATAGGGGCATTCATTATATGATTCTTGCAAATATTCTGTGAGTTTTGAAGTTTTCAAAATGAAAAGATTTTTTAAATGCAACTGACTTGATGAGGGAGCAGAATTTTGCCTTAGAATTAGCATTTCTTCCAATTTTCATTTTCCCCCATTTGCGTGCCTTTGAAATTATATATCTTCTATTACTAGGAACTTTGAGCTTTTTCCCAGATGGGGTCCTACCAGCTTTATTTTCTCTTTTATGTCTGTCCATATCCTTTACTTAGTAAATAAACAGTCATACATTTTATTGTTAATTCATGTGGGATTTTCATGTGACAGAAACAGACTATTGCATTTGCTACACATCTTTTCTGTGGTCACTGATTCTTTAATTTTTGCATTGACATCTGTTCATTTTTATTTTCACATGCTTGTCCATTGGTTTACTTGTCCATTGGTTTCCTCTGTGATTTTTACCATCATTTCTAAACTAAGAAAAGTCTTTTTCTCCTAAATATTTTGCAGTGAATCAGTTCTGTTTCTCTGTGGATTTATTTTGATTGTATGTTTACTCTGCTACTTGACCATTGGTCCACTGAGACCTGGTTTTAGGTTCCTCTCTAGAGACGGGAGGCTCTGAGGTTGGCTGACCCATCTCTCACCCCTTTCTTTCAGCCTCTGCTTCTCCTCTGCTCCTAAGGAGGCCCGCTGTCTCCTCCACAGCAGGCGGGAGCAGTGTGTGAAGTGTGAAGTTCTGGGAGTCGTACTTCCTTCATCTGAAGAGAGCTATTTCCCCTCTTCAGCCAGTAACTTACTTTGCCCCAGCATCCTCTTTTCCTTTTTTTTTTTTTTTTTTCAAGACAGAGTCTTGCTCTGTTGCCCAGGCTGGAGTGCAGTGGCACAATCACGGTTCACTACAGCCTCCATCTCCTGGGCTGAAGCGATCCTCCTACCTCAGCCTCCCTTGTAGCTGGGACCACAGGCACGCACCACCATGCCCAGCTAATTTTTAAATTTTTTATAGAGACTGGTCTCACTATGTTGCCCAGGCTGGTCTCAAACTCCTGGGCTCAAGCGATCCTCCTGCCTTGCCCTTCCAAAGTGCTGGGATTACAGCCTCGACTTCCCGGGCTCAAATGATCCTCCCACCTCAGCCCCTCAAGTAGCTGGGACTATAGATGCTCGCTTCCACGCCTGGCTAATTTTTGTATTTCGTGTACATACAGGGTTTCACCCTGTTGCCCAGGCAGGTCTTGAACTCCTGGACTCAAGTGACCTGCCTGCCTTGACCTCCCAAAGTGCTAGGATTACAGGCGCGGCCACCATGCCTGGCCAATACTTGCTATTATCTGTCTTTTTCATTATAGCCATCCTAGTGGATGTGCAGTGGTTTTGATTGGCATTTCCCTGATGACTAATTATACTGAGCACCTTTTATGTGCTTGTGGCCACTTATAAATCTCTTCAAATCCTTTGCCCATTCTTAAATTGGATTAACTTTTTATTGTTGAGTTATAAGAATCCTGTATGTATTCTGGATACTAGTCCCTTATTAGATACATTATTTACAAATATTTTTTCTCATTCTGTGGGTTTTCTTTCACTTTTTGATAATTTCCGTTGAAGCACAGAAGTTTTTAATTCTGATAAAGTTGAATTTATCTACTTTTTCTTTTGCCATCTGTGCTTTTGGTGTCATATCTAAGAAGATCTGCCTACTCAAGGTCACAGTGACTTATTCCTCTATTTTTCTCTATGAATTTCATAGTTTTGCCTCTTATATTTAGGTCTGTGGTCCATTCAAAATTAATTTTTGGGCTGGGTGCAGTGGCTTATGCCTGTAATCCCAGCACTTTGGCAGGCCAAGGCAGGTGGATTGCTTGAGGTCAGAAGTTTGAGACCAGCCTGGGCAACATGTTGAAACCCTGTCTCTGCAAAAAATAAATTTGGGCCAGGCATGGTGGCTTATGCCTGTAATCCCAGTACTTTGGGAGGCTGAGGCAGGTGGATCGCCTGAGGTCAGGAGTTCCAGACCAGCCTGGCCAACATGGTGAGACCCTGTTTCTACTAAAAATACAAAAACTAGCCGGGCATGATGGTGCTTGCCTGTAGTCCCACCTACTTGGGAGGCTTAGGCAGGAGAATCGTTTGAACCCAGGAGGCGGAGGTTGCAGTGAGATGAGATGGCACCACTGCACTCCAGCCTGGGTGACAGAGCAAGACCCTGTCTCAAAAAAAAAAAAAAGGTCTAAAGAAGACGTCTAGGAAAAAGATGCTAAAGAGTAAAGAGGATACCTTTTCCAGAGAGGCTGAAACCACCCTACTCTGTTCAATACACCACAGACTGGCAGAACCATACATTTAGGGGAATTAGACTTGGAGTCAGAGACCTAGAACCTCTACCTCCCCATCTGAGAAATGCCCCAAGTAAGTCCTGGAGAAAGTCAGGTCTTATGGTCATTTCATGAGGTTTGGTACTGGGTGTGGTGGCTCACACCTGTGATCCCAGCACTCTGGAGGCCGAGGCGGGTGGATTACTTGAGGTCAGGAGTTTGAGATTGGCCTGGCCAACATGGTGAAACCCCATCTCTACTAAAAATACAAAAATCAGCTGGCTTGGTGGTGGGCACCTGTAATCCCCGCTACTTAGGAGGCTGAGGGAAGAGAATCGCTTGAGCTCGGGAGGCGGAGGTTGCAGTGAGCTAAGATTGCGCCACTGCACTCCAGTCTGGGCAAAAGACTACGTCTCAAAACAAACAAACAAACAAATACAACAAGGTTTGGGGAAGCCATCCTGCTTAGTTGTGGGGTGAAGATGTTGAGGAAGGAGTATTCTGAATGGTGGTCACTTAACTTCTCTGAGCCTCCATGGTCTCATCTGTGAGATGGGAATAATTTGGGGAACAAATGAGATAATGTGTGTAAACATGCTCTGTGAGCTGCAAAGTGCTGCTGATGTCACTGGTGGTGACGATGGTGATGGTACTGAGAGGCCAAATCTCAGGGCTGGGCCTTCCAAGGCCACCCTGACCCTATCCCAGTGCTGGATCCCTTTGCCAATATTCCTACAAAGTGGCCGCCCAGCCTGGACCCCTCTAATGACAGACAGCCTACTGTGTCCTGAGATGGTTGTTCTGTATTTGGTTCCTTTACTTGTTAGAACCACTCCTCTTGAATTAAAAAAAAAAAATCATAATATACCACAAAGGTTAAAAGAAAAGAAAAGAAAAACCGTAGTATAATAGCTATGCCAGGCACTGGAAGAGGCACAGTATTTAACCTTTTGAAAAATCCTGTGAGGTCAATATACTGCTATGTACCCCCATTAAAAGGTGGGGAAATAGGCCCAGGGAAGTGAAATGGCTTTTCAGGAGCCCACAGCCAGGAAAGATGCAGGCAGGATTTGAATCCAGGCCCATCTGACTCCAAAGCTCACACACACGACCGTGGAGCTATTTCGTAGCCTTCCCCATCAATTCTCAGTTCAGTCCTGGGGACTTCGTGGGGCAGAGCTCACCCTTTTTGTTCACGCTGACCCTTGACCACCACCCTCTCCCAGATGTTCACCTCACCAACGTGGCTGTGCAAAAAACATCTCCCGACTACCACCCAAAGAAGGTGAGGAAGCCGGGCTCGGCTATGCACGGGTACAGCCCTCTGGCGCCAGGTCGGGGTGGGGAGGGTGGAGTGGCAAGGAGCCCAGGACAGGCCTGTCTGAGCCTGTGTTCACCAGTGAGGCAGGCCTACCCATCCCACTTGCAGGGCTCAGGGCAGGACTACAAATGGAGGCCCACATATCATGTGTCTCAGTATTTAAAAGTTGCAAATCACACTAACACACACCTAAACAAAATATGTCCTATCCTCCTACCTTGACAGATATCTTCTATTGGTCAACGGATTAATCGATTAATGTAATGTATCATACAGATATATTTTATCTCTCTGTCTATGTAAAATAACCTGCAAGGCCAGGTTCAAATACAGAATTCTCAGACTTCTCAGAGTCAAGGGCCAGATCAAGGGGACACAGGAGAGCAGGTCCCCAGCTCACACCTGTTCCCTTCTCTTCCCTCCCCAGCTCCATCCCACAGTGGGGCCCTTGTGCATACACAGCCCTGAAAATGGCAGCCTGTCGGTCACTCCTTGGCCTTGGGATGCACACATGGTCAGTGTGGTCTGTCCTTAGCAAGTCAGGCTCAGAAAAGGGGCCTACGCAGGCCATGTGGGCAGGGACTTCTGGGGTCCTGCATAGCCAGTCCTCTTAGACATGAAGAATTTTTGCCCCTCAAAGAGGGGCACACCTGGGGTCATCCTAATTACAGGGCTCAGGGCTGGGCCCCTCTTGCCCAGGTCTAAGGGAAACACTGAGAGCAATTGTGTAAGGGTCCTAGCAGGCCAGGTCCTGACTAACTGAGGCTCCTCTCTCGACCCGGCTGCCCGGGGCCCAGGGCTGCAAGTGGACGCTGCAGCGCTTCCGGCAGTACCTGGCGTCCAAACACGGGCCCGAGGCAGTGGAGACACTCTTCAGGGACATCGACAACATCTTTGTCAAAAGCCTGCAGAGTGTGCAGAAGGTGATCATCAGTGACAAGCACTGCTTCGAGCTGTACGGCTATGACATCCTCATCGACCAGGACCTCAAGCCGTAAGTGGGTGGGTGGGAGAGCCAGGAGGTCATAGTTTGCATACTCGGCACCCAGACTGCCCAGGTTTGAATCCCAGCTCTGCCAATTCCTAGTTGTATAACCTTGTGCACACTTACATTTACTGTGCCTCAATTTGCCCATTTGTAAATGGGGTTGGTCATGACAGGATCTATCCATAGGTCATTAGAGGATCGTTATGAGGAATAAGTGAGATATAGTCTTTGGAGCACTGAGGACCGAGCCTGGCACTGGGAGGCCCTTCCTGATCATCTGCTGAGTCAGGAATTCTCCCCTATACCAAGCAAGAAACTTCCCCTCTGTAAGTCTTGGAGCTTTGAAGATGCAAAGAGCCATATAATGGAATATTGTTACAATGTCGATCTCTGCCAAGACTTTGATCCACTCCCAAGATGCCCGTGGAGGAGGTTGAGCTGACGAATAGAACAAGCCTGACCTGGCAGGGACCACCACGATGGCCTCACATGATGCAACAGGACACAGAAGCCCAGTGAGGGTCAGGGAGCTTGAGGTCATGTAGCAAGTCAAGGGCAAAGCCAGGCCCAGGGTCCAAGGACCTGGGCTGAGCTGCTCCCCACCAGCACTGCCAGCTCCAGGAGCCAACCCCCTATTCAGGGTCACCATGTAAGTGTTGAGGGGCTTTCTAAGCCAGGAGGAGGAGCCCTAGAGCAAGACCTAAGTCAGGCCCTTGCTCAACGGAAACAGGGTCCTGGCACCAGCAGGTCTCTCTCCTTTGTCCCCTGCAGCAGGATGTGACTGCTGGCATTAAGGTGGACGTGGTGGAGGAATAAGCTCTGGCCCATGCTTGGACACCAGCTACTGCAGGAAGCACTGGAGCATCCACTTGCAGCCCTGGGGCCTGGGTAGTCAGGTTAGGGGAGGGACCTCAGTTAATCGCCACCTGGCCTGCTGAGACCCCTAAACAATTGCCCTCAGTGCTGCCCTTAGGCCTGGACAAGAGGGGTCCAGCCCTGAGTGTTGTGATTAGGATGACTCCGGCTGTGCCCCTCCGTATGGGCAAAAATTCTGCAGGTCCAAGAGGACTGGCTGCACAGGACCACAGATGGCTACGTCACCTCTCTGAGCCTGTTTCCTCATTTGTAAAATGGGAAACACCATGTCTACCTCTCCAAGTTGTTAGAGTAATTTACCAAGATAATTTGCTGTGTAGTGGAAAGGGGCTTGGTCTCCCACAGACCTGCTGGGTGAGCCCTTCCCTCTCTGGGCCCCAGCTTTCTGTCTGTAAAAGGATGGGGTTGAACAAGACAAGAGGTGGCTAGCGGGAGGTCTTTGGGCTGCTTTTGGCCTGCAGATACTTCGAATTTGGCCTTTAGACTGTTTTTGTTTTTAATTTCAATTTATTGACAGGCTCTAAAATTTGGAAGATGTTTACATAAAAATCAGAATTACCAAGTACAGTGACTCAAACACCTATAATAATAATACCAACTACTCAGGAGGCTGAGGCAGGAGGATGACTTGAGGCCAGGGGTTCAAGGCTGCAGGGAGCTAAGATTGCACCACTGCTCTCTAGCCTGAGTGACAGAACTGGATTCTGACTCTTTAAAAAAAAAAAAAGTCTATTTTTGGCTTTTCTGGAAAAATCAGATGATCTCGCAATTCTGGACTCACATTCCCACAGGGCGGCACTCTCCTGGGGCTGGCCACAGCCACCCCTTTAGACTTGGAATGCCCTCTCCAGCTCACCACAGTCTCCACCCCTCCCCACCGCTTCCCACCCCCTGACACAGCAGGTTGGGTGCCACCTACAGTGTGCAAATTTTCACTAAGAAAGGGAAGTTTTTCTTGCATTCACATCTCTATTGGAAGAAGGGAAAACAATAACACCACGAAAGCACCATAATCATTCCTATGCCAGCTTTCTACATTTGAGTTACCTTTCTTCAAAGTGGAAAGGTGGCTCATGCCTGTAATCCCAGCACTTTGGGAGGCTGAGGCGGGTGGATCACCTGAGGTCAGGAGTTTGAGACCAGCTCGACCAACATGGTGAAACCCCATCTCTACTAAAAATACAAAGAAATTGGCTGGGCGTGGTGGCAGGCACCTGTAATCCCAGCTATTCGGGAGGCTGAGGCAGGAGAATCACTTGAACCTGGGAGGCAGAGGTTGCAGTGAGCTGAGATCATGCCATTGCACTCCAGCCTGGGCGACAAGAGCAAAACTCCCTCTCCAAAAAAAAAAAAAAAAAAGTGGGAGGGGCCTGGGCACAGTGGCTCCCATCTGTAATCCCAGCACTTCGGGAGGCTAAGGCAGGAGGATGACTTGAGGCCAGGAGTTTGAGACTAGCCTGGGCAACCTAGCAAGACCCTATCTCTATAAAAATAATTAAAAAAAAATAGAAAGGTAGAGAGAGTAGCCTGGATTGAATTGACGGTGGGGTCCATGCATCCATCTAGCCTCTCAGTGAAATCCTAGGGGCTCCAGGGACCGAGTAACCCTAAGACTCTCTACTCCCCTCCCTTCCCAGGTGGCTCCTGGAGGTCAATGCGTCCCCATCACTGACAGCCAGCAGCCAGGAAGACTATGAGCTCAAGACCTGCCTCCTGGAAGACACCCTGCATGTTGTGGACATGGAAGCGAGGTGAGGGAGGGCAGCCTTGATCACATGTCCTTGTACATGACAACTGAGGCTCCCACCAAGGAAGAGGGGGAGCTTAGAACCTTGGGGCCTGAGTGGCCCTCAGCGATGGCTCTGGCCTGCCCCACCACTTTATAGATGGAGAAGCTGAGATGTCCACAGAGGGTGGGGTCCTGACCCAAGGACTTGACCTCTCCAGGGCAGAGCAGGGCCAACTACAGCTTTCTGAGACAGTCCAGCAGGATTTCCTCGAAACCTCCTGACTGTGGGGCTCTGGACTAGTCACATCACCTTTCTGAGCCTCAGCTTCCTCATCTGTAAAATAGGAAATGCCATGTCTGCCTCTCAGAGTTGTTAATTTACAAAGATAATTTACTATCTAGTGCTTAGCTAACAGTAAGTGCTCAATACAAAGCTATTGTTTTAACAATGTGCAATAGCAGAAAAAAAAAAAAACCCAGAGCTACTTTTAGGAATGGGTGAATCCAGGTGCTCAATGTTGGCTGGTCTATTCTCTCTCTCTCTTTCTCTCTCTCTGTTTCTCTCTCTCTCCCTTTCTCCCTCCCTCTCCCTCTCCCTCCCTCCCTCTCCCTCTCCCTCTCCCTCCCTCCCTCTCCCTCTCCCTCCCTCCCTTCTCTTTCCTCTGTATTAGCTTTTCCCCGATTATTCCAGCAGAAGTTTGAGGGCTGATTCTCCTTGCTGGTAACTGGGACACATTCCCATTCCTAAACCACTCACTGTGACTCTGCTTGACCAGGTATAGTTCTTGTGCCCACCTCCTAGGGAGTGGGGTCAACCCCATGTGAGCCATGGGGTGAGGGAGGGAGGGAGGAGTGGTTCTCAGAGGAAAACCCAAGGTACTCTTGGACTGAAAGAAGGTGAAATGGATGCTGAGCAGGCAGAAACCTCAGGTATCCACTATTCCTACCATCACCTATTCATTCAACAAACATTTGAGCCCTGCTCTGTACCAGGCCCTGTGCCATACCCTGCGGACACAGTAAGGAACACAACAGAACTAGTCCCTGCCTTTATGGAGTTTAAGGTCTGAGGAGGAAAGCAGACTTTAAACCAGAAATCACAAATAGCGGCCGGGGGTGGTGGCTCACGCCTGTAATCCCAGCACTTTGGGAGGCCGAGGCGGGCAGATCACTTGAGGTCAGGCGTTTGAGACCATCCTGGCCAACATGGTGAAACCCCATATGTACTAAAAATACAAAAATTAGCTGGGTGTGGTGGTGTGCGCCTGTAGTCCCAGCTACTCAAGAGGCTGAGTGAGGAGAATCACTTGAACCAGGAGGCAGAAGTTGCAGTGAGCCAAGATTGTGCCATTGCACTCCAGCCTGGGTGACAGAGAGAGACTCTGTCTCAAAACAAGAACAAAAACAAACAAACAAAAAAAACAAATAGGGGCATGTTACCAAGAGCAAGTAGGAGGAGCCTTGGGGGAAAAATGGGAACAACCCCTCAGAGACCTACATAGGCACCTGGGAAACAGCCAATGAATGGTTGGGAAAAAGGACTTCTGAGGGACGGACATCAGTTGGGCTCAGGGAGAGATCAGGGACCTCACTTGGGTCTTAGGGCTCTGCCAGGTGCACCTTCATTAACCCTGTGGGCCTCCTTCCTGTCCAGGCTCACGGGAAGGGAGAAGCGAGTCGGGGGCTTTGACCTCATGTGGAATGATGGCCCTGTTAGCAGAGAGGAGGGGGCTCCTGACCTGTCGGGAATGGGAAACTTTGTGACCAACACACATCTCGGTATGTAGGGCCAGGTGGGGAGTGGGCACAAGGGATGGGGTCATGGGAGGTACCAGGTAGTCTAGGAGGCAGCTTGGGATAGTGGTTAGATTGTTTGAATTCAATCTGCAACTTACCAGCTGTGTGACCTTGGGCAAGGGACTTAACCTCTGTTCCTCGTTTTTAAACTTGGTTTCTAAAAAGTGAAAACTTTCCCTGATTATAAAAAAGGGATTCACACTCATTGTAGAATATTTGAAAACTAGAGAAAGAAATAAAAACATCCAGACATAAGCATCTTTAACAATCTGGTGTATTTCCTTCCAGTTCTTAAAAAATGCATATATTCATACTTTTTCTTTTATAAAATTGGCATTGGGCTAGAGTTTTGAATCCCTCTTTTCCCCTTGGCATTTTTCATTCAAGCATATTAAGAGCCTCCCTCTTGAATGCACTTTTTGGTCCAGTCCGGATGAAATCTTTTACATACATTATCTCATTTTATCTTTAAGGAGTTTTTATTGTCATTTTACAGATGAGGAAATGATATCCAGGTGCTATGTAACTTGCTGAATGAAGGTTTTGGCCATAAGTGGTGAGCCAGGACTCAAACTCCCATCTGCCTGGCTCCAAAACTTGAGTGCTTGTCCGCTAGACTCTCCTGCCTCTTGGCAGAGTTTAAAAAAATTACCATATGGCTGCAAAATATTTCAGTTTGTACATATGCCAAAATTTACTAAACCAATTTCTTATAATTGGACATTTGGCACAATTGCATTTTATTTTTTTTTTACTTTTATAAATTATACCATGATGAACATCCTTTCACATTAAGCTCGGCTGAAATTCTGGCCATTTCCTGAGGACAGATTCCTAGAAGCAGAATTATTGGGCCAAAGGGATGGGATTATTACAACCAAATTTCTTTCCAGAAAGATTATACGAATTTGTCAGATTTGAATTTTTAGAAAAAAGAAATCTGTGCCAACTGGTGAGGTAAAACATACTGACTCGTTGTTTTATGTGCATTCCATTGATTACTGGTGAGGTTTCCGTTTTTTAAATTTGCATTTCTTCTTTTGTAAGCTGTCCATACTCTTTATCCATTTTTCTATGGGTTGTTTAGTTTTCTAAATGTATAAGGCTTCAGATGACTATATAACACTGTCCAAGCTTAATTTAATATGCATACAATCACCTGGAAATCTTGTTAAACTATAGATTGTGACTCCATAGGTCTAGGGTGGGGCCTAAGATTGTATTTCTAACAAGCTCCTGGGTGATGCTCTATTGATTAACCATTGCTGTGTAACAAGCCCTCCCAAAACCTAGCAGCTTAAAGCAACTATTTTATTTGCTCATCCTTCCTCAGGTCTCTCCTGGGGTCACTTATAGGGCTGCAGGCACCTGGCAGATTTACTGGAGACTTGATGGTGTACGACAGCCTCATTCATAGGTGTGGGGGTTGATACTGGCTGTCAGTTGGGCCTCTCTTTCCATGTGGCCACTCGTCTTCCAACAGTCTGGCCCTGGCTTCTTCACGTGGTAGACTCGGGGTTCTAAGAGGGTGAGAAAACACACTGCAAAGCCTTTTGCGGCCCGGACTCAGAAGTCCCATAAAGTCATTCTGCTACAATCAAAGCATTTGCTGGTGTAGCCCAGTCACTGGGTAAGAAAATAGACCCCACCTCGCCGGGCGCGGTGGCTCACGCCTGTAATCCCAACACTTTGGGAGGCCGAGGCGGGCGGATCATGAGGTCAGGAGAGCGAAACCATCCTGGCTAACACGGTGAAACACTGTCTCTACTAAAAAATACAAAAAAATTAGCCAGGCGTGCTGGCGGGCGCCTGTAGTCAGCTACTCGGGAGGCTGAGGCAGGAGAATGGCGTGAACCCGGGAGGCGGAGCTTGCAGTGAGCCGAGATTGCGCCACTGCACTCCAGCCTGGGCGACAGAGCGAGACTGTCTCACACAGAAAAAGAAAAAAAAAAAAAAAAAAGAAAATAGACCCCACCTTTTGATGAGAGGAGCAGCAAAGTCACCTTGCACAGAGGTGTGCATATAGGAACATTGTTGCAGCCTTCTTTGCCAACAGTGCACCAAAGATATCAATGCGCTACTTCCTGGACCCCCATTTGAGTAGCAAAGATGGAAAGCGGCGGTTCTCTATCTTGGCTGCCCATTGGAATCACCTGGGAGCTTTAAAGACTACTGACGCCTGCCAGATCAAGATATGGTTGGTGTGGGCATCAGTAGCTTTTAAAGCTCCCAGGTGATTCCAATATGCAGCCCAAGTTGAGAGCTACTGTTTTTTTTTTATTATTTTTTTTTGAGACGGAGTCTCGCTCTGTTGCCCAGGCTGGAGTGCAGTGGTGCAATCATAGCTCACTGTAACTAACCTCAAACTCCCAGGCTCAAGCAGTCCTCCTACCTCAGCCTCCTGAGTAGCTAGGCCTACAGGCACACACCACACCTGGCTAATTTTATTTTTGTGTGTGTGATTTTTTTCCTGTAGAGACAAAATCTCACTATATTGACCAGGCTGGGAGAGCCAGTGCTTTAGAAGTCTCTAGAATTATTCCTGTTTCAAGTGTTTGGGTTTATGGTGGTAAACACAAGGGTAGCTGGTTAGGGTAGGAAGAGTACTGATGAACTGAGTTAGGGAAGCGTTCAGGGACATCCAGGTGAAAGGGTCAGCAGATAACTCAGAGATGAGTGTAGAACTCCAAGAAGTTTGCACTGGACAAGAAGACTCGAGAGTTAGGAATGAGCCAAATAGAGTTTAAGTTAGGGCTGCATGGAACTCACTCTGGAAAACCCTGAGGATGTGCATCGTAGGCTCTCAGCTCAGTGAATGGCTGAGTGAGTGTCTGGGAAGCAGGGACAGGGTTTGGGGGGATGTGGAAGATGGCAGACACCCACAGGTCAGAACTAGTGGCCACAGAGATTCAGTCATTCAAGCAGCATTTTTGAGTGCCAGCAATGTGCCTGGCATGAGGTTAAATGACCATAGTTACCTCAAGGATCAGCTCTGAGAGCAAACAGCCAACATGTAGCACCATGAACGTCCTGGGAGAGACGTCTCAGCAGCTCACGGCAGCCTCAGCACGAACTGCCTGGGATTGGGGGCCACATGTACGGAAAACTCATCTCTTAGCCAGTTGTGCCTGGCACATGGGTTGGGTAAGGGAAGAAAGCTAACAGTACTGGGCAGCTATGAGGTGCCAGGCACTGTGCTAGCTTTAAATGCATTTTCACTGAGCAAAGCCAGGAGAAGCAGCAGCGTGGGGTAGTGGTTAAGAGTGTGGCTCTGGCACCAGGTAGTCTGGGTTCAAATGATTTAACCTCTCTGAGCCTGTTTTCCCTTCTACACATCATTCCTGCGAGGGCCAAACAAATCCATCCACATTCAGCATCTGGAGCAGTTCCTGGCTTGAGGTAAGCCCCCAGTCCTCATGTTCACTCCATAAGGTGGGCAGTAGTATCCTGGTTTACAGATGAGAAGACCGATGCTGAAAAGGGTAACTGACCTGCTTGAGGGCCATGGCAGTTTAGGAATGGAGCCAGGATATAAACCACAGGCTGTGTGTGGTTGTCTGACTCCCGCTGTCCCCTCTTCCCAGCAGGGAGTTGGGGCACAGGCCCCTCCACTCCTCCCAAGCATAGGTCATCCCAGCCAACACCCCACTTCCTTTCCAGGCTGCGTCAACGATCGGAAGAAACAACTGAGGCAGCTCTTCTGCTCCCTTCAAGTTCAGAAGAAAGCTTCCAGTTGATCCCCAGCTGCCAGGAGGAAATCAGCCTTAGCAGGTGCCACCCAGGCCTCCCCCCCACTCCCAGATCCCAGCACAGCACCTCACAGCATTCGCCTCCCCACCTCCAGCCTGGCACCAGCTTTGCTGGCTTAGCAGCTGCAGCTTACTACCTGAATTGGGCCCCTTGGATACCTCCAGCCCATCCCCAGGCATCTTTGCACCAGGAGACAGCCAATCACTGGGACTGGGGGAGGTTTAACCTTGACAAACTGACTTGGCAGTTAGGCCCAAAGAGAACAAATACAGCAAGTTCTGCTACCCCCAGGAGATCATATCTAATAAATGAGCACAGGCCCTACTTGGAGTCACTGGGCACCAGGCCTGGTTCCGGGGATACTGTTGGCTGCAGCCAAGTCCTCCTGGCTTTGACACTTGGATACCTCCCAAGTCAGTGCTGAAAAGGTCCTTCAGGAGCAAGAGTTTGGAGGCTAAGGAACTCGTCTTTAAGCTGTGCTTACACAGCAAGCAGTTATTAGATTGTGTGTTTATTGGGGGCCTGGGGAAGTACTGAGCCCTAAACACATCCTCTTCTCCTTGCATGTCAGGGGAGCCCATGGGGCTCCCTGACCATCATCTGAAAACCAGTGGGACAGGGCATCCCCATTTCTCAGATGGACAAGACAGACCAGGGAGGCAGAGCTTAGTGAGGGTCTCTGCAAAGGTGCATTTATCTAAGTCAGATGGGTGACTTAAGTGCTTCTCTAGGCCTTGTGTTTGAGATTGGGAGCTGAGCCAGAAACCGGAAAACCCTGGGCTCATGGGCAGGACAGCTTCGGGAGTTGAGTGTGAGTAAAAATCTGCCTTTTCACATCTTACATTGCTAAGCTTCCTCTTGGTTTAAGAGGGGTTGCAACAAGACTCGGGGCTGTTGGGGTAACTGTTCCAGGGGGGACTTACTCCCTCTACCACTCCGCCTGCTTCAGAGTAGTTTCTCTGGCTGCAAATGGTTGAATCTGCCTGCCTAGGTCAAGCCCGAAGGGAAGACTTTTGGAAGGAAAATACTGGCAAATCCAAGAAGTGAACCAGCCGACTTTAGGAAAGCCAGAAGCCAGGCTACTCTAGACCTTCTGCCTTCAGAGCATGAGGACTTCTCCCACTCATCCCTGTACCTGAGGCACACCAACCCAGACAGGTCCAGGCATGGACTCCAGGTTCCCTATTTCCAGAAGGAATGCGATTAGCTTTTTTTGGCCCAGCACCCACCCTGCCAGGGAGGAAGGGGCAATTTTCCAGTGATGAAATTGTGAATCAGGCAGTCACACTGGACAACATCTAGCAAGGTGAATTCTGCAACTCCCTACTTTATTTACATTTTAAAATAAGCAATATATTCATACGGTTTAAAATCCAAAGTTTACAAAAGGGTATAGGGTGACATCTCCTTCCCTCCCACCTGTGCGCCCCAACCCTGCAGGTGCTGTTCTGAGGGAATCACACTGTGCTTGCACAAAAATTATTAGCTTATAAGACACCAGCCTTCCCCTTGCTTTCCTCACTTGATGTATCTTGGAGCTTGTTCCTTATTCTTGATTATAGTTGTATGGTATTGCACTATCTGGAGCTAACACCTGTGACCCACACTCATGTTTTAAAAGTTTCTGCATTAGTCAAAAATATTTAAAAGGAGATTCAACTTCACAACCCATATGTCTAGCTTCTCTTGAAAACACGTAAGAACTGGCCATGACAGCCTGTGTTTCTATGTAACTATGAGCCAGAGCCAAGGAGCGGGGGGACCAGGAGAGGTGTGCCCCTGCCATGCTGCCATTTGTTATCACCCGCCTGTCAAATCACAGGTTTATTTCAAGGCAAGAACCATGTTCATAGGTTGTATTCTAAATGGAGTGGCGTGCCCTTACTGAAGGACTAGATGAGGCAAATAAAGACTAGTTGCTGCTATTCATTCATTCAGCTAACATTTATTGAGCCCTTAATGAACACATAAGAGTTTTGACTTCACGGCAGTTCATACTGGGACCTCAGACCACTGAAGGCAGACAGTAACGAGCAGTGCTGGCCGGGCCCCACTTTCAGAGGGGGCGGAAGGGCATCTTGACACGTGTCATATGGTAAGAGGCGCATCCACTCACCCAGGCCTGGTGCAGGACTCTGCAAGGCCCTCCTGAGTAAAGAGTGGCCACGAAGGGCTGCTAGGCAGCACCTACTCTTGGAATCAAGCAGGGAAAAAGTGCAAAATTGGAGCTGGCGGGAGGTGTGTGTGCCTGCCCCACAGATGGCTGTGGTGAGCCACAAAGCACCAAGATTCTGTTCTTCATTCAGCAACCACCCATGAGCCTCCTGCTTTATTCCAATCGCATGGCACCAGCCTGAAAACCTCTCTCCCTTCTGAGAGGAATGCTGGAATGACACTCCACTCTGCCCCTCCCTCCCTCCTTCCTTGCTCAGGGTCCATGTGAACAGCAGGCCATTGTTGGGAAGTGCCTGTTGCAGTCATTCTTACACCCCCACAGCCACTGCCCCACACACCCACTGGTGGCTACCAAGGCCCGTCAATAGATCTTGTGTCCACCGAGCCCTGGTGTCCAGGTCCAGCAGCCAGACAGGCTGAAGGTTCCCTCCTGCCATCACAGAGTAGCCAAGCACTACAAAGAGGTTTTCATGGCCAGATTCCTGACGGCTGGCCCCTTACAGGGCAGATCCTGTCCTTACAGGTGTCAAGGTTGGAGGGTCCTGGGTCCTCCATGACCCTGGGGGGTTGCTGGTCCCCCATCTTGGTTCTTGAGTCTCATCCTTTCAAGATGACCTTGAGAGCTTTAAGCTCATCCTGGTTGAGGGGGTTCAAGTTAAAACCCTTCAGCTCCGGTTTGCCTAGGAGAGAAGATGATCCATCAGCACGTCGGGCCTCCTGCTGGCTCTGGAGCCAGGCCCAGGAAAGGGGCTGACGCTGCACTAATGCTGCCAAACTCAGCCTGGAGGTCTGGCAGGGATGGGCCTCCAATTCTGCAATGCACCAGATGAGGCATCACCACTGCTCCTGTGTCACCAAGAGCCTGCAAACGCGTAACTCTGCTGCCCAAAGAACCTCAGGTTTTTCCAAGACCTGTGACCAATCTAGAGTGCTTGCATTTATCAAGAATTTCAGCTCTGACCTCACTCACTCACTGAAGCCTTCTGAGTTTCCTCAGTCAGAGCTATCTGATCCCCATGCCATGCCCCGATGTATAACGTGAGATCACCCCAAGCGGTTCCTGGGACCTGGAAAAGAAACTATGACAGGACTAGGACTGTAGAAGTCCCCCTGTCCATTCTGTCCCTGGGCAGCTACAACCAACCACTGTGCACACCTCCAGGGCCACTCACAGGCTGCCCCGGACACTGCCCATCTCTGAGGGTCGGACTTCCCATCCCTGCCCTTCAAAGTCCATGCTGATGATTCCCTCCCCTTCTTATCTCCAGTCCCTGCTAAGCCAATACCTTGGGCCTCAAAAAGGCGGTTGACCTTCACTTTAAGTTGCTTCCGCAGTTTTTCTATTTCTTTATCCAGATGATCTTGATCTGAAAAAATGAGGGGGGCAAGCAGAGGATAAGATTGTACCAGACAGACTTGATCCCAGTAGTGGAGAGGCCAGCCTCTCCCCAGCAAGGGCGTGTAGCTTTCAGGAAGGAAAAGGGGACATCAGAGGCCAACTGAGGAAGGATTAAAGTCTAGAAGGGACATGACCTGCTCAGGACCACTCAGAGAGCCCAGGACACAGCAGTCCCAACTCCCATTACACTGGCCTTTTCTGCATTATGCAAAGTACCTTGGGGTGGTCAGTGGATGGAGAAGGCAACATCAGGACTTTAGGCTGCCCTCCCACAATGAAATTATGGAAAATTCAAATGCACAAACAAAATAAGCATCTCTAGATTCAGCCCACCCTAGATGGCTGGAAAATGGATGCCTAAGAAATTTTACAAACCCAAGTCCATCAAGGTGAGGGGGTTTTAGAAAAACATGATTGTGTAAACATGTGACGTAAACAATCAACACGCAAGCAATGCTCAAGCTTAACTTAATTAGCCACTGTGAACAGAAAAGGGTCTTCTAGTGTCATGGACTGCCCCTGAGAAGAGTTGGTGTGATGACAGAGGTGGCT
This sequence comes from Homo sapiens, assembly GCF_000001405.40. Lineage (NCBI taxonomy): Eukaryota > Metazoa > Chordata > Mammalia > Primates > Hominidae > Homo > Homo sapiens. The sequence continues at coordinate 31,947,161 of NC_000020.11, forward strand.
ATCAAAGCTTGATTGACCAATTGACTGAAGTCACCCAGCCAATTCCACCTGCTCATGAGTGACATTCTGGCTAGCCTGTCTTCCCCACAGACTCACTCTTTCAGATGGGGGAGAAACCCTGAATGGCCAAGCCTTACAGCCTGGTTCTATTTCTCATTGTGAATGAGTAACCCCAATGTCCATGAGCTTGTTTAGCCTATGTTGATCCCCAAGAAATCTGATAATGTCTCAGAACCCCTCTAGGTACAGTGACAAGACGACATTTGGGGGCCAAAAGGGCCAACAAGATCCTGAACCCAGGCAAGGGACCCTCTGAAAGCTTAGCCTCCAGCCCACCACCAAGTGCAGTTTAATTTTATAACCATAATATTAGTGTATTTTTTCAACACAACAGCTGGAAACTTCTCCAGGCTGGATATAGCTTCCTGTTAGTAGTTTTATGTCACTGGCCAGGAGCAGTGGCTCACGCCTGTAATCCCAGCACTTTGGTGGGAGGCCAAGGTGGGTGGATCACCTGAGGTCACTTAGACCAGCCTGGCCAACATAGCAAAACCCTGTCTTTACTAAAAAAACACAAAAATTAGCCACGCATGATGGCATGCACCTATAATTCCAGCTAATCAGGAGGCTGAGGCAGGAGAATTGCTTGAACCTGGGAGGCAAAGGTTGCAGTGAGCCGAGATAGCACCATTGCACTCCAGCCTGGGTGACAGAGCAAGACTCTGTCTCAAGGAAAAAAAAAAAAGTTTTATTTCATGAGGTATGAAGACATCCTGTCTTCAGGGACTGAGGCAACCTTGCTTGTCCTTTTGGCCATTTTCAAGGTTATGGAAGAAAAAGTATGTGTAGCCTGTTCTTTTTCTAGCCAATAATCCATTTGCAGCCTGACTTGCTTTAAGATGCTTTTCCAAAGAGCTTCCAGATTATGGTTGTGGAAACTGAGTACACTGAGTGCCTAGGCTATGGCAGACCCTAGAGGTTTAATCTCCCCAAACCTCCATTTTCAACCCAGTCTCTATTGCAGGGCATGTAAAAAAGAAAAGCTCACTCTCCCAGGCTCTCTTGCAGCTATGGGTGACCATGTGACTTAGTTCTGGCCAATGAGATGTTGGCAGGAAGTCCCTGAGGAGATGGCCTTACTTCCAAAATAGAAGGCAAAGCTCTATGTGGCGAAAGCCTTCTGTCTTTCCTCCAGCCTGGCATGAGGACATGAGGCCTGCAACGATGAAACAACAACCAGGAGAATATGCTAAGGTGCCACTGCTGGGCATCTATGCCAGGACTGGAGTACACACCTCTGGACAATTTCTTATGCAAGAGTAAAAGAAGCATATTTCCTTAAGCCTCAATTTGTTGGGTTTTGTTATCTGCAGCCCAACTGATTCCTCACTAATAAGAAAGCACTATGCTAGGCACACATATTGTTTTACCTCAACTGCACAGCTATGCTACACAGATGCATCCCCCTCTTAGAGATGAGGAAATAACCCACAGTGGCAGAGGTGGAATTAAAACCCACAGCAGTCTGAACCCTGTGACAGAACTGCCTCTCCTTACGCTGCCTGAAGCCTGACTCCCTGTTCTGGGTTAAGACCAAAGCTGGTGGGAGAGGCAGCACACCCCTGACCCATCCCCAGGAGGCCTTACCTTTTTCAATCATTTCCTTTGTCTCAGGGTGAGGCATCTTGATAAACATGTTCCCGAAGCAAACCATCACATCTTCTGAAAGAGCAAATAGTAATTCCTTCAACAATTTTTTTTTGAGTACCTATTATCTGCCAGGCATTGTTTTAGATACAGACAACAGAGCAGAACAAGAAAAAGTTCCTGCCCTCTTGGAGCTTATGTTACAGTGGAGGAGAGAGAATAAAGATATGATTTGTCAGACCTTAAGAGTTGTAGAGAAAAATAAAGCAGGCTAAGATGGCTAGGGAATGCCAGAGGAGGACCTTGTTAATCATAGCAGGTAGTCTGAGAAGGCCTTACTGATTATATGCTATCTACACAGAGACCTAAGGAAAGTGAGAGTGTGAGCCCTGCAGACATCTGGGGAAAGAGTGAGCCAAACAGAGGAAACAACAGGAACAGCAAAGATCAGTAGTGTGCTTGGGGTGTTCAGAACAGCAAGGGGCCGGGCGCAGTGGCTCACGCCTGTAATCCCAGCACTTTGGGAGGCCGAGGCAGGTGGATCACTTGAGGCCAGGACCTCGAGACCGGCCTGGCCAACATGGCGAAACGCTGTATCTATTAAAAATACAAAAATTAGCTGGGTGTGGTGGCACACGCCTGTAATCTCAGCTACTCAGGAGGCTGAGGCACAAGAATCACTTGAACCTGGGAGACAGAGGTTGCAGTGAGCCAAGATCATGCCACTGCACTCCAGTCTGGGTGACAGAGCAAGGCTCTGTCTCCAAATAAATAAATAAATGAATAAATAAAAGAACAGCAAGGAGACCAGTGTAGGTGGAGTCATGTTGGGGGTGGGGGGAGTAGAGATGATATTGGCACACTCATGGATTCATGGGGGCTGGATTACTCGGTCTTGTAGGACCTCTGGATTTTACTCAGGTGAGATGAGAAGCAACTGGAAGATTCTGCACATTCTAGTGTACTTTCAACAAAATGTAAACTTCCTCCCTTAGCCCCCAAGACCTTTCATTATGGCCTGGTCTCTGTCCCTCTCTCCAGCCATACTTACTCCCCATTTGCTTCCACTGCCACAGCCACTTGGCCTCATCTAAAGTGTCCCATTCTTCTGGATATATATTCTCAACACCCACCCCAAGTCCAATTCCATCTCTGGCTTTCTTACAATTTTCAATTACGCATTTTACGTTGTTTTCCTCATCTGTAAAGCACAAGGGCAGGAACCATCAGTTTTATACACCCCCGGCACTCTCTCAGTGTCTGCCATCGTTGATAAGCCAGGAGCTAACGACCTGTCACTGAAGTGAGCAGGCAAAATCCTGAACCACAGTCTGTGCCAGAACTGCAAAATTTGCTCCCCCATCTCCCCGGACTGTTTCAATTTCCCACAAGGCTGAGTTATACAGCTGTGACCTCCTGCCTGATCTCTATCAGGAACAAGGTAAAGGCCTTAAAGGAAAACGGAACAGGCCTCCAGGGCTGCACTGAGAAAATTTCAACTTACCAGAGAGGCTGAGATCCTTCTGCAGGGCCCTCAGGCCCTCTCGATTCTGATTCCTTTTAGTGTCCAGGTCCACAATCTGAAAACCACAGGGACAGGAGGGAACTCAGCTATCTCTTGCCCCAAGCTGTCACCTCTTGACAGACAAGGGTTGCAGAGGCAATGCATTATTCCTGATTACATTCAACGTCCTGCCTAAAATGGATTGATGTGTGAATGTATTTCTTCTCTCACTCAGCTTCCTGGTCTTAAAGACAATGCTTTGTGCAGCTGCCCTCTCCCCAGAAAAGATGCTGAGAAAACATGTGCTGACTAAATGGGAAATTCTGCATTATCCACTCGAACTTTAGGGCATATCAGAATCACCAGGGGAGTGGAAACCCTTCCCCTACACACTGTGATTAAGCAGGCCTAATGTTTATTTTTGGACAAACTTCTCCAGCTGATTCTGAACTAGTAATATGAGAAACCCAACAATACTAGATTGGAACAGCAGGATTGGGGGCACTGAGACAGTGGTAACAACACAATAGCTACTAAGGAAGTGACGCAGTAGTACAGTATACTGCACGAGTGCTGGTTCTGGATTTGGAATACCCAGGTTCGAATCCTGCTATCTGCCTCAAGCTGTGTAATTTCACCTTCCTATTTACTCCTCCTCAAAATGGAGCTACGGACAGTACCTACCTTACAGGTTATTGAGCCAGCAATTAAATGACTTAACACAGTACCTGGCACATAGTAAGTAGCTGATAAACTTTAACTGCTCTTATTCTCATCCAGCACACCCTGATCCAGTACTTAATTTGACAGGATCTTGCCCAAGTTTTCCCCTTCTCAGTAAATACCTGACCCTTCTAACTGGAGATGAGAGGGAGTCACGACTCCCCCGGCTCCACTACCACGGCCTACTGAGTCTGTCTCCAAAATACATTTCTGACCCCTTCACTTCTCTCCACCACCACTACCTAGTCCAAATCCATCTCTGGTCTGGACCATACCAATGGCCCCTCACCCATCTCCCTGCCTCCGCCCTTGCCCACCTATATTCTGTATTCCACACAGCAGCCAGGGGGGATCCTTTTAAAACCTAAATCCAATTACGTCACCCTCCTTCCCCCAGGAACTCCCCTCAAAAACTTGGCACTTAAAACAAGACACCCCATAAACAGGGCGCCACCTTCCCCCACGTCCCCACCCCTGCCCGGTCACAAGGCCCCCTCAGGCTTCTTTTCGGTTCCAGCTCTCCCCTGAGGGCCTTTACAGGGCGGTGCCCCTAGATCAACCATGGGGCCGGGAAGTGCATTTTGAAACAGGTGCTCAGGGAAACGGCCCAGAGCATGATGGGTCGAGATCCACAGAGCATGGCAAGGGGCAGAGAAAGGATGAAGAGAGAGGAATGTCCAGCATAGCGCAGGCGCTCACTTAGTAGCGGCCGAATATTTATCGGCCCAGGTCTGTCGCCTCGGAGCCGTTAACCGCCTGTCCAGGTCAACTCACTGCGACCCCGCGCGCTTTCCCACGGCGCCGGCCGCCAGGCCCCAGCGCCGCGGAGGGGCCTCTCACCTGCCGCTTGTCCGCCAGCACCTCCTCGGCGAGCTCCTCCACTTCTACAAGGTACCGCAGCACTCGCTCTGCCTCGGGTGATAGCATAGCGCCCACCAACTCCGCTTGCGGCTCTCGCGCGACCCCGGGATCTCCGCTTCGACTCCCGCTGCGCACGCGCCGCTCTCTAGGTGCTTCCGGCGCGCCTGCGCAGTTAAAAGAACGGTGGTGCGCAGGCTCTAACACTAGTGCGCCAGCCGGCTGCGAGAGGCGGGGCCTAGCTTTGGGGGCGGGGCTGGAGCGCCCTCTGCAGGCTCAGAGAGCTCAGTCCTCGGGCTGCCTCTGACCCGTTACTCCCTCGGTTCATGCTTCTTGAGCACTTATTATGTGCCAAGCAGTTTTATGTGCTTAGGATGCAGCAGTGAACACAACAAAATCCCTGCCCTCATGGAACTTCATCCTAGTGGGAAACACCGACAATTAATGGCAAAACAATTATATACCGTGGCAGGTAGTGATTAGGATCTGGGAAATATTATTCTTCCCCTGGCTAAGAAACACCAAGAAGGCCCATGTGGCAGTGTGACTTATGTTTAATCTCTGACACTTTCAGTTTCTAATTTATAAAAAGGGGGTGAATAAAAATCCGCCTCAGTGTCTCTCCACAGGATCGGAAGGAAGCAGGAATCAGCTGGGCGCAGTGGCTCATGCCTGTAATCCCAGTACTTTGGAAGGCCAAAGCGGGGGGATCACTTGAGCCCAGGAGTTCGAGACCAGCTTGGGCAACACAGTAAAACCTCCGTTTCTACTAAAAATACAAAAAAAAAAAATTAGCTGGGTGAGGGGGGGCGCGCCCGTTGGTCCCAGCTACTCAGGAGGCTGAGGCGGGAGGAGCACCTGCATCTGGGGAGTCGAGGCTGCCCTGAGCTATGATGGCACCACTGCACTCCAGCCCGGGTGACAAAACGAGACTCTGTCTCAAAAAACAAAGGAAGCAGTAATCACTTTTAATTCCGTTTAACCAGAGTTCACTTGAGCCCCTGTGTTGGGCCCAATGTCCAGAGTAGCTGGCCTATACATAAGGAAGGGACTTGAAAACTATGGGCAGTAAGCAATGAAGTGCTAGCTCAGAAAAGCAGGTGGGTGTGGGTGGTAGGATTGGGAGGACTTCCCAGAGAAGGCAGGCAGGTGGAAAATGGTTACCATCAGAACCAGAGGGTTCCCACGAGGTCTTCACGCCCAAACTCCTCATTGGATAGCTGGAAAAAACAAACCTCAGAGAGAGGCAAGGCTTTGAAAAGAAGGTGAGGGGTGAGCCATGTGGATGCCTAGGAGAAGAGTGTTCCAGGCAGAGGGAACAGCCAGCGTATGTGGAACAGAATGGGCGGGGGGGAAGCAGGCAGGAGGTCAGAGGGAAGGAGGCATTGAGCCCACATGGCTGTAAAAGGCGCTGGGAAAGGACTTTGAAAGTCTAAAGAGCAGAACCGATATTATCACTCTGATGTCTCGCCTCCCTGATTCCAGCGTTTTATTCTCTCCTTTTGACCTCTTGTAACCAAGCCCCTTCACACCCCTTGCCTTACTTGAGTGTCAAAGCAACCTTTGTATGGATGGGATTATTACTGCCCCATTTCACAGCTGCAGACTGAGGCCAGGAGAAAGGCAGTGCCTCATCACACAGCAAGCCAGGAGTGCCTGGTGTCCATGCCATTTCCGGACCCTGAAAAAACCCTCCCCAAAAATTGTGGCCCCAGAAGCCCCAGCAGCACCTCTATGTTGCCTAGCCATTGGCTGCCTTCAACTACCAGAGGCAGAGCTAATTTTTCCTTCAGCCACCTGGTGTGGGGAAGGAGGGAGATTCATTAAGGATTCCTCACTGAGGGTGAATTTGTCGCCAAACCCAGGATGTTTTGTATAAACACCTTCTGGTTCAGAAATGCAGGCACAGGCCCTGAGAAGGAAAGGGGGATGTTTGCCAAAGCAGAAATGGGGCTCACCAGGCATCCCTCGGCCTGGACCCCAGCACTGCGTCTCCTCCACCTTGGGACCCACAGAGGGCTGGACCAGGTTGACCCTTGACCCCTACCACATGGGCCTGGATGGGGAGAGGCTGAGGGAGGCTCCCACATTAGCAGCTTCTTGGCGGTAACTGGCCTTTAGAGGCCACCCCTGGCCACTGGAAATGTTGGGGAGGGGAATCATAGTCATTTCCAAGACTTTGAAATGGTCAGACCCAGAAAGACTCTCGGAGAGCATTTCAATTTCAGAGCCATTTATTTCACAATTATGTATTGACTTCCCAGGCCCTGTGATAGGGATTCTGCCATGAGCAAAACTGGACATGGTCCCTGCTCTCAGGAATCTCCCAGTCTGGTGAGAGAAACAATCAACATAAAACAAGTAAATATATCATATGTCAGGTGGTAAAAAGTGCTACCAAAAAAATAGCGGCTTGATGTGGGGGCTCACACCTGTAATCCCAATACTTTGGGAGGCCAAAGTGGAGAATCACTTGAACCCAGGAGTTCGAGACCAGCCTGGGAAACATAGCAAGACCCCCATCTCTACCAAAAAAATAAAAATTAAAAAGTTAGCCAGATGTAGTGGTGTGCGGCTGTTGTCTCAGCTACTCAGGAGGCTGAGGTGGGAGGATCACTTGAGCACAGGAGTTCAAGGCTGCAGTGAGCTACAATCGTGCCACTGTAACCCAGCCTGGGTGACAGAGTGAGACCCTTTCTCTAAAAAAGAAAAGAAAAGAAAGAGAGAAAGAAAGAAAAAGAAAGAAAGAAGGAAAGAAAGAAAGAAAGGAAGGAAGGAAGGAAGGAAGGAAGAAAGGAGGGAAGGAAGGAAGGAGAAAAGAAAAGATAAGAAAAGAAAAGATAGCACAGGACAAGGTGGAGGTGGAATAATGGAGGGGCTATTTGAGATAAGCTGGTCAGAGAGGGTGTCTTTGAGGAGATGGCATTTGAACAGAAGTGTGGAGGAGATGAGGGGGTGAGCCTTGTGGATATCTAGGGGAAGAGCATTCCAGGCAGAGGGAACAGCCAGTGTATTTGAATAGAATTAGTGAGGGGGAGAGGGTAGGACAGAGAGGAGAAGGAGACATTGAGCACACAGGGCTGTGGAAGGTGCTGGCAGTGCCCCACCCAAAATCCACTAGGGCCTCCCCAGAGGTCACCTGCAGACACTGCTGTGTATGCCTGTGGCTTCCTGCTTCTCTCTGCTCATGGATGCAGGTTGAGAGGGGAATGCAGTGAATTAATATCCACGAGTGTGAACTCCTACCAAGAAAAGAGAGTCGTTAGTGACTGTATACTCTAGCTTCTTTGCCCCTCTGTGAGAGACCCAAGAGGAGGCTGCTATAATCATCTAGGCAGGAGAGGGTGGCCACTGCACCAAGAGATAGCAGTGGGGGTGGTGACCAGTGGTGGGATTCTCAGGGCCTTTGCACATACTCCCCCATCGTTCTGGATTAATTTTCTCCCATGCCTTTATTCACGTGTCACTATTCCATATCCCCCACTGCTCAGCTTGGGGTTACCTCCTCCTGAGGGTCAAGAGTCCTCTCTGGGCCCCCACAGTTTTTTGGACTTCCCTTGTCTCTGTACTTCCCATACCATCTTTGTTCTCTAAACACCTTGCTTTGTAATCATGAGCTCCCCAGGGCAGAGACCTTGTCTGTCTTGTTCACTGGAAAAGTGTCCCCCTCTCTGGGTCATCACCCACCTCCCTGCTGCTGCTCACACAAGCCAGGCGTGGTCCTGCCTCAGGGTCTTTCCACTGGCTGCTGCCTCTGCCTGCACTTTTCCCTGATGTCTACATGGTTCCTTCCCTCACCATCTACCAGCTTTTTTTTTTTTTTTTTTTAAGATGGAGTCTCACTCTGTTACCCAGGCTGGAGTGCAGTGGCACAATCTTGGCTCACTGCAACCTCCACCTCCTGGGTTCAAGTGATTCTCCTGCCTCAGCCTCCTGAATAGCTTGGATTACAGGTGTGTGCCACCATGCTCAGCTAATTGTTGTATTTTTTTAGTAAAGACAGGGGTCTCACCACATTGGCCAGGCTGGTCTCAAACTCCTGACCTCAGGTAATTTGCTTGCCTCGGCCTTCCGAAGTGCTGAGAATACAGGCATGAGTCACCACGTCTGGCCCAGTCTTTTCTTAAATGGCACCTTTTCAATGGAGCCTGCCCTGACCACCATGTTTAAAATGCAACTTCTGCCCCTCCTGCTACTCCTGATCAACTTCCTCTGCTCTAGTTTTTCTTTTTCTTTCTTTTCATCATAACTTTTGTCACCTCCCAGCATGCCTTATAATTTACTTATGGTTATTGTTCATCTCCCTCTGCTAGAAGAGAGGCTCCTTGAGGGCAGGAATCTTTCATTCATTTCTTCACTGATGTCTCTCAAATGTCTAGAACAGTGCCTGGCTCCCACAGTAGGTGCTTGATAAACAATTTTGAATGAATGAATTAATGAGCAGAGTCAGAATTCTACTTAAGGCAGATTCTCTCTGAGGCCAGATTCTTAAAGGTGAGGGCTGGGATCATGCCTTATCCACTAAAGTACGGGGATTGGGTTTGTTCTCATATGCTGGGAAGCTGCTGGAGGGTGCTGAGCAGGCACAGATATGATTGGGTTTACCTTGTGAAAGCCCCTGTGGCTCTGGTGATAGGATGGGTGAAGAGGGGCAAGTGCAGTGCATTCCTCTGAGATACGTGTGTATGTGTTGAGCGGACAGGAGGGTGAAAATGGGGGCTTGGGGAGGTGACAGGGCTGGAGCTGCACTGAGAGAGCAGTGAGAGGAACCCCTTTAATGTCCGGATTCTCCAAGCAGCCTGGGTGGCTGCCCTACCAGCTCTGGCTGGGCCTCCCAGCTGCTGAGAACATGCTCCTATGCTGCAGATGGGCTGTGTGCTCGCCTGGGTGGTCCCTAGCTCCTCCCTCCACTTCCTTTGCACCCTTGTGGGCTTGGTGGGTGGAAGACAGGCTTCCACCCTGTCTCCTCCCCGACCCCGAGAATAATCCCTTACATTCATGTGATTCTCCTCGCGCCCTCACTTCATCCTCCCACATCCCTGGGTAACACAAAAATCTGAATCCCACTGGGCAGATGAGGACATTGAGGTCAGGCAAGGGGATGGGACCCTCCCAAGGTCATGCAGCCAGATGGGGACACCAGGTGGGGACATGTCTCCCAACTCCCCACGCCTCCATTTTCACCAGGCAACAGATGGCCCATGGCTTGACTTGAAAAATCTTAAGTGATCCCAAAGAGAGTGCAAGCCCAGAACATTCCAGCCCTCCTTGAGCTGGTTTTTACTACTACCTTTTAATACCAAATTCATTCATTTTAATTTCTATAAATGGATTCTTCTTACGGAAACTCAAAACATTACAGAGAAGACTAAGCTCTTTTTTACCCCCCTCCCCCTCTTCTCAGTTCCCTCTAGTATCCCAGTTTGGGTGTGTCTTTTCAAAACTGTGATATGCATTTAAAGACATAGCTGTCAACCCAGAGAAAACCCACAGGACTATTGTGAGATGGTAGGACAGGAAGGCAGGTGGAGGGCATTGCACACAAACCTAGTGCTTCGCAGCATTGCTCTTGGACAGCTTTGATTGACATTTAGATCTCTTTTCTATTTTCTAATAGCTGCAAAATATTCTATAGTGAGGCCAGCACAGTGGCTCACGCCTATAATCCCAGCATTTTGGGAGGATGAGGGGGGCATATCACTTGAGCTCAGAAATTCAAAACCAGCCTGGGCAACATGGCAAAACCCTGTCTCTACAAAAAATACAAAAAGTAGCCAGGCATGGTGGTACACACCTGTAGTCTCAGCTACTCAGGGGGCTGAGGCAGAAGTTGCAGTGAGCCAAGATTGCACCACTCCCCTCAAGCCTGGGCAACAGAGCAAGATCCTGCCTCAAATATATAAATATATATTCTGTAATATATATATATATATATATATATATATTCTGTAATATATATATATATATATATATATATATATATATTCTGTAGTATTTTAGCCATATAGTCCATTTGTTTATCTCATTTTCTACATTGAAATTTACGTTTCATTTTCATACACTGTAGTACAGTGGGTTGAGTTAATCCTGCCTCTCAGTTCTTAGCACGTGGTCATGATTTAGTCTGCAAGGACTCTTTCTTGTTTATATCATTTTCTCCCACCTCCACTCACTTTTAACCTCACTGAAACCCTCTCTACTGTATTTGATATGTCCTTAAATACTCAGAATTTCTTGCAAAATGCGTCATGTTGTTTTATGTGTTTCTGTGTTTTAAAACTTCTTAGCGGGACCAGGAGCAGTGGCTCACGCCTGTAATCCCAGCACTTTGGGAGGCCGAGGTGGGTGGATCACCTGAGGTAAGGAATTAGAGACCAGGCTGGCCAACATGGCAAAACCCCATCTCTACTGAAAATAGAAAAATTAGCCTGGTGTGGTGGCACACGCCTGTAATCCCAGCTACTCAGGAGGCTGAGGCAGAATCGCTTGAACCCAGGAGACAGAGGTTGTAGTGAGCTGAGATCGTGCCACTGCACTCCAGCCTGGGTGACAGAGCGACACTCTGTCTCAAAACAAAAATACATAAATAAATACCAAACCACATACCCGGTTTATTAGTATCAACTAAAACTGAGCATACCTGACAATTCCAGTCCTATCATTGGGTGTAATTCCACACAATAGAAACGCATACATACATGTACCCAAAGACACACACAGAGATGTTCTCAGCTCACTGCAGCCTCTGCCTCCCGGGTTCAAGCGATTCTTGTGCCTCAGCCTCCAAAGTAGCTGGGACTACAGATATGCACCACCACACCTGGCTAATTTTTGTATTTTTTGTAGAGATGAGGTTTCGCCAGGTTGGCCAGGCTGGTCTCGAACTCCTGGCCTCAAGTAATCCTCCTGCCCTGGCCTCCCAAAATGTTGGGATTACAGGCATGAGCCACCGCTCCTGACCCTGGGCATGTGTTTTGAATCCACATAAACATTATTGAGTTGTAAGTCATGTTCGTCTCCTCCTTTTATTTTTTATTTTTGCCTCTCCTGATGTTTCTCAGATCTCTCCATGCACTCTAGCACTCTAGGTACCTCTAGCTCCTTACTCCTCCAGCTCCAGAGAACTGCAGAGCTGCCTCTACCTCATTTCACTTGTCCACTCTCTTGATTATGGACACCTGAGTTGCTTTCTGCCCCTATCAACACACACAGTGCCACACTGGACATCCTATGTGGTATTGCCTTGTCATAGGGCACACACACACTTCTTCTTCCTTTTTTTTCTTTCTTTTTTTTTTGAGACAGGGTCTCACTCTGTTGCCCAGGCTGAGTGCAGTGCCCTGATCACAGCCCACTGCAGCCTCAAACTCCCGGGCTCAGGTGATTCTCCTGCCTCAGCCTCCCAAGTAGCCAGGATTACAGGCACACACCCCACCATACCTGGCTAATTTTTAAAAATTTTTAGTAGAGACAAGGTCTCACCATGTTGCCCAGGATGGTCTCAAACTCCTGAGCTCAAGCGATCCTCCCACCTTGGCCTCCTAAAGTGCTGGGATTACAGGCATGAGCCACCGTGCCCAGCCTTCTTTTTCCTAAATGCTGCCACCTTTCTCTCCAGGATGGCTTCCTCATTTTCACTCCTACCAGTGATGCACATCTTCGCCAACTTTGGGCATTTCCACCTCTCTATGGCCTGCCAGTGTGGTGGCTGTAAGTAATGTATTTACTCAGCCCGTCTCTTGTGCATAGACATTTAAGTTGTTTCCACCTTTGCAGATGATACAAACTGCTGCAATCATCCTTCAGGGACATGCTTCTTTGTACTTTTCTCTGAGTTCAATTTCTTTTCTGCCTCATCTTCCTCCACTCTTCTTGAACGCCAGTTCCTAAACACATCCTAACTTTCCCAGCTCTTTCCCTGAGCTCAGGCAGTGCCTTCTGCCAGAAATATCTTTTGTTAAGTGTTTACTCTTCCCTTAAGGACCCTCCTCCTAGAAGGCCCTGCCCCACCCCTGCCACCAAGAGGGTTGCTCTTCCTCAGCTCTCCCAGAGGGACTTTCATTCCCTTTTCTCCTGGCATCAGATACTTTCCTGTTTTGGACAAGAGCAGTTTTTTTGTTGTTGTTCATGGTTTTGGCTTTCTCACCAGCCCAAAAGCCCATTGAGCCCAGGGGTTCCACAAGCTTCCTCGAAGGTGCTCAGGGGGGCTCAGGAGAGGTCTGTCGAATGACTGAAGCCATGACCTAATCATGGGAATTAAGGGTACATTCTCCCTTTCTCTCTCTCCCTCTTCTTCTCCCCTCTCTCCTGCCTCTCATCCCTACCCCTTAACCAACCAGAACTTTTCAGGAGTAGCTAGTTCCACTGGAAAGAGGATGGAACATTCAGTCAAGACTCCCCCTCTCTTGGGTGGGCACAGGCAGCTCCACCCATCTGGAAAGTTAATGTGGGCCTCACTTATTCCCTCAGGTCAATGGCTATTAGTACCTGCACTCGGCCAGGCCCTGGGATCCAGTGGTACATAGGACAGGCCCAGTCCTGGACCTCACAGGCTTTCAGCCATGGGGACAAGATTGACACCATGCATGCACCCTCCTAATTGTGATAATGCTTGAATGAAAAGCTCAGAGTCCAGTGAAATTATATAGAGGGCGATCCTACCCTAAATCAGGGATGGAGATGGAGGAGGCTTTCTTGAGAAAGTGATATTTAAGCAAGATTTAAGGATGAGTAGAAATGAACTAAGCAAATGGAGAGGCTATGGGTGGTGGGGGGTTGGGGCGGGGGTAGAGAAAGTGCTTCTGCCAGAGGGAACTGCAAGTGCAAAGGCACTGTGGCAGGAGGGAGCCAGGGGAAGACCAGTGTGTCTGGAGTCCAAGGAGAACAGAAAAAAAGGGGAAGAGAGGCTGTAAAGATAGACAGAAAGCCCTGGTCAACAAAGTAAAACTGGAAAATGGACTCGTTCACTCAATAAATAATTATTGGATGCCCACTATTAGCCAGAAGCTGTGCTATAGCAGTGAACATGACAAAGTCCCTGTCCCCACGGAGCTCCCTGGGGACAGAGAAAGAATAGCTAACCTTTATAGAGGCCCTACTATGTGCCAGGAACTGTGCTGAGCACTTTGCATGCACTATTTGCATGCACTATTTCATTTCATCCTCACCACCACCCTATGAAGCAGGATACCCATTTTATTGAAGAGGAAACTGAGGCTTAGCAAGGTGTAGTGATTTACCCACCTTGAGGAGTCTTGAGGACTTATTGCAGGCCATTTAAAAAGGCCTTTTACAAGCACCCTCACTCAATGCTGGTGTATGGAGGATAACTTGGTACAGCCCCTATAGAGGGCAACTATCAAAATTATAAAACACACATGCTGTTCAATCAGCAAGTCTATCACTAGAAATTTCTTCTACAGATATCCAAAGTGGTGTGTCCACAAAGTCATTCACTGAAGTATTGTTGTAAAGGGCTGGAGAAAACCTAGCTGCCCGTGATTTAGGGGAATGATGAAGTGGATTGTGGTGTATGCATGCAATGGAATGTTGCCATACCATGAAAGAATAAGGGCCCCTCTATGCACTGATAGGAAGCAGTCTCCAAAAATGCTGTTATGTGGGGAAAACAAAGTATAGGACTGTATATAATTATGCTATCATTTGTTTTAAAATGGTGGTGGTAGGTATACAAATAGGAAGATGAGAGAGAGAAGAGACAGGCAGAGAGGGAGAGAGGGAGAGAGACAGACTCAAGAAACTAATAGCATTGATTGCCACTGGGAAGGGGAGCTGGTGGCTGGAGGATAGGGTAGGAGAGACACTTTTCAGTGTGTCCCTTTTGTACCTTTGAGTTTTTAAGCATGTGAATATATTGACCATTCACTAGATAAATAAATACAATTATGTTTATTGAAAGGACTTTCTGACTCTATGGGTAAGAAAGAGGCATTGGGATGAAGAAGACATCCCAGGCTTGTTGAGTTGAAGATGTCTTAGTGATTCCCTTTTTTCCGAATGAGGAAACTGAGGCCTACAGAGGCGAGGTGAATTGCTCAAGATCACCTGTGCAGGTAATGGCAGAACTAGGACTGGCTATTACCTGAATTGTAGTGCGGTGCCCTTTTCTGTCACACTGAGCATCTGCTATATGCTGGGCCCCACTAAGTGCTGAGGATACAGTGGTGAACAAGATAGGCATGACTGCTGCCTTCATGGAACTCACATTTTAGGCAAGAAACAAATAAATATGTATTATAATATCAGGTAGTGATCAATGCTATCAGTGAAAAATAAGGCAAGTGAAAGGATAGAGAATGTAGGGGAATGGGAGAAATGATCGAGAAAAATCCCTCTGAAGAGGCAACATTTTAGAAAGGAGAAAGATGGAGCCTTGTGAATACCTGGGAGCACAGCAGGAACAAAAGCCCCATGGAAGGAAGAAGGTTGGCTTGTTAAAGGAGACAGTGTGGCTGGAACAGAGTGAGCAAGGGAAAGACAGTGGGAGATGAGGTCAGAGAAAGGGCCAGGAGACAGAATGTACACAGGGCTGAGGACTTTGGCTCAAAGTGAGGCAGGAAGCAGTCGGAGGTTCTAAGCAGATGTGGGATCTGATGAGATTTCCCTTTTTAAAAGGCCCCTCTGGTTGAAGGTGGAGATTGAACATGAGGAGAGGAAAGAGGGGCTGCAGGGAACCCAGTGAGCAGGCAGGGGCAGTCCAGTTGTCCTGGAGAGAGGTGACAAGCCTGGGGCAGTGTGGTGGGGAGCAGAGATTGGTGTCCCCATCTGTCCAATATGGGAGTTGAACAAGATGTTCCTTTAGGGCCTTTGCAGCTTTGGGATTTGGTAATTTGGTGAACGACCTCAGAACATATCAACTAGGTGAGCCAGCCACACTGTTTTTCTTTTCTCACAATCTCCAGGTTTCTCCCCTTGGGTTCTGGGTCTGAACAGACCCAGTGATCTGAGGCTTAGATCGGGGACTCCTGCCCACCCCTCCCTGCCAGCCTGCTCCTGTCCCCACCTCCCAGGGACAGATGGGTGGGCGGCAGGAGCAGCTGGGCCTTGATGCCTGCAGGGCCCTGGGGGAGGGAATTATCTAAGAGTTCATAACCCTGCTCTGCCTTCCAGATCTTGAGTTAAAAGCCCCACATGTCACAGCTCCAAGGGGCATGGGTTGGAGGGTGGCAAAAGAGGGGTAGGGCAAGATGCTTTTCAGTCCTGTAGCTGCCCACAGGGGTTCAGTAACCTGGGGTGCTGAGGACTCCAGGAAGCTATTAGGGCTGAGGCTGAAAGCTGGTTACCCTCAGGCTGCGTCTAACCTGCTGGCTTTTTTATTTGGCCTGAAAAGTGTTTGAGAAAAGTTGGAGCCAATGCTTAAAAATCAAGGAACTTTACAGTAAAATCCAGATTTCTGACTTCTCTTGAATAATTAAAAAATCTGACCAGACTGACCACCCATTCCCAATTACAACACCCCACAGGAGCTGAGTAGCAGCTGTCCCTATTATTATTTTATTTTATTAATAAGTAAATACATGCACATGATTCCAAAAAGAAATCATAAATTGGCATGTATCATGAAGTCTCCCTCCCATCCTTGTCTGCCCTTCTCCCCAGTTCCCCATTCAGTAATCTCTTTATTTTCTCATGTAAATTTCCAAAGTTTCTTTATGCATATATAAACACATAAAAATATAGATTATTATTCCCCTTTTCACCTAGCTTCATTCCCTATTCTCTGCCTTGCTTTTCCCTGAGGAGGTCTTTCTGTATTAGGACATAGGGAGCTTGCTGCTACACGCCATCGCATTGTCAGAAGTCTCATGATTTATTTAGCTGGTCTCCCACTGATGGGCATTTGGGTCATTCCCACTATTTGCTTTTATAAACAATGCTGTATCAGTGTTCTCATGCATAGTTTGCACAGGTGCAAATATTTTAGTCGGAACTAAAGGAAGATTATTAGGAGCTGGTTCAAGCAGAGGGTGCAGTAGGCAAGAGCTGAACCCTCAGCAGGATCCCAAAGCAAGGCTAAGCAAGGAAACGTGATGAGGTCTGTTTGTAAAAGTGATTCCTGGCAAGGCACAGTGGTTCACGCTTGTAATCCCAGCACTTTGGGAGGCCAAGGCAGGAGGATTGCTTGAGCTCAGGAGTTTGAGACCAGACCGGGCAACAAAGCGAAATTCGTCTTTACAAAAAAATGTTAAAGACTAGCTGGACATGGTGGTATGTGCCTATAGTCCCAGCTACTCAGGAGGCTGAGGTGGGAGTCCAAGAGTTTGAGGCTACAGTGAGCTATGATTGCGCCACTGCACTCCAGCCTAGGCAACAATAAAGAGTGATTCCCAACAAAGGTCAGGGATGTGGGGGACTAGGGAAAGGCTCCCAGATTGGCTCCTGCCGCTTGCAAAAATATGGGACTTCTTTCTGGGCCTCAGAGTCCCTGCCTGTAAAATGAGAGAGGGGCTTGGAGAGCTGGATGAAATCCCAAAGGACTTTTCCAGTTCTGACCAGCTGTGGCCACCTTCTGTCTCCACACCAGACAGACTCAGCCTCTTCTCAGCCCTTGAACTTGCCTCGCTCCATCCTATTGCAGAGTGCTTGCCCAAACTGATCCCACCCTGGCCCCCACCACTGGAACATCACCTCTGTGCACTCCTATTGGTTTTTGTCTGAATTGCTGAACTGGCAGGCCACTCGGAACACACCAGCCCAAACCCCTTCAGGGTAGAGTCCCCTGTACAATACCCCAGACAGGTGGGTCACCCTCATACCTGATCCACACTTCAAATCCTTCTCCTTGTCACTCCCCTAAGTCACCTGAACTTTTAGCATAGAGTTCTTGAATGCCAACTCTGCTACTTCCTAACAAATGGCCTTGTGACAGTACCTCCCTGAATTTCAATTTCTACCTGAAAAATGGCTGGTTTGAGGATAACATGTGATGGTATTAGTAAAGTTCTTAGCACAGCTCCTGACACACAGAAAGGCTTAATAATTCCATAAGTCACTGCCCTTGTCTGAATAAGTTACCTTGTTTATAAAATGGAGAGAACTTATAGAACCTATTCTTTTTTTTTTTTTTTTTTTGCGATGGTATCTCACTCTGTCACCCATGCTGGAATGCAGAAACATGATCATGGCTCACTACAGCCTCAACTTCCTGGGCTCCAGTGATCCTCCCATCTCAGCCTCTCTGATAGCTGGGACTACAGGTGCATGCCACCACACTCGGCTAATTTTTGTATATTTTGTAAAGATGGGGCCATATTGCCCAGGCTGTTCTCAAACTCCTGGGCTTGAACAATCCATCCACCTCCGCTTCGTAAAGTGCTGGGCTACAGGCATGAGCCACCATGTCCAGCCTCAGAATTTATAGGGGTGATCACTCACTCACTTATTCATTCATTCATTCATTCACTTAATGATTTTTGTAGAATACCTACTGAGTGCCCAGCATAGCACTGGGCACAAGGAGATTTGGTGGTGAAGAAAATAGATGAATTGTTCCAACCCTCATGGAGCTCCCAGGCAATTCCGAACAGGCAAACATACAAAGATAAATTGCCAGTGTGCTGATATGAAGAAGGAAAAAACAAAGATATTATGGAAGCTCATAACAGGGTTGTGTCAGGGAAACTTCTCTGTGA
The DNA here is from genome assembly GCF_000001405.40 of Homo sapiens. Lineage (NCBI taxonomy): Eukaryota > Metazoa > Chordata > Mammalia > Primates > Hominidae > Homo > Homo sapiens. The sequence goes on from NC_000020.11 coordinate 31,965,545, forward strand.
GATAAGGATCAGGGCATGGCTGGGTGGGAAAGCCAGGAGGGTTTCCTGAAGGAGACATCACCCTAGTCTAATAATTAGCTTTAATTATCCTCACCACAGCCCTAGAAGGAAGGCACTGGTTATCTCTCATTTTACTTTTCTCTGAAGTTAAGAGAAATTAAGTGACTTGCCCAAGGTGATGGAGCTAGGAAGGGATGAATGGGTTTTTGTTTTGTTTTGTTTTGTTTTTGTTTTTGTTTTTTGAGATGGAGTATCACTCTGTTGCCCAGGCTGGAGTGCAGTGGTCTGATCTCGGCTCACTGCAACCTCCGCTTCCCAGGTTCAAGCAATTCTCCTGCCTCAGCCTCCCAAGTATCTGGGACTACAGGTGTGCACAACCATGACCGGCTAATTTTTGTATTTTTAGTAGAGACGGGGTTTCACTATGTTGGCCAGGCTGGTCTCGAACTCCTGACCTCGTGATCCACCCGCCTCGGCCTCCCAAAGTGCTGGGATTACAGGTGTGAGCCACCGTGCCTGGCTGATGCATGGGTTTTAAACCCAGATTTCCTGGCTGTGGAGTCTCCGACCTAAAAACCTGTCTTCTGCTGCCTCTTTGAATAGGCAAATCCTGGGATATAGAGCATCATGGGAAGTAGAGAGGCTGCCTTCACTTGGATGGGGCCCAGAAGTGGGACTCTAACTTTGCCGTATCCTATCCAGACACCAGTGAAAAGGAAGAGATCCAGACACATCCAAGAACTGACTGAGGACCCTCAGGGTGGCTGGGGCCAGAGTTTCTCTCCTGCCCGCTACCATCCAGGGCTCTGTGCACTTCATTAGTCTCCCTGCCTAGGGTTGTGGGAGAGAAAGAAAAATCAGAGATATTCCTTTCTAAATTACACTGGGATTCAGACCTTCCAGCCCGACCCACAAACACCCTTGCTCACTAAACATGCCTGTCAATAGGCAACTGTCAGCCTTGAATCCATCCTGGAAAACTCCCTTAATCCCTAACTCTTTCCCCTCTGTTTTCAGCCTTGGGCAACAGCTGGTACCCCAACCTCCTAAGCATGCTGAGACCAAAACAGTCCCTGGGCATGAAAAGGATGCCAGGCTGCAGGACTGCAGTTGGCTTCTCCTTCCTGACCCAGGGCAGCTCTCTCCTTTCATCCTCTCTTCCCTGCCACTCTGAGGCAGGTTGGTTCTCCCACTTCCCTTCCTCAGCTCCTCTTTCTTCAACCCCTACCCTTTGCCCCTCCTCTCTCCCTCCCCTTGAAGGGTAGCAAAGCCTATTCTGGAGCCAGATGATGGGCATGAATTTGGCTGTAGCTACTAATTGTGTCACCCTGAACAAATTAATTTCTCTGTGACTTAGTTTCTGCATCTGTAAAATGGGAGGAAAAAAGGAGCTACCTCACAAATTGTGAGGGTAGAATGAGTTAGTAATTGTAGTGTTTTGGACAGTGCCAGGCAAAGAGACACTACTATATGGATGTTTGTATAATAAATGCCTGGATACATCCAATCTGATCAAAGGCAGAGATGGGAAATGAGCTTGGGGTATCCAGGATGTGTGGGAACTCCACCCCCTCTCATAGGTTACTGCTATAATCTCCTTCTGGTCTCACCAGCCCCAGGCTGCTTCCTTGTGATCGCTTCTCTACTCTGGCTGCTGGGTCTTCTTTCTAAATCCTGATGTGACCACATAACTCCCCTGCTCAAATACTGCAGTGGTTCCCCATTGCCTGCTGGATAAAGGCCACCTTCTGGCCCCTTAGGATCTCATCCTCAGAACTCTGCAGCCCTATCTTCCCCATCTTTCTCCTCCCCTGGATCTGAGATCCAGACTTGCTTGAAGATATGCCCTCCAGTCTCAGGCCTCCAGGCCTTTGCACTTGCTCTTTCCTCCACCCGGTGTTTCCTCCCATCCCTTTCCTCTTGATGTTGGATGTTGTCCCCTTCCCTCCCCCTACTCTACTAGGGCTGTAGCCAGATGAAGGCAGTCCCCGAGAGAGGGAAAGCGGAGAGTAAGGAAGAGACAGCAACTCAGAGCTGCAGCTTTCTCAGCTTCAAAACGAAGACAATAAGAAAAGGGGACCCCTCAAGATCAAAGGAGGGGATGGAACAATATGTGAGCACTCAGGAAACTGGAAATGAGCGTTAGCATGGAGTGACTGCTAAAGGGTTACTGGGGGGCCCGCCCAAGTCCCCCAGCTCCTTTCTTCCAAGTCCCCCACCCACCCCCCCGTCAGACCCAGGCCACTGGAGGTGAACACAGGAGAAAAACGAAGTGGAGAGAATGGGAAGGGGGAGGCGATAAACAAAAAAGAAGGAAGTGCAGTCCGAGGGGAGATGAGAGACAGAAAGCATGGGGTTGGAGCCCCGCGCCTCCGAGGAAGGAGGGAGAGGGTGACCTGGGGTGCGCCCCGCCTCCCCTGCTTCCGCATTCCCGGGGGCTGCCCCCCCTTCGGCCGCAGCTCAGGCGGGTGGGGGCGGGGCGGGGCGGCGCCGAGGAGAATGAATAATTGAAGTGGAGGGGAGGAGGAAGAAGAGGAGAAGGAGGAAGAGGAGCCGCCCGCGCAGGGTCCTCCCCACGCCGCACCCCCCTCCGCCGCCCGGAAGTCGCTCCCCGCCTCCCTCTCCGCCAACATGGCCGCGAAGTCGGATGGAGCGGCGGCCTCGGCCAGCCCGGACCCGGAGGGGGCTGCCGGTGGAGCCCGGGGCAGTGCCGGCGGGCGCGGGGAGGCGGCGGCGGCGGCCGGGCCCCCGGGGGTCGTCGGGGCGGGCGGCCCGGGGCCGCGCTACGAGCTGCGGGACTGCTGCTGGGTGCTGTGCGCGCTGCTCGTGTTCTTCTCCGACGGTGCCACGGACCTGTGGCTGGCGGCCTCCTACTACCTGCAGAATCAACACACCTACTTCAGCCTCACCTTGCTGTTCGTGCTCCTGCCCTCGCTGGTCGTGCAGTTACTGAGCTTCCGCTGGTTCGTCTACGACTACTCGGAGCCCGCAGGGTCCCCGGGACCCGCCGTCAGCACCAAGGACAGCGTAGCCGGCGGAGCCGCCATCAGCACCAAGGACAGCGCCGGCGCCTTCCGGACCAAAGAAGGCAGCCCCGAGCCGGGTCCCCAGCCTGCGCCCTCCTCGGCCAGCGCCTACCGCCGCCGCTGCTGCCGCCTCTGCATCTGGCTGCTGCAGACCCTCGTCCACCTCCTGCAGCTCGGCCAGGTCTGGAGGTAGGAGAAGCGCAGGTGGAGGGACCTGAGCCCGAGGAGTGGGGGTGGCGAAGGGCTACCTGACGTCCCAGCCCTGATCTGACCTTTCCGGGCTACCCTCCTGTCCTGACCTCCCCCCCTCCCCACCCCATTGCAGCTCTAATTTCTTCTCAGTCGGCTTCTCCCTGACCTCTGCCCCCAAGCCCTGACCAACCCCAGTGCCATCCGGTCTGACCTGGCCTTCGAGAGGGGAGGGGATGGTTCAAGAAAGGAGAGAAAGAGATCCTCAGGGGTGTGCGTGAGTGGGGAGGACCCGGGGCTCATGAAGATAAATGTGAAGCTTAAAACAGGACCACAGGGCCCTATTCTGCCATAACCCACTCCTCTCTGCCTGAGTGCCAAGCCTGGGCTCAGGAAAGATCTCAGAAGTCCTTTCCTGCTCGCAAAGATCCTCAGTTCAGAATTGCAGCTCATTCACAACCTGCAAGGAGAGTCACAGAATTTGAGACAGCTAAATGAATATCCCGCCTAAACTTCTTGGACTTTTTGGAGAAAGATATGCTGGACCCAACTGGGGAGCCCTCAGGCTCCTTCTACTTCCTATGACCCCCTCTCCCCCAGCTAAGGGTCCTCCCCTTCCAACAGGGCCAAGGGGATTTGGAATCTTGAATCTGAGATTAGATGGCCACTGGCTGCCCTTTAATCCCGAACTGGTAAGGCAAAACTGAGGCTTTGTTCAAGCTGCCCACTTTCAGTCTTCTTCCTCTGCCAGAACTGAGGGTGCCTGCTGCACTGAGTTAAGTGGAGAGAGGAGGAATTCTAAACCTAGGGCTCCTCTTGAATCTGAATTGCTATTTAGTAGCTTAGGCCCTTCTGTGCTCTAACAGAATGAACTTGCTTACTATATGATCTTAGGCAAGCCGCCCTCCTCCTTCCAAGCCTCAGTTTCCTCTTCTGTGAAATGAGGGAGAATCCCTACTCCTCTTATCTCATTGTCTTATCATTGCATTATTCTTACCTGTTGGGATGGTCAGGTGAGAGGTCTGCATGAGGGCCCTGCAGACTGTAACATTTTAAGAGTGTGGGGAAAGCATGGAAAAAGTCACTCTAGAGATATAAAGGGTGATTACTGCTGTTGTTATATTTATTCTGCTACTTGTTAACACATTCTGCCTAACTCAGAAGATTCAGTTTGGGGCTGAGGGTTGAAAACAGGACTCCTAGGGTTTGTCCCAGCTGCTCACTTGCTGTGTCACTCTTGTTGTGTTGTCGAATCTCTCTGCCTTTGTTTCCCTATCTATTCCTGCCAAGATGATGTGTATATTCCACTTAGCTTATCCTGGAGGAAAAGGGGGCGGAGCTCTATCCACACAAGGTGGTGTTATTATTATTAGCGTGACACATAAAAATATTCATGTCTACATCCAGGAACTAATCTGCATTTATCATTCTGTGCCCGAGTGGACAGATGGTGAAAGATATTTTTAGATTCTGAAATGGTAACTTCCTATTCTTGGTAGGAAGCTTCATCCCCCTTTTCCTTCAGCCTAAAGTGGGCCAGATGCCCCTCGACTCACTGGCTATCCCCCCATTCAGAATCCACTTACAAGAAACTAATACTTCTCTTCTTTGTTAAGCATAAACTGAGTTTCCCTCAAATAGGGCAAAAATGGCCATGGGTGTGGGGTCCCAGGGGAGTAGCTAGAATTGCTAAGGATCCCCTCAGCTCTATGGTTTCTTGGATATGGATAAAAGGACTAGCTATTTCTACTATCTCCCATTTGCAAAATGAGGAGGCTGGGATGAGATAAGTTTGTAGGGATAACAATCTAATAGCTCTTAGGTTGAATGTGGCTTGTGGAAGTGTTTTGTGTGGCTTGCATAGTATTTTAAAAACCCAGAGTCGTAGCTTCCCTTTAAAAAAATTGGATCTAGCAGTATCAATCCTGTAACAATTTAGAAAGAGTCTATGTGCTCTAATTTGTCCATCTTTCCCTTTGATCATATCTGTACTATTTCACTTAGACATGAAAGCCCTAATTTACAGTTCTATAACAATTATTTTATTAAACACTGACTTTGTGCCAAGCCTACTGGTTGCCTTTTTACCTGCTTTATTTCCTGTACCCCTTCTAATCATCCTGTCATGTGGTTAGCATTATAATTTCTACTTGACAGATGAGGGAATGGAGGCTCAGAGAGGGGGCATCCTTGTCCAAGGTCACACAGCTAGGAACTTGAAGAGCTGAGACTCCAGGCTCTCTGCCTTTAAAGCCTGAGTTCAATTTATCCACCTTGTAATTCTGCCACTAAAGTGTCCCTCAAGCTTAAAGAAGTATGAATCTGAGATTCCAAGATTCCAGTATGATAGAAAGTCAGGGCTTCTGTTGCACTGAGATAAGAATGTGAAAAGAGGGGCAGGGAGTTGAACTATGTGGGTGAGGACGGGAACAGTGTGTATTGTGGGGAAAAGGCTGGATTCGGGGGTGGTCTGGTCAGGAGGCTGACATCTTTATCCTAGTTTGTAACTATAGTTTGCTGGGTGACCTTGGGCAAGGCTCTTTCCATCTTTGGGTCTCGGTTTCCCTGTGTGTGAAATGAGATTCAATGTGATGACCTTAAGAGTTTCCCATTCCTGAAATTCTGACTCTGGGTCTATTGCCAAAGCAAAAGCCTCTGGGCCCTTGCCCCCAAAATCTTTGGATTCTAAAATGGCTAAGGGCCTGGATAAATGGAGGGAAAACCCAGAGAAGGTATAGAGAAGCTGCAGGGGCTGGCATTCCTAGAAATTAAGCAATGTTGGCCCAGCACATTTGCTTACCACGTGAGATGTTCCCACAGATGTTCTGAGTGGTGGGGCCTGGGGTAATGAAGAGGGAGATGTGTGATTGAGTCCTCCAGAATCACACCTGGGAGGCTAGGCAGTCACTCACCTCCTGATCCCATTTCCTCAATTCTGAATAAAATAATTATAATCATGAAGATATTTTTCAACCTCTTAGACTTGTAAAATCCTGAATTAAAAATTCAAATGCTTTGAGGACCCAGGCAGGTAACAGACCATAAGACCATAAGATACAAGGGGTGTCAGACAAGAGGACATTCAGGGGCAAGTAGTGTCCGAGGAAAAGGGAAGCTCCAGCTGATCATGCCATGAGAAATCGTGGACCCAGTCTTGATTTCTCAAGAGAAATGGGAAATTGGGATTTTTCCGTGAACTCTCCAAAATTTAACTACTAATTAAAATGTTTAAAAATAGTGTCAACCAAAGGAAACATATTTATTAGCCTGTCTTCTTTGTAACCTCTGGTTTAGCTCTTCAAATTGATAAGGTCTTTTCACACAGAAGATTTTATTACTAATTTAAACATAAAATGAAGCTCTGAAGAGAGAGAGGAGGAGAAAGCATACACAGACACTGCACACCTACCGTGTCCCCACAGGCCCTGTGTGAGTGTTTCAGGCATGTGATCTCATGTTACTCTGAAACCCTCCCCCCTGGTGACTATTGATATACCCATTTATCAGATAAGGAACCTTGTCCAAAAGTCACCCACTGAGGAAGTGAGGAAAGGTGATCAGTCCCAAACCTAGCTCTATCTTTTACACCACACACTGGCTACTTTGGGACATGCCAGAACAATATCTTTGTGCACAGAGAGATTGAACTCTGAGGGAACAGCAAACAGATCCTCTGGCGGGGCACGAAGCTGGCTGTGGCCTGGACACCAACCTGCAACTTCATCCCTCCCTTCCCTTTAAACTCTCTGAGCTGTTAAACTGCCCAGGGTTCTTAAGCTAATTAAAGTCCTAACCCTGTCCCCTCTGACCCTGTAGGCAGCAGAGCAGTAAGCCATGAATCCTGCTTTTCCTAATCTTGAGCTCAGTGGGCCCCAGCTTCACCCAGATAAGCATGGTTTGCTAAGCCAATTAGTGGGAGACGATCTGACATGGGATTCCTGCCAGGCTTTCGGGATCTGGGAACCCCAAAATGGGGAGAAAATTAGGCAATTGGGATTTAGGGGCCCTCCCTCTAATGCCCTCTCTATGCATAGGCCCAGACACTGCACTCTATGTCACCTAAGAAGCCCTGCATGACAGAGAAGTTCTGGAATGAGTTAGTGACCTATTGGAAGGAAATGTCAGGCTCTGGATTTCCCCTCTGGGAAACTACATTCTTGGCATAACGGTTGAGAGGGTTGAGAGCACGGACTCTAGATTCAAGTGTCCTCAGTTTAAATCCAGACTTTACTACTTCTTATATGTGACCTTGACAAGGCAAATAATCTCTCATCCGTTGTAAACTAGGGACCAAAATTGTACCCACCCGCCTCTTAGGTTGTTTCAAGGTTTAATGAGATAATGTGTAAGGGTTCAGCAAAGGGCTCATTCCATCGTTAAATGCTCAGAAACTGCTGGCAATGATTAGTGCATTAGCTTGGGCTTTGCTCCCTGTGGAACAAAGCTTTGTTCACGGAGCACATGGCAGGACAGCAAGGGGGTCCTGAAGTCCCTTGAAGCCATAATGACATGGCAGTCATTCATTTAATCTGCAGTCATTCATTCAGCAGACATTTATTAAGCACCTGCTGTATACCAGGCACTGTTCTAAGTGCTGGGAATAGAGTGGTGAACAAGACAAAGTCCTTGCCCTCTTGGAGCTCAATAGCCTAATGAAGGAACCAATAAGAAAATAAACTATGATATATATTATATGGGATATATAATACCTGGGCCAGATCGTGATAAGTGCTATGGGGAAAAAAATGAAACAGGGCAGGGAGCTACTGGAGTGCCAGGGAGAGGTGTGGCTCTTTGAGATAGGGTGGTCAGGGTGGACCTCTCCAAGGAGGTGGCATGTGGGCAAAGGGCTGCACGAGGTGAGGACAAGCTGTGTAGAGGTCTTGGGGAGGGTTTTGCAGGCAAAGGAAAAGGGAAGGGCAAGGAGAAGGCCTGTGTGGCAGAAATAGAGTGAGGGGAGCATGTTTGGAGATGCTGGTGGACAGATTGGCAGGGGCGAGGTCATGCAGGGCCTCAGAGGCCATGGCAAGGACTAGGGCTTTTACTCTTCATGACACGGGGAGCCCAGGATAATTTGGCCAGAGAAGGAACATGATCTTGACTTGTGTTTTGCAATGTCCACTCTGGCTGCTGGGTGGGGAATAGACTGGAGGGGCCGGGCACAGTGGCTCACGCTTGTAATCCCAGCACTTTGGGAGGCCGAGGCAGGCGGATCACGAGGTCAAGAGATCGAGACCATCCTGGCCAACATGGTGAAAGCCGGTCTCTACTAAAAATACAAAAATTAGCTGGGCATGGTGGTGCGCACCTGTAATCCCAGCTACTCGGGAGGCGGAGGCAGGAGAATCGCTTGAACCTGGCAGGTGGAGGTTGCAGTGAGCCGAGAGTGAGCCACTGCACTCCAGCCTGGGTGACAGAGCAAGACTCCATCTCAAGAGAAAAAGCATAAAAAAGAGAGAGAATAGACTGGAGGGAGGCAGAGTAAGCCTGGAGATGCATGAGGAGGCTGCTACAAAGATGCAGGAGAGAGACAATGGAGACTGGATCAAACTGTAGCAACAGGGATGGGGGTCTGCTTCAGGCTGAGCTAATGCGACCTCTTTCCTTCTTTGGTCCTCAGTCTCTCCACTGGGGCCAGAGTTAATGGTTCAGCATCCACTCTCTGGAATCAGCCATATCCTGCACCTGCCACTTTCTGTGATTTGGGGCAAGTGGCATGACTTGTCTGTGCCTTGATTTTCTCATCTGCTAAATGGACACTCTAATAATAGCACCTATCGCATGGTGCTTGAGGTAGTAGAAAATTAAATAATGTTTAGTGTTCAGCACAGTGCCTGGAACATAGGAAGTTCTCAACAATGATAATTAGACATTGTTATTTGTAAAACAGGTCAGGGGTTGGATTCCATCATTTTCAAACTGTGTTTTATAGCCCTGTCTCCATCATTTTAACCCAAGTATCTCTGAATGTCTCTTTTATGACATGTCTAAGATTTTGTTTTGAATAATCTGTCCTACAGCTGACACTTGATTACAGTCCCCTGAACTCAGTGACCATCCATGAGGTTCCTCCCTGCTCTGCCTTTGTAGGGTTGTTCCAGTTTGGGCCTCACCACTCACCTCCTGGGAGACCCCTCTCCAGGAGGCTCTCCACCCCCACCCTGCCTCCTCCCCTTGCCCATCCAGCTGCCATGGACCATTAGAGCTGCTCCTAACAGACACAGCGGCGGCGGTTGGGCCCAGCGTCCCCTGTTTGATCTATAAAGACCACACAGGAGAAGCTCTGGGGAGTGGGAGGGCGGAGGGCTGCCAGGAAATGGCTTTGAACCCAGCATCTGGGGCGCAGGTCCCTGGGGAGAGGAGGGAGGATGGTTGGGATCTTCTCTGGCCTCTCTGTTCACCACCCTGCCTTTGTTAGGGCATCCAAATTCCTCCCCTGGGAAATCCTATCAGCCTCCGGTTATCACCCCCAACCCCCAATCCCGCCTCCACCTGCAGGCAGAGCGATGGCTCCCCTATGTCCCTAGAGCAAGTCCCTGTGCTTTAGCCTGGCTTTGAGGCCCTTTGCCCCCTGATCTTTTGTCTTTCCTCCCTGCTCTACCCACATGACAACCTGCTCCCCACCCCCTTGCTCTCCATTGCCTGCAGTCCTTCCTCCAGCAACACCCAACACCAGTTTCCAGTCTCCTCCCAGTGAAATTCTGCACGTCCTTCCAGGCTGAGCTCAAATGCCACCTCTTCTAAGAAGCTTTCTCTGAACAAATCCCACACATGCTACCCTCTGCCCCCCAGAAACCACCTCCCACTCACTCAACCAGGCAAAAGTCATTGTTCTAAAGTGGAAAATGTTTGGCTGTTTTGTCTGTTGATCAAAAAGCTATACATTCTTGTTGAAACCTCAGGCAATATAGAAAAGGCATAAAGAGATTCCCCTCTGCTCATTATCTCTTGGGGCGGGAGGGGTGGGGTCAGGGGAGATTTCCACTTATTAAGTAGATATTTCTTGCATTGCTTGAAGATTTTGCCTCTGGTTTTCAGTTAGCTAAAAAAATGCATGTATAGATTTGTCTATTTTTTAAAAATCAGTATAAAAATGAAATTTATTATACTTACTGTTTATTAAGACTTAGATTCGATCATTTCTCTTGACAATCCTGCCAGGTAGAGACTGCGAGGATGAAGAAGAGAACTGTAGACCCAAAACCCTGGCTCTGCCACATATGAGCTGTGTGGCTTTGAGCAAGTCACTTAACCTTTCTGGACCTCAGCTTTCTCATCTGTGAAATGGGCATCATAACAATCCCTACCCAGGTCTCCATTGTGAAGGCTGATTCAATTAATATATATGTGCTCTGCACAGTACTCAGCACATAGTGGTGCTCAGTTAGTGTTTGCTAGCATTATTGGCCCCATTTTACAGATGTGGAAATTGAGGCACAGAGAAGAGTGGCCTTCCAATTCATAAGGAGCAAAGCTAGGGTTTGAAGCCATGAGGTCAGGCTCCCAAACCCACATGTGGAACCACCAAACTATACTGTCTTCTGCTAGTTAAGTGTATTCTTACAAACAATCAATCATGTATTGTTTAGAGAAGCAGAAGAAAAAATATCAGAAAAGTATTTTTATTTTTTTTTATTTTTTTTGAGACAGAGTCTCGCTCTGTCTCCCAGGCTGGAGTGCAGTGGCTCGATCTCGGCTCACTGCAACCTCTGCCTCCCCGGTTCAAGCGATTCTCCTGCCTCAGCCTCCCGAGTAGCTGGGATTACATGTGCCCACCCCCACACCCAGCTAATTTTTGTATTTTTAGTAGAAACGGGGTTTCACCATATTGGCCAGACTGGTCTCGAACTTCTGACCTCAGGCGATCCACCTGCCTCGGCCTCCCAAAGTGCTGGGATTACAGGCGTGAGCCACCACACCAGGCCAGAAAAGTATTTTTAAATTTGTATTTTAATGTAAAGTCCCCACTGTTAACATTCTGGGTTCTTCCCCTCAGACTTCCTCCCCAGGCACAATTACTCATTCCTTTTTACCCCACAGCACTGATCACATTTTGTTGTGATCATCTACCCACCTGGCTGGCTTTCCCGCTGGATCACAAACCCCTGGGGAGTTGAGGCTTTGTTGCTTTTTCTTTCTGTCTCCCATGGTGACTAGCACAGATTAGATCCTCTGTTACTGTTGGTGGTCTTGCACCCAGCCAGCTCTAGTGAGGTCTATGGTGGGTTCTTGCAACATGAAGCCAGTTGAAGCTGGCATTTGGCAGGGTGCTGAATGTGCGAGCTTTCTGCAGTTGTGGACACAGCACTGAGGTCTGTTAGGCCTACATCCACAGCCTTTAAAACTGTCCACGGCCTAAGGCTAAGGAAAGAGGAGGTAGTAGGAACAACCCTGGGTTGGGTTCCCAGAATGATACAGTTGTGGCTGACTTAGGAGATGGAGGAAGTCAAGTTCCTTGTATGCAGTAGGTACTCAATAAATGTTGGTGTGAACTGGATTGAACCTTTGAGATCAGAATCTTGGACAAGTCACTTCGCACCTAGGGTTCAGTTACTCCATCTGTAAAGTAACTTCAGAATTCTGGTGAGTTTTCCTAGGACTTGGACAAGAAAGCAGAGTAGCTGAGAGCTTGGGGCACCAGCGCAGATCAAGGAGCCATGACATCCTAGTTGCGTGACCCTGGGGAAGTTGCTCCACCAGCCACAGCTCCTGTCTCATCTGTGAAATGGGGATAGTGATAGTATCCACATCTTAAGGTTTTTATAAGGATGTCTTGAGATAATGTAAATGCACAGGGCTTGTCACATAGTATATGCCCAGAAAACATCTACTACAATGACTATTATTATTGGCCCAAGTCACAGCCCATCCTACTTGCTTAGTAACAAGATGGGGTTAGGACAGGGGCATAAGGGGTCCTAACTCTCACCCACTGACCCCCTATCGAGGAAGGAGAGTTGTTCTATGGCTCCAGAGATACTGTGAGGGCAGATGCGAACTCAAAGTAAAGGGAGGCACAGTCTTTGGAATAGAAGCAAGAACACACTGTCAATCAGGCTGTTCCCGAGGGTGTGAACTCCACATCAGCAGAGGTGTCCAGATGGAAGTGGCTAACTTTGGCAGGGATGCTGTATCAGGGACTCTTGCTTCAGTCTGGAGGATAAACTAGATGATCTCTAAAGCCCCTTAGTTCTGTGTCTGTAGCTCTATCCTTGGGACTTTATGATACTCGCTTCCATGATGTTTAACCACCAGACCACAGGTTGCAAATCAGTGGCCTATGGGCAAATCCAGCCTCAAGAGTGTTGGTTTGGTCCGCAAAGGACTTTTTTCTCCTACTTTTTTTTTTTATTTTTTTTGCTTTTTGAGATGGTCACGCTCTGTTGCCTAGGCTGAAGTGCAGTGGCACGATCTCAGTTCACTCTAGCCTCCGCCTCCCAGACTCAAGCGATCCTCCTGCCTCAGCCTCCTGAGTAGCTAGGACTACAGGTACACACCACCATGCCCAGCTAATTTTAAGACAATTTTTTTGTAGGGGCAGGGTCTCACTATATTGCCCAGGCTGGTCTTGAACTCCTGGGCTCAAGTGTTCCTCCTGCCTTGGCCTCCCAAAGTGCTGGGATTGCAGGCGTGAGCCACTGTGCTGGTTCTTCTCTTACTTTTTATTAAAACCTTTTATTGCAGAAAAATTTAAACACTTGAAAAAGTTGAGGAAATGGGATAATGATCCCCTACCACCTCTCTTCAACAATTATTGATTCCTGGCCAACCTTGTTTTATCTAGGGCAGCACCATCCAGTAGAACTTTCTGCAGTCATGAAAATGTCCTATATCTGCACTATCCAATATAGTAGCCACTATAGAGCACTTGGCATGTGGCCGGTATGACTGAGGAACTAAATTTTAAACTCTTTACTTGTAATTATTTACTTGTAATTAATCAAAATCTAAATAATCATACATGGCAAGCATTGAACATGTAGGTGTTAGAGAGCATAGTTGCAGGCCCCACCCCATTTCCTTCCCTTCCGTGTTATTTTCAAGCAAATTTCAAACATCTCTAAAAAGATAGACTTCAAAAACATCGCTAAGTTGCTGGGCATGGTGGCTCATGCCTGTAATCCCAGCACTTTGGGAGGCCGAGGTGGGAAGATCACTTGAGGTCAGGAGTTCAAGACCAGCCTGGCCAACATGGTGAAACCCTGTCTCTACTAAAAATACAAAAATTAGCTGGGCATGGTGGCACACGCCTGTAGTCCCAGCTACTCAGGAGGCTGAGGCAGGAGAATTGCTTGAACCTGGGAGGCGGAGGTTGCAGTGAGCTGAGATCACACCACTGTACTCCAGCCTGGGCGACAGAGTGAGACTCTGTCTCAAAAAAAAAAAAAAATTGTTAAAATATGTAATACTGCTATCACACCTACAAAATGGAATTATGATTTCTTTTTTTCTTTTCTTTTTCTTTTTTTTTTAAAGAGAAGGTTTCACTCTGCCACCCAGGCAAGAATGCAGTGCCACAGTCATGGCTTACTGAAGCCTGGAACTCTTGGGCTCAAGAGATCCTCCCACCTTGGCCTCCCAAAGTGCTGGGATCACAGGCATAAGCCACTACACCAGCCTAATTTCTTAAAAATTCATATGGTATTTCTTTAATTTATTGTGAACATTTCCAAATTGAGATTTTCCCCTTGTTTTTCTTTTTGCATAAATATCCTAATATCCACCTATTCTTGAAAAATTGAAACTCCAGCCATGTTGGGCTCATATTCTCCCAGGGCATCAGTTGGCTGGAACTGACAGGTGGCTGCCTCTGTAGACAGGCCACATAGTTCCCCAGTCCCTCATAATGATAGCAGCTGAGCCCCTTTAAGCATTGGCATTTGAGACCCTGGCTACCATGTAGAATCTCACACCCAGACTAGGGGCAGATACAAGTGATGTTTTCTCCCTGCCTTGGTCCCGTGATACCTTCAGATGCCATCGGGAGGATGGAATCTAACCCCCTCCCCCACTGGCTTATGACATACCAAATCCACATGAGGATATCAAGCAAAGAGAGAAAGGGGGAACAAAAGGCCTTGGGCTAGAGTATGGGGTCCTGGGTTTTAGTCTCTTCTCTGCACCCATTTCACAGATGGGGAAACTGAGGTCCAGAGAGGAGAGGAGAGCTGGCTGCATTCATACAGTGAGGGATGTGGGAGGCCAGAACCTAGTCCCCAAATGCTTTGCTGAAGAGGGGCTGCCCATTCCTCTGCTGTGCAAAAGAGGGACGCTGGCTGGGAGCTGATGAGGGTGAGTGGGATGGGAGAGGGTCTCAGCTTCTCAGTTAGGGCCTAAAATTAGTGGCTGGGAAATGTTTGGCTTTAGCCCAGAAAAAAAAAAAAAAAAAAAAGAGGTGCTGTGACTCTGTAGGGGGCTGCTAAGGAGGAGGGAGACAGCCCAGCTCCAGCTCCCAGCACCACATGAAATGGGAGCCAAACGTGTAAAATCACATTCTTTACTGACATTTATGACTCATTTGGCTGACAACCCCAGGAAGGTCCTATTTTGTATTCTTGCAGGAGCACTCAACGTTAAGGGGTAGGCAGATGGGGAGGGGGCCTCAGGGCCATCCCCCCAACCCCCCGCAAAAGTTTCTGGGCTTCATTGCAGGTGAGGAGGCTATATAGCTGGGAACCCAATGTTTCCTAGAGAACCCATAGACCAGATTTGGGTTCCCATGCCCCACGGTGAAATGGGGGAGTTGGCCAGCCCTGGTTTGGGATGCAACTCTGATGCTTTCTGGCCATGTGACCTTGGGCAAGTCATTTCTCTAATGGCTCTAGACTCTATTCCCCTGTGTCCGGGCCATCCTTACCTCTCACCTGGCAACTGGTCTCCTGTCTTTCACTCTTGCCCTCCTGCAATCTGTTCCCCACAGCCAGGATGCTTCCTCTGACATGCAGAAGTGGTATCTAATCTTGTCACTTTCCTGTTTAAAACCTTCCTGTGGCTCTCCATCACTCTTAAGATAAAGACCAGGCCGGGCATGATGGTTCACACCTGTAATCCCAGCACTTTGGGAGGCCAAGGCAGGAGAATTGCCTGAGCTCAGGAGTTCGAGACCAGCCTGGGCAACGTAGAGAGACCTTATCTCTACTAAAAATTTAAAAAAATATATCCTGGCATGGTGGTATATGCCTATGTTCCCAGCTACTCAGGGGGCTGAGGTGGGAGGATTGCTTGAGCCCAGGAGGTCGAGGCCGCAATGAGCTGTGCTCTCATCACTGCACTCCAGCCTGGGTAACAGAGTGAGACCCTGTCTCAAAAAAAAAAAAAAAAAATGGCCAGGTGCTGTGGCTCATGCCTGTAATCCTAGCACTTTGGGAGGCACAGGGAGGTGATCACTTGAGGTCAGGAGTTTGAGAATAGCCCCATCAACATGGTGAAACCCTGTCTCTACAAAAAAAAAAAAAATACAAAAATCAGCTGGGTGCAGTTGCCCACGCCTGAAGTCCCAGCTACTTGGGATGCCCCTGAGGCAGAAGAATCACTTGAACCCAGAGGGCAGGGGTTGCGGCGAGCTGAGATGGCGCCACTGCACTCCAGCTTGGGCAACAGAGCAAGACCCTGTCTCAAAAACAACAACAACAATAAAAAAGATAAAGACCAGCCAGTCACAGTGGCTCACGCCTGTAATCCCAGCCCTTTGGGAGGCTGAGATGGGTGGATCACCTGAGGTCAGGATTTTGAGATCAGCCTGGCCAACATGGCAAAACCCCGTCTCTACTAAAAATACAAAAATTAGCCAGGTGTGGTGGCATGTATCTGTAATCCCAGCTACTCGGGAGGCTGAGGCAGGAGAATCGCCTGAACCTGGGAGGTAGAGGTTGCAGTGAGCCGAAATCGTGCCACTGCACTGCAGCCTGGGCAACAGAGTGAGACTCTGTCTAAAAACAAACAAACCAACAAACAAACAAAGAAAAAACAAAAGATAAAGGCCAAATACCATGGTTCACGTCTCCACTTCGTGTCGTGCTTTCTTCCCTTTCTTCTCCCTCCTTCTCTGACGGCAGCCATTCTGACCACTTACTGCTCCCTCCCACTTCAGGACTTTTGCCTATGTTGTTTCCTCAGCCAGAGGCTACCTTCCCTGCCTCCTTTACCTGGTTAACTCCTATGTCTGCTTCAGATCGTGGCTCAGTAGTCACCTCCTCTAGAAAGCCTTCCCTGACTGCCACACCCTTCCCAAGCTGGGCCTGGCTGTCCTCCAATAGCACTGCCATCCACAGTGCTGAAGCAGGGACCTCTGTTTGGAGCATTTCTGGAGCCCATGGAACATGCTTGTTGTTACATGTTTACTTGATGATTTAGTTAATCTTCAGGTCCCCATTAAACTGAGTTCCACCAGTGGGTTGGGTCTGTCTTGCACACCATTGTGTCCACGAGCCATTTTAGCACAGTTTGGGGTACATAGAAGGTACTCAAAAGTGCTTGGTGGACTGGGCATGGTGGCTCATGCATGTAATCCCAGTAGTTTGGGAGGCTGAGGTGGGTGGATCACCTGAGGTCAGGAGTTCGAGACCAGCCTGGCTGACATGGCGAAACCCTGTCTCTACTAAAAATACACAAATCAGCTGGGGTGTGGTGGCGCATGCCTGTAATCCCAGCTACTCGGGAGGCTGAGGCAAGAGAATCACTTGAATCCAGGAGGTGGAGGTTGCAGTGAGCTGAGATCGAGCCACTACACTCCAGCCCAGGCGACAGAGAGACTCTGTCTCAAAAAAAAAAAAAAAAAAGGCTTGGTGAATAAATGTCAAATGAACCTTCCCTTTTCTGACACTAAGTTTCCTCATCTGGAAAATGGAGATTATGTCCATGAACCTCACAGGACCACAGTGAAGATTTTAGCGAAGTACATATAAAAGGTATTTGATGAGTGGTAGTTATTTTCTGGGGGGCAGGCAGAGACCCCAAAGAATACTTGCCCTGTGAACCTGTCCCAAAGGTGCTTTCTGACCCAGTGTCCCTCGGGGACAGGTTCAACGAGCACCAGGGGAAAGCCAGCCTAGAAGTGGGTCTCAGCTGTGCCAGAAACCAAACTTCCTTCTTACTGATGGGGCCTCTGATTCAAAAAGCTCCTTGAAACCTTCCATTGATCAAGTGCCCAACACTGAGCTGGGCGTTTTACACACATTACTACTTTCTGATTTCACAGCCACCCTGTAAATGGGTATTGGGCTGATGGGTCCAGAGACGGGAGGCAACTTGTCTGGGGCTACATAGTCAGTAAGAGATGGAGCTAGGATCTGAGCCCAGGCCTGACTCTTTCACCTGGGTTCTTTCCCTCTGTTCTTGGCCACTTTTACTTAAGAAGTTTACAAAGCAGAGTTTATAAAGTATAATCACTCTCTTCATTCATTCACTCACTCAACAAATGACTGTACATTAACGATGTGCCAGGCACTGGGCATGTAGCAGAGGACACCATAAACATGGTCCCCACTCTCATGGAGCCTGCAGTGCTAGGGGAAAGACAGGCAATAAATATGTAAACAAGTAAATGAGATGGTTTCAGGTTGTGATGTGTGTTACTTAAAAAAACAGGGTAACATGACAGAAAGTGACCAGAGAGGCTGCAGAAGTGCTTTGCGGGGTTACAGGCAGTGGTGAGGGGGATGGCTGGGAAAGCTCTCTGAAGAGGTGACATTGAGCTGAGATGGGAGAATGAGAGTTTGACAGGCGTTAGTGAGGACCTTTCTAGGCAGAGGCCCTGGGGTTGGAGTGAGCTTGGTGTGTTCAGGAAGCAGGAGCTGGAGCATGGGAGAGAGGGAGGGTGGTGGGAGAGGGTCCCCGGGAGGGACAAAGGTTGTGTCCTCCTGGACCTCAAGGGTCATGGTGAAGAGTTAATTTTAAAAGTAGTGGGGGCCGGGCACGGTGGCTTATGCCTGTAATCCTAGCAGTTTGGGAGGCCGAGGCAGGCGGATCACCTGAGGTCAGGAGTTCGAGACCATCCTGGCCAATAGGGCAAAACCCTGTCTCTACTAAAAATACAAAAATTAGCCAGGCATGGTGGCAGGCACTTGTAATCCCAGCTACTTGGAAGGCTGAGGCAGGGAGAATTGCTTGAACCCAGGAGGCAGAGGTTGCAGTGAGCCAAGATCGTGCTATTGCACTCCAGCCTGGGTGACAGAGCAAGACTCTGTCTCAATAAATAAATAAATAAATAAATAAATAAATAGCGGGGAGTGGACAGGCACAGTGGTTCACTCCCAGCACTTGGGAGGCCGAGTCAAGTGGATCCCTTGAGGTCAAGAGTTTGAGACCAGCCTGACCAACATGGTGAAACCCTGTCTCTACTAAAAAACAAAAATTAGCCAGGCGTGGTGGCGCACACCCGTAATCCCATCTACTTGGGAGGCTGAGGCACGAAAAT
The DNA here is from genome assembly GCF_000001405.40 of Homo sapiens. Classification (NCBI taxonomy): domain Eukaryota; kingdom Metazoa; phylum Chordata; class Mammalia; order Primates; family Hominidae; genus Homo; species Homo sapiens. Next base: position 31,984,175 of record NC_000020.11, read on the forward strand.
CACCTGAACCCGGGACGTGGAGGTTGCAGTGAGCCAAGATCATGCCACTGCATTCCAGCCTGGGTGACAAGAGTGAGACTCCATTTCAAAAAAAAAAACAAGTAGTGGGGAGTGGCCTGCCCTTACCTAGGAGTTTACAAGATCCCCCTGCTGTTGTGTGAAGACAAGGCTTGAAGAGGGCAAGGATGGAAGCAAGCACCCCAGGGAAGCTGCCGGAATGAGGTGGCTTGGACCAGGGTGTTGACACCAGGGTAGAGAGAAGGACTTGGGTTCAGGACATAGCTGTGGAACATTAATGTTATCAGAGTTGGATGGGTGGGGAGGGGCTTGATGAACATCCCTTGGTGTAGACAAGAATCAGTTACTTGGGCTTGGGCCCATTTTATAGAAGAAGATTGAGGCCCATCGAGGAGCTGGGCTTTCCTGGAATCACCTTGGTCTCCTGACTCTTCACTTACTATTGTTGCCTGTCTCCCAGTTTTCTCTAAACCCATATAATCCCAAGTGAAACCTGAGGTCCATTGTGTCTTACCGGGGTCCTATCAGGATCCTGCTGGGCAGCCGTACTGCACACCTTCCAGGCGAGGGAAGCTGCCACGTAGGCAGCCGAGGCAACAGGGGAATCCCGTGGGATGAGACTTGTCCTTCCTCATCCCTGCTCTGGCTCAGGAGGCCATGAAGAGCCAGGGCTGAGTCCTAGATCTGGCACTAACTTGCTGTGTGACTTGGGACGAGTCCTGGTCCCTTTCTAGGTCTGTTTCTCATCTGTGAAATAAGGATAATGGTAGTCCCTGCTTCGAAGATTTGTTAAGAGGGATGGATACGTTCATATGTATAAAAAGTCTCAGCACAGCCTGTCATCCAGCTGGGACTCAGTAAGTGTGAGCTGTTATCCTTATTAGTAACCACTGCACACTGTCCCCCTGCAGACCTACAGACTAACTATGGGCTCAGCTGGGGGGATGTCCTACCCCTGCCCATCAGTCCTGGCTCTCCCATCTGCCTCCCAGCCCCACCCTGTTCACTCTGTAGGGATCTGCAGACCCTGGCCCGCATTGAGACTAGGGAGCTAGCCAGCATGAGGGTGGTTCCTGGATGGAGAGGCAGCGGGGGAGCCACTGGAAGCTGCTGTGTGTTTGGCCCAGAACTGTGAGGGGGAGTGGGGAGGGGCGAGAACACACACTCGGAAATGCTGAGACCGACAGATGGAGGAGCTGAGGATGTGAGAGACACAGACAGACAGAGAGAGACCCAGAGTCAGGGAGAGGAGGAGCAGGCAGGGGAGGATGGCCAGAAAACTGGCAGTCACACCAAGCCACGAGCTGAGCAACAAATCAGCAGATGGACCAAGCAGTCGAGGGACTAAAAGACACAGACAGACAGACCACCAAGTGGACCTAGCATCCAAGACACAGACAGACCACCGAACAGATCCAGTATCCAAAGCACAGACAGACAGACCACCAAGCAGACCCAGCATCCAAGACACAGACAGACCACCAAGTGGACCCAGCATCCAAGACACAGACAGACAGACTACCAAGCAGACCCAGCATCCAAGACACAGACAGACAGGCAGACTACCAAGCAGACCCAGCATCCAAGACACAGACAGACAGACAGACAGACAGACAGACTACCAAGCAGACCCAGCATCCAAAACACAGACAGACCACCAAGCGGACCCAGCATCCAGACACAGACAGACAGACAGACAGACAGACTACCAAGCAGACCCAGCATCCAAAACACAGACAGACCACCAAGCGGACCCAGCATCCAGACACAGACAGACAGACAGACAGACAGACTACCAAGCAGACCCAGCATCCAAGACACAGACAGACAGACAGACAGACTACCAAGCAGACCCAGCATCCAAGACACAGACAGACAGACCACCAAGCAGACCAAGCATCCAAGACACAGACAGACCACCAAACAGATCCAGCATCCAAGGCACAGACAGACAGACAGACAGACCACCAAGCACACCCAGCATCCAAGACACAGACAGACAGACAGACCACTAAACAGATCCAGTATCCAAGGCACAGACAGACAGACCACCAAGCAGACCCAGCATCCAAGACACAGACAGACAGACCACCAAGCAGACCCAGCATCTGAGACACAGACAGACAGACCACCAAACAGATCCAACATCCAAGACACAGACAGACAGACCACCAAGCAGACCAAGCATCCAAGACACAGACAGACCACCAAACAGATCCAGCATCCAAGGCACAGACAGACAGACAGACCACCAAGCACACCCAGCATCCAAGACACAGACAGACAGACAGACCACTAAACAGATCCAGTATCCAAGGCACAGACAGACAGACCACCAAGCAGACCCAGCATCCAAGACACAGACAGACAGACCACCAAGCAGACCCAGCATCTGAGACACAGACAGACAGACCACCAAACAGATCCAACATCCAAGACACAGACAGACAGACCACCAAACAGACCAAGCATCCAAGACACAGACAGACAGACCACCAAACGGATCCAGTATCCAAGGCACAGACAGACCACCAAGTAGACCCAGCATCCAAGACACAGACAGACCACCAAGCAGACCCAGCATCCAAGACACAGACAGACAGACAGACAGAGAGACAACCAAGCAGACCCAGCATCCAAGACACAGACAGACAGACCACCAAACAGATCCAGTATCCAAGACACAGACAGACAGACAGACAGACCACCAAGCCGACCCAGCATCCAAGACACAGACAAACAGACGACCAAGCAGACCCAGCATCCAAGGCACAGCAGACAGACAGACCGCTAAACAGATCCAGTATCCAAGGCACAGACAGACAGACCACCAAGCAGACCCAGCATCCAAGACACAGACAGACAGACCACCAAACAGATCCAGTATCCAAGGCACAGACAGACCACCAAGTAGACCCAGCATCCAAGACACAGACAGACAGACCACCAAACAGACCCAGCATCCAAGACACAGACAACAGACCTCAAAGCGGGCCCAGTATCAAGACACAGACACACAGACCTCCAAGAGGACCCAGTATTAAGACACAGACAGACAAACAGACCACCAAGCAGACCCAGCATCCAAGACACAGACAGACAGACCACCAAACAGATCCAGTATCCAAGGCACAGACAGACCACCAAGCAGACCCAGCATCCAAGACACAGACAGACAGACCACCAAGCAGACCCAGTATCCAAGGCACAGACAGACCACCAAGTAGACCCAGCATCCAAGACACAGACAGACAGACCACCAAGCAGACCCAGTATCCAAGGCACAGACAGTCCACCAAGTAGACCCAGCATCCAAGACACAGACAGACAGACCACCAAACAGACCCAGCATCCAAGACACAGACAGACAGACCACAAAGCGGCCCCAGTATCAAGACACAGACACACAGACCTCCAAGAGGACCCAGTATTAAGACACAGACAGACAGACAGACCACCAAACAGATCCAGCATTCAAGACACAGAGAGACAGATCACCAAGTGGACCCAGTATCAAGACAGACAGAAAAGCAGACCTCGTATTCACAGGATAGACAGGCTGTCTGGCATCCAGGGGACAGAGACTGAAGCTCCTGGCCTCTAAGGGCAGGCAGACAGGCTGACCCAGGATCACAGGGTCAGACCAATAGGACATAGTATCTGAGAGACTATGTGACCCACAGTCCAAGGGACAGGATTCCAGGATTTTGGAACTGAGCCAGGGACTGAGCCAGGATTCCAGGGCGAGACTGACTGACTAACAGACTCCTGACAGAAATGCAGGAATGGTAAATAGGCTAGCCCTGCATTCAAGGGACAGACACAATAGACAGGCTGATCTGAGCCACAGACAGAGACAATGACTCAGGATCTGAGGTCAAAGGGATGGGTCCAGGCTTGGGCCCAGGTTTGACTGTCTGAATGGACTGAGGTGCAGGCCAGAAACTCTGACCTAGAACCAGAGACTTGGGGTGACTCAGGAACGAAGAACAGGAGAGAGATGGGGTGATGCAGACGTTGCCAGAAGCTTCCTGGCTTCTCAAGAACATGGGATCCCCTCGTCCTTTTCCCCTCCTGCCCATTAGAGAGCAGCCCCCAAACTCTGGGGGACTGGGGGACACTGGAAATTTCCCGTGAGGAGGGTAGGATGGGCCTGGGGAGAAGGGAATGAGCTCCTATTCATTTCTCGATCCTGCCACCTGTTCACAGAGGCAGTGGGGTTCAGAAGAGACAGGTTTTTGGGTCCCTGACAGGAGGGATTTCATACTCTAGCTTCTACTCTTCTCTCTAGGTGTGGCCTTTTTGCTCCCACTTGTACACTTTTGAGATGTACACTCATCTGCTCTTCCAGTTTCTTCCCGGACAAGCTTCTTCTCTGAGCACAAGACTGGGGGTCAGTAAGTTAGATTCCAAATAGACTGAGGGCCTCTGTTTCCTCATCTATGAAATGGGGACAGCAGAAGTTGCGTGTTAGGTTAACAGCATGGACTACAGTGTCTGGCTCACTTCAGGCTTCACGCAGTTCAAGCCTGAGAGCTGTTAGAGAAAGTGAGGCCTAACTGGGCTAGAGGGGCATCAGAGAGGGCTTCCTGTAGGAAGAAGGTCAAGAATGAGTCAGCGAGGGCAGGAGGAGCCTGTGAGGTGTCCTGGCTCTTTGCAACTTCAAGCAGAGAAACCCCAGAGCCCTGTAAGGTCAGGAGGGAGATGCACACAGATACTCACATGTATTCATTCAGCAAATAGTCAGTGCCTACTCAATAATGCATCAGTGCCTATTCTACAGGCACTGATGCTGGGGACACAGGGGTGATCAAGACAGACGAGATCCCTGCCCTCATGGATTCACAGTGGGAGAATGGAAAATAAATAAATAAACGGTGATTTCATAGTGTAGGTTAAGATGAAAATAAGACAGGGGGTGTGGTAGACTAGAGTGAGTTGGCAAGGGTGGCCTGGGAGGCCTCTCTGAGAAGGTGTGAGCTGATGAGGAGCCAGCCATGGGAGGATCTGGGAAAGGGGTATTCCAGGCAGAGCAAGTGCAGACGTCCTGAGCCAGGGACAAGTCTGGCTGAGTTTTAGGACACCCCCCCCCCAGCGCATCTGGAGTGTCAGGAACAAGTGGGACAGTGGTTTGAGATGAGGTGAGAGAAACAGGCAGGGCCAGATGGTTTAGGGCCTGCACGCCGAGGGGAGAAGCGTGGGTTTTATTCCAAGTGTGATGGGAGGCCCTTGGAAGGCTTTGAGAAGGGGAATGACATGATCTGACAGGTTTTAAAAATATCCTGCTGGTTGCCATGTGGAGAATGGACTGTAGGGAGGCAGGAGTGGATGCGGGCAGCCACACAGAAGGCTGACGTGGTCACCCAGGCAAGATGACTGTGGCCTGCACAGGTGGTAGCAGAGGAGACATGGACAGACTGGGGATTTTGTTGTTTTTTAGTGATGGACTCTCACCCTGTCACCCAGGCTGGAGTGCAGTGGTGCAGTCATGGCTGACTGCAGCCTCGAACTCCTGGACTCAAGTGATCTTCCCACCTCAGCCTCCTGAGTAGCTGGGACTACAGGCACACGCCACCACATCGGCCAATTTTTAAATGTTTTGTAGAGATGGGGTTTCTCTGTGATGCCCAGGCTGGTCTTGAACTCCTGGGCTCAAGTGATCCTCCCGCCTTGGCCTCCCAAAATGTTGGGATTCCAGGCATGAGCCGCCACACCTGGCCTGGGGATAATTTTGGAGAAGATCAGATGTACACCACCCCCAATCTGGATTCCCTTCCCTGAGGTGTGGTGTTCTTCCCTTGGGTGAAGATCAGCTTCTTTCAACTTCATTTCAAATAGAGTGGGATGTGGGATAGGGTGGACTTCCTAGAGGAGGTTTCAAGAGAGGTTGCCTGGTGGTGAGGAGGAGCCAGCGGCCCCTGCCCAGTGTATGCTACTCCCTCTATGGACACCCTTTATAGTTTATAAACTATTTTTAAATTCATTGCGTGTGTGTGTGTGTGTGTGTGTGTGTGTGTGTGTGGAAACAGGGACTCACTGTGTTGCCCAGACTGGTCTCAAACTCCCCGGTTCAAGAGATCCACCTACCTCGGCCTCCCAAAGTGTTGGGATTACAGGTGTGAGCCACTGCACCCTGCCCCATCACACTCATTTAATGCTCACAACAAGGAGGAAAATAAAGCTCAGAGAAGTGGAGAGACTACCCAAGGTCACACAGCAGGTCTGGGACAGGGCTGGGAATCAAACCCACATGCCAGCCATTGCTACCTTTCCTCCCTCATCCTTACCCCAGTGGCTATGTGTAAGCAGAATGGCAAGTGCCATTCCCATTTTAGAGAAGGGAAACTGAGGGCCAGGGAAATTAGGTTGCATGTCCTGGGCAGGACTGTTTTAAGACCTTTGTGGGCACCACATCTATCAAGCATATTAAAATGCAGCTACATCAAACATCCCATGTAAATTATATATGACTAGATAAAAGCCAAATTGTAGTTGACTGGCTGACATCATGTTCTGTTTTGCACACATTTAATTAAACATTTATTAATTTTGATTCTGTAGTTTTTCCCTGTGTTTTGGAGCCAATTTTTTTTTTTCAGGCTTCAAACATTTCCCTAGGCCCATGAAAATCTCACAGGCCCTTGGCAGAGAGCTTTTCGTGCTGGCTGGAAGGAACAGCCACAGTTTTGCTCCTGTTGCCAAAAGGGGCAGAGCGAGGCAGAACCCAGGCCTTTTATCCCCAGACCACAGTGTGGTCTTTCCACACTCCCCACTGACCCCACATTCCTGGTACTCAGAGCCCTCCTCTCTTCTCTTCCTCCATCCCTGCTCCTGCCCACTGTGGCCCTGGGCTGTGTGAGCCCTTTGTCTGTGGTTAGCTAGGAGCTGGCAGAGGAGGGGGCAGGAGTGGGCAGGGAGGTGGGCAGGTGGCCCGTCAGGTAGTGATGGATGCTGGCCAGGGGCCAGGGCCTCTCTCATGCTGACCCGGGCCCGGAAACAGATGGTCTTCCAGCCTGAGAGAAACTTCCAGGGTGTCACCTTCCCCCAACTCCCCAGGCCCCTTCACATTGGACCAGCTGGTCTCTCCTTCCTAGTCAAAGCCAGAGCCATGGGAAGGGGAAGGGAATGTGGCGGCAGTGGGGATGGAGGCTAGGAAAGACGGCCTGTGTTCTAGGCCCTCAGAAGTTCTAAGGGCCATCTTGGTTTCTCCCCCAGCCCCCACCTCTGGCCATCTCCAGATCTCTCTCTGCCCTTCCTGTATCCCATGCCTTAGCTCAGCCCTGTAATTTCAGACCTGGACCAAACCCCATCCTCTCCTGGCTTTCCTCCAAGCCAGCCTCCACAGCAAGCTTTCTAAGCCACTGAGCCAAGCTCATCACCCCTGATTCTGGGATGGCATTCAGATAGAGAATAAAATCTGAACTCTTCAGTCCAGAATTTCATGCCCTTCACAATTCTAGTCTCCTTATGTCCCTGCCCATTAAAACCCCTTGTCCAGGCCCAGCAAACCTCTGGCCATTCCCCTAAAATGCCAAATTCTTTCAGGCCTCTGAGCCTTTGCTTCAGCTGATTCTCCCACCTGGAATGACCTTCCATCTCTTGTGTGCCTTCAGATGCCAACCCATGCTTTAAAACTGAGATCAGGCCAGGCGTGGTGGCCCACACCTGTTATCCCAGCACTTTGGGAGGCTGAGGCGGGTGGATCACCTAAGGTCAGGAGTTTGAGACAAGCCTGACCAACATGGAGAAACCCCGTCTCTACTAAAAATACAAAATTAGCCAGGCATGATGGCGTATGCCTGTAATCCCAGCTACTCGGGAGGCTGAGGCAGGAGAATCGCTTGAACTCTGGAAGCGGAGGTTGTGGTGAGCCGAGATCACACCACTGCACTCCAGCCTGGGCAACAAGAGCGAAACTCTGTCTCAAAACAAAACAAAACAAAACAAAAACAAAAACAAACAAAAAAACTGAGATCAAATGTTTCTTCCTTCCAAGGCATCTTATAGCATTATTTCACTTCCTATCTTGTCTCTCTTCCATGGGACTGGGAGATACATATGGGCACACAGCCTGGCACAGAGCAGGTGGTCAGAATCCACCTGCTACATGAATGAATCATTCTGGCTGCAGGGATCCTTATGTGTGGGGTAAGCAGGAGTCCAGAAAATGGAAGATACAGGGAGACAAATTTCTGCTTATCAGAAGAAATACAATCCAGACCTGGAGCTGCTCAGAAGCTGAGGTCCCTGTCCTGGGGAGCGTGTGAGCAGTGAGTGTAGATGCAGCAGGCTGAGGTCCCTGTCCTGGGCAGCGTGTGAGCAGTGGGTATAGATACACCAGGCTGGAAATGACTGAAGGAATTCCAGCATGGCACAGGAGAGTTGGACAGAGGGGGCTTTGCATTTCCAGAGTCAGCTTCTGAGGGAACAGCCCCCTTACCCATCCTGGCTGCCAATCCTGTCATGTGTTATGTTGATGGTGTGTTTATGCCATAGACTGATGCCAGGATGACCCAGGGATGGGGAGGAGGGTCCTAAATGGGATGTTCCTGGCCTCATTTTGCAGAGAGAGTCCCAGAATATTCACTCTGAAAGGATCTCCAGAGTCATCAAACTCATCCCTTTCATTGGCAGATGGAGAAACTGAGGCTTTGAGAGGGCCACACAGCTGGTAAGACCAGTATACTCATTTGAGGAAATTTGGTATCAGCTGGCCCCACATCCAGGGAGAACTGTGACTTCCTCCCTTGGGCTGTGAATAGAGTGAGTCCCCTGGTTCCCAAACAACATCCTGGAAATGCCAGCGCTTCACCCTGGGAATAGACCCCAAATCTCTGGCTCCCCAGTTTCAGATCCAGGCAGCGGGGTCAGAGAATCTGTGTAAGGGTTCCCCCTCCACACACACACACACACACACACACACATACACATACACACACACACCACCCCCAGTTTCCTGGGAAAGCCACTTTTGGAAGAGTCCTCTGGTTTGCAGCAAAGAGTGTGCCTGCCCCGTGAATCAGAGAGTTTGGGGAGCCGGCGGGAGTAGGGGGCGCTGGGAAGGTGGCAGGGTCTGTAGCTGCAGGAGTAGAGCTTCTGGGCAAGGAACCAGGGCAGAAGGGAAATCAGACCCAGAGATCTGTGTGGAGAGTTCCCCTCTCACCCTACATGGGCACTGTACTTCATAGTGTGCAAAGTTTCTTTTCATTCATTTAATCCTCACCGCCACTTTGGGAGGGATTAACTAGGGCTCAGAGAGGGTCTTGCTCAAGATCACACAGTAAATTAGAAGCAAAGTGGGATTGATCTCAGGACTTCAGAGTCCCTTCTATACCCCCTATAGGGTTACTAGAGTTCCATTCAGTTCAACAAGCCTGCAGTCGTGTTTCATTCATTCAGCCCATATAGATTAAGCACACTTTCATTCATTCAGCCCATATAGATTAAGCACCTACTGTGTGCTAAGAACTGAGGATGCAGCACTTAGCAAGCCAGCCTAGTCATTCTCCAGGTACTCACAGCATGGGGGAGATGTGCACATAACCAGGCAGTTACAACCCACTGTGACAAGTGCTAGCTAGATTAGACGGAAGCCTGGGAGAGGCCCTTACCCTAGGTGGAAGGTGGTCAGCGGAAGCTTTATGGACAAAATTGTGTTCAAAAGCTGAGCCTTGGAAGAAAAGCAAGAGTCATCCCGGGTTGGGGCCGGGATGGGGTTAGGGGATAGGGCAGGGTGTTTTAGGGAGAGGAAACAATAGGTACAATTCCTCAGCAAGGAGGGAGAACATTGTGAGCTCTGGCTCTGTGACCTGTGCAGAGTGGCCAAGAAGAGCCGGAGTTTGTTGGGAGAAGTGGCATGAGAGGAAGCAGCAGTTTCAGATGCCAAGGAAAAGTGTCTGTGAGCACCTTCCTTGCACCCTGGGGTGAGAGCTGGGCACTGAGCTGTGAGGATCTCACCTCATCTGGGCACTGAGAAGGGAACAGGCCAGGGAGCTGCTGGTGGCAACAGAACCGGGGCTGGCACCAGGCAGTAGGGACTGTTCCTGGAAGGAACCTATGTGAGCAAAACTTTTTATGGTTTACAGTCAGAGGCAGTGTTGTCTAATGGTTAGAGTGCCGGCCCTGAGGCCAGAATGGCTGGGTTTGTGTCCTGGTTCTACTGCTTCCTAGCTGTGTGACCTTGGATAAATGACATATCTCTCTGGGTCTCAGTTTGCTCACCTACAAAATGGGAATTGGGCCGTGTGCGGTGGCTCATGCTTGTATTCCTAGCACCCTGGGAGGCCAAAGCAGGATGATCACTTGAGATGAGGCCAGGAGTTCAAGACCAGCCTGGGCAACATAGCCAGAAAAAAATTTAAAAATTAGCCTGGTGTAGTGGTACATGCCTGCAGTCCCAGCTACTTAGGAGGCTGAGTCGGGAAGATTCCTTGAGCCCAGGAGTTTGAAGTTGCTGTGAGCTAAGATCGCACCACTGCACTCCAGCCTGGGTGACAGAATGAGACCCCATCTCTAAAATAAAACAAAGTAAGGGTCGGGTAACAGGGCTATTGTAAGCTCAGCGCACTCCAAGGTGTCAGTAACCCTCCAAAGAAAGCACGCCCCAACCGTTATAGGAATAAGGGCGATACCGCTGTTGTATTAAAGGCTTTATTTACTTAGTGCCAGTCCTCTCTCTAAGCTAATGAGTCCATTCAGTGCTCCTCAACAGCAGCCTCATAAGGTGATCCTTTCGAAATGCCCATTTCACAGCTGAGGAAACAGGCTCAGCGTAGGGAGTGACTTGCCCCCTGCGCCTGTGGGCGGCTCGGGGCTGGTGCGACAGAGCGAGAGGAACCAGCGCGCGGGAGCCTGAGCACCGCGTCCTTCCCGCAGGTACCTGCGCGCCCTGTACCTGGGGCTGCAGAGCCGCTGGCGCGGGGAGCGGCTGCGGCGCCACTTCTACTGGCAGATGCTGTTCGAGAGCGCCGACGTGAGCATGCTGCGCTTGCTGGAGACCTTCCTGCGCAGCGCGCCGCAGCTAGTGCTGCAGCTCAGCCTGCTGGTGCACCGCGGTGGCGCGCCCGACCTGCTGCCGGGTGAGCCCGCCCCTTCACCCTCTGCGCCTGGGACCACCCCACCGGGCCTTTCTCCCTGCTTCAGGCTCCCTGGGGATGCCCTGTGGGCTTCCCCACCCCAGCTCAGGGCTCACTCAGTCAGGGTTTAGGGAGGCCTGCCCCTTCTACCCTCACCACCCTCCAGGCCTCTCGAGACCCCCGCGTCCCCTTCGATGGCCCACTTATACTCAGAGTGAGGAGGGACCTGGCCCCTCCACTCCCTCGACACCCATCAGCCCCCCTGGGCGCTCCTGCCCTCCTCCCTTCCCCGTTGCCAGAGCCAACCAAACCCCATCTCCCACCCAAACACCTTAGACCCTCTGGGGAATCCCCTGCCCACTTCCTTCCCCAACCTGATCCCAGCCTGCATCTCCTGGGGACCCCCTGCCTCATAGACCTGGCCAATCACCATCAGTTTCCAGAGAGCCTACCCCTTCACTGGGGGGCCCCGGGGGGCCCTCCCAGGCCTAGTCCTGGCACCCATCCCCTCCTCCTCCCTACAGGCCCTGTTAATTTCCCACCTTGCCCCTTCCATAATGACAGAGCCCCTCAATATCAGAGAAAAACCGCATCCCCCTGTCTCCCTGAAGCACTCCGTGCTCTCCCAACCTAGTCCCTGCCCAACCCATCCTCAGTGTCCCAAAAGACTATCACCACCCCTCATGGCCCTGGGGACCCCTTGCCCAGTTACGGGGTCCCAATCACAACGCTTCCCACCTTGGGTCTCCCCATCCCCGCCCCTCAGCTCTGCTCAGCTCAGCTCTAGATATTCCTCTCCATGCCCGGCCTCCTCCTGGTGGCCCACGACTTCTAATGGCCCCCTCCTGGCAGCTCCACACCCTAATCATGACCTCCTCTTCACCTCCTCTTCCACTCCCAGAGTCCCGGACCCTCATTTCCCACCCTCCCACCAAGACCCCTGAATCCTAACAGCCCCACACCAGAGTCCTAGATGGAGGCCAAACCCCCATCTTCGTCTCCCTTTATGCTCCCACCCTACAGAAGTACCCAGTCCCGTGCACCCTCACCACACCTCTTCATGGCTCTTGAAGCTCCCCACCTCCCAGACCTTCCCCACACCCCTGCTGATCCACAGCTCCTTTCCTCACGCCTCTTCAAAACCCAGCTCCTGACCCAGAACCCTCCGCCTCTCCCCAGACCCCAACCCGAGCCCGCCCCTAACCCAGCCCACCCCGCCCCTGCCCTGTCTCCACAGCCCTCTCCACCTCCGCCTCCCTCGTGTCTCTGGCCTGGACGCTGGCCTCCTACCAGAAGGTGCTGCGGGACTCGCGGGACGACAAGCGGCCGCTGTCCTACAAGGGCGCCGTGGCACAGGTGCTGTGGCACCTGTTCAGCATTGCCGCCCGCGGCCTGGCCTTCGCGCTCTTCGCCAGCGTCTACAAGCTCTATTTTGGCATCTTCATCGTGGCCCACTGGTGCGTCATGACCTTCTGGGTCATCCAAGGGGAGACGGACTTCTGCATGTCCAAGTGGGAGGAGATCATCTACAACATGGTCGTGGGCATCATCTACATCTTCTGCTGGTTCAACGTCAAGGAGGGCCGCAGCCGCCGCCGCATGACCCTCTACCACTGCATCGTCCTGCTGGAGAACGCCGCGCTCACCGGCTTCTGGTACTCCAGCCGCAACTTCTCAACCGACTTCTACTCGCTCATCATGGTCTGCGTAGTGGCCTCCAGCTTTGCGCTGGGCATATTCTTCATGTGTGTCTACTACTGTCTCCTGCACCCCAATGGGCCCATGCTGGGTCCCCAGGCACCTGGTTGCATCTTCCGTAAGGCCTCAGAGCCCTGTGGCCCACCCGCTGACGCCATCACGAGTCCCCCCAGGTCCCTGCCAAGGACTACAGGTGCTGAGCGGGATGGGGCCTCGGCGGGAGAGCGTGCAGGGACCCCCACCCCACCTGTCTTCCAGGTGCGGCCTGGCTTGCCTCCCACACCAGTGGCCCGCACCTTGCGGACAGAGGGGCCTGTCATCCGGATTGACTTGCCTCGCAAGAAGTACCCGGCCTGGGATGCTCATTTTATTGACCGCCGGCTCCGGAAGACCATCCTGGCACTGGAGTACTCCTCACCTGCCACGCCCCGGTTGCAGTACCGGAGTGTGGGGACTTCCCAGGAGCTGCTGGAGTATGAGACCACAGTGTAGGCTACAGTGTCCCAGCACAAAAGGGACAGGCTTGGCTGATCCCACATCCGCCGCAGTGTTGTGCCCCGAATTTCAGGGCCACCAGGCTAAGGGGGAGTGGATCTGTTGGTCCAAGGGTAGAGTGGCCCCACTCTTGGGTTCTTTCAGGGGAGGGGGCAGCCTTGCGGAGGCCCCAGCCCTGGGCCCCGTTTTCAGCCTTGTGGCCCATTCCCTAAATTCCCCTGACCCAGGGCCTGGGGAATCATCTGGTGCTACACTTTTCGAGCTGCCCTGCTTTCATGGGGCCTCCACACCTCTCCCCTGCCTGGCGTTGCCCATGTGTTGCCCCTGCTGGACTTGCCAGAGAAAGGGCACTGTCTGGGGTCCATGACCTAGACCCTGTGCTCCTCAGGGGTTGTGGAGAGTGGGCTGCCTCTATGGTGGGAAAAGATCTCTGAGAAGGATGGAGGTGGCCGTGGAAGGGATGGGGTGAGGTTGGAGCATTGTGTGGACAGGGATGGCGTGGCTCCTGTAGCATCTGAGGCCTGGAGCCAGGGCAAGAGGGAGCTGAAGAAGGGAGTTGGGGTGGGGCAGGGTGTTGGGGTGGGGGGCTGGCAGTGCTGGAGATGGATAGGAGAAAGAACTGGGGGGGGGGTCTAGGCTGGCAGAAGCATGGAGGGGTGGAAGACTTGGGGGAGGGGAACCTGCAATCCAGAGCATAGCGAACAAGAATGAACTCCTTAGGAGACGTCTCTTGTTGTGTTGTGGGCTCTGTGAAGGATGAAGTTCCACACACCTCAGGTGAAATGTTTGAAGGAGCCATTTTTTGTTCTAGATGTGCACCTGGAACGTGGCTTCTAGATACAGGTCTTCAACACAGCAGATAAGATGTCTGGAAAGATCTCTGGGCTCAAGTGCAGGTGAGGTTTTAGCACAGTTATCAGAGGAACTGATCCAGAAGCAGGCTTAGTTCTAGATTGAGTTCTAGAGTGCTAGGCTGATAAAATGTCCCAGGGAGCCACTCTGATCTGTGTATTCTGTTGTGAGGAGGAGGACACTGGAGGCCTGCTGCTCTGCTGTGGGGGATTCTAGCACCTGTCACAGTGGTGGGGGAGAAGAGGTTCTAGAGCCCAGCGTGAATGGAATTTTCTAGGAATGGGTGCTCTCATTCTAGACTTCTGGGGCTCATGGGAGCTCTAGGCCCCTGTTACCTTGGTCCATAGCCATCTTTCTAAAAGGAAATTGTCCTCAGAACCCCTGAGACATTTCAGCTGCCAACTGGTTCCCAGCTGGAAAAAAAAATAGCTCTGGGGACGTGACATGAATCCTGGCTCTCAGCCACTCTGCAAATGGGGCTCCCTGGAGCGGCATCTGGGAAACTGACTTGTTTTGCCTTAGATCTGATGACTCCCCAGGACCTGTGGTCTATTCCCATGGCCTGAACATCCTGGAGTGCCCAGGGGACTCACCCAGGGCCCCTCCTCCCACCTAGGACAGCCAGTGCTGGATTGAGGGGGCGTATGGGAGAGGGGAAGTAGGCAGTTCCATGGGGTGAGGAGACAGAGCCTCTAGCAGAGCTGGGAACCCAACCCACCCCCCACCCCCCCACACACACACTCCCACAGCAACTTAGGTGTGATTGGTGGGAGAGGACAGCAGCGGATGTTAAGGACAGATGCCAACCTGATCCTGGAGTGAGGTGGGCCATGAGAATCCTAGACTATGCAAATTAGAGGGATGCTTAGCCCTCCCTGGTTCAGCCTCTCTTGGGTTACAGATGGGAAACTGAGGCCCAGAGTGGCAGCCACTCTCTCAAGGTCCCAGACTCTGGGCTGCCCATCAAAAGGTGATGGGTAATGATGAATTGCTGGGGATGCAGGGTAACCCCAAAGGCAGGGAGGGCCAGACTGCCCACATACACACAAGCACAAGCACAACCATGATACGGGTCACCCTCCCCACCAGCACACAGGCCGAGATGGTGTACGCATCATCCCTCCTGCCAACACAGCAAGAGTGCTTTTCCTTCTTTCTGCTGCTAAGCACCCTCAGGAACGAGGCCTCGAGGGTGACGGGAGGTGGGAGAAGCCCAAGGCTGACCCAGGCCCACTCTGTTGGGTTCATCCATCCTCCAAATCCATCTTTGGAGGCTGAATTCACACACAAAGCCGTTGTGAGATGGGAGCTCTGAAGATGCGGACCCAGACCCAGAAACAGACTGTTTCTCCAGGGCCAACTTTGTGCCAGGAATTTTCACCCCATGTCGTTTCACTTACACTCTCCTCTGGTCACGACGTCCCTGCAAGAGAGGTATTATCAACCCATCTTACAGACGAGGAAACTGAGGCCCAGAGATGTAGCATGAGGGTCACCCTTGGCAAGTTATTCTCCTCCCCAGTATCCCAGAATGGCCCATCTGGCTGCTGCCTTCTAGAGGAAAAGTCCTAGCTGGGGTCCTTTACACTCCAGGAGACTCCCAAGGGGCAGGGATGTGCTGGCAGGGCTTGGCATGGTCTGAGGCTCGCAGGGAAGCCATGGCTACATTTTTGGATTTTACTCCACCCCCACTCCCCACCTCTTCTCAACCCCACACACCCTTCCCTCAGGGCTTCTGCCTGCAGGGACATCTGGGCACAGGAATGGCCACAGTCAAAGGGCCCAGGGAGAGGGCTGCAGGCACCTCCTCCTGCTTCTCACCCTCAGAAGAGTCTCAGCCCTTAAAGGACTCTCCACCCAGGAGCTCGGGACCAGGCCTGAGGCCCCCTGCTCCACTGGCTTGTCCCTTCATTTCACTGGGATAGAGGAGTCAGATGAGGGAGGGGTCCATCCCCTTGGAGCTGTTTTGTTTTTCTTTCTGTGACACAATCTACCTCAGCCAGTCTCTCCCCTAGCAGAACTGACCCCCCTGGTCCTCTGCCTCCTGTCCCCTGACCCCCACCCCAGTCTGGATGTTCAGTCCTTCCCTGTCCTTCCCACCCTGCCAGGGTCCTTGCAGCCCAGAGGGTCCCTGAGGGTTCCTTAAGCCACCTGCCCTCCACATCCATTAGACAGGAGAAAGTGAGACCCAGAGAGGACCAAGGACTCACCAAAGGCCACACAGGAAGTCAGTGGCAGTTAGGATTTCCCTGGGGATGAGAGGTAGTTGGGTGTGTCTTAATTTTGCCAGGAACAGAAGAGAACAGGATGCTTTGGGTACCAAATATGGCAGGCCCTGCCCTCAGTTACCTCTAACCCCAGGAGACCAGTGTCCCCATCTCCAGGGCAGACTTCTGTCTACCTGTTTTCTTAGAACTGACCCCCACGCTGTTGACTGTGTTCCCCAAACCTCTGCAGGCACCACACACACCCACATCACGGCGCCTCCTGGCACTGATGTGCCATGTGCCTTGTAACTGTCACCCCAGCTGAACAGCACAGACCTCCCCACTCCCCCACACAGGGCTCCCCAATGAGGGAGCCTTGCTTGATCCCCTCCTGTCATCTGCCTCATTCTTGTGTCTCCCCCAAATCTGCCTTACCCCCAGCCAGCTCCCTGCTACACCTGTGTCCCACAGAGGCATGTCACCCATGAGAGTCGGGAAAGACAGAGGGCAGGGAAGGTGAGGCCTGGGGAAAGTCCAGGCCTCTGGATAAGGGCTGAGGGAGCTGGGAATATCCAGGGAAGGTCTCGCTTGCAGTCAACACCCTCCTAAGTACTCGAGTTCTGCAGGTTCTTCCCTTGGAATTAATCTGGACCTGGAGTCCACAGAAGCCTCAGACAATAGGGAGAAGGTTTTCTGGGACGAAGGCTGCATGGGATGCAAACTCAAATGCCTCGAGATAATGAAACTAAGAGTAATGGAGACAATAGGGAGTGTTGGGGACTCTGGCAGACAGGAGAGTGAGTGTGTGCCCTGCCTGTAGGTACTAAAATTCAAATGTTTGGGAAACTGCTGGCCACTCATATTTGGCCCACGTGCCACCAGTTTGAGACTTACGGTTCAAAATGTTGAGAAGGTTCTGGAGTGTCCTGCCAAGTGGAAACCCCTCAGCGGAAGTCAGGGACAGAGGCTGTGGCTCCCTCTGAGACTTTGCTAGTCCAACCCTAAATCCCCATCACCTGGCTATCTGAGAACTGAGCCCACTGCCCTCTCAGCTGAAAAGGGAAATCTGGGGGGTCCACAGGGTCCCTGGTTTGGGAATCATCTGATAAGGGCTACAGGCCCCTCCAGTGCCTCATGGGGTTAGAGGCTGCTGGAGTCTTCTCCAGCTTGGGGGCCCCTGGTTAGGAGGAATCTACATTGGGTTGCAGGGGAGTCCAGGTGCAGGATGTGGACTGAAAGCCAGGACCCAAGAGTCCCATTCTGTGCTGGCCCCTGCCACCTTTGGCACCTGTCTCCCTCCCAGTTCAAGCTGTGGTGGGGCCTGCAGTAGAGGTTGGTAGGGGGAGCTGTAGTTTCTATATTAAAGTGCTTTGCAGTGTCTCAATGGAAGGGAACAAGTGGGTGTCAAGCCGCATGGGCAGTAGTAGGGTTGGGGTTTGAGCCCCCTTCCCAACCATAGAGGCTTCTGAGACCTGGGGCTGGGGAGGAAAGGAGCTTCAATGTGCCATTCTGGTTGGGGAGAGGATAGGACATTTCTGGGTCCTTGGCTGCTGCCGGTAGAGGTATGGGGAGGAAAAACTCTAGAGTGGGAGATGTGGAAGTGGAAAAGGAAGGCCCTGTCCAGGCCTGGCCTGGTTTCTGGAGACAGAAAACTCCCCAGGGGACAGAGAGGTTACCCCCTTGTGCTTAGCTTCTGCCACCCTTCCCTTCTCTGGAGGAGAAGGCTGCCCTCTCCTCAGCAACCCTGGCCTTTATTCTATGCATAACCACTGCAAGGGCACCCCTGGCCAGGCTGAATGGGTGGGGGTCCCAGGGCACCTGCAATAATCTCAGAATGGAGGGTATCCTGGGACAAAGAGGGGGTACAGAAGGTGCCAGGGGGGAAAAGGTGATTCCTCCATCTCTCTCTCACCCAAATCCCCCCAGATCGAATCTGACCCTTTTCCCTGGTCTCCATTGTGCTAAACCACCGAACTTGGAGGAGCCTCATATAAACATAGCCCCCAGCCCCACTGGCTTTCCGAACCCATCATGAAATAGCTGGAAGGTATCTGAACCGTTCCCATAGCTCCCTCATTATTTTCTTCCCTGAGGATCCTGTGGTTTAGGAGATTTTTCTCCCAAACCAGCCTCATTTCTTGAAGAAGAATTCATTTTCCCATATTAAATTAACTCAAGCTGAGCTTCTGATTGCAGATAAATGTTTCTAAGGCCTCAAGTCAACTTCTAGGGCTTGAAGGTGGGGGAATATATGTATTTTATTGAGTTGCTTAATACAAAATTCTCAAAAGCACTTGTGGGCACTCATTCCTGCCTTCACAGGCCCTCAGGGTCTGGGACCCCACGTTGGGAATCAATGGTTTAGACATCCAGCATCCTATTTTACTGAAGGGGCAAGCCCAGAGATGGGAGATGGCCAGCCCAAGGTCACACAGCAAGTTGGTGGCAGGGTGAGACCAGAACCCGGTTCTTTTGAGGGTCCCACCAGAATATCCCCAGCCCTGATCCTCCCCTCCATGCCCCTGGAACTCTAGGAATCACTAGCCATGCCTGAGGGGCTAATCTCCCTCTGTCAGCACAATTCCGAGTGATTCTTCCCCTCCCTGTCGTCTCTTCCTCCCTAACGGGCCCTCACCCCTGTCCTCTTCTGTTTCCTTTTCCTGGTCCCACCTCCTGGTATTTACTACATCTGTGCCATCCCTCATCCCCCTGACCCCCATTCACCCTCCGAGCTTCCCCCAGGAGGGGGAGGGGGAGGGGGCCCCGAGCTGGGGCCTCTTTACTGAGACTCTTTTGTACACCACAAACTTTTTGTATATTTTTAATTTTGCTGCGACATGAGATATTAAAAGTCATTTCAGTACGTGCTGCTTGTGTCCTATTGTTTTGGCTGTTCTGGGCCAGGGGAAGGAGATGAGGAAGGAGGGATAGGTAGGGTACCACTTGCCACAATCTCTGTGGCTCAAGAGAGAAAGGCCTTTGGCTGGGAGAGGGTGGGACATTACACAACATCTCCTGTTTATTGGGCAGCATTTCAATCAATCAACCAGAATCCTCAGGCCAAAAGTTCTACAGATTATCTCCAAACTCATTTTACAGATAAAGTGGGTGGGGGGAGATAAAGGGTGGGGATACTTGTCAGAGATCACAGAATGAGTCTATGACAAAATCAGGGCCCAGACTGAAGTTCCTAACTCCACTACAGCCAATACTTATTGAGAACCTACTGGGTGCCAGGCAGTTCTTGGCATAGTGAACAAGAAAGATATAAAACAGGCAAGGTCCCTGCCCTCAAGGAGCTTACATCCTATCCTAGGGGGTATTGCCTCTAAGAGGGCCTCTGTCTCCAGGGCTTCCATCCTAATCCAGTGGTTCTCAAACTTCAAAGTGCATGAGAATCACTTGGAGAAGAGGGGATATGTTTTAAATGCATATTTCTGCCTCCATAATCAGGGAATAGGTAGAACATGCCTGGAAATCTGCATTTTTAAAGTTCTTCAGGTGTGTTTAAAGAACATGCCTGGGAATCCTGCATTCTGGTGCAAGCGGATCTGAGGACCTGGACCTTGCAGATCTTTTCTTTTCTTTTTTTTTTTTTTCCAGAGACGAGTCTCACTCTGTCACCTAGGCTAGATTGCAGTGATGCAATCATAGCTCACTGCAGCCTTGTACTCCTGGGCTCAAGCAATCCTTTCGCCTAAGCCTCCAGAGTAGCTGGGACTGCAGGCACATGCCACCATGCCCAGCTAATTTTTAAAACATTGTTATAGAAATGAGGGTCTCCCTGTGTTGCCCAGGCTGGTCTCGAACTCGTAGTCTCAAGCAATCCTCCAGCCTTGGCCTCCCGAAGTGGTGGGATTACAGATGTGAGCCACTGCACCCAGCCAAGGACCACTACTTTAAAGTACCCTCCATAAACCTGATCATGGCATTTCCTTGCTTTAGAACCTCCCATGGTTCCCCAGTGCCTTCAGGATAAAGGTCAAACTCTTCTGCCAAACTCTGACTTTTGGAAACTGGGCCTAAAACCATCTTGAGTCTCATCTCTGACATAACCCACCTGGCCCCCATAGCCTCTCCATACCACCCATTTTCCTGTTTCCATAAGACTCTCCTGATTGCCATCCAACAGGCTTTCTCGGCCATGCTTTCATGCAGGTGGAGCCCCAGTTTTTCAAGGGTCCCCCTCCAAAGTGCCCAGGGAATGTAACCCTGACCTGGCCCCAGGAGACAAATCATGATTGACCAAAGACAGTGGTTTCCAAACTGTGGTCTCCAGAATAGTAGCACCAGGGAACTTGTTATAAATGCAGATTCTCAGGCCTCAGATCTATTAAATCAGCCACCATGTGAATGGGGCACAGCAATCTGTTTGACAGGCCTTCTGGGTGATTCTGATGCATGCCTACATTTGAGGACAATTGGTCTAAGATAATTCCCCTGACCAGGGATTGATGGGGGCAGGGGCATGTGACCCAATTCTGGTGAGGTAGGGACTGCTAAGTGTCCACCAGTATCCATGTTCCTCCTTTTCTATAAAGAGTTTTTAGCTAGGCACATAGCCACTCAGAATAAAAGACTACATTTCCCAGCCTCCTTTGCAGCTAGGCTCAGCTATGAACCAAGTTCTGGCCAAGAAGAAATTTGTGCTACTTACATCACTTTAAAGAGACAGATCATGTTCTCTGCTTTGTTAACCCTGCTGGCTGGACTGCAGCTGGGTGGAGAGAGCCATCTTGCAGTTGATAGCAGAACCACTGCTTGGTGGAACAAAATAGGAGACTTCAAGGTCCAGGACCCAGGGAGCTACCACACCCACCCTTGACTGTTACCTGAAGAAGAGAGAAACTCTCCTGTTTAGGTCCGTTATTCGGTCTTTGACACAGCCAAATATGTCCTGGCAAATGCATCTGGCCCCTGGCTTCTTAAGGGAAATCTTTTGAAGATTCCCGGGAAAGGTTTTTCTCCATGAAAGAAAGACACACAAGAAGGGGAAACCCTTGGCCTTATCTCGGGATGGTATCATGTGCCGCTCCCAAGGCCACTGCAGCCATCTTGCCAGGTTCGTGAGTCTGCTCAGGCTGCCATAACAAAATACCACAGACCGGGCAGCTTAAACAACAGAAATTTATTTCCTGACAGTTCTGGAGGCTGGAAGTCCAAGATCAAGGCATTGGCAGAGTTGGTTTTGTTACAGGAAAGGGCTCCCCATCCAGACCCCGAGAGACGGTTCTTGTATCTCACGCGAGAAGGAATTCAGGGCGGGTCCGTACAGTACAGGGAAAGCAAGTTTATTAAGAAAGTAGAGGAATAAAAGAACGGCTACTCCATATGCAGAGCAGCCCAAAGGCTGCTAGTTGCCCATTTTTATGGTTATTTCTTGATTATATGCTAAACAAGGGGTGGATTATTCATGCCTCCCCCTTTTAGACCATATAGGGTAACTTCCTGATGTTGCCATGGCATTTGTAAACTGTCATGGTGCTGGTGGGAGTGTAGCAGTGAGGATGACCAGAGGTCAGTCTCATGGCCATCTTGGTTTTGGTGGGATTTAGCCGGCTTCTTTACTGCAACTGTTTTATCAGCAAGGTCTTTATGACCTGTATCTTGTGCTGACCTCTGTCTCATCCTGCGACTTAGAATGCCTTAACTGTCTGGAAATGCAGCCCAGTAGGTCTCAGCCTCATTCTACCTAGCTTCTATTCAAGATGGAGTTGCTCTGGTTCAAACACTTCTGACAGTTTCTCCTGAGGCCTCTCTCCATGGCTTGCAGATGGCCGTCTTCCCACTGTGTTCTCACATGGCCTTTCCCTGTACACAAGTGACCCTGCTGTCTCGGTGTGTCCAAATTTCCTCTTTTCTTTCCTTTTTTTATTTTTATTGGAGTTGGAGTCTCACTCTGTCACTCAGTCTGGAGTGCAGTGGCGTGATCCCAGCTCACTGCAACCTCTGCCTCCCAGGTTCAAGTGATTCTCCTGCCTCAGCCTCCTGAGTAGCTGGGATTACAGGTGCGTGCCACCACACCCAGCTAATTTTGTATATTTAGTAGAGATGGGGTTTCACCATGTTAGCCAGGCTGATCTCGAACTCCAACCTCAGGTGATCTGCGTGCCTTGGTCTCCCAAAGTGCTGAGATTACAGGTGCAAATTTCCTCTTCATATAAGGACACCAGGGAGATTGGATTAAGGCCCACCCTAACTGCCTCATTTTAACTTCATCACCTCTTTAAAGACCCTATCTTCATATACTATTACATTCTGAGGTACTGGGGGTTAGGGCTTCAACAAATAAATTGGAGCGACACAATAACACCAGCAAAGTAAAAAATATAAAGGAATTTGATGCCAGTGTTGAGCTGCTCAAATAACCTGAAAACCCTCATTATTGGACTTGTTTTAAGAGAGAATAAATGTTCCTTCTTGTCTAAGCCACCTTTGGCGGGGTTGTCTGTTCCTTGCAGGCAGAACTCTGGCACTGTGTTTGCTCAAGCTGTTCCCTCTGCCCAGAGTAACTTTCCTTCCATTCACCCTTCAAGGTTTGGCTTGAATGCCACCGGCCTGGGGAATGGCTCCTGATTCTGCCTTTCCCAAACAAGTCGCTGGCCTGATACCAGAGTTCTTGGCTTGTGTGTCTTTGTCTCTAACCAGATCATGGTCAGCATGTGCACTGACCACCTGCTGCTAATATCCCCACTCCTGCCCATGGCAGGCATTGATAATCAATCCCTTCTTCCTGCTGGGAGTAGATCCGGTTTTTATAATCCTCTACGCAGCCCTCCAGGCAGCCCCTGCCAATCAACTGGAGGTGGTTCAAAAGAGATGAATCCTATCTGCCACAATTGTTAAGTCTTTGAGAGCAGGGACTTTGTTTTGCTCATCTCTTCTTTGATTCACAAGCTAATTTTAATAATATGTTATCATTGTGCACTTCTGTTCCCATTCAATCCCTGCAGCAGCCTTCCAAGGCAGGTACTGCCATTATCCTGCTTTTGACACGTGAGGGCTCTGAGGCGCTAAGAGATGAGGTAATGTGTTCAAGGTCATATACATTTGAGCCTATATCCACCATCTCCAACCACTTCCGCTGACATTTACTAAGCACTTCATCTGTTATGGCTCTGCAGGGAGCACTGCAGGGAATACAGAGATAGTTTTCTAATTTTAGTGGCATGCAAAACACTTATTGTCCTATTTGAGATTCCCAGCAGTTCAGTGATGTTTGGAGCTAGTCCAGGAATAATATAAGCTTCCATTTTATAGACAGGGAAATTGAGGCCCAGAGAGAGGAAAAGGCTTGCAAAAGCCAGTCATGGAGATGCCAGAGCAAGAGACCACATGTCTCATGCCCGGCTGCTGCTCCAAGGGTGGGAATTCTGGGCTGGCTCAAGGGGTTAAGTTGGAGCTTTCACATCCAGAGCAGAGTCAGGAATTGGCTAGCACACCCTGGCCTCTTCCTGTTCGCCTGGCAGGCTGAGTGGAGATCTCACTTCCTGAGCTGGGGGGTGACCCGGCAGGATGCAGGGGAGCAGGAGGGAGTGGCTGTGAGAGCCAGCACTAAGCAACCTGGGCCATTTCCCCTCCAAGGGAGGGGAAGGAAGAGGAAGGGCTAGTGGCTAGGAGTCTCCTGTAGCTCTCACACCCAGAAGCGCGTTGGGGAGCTCTGACCCTCCCTTCAGGGCACTGATCTTGAACACCAGGCTTTCAGAAAAAGCCTTTCAGTAGAATCCAGTGCATTGGTACTTTACAGTTTCTAACTGCTCTTCCATCCATGGCCTGTGTCTTTCTGGCCACAGCTCTGATGAGCAGAGCAGGGCTTTGGGAAATTATTATTCCCATTGGAAAGATAAGAAAGCTGACCGATCTCGTCTGATCTCGGAAGCTAAGCAGGGTCGGGCCTGGTTAGTACTTGGATGGGAGATAAGAAAGCTGACGCCAAGAGAGGTTACAATGAGCAACCTGGACCAGGTCATATACAGCAAATCAGTTCCAGAGCTTAGGTCTCCAGAACCCAGGTGTCTTGGCAAGGTGTGGATGGGCCACACAGAACCTTTCCATCTGTCCTGGGTGGGGCATGCAGAATGCATAGGTCCTAGAGGTAAGGAACGCTAGGCTCAGATCCAGACCAGCCAGAAATCCCAGGTCCTCCTCTTACTCACTGTGTGACCTCCTTGAACCAGGCTCTGAACTTCAGCCTCAGTTTCAAAAATCTGTATAATAGGTACTATCATGGTACTCAACACTGTGAGTAAGTTAAAATATGTAAAGTGTTCAGCACAGAGCCACAAAGGGGACCTTGCCTCCCTAATATACTCCCAAGAGAGCAAAACAGCTCAAGACCCTATGAACATGGTCAGAATAAAAATGGAGTCACTAATGTTAAGAAAACCTTGACAAATAGAGCTGGGGAAGGCCATAGAGGGTTTTCATGCTTGCATAACAAATAAGACTGATAACAAAACAGATAACAACAAGACTGATAACAAAAAAGACTACAAAAATCACAACCTTGCACAAAGGCCATTGAAACCTTGCACAAAAAATACTTCCGCAAGGACATCTGCCCAGCAACTGCCTGTCCAACTTTAGACTGGCATCACCCTTGCTATTGATCTTTGCAATCAAGAATAATTATTTCAGAAACAATAATGTAATCCTTATTTTTTTCCTTTAAAAATCTTTGTCTTCCCCCCACCTCCCTGAAAATGCACATCGCTTACTATGGCATATGGGTAATTCCCACTGCAATGCTTAATTCCTAAGTGAAACATCTTTTATTTTAGAGAGCCTCTGTTTGTTCTTTAATTTGACAACCACTAAGCAGGTAAACAGTTAATGTTTACTGAGCACTTATTTTTTTTCAGTTTTTTTTTTTTTTTTTTTTTTTTTTGAGATGGAGTCTCAGCCAGTCACCAAGGCTGGAGTGTAATGGCTGGATCTCAGCTCACTGCAACCTCCACCACCCAGGTTCAAGCGCTTCTCCTGCCTCAGCCTCCAGAGTAGCTGGGATTACAGGCATGTGCCACCGCACCCGGCTGATTTTTGTATTTTTAGTAGAGACAAGGTTTCACCATGTTGGCGAGGCTGGTCTCGAACTCCTCACCTCAGGTGATCTGCCTGCCTCAGCCTCTCAAAGTGCTGGGATTACAGGTGTGAGCCACCACGCCCAGCCTTACTGAGTACTTAATATGTGCCAGAAGTTCTTCTAGGTGCATTTAATCCCCGCAAGGTCACTATGAGGTTAAACTAGTATTATGCTCATTTTAAAGACGGGAAAACTGAGGCACTGGTGGTTAAGGGACTTCCCAAAGGTCATAACCCTAGTAAGTGCCAAAGCCAGGATTCGAATTCAAGCAGCCTATCTTCAAAGCCCACGCATACTGCCTCCCTTAATAGTAATGATTAATTTTTTAAAATCATAACTTGCTTGGCTACAATACTCTCTATAAGGCACTTTCCATCCACCTTTTCATTTCTCACCACAGCAGCCTAGGGAGGGAGGCAGTGTTGACTCCCAACTTATAGAGAGGAGGGGGAAACAGGCTGTGACAGGGGGAACTGACTTGCCTTGCCAAGGTCACACAACAAGGTCAGTGGCAGAAGTAGGGCTGGAACTTGGAATTTTCCAAACCAGGACTTCAAATGTGGGGGGCCCTTTCCCAGCCTTGGCCAATTCCCAAGCTCCCCCAATAACCCGCCTTCTGGCTAGAGGCCTTGAGCCTCCCTCCTCAGGTCAGCTCTGCCTGGGCTTCCACCCTTCAGCTGCAGGGTCCCAAGGCTGTGTCCTCCACACCCCCTGCCCTCCCCATCAGATGGGAGGGGCAGGAACTCCAGGGCTGGTGGAGTTTCCGACCAGGCAGGAAAAAGAACAAAGGAACTGGATGTGGGGGTGGAAGGGATGGCCAGGAGGGTGGCAGGAGTAGAGGGGACATTTCACCATGGAATATGAAGTCAAGAAAGGGAAGAAGGTAGGTGGGAGGTTGGGAGGGACGAAGGGAGAGGAATGTCCCCAAAGCTGGGGAAGGGGGCAAACTGGGGCGGGGTGGGGGGTCGGTAGCGAGGGGCATAAGTGGAGCCTTTCTTCTCATTTGGAAGTAACTTCCTTCCCACTCTTGGACAGCCAGACAGTCAGGCTCTAAACTCCCTGTTTCTCCACTCTCAGTGGCCTCTGGCATCCCTAACGTGGACAGACAGGGACCTTCTCAGGAAACCTGGCCAGACGGACTCAGTTTGGGAGATTCTCCACACCTGCTTCCCTGGTGTTCCCCGCAGCTCCCTCCTGCAGCCTCTCAGACAGACGGACAGACAGACACCCAGCAGATCCATTCTCCTGCTCGTCACTGCCCCAAACAGAAGGACTCAGCCAGGGCAATTCCGATAGGATGTTGCCTACACAGGCTTGAGTCTCCCACCTGCCCCCTGCCCCTCCCACCTTTCTACAAGGGCGTATGTAAGGCGTCAGCCAGAAGCCATTCCCCTCACCCCTTCTGACTCTGAAGTTTTCTAGTATGCTTCTCTGGGTGTCTCACCTGGTTGTCTTTGGAGTTCAGGGAGGCGCTCTGATTTTAACTTCCATCTTACCCCCATTTCCACCCTCCCCTCTACCCCACCCCCACCAGAAACATATGTCCGGGCTGTTCTAAAAGGTGCCCACATGAATCACAGAGGGCTCAGAAGGGAGCCAAGACATACGTGCATGTTTTCTCTTAGTTTGTTCTTTTAATAGACATTTATTGAGTGCCTATTATGCACCAGGTATTTCTTTTTTTAAAGCAATAAATAAGTTAATGTAAAATTGCATAGAAGGGCCGGGTGCAGTGGCTCACACCTGTAATTCTAGCACTTTGGGAGGCCGAGGCGGGTGGATCACCTGAGGTCAGGGGTTCGAGACCAGCCAGGCCAACATGGCGAAACCCTGTCTCTACTAAAAATACAAAAATTAACTGGGCATGGTGGCACATGCCTGTAATCCCAGCTACTAAGGAGGCTGAAGCTTGAACCTAGGAGGCAGAGGTTGCAGTGAGCCAAGATCGCGCCACTGCACTCCAGCCTGGGTGACAGAGTGAGACTCTGTCTAAAATAAATAAATAAATACATAAATAAAAATTTTTTAAAAATCATAGGAGGTCCCATACTCAGTGCTGGAGGAAACTGATCAGTTTGAGTCGAGAACTGACGGGTGGAAGGAAAGTGGGTAGGGAAGAGTGTTTGAGGCAGAGGAACAGCATGTGCAAAACCCCACAGTGGGAAGTCACATAGCAAGCCAGAGGGACTGAAGGAGGACTGTGTAGTGGGGGCCCAGGGGACAAGAATGAGGCAGATGGGGCTGGACAGGTGGGCAGAGCTGAGCCATTCAGGGCCACCAACAAAAATACTTACCCCTCCCCACCCCTAATACACACACATACGCAAGACAAAGTCCCAGCTCCATAGCCGGCATTCAAGATATGTTCGTCTCATAATCTAGCCACGGCAGACTGACTGCACACAGCTTCTCCAGGCTCACCCTCATCCAGCCTTTGAGGCATCCAGAATTTTGCACATGCTGTGCCCTCTGCTTGGCATGCTTTCTCCCAGATAGTTTCTTCTCATTCCTTAAAGTTGCTACATACCCCATCCTGGCTCCATGATATGGGTTCTAACATAAGCTGAGTACCCATAAGAATCACCTGAGGGCTCATTAAAACACAGATCACTGGGTCTTACCCCCAGTTTCTGGGCCAATAGGCCTGGGATGGGGTTCAAGAAATTGCATTTCTGGCCAGGCACAGTGACTCACGCCTGTAATCGCAACACTTTGGGAGGCTGAGGCAGGAGGATTGCATGAGCCTAGGAGTTCAAGACCAGACTGGGCAACATAGTAAGACCCCATCTCTTTAAAAAATATATATTAGCTAGGTGTGGTGGTGGTGCATGCCTGTGGTCCTAGCTACTGTGAGGCAGAGGTGGGAGGATCGCTGAGTCAGAAAGAATTTGCAATTCTAATAACCCACAGGTTATGCTGATGGCTGTGGGGCCACACTTTGAGAACCACCGGTTTAGATCCTGGCTACTCAAAGCGTGGTGCACAGACCAGTAGTATCAGCACCAGATGGGAGCTTGGTAGAAATGCACAGTCTCAAGCTCCAACCCAACTGTACTGAATCAAAACTCCAGGGCAGATAAAGTTGGAAACTCACTAGTCTAGGTCATTTATCACAAGCCCTGGAGGCAAGGATAGGATCCAGGTCTCCACTGAATCCTCAGCACCCAGCAGAGTCCAGCCATACAGGTGTAAATGTTTACTGAATGAATGAGTAAATGAACAGATGTATTTGTGGACTTGTGTTCTGTTTACCTGGAAAGAACGTGAGCTCCTTGCAGGCAGGGAGGTTGTCTTACTCACATTTGCCTTGTTACACAGTTAAGTAATCACACCACACATTCACTCAGTGGTTTTCAGCTGAGCTGCCTTTTGAAATTACCTAAGAAGGCTTAAAAAAATCTTAATGGACCGAGCTCATTAACCCCAATGGCTCACACCTGTAATCCCAGCACTTTGGGAGGCCAAGGCAGGAGAATCATTTGAGCTCAGGAGTTCAAGCCAGCCCAGGCAACGCAGTGAGACCTCATCTCTACTAAAAATTTAAAAAATTAGCAGGGCATGGTAGCACACACCTGTAGTCCCAATTACTTGGAAGGCTGAGGCAGAGGGATCGCTTGAACCTAAGAGATCAAGGCTGCAGTGAGCTATGATTGTGCCACTGCACTTCAATCTGGGCAACAGAGCAACATCCTATCTCAAAAAAATTAAAAAATAAAAAATTTTATGCCTGGGTCTCAGTCCCAGAATTTCTTATTCAGTTGGTTGGGAGTGTAACCTGAACATCTGAAGTTTTAAAAGCTCCCCCCGTAGTTCGTGTGTGTGTGGAGTGGGGGGGTGGGGGTTGTTTGTTTTGTTCCTTCGACAAGGTCTTACTCTGTCACCCAGGCTGGAGTACGGTGTTGCAATCGCAGCTCACAGCAGCCTCGACCTCCCAGGCTCAGGTGATCCTCCCACCTTGGCCTCCCAAGTAGCTGGGATTACAGGTACATACCACCACACCCGGCTAATTTTTTTTTTTTGGCATATTTTTTGTAGAGACAGTTTCACCATGTTGTCAAGGCTGGTCTCAAACTCCTGGGCTCCAGCTCTCCTCCTGCCTCAGCCTCCCAAAGTGCTAGGATTACAGGCGTAAACCACCACGCCTGGCCTTCCCCAGGTAGTACTAAAGGATAGCCAGGGCTGGGAGCGACTGCTCTAAATGCAGTCTCACACTTGAGCATGTATCAGAAGCACCTGGTGGGCTTGTTAAGCCCTAATTGCTGGGCCCTACTCCCAGAGTTTCTAATTTAGTGGGTCTGGGATGGGGCCTGATAATCTGCATTTCTCTCAGTTCCTAGGTGGTGCTGCTGGTCCAGGAATCTCATGTTGAGAAATGCTGTTCTAGATGGAACTCAAACTTTCTTTTGAGATTCAGATGGCTGGTCTGGGCTGAGCCCCAGAATTTACACCTTTAACCTTGATCCAGGCCATTTTTATGCAGGTGCCTCTGGATTCTACTTAAATGTACTTATTAATAATTTATAACTTTTAGGAAAGCACAGAGAATAGCCTAAGAAATAGCTATGCACCCACCACCACTCCACCACATTGAATCCTAATCTATATTATATATATTTATGTATATGATTTATATATATGTGTGTACATATATATATATATATTTTTTTTTTTTTTTTGAGACAGAGTCTTGTTCTGTTGCCCAGGCTGGAGTGCAATGGCTCCATCTTGGCTCACTGCAACCTCTGCCTCTGCCTCCTGGGTTCAAGTGATTCTCCTGACTCAGCCTCCCGAGTAGCTGGGATTACAGGCTCCTGGCACAACGCCTGACAAATTTTTGTAATTTTAGTAGAGTCAGGGTTTCACCATGTTGGCCAGGCTAGTCTCCAACTCCTGACCTCAAGTGATCCACCCGCCTTGGCCTCCCAAAGTGCTGGGATTACAGGTATGAGCCACCACGCCTGGCCTTGAATCCTAACATTTTTCTGTATTTGCCCCAGCCTAGACTCATTCCTCAAACCTGTTTGGCAGGAGCTACACTGTCACCTGGGTGTTTAGAAAGAAGGTCGTTGGATCCAGAATGCCCAAGGTGAACTACTGGTTCCACCACTACTAGCTGGTGACTTTATCAGTTAGTTCCTCTCTAGGGTTTACTTTCTCCATCTGTAAAATGGGACTTACAGAGGTACCCCTTCTGCAGAGTTTTGGTGAGAATTAAATTAGGTAATGTAAGTAAAAGTGAGCATAGTAAGAGTTCAATAAAAGCAGCCACTGTTATCACTCTCATTCCTCCTCTCCTCCCCAGGGCTTTGTATCCCCCATCCGAAGGCTGGTGTTCCCCAAGGCCGGGCGCCGGGCAGCCTGTAGGAGCAGCGTGAGCCGCCGGCCCCTGCACTCGATGCCCCTTTATCCCCCCGACTACCTCATCGACCCCCAGATTCTGCTGTGTGACTACCTGGAGAAAGAGGTCAAGGTGCGTGCAGGATGAGAAGGGGTGGGAAAACCTTGGGGTGAGGAGACCTTCACTTCTCCTTGACACCAAGTTCTGATCAGCCGTATCTCACACAGGGGAAGTTGTGGCTCATTGGAAAGAGGCCTGGGTTCATGTCAGCCTTGCCCCCACCTTCAGCAAGTGACCTCCATCTGCTGAGCCTCCTCAGTGTTCCCATCTCAACATGAGGCTCAAAACCTACCCCCAGTGGAGAGTGGATGGGAGAGTGTTCTGTGCGTGGAAAAGTCCTATCTTTTGTCAACTGACATAACAGAAAGGGAGACTCACTAAAAGAAAATGATGTTTACTCAGGAATAGGCATTGCAATGGGAATATGCGTGCCATAGTAAACTGTGTATTCAGGAGGTAAAGGAAGGCAAAGGTTTTTAAAGGAAAAGTGAGGAGGATTACATAATTGTTTTGAGATAATTATACCTGGCTGCAAGGATCAATAACAAGGATGGCACCATTTCCAAGTTGGATGAGCAGTTGCTGTCCTTGCAGGAATATGTGTGTGTGTGTAAGGTTGTGATGGCCTTTGTGCAAAGTTGTAGTTTTTACAGTCTTTTTGATAGTTCTTGTTATCAGGCGTTCATGCATGAGAATCCTCCCTCCTATTTGTCAGGGCTTTTAACACAAGTGACTCCATTCTGATTGACAACTTTGACATTTCCCATGAGATTTTACTGCAGTGACCTTGCTGTTACTCGGACAGCGTCCAGATTAACAGCAAAACACAAAGGACTTCCACCACTTAGGAGCTGTACTTCTTTTTTTTTTTTTTTGAGACAGAGTCTCATTCTGTCTCCCAGGCTGGAGTGCAGTGGCACGATCTTGGCTCACTGTAACCTCCGCCTCCCGGGCTCAAACAATTCTCCTGCCTCAGCCTCCTTAATAGCTGGGACTACCGGCACGCACCACCACACGCAGCTAATTTTTTTGTATTTTTAATGGAGCTGGGGTTTCACTATGTTGGTCAGGCTGGTCTCAAACCCCTGACCTCAGGTGATCCGCCCACCTTGGCCTCCCAAAGTGCTGGGATTACAGGTGTGAGCCACCACACCTGGCATGAACACCATGAAGAGGAAATGATGGATCTTCATTTAGCCTAAAAAGATTGATATGGGGGTAGGGTTGTCTGAACTGGCAAACAATAAGCCACCTAGTAAAATCTGAATTTCAGATAAGCAATGAATACTTTCTTAGCATAATTATGTCCCAAATATTGCAAGGGACTAAAAATACTAAACAACTTAAAAATTATTGTTGATCAACGGCCAGGCACGGTGGCTCACACCTGTAATCCCAGCACTTTAGGAGGCCGAGGCGGGTGAATCACGAGATCAGGAGTTCAAGACCAGCCTGGCCATCTTTTAGTAGAGATGGTGAAACCCGTCTCTACTAAAAATACAAAAAATTAGCTGGGTGTGGTGGTGGGTGCCTGTAATCCCAGCTACTGGGGAGGCTGAGGCAGGACAATCGCTTGAACCTGGGAGGCAGAGGCTGCGGTGAGCCGAGCTCACACTGCTGCACTCCAGCCCGGGCGACAGTGCGAGACTCCAGCCCCCCCACGCCCGCCAAAAATTGTTGTTTTCAAGTTCAAATTTAACTGGCATCCTATATTTTATCTGGCAACCCTATATGGAGGGAAAAACTAACAAATAAATCTGCTTAAAAATTGAGGGCTGAAATTTGATAAAGAATAAAAAGAAGAGAAAATGTTTGATTGGTGGATTCACCTAGAGGAATAGAACTAAAAATAATTTTTTAAAAGTTGGCCAGGCATGGTGGCTCACACCTGTAATCCCAGCACTTTGGGAGGCTGAGGCAGGCTGATTACTTGAGGTCAGGAGTTTGAGGGCAGCCTGGCCAACATGGTGAAACCCCGTCTCTACTAAAAATACAAAAATTAGCTGGACGTGGTGGCACGTGCCTGTAATCCCAGCTACTCAGGAGGCTGAGGCAGGAGAATCGCTTGAACCCGGGAGGCAGAGCTTGCAGTGAGCTGATATCTTGCCATTGAACCCCAGCCTGAGTGACACTGAGACTATCTCAAAAAAAAGTTAACTATTATATTGAGTAACATTTAAG
Source organism: Homo sapiens (assembly GCF_000001405.40). Classification (NCBI taxonomy): domain Eukaryota; kingdom Metazoa; phylum Chordata; class Mammalia; order Primates; family Hominidae; genus Homo; species Homo sapiens. The sequence goes on from NC_000020.11 coordinate 32,017,181, forward strand.
TGCTAACATTAGGATATAAGAGTAAAGGAAAAATTTGTTGATTTAGTGCATCATTTTTCCTGACAAAATGGTATACTAATTTGATCCAACATTCTTCCCTTTCCATTTGACTTCTGCAACAAGACCATAAGGAAGGCAAGTGATTTGCAATTCCTTTGACAATGATGCTTGGGGTAGAGAGAGCCACTCAGGCCAGAGGAAATTTACAGGTGGTCAGTTCTTTCAAGCTGTTATAATAACTTTTGCTTCCCTATGGAATCTTATAGCTAGATGACTATGTGTTAAGGCAATATAAGCCAGCAGTTGAGAGTGTGGGCTCTGGCATGTGGATCCCAGTTTGATCCTCTCTAGCTATCTAATCCTGGGCAAGTTCTTTAGTTAGCCACACCCTGCCTTGGTTTTTCTCATCCTTAAAGCAAGGGTGAATGAGTGAATATATAGAGAGCGCTCAGAACTTTGCCTAGCTTCTATTAAGGGCTCAGTAAAAGTTATTATCAGGTATATTAATTCATGTATTTCTATCTCAATCTATCCGCACTGCATCAATGAGAAGGCCAGGGTTCTTCAAGGTTTCAGGGTGACATCTCTGTGTCCTTCTCTCACCCCGATTTCCATCCAGTTCCTGGGCCACCTTACCTGGGTGACTTCCTCACTGAACCCCTCCAGTCGGGACGAGCTCCTGCAGCTGCTAGACACCGCCAGGGTGAGACTCTGGGGAGGGAGGAGGGCAGGATCTCGCTCCCTTCTCCCTCTTCTACCTGCGGACCTCGGGAACTCGAGATCTGCCCCTCCCTGCAGCAGCTGAAGGAGCTGCCGCTGAAGACCACGGCGGAGCAGGACAGCATCCTGAGCCTGTCTGCCCGCTGCCTGCTGCTCACCTGGCGCGACAATGAAGAGCTCATTCTGCGAATCCCTACGCACGAGATCGCCGCCGCCTCCTACCTGCAGGACGACGCGCTGCACCTGCTAGTGCTCAAGACCGGTGCGGCGGGAGGGGGCGGGGGCGGGGGAGGGGCGGGGGCGGGGGCGGGGGAGGGGCGGGGGCGGGGGCGGGGCAGGGGCAGGGGCAGGGGCCGGAGGTGTGCGGATGGAGAAGGAGAGGGACCTGCGGCGGGGGCAGAGGAGATGGAAAAGGTCTGACCATACTACCCTGAGACTAGGGGCAGGCCGAAGAGGCTCTGGGAAAGCAGACAGGGCCTGAGGTTGAGGATGAAGGTGGGTGGCCTGAGCCACTACACTGAGGCCAGGTGGTGGAGCACTAAGAGGGTGGAGAAGCCCAAGACCTAGGCCAGGGCTGGATCCGCAGTTACCACCCGGCTCTGAGGCTAGAGTGGACCCTTGGGCTGGGGGCGGGGCCTGATTCCAGGGGCGGGGCTGAGGAGAGGCGGGAAGTCAGAATCCAAGGGGGCGGTCCCTGAAACCCGGGACTGGGTCCCCAGTTAAGGCTCCCTTGGGAGGGGACAGCCTGACCACCACCCTCTGTTCAGAGGGCAGGTCTGAGGCCAGGGGCGCAGGCGTCGTGGGGAGCGTGGAAGCCACCTGGCCAGACCACCGAGAGGCCAGGGGTGGAGACTGAGGCCGGGGGCGGGCCCGAAAGTGTGGAAGCGGAGTGGGCGGGGAACCGCCGCGCTACTTTAAAGCCGGGGGCGAGGCGGCGGTGGAACCCCAGAGCCGCGAGGTCAGGTGGCCAGCCGGCCTCGGCGGGGCGGGGGGGTCTCTGAGTCCCGATCCCCGCGGCTGACGGTCCCCCGGACTCTCCTAGGTCTGGGTGTGGACCCGGTGCCGGCCGGCGTGGATGCCAGCCCAGGCGGCGCAGGACGCGACCCCGGCCCGCCAGGCGGGGCGCCCGAGAAGCGGCGGGTGGGCACCGCGGAGCGGCGCCACACCATCTGCAGCCTGGACTGGCGGATGGGGTGGGGTGGGGGCGCCGCGGAGGCCCGGGCCGGGGGAGGCGGCGGCGGCAGCTTGGAGCGCCAGCGCGCCGGGGCGCGGGCGTCGGGCAGCTGGGAGCGACGGCAGACGTTCAGCGGCAGCTGGGAGCGGCGGCACGGAGGCGGCGGCGGCGGCGGCGGCGCGGGAAAGCCGGGCGGTAGCTGGGAGCGGAGGCAGGCGGGCAGCGGCGGGGGAGGCAGCTGGGAGCGGCGCCACCCCGGCCCCAACCCGCTCGACCCGCAGGACCCCAGCCCCGACGCCTACTGCAACCTGGTCATCCTGGCTGTAGCCAACAGGGTGAGCCCGAGGGCAGCCTGCTCCCAAAGCCCGGCTTCGGGAACGCTGCTTCCCCGCCCCCACCTTGCCCCCGCCCCACCCACCAGGTTCCTAGGATCTGCCCCTGCCTTCTCCCTGCACCTGCCCCACCTAATGGCTCCTAAACTCCGGACCTGGACACCTCCAGGGCATCTCCCCTTGACTCCCTCAATGGGATGAACTCTCAAAATGGCCAAAACAAACTAGATCTAACCTCCAGCCCGTTCCTTCTCCAACGTTGTCAGTGTTGGCCCCACCACAGTAACATTCACGAGGACACTAATCACCAGCGTGAATCTAGGGCCAGCTCATGCCAGACACAGGGCTGCATCAACTCATTTAATTCTCACAGCAACCTCTGGAGGCAAATATTACAACTACTGTATTCCCATTCTATAGAAAAGGAAACCGAGATCCATAGGTGAAGTAACATAGGCAAGGTCACACAGGAAGCACGTGGTGGTTTTAAGATTCAAATCCAGTAAGTTCAGAGCCAGTACTCTTGGTAACTAAGATGGCCACCCAAGAGAGAAGCCTTCCTGCCATTCTTCCTTCCCCCTCCGTCTTCCCCTCTGCCTCCCCCATCCTCTTCATTCACCCTTGCTTTTATTCACCCGACCATGTTTCTTGAGTGCCAGCTCTGGGCTAGGCAATGGGCTAGGTGCTATGGATACAGACGTGAAAAAGACATCTGGTGTCCACCCTTAGGGAGCTCACAGGCGAGCAGACACCTTCAAGTTCTGAGCATTCTAAGCTTTTCCTCTGATCTTGGACCACCAGATCCCTCCGTATAAAAACAGTGGTGAATGAAACAGACATAGTTCCTGTCTAGATGGTGAGGCAGATAATAACCAGTAAACTCAGACACCACAGCTGTCTCTCTCCCCTTGAAACACTTCCTCACTTGGCTTCCAGCTCTCCACCTTTTCCAGGCTTTTCTCCTACCAAGCTGGTTCCTCCTCTTCTTCAGAAGTTGGAGTGCCCCAGACTTTGTCCTTGATCTTCTTCTCTCCTCCATCTATCCTTCATCTACCCATTTCTAGGTGATCTGCATCTGAAGATCTAACGACTGTTTCAAACCCAACACATCCAAAACTGAGCTCCAACCTCCTCCCCCAAAACCTGCCACTCCCTTGGTTTCCCTGTCACAATTAATAGCAGCTGTGTCCTTACATTGGTCAGGCCAAAACCTTGCTGTGGGCCTTGGCTGGCTCTCACGCTCTCTCTTTCTCACACACACCCCATATCCACTCTGTCAATAAATCCTGTTGGCTCTTATTTTTAAAACATAACCAAGCCTGTAATCCCAGCACTTTGGGAGGCTGAGGCGGGTGGATCACCTGAGTTGAGGAGTTAAGACCAGCCTGGCCAACATGGTGAAACCCGTCTCTACGAAAAATACAAAAATTAGCCAGGCATAGCGGCGGGTGCCTGTAATCTCAGCTACTTGGGAGGCTGAAGCACGAGAATCCCTTGAACCCAGGAGGTAGACCGCACCACTGCACTCCAGCCTGAGCAATAGAGCAAGACTCCGTCTCAAAACAAAACAAAAAAACATCAAAATCCATTTACTTCTCCCCACCCTCCCCCTGTACCCACCCAGGTCCATGCCCCATTTTCTCTCACCTGAATCATGTGGTCATCCTCTGACTGGTTCAGCCCTTGCTGACAGTCTCTTTCCCCACACAGTCAGAGTGGTCCCGTTAACATGAAAGCCACATCATGTCACTACTCCACATCTTCCAGTGGCTTCCCATTTCACTCCAAGTAAAAGCTAACATCCTTACAATTGCTTACAAGGCCATTTGTACTCCAGCCACCATGCCCACTTCCTCTGTGGCTGGAAATAGGATTCCAGACAAAGCTAACAGTCATCCCACTGGACTGTGAGGGCTTTGCGGTACTGAACCTGGCCCAGTGTCGGCCACATAATAGGACTAAGTTGGAATTTGTGGAGTGAGTAAATAAGTGTAATCCCAACACTTTGGGAGGCTGAGGCAGGGAGATCACTAGAGCCCAGGAGTTCCAGACCAGCCTGGGCAACATGGCAAAACACCGTCTCTACTAAAAATACAAAAAATTATCTGGGCGTGGTGGTGTGTGCCTGTCATGCAGCTACTCAGGAGGCTGAGGTGGGAGGATCACCTGAGCTCAGGAGGTTGAGGCTGCAGTGAGCCATGATTGTGCCACTGGGCGACCGGAGTGTGACTCTATCTCAAAAAAAAAAAGTTGCTTTCCAGGGTTGTCTGAGCATCTGGCTTCTTATCTGAGTCATCCTGGTCCTAAGAAGGATATAGGAGTTAGAGTAAAAAACAACCTGGGTGCTGGTACTAATGCCATGAACCTGCTGTGTGAGCCTAGGCAAGGCACTTAACCACTCTAAGTCTCAGCATCTTTGTCTGTCCATTTTGTAGGTCTATGGTAAGGATCACCTGGTTTAATTATTAGGACACACCTACTATCCCCAAATGCCTATCCTGGGTTACGTTTTAATTTATTCTTTGGGCTTTTTTATTTTTATTTTTTGTATCCAACCATCCATTGTCTTGGGCCTTTTTACAGACACAACATAGAGAAAAGGTTCATGAAGACAGTGTCTTCATCAATTACTGGTTTTCTGTGTGTCTTGCTTAAGGCATAAAGAGGTAAATTCAAGAACTAAATACCTATTCACATTTGTAGTCTCAAAAAAGTTTTACCCAAGAACTTAAACTCCTTCCTTCTATCAGAGATTGAATTTTATTTATCCTGTTTCCATTTTCACACTGAATGCTAGGAAGCTCATATCTAAATATGGCTTCCAGTATTAGTAACTATATTGAGCCTAAAATTTTGATACATTTAATCATCCCTTCTCCTACTAGGTGTTAGGAGAACTGGATTCTAATCCTGACTAATCACTTCCCCTCACTGGGCCTCCGTTTCCATATCTATACATTAAACTAAATTAGGACTTATCTTAGAAGGGCATCAGGAAGGCTGATGAATCCTCCACAAATCTGGGGTACATTTTTCATGGCACAAGAGTTAGAGTTGTCACTGAATTCTATAAAGGGGTTCTAAGATCCAGAGAGTAGCCATCGAATTTTGATGGAAAAATTCTTGAAAGCCAATTTAAAGGGCTCTATAGGTGTGTATCTTTGTGCGCATCTTCACACACTGTTTTAGGAAGCAGGGTAACATCTTGGTCATTGGTGAGGACCTGAGCTCTCTCTCCTCCTCCCTGGGCCAGGACGCTGCAGAGGAGTCCTGCGCACTCATCTGTCAGGTCTTCCAGATCATCTACGGGGACCAGAGTATTGAGTGTGTGGACCGGGCTGGCTACCACTACACATCCACACCTGAACGGCCATGGCTCTGCAGCCGCAGTGAGTACCAGAACTCCTGGCCTCCCCTCCTGTGAAACATCCCAAAAAGGCCAGGGGAGGGAAGATGTCCCAGGACTTGGGCTGATGAAGGTATTTAGGGCTCCTGATCTCTGCCATAATTACAGTGTACCCCACAATTGTAGGTGAAATGTCAATTTTCTTTTTCTTTTTCTTTTCTTTTTTCTTTTTTGAGACAGAGTCTCCCTCTGTTCCCCAGGCTGGAGTACAGTGATGCCATCTCGGCTCACTGCAACCTCCACCTCCTGGGTTCAAGCAATTCTCTGCCTCAGTCTCCCGAGTAGCTGGGATTACAGGCATGTGCCACCACACCCAGCTAATTTTTTTTTTGTATTTTTATTAGAGACGGGGTTTCACCGTCTTGACCAGGCTGGTCTTGAACTCCTGACCTCATGATCCACCCGCCTCAGCCTCCCAAAGTGCCGGGATTACAGGCGTGAGCCACTGCACCCAGCCATCAGTTTTCATGATGATCTCAAACTTAGCTTCTTCAAAGATGTTTGGATTGTCAAATTCAGAACAAGCCCCCTAGAGCTGAACTCTTCTCTCTCCCTTTTGTTTTTGTGTCCCTATATTGCAGCAACCTAAGCACATGTATTGTCTGCTTACTGAGCCATTGGTCCCACTAGGACCCTAACACAAAACCAAGATTTCCAGATGGGTGCTTGGATGCACTCAAGGACTAGAAGGAGAATGAGACTAATAGAGACATTTGTTGAGCACCAGTTGTGTGCCAAGCACCGTACCAATGTGCCATGTCCTCATAGCAACCTTGCCTGTCCTCTTTGTCACTGTATCCCCTGTGCCTAGCACGAGACTGGGTACATCAGATACTCATGAAGTATTTTTCTGAATGGATGAAAGAACTCTCTGAGGCCTTAGGATTCCCATTTTTTCGTTTGGTTGGTTTTTGTTGTTGTTGTTGTTTGTTTGTTTGAGACGGAGTCTCACTCTGTCGCCTGAGCTGGAGTGCAGTGGCACGATCTCGGCTCATTGCAACCTCTGCCTCCCGGTTCAAGTGATTCTCCTGCTTCAGCCTCCTGAGTAGCTGGGACTACAGGCATGCGCCACTACGCCCAGCTAATTTTTGTATTTTTAGTAGAGACGGGGTTTCACCATGTTAGTTGGCCAGTGTGGTCTTGATCTCTTGACCTCGTGATCTGCCTGCCTCAGCCTCCCAAAGTGCTGGGATTACAGGTATGAGCCACCGCGCCTGGCCACGATTCCAGTTTTACAGATGAGGACATTAAGGCTCAGATTAGTCAATAAATTACTCAAGGTCACACAGCTGGTAAGTGGCAGAGTCAGGATTCAAATCCAGGTCTGTCTGATTCTGAAGCTTCTATCAGCAACAACCTTATTCCCCATGCTGCCTTCAGGCCAGTGGGTGAATTCCCCAGCCATTGTCTCCCACAGCATGGTACCAGCAGCAGAGTGCTCGTTCTTTTCTTCAGAAGACCCTCGCATCTGTGGGAGCTGTGCTTGTTGGGAGGCTGGGTTAGTTCAACTCTCACAAGGATGATAGGCAAATAAATGAGATAATTCAACAAATATTTCAACAAATTCATTCATTTAGCAAATATTTATTGAGCACCTAGTGGGTCAGATCCAGTGCTAATCAGTAGGTTATTCTGGTGAGCAAAACCAGAGGTGGCCTGTCTTCATGAAGTTTACTTAGTGGAGGCAGGCTGACAGTGATTAAATAAGTACACAAATAAATACACAACCACAGGTTGGGCACAGTGGCTCACACCTGTAATCCCAGCACTTTGGGAGGCCAAGGCAGGTGGATCACCTGAGGTCAGGAGTTCGAGACTAGCCTGGCCAACATGGTGAAAACCCATCTCTACTAAAAATACAAAAATTAGCTGGGCATGGTAGCAGGCACCTGTAATCCCAACTACTCGGGAGGCTGAGGCAGGAGAATCACTCGAACCTGGGAGGTGGAGGTTGTAGTGAGCAGAGATCACACCACTGCACTCCAGCCTGGGCGACAACAGCGAAACTCTGCCTCAAAATAAATAAATAACCACAGACTGTGCTGGGAGAATGTATAATGAGGAACTGGCCCCACCTGGAGGGTAAGGAAGCAACACTGATCAGAGATCAGAAATGGTAGGGCTAATAACCAGCTAAATGAGACAACAGGACTAGGAAGAGCGCAAGCTCTCCGTACTTGGTGTTTCTTTGCTCTGAAGGTTTTCAGATCCTTCCCCTTCACAAGTTTCTTCCTCTCTTTCTTCTTCTTTCTTTCTTTCTTTCTTTCTTTCTCTCTTTCTTTTCTTTTCTTTTCCTTCCCCTTCCCCTTTCTTTCTTTCTTTTCTTTTCCTTCCCCTTCCCCTTTCTTTCTTTCTTTCCTTTCTTTTTTCCTTTCCTTTCCTCTTTTTCTTTCTTTCTTTTTTCCTTTCCTTTCCTTTCCTCTTTCTTTCTTTCTTTTTCTTTTCTTTTCTTTTTCTTTTCTTTTATTTATTTTTTTTCAGGGTCTGGCTCTGTCACCCAGCCTGGACTGTAGTGGTACAATCACGGCTCTCTGCAGCCTCGACCTCCCAGGCCCAAGCAGTCCTTCTATGTCAGCCTCTCAAGTAGCCGGGACCACAGGCATGCACCACCGCACCCAGCTAATTTTTTTGTTATTGTAGAAATAAGGTCGCTCTATGTTGTCCAGGCTGGTCTTGAAGCCTGGGCTCAAGCAGTCCTCCTGCCTTGGCCTCCCAAAGTGCTGGGATTACAGGCGTGAGCCACAAATTTTTTTTTCTTTTTTTTTGTCTTGCCTGAAACACACAGTTTACAAAATATTCCCTCACATGTTTCCTCATCTGCTGTTCCCAAGGCTCCTATGAGGTAGGTGGGGGGTGGTATTGTCCCCACATCGGGGAAGTTGAGGATCAGGAGAGGGGAGGGGAGTTCCCCAGGGTCTGTTGTGTGTTGGTGTCAGAGGCAGGACTAGACTTCAGGCTGAGACTGAGGGTGGGGCCTCAGGGAGCAGGGGATGCTGATCCCTGCTTTGCTGCCTCTGACAGTCCCTCTGTCTGCTGGTCCCAGGTGAGAGCTGCCACACAGATGGGACGTATGCCTATGATGCCGACTTCAGCTGCTGCAGCTCCTTGTGAGTACAGCCCCTGTCAGGGACTCCACCCTGCTCCCCTACCCCTGCACAAACAGGGTGACTAGAGAGGGTAGGAGAAGGTGACCCAACCTTGATGTGTGCTGAGACACTGGGCACTAAGAGGGGGAGGTAAACTGAGCTCCCTGACTCTGGAAACCCACAGGATCCAGACCCTTGAGAGACCCAGGAGACACCAGAACTCAGATGTGGGTCCACACAGTCCTGTGGTTCTCTCCCAGTCATCCAGGCACAGTGGTCTGCAGAAACCAAAATCATAGCTACATGCCAAAAAAATTATCTTGGCTTAATTTTGGTTCCATGTAATAGAAAATCCCCAAAAAGAGTATCTTAAGCAAGATAGAACTTTTTTTTCTTATATTTGACATAAAATAGAGCAGCAATTCAACATTTCATGGTTGTTAGGAGCTCAGGCTTCTCTTTTCCTTCCCTACCCTCTTCAGGACTTGCAGCCATCCTCAAGGTCACCTCATGGACCGAGATGGTGGTTGTAGCTCCAGCCATCACAGTAGCATGCTAAGGGGCCTCTTTAAAGAGTTTTGCCAGATTCCCACCTGATGACTTCTGCTTATATCTCATAGGCCAGAACTTGGTCACATAGCCATCACTAGCTGCAAGCAAAGCTGGAAAATTTAGGATTAAAAAAATATATTTCAGGCTAGATGCGGTGGCTCGCACCTGTAATCCCAACAGTTTGGGAGGCTGAGGCAGGTGGATCGCTTGAGCCTGGGAGTTCCAAACCATCCTGGGCAACATGGCGAAACCCCATCTCCACCAAAAATACAAAAATTAGCCAGGTATGGTGGCGCACACCTGTGGTCCCAGCTACTTGGGAGGCTGAGGCAGGAGAATGGCGTGAACCCAGGAGGCGGAGCTTACAGTGAGCTGAGATTGCGCCACTGCACTCCAGCCTGGGCGACAGAGCGAGACTCTATCTCAAAAAAAAAAAAAAAGAAAAATTCAGGCCAGTCATGGTGGCTCACGCCTGTAATCCCAACACTTTGGGAGGGCAACGCAGGAGGATCACTTGAGCCCACAAGTTTGAGACCAGTCTGGGCAACATAGGGAGACCCTGTCTCTATTGAAATAAATAAATAAACAAATAAATAAATAAAATTTTAAACAATTCAGTTGGGAACATTACCCAGGGTTCTGTTTAGGGTGACCAGCCATCCCAGTTTGCTCAGGAATGAGGGGTTCCCCCGGATATGGGATTTTCAGTGCTAAAACCAAGAAAGTCCTGGGTTACTGGTTGATCACCTAGTTATATTACTAAGGGCTTCAGTTTGGCATGTAGCAGTCTCTGCCAGTGATATATGTCTTATTGTTTCTTTCCTTTTTAGTGGCAATAGATTTGCCTTCCTCATACTGTATGCCCTTAGGCTAGTCTTTAAACAACCAGATATCTACTGAAGAGATAAAATAGTGATAATAGCGTTTGAACATTGAACTTGCTATGTACTAAGTGCTGTTCTATAAAGCACTTTATTTTTTCATCAACATAGTAACATTACAGCAGCTACTGTTTATTGCTTATAGCCCATAATTCTAAGTGTTCTACAAATATTAACTCCTCTAATTCTCATGATGACACTAATTATTATTATCCCATTATACAGATGGAAAAATTGAGAAATAGAGAAATTAAGTTTAGTTTTCCCAAGGTCAAGCACCTAGTAAGTTGTAAGTATGGGATTTGAACAGAAGAAGGCTGGCTCCAGAATCCAGTCCTTTAACCACAAAGCTACACGGCTTCTTTGTAGGTAATAATGGAGGATGGTTCTGGAACAATTTAGAGACAAGGAGGCAGGAGCCTAAGGTTGAGTTTTTATTAAGCAATATTTCTTGAGTACCTCCTATGTGCCAGGCACTCTGCTGTGTGCTGGGGATACAGATGGACACAAGACAGAGGGCAAAACCTGGGCCTGGCACATAGTAGGTGTTCAACAAATGAAGAAAACCAAAGTCCCTGCTCTTGTCAAGTTTACAGTCTAGGATAGGAGGCAATGAAATCGCAATTTAACAGTAACAATCATTAATGGTAATAAGTACTAAAGGGAGGCTCAGGGTGCTATAAGAGAGGCAGAGGGGGACCGCAACTCAGCTGGAGAGTCAGGAGGGCCTCTCAGAGGTGATGGCACATGAACTGAGGCTTGGAGGATGAAAGGGGGAAGAGTGTTCCAGGTAGAGGGAACAGCAAATGTAAGAATCCTGAACTAACCAGGCGTGGTGGCTCACGCCTGTAATCCCAGCATTTTGGGAGGCTGAGGTGGGCAGATTGCTTGAGGTGAGGCATTTGAGAGCAGCCTGGACAAACATGGTGAAACCCTGTCTCTACTAAAAATACAAAAATTGGCTGGGTGGCACATGCTTGTAGTCCCAGCTACTCAGGAGGCTGAGGCATGAAAATTGCTTGAACCCGGGAGGCGGAGGCTGCAGTGAGCCAAGACCGCACCACTGCACTCCAGCCTCAGTGACAGAGCAAGAATCTGTCTCAAAAAAAAAAAAAAAAAATTTTGAACAGGATAGAGCTTAGTGGGTTTGAGGGGCAGCAGGTGGCCACTGTGGCTGTGGCAAATGGTGTGAGGGAGAGAGTGGTCAGAGAGGATGCTTGGGGGTACCTGGAAAGGCCATGCATGTCACAGGTAGGCCATGGACTGAGGGAGCATGTTCGACAGAGGTTCTAACCCAACCTAGGGGAATTAGGGAACACTCTCCTGAGGAGATGACATTTAAGATCACGGGATGAGTAAGAGTTAGCTGTGCAAAAGGGAGGGGAAAGGAGGCAATCCAGGCAGAGGGACCAGCAGGTGCAAACACCCAGAGGTGAGGAGATAGTAGAGGAAGAAGGAGAAGGGGGGTGGGGGGCGCGAAGCACAAAGAGCAAAGGCAAAGGCAAGCACAGTGACAGATGAGACTTGAGAGGTGCCAGGGGCCAGGGTATGCGAGGCCTTGGAGGCCAGCATGCAGTCTAGGATGAGGCCTCCTACCTTCAGCCTGCCTGAGGGCCAGGAGCTGGAGGGAGGCGAGTGAAGGCCCTTCTTCCCGTGCCTGCAGTAATGGCTCCCAGGACACCTTTGAAGCATGTTACAGCGGCACGTCCACACCTTCTTTCCATGGCTCCCACTGCAGCGGCAGCGACCACAGCAGTCTGGGCTTGGAGCAGTTACAGGATTACATGGTCACGGTGAGCTGGGGCCGGTGGTGGGAATGGCACAAGCAAAAGCCTGGAGGCTGGAGTAAACATTTTGGGAATGGCACATTGCCCTGGACATAACCTAAGCAGAAGACATCAGAGGTCAGAGCAGGAAATGAGGTTAGGAGAGTAAACTGAGGCCAGCTTGTGAAAGGCCTTAACTAATGTCAGCTGGCATTAATTGAGTGCCTGCTGTATACCAGGCACCATTCTAAGCACCTTTCATGCATTATTTCTTTTAATCTTTTCAACAACCCCAAGAAGAAAATACCATCATTATCCTCACTTTGCAGATGAGAAAAGCAAGCATCATGGAGGTTGTCACCTACCCAAGATCACAGAGCTGATCCAGTGAAGGGGTCAAGATTTGCACTCAGGCAGCTTGAGTCCACATCCTATTCTTAAATGCAGCCTAAGGGATCTAGATGTCCTCTGAATAGCCCATGGGAAGGTTTTCAGAGGAGAGCTGGACCAAACATGCCCTTAGGGAAGGCTCTGGGCCTTTCAGGCAGGGGTTGGGTGGCGCTGCTTCCTGGGATTGATCTCGAATGGTGTCCCCCACATAGTTGCGGAGTAAGCTGGGGCCCCTCGAGATCCAGCAGTTTGCGATGCTGCTGCGGGAGTACCGGCTGGGGCTGCCCATCCAGGACTATTGCACAGGCCTGCTGAAGCTCTACGGAGACCGGCGCAAGTTCCTCCTCCTTGGTGAGCCCCCGCTGTACCCCCAGAGGTCAGCTAGGGCCCCTGCTTGGTCCATGCCATCCCAGTCAGGCACCAGGCTGCAAATGTTTTCTCCTTATCTTTCAGCCTCTGATGAAACCCAGATCATGAGATTCACAGGGCAGATGAGGAGCCCAAAGTGCAGAGTAGGGAAAGGACTTGTCAGAGCTGGGAGACACTGTTGATAAGAAGAACTAAGCAGTGGTGTGGCCATTTCATCCTCACAGCAAAGCTGCGAGAGGGACTGATTCTTCCCATCTTACCCCACACGGAAGCTGAGGCTCAGAAAGGCTAAGGAACATGTCCAAGGTCACACAGCTAGTAAGGAGGGCTAATAATAACAGGAGGAATAATACGAATAAGCTGACATGTGCTTGGCAGTTACCCTGTGCCAAGCATCATCTCATTAAATGCCCCCAGTTCTGAGAAGTAGATACTATTAATGGTCCCCATTTTGCAGGTGAGGAAACTGAGACTCAGAGTTACAAAGTAAAGGACTGAGGTCACATAGCTAGTAAGTAGGAATGGAAATAAAACAAACTGTTTACAGAGTGCTCAGTATGTGCTGAGTACCTTGTTATTTAATCCTCACATCCCTACCCAGAGAACAGGTGCAATTATCTGTTTTACAGGTGAGGAAAATGAGGTTCAACATAATTAATCAATGGGAATATAATGATGGTACTAATAATAACAAAAATAGGCCTGGCGAGGTGGCTCACACCTGTAATCCCAGCACTTTGGGAGGCTGAAGCTGGCGGATCACCTGAGGTCAGGAGTTCAAGACCAGCCTGGCCAACATGAAACCCTGTCTCTACTAAAAATACAAAAATTAGCAGGGCGTGGTGGTGTGCGCCTGTAATCCCAGCTACTTGGGAGGCTGAGGCATGAGAATCTCTTGAACCCGGGAGGCAGAGGCTATAATAATAATAATAAAAGTACAGTAATCTAGTATGTAGTGAGCATTCACTGTGTGCTGAGCGCTGTGTCGTTATTCGCTGGCTCAGACAGTTAAGGACCTTGGGCAAGGCCACACAGCCAGTGAGTGACAGCAGGGATTTGCACCCAGATCTGCAGAGAGGACGCTTCCCCTGTGGAAGGGAAAGGGAACGTGTCCTGGGGACTCACCATGCCCCTCGGCTCGCAGGGATGCGGCCCTTCATCCCGGACCAGGACATCGGCTACTTCGAGGGCTTCCTGGAGGGCGTGGGCATCCGCGAGGGCGGCATCCTCACTGACAGCTTCGGCCGCATCAAGCGCAGCATGAGCTCCACGTCGGCCTCCGCAGTGCGCAGCTACGATGGCGCGGCGCAGCGGCCCGAGGCACAGGCCTTCCACCGGCTGCTGGCTGACATCACGCACGACATCGAGGCGCTGGCCCCCGATGACGACGACGACGACGAGGATGAGCCCCGGGGCTCCAGGGGCGGGAGCGACGCCGCAGAAGACAACTACCTGTAGCCACCGCCCCTGCGGACGGCGTGGCTCAGCAGCCCACCTCTGAGTCTCAGCTTTGCTTCGGGGACCCTATCCCCAGGGCCCCCCCATCACACCTGGCGGGGCCGGGGGGTCTTCACTCCAGGGTCTCGCTCCCTGCCCTTGGGGCCCGGGGCCATGCAGTACCTGGAGTGTCCTGCAGGGGGAAAGCGAAGCCGGGCCCTGAAGTCCGGGGCAGTCACCCGGGGCTCCTGGGCCGCTCTGCCGGGCTGGGGCTGAGCAGCGATCCTGCTTTGTCCCAGAAGTCCAGAGGGATCAGCCCCAGAACACACCCTCCTCCCCGGGACGCCGCAGCTTTCTGGAGGCTGAGGAAGGCATGAAGAGTGGGCTCCACCTGCTGGCCGACTGAGAAAAGAATTTCCAGAACTCGGTCCTATTTTACAGATTGAGAAACTATGGTTCAAGAAGAGAGGACGGGGCTTGAGGGAATCTCCTGATTCTCCTTATATGACCTCAAACTGACCATACTAAACAGTGTAGAAGGTCTTTTTAAGGCTCTAAATGTCAGGGTCTCCCATCCCCTGATGCCTGACTTGTACAGTCAGTGTGGAGTAGACGGTTTCCTCCACCCAGGGTTGACTCAGGGGGATGATCTGGGTCCCATTCTGGTCTTAAGACCCCAAACAAGGGTTTTTTCAGCTCCAGGATCTGGAGCCTCTATCTGGTTAGTGTCGTAACCTCTGTGTGCCTCCCGTTACCCCATCTGTCCAGTGAGCTCAGCCCCCATCCACCTAACAGGGTGGCCACAGGGATTACTGAGGGTTAAGACCTTAGAACTGGGTCTAGCACCCGATAAGAGCTCAATAAATGTTGTTCCTTTCCACATCAAACATTTTATGACTCAGTTTACCTTTCTTGCCTTGTAATAAGCAAAAGATGTCTGGGTGCATCCTACCCCAACTGAAGTGGTGGTGAGCTATTCAGAAGATCCTCAGGGGAGTTCACTGTTTGGGAAGAAGAAACAGTACTTGTTCCCTTGCAGCCTTGTTACAGCCTAGCTCTGTGCTCAAGTCACAAACAAGAAATAGCCAAGACTCCACAGGCAGCTATCTGGGAGTCTGGGGTAGTCAAAGAAATGGGAAGGAAAGGTTGGAGAGGTAGAGAAGTCAGGATAAGGACAGCATTCAGCACAGCCTGAGTAAAGGCTGGAAAGCTAAAAGGGATGAGGCCTGAGAGGAGGCCAGAGACTCACATAGGAGATCCAAAATGTGTTTGTAAAACCTTGCAAAGGCTTCCATGGCCAGACACATTGTACACACCATAAAATAGGCACTGTTAGCAATTTTCAAAAAAATGTTATTAGGACTCCAGGTCCAAAGAGTTCCATAATTCATACTTGGTTTGTGGTAAATGATCATCCCATCATCACTGGTCCATGTAGGGCCCTTCTGATGTTTTATTTTACCCTCTCCTGATCCACATGTTCCCCACACTCCTTTTCCCTCTTTACTATGAGCGCCTAACCCTATGTGCTGATATATGTCCCTGGACCTAAACTACACAGTGCTTTGTGTGTGTGTTTGTATAAATGATATTACATAAGAATTTCACTCTATTCCTTCTCTCACTCTGTAATGTTTTTCTATTTAAAAAGAAAACTAAGAAAATTTTTAGAGACAGGTTTTTGCTCTGTCACCCAGGCTGGACTGCAATGGTGCAGTGACAGCTCACTGCAAGAACTCCTGGGCTTAAGTGATCCTCCTGCCTCGCCCTCCCAAAGTGCTGGGATTAAAGGCATGAACCACCAAGCCCAGCCACCCTATAATGTTTTAAATACCTACATATGTGCTGTTGAAAAATCTCACTGTTGCATCCAACTGCTGCAAAATATTTCGAGTTGAGCATCCGCTGTTTTCTTTATCCATCTCCCCAGAGATGAACACCCAGGTTGCTTCCAACTCCCTCTTACCACAAACAACACTGTGATTGATGAACATTTTTGTACATGAAACTTATGGGCCTATGTGAGCATTTCTTTGGGCTCTAAATCCAAGAGTGGAATTACTAGATCACAGGGCAGGTTTTGAATTTCATTAACTTCTTCCAGAATGGCTTTCACCAACGGTGAGTGAAGGATGCTGTTTCCCGACATCTTCATCAGATTTTTCATCATCTGATTTTGTAACTTTGCATTCAGTGTGGGTGTAAGGTGGCAAGTTGTTTTAATTTGCATTTCTCTGTTAATCCTGAAATTTATAACTTCCTTCTATACTAGTCAGCCATTTGAGCTTTCCTTTCTGTGACTTCCTTGTTCATATCTTTTGTTCATTTCCTACTGGGCTTCCTGTCTTTTTCTCATTGATTTGCAAGAGTAGTTTATAAATTTTAGATATTAATCCCTTTTGGATGTTGATGTTCCAGGTATATTCACCTAATATATTTGCCTTCTGTCAAGTTTATCTGTGACAGTACTCAAACTTCAGCAGGCATCAGAATGTCCTGGAAGGCTTGCTAAAACACAGATGTCTGAGCCCCACTCCTAGAGATTCTCCATAAGAGAAGGGGAAGGGCCTGAAAATTTGCTTTTTCTTTTTTGGGGGGACAGAGTCTTGCTCTGTCACCCAGGCTGGTGTGCAGTGACGCAATCTCAGCTCACTGCAACCTCTGTGCCTCAGCCTGCTGAGTAGCTGGGATTACAGGCATGCGCCACCATGCCTGTCTAATTTTTGTATTTTTAGTAGAGATTGGGTTTCACCATGTTGGCCAGGCTGGTCTCAAACTCCTGACCTCAGGTATCTGCCCTCCTCGGCCATCCAAAGTGCTGGGATTACAGGCATGAGCCATCGTGCCTGGCCAATAATTTGCATTTCTAACAAGTACCCAGGTGATGCTGATGGTCCAGGGACCGCTCTGAGAACAACTGATTTGTGATGGCTTCCATTGGGCAAACTTGTTCTATTGAGCAAATTCCTTAATTTTGAGGTTGTCGATTTTATTTATTTTCATTTTCTGGATGAAGGAACTGGAGTTCAAGAGGTGAAGTGAATACCCCAAGGTCACACAGTGAGCTGGGCTTTGGACTCATGTCTGGCTAACCCAGAGCCCATGTCCCTAGCCTCTCTACTGTCCTGTCTCTGAGACTTTGGGATGTAGTGGCCGTAGCCTGAGGCATTCCGACCTGAGGCTACAGGGAGCCTTAGTAAGTTCCTGAGCAAGGCAGCCGGAGAGGGAACAGTTGGTTGGGTAGGGACAGGGGCCAAAGATATAGGAGTCTCTCTTAAAGGCCTTGGGGCTTTCCAAGAAAAGCTCAAAAACTGCCGAAAATCCTAGCCACAGCACAGTGACAGGGCTGCTGAGAGGCACTGGGACAGACAGTTCTTACCCCACAGCTCCAGGGATGGGGTAATTTCCCTCACACCCCAAGGAAGTCCCCACCCGCTCCGGAACTACCCTCTTACCAAAGCCATGTAACCCCTTAGTTCCTGGGGTCCAAAGGGCACTGTCTGGGGCAACCCAGGCACTGAGTCTGGAGACTCTGGCCACACTTCCTCCTGTAGCATCCAGAGACCCTGCCAGGAATTGCTTCCCTTGTTGGTTCAGTTCCTGACATCACAAGAGGGGAAAACCCCCTAGGGGTGGGATAGCTGGTTCCCAAGGACTTCTAGGGGTAGTGCAAGTATGGAACTTCCCCACCAGCTGGATCCCCTGGGGACGGTCTTGGCCCAAACGTGAGTGGTAAAATTGTCTCCAGCTGCCGTAGATGGACGCCTCTCCCAAGGTGGGGCCCTGAAACTTCCTACCCACTCCCCACTTCCACTGGCAGCTCCCAGCAGTCCTTCCCAACTATGTGCTCAGGAGCAGGAGTCCTGGGGCCACTGTCATTCAGCCGCCAAGCATTTAGAGGGCACTTGCTCTGTGCCAGGCATTGCACAAGACACTAGAGGGAGATACAGCACAGTCTGCCCACTGAGGGGCACACTGATGGGGAAAACAGTTCCCAGATAATCATAGCACAAAGTTCTCAATTGTAAAGTCAAAGAGTGAGACACCAGCTCTTTCTGGGGAAGCTGGAAAAGGTTTCACAGGGGAGGTGAGCCATGAGCGAGAGCTTGAAGGACAAGGTTTTTGGTGGGTGAACAATAGAAGAGAGAGCCCTCCAGATGGGGACCCAGCACAAGCAAAGGCAGGGGAGCTTGAAGGAGCATGGCGTGCTCTAGGACTGGCAACCGGTTAGCACTCGTGCAGCACTTAGGCTCCCTGGCCAGAGGGTCGGAGGGTTTTTAATCCGAGCTCTGCCATCTGCTTGTTCGGTGACCTTGGGAAAGCCCCTAAAATGTCCCTGGGTCTTGGTTTCCTCATCTGTAAAGTGGGGTTGATAATAGCCTCACCCTCGTAGATCCCATAGATTGTCATGAGTCTTAAGATATTTCACGTAAAAGTATATGTAGAAAGTGCTCAATTAGTGACCATTGTGATAGCTGGAGGAACACGGAGTGTGTGAGGTGGGGGACGAGGTGGGTGGGTAGGAGTTGCAGGAGAGGAAACCAGAGAAGTGGATAGATTAGAAGCCCTTGAAGGGCAGGCTAGGAAGCATAGGCAATGGGAGGCTATCTAATGTTTGTTGTTGTTATTGTTGTTTTTGTTATCGTTGTTTGAGGCGGGTTCTCACTCTGTCACCCAGCTGGAGTGCAGTGGAACAATCAAAGCTCACTGCAGCCTCCAGCTCCTGGGCTCAAGCCATTCTCAGCCTTCAAAGTAGCAGAATTACAGGTGTGCGCCACCAGGCCTGGCTATTTCTAAATTTTTTTTGTAGAGACGTGCTCTCTTTATGTTGCCCAGGATGGTCTTGAACTCCTGAGCTCAAGGGATCCACCCGCCTGAGCCTCCCAAAGTGCTGAGATTACAGGCGTGAACAAAGGTGCCCCACCTGGGAACAAGCCAGGGGACCTGCATTTTCTTGAAGCGAATCAAGCTGCTGGAGAGGAGGATCAATAGGAAAACAGAGGAGCGTCTGGAAGCAGGGAAGTGGGGAGGAGGCTGGAACCAGGACCACATGAGAGATGGTAAGACCTGACTGAGCTGGGGTAAGAGGAAGGAAGAGGAGAGAGTAGGTTCAAAGAGGAAAGAAGAGAAAGAGAACTCTGCCTACCCCCACCCCCACTCAGAAATAGTAGCCCCTCACATTCTTTGACCAAATTCATTCGTTCATTCATTCATTCATTCCACAACCATTTATTTAGCATTTAAACCCTGGCCTCTTGGAGTTTACATTCTAGGAGTTTATATTACTATTAAATGTTACTAGGAGCTTCCAGATGCAGTAACGACCCAATCAGGTCTAAATGGCCAGAAATTGATGGCCCTCTTGGTGGGTCCTCCCACTTGACTTGTTGCTTATCCTCAGGTATTTCAGAGCAGGGGCAGAGGGGTCTTAAAGCCAGGCCAGCCTGTTCTGCCCACTTCCTACCTTGGGGAGTTCACTGTCTCCTATGGCAGCCCCTTCTATCCAATGCAAGAGCTAACATCCACCTCCTTGTCCCCCCACTCCCTGCCCGCCGTCCCCAGGGCCCCCCACCTGGCTTCTAACATCACCTTTAAGAGCCCTACACGGTATCCCTGATGCCTCAGCCACTGGGCAGCCCTGCAGCAACGTGCAGAAAATGATGCAATCTGCAGAAACTTCTCAACTTCTCATTTATATCTAAAAGCAGACTGTTCTCAAAAAAAATATTTTCAAAGCCTATCATGCAGACAAAGGGGGAGTGCGTTTGATGTGTAAAGACCTACAAGTAAATAAGACCAACAGCCTAATAGAAAAATAGGCAAATTATTTATACAGACAGTTCACAGAAAATACAAACGACTCTAAAACGTGTGACAAGATGTTCAACCTCACTCATAAGATAAATGCAAATTAACACAACACCGAGCAACCATTTTTCAATTAAGAGATTGGCAAAGTTTGGAAAAGTGTGATCACTCACTATGTGGGTGTAGGTGTGAGGAAACAGACACTCTCACACATTCCTGGTGGGAGAGCAAGTTGGTATAAACCCTACTGAGCAATATCTACCAGGATGCAGGAGCCCTTTGATGCAACAATTCCACTGCCAAGAATTTCTCCGGCATTTATACCCACACGAGTGGAAACCAATGTGCAAGGAAAGTCATTGCAGCTTTGTCTCTAATAACAAGAGTTTGGAAATAAACCAAATGTTCAGTGATAGGGGTCTGGTTAAATGAACTGTGGCTCATGCAGGCAATAAAATACCATGCAGCCATAAATAAGAACTAGGTAGCTCTGTGCACCGATACAGAATTATTTCCAAGATAGAGTAAGTGAAAAAAAAAAAAAAAAGCAAAGTACAGAACAATGCACTTTGAATAGTGCTGTATTTTTGTTTAAGGAGGCGGGAAATGTCTTTTAAGTATAGAATAGTTCTGGAAGGTACACAAAACAAGTTATAGTTGTGCTTCTGAGCTGGAGGAGTGTGTGGCTATAGAATAAAGAGGGAAGGAGACTTTCTCTGCATGATGTGTCCTAAATGTTATGTCATGAATATGAATTACAGCAGAGCAATTTTTTCAAAAACCACTATTCCAGTATTGTGGTATTTACTGAACTCTATAGACACTATCTGTTTCCATATCTGTCTGACCCCTCCAACCCCACGCCTACTCTCAACACTCACGCTTACACACACACACACACATGCACACACACACACACACGCACACACACACACACACACAGAATCTTGGAAAGGGAGGCTGGTTCTGACTCATTCCTACATTCCCTGGAGCTCAGCACAGCACCAAGCACAGAGCCTCCTGCCAACAATCATATGAGTGAACTATCTTGGAAACAGATCCCCCAGCCCCAGTCCAGCCTTCAGATGACTTCTCATCAGGCGTTGACTGCAGCCTCATAAGAGATCCCAAGCCAAAACCACTAAGCTAAGTTAGTTCCACATTTCTGACCTACAGAAACTGTGTGAGATAATAAATGTTGGCCAGGTGCAGTGGCTCACACTTGTAATCCCAGCAGTTTGCGAGGCTAAGGTGGGAGGATTGCCTGAGGCCAGGAGTTCCCGACCAGCCTGGGCGACATAGTGAGACCCTGTCTTTATTTTTTTTAATAGTTACAATTTTTTAAATCTCAATCCTGCTTCTTCTGTATAATTACACAGTTTTAAGTTGCTAAATTTTGGGTAATCTGTTACACGGCAGTATATAACTAATACAATCACCAAAGGTTTGTTTTTGTTTTTGTTTGTTGTTGTTTTGTTTTTTTGTCATTGTTGTTGTTTTGTTTTTGTTTTTGAGACCATCTCGTGCTGTCATCCAGGCTGGAGTGCAATGGGGTGAACACAACTCACTGTTACCTCGACCTCCTGGGCTCAAGCAATCCTCCTGCCTTAGCCACCCATGTAGATGGGACAATAGGCATGCATCACCATGCTTGGCTAATTTTTAAATTATTATTATTATTTTTGTACAGATGGGGTCTCACTTTGTTGTGTAGGTCGGTCTCAAACTCCTGGGCTCAAGCAATCCTCCCACCTCAGACTCCCAAAGTGCTAGGATTACAGGTGTGAGCCACCCTGCCCAGGCACAATCAATAAGCCTTTATTAAGCATTTGATGTGTATCAATTCCATGGTGATTGCAAAAGAAGAAGACATGGTCCTGCCCTTAGGGGAGCAAGCCACCTGCACATTCATTCCTAGACTCATTCCTTACTTCAACCAACATTATTGAGCATTTACTATATACCTGGCTCTGTGCTTAGTGTTGACCCATAGGATGTCAGCAATTAAAATACACCATAGAGGCCTGTAGTCCCAGCTACTTGGGAGGCTGGGGTGGGAGGATCACCTGAAATCAGGAGTTCAAGGCCAGCCTGGGCAGCATAGCGAGACCTGCTCTCAAAAACAAAAATGTGTGTGTGTATATATATATATATATAGTAGGACAAGAGGGAACTTTCTAGAGTGATAAAAATGTATCTCCTAATGGGGTTTAAGTTACATAAATATATATGCATTTGTAAAAACTCAGCAAATGAACACGTAATCTTTTGCCCTTTGCCTGTAAATTTACATTAAAAGAAAATTACTGTAAACAAATATTGAAATTGAACTCCAGTTAATAATATGTGTGTTGAGGTAATTTCTTTAAAATGCATCTTAAAAGATGAATTGATAGACAGATAGATGAACAAACATGGTTAAAGCAAGTAAAATGTCAATGGTAGAATGTAAGTGGTGAGAGTAGGTATTTTGTCGCCAAAGTCTTTAAATTTTGCTGTGTATTTGGACATTTTCATAATAAAATGTTCAGAAGGAGCAACACTTGATAACCATATATTCCAATTCCCTCATTTATTATCATTATTTTAGTTCCATAAATAAAAACAATGCATTCTAGTTAAGAAAGAAAAAAACAGCGAGAGAAACATCACACACCAGGGCCTGTTGGGGGATGGGGGGAAAGGGGAGGGAGAGCATTAGGACAAATACCTAATGCATGTGGGGCTTAAAACCTAGATGACAGGTTGATGGGTGCAGCAAACCACCACGGCACATGTATACCTATGCAACAAACCTGCACGTTCTGCAAATGTATCCCAGAATTTAAAGTAAAAAGAAAGAAAGAAAAAAAAAAACATAGAAAAACACTTCCCCACCACCAATTCCAATGTTCCTTTCCTCTTCAGTGACAACCTCTGCTTCTTGTTGGCTGTTTAGCTTCCAGACTTTTATCTACGCATTTACATACATGTAGAGGTAAACACAAAACCATGTTATTATTTTAAAAAGGAATGTACTCTGCGATTCTGAAAGAATGTCTTGGGGATCTCTCCATGTTAATTCATGCACATCACCCCAGTTTCAAATTGCTGAGTAAGGATGTGTCTTCCTCTTTGAGATTCAGGCTCAGAGAAGAGTTTGTCAGACACACACAGCAAGTTAGAAGAGCTGGGACTCCAACCTACTCTCCTAGTCCCAGGCCTGGGCGCACCCTGCTTGAGCATGTCCACCACTGAATGAGGGGCAGGGCCACGCCCAGGCCCTTTTTTTCTGCAGAATACAGTGGGCAGGTCCAGCCCTGCCCCTGGGAGAAGACCAGCCTGGGCTTGGGTGCACCGGACCCAGGAGGAAGTCCACAAAGCGCTTCCTCTTTTCTTAGCCTCCAGAGACACTGGGGGAAGAGAAGGGGGTGTTGTGAAACTGAACAGTCCCCCAACCCCCCTGGGGGGACCCGTCAGCTGGGGGTGGCCATGCAGCTGGGGGCAGAAAAACAATTTCATGGACTCCCCCAGCACTGCCCCCGCCCCACCCCCGTCCCCACCCAGTCTCACCCCGCCCCTGAGCAGGAGGTCTGCTGCCTCTAGGATGGTACTTGGGGTAGGTAAGCTTGGAAGGCATCCATAGGCCAGCCTTGTACAGTCTTGCCCGAGTCCTACATGAGCTGGCCCCAGTGCCTATCAGCTGCTGCCGCCACTTCCAGCCTCCTCTTCCAAATATGGTATCTGCCTGGGGCTTCAGGCACCAACAACATGGAAATGTTTGCAGTTCCTCAAACAGGTCAGACTGTTTCCCTCTCAAGCCTTTGTCAGGTTGTCCCTTCTGTCTGGAACACCCTTTGCCCTGATCTTCCTCTGGCATCCATTAAGCCTCAACTCATGTCACTTTTTTTTTTTTTTAAGGCAGGTCTCACTCCATTGCCCAGTCTGGAGTGCAGTGGCGCGATCTCAGCTCACTGCAACCTCTGCCTGCAGGATTCAAGCAATTCTCCTGCCTCAGCTTCCCGAGTAACTGGGATTACAGGTGCCCGCCATCACGCCTGGCTAATTTTTAGTAGAGACAGGATTTCGCCATGTTGTCCAGGCTAGTCTCTAACTCCTGATGTCAGGTGATCCACCCACTTCGGCCTCCCAAAGTGCTGGGATTACAGGCATGAGCCACTGTGCCTGGCCCATATCACCTTTTTCAAGAAGTCCTTGCTGCACTCAGTGTCCTTCCTACTTGGTCCTACAATATCATGGGCCTATCTCTCTCTCTCTCTCTAGCAGCATTTTCCACTCTGTATCTAAGTTATTGGTTAAATGATTGTCTCCATAATTGGATTGAAAGTTGCTTGAGGGCCAAAACGCTCTCATCCATTTTTGTGCTCCCAGACCTTGGCAGAAATGCACATGGTAGGCCCTTAATCGTATTAATGGAATTAATCAAAGAACGAAGGGTTTAGATGCCAGCACTGTCACTATCACTCACTGGCTGTTCCTAAACTCTGAGCTTCAGTTTCTTCCTCTGTAAAATGGGCATGTGAATAGTATCTGCACGGAATTTGCAATATAGTAGAGGAGACAGAGAATCAACAGGTGAACATACAAATATGTAACATAGTGCCTGGTGGCGACAAATTCTCTGGAGAAAAATAAGGCCGAGTGGGAGTTAAAGAAGACTGGAGGAGGGAGGAGCTTTCTAAGGGGGTCAGGGACCCCCTAGGGGCTGTTGGGCGTTTCTCAAGGGTTAGTCTCCTCTGATTTTCATTTGACCTTTTTGGGAAAGGTGGGGAGCAGTGAGCTCCTGCCTGGGAGGGTGTAGCTATGAAATAAACGCTGGCTACTTTACAAATAAAAGGGGAAATGGTTGAGCTCTGAAATAATGATTGTGGCTCTCTTTCCCATCCTTCAACATGTTTTGAATATAGAACAATCAACAGTGATCCCAAAGAATTTGAAATATGAAATGCAAATGCCCTCTGGAAATAGGAAAATACATTTTTGAAAGAGCCAACCTCTGACCCACTGTAAAGCGAAGCTTACATTGTGTTCTAGCTCCTGCCCTCCTTCCAGGACAGAGCCCTGGGTCCCTTTCTGCATTCTGCATCTCTCTCTATACTCCTCAACTTCCTGGGCACGATTACTGCATTTTGTGTAACGGTTACAAACACAGCTGTCAGAGGCACACTGGAGGCATGTCCATGTGGGTTCTTCAAATCCCAGCTCTGGCACTTATTGGCTGTGTGACCTTGGGCAATTGCCTTTACCTGTCTGAGCAACCCTTTTATAGTCATCCCTATTTATAAGACAGAAAATGAGATAATGTAAGTGAGGGCAACCACCTGGTGCAGGAGGTACTCTTATTCTACTATGCAGGGGAGGAAACGGGCAGAGAGAACCTGCCCAAAGTCACAGCTAGCGAGAGGCGGTCAGTCCAGCCTCTGTGCCTTTGCTCCCACGCTCTTCCACCCCTGGCCCCAGAGTCAAGTGCACACTCAGAACACCTTTCTTGACTTTTCATCCTCTAAAAATCCCAGCCAGCATCAATTCTATCTCATCCATGAAGTCTCTGATTGTATTTTCAGTTGACTTTACTTGATTTTGTATAGCTAATACATTTAAATAGTTCAACATTCAAGAGTACAAAAGATACTATGCAGTTCCCCTCCCTGGAAGAAACCACTGGGGCTGTTTGCTATGTGTGCCCTTCTTCACTTGGCCCAGCCATATGCTAGTGTGTTTGTTCTATTATTCTGCACAAATAGTGAAATACAATAGAAGCTGTTGGACGCCTCAATTTCTTCCCTATTTACAGCTATATTTTTGCATTGTTCTCTATTAGTACATAAGGGGCTTCCTCCTTCTTTTGTAAAAAGCATTTTTATTGAATTATAAATTTACGTACTATACAATTCACCTGTTTAACTTTTACAATGCAATGGTTTTTAGTATGTTCAAATGTTGTGCAACTGTCACCACAATCAATTTTAGAACATTTTCATTACCCACCCACCAAAACCACCCTGTACCTATTAGCAGTCACTTCTTATTTCTCCTCAGCTCCCAGCCCAATGCAACCAATAATCTCCTTTCTTTTTCTTTTAAGTAGAGATGGAGGTCTCAGCATGATGCCCAAGCTGGTCTTGAACTCCTGGGTTCAAGTGATCCTCCTACCTCAGCCTCCAGAGTGGCTGGGACTACAGGCATATGCCACTGTGCCCAACCTCTTTTCTGTTTCTATAGATTTGCCTGTTCTGGACCTTTCATATAAATTGAATTTTATAATATGTGGTATTTTATGATCAGCTGTTTTCATTTAGCATAATGTTTTCAAGGTCCGTCCATATCATAGCCTGTATCAGTACTTCATACCTCTTTATTGCCAAATAATATTTCATTGGGTGGATATGCCACATTTATCCATTGAGGGACATTGAAGTTGTTTCCACTGTTTGGCTGTTATGAATAATGCTGGTATGAAGATTTTATGTACAGATCTTTGTGTAGACATATATTTTCAGATTTCTTGGGTATATACCTGGGCGTGGGATTGCTGGGTCATAAGGTAATTCTATGTGTAACTTTTTGATGAACTGCCAGACTGTTTCCCAAAGCAGCTGCTCCTTTTACATTTCCACCATCATTGTATGAGGTGGAATCTCTCCATATTCTCAGCAACAATTGTTATTATCTGTCTTTTTAAATTATAGCAGTTCTAATGGATGTGAAGTGGAATCTCATTGTGGAATTGATTTGCATTTCTCTAATAACTAATGATATTAAGCACCTTTCCATGTGCTTATTGGCCATTTGTATAGCTTCTTTGGAGAACTATCTATTCAGATCTCTTGCCCACTTTTAAGTTGTGGATTTTTAAATTATTGAGCCATCCTATGTATATATTCAGGACCCCAGTCCCTTTTCAGATCTGTGATTTGCAAATATTTCCTCCCATTCTGTGGGTTGTCTTTACATTTTCAGGATAGTATCACTTGCAGCACAAGTTTTCAATTTCAGTGAAGTCCAATTTATCTATTTTTTCCTTTTGTCACTTGTATCACATCTAAGAAGAATTTGCCTAGCCCAAGGTCATGAAAATTTACTTCTGTGTTTTCTTCTAAGAGTTTTACAGCATGGGTAACATAGCGAAACCCCTTCTCTACCAAAAATACAAAAAATTAGCCGGAGTGGTGGTGTGCGCCTGTGATCCCAACTGCTCAGGAGGCTGAGGTGGGAGGATCACTTGAGCCTGGGAAGTGGAGGTTGTAGTGGCCAAGATCGCGCCACTGCACTCCAACTGGGTGACAAAGTGAAACCCCATCACACACACACACACACACACACACACACACACACACACAAAGAGTTTTATAGTTTTTGTTCATACACTTAGATCTACGATCCATTTTGGGATCCAACTTCATTCTTTTGCACGTGAATATTGAGTTGTTCTAGCACCATTTGTTGAAAATACTGTTTTCTTCCATTATTGAATTGTTTTGGCACTCTTTTTGAAAATCAATTGGCCTTAAATGTGAGGGTTCATTTCTCAACTCTCAATTCTGTCCCATTGACCTATATTTCTATTCTTATGCCAATACCACACTGTCTTGATTACTGTAACTTTGTAGTAAGTTTTGGAAATCAGGAAGTGTTAGTTCTGCAACTTTGTTGTTCTTTTCAAGATTATTTTGGCTGTTCTAGGTCCCTTGCATTTCCATATGAATTTTAGGACCAACTTGTTTATTCCTGCCACCCCCCCCCAAAAAAAAGGCAACTGGGGTTTTGATAGGGATAGTATTGATCAGTTTGGGGAGTACTATCATCAACACTATTAAGTTTTCCAATCCATGAACATGAGATGTCTCTCTCAACCCATGGGATGATTTTATTTAGGTCTTAAGTTTCTTTCAAGGATGTTTTCTTGCTTTCAGAGTATATTGTACTACTTTTGTTAAATTTATTCCTAAGTATTTTATTCTTCTGGTGATATTATAAATAAAATTGTTTTCTTAATTTCATGTTCAGATTGTTTATTACTAGTGTATAGAGATACATTTTTTTTTAAATACAGTGTTTCGCTCTTGTGGCCCAGGCTGGAGTGCAATGGCGCAATCTCGGCTCACTGCAACCTCCACCTCCCGGGTTCAAGTGATTCTCCTGCCTCAGCCTCCTGAGTAGCTGGGATTACAGGCGCCCGCCACCACACCCAGCTAATTTTTGTACTTTTAGTAAAGACAGGGTTTCACCACCGTGCCCAGGTACAGTTGGTTGTTATATATCCTTATTATTTTTGACAACTGCTTAGTATTCAATTATTTTATTAAGATTTATTTTCCCACGTCCCAAATCATGGGCATTTAGGTTATTTTCTGTCTTTTCCTAGTAAAAGAAGTGCTGCGATGATTCTCCTGTACATACTATGAATTCTTTTAGGCATTCTGATGTTTTCTCTCTCTGAGCTCCTTTAGTCGTCAGCTGCTACCACTCTGACCCAAGCTCCCATCATCTTGCCCTTGGATGACTCTCTCCCTGCTCACTGGTTTCCCTCCTTTCCCTTTGCCCCTCCAATTCATTCTCTACCCAGCAGCCAGACAGATCCTGTGAAAAGATAAGCCAGTTTGGCTCACTCCTCTGTTCAAAACCCTCCAACAGGGCTGGGCACAGTGGTTCACACCTGTAATCCCAGCACTTTTGGGAGGCTGAGGCAGGTGGACCACCTGAGGTCAGGAGTTCGAGACCAGCCTGGCTAACATGGCAAAACCCCATCTCTAGTAAAAATACAAAAATTAGCCAAGCGTGGTGGCGGGCGCCTGTAGTCCCAGATACCTGGGAGGCTGAGGCAGGAGAATCACTTAAACCTAGGCGGTGGAGGTTGCAGTGAGCCGAGATCGTGCCACTGTACACCCTGGGCGACAGAGTGAGACTCTGTCTCAAAACAAACAAACAAAACCCTCCAACAGCTCCCATCTTGTGTCAATTAAAATTTAATATCGATACCAAGATGTCTGTGGCCTTCACAATATGACCCCACTTACTACCTCTCCAACACTGTCTCCACCACTCTTGTCTGCACCCTCTGTGTTCCAGCCACAATGGGCTCTTTGTATTCCCTAAACACACCACGTGCTGTTGCCTCTCAGGACCTTTGCTGTTACTGGTGCTTCTGCTTGGAACACAATTCCTCCAGATTATCACATGACTTATCTCTCCAATTCAAAAGGTCTTGCTCACATGCCACCTCCTCAGAGAAGCCTTCTCTGACCACCCTGTCTCAAGTTACACCATCGCTCCTCTCCATCCCACTACCTCTCCCCTTGACCTCCCTAGTTTTCTTATAACCCATATCATTCCCAAACATGGGATGAGTTTTCAGTATCTGTTTATTATCCATCTTCCCCTCAATAATGTAAATTCTAAGCACATAGGAAGGAATTAATTTTGTTTATTACTGTATCCTCAGCATCAATAATAGCACATGGCACATAGTAGGTGCTCCATAAATATTTGTTGAGTGAATGAATTATCATGCCACTCCCCTGTTTATAACCATCCAATAGCGTCCCATGTATGTTAGAATAAAACCTATGCTCCTCACAGAGGCCTGCAAGGTCCTGAGTGGCCTGGCCAATTTCATGGACCTCACCTTGGGTCTCCCTCCTCTGCTAGACACAATGGGGTTCTTCAGACACACAAAGCACCTACTTTCCTTGAGGCTTTTGTGTATTGTATTGGTTATCAAGATTGCATAATAAACTACCCCGAAGCTTAAAGGCTTGAAACAATAAGAATTTATTGGCAGGGCACGGTTTCTCATGCCTGTAATCCCAGCACTTTGGGAGGCTGAGGTCGGTGGATTACCTGAGGTCAGGAGTTCGAGACCAGTCTGGCCAACATGGTGAAACCCTGTCTCTACTAAAAATACAAAAACTAGCCAGGTGTGGTGTCAGGCACCTGTAATCCCAGCTACTCGGGAGGCTGAGGCAGGAGAATCACTTGAACCTGGGAGGCGGAGGTCACAGTGAGCTGAGATTGCGCCTCTGCACTCCAGCCTGGGCAACAGAGTGAGAATCTGTCTCCAAAAAAAAAAAAAAAAAAAAAAAAAGATATTACCTGTTCTGGGGAGGCTTCCCTACCTTCCCCTGTTAACCTGTCAAAGCCCCTGCATGGAGCCCCACCCCTTGATAGTGCTTGTTGCAAAATTCCAACCTGCCCTTATTGGTGCAACCATTTGTCCAATGCCCTCCAGTAAGTGGAAAATGCCATGAGGCCAGGGATTTCGGCTCCCTCATTCTCTGTTGTGTTCCCTAACACTCAAGACTCATTACCCAGTATGTGCCCATTATTATGTTTGTTGACCAAATGAGAGAATCAGAGACATCAAATGGCTTGCTCAAGGCTACACGTCTAGAGGTGGAAGGAGCACTAGAATCTGGGCCTTGTTACTCCTGATCTAGAATTGGCCTCCTGCCCCAGGACTCACTTGGTTCTCCAGACTTCAGTCACAGCAAAGTCCACCCTCATTTCAGAGTTCCTTTTATTCCATGTTGAAAAGGGTCCACTACCCACAGGGCAATGTCTCCTTTTTAAAGTCATATGCTCCTTCTTTTATCTTTGGAACAAGGCAGAGTGACAAAGGTGATTTCCAAATTATACTTGAATCAGTGCCTAAGCAGCAGTTTGAAATCTTAATGATTAGGCTGTACTAATGAAATTGACCATCTATATATAGCAAACCTAAGCACTTTACTTATATTTCATTCTCAAAATGACCCACTGAGGTAAGTAGTAGTATTATTCCGACTTGACAGATGAGGAAACTGAGACTCAAAGAGGTGACAATCAAGTCACCTCTTTGTACAACATTACCCAGTTGATAACAGCAGTGCCAGGTTTGAACTCTAGTTGGACTCCTACGATGGAGCATTTAGCACCAGTCTTTTGTTTTTGTTTTTGTTTTTGTTTTTGTTTTTTTTTGAGGAGTTTTGCTTTGTCCCCCAGGCTGGAGTACAGTGGTACGATCTCGGCTGTCTGCAGCCTCCGTCTCCCAGGTTCAAGCAATTCTCCTGCCTCAGCCTCCCAAGTAGCTGGGATTACAGGCACCCACTACCACACCCGGCTAATTTTTGTATTTTTAGTAGAGACGGAGTTTCACCATGTTGGCCAGGCTGGTCTCGAACTCCTGACCTCAGGTGATCTGCCCACCTTGGCCTCCCAATGTCCTGGGATTACAGGTGTAAGCCACCACACCTGGCCCTTAGCACCACTTTTGTGGTCAGCTATAGTCTCCATGACAATGAATGAATGAATAATTGAGTAGACAAAATGTTTGCCACCCCCAAAGACTGGTAAGGGGGTGTTTTAGAATACAATTTGTAATTGTATAAATGTTATTTGGTGCAAATATGGGTTAGATGGGAACTTTTTTTAATTGAAAAGAATGATAATGCCAAATGTTGGCAAGGATGTGGAGCAATTGGAAATCATAAATCACTGGAGGGAATGCAAAATGGTGTAACCACTTCAAAAACCAATTTAGACCAGGCACAAAGGCTCACACCTGTAATCCCAGCACTTTGGGAGGCTGAGGCAGGCAGATGGCTTGAGCACAGGAGTTCAAGACCAGCCTGGGCAACACGGTGAGACTGTATCTCTACAAAAAAAAAAAAAATAAGCTGGGCATGGTGGTGTACCTGTAGTCCCAGCTACTCAGAGGCTGAGGTGGGAGGATCACTTGAGCTCAGGAGACAGAGGTTAAAATGAGCCAAGATCTCGCCATTGCACTCCAGCCTGGGTGACAGAGCAAGACCCTGCCTCAAAAAAAAAAAAAAAAGAAAAACAATTCAGCAATTTATTGCAAGTTAGACACACACTTGCTATATGACCCAGCAATTCCAATCCTAAGTATTTACCCGAGAGAAATAAAAATATGCCTACACAAAAACTTGTACATAAATATTTATAGCAGCTTTATTTATATAGCCCCAAATTGAAAACAACCCAAATGTCTCTCAACAAATAAATGGATAAACAAATAGTGTTACATCTATACTATGGAATACTACTCAGCAGTAAAAATGAACGAACTACTGGAACATGCAACAACATGGAAAATCTCTGAGTAAAAGAAGACAAACACAAAAGAAACATACTGTATGACTGCATTTATGAGAAATTCTAGAAAAGACAAAGCTAATGTATAATGGCAAAAAGCCAATTGGTGCTTACCTAAGGCTACCTAAGTGTGGGAGGAGTTGACTGCAATAGGACATAAGGGAACTTTTTGGGGTGATAGAAATGTTCTATATCTTGATTGGGGTGGTGGTTACACAGGTATATATATTTGCCAAAACTCATCAAGCTGAATATTTATGATGGTAGATTTTATTCACGAAATTATGTCACGATAAAGTTGACAGAAGCTTTGGGAACATACACAAGGATTTCAATTACAGCATTACTGTCAGGACAAAACATTTGGGAAACTGTCCATGAACAGGAACATGTGTCAGCTCTCTGGCTCTTTACTATCAGAATGGCAAACTTTTGAAAGGAGATGTAGCTGATGCTAATGCGGACCCTCCGATGCCCCCTGGGCCTTAAGTAAGAGCTGCACTTCTCTTCCTGGAGACCCTCTGGTGGCTGAAGCATGCACCAGGGAGGCCAAAATGCTGGAAGGTCAGTACCCCTGGAGTACCCCTCATCCGGTGTCCAACAGGAGTTGGTGTGTAAATGCCCCAGCTCCCTCGCCTGACAGGTGGAGTAACCCTGAAGTGGGTATATCTCCAGAGATCCCTGCAGAATTGAACTCCAGTTGCCCACAATGGTAACTGGCTTCATGATATTCCTTTTTACTGGCTTCCCTCCCTTCCCTGTCTCATCCACCTACTCCCCTACCAGTGTCTTCTGCATCTCCTAAATAAACTATTTTCACTTGGATCCATGTCCAGGGTCTGCTTCTGGGGAACTCAAATTAAGACCAGTGGATAATACCAAGGGTTGGTAAAGATAAGGGGAAATGATGGGAGAAAGAGTGGGGCAGTGGCGATTCTGCAAACACCTGTCATTCTTGGCAAAGCAAGTACTTAACAAAATTCTAATGTAGGACGATAAGGGGACGTGTATGAGGATGTCCACTGTGGCACTATTTACACTAGTGGGAAATTGTGTGCAATCTAGGTGTCCATGACTAGGAGAATGGATAAATAAAATGTGAAGGATGTAAACAGTGACTACACGTACAGCCGCTACCTTTGGCAACATGGCTGGATATTAACAACAGTGATGGGGGTGGCGGGAGGGAATGTACAAAAGTGAATAAGTAACATTAAACATACATTCAGAACATTATCTGTTTTTATAAAAAGCACATACAGACTAGGTGCAATGACTCACACCTATAATCCCAGTACTTTGGGAGGCCAAGGCAGGAGGTTCAGTTGAGCCCCGGAGTTCAAGACTAGCCTGGGCAATACAGCAAGACCCCATCTCTATTTTTTTTTAAGTTGTCTATGCCATACCACACCGAACACATCTGATCTTGTCTGATCTTGGAAGCTAAGCAGGATCAAGCCTGGTTAGTACTTGGATGGGAGACCCCCTCAAAATAGTTAGCACTGTAGGCTAAAGAGAAGGAAAAAAGGCCCATACAGGTACATATACCAAAAACATAAGAGTAGGGTCATTGTCTTTCTCATTCATGGTTCTTCCCCCCTTCCCCACCAGGGGACATTTTACAAATGTCTGGAGACATTTTGTTGTCACAACTAGGGAGGAGGATGCTATAGACAACTAGTGGGTAGAGCCCAGGAATGCTGTTAAACATCCTATCATTCACAGGACAGTCCCCCGCAACAAAGAATTACCTGGCCCAAATGTCAATAGTGCCAAATTTAAGAACCCCTGCATTCCCCAGCCCCCAGGACAGCTTTGCTGAATGAATTATGAATGAATGAATGAAGAAATGACTGTGGTCCTGATCAGCTGGTAGCAACGGGAATAGAGAGACGCGGTAGAATTCTTGTAGTTTTGGAGATTTTGGAGGTGTGTTACACAGCATTTAGGGTGATAGCCCCTGTCTTTTCCAGGAGAGGGTGTGTTCTGCCCTTGCCTGGAGCTGGGCACAATCCCATCCACTTGGGGCCTCAGTCACCCTCCAGCCCGACTCCTCCCCTCCCCCGACCACCTCCCCCAGCTTGGGAGTCCTCTGAGCTGCCAGGAAGCCAGGGTGGTTCCTTCGGGCAGGGAACTTTGCATGGCCATGGTGGTTCCTTCGAGAGAGGAACTTTGCATGGTGTCTGAATGGAGCAGGCCTGCGGAAGAGAAACCGCTGACCACAGACCTGCCTGGAAGTCTCGGGCCGCGGAGTTGGGGAGGGCCGGGCCAGAAGGGAGGGGTCGGAGTGGTGGGGAAAAGAGATCACGATGCTTCCGGGGTAGGGTAAGGCCTTTCCAGGGTGGGTTGGAATCTTTGAAGACTGTGGCAGGAATCCCTTGATAGGTGGGGTTAGGATCTCTGAAGGGCAGGGTTGGAATCTTTGGACCGGCGGTATAGACCCCTGGGTATTAAAACTCTTAGGCGGCGGGAGGTTAGATCGCGCAGGAGCAGGAGCGGTATTGGAACCCTGGGGTTTGTGTTCTAAATCTTAGGGCAGGGTTAGAATCCACTGAAGTGAGAGTTCGGATCCTTCCACTGGGCAGATTAGAATCTTTGGGGGCAAGTTGAGTTTAAAAATCCTTCAGAGGTGGGATTAAAAATCCTTTGGCGGGGCGGGGTTAGTATCTTGGGAGCCTTGGAGCGGGTGCTGGGGTTCTTAGACGGGCGGGTTCGAATCCCTAGGAGTGGGATTTGGGATCCTTTGGAGACTGGGGTAGGACGCTGGGCGGTGGGATGGGGAGGTGTTAGGGAAAGTGGAGCGGAAGGGATGGGGGTTCGCATCCTTGGTGGACGCGTTAGAAGCCTCCTATGGATGGTGCTAATATTTTTTTTCTCTTCGTGGAGGGTTTGGGATCCTTCTTGCAGGAGACGGAGGTTATGACCCTCGGGGAGCCGGTTAGGATCCTGGGGTGGCGTCTGAATCTTCGGGGAGGTGTTAGGACACTTGGGGCGGAGTTAGCCTCGCTCAGGGCGCGGCTAAGGCGCCCAGATGGCCTGCGGGCGCCACCACGTCCCTGGTCCCAGCTCGGGAGCACATCAGAGGCTTAGAGGCGAGTGGGAAGGGACTCAGACAGTGCAGGACGAGAAACGCCCGCGGCACCAAAGCCCCTCAGAGCGTCGCCCCCGCCTCTAGTTCTAGAAAGTCAGTTTCCCGGCACTGGCACCCCGGAACCTCAGGGGCTGCCGAGCTGGGGGGGCGCTCAAGCTGCGAGGATCCGGGCTGCCCGCGAGACGAGGAGCGGGCGCCCAGGTGAGTGCCGCGCACAGGGGACCGGGAATACCCGGCCCGCGAGGGGTCCCAGGAGGCGGAGGGAGCCCAGGAGCCTGGGGAGGGCTGGCTACGGGTGCGGCTGGGGGCAGCGAGGGGAGACGGAACGTCGGGGGAGCCGCGGGTAGCCCGGGGGATGAGGGGTCGACAGCGAGTGGAGGGTGCCCTAGGGAGGGGCGGCACTGTTGCGGACTGCTGGATTCCCGGGGAAGGGGACGCTCGGGCCCGTGCAGTGACTTTATCCACCACTTCTCTGGGCCGTCCAGGTTCCCCTTCTTGGGGGGGGGCGGGGATTTTTTTTTTAATTTAAAAAAGAAAAAGAAGGAAGGGATGGGGCTTCACAGAACCCGGGAAGGGGAAGGCCCTTACGGTTCCCGGTGGGGGCCGGGTCACGCCGGGTTGGCAGCCAGCTTGGGGAAGGGGGTAGTTGGGCGGAGGCGTGACGTGCGAGCCACACCCAGGCCGGCTGCAGCTGGTCGGCTCTCTGCCCCTCCTCCCACAACAGGTCTAGGTCAAACCCCCAAACCTCCTGGCCCCAGACCACACTGCATGCATGCCCTGTCTCTTTCCTCCTTGGACGAATTCTCCGCCTCCGAATTCGTTTCCTCATCTGTAAAACGGGGCTATGAAGTCTTTCTTGCAAGGATGCAGGAAATTGGAGTATGCGAGAGGTGGTGCGTGTGAGAGACAGGCTAGTGGGTAGCGGAGGGGGCTTCTAGGGGCAAACTGCCTGTTGGGGCTGGGGTAGAGGATTTGGCCTTTCTTTGCCTCTGTTTTCACAACTGCAGGATGGGGAGAGTAATAGTACCTCCTTCACAGGGTTGTTTAGAGGATTAATTGGGTACTGAAGGGGCCGGGCAGGGTGGCACACGCCTGTAATCTCAGCTTTTTGGGAGGCCGAGGCAGGTGGATCTCTTGAGGTCTAGAGTTTGAGACCAGCCTGGCCAACATGGTGAAACCCCGTCTCTACTAAAAGTACAAAAATTAGCCGGGCGTAGTAGCACACACCTTTAATCCCAGCTACTCGGGAGGCTGAGGCACGAGAATCACTTGAACCTGGGAGGTGGAGGTTGCGGTGAGCCGAGATCGCGCCACTGCACTCCAGCCTGGGCGACAGAGAGAGACTCTGTCTCAAAAAAAAAAAAAAAAAAAAAAAAGTTACTGAAGGAAAGCTTTGAGAATGCTGTCTGACAGTACACAGGCTTAATGTATGTTAACATTGCCCTAGCTAGACATATGGCCCCGTGTTCTCAGACTTTAGCCTACATCAGCATCACCTGGACTGCTTGTGAAAACAGATTGCTGGGCCGAATCCTAGAGTTTCTGATTCAGTAGCTCTGTGCAGGACAATGAGAACTTCCATCCCCGGTGATGCTGCTGCTGCTGATCCAAGGAGGACACTTTGAGAACCACTGGGGTAGCCTATGCCTGGCACAGAGAAAGGCCTCAATGCCTATCAGTTGCCTTATCCCATGGTTTTCTCTTTATGGTCCTTTTTTTTTTAGGGGAGGGGGTGACAGGTTAAAATACAGAAAAGTGAAGATAATAATATATTAGATGTCCCGAGAATCCACCATCCAGAATTAACAAATAATAGCATTTTGTTGTGTTTGTTTTGAGATTTTAAAAAATTAATTTACTAAAAGTAACAGAAAAAATTGAAGTCTCCCCACCTTGTATCACTCTCAGTCCTGTTTCTCTCCCTCCCCAGGGGCAACCGCTGTCATGAGTTACAGTCCTTCCAGGATGTGCCTCTGAAAATGGATTGCATATAAATGTACGCATAAACAACACGTAGGATTGTTTTGTGTGCTTTAAAAATGCTATCTATGCAGTGGTTCATGCCTGTAATCCCAGCTACTCGGGAGGCTGAGGCAGGAGAATCGCTTGAACCCGGGGAAGCAGAAGTCGCAGTGAGCCGAGATCGCGCCATTGCACTCCAGCCTGGACAACAAAAGCGAAACTCCACCTAAAAAAAAAAAAAAAAAAAAAAAAAAAAAAAAAAAAAAAAAAAAAAAAAGCCCGGACGCGGGGGCTCACGCCTGTAATCCCAGCACTTTGGGAGGCTGAGCCGGGCGGATCACGAGGTCAGGAGATCGAGACCATCCTGGCTAACACGGGGAAACCCCGTCTCTACTAAAAATACAAAAAATTAGCCGGGCATGGTGGCGGGCGCCTGTAGTCCCAGCTACTGGGGAGGCTGAGGCAGGAGAATGGCGTGAACCCTGGAGGTGGAGCTTGCAGTGAGCCGAGATCGTGCCACTGCACTCTAGCCTGGGCCACAGAGCGAGACTCCGTCTCAAAACAAAACAAAACAAAAAACTATCTAATTGTGAGACTTTTCTGCAATTCTGACAATGGGGATAGCAGAGGAGCATATTTGCCCCATCTTATCATTAAGTTGTCAAAATCTACCCAGGATGAGAAATAGAAAATAGAGGCCTCATTCATTCCTTCCAGCTGCTGTGGAGTATCCCAGCAGGTAACGACTCTACAGTATTTCTCTTTCCCCTGTGGATAAATACTCAAGTTGTTCCTAGGCGTTCACTACAACGAACAATATTGACAGGAGCATCCTGGATGTGTAGCTTTCGGCCCATGTACAGGTGGTTCTTGAGGAAAACACCAAAAGGCTGGATGGCTCCCCAGAGAGGGCACCTGTCACACTCCCCTTTGTGTGAGAGGAGTACTGTAGCCCAGAAGGGTCACCAGGGACTCTGGGGCAGAGAAGAGAGAAGAATGTTGCTCTGCTGATCTCCCAGCCGTCTCTGGATCAATGGCCTTTCTTTCAGGCCTCATGTTCTCTGCTGTAAGGCACTTCACTTGCCTTACTCACTATGCCTGGCACTTAATAAGTGTTCAAGAAAATGGAAGCATGAACCTTTTGAGGGAACAATAACCAATATTTTCATGTATCTTTATGTAGTCTTTTCTATGCA
Organism: Homo sapiens; assembly: GCF_000001405.40. Classification (NCBI taxonomy): domain Eukaryota; kingdom Metazoa; phylum Chordata; class Mammalia; order Primates; family Hominidae; genus Homo; species Homo sapiens. The sequence goes on from NC_000020.11 coordinate 32,055,444, forward strand.
CTTTTAAATTAACATAATTAGTATAATGCTACACATAGATTATTTTTATCCTATTTATTTGCTTAGTATTACATTGTAGCATTTTCCAGGTCATTAAAATGTTCTTAAATTTTTAGTGGCTGCATAATATTCCACTGTTTGCCTGTATTATAATTTGCTTAACCTTTCTAGCAGAGCAATCTTTTATATAGTTCAAAATTTTTAGAAATATTTTAATCGAGGTGAAATTCACATAACTTTATAAAATTAACTATATGATTTTTAAAGCGAACAATTCAGTGGTATTTGGTATATTCACAATGTTGTACAAACACTACCTGTCAGTAGCTCCTAAACATTTCCATCACCCCTGAAAAAGGAAACTTTGTACCCATTAAGCAATTACCCCCCATTCCCCCGGCCCCTGGCAACCACCAATCTGCTTTTTGCCTCTACGGACTAATTTATTCAGGATATTTAACATAAATAGAAGCATACTATGTGACTTTCTGTGTCTAGCTTCTTCCACTTAACATAATGTTTTCCAAGGTTCATCCACATGGTGGCAACTATTAGTACTTTATTCCCTTTGTGGCCAAATAATATTCCATTGTATGGATATTCCACAGTTTATTTACCCATTTATCCACAGATGGAAATTCAGGTTGTTTCCACATTTTGACCATTGAAAATAATACTGCTATGAGCATGCATGTGCATACATGTATTTGTTTGAGCACCTGTTTTCAATTCCTTTGGGTATATACCTGAAGTAGAGTTACTGGGTCATATAAAAGTTCTATCTCTGTGGCCGGGTGCGGTGGCTCACGCCTGTAATCCCAGCACTCTGGGAGGCTGAGGCGGGCGGATCACGAGGTCAGGAGATGGAGATCATCCCGGTTAACACGGTGAAACCTCGTCTCTACTAAAAAAATACAAAAAAATTAGCCGGGCATTGTGGTGGGCGCCTGTAGTCCCAGCTACTCGGGAGGCTGAGGCAGGAGAATGGCATGAACCCGGGAGGCGGAGCTTGCAGTGAGCCGAGATCGAGCCACTGCACTCTAGCCTGGGCGACAGAGCGAGACTCCTTCTCAGAAAAAAAAAAAACAGTAGTTCTATCTTTAACTTTTTGAGGAACTGCTATGCTGTTTTCCACCATTTTACATTCCCACCGTAATATACAAGGGTTTCAATTGGCTTCACATCCTTGCCAATGCCTACTATGTTTATATTTTATTAGTATTATTATTACCATTCTAATGGGTACAGAAAGCACGAATCTTAATCTCATTCAAACCAGGCTGCCCTCTGAGGGCTCTTACCTCAGAAAGTAAGGAGAAAGTTGTCTACATTCTAAGGACTAGCCAGGGCTTGGACTTTAAACTCTTCTAGAAAGTAAATTCTACAAGAGCACAAACATGTTTGTCCTATAAACCACTGTATCTTCTAACACCTGGCACCTGGCACATAGTAGGGCCTCAAAAAAACACTGATGGGACAAACGCAATGAATGTTGGACAACCTCCTCCCTCCCTTGCCTGAGATATTTCAGCTGCCCTCCCCGAACACCCCTCCACCCGCAGCGATTATTTTTAATTAGTTGCTAACATTTAAACTCAGGAGAGCTCACATAATCTGGATTTCTGTCTCCTAAAACATTAGAAGAGTTAGCAGCCCTGAGACTAGAACCCACGACTCCAGTGCTCTTCAGACAACCTCAGTGGAGCTGGGGGCTGCCCTGGGGGCTACACCTGGGCTGTCCAGCTTGCACAGCCCTTGCCAGGCCCACTTTCCTCATCCGCAGAACCCTCCACATCCCTATAGTCATTTGAGTTTTCAAACCCCACCCTTCGGGTCATGACAAGGCTTCCTTTTTTATAGAAAAGGAACATGAAGGGCTGGGTGCGGTGGCTCACCCTGTAATCCCAGCACTTTGGGAGGCCGAGACAGGCAGATCATCTGAGCTCAGGAGTTCGAGACCAGCCTGGGTAACATGGCAAAACCCTGTCTCTACAAAAAGTACAAAAATTAGCTGGGTGTGGTGGCACATGGCTGTAGTACCAGCTACTCAGGAGGCTGAGGTGGGAGGATCGTCTGAGCACAGAAGGTGAAGGTTGCAGTGATCTGAGACTGCACCACTGTACTCCAGCCTGGGTGACAGAGCAAGACCCTGTCTCATAAAAAGAAAAGAAAAGGAATGTGAAGCCTAGAGAGGGTAATTGACTTTCCCAAAGTCACACAGCAAGTTAGTAGCACAATCTCTCTCAGCCTCTTTCTTTCTTACATCTTTTTGTTGTTGTTTATTTTTCTTTTTTTATACCACAAGTCATCAAGCAATCACTTCTGCCTTTCTAAACAAACCCCACCACATGCACCAACCACATGTTGGTCCCCACCCCATTTCTCCAGTTTCCTCCCCCACAGGACTGGGAGTTTGAAGGTACTTTCAGAGGCGTGGGTAATGATGCAGAAGCAGCCTGTGCTTAAGTGTAAATGTGCCCTGGTCTTGGCCCCGGCTGTGGTCCCACATGCTGCATCCTCTGGATGGCACTGCGCTAGGACGTGCGCTCCTGACTCTCCCTTCGAGTCACCTCCCTGAGTTCCAGGCATCACCCTGAAATCCTTTGGCCCAGGAGATGTAAGTGCAGCCAAGAGAACAGGAATCCCAGCCTCATCTCTACCATAGAAATGAAGAACAGTGGGTACAGTACAGTAGACGACCCCGAGTCTGAGTGCCAGCTCTGCCAAAGACAGGTTGTGATGCACTAGGCAAATCTCTTCCCTTTCTGAGCCTCAGTTCCCAAATCCAAAAAAAAAATGGAACTGAGGCTGGGCACGGTGGCTCACACCTGTAATCCCAGCACTTTGGGAGGACAAAGCAGGTGGATCACCTGAGGTCAGGAGTTCAAGACCAGCCTGGCCAACATGGTGAAACCCCGTCTCTACTAAAAATGCAAAAATTAGCCGGGCGTGGTGGCGGGCGCCTGTAATTTCAGCTACTTGGGAAGCCGAGGCAGGAGAATTGCTGGAACCCGGGAGGCACGGTTGCAGTGAGCCAAGGTCTTGCCACTGCACTCCAGCCTGGGCTGACAACAGCAAGACTCTGTCAAAAAAAAAAAAAAGGGGGAGAACTGAGGAGGATACTACTCATGATTCCTGCAGCACAATTCCTTTTATGTCAAAACACACACACACACACACACACACACACACACACATACACACACTAGTCCATCATGGCGTATATGTCTTAGTTTGAGTTTCTCCAGAAGCAGACCCTAGGCAAGGTTTCAAATGCAAATAGTTTGAGAGCTGATTCCAGAGACCCTCCTAGGGGAGTAAGGAAGTGAGGCAGGGAACAGGAGGTAGTCATTAAAGGTGTCTTCTAAGCCCAGTTACCACTGCGGGCACCTGGAGCTCAATCCCACTGAGGAGCTCTGGGAGCCAGGGTAGAACAGGCTTGAGAGGTGAGGGAACCGGGGTATTTGTCCACCCTGTTCTCGCTCCTGTCTTTTGTTGAAAACTACTCCTGGGGATGTGATAATTCTCTAGCACTTTCGGCTTGCCAAGCCCATGGGCAGAGCAGGCACCAATAGCCACAGAGAAATCTCTCAGACAAAGAGATGAAGGTGCCGGCAGCTGGAAGTCCAGCCAGAATGTGCAGAAATGGTAAAGGGCAGAGTGATAGAGGCAGGGCACTGACAGCCTCTGCTTCAACATACATGTGTGTAAATGCAGAGGCAGAGGCTGAGGCCAAATGCTGGCAGAGGATATCTGGGTGGGGAAAGAGGTGGCCATGGAGGGCTTATAGAATGAGTAATCCAAGAGTGTCTTAAATGTATCTGTAATGTTTTAATCTTCCTTCCTTCCTTCCCTCCCTCCCTCCTTTCTTTTCTTTTCTTTCTTCTTTCCCTTCTTTCCTTCCCCCCTTCTCCTCCTCCTCTTCCTCCTCCTCCACTTTCTTCTTCTCTTCCTTCCTTTCTTCTTTCTCTCTCTCTCTTTCTTTCTTTTTTCTTTCTTTCTTTCTTTCTTCTTTCCCTTCCTCCTCCTCCTCCTTCTTCTTCTTTCTTGCTTCTCTCTCTCTCTCTCTTTTTTTTTTCTTTTTCTTTTTGAGACAGGGTCTCGCTCTGTCTCCCAGGCTGGAGTGCAGTGATGCTATCATGGCTCATGCAGCCCCAACCTCCTGCGCTCAAGCGATCCTCCCACCTCAGCCTCCTGAGTAGCTGGGATCACAGGCACATGCCACCACACCCAGCTAATAAAAAAAAATTCTGGTAGAAATGGGGTCTTGCCATGTTGCCCAGGCTGGTCTTAAATTCCTCGGCTCAAACGATCCTCCTGTCTTGACCTCTCAAAGTGCTGGTATTACAGATGTGAGCCACCATACCTGGCCTCTAATGGTTTAATTTTTAACAAGAAGGATGCACTAATGTTTTACTAGGTGGTAAAAGGTCATTTTAAAAATAAAATACATACCCTTCAAAAAATAAAAGAAACTGAGACCTGGAGCTTTGTCAATTATAAAAAAAATGTAAAAGGATCAGCGCCTGTGTTACTGAGGCTTTGAGGATTCCATTTGTGGAGGACAGGTTTGGGGGCAGCTGATCTCTCAGTACCACGGCAGGTTAAAGTGAAAAGTGGCCCTGGTGGTGAACTGGCCACCATGTCCTGTCTGGAGGGGGAAACTTCCACTCAGCGGCAGCCAAGGAAAGACTGCTCCTCTCCCAGCAGAAGCGAGCAAATGTGCATCACCCTTCTCAGTTTAAACATATATTTATAGCTATTGGTTTTCTTTTTGTTTGTTTGTTTTTGTTTTGAGACAGGATCTCACTCTGTTGCCCAGGCTGGAGTGCAGTGGGGCAATCTTGGCTCACTGCAACCTCTGCCTCTTGAGTTCAAGCAATTCTCCTGCCTTAGCCTCCCAAGTAGCTGGGATTACAGGCACCCACTACCACGCCCAGCTAATTTTTGTATTTTTGGTTGAGACAGGGTTTCACCATGTTGGCCAGGCTTGTCTCAAACTCCTGACATCAGGTGATCCGCCTGCTGACCTCAGGTGATCCGCCTGCCTCAGCTTCCCAAAGTGCTGGGATTGCAGGCATGAGCCATTGCACCTGGCCTATTTATAGCTATTGTTTAGACGGGAAATCTGGGGGCATCCAGCAGACTAAATGGGGACCTTACTGTCATATCTCATATCCTATTGGTCAGATGGATAATAAACAAATCAACAGGTAATACATTAGGTGCATTAGTCCAGGTCCTTTTTTATTTTTTCTTTTCTTTTTCATACTTAACTTCAGCATACCCTGAGATAGTTCAAGTCCTTTGAGAAGCAGACTCCCATAGCATTAAATGTGCAAGAAATTTATTGGAGGAAATGGCTATGAGAGAAAATGGGAAGAAACCAGGAGAGGACAGGAGAGCCATCAGATAGTGGGGTACCTCTGTCCACTAATGAAAAAGAAAAGGAAGGAAGAAAGGAAGGAAGAAGAAAGGAATAAAAGGAGGACGTGTCTTGGACTGCCATGCCGTATTTTTTTTTTGTAGTTGTTGTTCTGTTTTATTTTGTTTTTTTTGAGACAGAGTCTTGCTCTGTTGCCCAGGCTGGAGTGCAGTGGCGCAGTCTTGGCTCACTGCAACCTCCGCCTCCCGGGTTCAAGCAATTCTCCTTCCTCAGCCTCCTGAGTAGCTAGGATTACAAGCATGCGCCACCACGCCCAGCTAATTTTTGTATTTTTAGTAGAGACGGGGTTTCACCATGTTGGCCAGGCTGGTCTTGAACTCCTGACCTTGTGATTCGCCCGCCTTGGCCTCCCAAAGTGCTGGGATTACAGGCGTGAGCCACTGCGCCCAGCTGCCGTGCCATTCTAAGGAAAGTTTGTCAAGGCTGTTAAGGAGCCCTTGGCCAAAGTCTCTTGACAGAGGTCCCCCAGACATGGGTGGGCTTCGGTCTCCCTGCCACACTCAGTCATTGGCTGGGAGCAGCCCATGAGAGCAGTGATGGACTTCAGAGCACAGCAGCTGAGCCGCTGATCAATTTCTCCAGTCGTACTCCTGCAGTTGGAGATCTGAGAGGTGCATCCTCATGGCCACCACGTTTAAGAGGTGGTTAGGGGCATGAAGACTAGCTGGGAACAGGCTAGACAGTGATGGGAGTTGGGGGGCAGAGGATCCTGTCTTTGCCAGGGTGATGAGGGAAGGTTGCTCTGAGAAGGTACAATCATTAGAGAGACTGAAGGAAGTGATGGAGCCTTTCTGGGTGAAGAATATTCCAGAAACAGAACATGCAATGCCCCAGAGGTATAAGCACAGTTGGTGAGTTGAAGAAGAGCAAGGAGGGCTCCAGTGGAATGATCAAGGGAGAGTTAGAAGGAGACAGATCTGAGAGGCTGAGGAGGGGATCAGATTGTGGAGGTCTTACCCACCTTGGAGAGGACTTGGGCTTTTACTCCAAGTGAGACGGAAACCCTGGGTGGGGGTTGAGCAGAGAAGGAATGCGATCTGACTTACCTTTTTTTTTTTTTTTTTTTTTGAGACGGACTCTCACTCTGTTGCCCAGGCTGGACTGCAGTGGTGCGACCTCGGCTCCCTGCAACCTCTGACTCTGGGGTTCAAGCGATTCTCCTGCCTCAGCCTCCTAAGTAGCTGGGATTACAGGCATGCGCCACCATGCCCGCCTAATTTTTGTATTTTTAGTAGAGATGGGGTTTCACCATGTTGGTCAGGCTGGTCTCCAACTCCTGACCTCAGGTGATCTGCCCGCTTCAGCCTCCCAAAGTGCTGGGATTACAGGTGTGAGCCACCATGCCCAGGATGACTTACATTTTTAAAGGCTCACTTATTTGTAAGAGGCAGAATGCAGATTCAAACCCAGCTCTATCTGACTTCAAATCTCATGCTCTATTTTCAAACTGCCCTGCCTCCTGCCTGCCTTAGAGATAAAATCATTCCAAGAAGGTTCACAGTTGCTCTGGAATTCTGAAATTGACCAAGTGTCCCAAGAGTAACATTGAACATGCTATGAGTTTTATATGTGGTTGAATAAGTGTTTGGAACACAGGCATCTCAGAGCCAGCCCTATGGCTCAGCCAGGCAAATGATCAAAGCCCTGAGTTCTCCTTTAGTGTGTTGCTCTGTCGCTCGCCATCGTGTGAGCCAGGGCCCACGCAGCCTCTTGGGGTTGTTACTCCACCTGTCCAATGAAGATTTTGATCTCCCAAGTTTCCTCCTGTTTGCAAAATCAAAGTTTTGAGCTCTATGAGAAAGAAGCTGAGGCTCAGTAAAGGGAAGACGTGAGAAGTCAGGAGTGACCCCTAACTGTCTATTAGGGACAGTAGTCACTCGGGGATAAAGACAGTTCATTCAGAAGACAGTCAGGGAACCCGAGGAGAGGGAGCTGCTGGGCTCTGCACCCCCAAGGCACTGCTCAGGGAATTGGCTCCTGTTGAGGAAATACTTTTTCCCCACCCCCATTGCTGAGCTGTTCTGAGAAGGGAAAGTTCCTGTAACTGAACAGCCTTAAGCCCTGGGCCCCCAGCGGTCTGCCTTCTTGAGAGTTCTGTTTGGGTTCCTCATTCTCCCCTTCCCCTTCATCGCCCACAGCCTCTGGGGCTGACCTCAGTGGATGATGACAGGCAGGAGAGCTGAGTGCCAGTTTGACCTACCACTGACTAGCCGGGGGACCCACTCTCCCATGGGCTTCCATTTCCCTATCTGAAAAATAACTTCATAATTCTGGTCTGTTGACTTCAGCCAAGTATGATGAGGTCCATAGAGAGTAGAACATAATATATCCATTACACGAATGTGTATGGGGGGCCTATTAGATACCAGGTGCTTCTTTTTTTGAAACATTCTTGCTCTGTAACCCAGGCTGGAGTGCAGTGGCATGACTACAACTCATTGTAGCCTCAACCTCCCAGGCTCAAGTGATCCTCCCACCTCAGCCTCCCAAGTAGCTGGGAATACAGGCACATGCCGCCATGCCTGGCTAATTTTTTTGGGTAGAGACAGGGTCTCGATATGTTGTCAGGACCAGCCTTGTACTCCTGGGCTCAAAGCAATCCTCCCACCTCAGCCTCCAAAAGTGCTGGGATTACAGGCATGAGCCCCTGCACCCAGTCTCTATAACCAGGTCCTTTTAAGGCATGGCTTCAGTGCCATCAGCTTAATGAGGTCCATATTCCTCCCATCCTCACCTACTCTAATAGGTCTAGTACCATCTTACCTTCTCTTCTACCAAAACCTGGTATCAGGGAGGTCTTTGCCATCAGCCATTTGCACTTGAGTGCAAATCACAATCCCTTATAAGAATTCCCTCTGCACTGGGCAAGACTCTTTGATGTTTAAAGGGAAATAAATCCAACTCAAAACTGGCTCAAGCAGAAGAAGGAGGTTACTGGAAAATCCCTGAGATATCAGCTTCAGGCGAGGCTTAATCCAAGGCTGAGAGTCTGCATTTCTCTATTTCTTGGGTTTGCCTTGCTGCTGCAGGCCTTTTTTTCCAGCTAGAAACCAAGGGCTGGCTCTCGTTGGCCAGAATTGAATCACATGCCCATCTCTACTTCTTTTTTTTTTTTTTTTTTTTTTTTTTTTTGAGATAGAGTCTCTCTCTGTCACCCAGGCTGGAGTGCAATGGCGCAATCTCGGCTCACTGCAACCTCCACCTCCCAGGTTCAAGCAATTCTCCAGCCTCAGCCTCCCAAGTAGCTGGGATTACAGATGCCTGCCACCAAGCCCGGCTAATTTTTTGTATTTTTAATAGAGATGGGGTTTCACCATGTTGGACAAACTCCTGACCTCTGGTGATCCACCTGCCTCTGCCTCCCAAAGTGCTGGGATTACAGGCATGAGCCACCGCGCCCATCCACCCATCTCTGCTTCTATTACTGCAACTCTCATTGGCTTGATTTGGTCACAGATCCACCTCTACAGCCAGGGGTTGGAGTCAACTCTATCCCAATCCATAAACTGAGACTAGGGGCGGAGTAATTCCCAAAGGAAAATTGGAGAACTGTTGTTAGAAGAAGGGGGGAATGGATTCTATGCAGGAAAGAGCTGCAGCTTCTTCTTTCAGAGAACTTCTAATCCAACATCTCATTTCACATTTGGAGAAACTGAGGCTCAGAGACAAGTTGAGACTTGCCTAACATCACACAATGAGCTTATAGCAGAGATGGGACCACAATCCAGGGCTTCACACCCTCAGCCCTTGCAGGTTTCTGCTTAAGCATAGAAGCTCCCAGAAAACCATCTCCAGCCCACTGGATGGATGCTCAGGCAGGCCCCGGCCTCTCCCCCTTGAGCTTGACTCTGAGAGCACAGGCCGAGTCTCTGAGTTTTCCACAGCCAGCATGGTAACCCTGGGAAGCAGCCAGGCACAAGCAAGCTGACCTCTCTCATTTCACTCAGCAGAGGCTGAGGCGGTGAGGAGCAGGTTTCAGGTTCCCAGGGACGGCAGTGGCCCGAGGAAGTATCTTTACCAGGGATCAGCAGTTTTGAGTGGGTGTGCAACCAGGCAGACTGCTTCTGCTCTCAGAGCGTGCTTTTGAAGCACATTAGATGAGAAATGCGTATGCAGAAGTTTTATACAGTCCTTCACATCCCTAGTCACATAGGACCTCAGGCCAAGCCTGAGAAGCAAGGCCTCCTATTTAGCAGGAAAGAAAAATAAGGCTCAGAGAGGGCAAATGACTTGCTCAAGGTCACATACCCAGTCAGTGGCAGAACTGCTATCCAAACTCAAGTATTCTGACTCCCAAGTTCAGCCTTCATTCTGCTACATTGGTGGATCTCAAATTTTAGTGTATATACTAATTTCCTGTAGAATTGTTAGAACTACAGATTCCAGGACCTCACTCCCAGATACTGGTTCATTCAATCCAGAGTGTGACCCAAGAATATGCAAGAATCAGTGGAGACTTTTTGAGTTCAAATGGCAGAAACCCAACTCAAATTGGCTTAAGCAAAATTGATAATTTATTTGCTCGTGGACTGGAAAAATCCTGAGGTGTATAGGCCTCAGGCATAGCTGGATCCAGGTGCTCAATTTATCTTCAGGAATTACTTTATCTCCATACCTCAGCTCTGTTGTCCTCTCTGGTGGCTTCACTCTAAAGCAGCTTTTACCTTGATGATGTTGAGGTGGCCTCCAAGAACTCCAGGTTCCTACATCTCAACAATCCTTATAGAAAGAGGGTGCTTTTTCCCTAATTTTTGCAGCAAAATCCCAGGGCAGACTGCCTCAGTGAGGAGGACGTATATGCCTACAACTGAACCAATCTCTGTAGCCAGGGGGCCAGAGGATATGGGATTCTCTGATTGGCCAGGCCTGTGTCAAGTTGCCAATTCCTGAAGGCAAGGGTGGGATCGGCCCCACCAAACTTCATGCACTAAGTGGGAGAAAGCTGGTTCTCCAAAGGAAAATCCAGGTACTGTTATCTGAAGAGGGACAGATGCTGAGGAGGCAGGAGCAAAAGAGGTTCTCTAGCCTTCTTGGCTAGAATGTTCACATGAATCGCCTGGGAACCTTGTTAAAATGCACATTCTGATTTGGGAAGTGGGGACTGAGATTCTGCATTTCTTACAGCTCCCCTGTGAGGTTGAGGCTGCTGGTTCTCACGCTAGCCACACTCTGAGCACCATATTGCATTTCTAAACTCACTCAAACCACTTTGTCACAAGGCACTCTGCAGAGAGGCCCTGGGCTACATAAACCTCTTTCTTCCACCATTCTCTCCCCACCTTCACCCCATCCCCTGTTCCCAAACTCACCCGAATAATATCAGCACCATCTGTTTGGGAACCACTCACCAACATACTATAGATTCTGCTGACAAATCACAGTTGAAGAAATTGTCCATTGTGCCCTCCAGTGACTTTTTTTTTTTTTTTTTTTTTTTTTTTTGACAGAGTCTTGCTCTGTTTCCCAGGCTGGAGTGCAGTGGCACGATCTTGGCTCACTGCAACCTCTGCTTCCCGGGTTCAAGCGATTCTCCTACCTCAGCCTCCCAAGTAGCTGGGATTACAGGTGTGCGCCGCCACACCTGGCTAATTTTTTCTGTTTTCGGTAGAGTCAGGGTTTCATCATATTGGCCAGGCTTGTCTCGAACTCCTGACCTCAAGTGATCCACCCACATCAGCCTCCTAAAGTGCTAGGATTACAGGCATGAGCCACTGCACCCAGCCCCAGTGACCTTTTTATGAGGAGCCACAGAACAAATTCTCTTTTGAATTTATACTCAAAAAATATTTGTTTCTGTCAACAGACAATTTGTTGTGCTTCCTGGGATCTTATGGTGATGTTGTACAAGTTTCCATTTTTATCTTGGCTACTAGGAAGCTCAGAGATAAATCTAGTACTCAATGGTAGTAGCAGTCCCACCCTGGGCTTCTGGTTCAATAATCTTTCCCTTCTATATGGTGTAGAGTAACCCTTTTTGAGTCTTGCAGTGCTCTGTGTATGGTTTAATATTATAAGCTCCTTCAAATCCTTTTTGGAAGTCGGTTCTTCTTTGGAGTATTCTTGACTTTCCCCCAATCTTTATCTATTCAGATCCTCCCTGTTCTTCAAAACCCAACTCATTATCTTGCTGCTCAATTATTATTGTAAACAGGTTGCTTTTTATACGAACTTACTAACATACACGTAGGCACATAAATTCATTTTAGAAGAGTGGTTTGATGTACATGTTTGCAGTTTGCATTTTTCACCCAATAAGTATTTTAGCAATCTTTGCATGGCCCCTCCTATGTTTACCACTCCCTAGTAGCTTATTTTTCTTTCATTCTTAAAACTGTGGTAAAATATGCATAACAAATTTTCCATCCTAATCATTTGCAAGTGTACACTTCAGTGGTATTCAATCCATTCAGCATGTTGTGCAACCCTCACCACCATCCATCTCCATAACTCATTTCATCTGAAACTCTACACCCATTGAACACCACTAACTCCTCACTTCCCCTTCCCCCAGCCCCTGGCAACCACCATTCTACTTTTTGTATCTCCTAATAGCTTCTTAGTATGTGGCTTCGGAATGTAATTGTGTGTCCAGTCTCCCCTTCTCAACTCGGTCATAGAGCAGGAATGTCCTGATGCTTTTACTTTTTTTTTTTTTTTTTTTTTGCCCCGTCTTATGGTGCTCAGACACTTTTACTTCCTACTACATAAAGTATGGCACGCCAGGCATGCAGCCATTCACTCACTGTGCATGACACTCCTACTGTGTGCCAGGAGACACTGGGCTAAGCACTGAGGAACGCAGGTGTGAGCACCAGCCTTTCCTGTGCTGCAGTGATGGGAGCATTCTGTCTCTGCATGTTTGCATATGGTGGCTCTGAGCCACAGACGGCTGTTGAGCACAGATGGAGTCATAGCTGAGATGTGCTCTAACAGTAAAATCCACACTGAGATGTGAAGGCTTAGTACAAAAAAAAATGTAAAGTATCTCATTCATAATTTTTATATTTATTATATGTTAATAATTTTGATATATTGGGTAAAATAAATACATCTTAAAATTAATTCACTTGTTTCTTTTTACTTTAAGAAACCTGGATGTAAAAATTTTTTTAAAAATGAAAAATAGGCCAGGCGCAGTGGCTCACACCTGAAATCCCAGTACTTTGGGAGGCCAAGGAGGACGGATCACCTGAGGTTGGGAGTTCAAGACCAGCCTGACCAACGTGGTGAAACCCTGTCTCTACTAAAAAATACAAAAATTAGCCAGGCGTAGTGGCACATGCCTGTAATCCCAGCTACTCAGGAGGCTGAGACAGGAGAATCACTTGAACCCTGGAGGCAGAGGTTGCGGTGAGTGGAGATGGCACCACCGTACTCCAGCCTGGGCAACAAGAGCAAAACTCCATCTCAAAAAAATAAATAAGTAAATGAAAATTAAAAAAAAATAAAAACTAAAAATAAATTTAAAAGGAAAATAAAAATAAAGTAAAATGAAAATAATTTTTTTTTAAAAAAGGAAAAAATAAAATAAAATAAAATTTCAATTTTAATTTTTAAAAACCTGGCTGTAGAAAACTTTAACTTATATTTGTGGCTCACATGACATTTCTGGGCCTAGTGACCATGAACATGGACATTTCTGATGCCCAGTCCACACCAGGCAGCAGACATGGTTCTCTCATTTAGGGAGACAATCACATTTTACACAAATTTGACTCCTGCCAGTGTATCACTTTCAGAAAAATCACACTTTCAGCTGGGCATGGTGGCTCATATCCCAGCACTTTGGGAGGCCAAGGTAGCAGGATCACTTGAGGTCAGGAGTTCAAGACCAGCCTGAGCAACATTGTGAGACCTGCCCCCCCTCTCTGCCCCCTGTCTCTACAGAATATAAATTTTAAAAGATTAGCCAGGCATGGTAGTTTGTAACTGTAGTCCCAGCTACTAAGGAGGCTGAGGTGGGAGGATCACTTGATCCTGGGAGGTCGAGGTTGCAGTAAGCTATGATTACACCACTGCACTCCAGCCTGGGTGACAGAGCGAGACTGTCTCTGAGAAAACAAATCACACTTTATTGTGCAAAAATGGAACTCATGGGAATTCCCTATTTTAAAAAAAGCGAACTTCTCCAGTGTTGCAGTATCTCTAGGCTTGTGGGCCAGAGGAATTGCAAACTGTGCTTGCTTCATGATCCGGGGCAGTGTCACGTCTGCCAGTAAACAGAAATAGTTGTGGTTAATGTTTCTGCAGCGCTTACTGCATGCTGGGCACTTTTACACTCATCAACTTGCTCAGTGCTCACCACCACCCTATGAGGTAGAACCCTTGCCACCCTTTCTCAGAGATGGCCTTGGATTGTGAATGAACACAGGTCTTCTGAGACCCCTCCCTCGGGACCCTGTGGCCATCTTGAATATGTACATTGATCACGTAAGTGAAGCATACAAGGTGCTCAACGCGCATGGATTGGAAATCACAAGACTCACAGCTGCAGATCAGTGGGTGCCCAGAGAGGTAGAGTGAGCTGCCCTACCTCACACAGTGCTGCTCTTCCCAGAACATCTTTATGCTGACCAAAACACACGAAATGTGATATAATTTTATGTCATATATGTCACACAAGATGCCCGTTTAATTTCCCAGAACTGTAATACACATTTATCTCAAAGAGAGATGCTGGTTTCAGTTTTAAATGCATGCAAGTACATTATAAATCTGTGCTTAATTATGATAATTTTTCAAATTAATGATCCAGCACTCCAAGAGTCTGAATGTGTTCCTTATTTTATTTCCAAAAGACAAACAAAGCAAAACCGCTCAAGTCTTGAGGTGGCAAATCTTTCCCAGTTCCCACCAGAAGAGGTAAATCCTTGTAAATAAAAGGAATCTTTTTTCATTTTTAAAAGTAACTCATCTAAGCCTAGGAGTTTGGGGTTTTTTTCCTTAAACCACAAATACATGTTTATTTTAACAAGATAAGTATAACTGAGTTCTAACTGCTTTAGAAGAAAATGGCAATTGTGCAGAGATGAGAAAAGCAAGCACTTCCTTATGTGGTTGTCACAGCCTGCCTTCTCAGCAAATGTGTGTGCACATTTTGAGAAAAGAAATGAAACATTTCTTCCACTTTTACAATTATGTTTTGACTCTACTTGGAGTAAATGTGTTTTGTTTAAGCATCCTTAAATTAATTCAATACAGCAGCAAAGTCTGCAAGCTCTACCTCCAAAATGTCCCCCAAACCTGTCCAATGCTTACCTCCTCTCTGCCCCCACACTACCCTGGGCCACCATCATCTCATACCTGAACAATTTTGGCAGATTTCTCACAGGGTTCCCTCCCCTGCTCCCCACTGTCCACGCCTCACTCAGCCACCGGTGGGATTATTTAAAGTGCAAATTGAATCCCATCATTCTCCTGCCAGAAACTTTCCATCATCCTTAGAATAAAATCCAAAGTCCTTACTGGCCCTACAGGATATGGTGGCCTTGTCACAACCACCCTCTTCCCTGCCCATGAGCTTCAGCTACACTCTCCTGCTTTCAGTGCCTCCAACTTCTCTCTAAGCACATGCCAGCCTCAGGGCCTTTGCATTTGCTGTTCCCTCTGCCTGGAACACTCTTCCCTCAGAGTGTCCCCTCACTGGCTCCTTTGTGTCATTTAGACCGCAGGTTCTGTATCCCTTTCTCTGACAGGCCTTCCCCAAATGCCCTGCCTAAAAGAGCCAGACCTGTTGTTCCCCACAGCATCCTCTCTTATTGTCCTCACACTTTTCATTAACTCAATTTGCCCTGTTATTTATTTGTTGGCCTGTTTATTGTCTCTGTCTCCCATTCGGCTGCAGTTGAGGTCCTGAGGGCGTGAACTTGCTTCTCTTCTTCACAGTTTAGAAAAGTGCCCAGTAAATCTTGGCTGTGTAAATGGATGAATGAATTACCAAACAACTCAGAGAGAGACAGAGAGAAAGAGAGGAGGAAGAGGAAGAGGAAGAAGACGAAGAAAGAGGAGGAGGAGGGAGGACAGAGGAGGGGGAAGGAGGAGGAGGGGAAGGAGGAGGAGGGGGAAGGAAGAGGAGGGGGAGCAGGAAGGAAGGGAGGGAGGGAGGGAGGGAAGGAGTTATAAGCAATTTATAAATTGATACCAGTAATACGGTGCCTTGACAAACTAGATTGTTTGAGCCATGTTATGTGACCTCATCTTGTTATTTAATATAAAAATGGCAATTTATCATCTGATAATACTGCAGTTTTTCTGTAGTGTTTGCTCTGAGCCTGACACTGCACTGAGTATTTCCCCACTGTAGGTCATATTATTGTCCCCATTTTGCCGATGAAGACCTGAGAGGTGGGTAGGGGCAGGAAAGTGGTCAGTGAGGTGCTGGTGGGGTGGAGGGGCCAAGGATCAGCTGAGGCTTTCTGACCTGAGAGCTGGCAGTGCCCACCCAACAGCTCTACCTGTTACATTTCTGTTATCCTCATGCCATCCTCTGAATAAACATCCATCACGCTGGTCCTTGGTACCCACGACAATGACAGCTTGTCAGCCCTGGGCCAGTGCTGTGGCACGTGGACATGGGGAAGCCCAGAGGTGGCAAGGATGGAGTGGGTTCCATGTGGGGAGGATAAGGGTGCATGGAGCTGGCAGGGGAGTTAAGACCGGGAAGGCCAGTGGGAGCCAGCCCGGGGGCAGGGGACCTGGAATGCCAGCATCAGAAGACTTCCCCGCATGAGGCTCTTGGTAACTGGGGCTCACCTCCCTTCTGTCTGCTGCAGGATGGGGTGCATGAAGTCCAAGTTCCTCCAGGTCGGAGGCAATACATTCTCAAAAACTGAAACCAGCGCCAGCCCACACTGTCCTGTGTACGTGCCGGATCCCACATCCACCATCAAGCCGGTGAGTAGGGGAGGTCCCAGTTTCCCTGGGGGCTGACGGATGCTGCCCCAACATTGCCCTAACAGCCTCCTGTCTTCCCAAGGTTGGGCAGGGTGAGCTTGGGGTGAAAGGGAGCTGACTGGCCACCAACAGTGTCCTGACTCGACTCTCCGGGACGCAGCGCCAGCCAGCATGCATAGGGGCAAAGAAGTCATCTCTCTTTCCTGCAGCCCAGGCTTGGCCCCTCAGCCTGAGCTCCACCAAACAGGTGTGAGTGAGCATCTCAGGCCTCCGGCCTGGGCAGAAGCAAAAGCAGTGCTGAGAAACGAGTGAACAGTAATGATAGCAGCTGAAGTGACAATGTAATGGTAGTATCAGCAGCATTGCAAAAATACAGTAACAATTGTCATACTAATAGTACCAACCATAATTGCGTGAGTATAAGACCAAGAGTAGCAGCAGGAACAACAGCAAGAGTTGTAAAAAGAGAAGCAGTCATGCTAGGAGAGGTATTTACCAACTTCTTTTATGTTTATACAAAGCTGACTATGAACCCAGCACTGTTGTAAGCCTTTACGGTTATTAACACCCTAATCCTCACAATAATCCTATTGTGTGACACACAAATACATTCTTCTTGAAAATAAAAACACAGGCCAGGTGCAGTGGCTCACACTTGTACTCCCAGCATTTTGGGAGGCTGAGGCAGGAGGATTACTTGAGCCCAGGAGTTCGAACTGCATGAGCTATGATCACGCCACTGCACTCCAGCCTGGGCAATACAGGGAGACCCTGTCTCTTTAAAAAAAAAAAAAAAAAAAAAAAAAAAGAGCTGCTTAGAATGCCATAGTTTAGGTGTCACTTCCCCCTTGCATGGACACTTAGATTGTTTCACATACATAACAGAGCCTTTATTTATGGAATATAAATCACTGGTGGGCCTGTGATTTCTCCAAACTTAGTCGGAAAACACTGATCTGGACCGACCCCTTCACTGTGTGTTGAGGGGAGGGGTCAAGCAGCATCCCCCGGTACATCCAAGACCGAAGGCCGAGGTCACAGCTCAAGAAACCTGGATCCTGGCTGGGCACAGTGGCTCACTCCTGTAATCCCAGCACTTTGGGAGGTCAGGAGTTCTAGACCAGCCGGGCCAACATGGTGAAACCCCATCTCTACTAAAAATACAAAATTAGCCAGGCATGGTGGCATGCGCCTGTAATCCCAGCTACTTGGGAGGCTGAGGCAGGAGAATCACTTGAACCCGAGAGGTGGAGGTTTCGGTGAGCTGAGATCACGCCACTGCACTCCAGCCTGGGTGACAGAGTGAGATTCCATCTCAAACAACAGCAACAACAAAAAATCTGGACCATTTTGTTTGCTGGCTCTGCCCCTAATGTGCCGTGTGGTGCCAGGCATGTCCCCTGCCGTATGTGGGCCTCCTCCCACGACATGCAGGGCTAGGGTAAGATGCTCTTGGGTGTCCTTCTCAACACAGACCTTCCACGGGTCCCCACACATTGGTCAGATTCATTCTCTTCTCTCATTTCTTCCCCACAGGGGCCTAATAGCCACAACAGCAACACACCAGGAATCAGGGAGGGTAAGTATCTACGAGCAGATGCAGTGGAGTCATGTGTCCTGCAGAGGACTCCGCTAGGTTCTCCCTTAGCTTGAGGCATAAATCCCAAACAGTCAAACCCCTGTCGAGAATCCCCAAAATTTCCTCTGAAGTGCTTTGCGCAGGCTATTGTGTTTCTAGAACGCTGTTTAGTAACATGAACAAAACATATTTAGCTTTAAACTTGAGAATCACACCCAGCATGGTGAGACGCCTACTTATACTTGGAACCACATATCGATGGGTGCGGAGCTGTTCCAGGTGCCGGGTGAGGGTCACCAAGGGCTGTGGATGCACTTAGACGAAACCTCACCCTCTGTGTGTCTCCCTTCCCAGCAGGCTCTGAGGACATCATCGTGGTTGCCCTGTATGATTACGAGGCCATTCACCACGAAGACCTCAGCTTCCAGAAGGGGGACCAGATGGTGGTCCTAGAGGAGTGAGTCCCCATCCCACTCCCCCTAAGACAGACCTGCCTCCTCTACTCAACTATGTGCTCTTTTGTGCTTCCATAAAGAACCTGATAGATGGGCTATCTTATCCTGGGTATAAATGTCTAATGAGAAGCTAATCACAATAGTGGAGGAAGGGTTTGCTGTCAACCTGGATGAAGGGGATTGTGCACTTACTGAGAGTGCACGTCCAGCCTGAGATGAACAGGTGACGCTTTCTCAGGGAAGCCTTTCTAGGGCTCCTGCGATTAAGCCACCGGCTTTACCTGTGGACCAGGCCCCATCGAGTCGACCTTGCATTTGGAAATCCTTGGATCTCTGAGTTTGCCACCTCGGATCTCCTACAGCCTTCACCATCATGGGTATAGTGTCCAGGATGTGCTGAAGCCCGAGAACGGGAGTGGTCATGCCTGGTCGGACTCCCAAGCCCACTCTCCCCTATTCTCAGCCCCAGCTGAACCATTCTGAGTCTCTATAGGCACAGGACCCTGCCATGGGTATAGCTAATAAGACCAAAGCTGCAAGTCCAGGGAAAAGGAGTGGAGCCAGAGACCCAGGGCTCTGGGCTGTGGACAGGGAGATTCCAGACCCTCAGATGCACAGCAGGAACTGTTGTAAGGATCCCTACCCTAATCATGGCCACATGCTGGGGCTGACATAGTCACAGCCCTGTCCTTCACCCTACTGGCTTTCTGGAGGCAGGGAGTTTTCTAGGTCAAGGCTGGGGAGCTTGAGGAGACTGGAGAATGATCCTTCTGTCCCTAACACCTTTACTCCCTCATGTCCCTCAGATCCGGGGAGTGGTGGAAGGCTCGATCCCTGGCCACCCGGAAGGAGGGCTACATCCCAAGCAACTATGTCGCCCGCGTTGACTCTCTGGAGACAGAGGAGTAAGTATCCTATTTCCTACCTTCCAGAAAGAGGCATGAGCAAAGCCAGCCTTGTTTGCAACTCAGGACGTCTGCACACACTGTACCACTGCCTGGCACATACTCTTCCCAGGGCTCTGGGCTTGGCTGGCTCCTTCTCTTCCTTCAGGTTTCATCCTTCCAGTCAGGGAAGAGAGGCTAAAGTGGGTCCCAGCTGTGACTCTGTCTTGTGGAAACCTGTTTTAATCCCTTCTGAACATGTTTTACTAGCAAAACGACCTGGTTTCTTTGGTTGGTTACACGTGCATTCTCTGCCTGCCCTGCAAGGAAGAGAGCTGGTGAGAGCGGGGACTTTGTCTGCTTCTGCATCCTCGGCACAGGCTGGCATGCAGTCAGTGCTCAATAAATATTGTTGAATGAAGCACACGGTCTTGCCAAGGAGGGTTTCTGGAGAGGTGAGACAGCTCACACCTGGCCAGTCGTCCCTCATTTGTTGTTTTGTTTTGTTTTGAGACAGGGTCTCACTCTGTTGCCCAGGCTGGAATGCAGTAGCACCATCACAGCTCACTTCAGCCTCAGCCTCCCTGGGCTCAGTTGATCCTCCCACCTCAGCCTCCCAAGTAGCTGGGACTACAAGTGCGCATCACCATGCCCAGCTAATTTTTTTCTTTTTTGTATTTTTGGTAGAGAGGGGGTCTCTCTGTGTTGCCCAGGCTGGTCTCAAACTCCTGGGCTCAAGTGATCTTCTCGCCTCAGCCTCCCAAAATGCTGGGATTATAGGCCTGAACCACTGCACCTGGCCCATCCCTCATTTGATTCATTCGACAAGCACATGCTCATGACTCTTCAAGCCCTGTGCCAGCCTAAGGGGCTGTGGAAACAAATAAGATATATCCCTACCCTCAAGGAGCTCTCCATAACCCATCGTTCTTGGCTGTGGGTTCTTCTTGTGTCTAGCTTGACTCTAAAAATATACTTCAGTCATCCATCCATCCATCCATCCATTCATCCATCCATCCATCCATCCATCCATCCATCCATCATCCAACAGATACCTGTTGATTCCCTATTCCAGGGTTAGAAGATGACTTAGATGGGGCTCCCTGCTGGAGATGTTCTCTGTATGGTGGATGAGGTTGATGAGTAAAAAGATGACTACATTGTGGGGTGGCAATACATCCCATTAAAAACCAGCCAATCAAAAGTTGACAAATGACAGTCCCCATTGTTTTGTCTCTTCTGCCTCCTCTTTCTAGCTAGATGGTATTATGGGTTTGGGATGCTTGCCTGTTAAAAATGAAAACGCTTAGGCTTTTCCCATTATAAAGCCACCTCCTTCTGGCTGGGCATGGTGGCTCACACCTGTAATCCCAGCACTTCGGGAGGCCAAGGCACGCAGATCACCTGAGGTCAGGAGTTCGAGACCAGCCTGACCAACAAGGTGTAACCCCATCTCTACTAAAAATACAAAAAAAATTAGCTGGGTGTGGTGGTGCGTGCCTGTAGTCCCAGCTACTCGGGAGGCTGAGGCAGGAGAATCACTTGACTCCAGGGGGCAGAGGTTGCAGTGAGCTGAAATATCATGCCACTGCACTCCAGCCTGGGGGACAAGAGCGATACTCTGTCAAAAAAAAACAATTATGTCACCCCTTCTTAGTGATCATGGAACTGGGGGCTCTTAGCTGTTTCTCTCTCCTTCTTCCAGGCTTTGCCCTGGGTCATCCCATGCTCTGTTTCTCCACTCCAGGGTCTGAACACTTACAGAATCCCTGGGTCACCTCATGTAGTCCTTGCAGCAACCATGGAGGAGGCGTGGCTGGCATTATTTCTCAAAGGCAACATAATTGCTAAGTGGAAAACGCAGGGTGTAGACAACATGAATGGGGGGTTATCATTTGCAGACAAAGGCAAAATAACCTAGATGGGGGGTTCTCAGACATGAGCAGCAACAGCATCACCTGGATTGCCGGCTAACAAGTGCTTTCTGGGCTCCACTGTCAGATTCCGAATGTGCATTTCTAACAGGTTCTTGGGTGAGGCAGCTGCTGCTGCTGCTGCTCCAGGGACCCAGCTTGGGAACCACTGATCTAAATACGCATATCTGGCCAGGTGTGGTGGCTCACACCTGTAATCCCAGCACTTTGGGAAGCCGAGGGAGGTGGAACACTTGAGGTCAGGAGTTCAAGACCAGCCTGGCCTACATGGTGATACCCTGCCTCTACTAAAAATACAAAAATTAGCCAGGTGTGATGGCGGGCTCCTGTAATCCCAGCTACTCAGAGGCTGAGGCACGAGATTTGCTTGATCTGGGAGGCAGAGGTTGCAGTGAGCCGAGATCACGCCACTGCACTCCAGCCTGGACAACAGAGCGAGACTCTATCTCAAAAAATAATAATAAAAATAACAAATGAATACACATATGTGTCCTTTCAGGGCACTCAGGGGTCCTTGTGTCTGAATCAAGAAACTGCTAACAGAGGTTGCCTCTGGGGAGCACAACTGGGACCTTGGGAATCAGGGCGGGATGGAATCTTGGTTTCTCTCATTCTCCCTTGAAATAGGCAATACTTTCAAATGTTTCAAAATGCAAATGTGGGGAAGCATGCAGAAGAGTGAAAAGTCTTCTTCCCACCCTGTCCCCAACCAGCCACTTCCCCTCCCCAGAAGCAACCAGTTTCTCGTGAGTCCTCCCAGATGCTTCCTCCTTATATAAGAAAAGACATCTCTTCCCGCTTATCTCACACAAGTGGTAGATACCACACACACTGTTCCATGCCTCTCGTTCAGACCTTCCATGCAGCACCTTGTTCCTGTTTTGTTTTGTTTTGTTTTGTTTTGTTTTTTAGGTGGAGTTTCTCTCTTGTTGCCCAGGCTGGAGTGCAATGGTGTGATCTCGGCTCACTGCAACCTCCGCCTCCCGGGTTCAAGCGATTCTCCTGCCTCAGCCTCCCAAGTAGCTGGGATTACAGGCATGCGCCACCATACCTAGCTAATTTTGTATTTTTAATAGAGACAGGGTTTCTCCATGTTGGTCAGGCTGGTCTCGAACTCCTGAACTCGTGATCCTCCTGCCTTGGCCTCCCAAAGTGCTGGGATTACAGGCGTGAGCCACTGCTCCCGGACACCTCCTTCCTTTTTATACCACAGGGCGTCTGTCCTGTAGATGTCCTACCGTCCATTTAACCTCTGCCCTATACAGTGGTCACTTAAGTTGTTTCCAGTCATGTACTGAAGCGAATCTCCTGGTGTATATGTCATTTCTCCCTTGTGCAAGGTCTATGGGATAACTTCCTAGGACCAGAATTGTCAGGGAGACAGTTGGTTTTTTTTGTTTGTTTGTTTGTTTGTTTTTGAGACAGAGTCTCGCTCTGTTGCCCAGGCTGGAGTGCAGTGGCGTGATCTCGGCTCACTGCAAGCTCCACCTCCCAGGTTCACACCATTCTCCTGCCTCAGCCTCCCGAGTAGCTGGGACTACAGGCTCCTGCCACCATGCTCGGCTAATTTTTTTTTTTTTTTTTGTATTTTTAGTCGAGACGGGGTTTCACCATGTTAGCCAGGATGGTCTCGAACTCCTGACCTCGTGATCCACCCGCCTCGGCCTCCCAAAGTGCTGGGATTACAGGTGTGAGCCACCGCGCCCAGCCGGGGGAGACAGTTCTTAGTCTTACATAGTTGAATATTTTACCATGGCACAAGTCACTTTACAACATGAAAGCAAAGAAGGTAGATGAGCAACATAGCATGGTGATTCAGAGCTTGGGTTCTGGAGTTAGACTGCCTAGCTTCAAATCCTGCCTCTACAACTTCCCAGCTGTGTGACTCTAGGCAAGTCACTTGCCCTCTCTGTTCCTCAATTTCATCATCCATAAAATGGGGCCAGGAGCAGTGGCTCATACCTGTAATCCCATCACTTTGGGAGGCCAAGGTGGATGGATCACCTGAGTTCAGGAGTTCGAGACCAGCCTGGCCAACATGGTAAAACCCCGTCTCTACTAAAAATACAAAAATTAGCTAGGTGTAGTGGTGGGTGCCTGTAATCCCAGCTGCTTGGGAGGCTGAGGCAAAATAATTGCTTGAACCCGAGAAGCAGAGGTTTCAGTGAGCCCAGATCACACCACTGCACTCCAGCCTGGGTGACAGAGCAAGACTCAGTCTCAAAAAAAAAAAAAAAAAAAAAAAGGGGGGGAATGATAAAGGTGACAACTCCATAGAGCTGTTGGGTGGATAGCAAGATAGATGTTAACTTCCTCCCCAGTTGATAACAGAGGAACCAAAGGCCCAAAGAGGAAGGCAACTTGCTCAAAGTCACACTGCAGGTTTGTGGCAGAGCCAAGGCAGGCTGAGGTCAGGTCTGGGGCTTTTTTCCAACTGCTCCTCACCCCAGTGAAGGTGGGAATGGATTCCACTGCTGCTGCTTGAACTTTTCCACCCAAATATCTCAATATTCAGGAAGAATGAAGAAAATGTCCCAGGATATAATCCTAAGTATAAAATTCTTTCCAATCTCACATTGTAGCTTAGAAGTTCAGGCCAACTTTATATTCAACTCCATATATGCGGAGGAGGATTGGTTGTAAAGCTAACAAAACTCAGGCCCTTCACAGGCTTCCAAGGTCCCAAGAAGGATCTTCCCCGTGGTCTTGTATGCTTGTGAAACCTGCAAAAGTAAGACTTTGACCACAGCTGGTTAAGACTGCTGTCTGTTTCCACTCTGTCTTCCTGTCCATCTCCCTGTCCCTCACAGCGAGCAGCACTGAAATGACCTATCAGCTTTTTGCACTTGTTAATGCTGTATTATTTTTCTTAAAGGAAGTTCCCCCACTCCAAATTGCATAGGCTTCAGTCTCAGCAAACAGGATTCACTTCGGGTAAAATGTCTATTTTGATATCAAAAGAATGGCTCCTTTACCTTCTCTCCCCCAAAAAATCTTTGAGTAAAACTGATGCTGCAGGAAGCCAGACCCTCTGTATCCTGACATTCCCCTGGGACCTGCATGGCCACAGGCATCCTGTGTAGGCCGGACAGGACTGCATGACCCCAGGTTCACATTTGTCCCCTCCCTTTTCCATCAGGTGGTTTTTCAAGGGCATCAGCCGGAAGGACGCAGAGCGCCAACTGCTGGCTCCCGGCAACATGCTGGGCTCCTTCATGATCCGGGATAGCGAGACCACTAAAGGTGACACCAGCCCTCCCCACCTTGTCCTCCCTGCCGAGGTGCCCCAGCTGGGGCTGGCCACCACCCTTTCCTTGGAAAATGCCCTGGGAAAGGCTGAAAAACCCAACCAGGTGCTGTGGCTGCCAGGTTTCTCCTGCTCTTGGCCACCTGAGCTGGGGAGGGTTGAGGCTCTGTGCCTGGCTCTGCCCTTCTTATCCACCATAGCTGCCAGCTTAGGTCAGTGGAACTAGTGCCAGGTGGCTTAGGCCCTGAAAACAAAGAAACATCCAGCTGAAGCTTGATCTTCACTGACTTGTTTTTTCATTTGTTTTGGTTCTTGTTTTGTTTTGTTCTGTTTTTTGAGATGGAGTCTCACTCTGTCGCCAGGCTGGAGTGCAGTGGTGCGATCTCGGCTCACTGCAACCTCCACCTCCCAGGTTTGAGCGATTCTCCTGCCTCAGCCTTCCAAGTAGCTGGGATTACAAGTGCTCGCCACCATGCCCAGCTAATTTTTGTATTTTTAGTAGAGACAGGGTTTCACCATGTTGGCCAGTATGGTCTCGATCTCCTGACCTTGCGATCCACCCCTCTTGCCCTCCCAAAGTGCTGAGATTACAGGCGTGAGCCACTGCGCCTGGCCTGTTTTGTTTTGTTTGAGACAGGGTCTCACTCTGTTGCCCAGGCTGGTATGCAGTGGCACAATCTCAGCTCACTGCAACTTCTGCCTCCTGGGCTCAAATGATTCTCCCATCTCAGTCTCCCGAGTAGCTGGGACTACAGGTACGTGCCACCATGCTGACTAATCTTTTCTTTCTGTTTTTCTTTCTTTCTTTTTAGTAGAGATGGGGTTTTGCCATGTTGCCTAGGCTGGCCTCGAACTTCTGGACTCAAGCAATCTGCCTACCTCAGCCTTCCAAAGTGTCAGGACTACAAAGTGTCAGGATTGTTTTTGTTTTGGTTTTTTTAAATACCCGTAACAGACCAAGTAGGGGAGGCCAACACAGGAGGATCACTTAAGCCCAAAAGTTCGAGACCAGCCTGGGCAACATAGTGAGACCCCATCTGTATGAAAAATTTTAAAAATTAGCCAAGCATGGTGGTGCACATCTGTACTCCCTGATACTCAGAAGGGTGAGGCCAGATGATCTCTTGAGTCCAGGAGTTCAAGGCTGCAGCGAGCCATAATGGAGCCACTAGACTCCAGCCTGGGCAACAGAGCAAGACCCCATCTCTAAAAAAATAAAACAAAATACCCATTACAATAGATCTTATCCACAAGCCTCATTCCTCCTTTCCTCCCTCCATAAGGAAATGAGGTAGGATGAGGTCGCCAGAAGAGACTCAAGCCAGCCTTCTCTGGGACTCTGCTGAAAATGCTCCTTGGAAGCTTTTGGAAGTTTTAATGTCAGGTGACCAGCTTCCTGGAATTTCTGTGCTGCAAGGGTGGATTCATGCTGATTGGGTGCATGGATGGCAAGAACAGGCCTGGAAAACATCGCGTAGCTCAAACTGGCATCGATTGAGGCTCATTGCCTCAAAGGAATGAACATCAGTAGGATTCTTATGATTTCAGATTTCATGTGCTAAGTGCACCTTTACTAATACATTTAGGTTCACAACTGCTTGACTCAAATAAGCCAAGTATATTGTATAATATGTGACCTCACGGTACCCTGAAGCAAACAGATTTGGGGACATTGATTAAAGGCATGTTCCTCATGTGGCCTTCTACTTGACCCTCAGCTATCTGAATTGGCGAAGCTTTCATGTGGCTAGGATAATGCTACCCACAATCAGTGTGGCAGCTCAGTGAATGCCTGGGCTTTGTCTCTTCCCACCCAACGAGCCCCATTCAAGCCCCCAGGGGGAAGAAAAGGAGATAAAAAGACAAAGCTGTGCACAGCCCAGCGCTTCTCCTCTCTAGCTGTGCCCAGGACAGCTTTTGGCTTGGGCTGGTCCATCCTGCAGACAAGGGCAGAGAAATCAAAGAAACCATCACAGATCTGTGGGGCAGGAAAATGAGCCTGGTCCAGCTTTCACAGCTCTCTGAGATGGGGCATGTTGGGAATTTTAGCCGATTTAATAAAAGTTGCAGCATGAGACCTGTGAATCCCACCCTGCTGCTTCCTGGATCCTGCCACACCCCATCCAGCAGCAACCAAGCCAGTCTCGCCCCTGACTGGGACAGAGTGGCTGAGAGGGGCTCTGGAGCCAGCTGCCTGGATTTGAATCCCAGCTGTGCCACTTACCAGCTGTGTGACTGTAGGTGAGTTATTTCACCTCTCTGGGCTTCAGTTTCCTCATCCGTAAATGAGGATGATGATATTATAAAACCCTTACCCCATGAGGTTATTCATTCATTAAATAAATAATATTATAATTTATATAGTTATAATTCATTATAATGAATATTATTCTTATTCATTCATTGTTCATCTACGCAGAGTGCTTTGAACTTGCCTGGCATGTACGGTAAGCTATTATTCATTCAACAGTATAAACTGGCCAGGTGAGGTGACTCAAGCCTGTAATCCCAGCAGTTTGGGAGGCTGAGGCATGTGGATCACCTGAGCTCAGGAGTTGGAGACCAGCCTGGCCAGCATGGTGAAACTCCATCTCTACTAAAAATACAAAAATTAGCCGGGCGTAGTGGCGGGCGTCTGTAATCCCAGCTACTCAGGAGGCTGAGGTAGGAGAATTGCTTGAACCTGGGAGGCAGAGATTGCAGTGAGCCAAGATTGCGCCACTGCACTCCAGCCTGGATGACACAGCGAGACTCTGACACACACACACAAAAAATAAAGTTTAAACTTCCCAAATCCTATGACATTGTACTATTATCATGGTAAAGAACACTGAGACAGAGGGACTAATAACTTGCCCAAGGGCACACAGCTCACAAATAGCAAAACGGTGGTCATGAGCTGAAAGACTTATGTGTTTCTGCTCTATGTGATAATATAGGGTGGTGCAAAAGTAATTTCAGTTTTTTCCACTACTTTTGAAGGCAAAAACTGCAATTACTTTTGCACCAGCCTAATATGTATGTTAGGTTCCCATTGCTGCTGTAACAAATTAATACAAACTTAGTGGCTTAAAACAACACCCGTCTATTCTCTAACAGTTCTGGGGATCAGTAGTCTGACCTCACTGGGCTCAAGATGTCAGCAGGGCTGGTTCCTTC
The DNA here is from genome assembly GCF_000001405.40 of Homo sapiens. NCBI lineage: Eukaryota > Metazoa > Chordata > Mammalia > Primates > Hominidae > Homo > Homo sapiens. The sequence goes on from NC_000020.11 coordinate 32,083,041, forward strand.
TGGAGGCTTCAGGGGAGAATTCATTTTCTTGCCTTTTTTAGTTTCCAGAGGCTACAGCATTCCTTGGCTCATAGTCCCTTCCTGACATCTGTCCAAGCTCTTGTTTCCATCTTCACCTCTTCCACTTTGACCTTCCTACCTCCTTCTAACAAGAACTCAAGGGATTACACTGGGGCTACCTGGATCATCTGGAATAATCTCCCCGTCTCCAGATCCTTAACTTAATCACATCTCTAAAGTACCTTTTACCATGTAAGGTAACATATTCCCAGGTTCCAGGGTTTAGGGCATGACTATCTTGAGGGACCACTATTCAGCCTACCACAGCATGTTCACATTTCAATAACTGGACTGGATTTCTGGGTTTTTTTCCAGAAAAGTCATAGCCTGAGTTTTTATGAAAAAGTAAAAAGTATACTATGGTCTCTTGGCTTTTTGTAGGGTAGATGATAGAAAGATGGAACAATAGATCAGAAATAATGAAGATGATGATGATGATAGCCAACATTTGCAGAGTGTTCAGCTTCCAAGTAGTTTACAGGCATTACTTCTTTTAGCCGTCAGGCAATAGGATCAGGTAGGGAGGCGTGAGAACTATTCCCATTTTACAGATGAGAAAACTGAGGCATAGAGAGGTGACATAGTCACATGGCCAAGGTCTCACGGGTGGATGTGGTAGAGCCTGGATGAGAGCCCAGGATGCCTGGCTCCCACAGCCCACTCAGACCCTCGGGCACTTCTGCCCAGGTGTCAGGACGGTGCCAGCGGTAGCCTTACAGGGTGTCAGAGTGCTAATGCAAGGTGGCAGGCCTCCAAGATGCCATTCTGAGGGGTTTCTCTTTGGTCAATTCAGGAAGCTACTCTTTGTCCGTGCGAGACTACGACCCTCGGCAGGGAGATACCGTGAAACATTACAAGATCCGGACCCTGGACAACGGGGGCTTCTACATATCCCCCCGAAGCACCTTCAGCACTCTGCAGGAGCTGGTGGACCACTACAAGAGTGAGTCCCACCCCAGGGGTGACATCCCCACCACGATGGGCCCACAGACTCCTAGTCACGGATGCACTGTGGCCCCTGAGACCTGCTGTGTCCTTCTTGGCCATCCCCTAGACAGATAGTTGCTTTGGATGCTTCTGAAGGCTTAGGACTGTTGAGCAGGAGGGTGAGGTGGCCAAGATGTAGAGGTGGCACCCCGTCACACTCTGCTTGCTTGGGAATGTCTCTGATGGTGGCAACCAGGTGGAACACTGGAGAGATCCAGTGGACCAGGTAGGGCGGCCTCCAAGGAGCAACCTCTGGCTGGCTCGGTGCTTGTTGCTCTCAATTGACCAGGGACTCTGTTCCAGAGGGGAACGACGGGCTCTGCCAGAAACTGTCGGTGCCCTGCATGTCTTCCAAGCCCCAGAAGCCTTGGGAGAAAGATGCCTGGGAGATCCCTCGGGAATCCCTCAAGCTGGAGAAGAAACTTGGAGCTGGGCAGTTTGGGGAAGTCTGGATGGGTAAGGACCCAGGGCCACAGCCCACAGGGCCAGAGGGTGGAGGGGAGAGGGAGGCCACTTGCTTCCAGGAACACCTTATGGCAAAGCGGGAATGCTACCCAAGGCAGAGGGGGAGATTTAAATAATAGCCATAAAGAAGCAGTTCCCTGATAGCAAACCAAATTGTCTTGCTGTGCAAACACTGATTTGCCTTTGAGACCAGTCCTGTAGTGGTCAAAAACTTCCTTCTGGGAAGCAGGTGTCATGGATGAGGAATCCCTCCCTCATACGGAGTGGGGACTGCCTAACAGTTTGGGATTGAGATAACCAGAGACCTTTTCAGATGATGAAAATTAAGAATGGGGAAATGCAGCTTGGAGATTTCCAGGCAACTGATGAACAGGTTATTCTGAGCACCTGCTGTGTGCCCAGCACTGTTAGGGTCTTGTGGGAAAATCAGAAAGGCACATCTCACACCTGCTGATTTTCCCCAAGAACTTAAGAACAACACTGCCTGCTTTGCAGGGCTGTGGGGTAGATGCAGTGCCAGCCCAGTGTGGGGCAGCCTGCTGTGTTAATACGTTCCAAATGGGAGCGTTCCAAATGGGAGCGAAGACAACTTACAGGGATGCAAACAACTCAGCCAGATAAAATAAGTTTAAAATCCATGTATTTCGACTGTATTTATTGCGATTCTGCTGCATGCAAGGCCGGGCACAGTGGCTCACGCCTGTAATCCCAGCACTTTGGGAGGCCGAGGCAAGTGGATCAATCAAGGTCAGCAGTTCGAGAAAAACCTGGATAGTATAGTGAAATCCCGTCTCTACGAAAAAATACAACAATTAGCCAGGCGTGGTGGTGGGAGCCTGTAATCCCACCTACTCGGGAGGCTAAGGCAGGAGAATCGTTTGAACCCAGGAGGTGGAAGTTGCAGGGAACCGAGATCGCACCACTGCACTCCAGCCTGGGAGACAGAGTGAGACTCTGTCTAAAAAATAATAATAAAATTAAAAAGAATTTGACAAAAAAGAAAATATGGAGAGGAAGGTAAGACAGATCTGAGTGGTGAGATTTGAAAGCCAAAAATATCATATAAGACGCTAGACTCCTACTACAGGAAGCCCACGGTTCTGGATTGGAGCTTCCTGGAAGCCAAGGCAAAATGGAAACCCAAGCAATTATAAAATTGACAAGACCCACCAAATGAAGCAGGGTGGGGTGAGGGGAGGGAACAGCATGTGCCAAATCCCTGTGGTGGGAGGTGAGTTGGGTGCTTGAGGGACTGAGTGACCTGCAGGGTGACTGGCACATAAAAGGCAAGGGGAGTTTAGTGGCTGATGAGGCTAGAGGGGTGGACGAGGCTGGGTCATGTAGGGCCTGGGGGTCATAGTAAGTCTGGCATTTATTTAAGAGCAGTGTTAAGATTAAAGTGGGCGGTGTATGTGTGTGACATAACCTGAGTAGTGTTTTAAAGCTATTTTTATTTGTTTGGGTTTTTTGTTTGTTTGTTTGTTTGAGACAGAGTCTCGCTCTGTCACCCAGGCTGGAGTGCAGTGGCTCAATCTTGGCTCACTGCAAGCTCCGTCTCCTGGGTTCACACCATTCTCCTGCCTCAGCCTCCCCAGTAGCTGGGACTACAGGCGCCCACAACTGCGCCTGGCTAATTTTTTGTATTTTTAGTAGAGACGGGGTTTCACCGTGTTAGCCAGGATGGTCTCGATCTCCTGACCTTGTGATCCGCCCACCTCGGCCCCCCAAAGTGCTGAGATTACAGGCGTGAGCCACTTAGAGCTATTTTTAAATCCTTGCAACAGCACTTCAAAGGCAAAGCTTACCATTTCCACTTTACAGATGAGGAAGCTGAGGAAGCCACGGCTCAGAGACGTTAAGCCACTTGCCCTAGTGTGCACAGCTGGGAAGTGGTGAACCCGCCTTTCAACCCACAGTTGTCTGAGGCCTAAGCCCATGATTTCGCTTCCCTCTCTGAGAGTTGAGATGAGCAGGAAAGACTTTCTGGAGGAGGCGGGTCTGCAGCTGGGCCTTCTAGGGTGGTACGGGAGACCAGTGGGCTCTGACCACCTTCCCTGCTCTCTATCCCCCTCCAGCCACCTACAACAAGCACACCAAGGTGGCAGTGAAGACGATGAAGCCAGGGAGCATGTCGGTGGAGGCCTTCCTGGCAGAGGCCAACGTGATGAAAACTCTGCAGCATGACAAGCTGGTCAAACTTCATGCGGTGGTCACCAAGGAGCCCATCTACATCATCACGGAGTTCATGGCCAAAGGTGCTGCGTGCTGGGGCTGGGGGTGCAGGCTGTGGCCTATACTGGTCAATTGCGGGCCCAAGGGTGGCTTGGACATGGTTCTTGCCCTTGAGATGGCCCCAATCTGGCCAGGAGCTCTTCCAACAAGTACTCATTGAGAATCTAATGTGGAACAATCCAGCCCTCCTGGTTAGTGGGGTGAAATCATGTTAAGGGGTCACCAAGGGGAAGGGAGAACAAGGGGCTACCAGGAGAAGGGAATGGGGCCAGAATACTCCTGGGCAATGGGAGAAGGGGCTTATGGTTCACAGTGAGCCTTAGAGGCCAGGGTGTGGCATGGGTGGTGGGGGTGCCACTCTCCCGCATCAGCCACCTTCCCTGTACTTGCCAAAGCCCTGGGAGAGGGAGCTGGCAAAGCAGCAGTTCTGCCCCCACCCCCGCCCTGCCACAACTCAGGATTTCTTGGGGAATTTTTTTAGGCCACTGTTTCACAACCATTTTCAACCCCTGCCATTTTTTGTTTGTTTGTTTTTTAGGGACAGGAACTTGCTCTGTTACTCAGGCTGGAGTGCAGAGGTGCAATCATAACTCCTGGGCTCAAGTGATCCTCCCACCCCAGCCCCCCGAGTGGCTGGGACCACAGGCCCATGCCACCACACTCAGCTAATTTTATTTATTTATTTACATATTTATTTTTAGAGACAGGGTTGCCCTCTGCCTACCCAGGCTGGAGTGCAGTGGCGTGATCATAGTTCACTGTAGCCTCAAACTCTCAGGCTCCAGGATCCTCCCGACTTAGTCTCCCCAGTAGCTGGCACTACAGGCATGCACTACCACACCCAGCTAATTTCTAAAAAAATTTTTTTTTTTTTTGAGACAGAGTCTCACTCTGTTTCCCAGGCTGGAGTGCAGTGGCACAATCTCGGCTCAATGCAAGCTCCACCTACCAGGTTCACGCCATTCTCCTGCCTCAGCCTCCCAAGTAGCTGGGACTACAGGTGCCTGCCACCATGCCTGGCCAATTTTTTTGTATTTTTAGTAGAGACGGTGTTTCACCGTGTTAGCCAGGATGGTCTCAATCTCCTGACCTTGTGATCCGCCCGCCTCAGCCTCCCACCATGCTGGAATTACAGGCGTGAGCAACTGCGCCCAGCTTCTAAAATTTTTTTCTAGAGACAAGGTCTCGCCATCTTGCCCCAGCTGGTCTCAAACTCCTGGGTTCAACTGATCCTCCCAAAGCTTTGGGATTATAGGCATGAACCACTGAGCCTGGCCTAACATATATATTTGTAAATTTCTTCTATAGATGGGGTCTTGCGATGTTGCCCAGGCTGGTCTCAAACTCTTGGCCTCAGGTGATCCTCTCACCTCGGTCTCCTAAAGTGTTGGAATTACAGGAGTGAGCCTCGTGCCTAGCCACTCTGCCCATTTTTTGATAAACAGAATCATCTCATGCAATCCCATTTAGTGCGATTTGAAACCTCAAGCCTTTTTCATTTTAACTATGCAATTATGCCAGTCCTGTGAAGGCATGATCCCAGCCATCCAGGCTCAGGGGCTGTCTCAGTCACAGAATCCATCTAGCAATCAAAAAGTCACTTCACTAAAACTCAATTCTCTTTCTCAAACACTAGGAATTGCAAACAAATATTCGTATTTAAATCTACTACTATGAAAAATCTTCACCACACACTAAAGTACTAGATTGGTGCAAAAGTAATTGTGGTTTTTGCCATTAAATAGTAAAAGTAGTAAATGTTCCTCCCCTCTCCCCCATATAGGAAGCTTGCTGGACTTTCTGAAAAGTGATGAGGGCAGCAAGCAGCCATTGCCAAAACTCATTGACTTCTCAGCCCAGGTGAGAGCCTAACGAGGAAACGGGGAAGGGAAACAGGAATTCGATTTTTTTACTTGCCAAATATTTACTGACCACATACTATGATGATAGCAGTAATAATAATGGGTAAAATGTATTGAGAGCTCAGTATAAAACTATGTTTTTTGCATATATTTTATTATACATGTACTCATTCATTTAATCATCCTATAAGCTTTATAGGCTGGGATTTTTGTTATCTATTTTGGTATAACAAACCATCCAAGTCCTAGTAGCTTGAAACAACAGCAATTGTTATTTCTCATGATCCTGTGGGTTGCCTGGGTTCAGCTGGGTGGTTCTTCTGCTCGTCATGGTAAAGTGAGGTGCAGATGTTGGCACTTGCCCAGGCTAGAATGTCCAAGACATGGCTCAGCCTCCAGGGTCTCTCCACATAGCCCCTCACCACCCAATCACCCAGCCTGAGCTTCTTCACGGCGCAGCAGCTGGGTTCCAAGACAGAGCTGGACCAGGGGCCAAGCCTTCATGAGCAGGCTCTCATTAAGCCTCTGCCTGCATCAGGCTTGCTAATGGCCCATTGGCCAAGTCACATAGCCATGCCCAGAATCAGTGTGGGAGGGGACTGACCAAGGACACAAATCCCAGGGACCCCCTCAATGTAACAGTCTGGCCACAGAGTAGGTAATTATCATCCCATTTTACAGAATAGGAAATTGAAGCATAGAGCAGAAGTAAAGTACAGATGTGGAAACTGAGCCCCAGTGTGGTTAAGTGGCTTGCACAAGTTACTGTGCTAATTATGGGGGATATAGCAGTGAACAAAATGAAAATGTTCCTGTCCTAATAGAGTTCACAATCCAGGTGGGAAGATGAGTATTAAATAACCAAATCTCTTAGAGACCATGACCCAAGTGGTCCTGGCTGAGTCAAAAGAGCACAGTATCTAACAAAGTAAATAATGTTCACAAATCGCAAAAACACTGCTGAAAACCTAATTTTCTTTCTCATGTTCCCCACGCCCCTTGCAGCTCCTCTCACCCCCAGCCTAAGCAGTTTTTTCACTTCTGTCCTCTCTCATGCTCTCTCTGATGTCTGGGAAAACAGAGTGTAAGGACGGGGTGGTATTAGAGTGCATAGCTAGAGCATTTAGCCTGGTCCAGGAGCAATCAGAGAATGCTTCCTGGAGGAAGTGGCCTCTAGGCCGAGCCTGAAGGATGAATAGAAGTTCAGTAGATGAAGAGAAAAGGTAAAGGTCTTTTAGACAAAAGAAACAGCCTGTGCAAAAGTAGGTGAAGGAGTTCAGCCTACTCAGCAGGAGCCCAGGGATAGTGGGAGTTGAGTGAGACCCTGCCTGGGCCTCAGCTGGGCCTGCTGGAGATGCCAAGGGCAGGGCTCATTTGAGTATGCAAATTCAGGGGCCCAGAGGACACCACAAAGTGTAACAAAAGACTCTACTTTCAGAGCCTGGAATGCCAGAGGCATATGGAAATGTGTTTTCACTCCTATGGGCCAGGTCCTCTGGGAGACAATAGACTGGTCTGTTGCTAAATTATCATCTTCAAACTAGCAGAAGCCCTGCTGGGCAGCAGTCACCGACCAGGGCAAGAGCCACTCTGCCCGTTTCACAGAGGGGAAAACAAACCAAGGGAGGAAAAGAGGTTCTGGGCCTTCATCTGTCCAGAAGCAGAGGTAGATTCAGAGCCCAGGGACAGAAAGGAGCCCACCTGGGGCTTTGGTCTTCACCTCCAGACTCAGAGAGGCAGCTTGGAGCAGCAGGTGGAGAACTGGACCACACATGTGGGGTTTCTGTAGTCACAGCTTTGTGGGTGACATGAAATGTTATTCAGTAGCTGCATATATACAAACAGGTCAAAACAGAGCTGCTCTGACTGAAGCAGGGTGGGGGGCTTATCTGTGGCCTTTCTTTTGTCTCCCCCACCCCCATATAACCTTGAGGCATCCATAGGATTCAGTTGGAAGAGCTCTACAGGTCCTTCCAGCTCTGATGCTGTGACTCCCTGATACTCTTTGGAAGCAAACCCAAGGGTGCCCAACCTCATGGCACCCTATCTGGGGGTCATGAAATCTCACCGCCTTTATCAACCCGCAGTGCTTACACCTGGGCCCAATAAACCTACTCGTTATTCATTCAGTCAGCAGACCCTGGAGAAGCAACACTATTAGCATCTGGGCTTAGGAGTCACACAGAGTTTTGTTTTGATCTCAGCTCTGCCTGTGTAGCCTCAAGCAAGTTGCTTAACCTCTCTGAGTGCCACTTTCCCCCACTGGGAGCACTGGGAGCCACTCTTTAAATAAATACTTAACTATGTGCCAAACACTCTACTAAGCCCTTGATGTAGGCTTAGGGGATTCATCTTCACATGACCCCTTGGAACCAGGTGCTATTACAGAGAAGAAAAGTGAGGTACAGAGAGATGACACAACTTGCTTGACATCACAGAGCTGCAGCGCTCAAGCTGAGTTGGTCCAGCTCCAGAGCCATTTAGCTATTACCCTCTGCTGTCTCCTAAGTGGGGTGTCATCCCTGCCCCATCGAGCTCCTGTGAAAATCAGTAGCATATGAGCATCTGCCAGTGAGCATCAAACAGTGGTAACTACCAGCATTAGTCCTTGCTCCAGAAGAAAAGCAAGGCAAAAAAGCTGGGCCAAGTAACAGGTAAGTGCGTGGACCCCAAGCAGCGCTTTTGGAGCTCCAGCCCTGGCTCCGCAACTTGCAAGCTGTGTAAGCTGGGGCCACTTACCTATTTCTCTGGGCTTCAGTTTTCTTATCTGTGGAAATGGGGCTGATAACAAAAGTGCCTCCTCCAAAGCACATGGTAAATGTCACATAAGTGTTTAAGTATCATCTTATAAATAAGCTATGATGCCTTCCATTAGCATCATAACTTTTGTTAACTGTTCATCTAAGGACTCATAAATTTCCCACACTCCCAGGGCCAAGATGCTGTCTCACTCCACCCTGGCAACCTCATCCCCATTTCGTCCCCACCCCCCACTATTCTAAACAAAATCAGAGTCTCTTCCAAGTTTTTACTGAAAAATTTGGGTCTCTGGGTCTCCCTTGGGCATGACAGCTCAGGCCTGTAATCCCAGCACTTTGGGAAGCTGAAGCAGGAGGATCCTTTAAGCCCAGCCTGGGCCACATAGTGGGACCTCTTCTCTATTAAAAAAAAAAAAAATTCTTTTTAAATTTAATCTGGCATAGTGGCATGCACCTATAGTACCAGCTGCTTGGGAAGCTGAGGTGGGAAGACTGCTTGAGCCCAGGAGGCACAGGTTGCAGTAAGCTGTGATCCCACCACTGTACTCCGTGACAGAGCAAGGCCCTGTCTCAAAAGAAAAAAAAAAAGAAGAAAGAAAAGAAAAAAGCAAAGCATGGGTCTCCATTCTAACTGCCTCGGGTGCCCCCTGCTGTCCACCCCTTGCAAGTGCGCCACCCACTTGCCTCAGACCTTGAGAAGCCGGCCGGTGGTGCTTTGATTGTTCTGTCTAGTCAGACGCCCTCACTTCCAGAATAATTTCATCAGACTGCACCCAGCTGCAGTCTGCCGGAGCACTGGAGTGCTGGGTTATTTAGAGGCAGCAGGATGCACTGGATTGGGAGTCCTCAGACTGGTTTGAGCCTGACATTCAGAATTTTCCTGGTGGTGTGATCTGGAACAAGTGGTTCCATGTCTGTAAAACAGAGATTATGATCATTCCTGCCTCAAAGAGCTCAAGCCCAGTTTGTAAACCAAAAGTGCTGCTTTCTGGGCATCTGAGGGTTCATCTTCAACCGCTTTTGTCCAAACCCTTGTAAGTAAAAATGTCTGCAAGATATAATCCCTGTGTTTTCATCAGAGGCTTCTAGGGCTCCTGGTGTGAATAAGAATCCTCCACGCAGTCTGTTAGTCACTCAGCAGCCATGGTGATCTTTAAATGTACATCAGAACATGTCACGCTCCTGCTCGAAGGCCTCTAATATCTCCCCAACACGCTCAGAATAAAATCCACCCTCCTCTCCTGACCTACAAGGCAGTTCATGATTGGCGGCCTCCCTCTCAACTTCAACTCTCCCCACTCTCTCTGTGGCATCTTCTGCTGGCCACACTGACCTCTGTGCTGTTCCATGAACACCCAAGCTCTTACCTACCTCCACGCCTTTGCATCTCATGTTCTCTCTGCCTAGAATATTCTTATGCGACACACTTATTATTATCATCATTCAGATCTTTGCTAAAATCTCACCCCCTCAAAGCAGGTTTCCCTGAACGCCCAATCCAAAAAAGCTCTCTACAGGTCATATTTTGTTACTTTGTTTTATCTTTTTTTTCTTTTTGAGACAGAGTCTTGCTCTGTCGCCCAGGCTGGAGGACAGTGGCACGATCTCGGCTCACTGCAGCCTCTGCCTCCTGGGTCCAAGCAATTCTCGTGCCTCAACCTCCTGAGCAGATGGGATTACAGGCGTGCACCACCATGCTCATCTTCTTTTTGTATTTTTAGTAGAGACGGGGTTTCGCCATGTTGGCCAGGCTGGTCTCGAACTCCTGGCCTCAAGTGATCCGCCCACCTCGGCCTCCCAAAGTGCTGGGATTACAAGTGTAAGCCACCATGCCCGGCCTGTTTTATCTTTTCTTTATGGTACTTACCACCTGCAGGGGCTTTGCCGGGCTCATCACCTGTTCAAGCAACATGTCTGGCACCCACAAGACACTCAGTGGATTTCTGTTGAGTAAATAAGTGAATTTTCCCTACCCAGGCTGGGGCATGAGGAAGATATGAGAGGTATAGCAGAATATGACATGAACCTGGGTTGTCCCCAGAAAGAGAGTTGAAGGTGAAAGCTCTTCATAGTATCCTAGGGTTCGTGTGTGTGTGTGTGTGTGTGTGTGTGTGTGTGCATGTGCACGTGTGTGTGTATGTGTGTTCCTGGAAGAATAGGTCCTGGAGAAATAGTCCCATTGCTTTTTCCCTGAGAACATTTCAAAGTGCTCTCTGGAAGTCTTGGAATTCTAGAGAATCCCCCAAACTGGCCCAGGCCTCCTTAGGGATCCCCCTAACCTGAATGGGTTGATGGAGGAATGCCACCCTGAGCCCTGGGGCCCTCCCGACACAAAAGGGAGGGCTGGTGCAGACATTTCGCATTTTCTTCACTTGAACACCTCTCTGCTGCTTTTGGGTGGGGCCATCTTGGCGTAGGCCAGGTCTGAGGACAAAGGTGTCTCTGTTTGGGGTGCAGATTGCAGAAGGCATGGCCTTCATCGAGCAGAGGAACTACATCCACCGAGACCTCCGAGCTGCCAACATCTTGGTCTCTGCATCCCTGGTGTGTAAGATTGCTGACTTTGGCCTGGCCCGGGTCATTGAGGACAACGAGTACACGGCTCGGGAAGGTAGGGAACGCTGCCAAGCAGCCCCACGTTGCCCATTTGGATGCTTGTGAGTGTTGAGAGTTGATACTTGTGAGAGCGATTGGTAAAATGCAAGGGACTGCCCCAGTACTAGCTGTGCATTCTTGAGCTTGGTGGATCCTTCTGGATAATGTCCTGAACTTCAGAGTCTCACTCAGAGATTTTGAGGAGATTTTAGATCAGATTGAGAAGTACTGATAGATTTTAGAGGGAGTGGGCAAATATATGTCGAAATTAAGGGTAAGAGCAGCTTTGTGCATAACAGACAAAAATGGGGAGGGTATCCAAATGTCCATAGCAGGAGGATGGATTGTGGTATATTCACACAATATAATACCACGCAGTGATGAAAAAGCACAAACTGGCCAGGCTCAGTGGCTCACGCCTGTAATCCCAGCACTTTAGGAGGCCAAGACTGGAGGACTGCTTGAGCCCAGAAGCTCAAGACCAGCCTGGGCAACACAGGAAGACCTAGTCTCTACAAAAATTTAAGAAATTAGCCAGGCATGGTGGCACATGCCTGTATGCCTGTAGTTGTGGCTACTCAGGAGGTTAGGGTGAGAGGATCACTTGAGTCTAGGAAGCTGAAGCTGCAGTAAGCCATGATCATGCCACTGCACCCAGCCTGGTGGACAGAGCAAGATCTTGTCAAAAGAAAAGAAAAGAAAAGAAAAGAAAGAAAGAAAGAAAGAAAGAAAGAAAGAAAGAAAGAAAGAAAGAAAGAAAGAAGGAAAGAAAGAAAGAGAGAGAAAGAGAAAGAAAGAAAGAAAGAAAGAAAGAAAGAAAGAAAGAAAGAAAGAAAGAAAGAAAGAAAGAAAAGAAAGAAAGAGGCACAAGCCAATGCTAAATGCACCAAAATGGGTAACTCTCACAGGTATAATATCAAAATGAAAGAAATTAGACCAAAAAAAAAGAGTAGATGCCACTTGGTTTCGTTTTTGTGAAATTCTAAAAGAGACAAAACATGTAATTGGACATTCATGGCAGCATTCTTCCTAATAGCCAAAAAATGGAAACAACACTCTTTAATGTCCATCAATTGATGAACAGACGAACAAAATGTGATATATCCATACAATGGAATATTATTTGGCCATAAAATGGAATGAAGTACTACGCCAGGCTAGAACACAGATGACCCTTAAAAACATTTTGTTAAAGGAAAGCCAACATGAAGACCACATGTTGTATAATTCCCCTTCTATGAAATGTCCAGAAGAGGCAATCTTTTTTTTTTCTTTGAGATGGAGTCTTGCTGTCACCCAGGCTAGAGTGCAGTGGCTCAATCTCAGCTCACTGCAACCTCTGCCTCCCAGGTTCAAGCGATTCTTGTGCCTCAGCCTTCTGAGTAGCTGGGATTACAGGCGCACACCACCATACCCAGCTAATTTTTGTATTTTTAGTAGATAACAGGGTTTCACCATGTTGGCCAGGCTGAACTCAAACTCCTGACCTCAAGTGATCCGCCCGCCTTGGCCTCCCAAACTGCTGGGATTACAGGTGTGAGCCACCATGCCCGGCCCAGAACAGACAAATCTAAAGAGACAGAAAGTAGATTATTGGTGCCTACAGCTGGTGGTGGGGAGTTGGGAGAAATGAGGAGTGACTTCTGTGGGTTTTTTGCAGGGAAATGTGATGAAAGTATTCTAAAATCCACAACTTTGTAAATATTCTGAAAGCCACGGAATTATACACTTTAAATGGGTGAAATGTATGGTCTGTGAATTCTATCTCGATAAAGCTGTTAAAGAAAGAAACAGGCAAAATTTATTTATAGCACTAGAGGTCAGAATTGCAGTCACCTTTAGTTTCTGTTAGCCTAATATTTATTTATTTATTTATTTATTTATTTATTTATTTATTTATTTATTTTGAGACGGAGTCTCGCTCTGCTGCCCAGGCTGGAGTGCATTGGCGCCATCTCAGCTCACTGCAAACTCCACCTCCTGGGTTTAAGTGATTGTCCTGCCTCAGCCTCCCAAGCAGCTGGGATTACAAGCATGTGCCATCATGCCCAGCTAGTTTTTGTATTTTTAGTAGAGACAGGGTTTCACCATGTTGGCCAGGCTGGTCTCGAACTGATGACCTCAAGTGATTCACCCACCTGGGCCTCCCGAAGTGCTGGGATTACAGATGCGAGCCACTGTGCCAGTCCTATTTATTTTTTTAAAGAGACGGGTGCGGCCGGGCACAGTGGCTCACACCTGTAATACCAGCACTTTGGGAGGCCAAGGCAGGCGGATCACAAGGTCAGGAGTTTGAGACCAGCCTGGCCAATATGGTGAAACCCTGTCTCTACTAAAGATACAAAAATTAGCTGGGCGTGGTGGCAGGTGCCTGTAGTCCCAGCTACTCGGGAGGCTGAGGCAGGAGAATCATTTGAACCCGGGAGGCAGAGGTTGCAGCAATGAGCCGAGATTGTGCCATTGCACTCCAGCCTGGGTGATAGAGCGAGACTCCGTCTCAAAAAAAAAAAAAAAAAAAAAAGATAGGTGCTTGCTCTGTTGCCCAGGCTGTAGTGGAGGGGTGAGATCATAGCTCACTGTAGCCTCCAACTCTTGGGCTCAAGCAATCTTCCAGCCTCAGCCTCCTGAGTACCTGAAACTACAGATACGTGCTACCATGCCCAGCTAATTTTTTAATTATTTGTAGAGATAGTGTCTCACTGTGTTGCCCAGGCTGGTCTCAAACTCCTGGACTTACGTGATCCTCCTGCCTCAGGCTCTGAAAGTGCTAGGATTACAGGCATGAGCCACTATGCACAGGCTGCAGTCACCTTAAGTAAGGGGGTATTAACTGGAAGGACGCAGAAAGGAGCGTTCTGAAATGCTGAAAATGTTCTACAGCCCAATCTGATGGTGATTACAAGGGTATATATATATATATAAAGCTGCAGCAAAATGGATATTAAAGATTTGTGCATATTATTTCATGTACGTTATAACTCGATTAAAAAAAATTTAGACCGGGCACAGTGGCTCATGACTATAATCCTAGCACTTTGGGAGGCCAAAATGGGCAGATTGCTTGAGCCCAGGAGTTCAAGACCAGCCTGGGCAATATAGCAAGACCCCATCTCTACAAAAAATTTAAAAATAAGTCAGGCGTGGTGGTGTGAGCCTGTGGTCCCTGCTACTCAGGAGGCTGAGGCGGGAGAATCGCTTGAGCCCAGGAGGTTGAGGCTGCAGTGAGCCAAGATCATGTCACTGCACTCCAGCCTGTGTAACAGAGCAAGACTTTGTCTCAAAAAAGTAAATAAATAGGGCCGGGCACGTTGGCTCATGCCTGTAATTCCAGCACTTTGGGAGGCTGAGGTGGGAGGATCACGAGGTCAGGAGATCGAGACCATCCTGGCTAACACGGTGAAACCCCATCTCTACTAAAAATACAAAAAATTAGCCAGGCGTGGTGGCGGGCACCTGTAGTCCCAGCTACTTGGGAGACTGAGGCAGGAGAATGGCGTGAAAGCCGGGAGGCGGAACTTGCAGTGAGCTGAGATGACACCACTGCACTCCAGCCTGGGCAAACAGAGCGAGACCCTGTCTCAAAACATAAATAAATAAATAAATAAATAAATGTAATGACTAAAGGAATAAAAGTAGAATGTATAATTTCTAAACCAGAAGAAGATAAGCAGGAAATCAAGAAAAGTCTGTAGATCCAAAGGAGGAAGGGAGAAAACATATACACACACACACACTCTCACACACACAAACACACACATAGAACATTTTCAAAACTTGACCATGTACTCAGTCATAAAGCAGGTCTCAACAAATTCCAAAGAACATATATTCTATAGACCATGTTCACCAACCATGATATAATTAAACTAAACACTTTTTAAAAAAGGATAACTATGCCAGGTGCGGTGGCTCACACCTATAATCCCAGTGCTTTAGGAGGCCAAGATGGGAGGATCACTTGAGCCCAGGAGTTTTGAGAACAGGCTGGGTAACATAATAAAACACTGTCTCTACAAATTTTTCTATTTTTTTATATTTTATTTTATTTTATTTTATTTTATTTTTGAGACGGAGTCTGACTCTATCATCCAGGCTGGAGTGCAGTGGTGTGATCTCGGTTCACTGCAACCTCCATCCCCTGGGTTCAAGTGATTCTCCTGTCTCAGCCTGTAGCTGGAACTACAGGCACCTGCCACCATGCCCAGCTAATTTTGTATTTTTAGTAGAGATGGAGTTGGCCAGGCTGGTCTCGAATTCCTGACCTCAGGTGATCCTCCTCCTTGGTCTCCCAAAGTGCTGGGATTACAGGCACAAGCCACCATACCTGGCCAAAAAAATTTTTTTAATTAGCTTGGCATAATGGGGCACACCTGTAACCCCAGGGGCTTGAGAGGCTGAGGCAGGAGGATAGCTTGAGGTCAGGAGTTCGAGGCTTCAGTGAACTATGATTGTGCCACTGCGCTCCAGCCTGGGCACTCTGTCTCTAAAAGAAAAAAAAAATGAAAAGGCTAACTAAACCCATGTCAGACTAGGTGGGAGGAAGGGCGGGTAAAGGGAGAGACACATAGTGACTGGTGGGAACCTCATGGGCTGAGAGCCAGAATCCTCCCTTTTCCCATCGCCCAGGATGAGAGGACTGAGGCATCAGCTGCAACCTGGACTCAAGGCCCCCTGAAGTCCTTCTGTCCCCAAAGACCTGTGACCTCTGGGATTCCACTCTTCGGAGTTGCAGTTAACTGGGGTATCAGCTGAATCAACGAGGAGGATTCTAGAGTGAACTTCCACACCATACCCCAGGCCCCTAAGCCCACTCCTCCTTGTTTAGCCATCTGTCCTCAGGATGGATGTCCCTTGCTTCCACAGGGAGGCCACGTATCAGGGAAATTGCAGGTCTGCAGGGGCAGATGTTGGCAGCTCTTGCCCTTGCCTGTTCCCCCACCTTAGCAGAGCCAACCCTCACTACTCCCCAGCCTTCCCCGACTCTGCTCTGTTCAACCCTGCAGGGGCCAAGTTCCCCATCAAGTGGACAGCTCCTGAAGCCATCAACTTTGGCTCCTTCACCATCAAGTCAGACGTCTGGTCCTTTGGTATCCTGCTGATGGAGATCGTCACCTACGGCCGGATCCCTTACCCAGGTAGGGAAGGGGCATCAGCTCAGGGCTGCTACCAGGGCCCAGTCTGGCAATGGGCTCATCTCAACAACATGTCCATTCAAACTGAGTTCTTGATCCTCACCCCCAACCTTCCCTCACCTTTCCTGTCTTAGTTAAAGGCACCTCCATCCATCTAATGTCTTAAGCCTGAAATCTGGGGGCTTCCTTGGCCCTTCCTTCTCTCTCACTCCTATGACTTTTTTTTTTTTTTTTTTTTTTTTTGAGACGGAGTCTCCCTCTGTCACCCAGGCTGGAGTGCAGTGACGTGATCTCGGCTCACTGCAACCTCCGCCTCCCAGGTTCAAGCGATTCTCCTGCCTCAGCCTCCTGAGTAACTGGGATTACAAGCATCCACCACCATGCCTGGCTAATTTTTGTATTTTTAGTAGAGACGGGGTTTCACCATGTTGGCCAGGCTGGTCTCGAACTGCTGACCTTAGGTGATGCGCCTGCCTCGGCCTCCCAAAGTGCTGGGATTACAGGCGTGAGCCACTGTGCCTGGCCTCACCCCTATGACATCTGAGCAGTCACAGGGTTTTGGCCACTCGACTCCAAAACATATCCCAAGTCTCACCACTTTGAACCCCACAGTCTCCACTGCATCCAGGCCAGCGTCATCTCCCATAGATGGTGCAGCGGCATCCTCATCAGTCTTACTGCTTTCTCCCTCCTCGTCCTACAGCCTATTCTCCACTTGCAGCCAGAAGGATAATTCTAAACTTTAAATCAGATCTTGTCCTTTCTCCACCTTTTTTTTTTTTTTTAAGACAAGGTCTCACTCTGTCACTGAGGCTGTAGTGCAGTGGTGTAATCATAGCTCATGGCAGCCTCGACTTCCTAGGCTCAAATGATCCTCCCGCTTCAGCCTCCCGAGTATCTGGGACCATAGGCACATGCCACCATGTCTGGCTATTTTTTATTTTTTTAATTTTTTTGTAGAGACTTGGTCTCACTACGTTGTGCAGCCTGGTCTCTAACTTCCAGGCTCAAACGATCCTCCAGCCTTGGCCTCCCAAAATGCTGGGATTACAGACACACACCACCATGCCCAGCTAATTCTTTAAATTTTTTGAGAGACAAGGTATTGCTATGTTGCCGGGCTGGTGATTTCCATTTTTAAGCGATGCTTTCAGCATGGAGAGTGAATGGGAGGGAAAGGGAACAGGGTGGCAGCCAGTGAGGAGGCCACAGCAGTGGCCCAGGCAGAGGTGATGATGGTCTGGACAGGGTGGTGGCATTCGTGACTGGCATACGTTGATGAACTGGTGCTACGTTTCAAAAGGAGAAAAGATCTGACTTGCTGACTTAGGAGGTGAGAGAGAGAGAATAAAGGATGATTACCCTGGCTTTGCACCACAGGGTGGGTAATGGTCTAGGGATAGAAATTGGAGAGCTCTGTTTTAGCTCTGCTAAATTTGAGTTGACTTAAATATAGAGACATCCAAGTAAAGGAAGCACTTGAGTTCATGAGTTTGGAGTTTGAGACTAATAATATAAAATTGGGGATCACAGACATTGAATGGCTATTCTTATGAATAGCTAATAGAAACTTGAACTGAACAAAAAAATGGTCCCACCCATAGGTTAACATTGAATCTGGCCACCTGAATGTTTTGTCTTGAGGGTGCACTAGTCAAAACCAGGCAACACACAATAGACGCTGAATCCATTAGGATGTGTTCCACAGCAAGCAACAAAATAACAGACAAAGAGTAACTGAAATAGAAGCAATCTATTACTCCCAATCTTCCATTGGTGACTGGTTAGTTCAGCAACTCAGCAGCTGTCAGGACTCTGGGTTCCTGTCTCTATGATGGTCTTCTCCATGTTGTCAGCTCCAAGTATCATAAGTATCTCACAGTGTTCAAAGGAAGAGATGAAGGGTGCGTTCTCCAAAGACTCTCCTCTAAGCGGGAGGAAAAACCTTTCCATCACTTTCCCAGCAGACCTCCCCATCAGCTCCCATTGGCCCAAACTGGGTCCCAGGCCCATGTCCTAGCTGCAAGTGAAGCTGAGGGTGGAAGTCTGTCTTTCACAGTGGAAGGGGCTCAGCTTGCAAGGTGAGGTGGGGAGTGATGCCTGCTGGGGAGGCCACAGGGCCTGCCACCCCTGGGCTCTCATTTCCCAACTGCTTCCGTTTCTAATTCCACGGCTCCTTTTCAGGGATGTCAAACCCTGAAGTGATCCGAGCTCTGGAGCGTGGATACCGGATGCCTCGCCCAGAGAACTGCCCAGAGGAGCTCTACAACATCATGATGCGCTGCTGGAAAAACCGTCCGGAGGAGCGGCCGACCTTCGAATACATCCAGAGTGTGCTGGATGACTTCTACACGGCCACAGAGAGCCAGTACCAACAGCAGCCATGATAGGGAGGACCAGGGCAGGGCCAGGGGGTGCCCAGGTGGTGGCTGCAAGGTGGCTCCAGCACCATCCGCCAGGGCCCACACCCCCTTCCTACTCCCAGACACCCACCCTCGCTTCAGCCACAGTTTCCTCATCTGTCCAGTGGGTAGGTTGGACTGGAAAATCTCTTTTTGACTCTTGCAATCCACAATCTGACATTCTCAGGAAGCCCCCAAGTTGATATTTCTATTTCCTGGAATGGTTGGATTTTAGTTACAGCTGTGATTTGGAAGGGAAACTTTCAAAATAGTGAAATGAATATTTAAATAAAAGATATAAATGCCAAAGTCTTTACCAAAACGTTGGTTTTCCTGTCCTTCCAATTCCTGAATATCTATTTGCCTTCTTGCTGTATGACAAGTCAGAAATGGTGAAGGACTCTCCCGGGGACCAGAAATACAAAGACAAGTGGGGTTCAGACTGGGTGCTGTGGCTCCCACCTATAATACCAGTGCTTTGGGAGACCGAGGAGCGGGGGATTGCTTGAGCCCAGGAGGTCGAGGCCACAGTGAGCTATGATCGTGCCACTGCACTCTAGCCTGAGCGACACAGTGAGACCCTGTTTAAAAAAAAAAAAAAAAGATGAAGAAGAAGAAAGAAAGGAAAGGAAAGAAAATTGGGGTTCAATGCTTGAGGTTTTCTAACTGCCCTAAAATAGTTACTGGCTATATTAGTTTCCTCTTGCTCCTGTAACAAATTACCACATATCTGGTAGCTTAAGACAACAAAACTGCATAACATTACTTGGCCGGGCATAATGGCTCATGCCTATAGTTCCAGCATTTTGGGAGACTGAGGTGGGTGATCACTTGAGATCAGGAGTTCGAGACCAGCCTGGCCAACATGGTGAAACCCCGTCTCTACTAAAAATACAAAAATTAGCCAGGCATGGTGGTGGGCGCCTGTAATCCTAGCTACTGGAGAGGATGAGGCAGGAGAATTGCTTGAACCCGGGAGGTGGAGGTTGCAGTGAGCCGAGATTGTACCACTGCACTCCAGCCTGGGCAAGACAGCGAGACCCTGTCTCAATACATACATACATACATACATACATGTATAACCTTACTGTTCCAGAAAAGCAAGACCCTGTCTCAATCAATCAATCAATCAATCAGTCAATACATGTATAACCTTACTGTTCCAGAAGTCAGAGGGACTGAAATGGGTTGGCAGGGCTGCATTCTTTTTGGAGGCTCTAGGGGATAATTTGTTTCCTTGCCTTTCCCAGTTTCTAGAGGCTGCTCCTATTCCTTCACTCATCAGCCCCTTTCGTTCATTACTCCAAACTTTGCTTTCATCTTCATATCTCCTCTGAGTCTTCTTCCCCTCTTTTATTTGTAAGAACTCCTTGGACCCACCTGGATAATTCAGAATAATCTTCTCATCTCAGGATTCTTAATCACCTTTGCAAAGTCCCTTTTGCCATGTGAGGTAACATTTTCACACGCTCTGAGGGTTAGGACATGAACATCTTTCGACGGGGGGCACTTTTCTGCCTTCTCCACTGGTATCCAGATGCTGGATGGGTTTTGCCTCCAAGGAGATGGGTCTTCCAGGATGACAGGAATGGTTTCTCATGATCTGGGACCCTGACTTTCCTGTTAGGCCACATTGCTATAAGAGCTGGTCAGTTTACAGCTCCCCAGAGCTGGGGGCTGCCTGCAGACCTGACGTTTCCCATGGGTCAAGCAGCCATCATACTTGTCGAAGTGGTATTTGCCATTGCAGGAATCCTGGTCTGGAGATATGGCTGCTGAGAGGTGTCTAGTACCCTACAGGGGAAGCTCTCAGTGGAGGGGTGGGAGACCTGCGTAGGAAGCAGAGAAGACGAAGCAGTGCGGGCTTCCTGAATGTTGCCTCAGCTGAAAGACCCTGGCAGCTAGTTTTTATCATAGAGAGAAAGACAAAAGAGGTGGACAATGGGTGAAAACGAAACACCACCTTTCTATATTATTGCATCCCCTGAAGGTTGTACATCACATCACCCCCCAGGGTCCCATGGAATCCTATACTAACTTGATTCTGTACTTCTGAGTAGGGTGGGGTTCTAACCTTAGGAACTGAATATAAGAACAGTGGAAAATAAAGCTAGCAGTGTTTCAATTTACCTAGTTGGTAATTTCTTTCTTGCTTTCTAGTTTGGGGTATGGCTTGGGTACATGAAAGCAGAGCCCAGGGTCTTCTGATGGAAATGTTCCCTTATGATTTGTGATAATAATCCAATGGGAGGAGTACATTTCCCTGCTCCATCAGTGTTGAGCTTGACCGTGAGACTTGCTTTAGCCAATGGGATGTTAGCAGATGTGATGCAAGCAGAGGCTTGAAACGTGCTTGTGGGGCTGGGCTTGCCTTCCAGTCTTTTGCCCTGAAAAGAACATGGTCCGAGGAAGATGAGTGACAGATGGAGCAGACCTAGACCAACCTGCAGGCCTGAGCCCAGCCTAGATCAACTGAGCTCCATCTGACCTGTGGACATGTGAGAGAGAAATAGATGCTTTTGTGTTCTGGGGTTGTTTTGTTACATAAAAGTATGACAGCCACAGCAACTGAGGCACGATCTCAGGAGTTGGAGCCTATTGCTTATGAACAAGGTTAAGAGATCAATTTCTGCTTCTTACTCTTTCAATTTATACCGCCCAAACCAACACTGATTTGTCTCTCTGGTCACCGAAAAGACAGGTAAAAACATGGGGATAGATACAACACCAAAAGCATGATCCACAAAAGAAAAAAAAGATAAACTGTACCTCTTTAAAATTAAAAACTCTGCTCTGCCAAAGACACTATTAAGAAAATAGAAACATGGCCAAGCGTGGTGGCTCACGCCTGCAATCCCAGAACTTTGGGAGGTCGAGGTGGGTGAATCACCAGAGGTCAGGAATTCGAGACCAGCCTGGCCAACATGGTAAAACCCTGTCTCAACTAAAAATACAAAAATTAGCCAGGCATGGTGGCGGGCGCCTGTAATCCCAGCTACTCGGGAGGCTGAGGCAGGAGAATTGCTTGAACCCAGGAGGCGGAGGTTGCAATGAGCCAAGATCACACCATTGCACTCCAGTCTGGGTGACAAGAGCAAACCTCTGTCTTAAAAAAAAAAAAAAAGAAAAAGAAAAAAGAAAAGAAAAGAAAAGAAAAATGTGATTCCCAAGCTTGTAGAAAATATTTGCAAAAGATATCTCTGATGAAGGACTGGTATCTGCAATATATAAAGAACTCTTAAAACCCAACAATTAAAAAAAACCGTATCTGCTAAAATAGCTGAGATTCAAAACACTGATGACACCAGATGCTGAGGAGGATGTGGAGCAACAGGAACTCTCATTCATTGCTGGTGGGAATGCACAACGGTACAGCCACTTTGGAAGGCATCTGGCAGTTTATTACCAAACTAAGCATAACCTACTACACAATCCAGCAATTGTGCTCCCATATGAGTTGAAAACTTACGTCTACACACACTCACAAAAATGGCACATGGATATTTACAGCAGCTTTATTCATAAATGCCAAAACTTGGAAACAATTAAGATGTCCTTCAATAGGTGAATGGATAAACAACTTGTGGTATATTCACATAATGGGATATTATTCAGCACTAAGAAAAAAGAGTTGACCAGGTGCAGGTGCAGTGGCTCACACCTATAATCCCAGCACTTTGGGAGGCTAAGGTGGGAGGATTGTTTGAGCCCAGAAGTTTGAGACCAGCTTGGGCAACAAGTGGGACCCCCCCCCCCACCATATCTACAAAGAGTTAAACATTTAGCTGGTTGTGGTGGCATGCAACTGTGGTCCCAGCTACACAGGAGGCTGAGGCAGGAGAAACACTTGAGCCCAGGAGATTGAGGTTGCAGTGAGCCGTGATTGTACCACTGCACTCCAGCCTGGGCAAGAGAGTGAGACCCTGTCTCAAAAAATAAATAAATAAATAATATTGGCCAGGCACGGTGGTTCACGTCTGCAATCCCAACACTCTGGGAGGCCAAGGCAGGTGGATCACTTGAGCCCAAGAGTTTGAGACCAGCCTGGGCAAGATGGTGAAACCCCATCTCTACAAAAAATACAAATATTGGCCGGGCATGGTGGCAGGTGCCTGCAGTCCTAGCTACTCAGGAGGCTGAGGTAGGAGACCTACCCAGGAGGTCTAGGCTGCAGTGAGCCGTGATTGTGCCACTGCACTCCAGCCTGGGTGATAGAATGAGACCCTGTCTCAAAATAAATAAATAGCGGGGCACAGTGGCTCACGCTTATAATCCCAGCACTTTTGGAGGCTGAGATGGGTGGCTCACTTGAGGCCAGGAATTTGATAACAGCCTGGCCATCATGGCGAAACCCTTTCTCTACTAAAAATACAAAAAGATTAGCCGGGCTTGGTGGCAAACACCTGTAGCCCCAGCTACTGGGGAGGCTGAGGCAAAAGAATCACTTGAACCTGGGAGGCAGAGGTTGCAGTGAGCTGAGATTGCACCACTGCGCTCCAGCCTGGGCGACAGAGTGAAACTCTGTCTCAAAAAGAAAATTCAAAAATAAATAAATAGGCCGGGAGTGGTGGCTCACGCCCGTAATCCCAGCACTTCGGGAAGCCGAAGCGGGTGGATCACCTGAGGTCAACAGTTGCAGACCAGCCTGGCCAACATGGTGAAACCCCGTCTCTACTAAAAACACAAAAATTAGCCTGGCTTGGTGGCGGGCACCTGTAATCCCAGCTACTCGGGAGACTGAGACAGGAGAATCGCTTGAACCTGGAAGGCGGAGGTTGCTGTGAGCCAAGATCATGCCACTGCACTCCAGCCTGGACAACAAAAAGCAAAACTCCATCTCAAATAAATAATAAATAGATAAATAAACCTTTTAAAAAGTTATATATAATATTATATATATTTTATATTTATAAATATATAGTTATATACTTATATTAAACATAGATTATAGTTTACAGCTGCTGTGTTTCTATATCTTAGCTATTATGAATAGTGCTGCAATAAATACGGGGGTGCAGACATTGATTTCATTTCCTTTTGGATATATACTCAGAAGTGGGATTGCTGCATTATATGGTAGTTCCATTTTTAATTTTAATTTTGATGAACATTCATACTGTTTTCCATAGTGACCGTACCAATTTATGCAAGAGTTCCCTTTTCTCCACATCCTTGCCAATACTTATTATGTGTCGTTTTGATAATAATGGTTCTAAGAGGTGTGAAATGATTGCTCATTGTGGTTTCGATTTACATTTCCCTGATGATTAAGGATGTTGAGCACCTTTCCATTTACCTGCTGGCCATTTGTCTGTTTCCTGAGAAATGTCTGCTTAGATCTCTTGCCCATTTTTAAACCAGGTTATTTGGGATTTTTTGCTATTGAGTTATTTAAGCTCCTTATATATTTTGGATATTAACCCCTTATCAGATCGTTTTTGATTTGTAAATATTTTCCTCAGCTCTGGAGGTCACCTTTTTACTCTGTTGTTTCTTTTGCTGTGCAGAGCTTTTTAGTTTGATGCAATCCCACCTGTCTATTTTTGCTTTCGTTTCCTGTGCTTTTGGTGTCATATCCAAAAAATCATTGCCCAAGCCAATGTCAAGTTTTCCCTATGTCTTCATCTAGTAGCTTTACAGTTTCTGGCCCTATAAGTCTTTAATCCATTTTGAATTGATTTTGTATATAGTGTGAGATAAAGGTCCAATTTCATTCTTTTGCATGTGGATATTCATTTTTAGGGATGACGAAAATGTTCTGGAGACGGATGACGGTAATGATTGACAACTTTGTGAATGTAGTTGATTTCACTGATTTGTGCACTTAAAAATGATTAAAATAGTCAATATTTAGTTATGCATATTTTACAACAATGAAAAATATTTAGGCCGGGTCCAGTGGCTCACACCTGTAATCCCAGCCCTTTGGGAGGCCAAGGCAGGCAGATCACTCGAGGTCAGGAGTTCTAGACCAACCTGGCCAACATGGCGAAACCCCATCTCTACTAAAAATACAAAAACTCAGCCGGGCTTGGTGGCATGCACCTGTAATCCCAGCTACTCAGGAGGCTGAGGCAAGATAATTGTTCGAATCCGGGAGTCAGAGGTTACAGTGAACTGAGATTGCGCCACTGCACTCCAGCCTCGGCAACAGAGTGAGACTCCATCTCAAAAAAAATTTTTTTCAGAAAAAAAAGAGAAACTTGCCCATGTTATGGAGCTAATGAGTGGTGGAAATGCGTTCTGAACCCAGGCAGTCTAGTTCTAGGATTCTGGCATATGTCACCAAAAGAGATTGGGATATGAAAGGCCTTTAGGGAAAAATACAAAGCATGAGAAAAAAAATGGAAATACTAAAAAATAATAGGCCATTTATGGAGCTTTGCTCCTTATCAGTTATCTTTCTTCAGGCAGCTAGAAATGGTGGGAAACACTCAGGATCGAAGCTCTAGGAAAACTGGTTCCAAGTCTGGAAACTATGAGACTGCAGCAAATTCCCCCTAGTCTCTCAAGCTTCCTCCTCCTTGGGGTTAATAGCCAATCTGCCAATCTTCAGGATGGTTGTGCAGGTCACAAGAGTTAATGGGTGTGTGTTTCAATGATCTATTACTGAAATGATCTATAATAAACCACCCCACTCTAAAGCTGGGCTTAGCTGGGCAGTTCTTTTGGTCCACATGGTGTTCATGAGGTTATTCATGTAGCTGCATTCAGCTAGTAGCTCAGTGGGGGTTGGAATGTCCAAGATGACTTCAGTTACATATTATAGTGCTTAGCTGTAGTTTCTAGAATGTCTTGAGGAGTTGGCTGGGCCTCCCTCTCTCTCCAGGTGCCTTTCCAGCAGAGTAGCTACACTTCTTTATAACCAAGAAGGTAGAATCAGACGTTTTCAATCCTCTTAAGGCCTAGGCTCAGTACTGGCAGAATCACTTGTAGCACATCCTATTGGTCAAAGCAACCAACATGACCAGCCAGATTCAACAGGAGGTAAAACAGAGTCTATCTCTTGAGGAGAGAAACCGTATGCTCATCATGCAAGGACGGACAGAACTACGTGGCAGCCATCTTTGCAGAAAATCCACCACAGTGGTGCCCATAGGTGGGGATCAGAGTTCAACTGTCCCTTGCCCCCTAGAATTAGATAAAAAGAGTCTAATGAACTGTTAGCATAATGCTAAGTGCTGCAGCACACAAAATGCTCGGCAAGTGCTGATGATTATTATTAATCATTATTATTCTTTTAATAGCTTTTTTAAAACAGTCTAAGATAGCACTGGTACTGTATTCAGTTTAAAGTGATATACATGGGTCAAATGAACTTTGAGTTCTTTCCCAACCTTAATACCATGATTCTTTGAGTCTCTTTTTCACAGATTTGGAAACTGAGGCTTAGGAAGATTGCGTGACTTGTCTGGAGTCACACACTAAGCTAGTGCATGACGTCCACATTCAGAGATATCTCCCTCCACTGAATATGCTGGTTTTCACTCGTTCATTTAAAAAATAATGTATTGGGCATCTACCACAAGCCCAAAGGAGTATACATAAACATATACTGACAATTATTTATTGAATACATCCTATGTAATACTGTGTCACTGAATCCTCATCACAAGCCTATGATGAACCAACCCCCTTCCCATTTCACAGATGGGAATGAGGAAGAGCAAGGTAAAAAACGAACAAACAAAAAAACAGGGTCCACCCTCATGGGGATTACAGTCTACTAAAGAGGATATAGGATAGTCAAACAAATACTTAAAATCAAACAAATACTTAAATATATAATTACAAATTATTCTTGGAGTCGTACTGCTCTTGGAGCCCCAGTGCCCACCCTTTCCCTCAAATCAAGGTCTCAGGTAACCCTGGCAATGGGTCTTCCTGCCAGTAGTAAAGATGGCGCTGAGAGCACGAGCGCACTTTCGCACACCCCCATTACCCACAATGCAGCGGGAATAAGGGAGGCTCAGTTTCTGCCAGGAGCTAATATGGCTTCCTTAGTTACACCGTTCTCTCTCTTCACCTAATCAGCGACCTTACTTTCCCAGACCAGACTGTCGAGCAGGAGCTAAGACTCCTTTTCCCCTCTGCTGACCGCCACTACAGGAGCGGTTGAAGCCAGACGACCACCTTGTGGAGTTAAACTCCGTAACCAGGGAGCACCACTTCCGCTGACGTCATTACGGCGACACGTGGATCCAAGATGGCGACGGCGATGGTGAGTGAAGGAGACTCCGGGAGCGGGAGCTGGAGCGGGGCCCTCCGGGGTATCCCAGGATCTTCCAGCACCCCATGCCTGGCCCTGAGCCACCTCCGGGACCCCTGACTCAGGCCTGAGGGCTACCTCTGACTGGGCTTGTCTTCCCCGAAATCCACCTCCCTGGCCCTGCCCCTGCACTCAGGCTTGTGAAGGCCCCGAGTTTTGGGGGAGGCGCCGTTTCGGAGGAAGACCTCGGCTGCTGCCTTCGCCGGTTCCCATTCTACTTTTGGTCTCCGCCCACTGTGAGCCCCATTTTCCATTTCTCACCTCCCTGTCCTGACCCCTCTGAAGACCCCCTCCCGTTATTCTCATCCTTGCTCCTCCCCGTCACGTCCAGACCCTGCTCTCCCCGCCTCCCCACCATCATAACCAGTCCGCAGATGTGACCTCTCCTCTGACCACCCTCCCAGCCCAAGCGCTGCCTCAGATCCTTTTCAGAGCCCTGTCCTCACTTACACTCATAGCTGTCCCCATCGCGCACCCCCTTGACTGCCGCTACCCCAGAGCTTGCCTTCACCTACCCCACCCCCATCTTTCATCCCTAGAGGCTTCCCTGCCCTTCCTGTCTTCTCTCAGTCAACTCCCTGCCCCTCTCTTAGGGACCTTTTACCCTGTTGGTTCTCAAACTTTACTGTGCATAAGAATCTCGAGGTGTGTAGGGGGAGGCATGCTAAAAATGCAGTTTCCTGAGCAGCCCCACTCCCAGAGATTCTAATTCCATAGGGCTAGGTGATGCCCAGGAATCTGCCCTTTTATAAGCACTCTAGTGATTATATAGTGGAGGTGGTCTGTGAACTACGTTTTGAAAAACACTAATAGCCCCACCTCACTGCTCTCCTTCCCATTCCCCAACATGGCCACACAGCTCGTTAGGGATGAAGGCTCTTTATTATGAAGCTATATGTTGGGATGAAGTCTGTGTGTGGATGAGGGTGGAGGTAAAATAGCCATGCTTGGAAGTTGGGTCAGAGCTTGCGGGCTCCTGGTGCAGAACCTTGGAAGTAAATCTTTGAAGGACTGGCCCTTTTTCTAAAAGTTTAGTTCAAATTCTGCTTGTCAAGAGACCAGAACTAAAATTGAAGTCACTTAGTCCAGAATGATTTCCTGGGTCTTCCTGCATACTGCCTCCTCAGCAGATAATTTCGTCCGGGGAGTGAATGACAAGGAAGACTCAGAGAAAAGGAAATGACATTTGACTTTAGCAAAGGAAGATTCTGGCTTAAATAATTTGGTGTTGGTTTTCTCCAAACAGGGATATATTATTGACTGGTAGCAATTTTCCCTCCTTCTCTTAGCTGACTGAGAACTTACCTTTGTTTAATGAGGGATTCCTTATTTAGAACTTCAGAGGTCAGGTAAAAAGATTTCATGGCCTTACCTGGTTTCTGTGGTTTCAGACTTCAGGCTGAACCACGAGTGGGGCAAATCCTCAAAGTAGTATGTTGAAACCTACATATATGTATATATATTCTGGTACCACATTCAGAACAGAGATAGTGTAAGAACTTAAAAGGAAATCACACCCTCTCTTGCTATAAGGAAAACATTGAGTAAAGTGGTATTTACGGCACTGCACTGGGAAATCCCTGCCTTGTTCAGAGATTTTTAAGAGGTTATAAGCTAGCAATACATATATGTGGTACACATCTATTTAGTCAACAAATATTTGAGTACCAATTCTGTTCCAGGAACTAGGGATGTAGTTGTGAATTACAGGGTCAAGGTCCCTACACTTGTGGAGCCTTTCTGGTTTGAGGAGACAGGCAGTGAACAAGTAAATACGTGAACAAAATAATGTCACCAGTAGATGCTGTGAGGACAGCAAAATGAAGTGATAGTGATTAGGGGTGACTGGGTGACACAACTACTTTGGATTGAGTGGTCAGAAAGAAGTCTTCTCAGAGGAGGTGACTTGAGTTAAAACATAATTAACAAGAAGGAACCAGCCATGCAAAGAATGTTCCAAGCAAAGGAAATGGCAAGTGTAAGGGGCCGATGTGGAAGGGAGCTTGGTGTTTTTGAGGAACACACAGAAGGCTGGAGGGGCCGAAGCATGATGAGGGTTGGGGTAGGAGAGAATGATACAAGATGAAACTGGAGGGAAGCAAGAGCAACTGTTTTGAGAAGCATGCCTGGAAATGGGAAGGACTGCGGT
The DNA here is from genome assembly GCF_000001405.40 of Homo sapiens. Classification (NCBI taxonomy): domain Eukaryota; kingdom Metazoa; phylum Chordata; class Mammalia; order Primates; family Hominidae; genus Homo; species Homo sapiens. The sequence goes on from NC_000020.11 coordinate 32,111,953, forward strand.
CTACATTTTGTTGTCTGTGGATTGCATTTTGAAATAGTGTTGTATTAGGCTGCTTCCCCTTCCCATCCCCTTCAGGACAGTACTTGAAGGGAGCCAGCTTGTTCTCAGTTGGCACAGAGGCTGTGGAAAGGAGTTTGGATTTTAGTCTAAGCACAGTGGAAGGGACAGTGATTTTTGCCCAGCACAGTGACTCACACCTGTAATCCCAGCACTCTGGGAGACCAAAGCTGGGAGATCGCTTGAGCTCAGGAGTTTGAGACCAGCTTGGACAACATGGCAAACCCCTCTACAAAAAAAATACAAAAAGAAAAAATTAGCTGGGCTTGGTGGTGTGCACCTGTAGTACCAGCTACTTGCGGGGCTGAGGTGGGAGGATCACTTGAACCTCAGTGAGCCCTGATCACTGCACTGCACTCCAGCTTTGGCAACAGAGCGAGACCCTGTCTTAAGAAACAACAACAGGCCGGGAGCAGTGGCTCATGCCTGTAATCTCAGAATTTTGGGAGGCTGAAGCAGGCAAATCACTTGAGGCCAGGAGTTCAACACCAGCCTGGCCAACATGGCGAAACCCTGTCTTCTAAAAATACAAAAATTAGCAGGGTGTGGTGGCACACACCTGTAATCCCAGCTACTCGGGAGGCTGAGGCACAAGAATCGCTTGAACCCGGGAGGCGGAGGCTACAGTGAGCCAAGATCGTGTCACTGCACTGCAGCCTGGGTGACAGAGTGAGACCCTATCTCAAAAAAAAAAAAAAAACAAAAAACAAAACACACCACCACCAACAAAACCCTGCAAGTACGGTGATTTAGTGTTTGTTGTGCCACCTGGGAGTGTTGTACTGAAAACAGTAACTGATTTAAAGAAACTGAGTATGTAACATATGCAGTGACCCACAGAGGCCAGTTTAAAGGGTGCATATGGAGAAACTTCATATCTGGTGCAATAGTGAAAAGGTGTGGAAGCAAATTTATTACAGGGGTATGTGATGAAGGGGCAAAGTGGAGTCACAGGCTTGAGTTTGGTCTGTGTCAGCACTTCATTACACGGAAGTCAGAATAGTCCCCACACCCTCATACACACCCTCATTTCATAACCATTGGGGCGAGGGGGTGCGGTAGACCTACTTTGGAGTGTATGGGTCTCTGAGGTGAGTCATACAGCCAAAGAGGAACTGAACTAGTGGATCCAGTGGCCGTGGGAATAGCTGGGTTGCTGGTTTGTCCTTTGTTTTGAAAGTTAGGGTTGTGGGTGCAAGTGCGGTGGCATGTGAGCTTTTCCCTTTCTCTCTTTCCTTGGTGAATGGCTCTTCTTCCCCAAGGGTTGAGCCGCCAGCTCCCAGAACAATGTCAGTATGGAGGGTGTTTCCTGAACCCGCAGGGCAAGACTTCTCCCTCCATAGAAGATAGCTGGTGTAAACTGAAGTTCTCTTTGATTTTCCTGTCTTCTTCCATCCTTAGATTTAGACTACTCTGTAAAGTTACAGGATACAGTGTTGATCTAGCTAGGTCTGAATTGAGATGCGGGCTCATGTCTCACTCTTTATGGAAAACGGTTCTTGGGAATATTATTTCATTGAAACTTGGGAAATGTCCATTGAGTACATTTCTAGATGTGTCAGGAGTCTAGAAACTTCAGTTTGGAGAATAAAACTCTACTTCCCTCACATCATTGTTCATACTGTTTTGGTTTTTATTATAATCTTCTTTATGGATATAATTCATATGCCATAAAATTCACCCCTTTAAAGTATATAATTTAGTGGGTTTTAGTGTTTTTATAGGTTGTGCATACACTAAATGTGATGGTTATCACCATTGTGTAATTCGGAACATTTCATCACCCCAAAAAGAGAGTCACTCCCTACTCTTCCCTCCCCACAGCCCTAGGCAACTACTAATTTACCTTCTGTCCCTATAGATTTGCCTATTCTGGACATTTTATACAAAGATAATTATATAATATGTGATCTTTTGTGTCTGGCTTCTTAGCATAATGTTTTCAAAGTTTGTTTATGTTGTATCATGTATCAGTAGTGCCGCATCCCTTTTTATGGCTGAATCTTCCCTTGTATGGATGTACCACAGCTTGTTTATCACTCATCAGTTGATGGATATTGGGATTGTTTTCACTTTTTGGTTGTTAGGTATAATGCTGCTGTGAACATTCAGGTGTAAGTTCTTGTGTGAACATACATTCAGTTTCCATGGGTGTATGGAAGTGTATTCCTGCATCAGTTCACACTGTTTTGAGGTTACTTGGGTTTGAGCCACTCCAGAAACAGGAATGGAATAAATGACATCAAGATTCCTTTGTGCTAATGGAGCCAATGCCAGTAGTCCCTCCAGCCCCAGTCAAAGGCACAGAAACTGGTTTTGTTTGTTTGTTATTATTATTTGAGACAGGGTCTCACTCTGTCATCCAGGCTGGAGTGCAGTGGCACGATCATAGTTCACTGCAGCCTCCACCTCCCGGGCTCAGGCGATCATCTTGCCTTAGCCTTCTGAGTAGCTGGGACTACAGGCACGCACCACATCCACCTAATTTTTTAATTATATTTTTCTTAGAGACAGGGTCTTGCTATGTTGCCCAGGCTAGCCTTGAACTCCTGGCCTCAAGCAATCCTCCCGTCTTGACCTCCCAAAGTGCTGGGATTACAGGTGTGAGTCACTGTGCCCAGCAAAAACTGTTTTTAATGGTGAAATAGCGTGCTAATCAGGTTGGATGATAGAGTCCTGGAACAGAAGGCCAGAGGCCTGAACTGTGCCATCAGTCTTGTGTGCAGGAAGTTGCTGTCTCCTCTGGACCCCATGTACAGGAGGACATGAGCTGACTGAAGAAGGAACGCTGGAGCAGGAGCCAGCAGCCTGGGCTTGGTCCCAGCGCTGCCACTGATGCATTGTGTGGCCTGGGGCAAATTACTTTGGCTTCATTAGTCTGTTTTCCACATATGTCATGTGTGAAATTAAGGTTTGTACTTGATGATTTCCAAATTCTGAGTTGAAAATTTTGTAGTTTGGAATACTTTAAGGTGAGTTTTGCTAATATGCCTATAAAATCAGACTTATTTTGTTTTTTCCATGATGATGGTCACTGTGATCTTTCCAAGCTGTTGTGTTGGTTGTATTGTCTGTCTGATCACCCAGGTTTCCCCACCTGGCTCATGTTCTGCAGGAGCTACTGTGTCCTTGGAGCTGAGGTGCTGACATCGGGCCTTGGTTAAATGTGTTTCTCTGAGGGGTCCCTTTAAAGGAATGCCCTTAATCCCCCTCAGGAAGTACAGAGGAGGTTGGGATCACATTAAGTTGCCTCTTAGTTTCTGTTTTACAACTTGGACAAACGTCTCCCTTTGATCTTGGCATTAAAGAAGCACGTCAGAGAATGTTGGAGAAGGCTGAGTTTTGATCTCTGGGCACTGGCAAAAAGGTGGGAAGGACCCAGGATGAGAAGAGCCATCTGGCCACGGATGAATAATAGGAGCCACTACCACCTTCAAGCCTGCTTTGATCCCTGAACCATTTGCTGACACTAGAGTTTCCCAAATGGGGCATGGATGGGGACACCCAGGACTTCTCAGTTCCATCTCATTCCTTTTCATTGCTTCCTTCTCTCCCTTCCTAACATGGTTTCTCACCTATGCCTGATGCTTTAAACCAACAGACCTCCCAGGGTTTGAAATCCTCTTATGCTTGGTCTGAGAATCTGGGCTAGACTCCCAGCTCTGACACTGTGATTACTTTTGTGACTTTGGACTGATTGGTTATGTGATTTTGGGAAAACCGTTTGCGCTTTTAAGCCTCAATTACCTTATATTAAAATTTTTTATTGTGGTAATAACAAAACCTACCACTTTAAGCTTTTTTTTTTTTTTTTTTTTTTTTGAGACAGAGTCTCACTCTGTCGCCCAGGGTGGAGTGCAATGGTGCGATCTCAGCTCAGTGCATTACTGCAACCTCTGTCTCCTGGGTTCGAGCGATTCTCCTGCCTCATCTTCCCAAGTAGCTGGGACTACAGGCATGTGCCACCACGCCTGGCTAATTTTTGTATTTTTAGTAAGGATAGGGTTTCGCCATGTTGGCCAGGCTGGTCTCGAACTCCTGACCTTGGGTGATCCACCTGCCTCAGCCTCCCAAAGTGCTGGTATTACAGGCATGAGCCACCATGCCTGGCCCACTTTAAGCATTTTTAAGTGTGCAGTTCAGTGGCATTAAGTACGTTTACACATATGCAGCTGTTAGCACTATCCGTCTCCAGAACTTTTTCATCATCTCATTTTTGAAACAAGGATGATATTCTCAAGGGATTGTTGTGATGATTAAATGAAATATGAGATGAAAGTGCTAGCACAGAGAGGGCACTCTGTAACTTTACTCCAAGGTTTGAAGTCTTCCCGTGGTGAGCTATCTAAGCCTGCTGCTTGGGCTAGCTGAGAGTTCTTTTATAAATACCCAAGGTGGAGACAGGAGAGCAGTACGTTTCTGCACTTGGTGGTGTCAGGGTTGAAGTCTGGTTGCCTGTTGCTTCGTGAGGGTGGTTATTAGTTTCACCTGGACTTCCGCAGTGCAGCCTGCTGTGCGTTTTTCCCTACCCCCAAATTACAGCTTTGAGTCTTTCATGTGTCTCTGTTCAACAGCTACTCTGTGTCTGTGGGCTCTGAAATAAAGGCTACATTTTCAGTTTCCTGTGGCTAATTTGTTTTTTGTTTGTTTGTTTGTTTGTTTCTTGCTCTGTGAGTTCTTTAGTTCCATGGGCCTGCTTGGTAAGTTGTCTCTAGCTGTCATTAGCCTTCATTCACATGCGGCTGGATTCTTGGTAAGCTTTAACTGACTGGATAATTGACTTCAGTTAACTGTTGGCAAACTGTGCCCAAAGCCTTTTTCTTTTTTTTTTTTTTCCTCCTTTTTCCTTTTTCTTTTTTTTTTTTTTTTTTTTTTTTTTGCTTAATCTGAGGGAGCAGTTACTGACATGGTCTCAAAATGGTGACTGTCGCCAGGCACAGTGGCTTACACCTGTAATCCCAGCACTTTGGGAAATGCCGAGGTCGGAGTGGGTCATTTGAGGTCAGGAGCTCAAGACCAGCCTGGCCAACATGGCGAAACCCTGTCTCTACAAAAATACAAAAAAATTGCCGGGTCTGGTGGCAGGCACCTGTCATCCCAGCCACTCAGGAGGCTGAGGCAGGAGAATCACTTGAACCCAGGAGGCGGAGGTTGCAGTGAGCCAAGATCATATCACTGCACTCTAGCCTGGGCAACAGAGCTAGACTCTGTCTCAAAAAAAAAAAAAAAAAAAAAAAGTGACTGTCTTTTAGAAAGAAAAAGAAGAATCTAGTCTATTGCTAAGGAAAATGCTGCTTTTGCAGTAGGAAAGGCATGGAACAGGAACCAAAAAGGCCGTTCAGATTGGCCAGATGTATTGCTGCTAGTTGATGCTATTTATGGGAAAGGAGATTGCAAGGCAGAGGGCTCCAGAAAAAGTTAACTTCTGGTTACAGAGAAATGCAAGTGAATGAAATAATTTTTCGTTCTCAGGGAAACTTCCTGTTTTCTTTGGAAGATGTTAATTGTTCACACCTTTCAAACTGGGTGGGGTGAATTTGGAGTGGCTGGGGGTACTTTTGAGTCCTAGCAGCCCTTCATTAGACAGCTGTTTGGGGGAGATATTTCTGAGTGCCCAACCCACCCCCGCCCCCCCAAGAATAAAACAGATGGGGAGGGAAAGACCTTGATTCTTGGTTCTCTTGAGCTTTATAACATTCCAGGTCACCTGTATCTTTGCCAGTGATGGCGTGTTAGATTACAGCACAAAAGGCTTCTAGATTGCCATCACCTTGTTCCTTGATATGCTGCCTTTGAGGTCTCTTTTGCTACTTGGAAACCAAGTAGCAAAAGCAAAATGACGTTGAATGGGCTGGTTCACATCTCTTAGGACTCTTTGCATGGCTCTGAACATGCAGAAGATGATTACTAAATATTTAATTGACTTTTCAGACTGAACCTCTCATGGGAGTTAATGAGGCAATCAATTAAAAATTAAAAGAAAATTTAAAGGAATTTCCTAAGAAGCAGGTACTTTGCTTTTTCCTTACAGAAAAGAACTGCAGGCCAAACATCCTCTATCAGGCTATCAGGAATATAGAAGGTGATGAAGTCATAGAATCATAAAAAGTTGGAACAGTGTCCAGGGGTTTTACCAGAAACCCATGAACTTCTAGTCCTTGATTCTCTGTGTATTGGAATATTTTTTCCGAGATCAGTATCTGTAGCTTTGATAAGTTTCTCAGAGGGATTTGTGACACCCTCCCCAAGATTAAAAATTGCTGATCTGTCTGCTTACCCACATACCTGGTGCCAGAATCCGCTCTGCATAATTCTTACCTTAGCCCACTTTCTGCACATCTTCTGTGGAACTCATCCCAGTATTTTCAGAGGCAACCCATTTCCTTCACTTCTTAAAATATAAATGAATATATGTCTTTAATTTTTTAATTTTTTTAGAGACAGGGTCTCACCCTGTCACCCAGGTTGGAGTGCAGTGGTGGAATCATAGCTCACTCTAACTGCAGCCGTCGGACTCCTGGGCTCAGGTGATCCTCCCACGTAATTATAGGTATTAGCTACTATGCCCAGCCTAAATGTATTTATTTTGTTGTATTTATTTATTTATTTATTTATTTATTTATTTATTTATTTATTTTTATTTTGAGACAAGGTCTCACTCTGTTGCCCAAGCTGGAGTGCAGTGGCGTGATTTCTGCTCACTGCAACCTCCACCTCCCAGGCTCAAGTGATCCTCCCACCTCAGCCTCCAGAGTAGCTGTGACTACAGGCAAGCACCACCATTCCTCATTAATTTTTTGTATTCTTTGTAGAGACGAGGTTTTGCTCAGGCTGGTCTCAAACTCTTGGGCTCAAGCGATCCACCTGCCTCGGCCTTACAAAGTGCTGGGATTATAGTCCTGAGCTACTCTGCCCGTAAATGTATTTATTTTTAATAAGGGTGATCCATGTATGTGGAAAAGAGTATTAAAAAGCTATAAAAGTATCAAAACATTATGTTGTGTGCCTACCATAAATATATTCAATTTTTACTTGTCAGTCTTTAAAAAGCTATAAAATGGATCAGGCGCAGTGGCTCACACCTGTAATCCCAGCATTTTGGGAGACTGTGTTGCTCATAAAGGAATACCTGAGGCTGAGTAATTTATAAAGAAAAGAGGTTTATTTGGCCAGATTTGGTGGCTCATGCTTGTAATGTCAGCACTTTGGGAAGCTGAGGCAGGTGGATCGCTTGAGCCCAGGAGTTCAAGACCATCCTGGGCAACATGATGAAACCCAGTCTCTATTAAAAATACAAAAATTAGGGCTGGGCACCGTGGCTCATGCCTGTAATCCCAGCACTTTGGGAGGCCGAGGCAAGCAGATTCTAGTGGGTGTGTGGTGGTACCTCACTGTGGTTTTGGTTTGCGTTTTCCTATTGACAAATGATATTAAATATATTTTATGCTTATTAGTCATTCATATATCTTCTTTGGTGAATTTCTGTACAAATCTCTTGTCCATTTTTAAATCGGATTGTCATTTTCTTATTAAGTGTTCTTTGTATATTCTGGATATAAGTTCCTTATCAGGTATGTGATTTGCAAAGAATTTTCCACTAGTCTTTGGCCCATCTTTTCATTTTCTTAGTGGTATCTTTGGAAGTGTAAAAGTTTTTAAATTTTTATGAAATTTAATTTATTATAATTTTTTTAATGGATTCTGGTTTTGGTGTTGTATCTAAGACATTTTTGCCTAACCCAAGATCACAATGATTTCTTATTTTTTCCGTATAGAGGTTTTTGAGTTTTAGCTTTTTTGTTTAGTTCTGTGATCCATTTTGACTTAATTTTTGTGTGTATGTTCTGAGGTTCCATGTGCATATGGCTACCCAGTGGTCCAAGCACTATGTTTTGAAAAGACTTATGTTTCTCTATTGAATTTGCCTTGTCAGCTTTGTTGAAAATCAATTTAGTATAAATGTAAAGATTTATTTATAGACTTTTAATTATTTTCCACTGATCTTTATGCATATTCTTACCACACTGTCTTGATATTGTAGCTTTATAATATGTTTAGAAATTATGTAGTATAAGTCCTCCAATTACGTTTTTAAGGTTGTCTTAGATGTTCTGGGTCCTTTGTATTTCCATATAAATGCTAGAATCAGCTTGTCAGTTTCTACAGAAAAACCTGCTGGAATTTTGATAAGGATTGCATTGAATCTATAGATCAATTTGGAGAGAACTGACATCCTGACAATATTGAGTCTTCTAGTCCATGAACATGGAATATCTCCGCAATTACCTTTGTTCATTTCTCAGCAATTTCAGAATTTTCAATATACAAGTCCTTTTAAAAATATATATTCCTAAATATTTTATTCTTTTTGATACTAAGTGGTGCGTTTTTTTTTTTTTTTTTTAGTTTTAGTTTTGGATTGTTGTTGCTAGTATGTGGAAATACAATTAATTTTTCTATATTGATCTTATAGTCTGACCTTGGTTAACTTGTTTATTAGTTCTAGTAGTTGTTTTGTGTATTCCTTAGGATTTTCTAGATACACAATCATGTGATCCGCAACTAAAAGCACTTTTTGCTTATTTCTTTTAATTTTTTCCCCTATGCTTCTTCAGGGATGCCCTTAATTATTAATGTGTTTGCTTTAGTGCAGTGACTTATAGTATAGTGTTGAATGGAAATGGCAAGAGTAGGCATCCTTGCCTTGTTCCTGATCTTAGGGGAAATAATTCAGTTTTTCACTACTGAGTATGATGTTGGCTGTGGATTTTTCATAGCTGCCCTTTATCTGATTAAGTTCCCTTCTAGTCCTAAATTGTTGAGAGTTTTAATGATGAATATGTTGGATTTTGTCAACAGCTTTTTCTACATCTATTATGATGATCATATGATTTTTGTCCTTTATTCTGTTTATCTGGTGTATTATATTAATTGATTTTCAAATATTAAGCCAACCTGGGATAAACACCACTTGGTCATGATGTATAAACCTAGATTCAATTTTCTAATATTTTGTTAAGAATTTTTTCATCTGTTCATCATCATCATGAACACACAGGATAGTTGTCCGTAGTTTCCATTTCTTGTGATGTCTTTGCCTGGCTTTGGCACGTGGTTTTTAAAAATTTATTTAGACAAGTGAAAAAAGGCTATACATAAACTACATAAACCCGCTGTGCCTCTTTTTTTTTTTATTTTTCTTTTTTTTTTTTATTGATCATTCTTGGGTGTTTCTCACAGAGGGGGATTTGGCAGGGTCATAGGACAATAGTGGAGGGAAGGTCAGCAGATAAACAAGTGAACAAAGGTCTCTGGTTTTCCTAGGCAGAGGACCCTGCGGCCTTCTGCAGCGTTTGTGTCCCTGGGTACTTGAGATTAGGGAGTGGTGATGACTCTTAATGAGCATGCTGCCTTCAAGCATCTGTTTAACAAAGCACATCTTGCACCGCCCTTAATCCATTTAACTCTGAGTGGACACAGCACATGTTTCAGAGAGCACAGGGTTGGGGGTAAGGTCACAGATCAACAGGATCCCAAGGCAGAAGAATTTTTCTTAGTACAGAACAAAATGAAAAGTCTCCCATGTCTACTTCTTTCTACACAGACAAGGCAACCATCCGATTTCTCGATCCCTTCCCCACCCCTCCCGCCTCTCCATTCCACAAAGCCGCCACTGTCATCCTGGCCCGCTCTCAATGAGCTGTTGGGCACACCTCCCAGACGGGGTGGTGGCCGGGCAGAGGGGCTCCTCACTTCCCAGTAGGGGCGGCCGGGCAGAGGCGCCCCTCACCTCCTGGACGGGGCGGCTGGCCGGGCGGGGGGCTGAACCCCCCACCTCCCTCCCGGACGGGGCGGCTGGCCGGGCGGGGGGCTGACCCCCCCACCTCCCTCCCGGACGGGGCGGCTGGCCGGGCGGGGGGCTGACCCCCCCCAGCTCCCTCCCGGACGGGGCGGCTGGCAGGGCGGGGGGCTGACCCCCCCACCTCCCTCCCGGACAGGGTGGCTGGCCGGGCGGGGGGCTGACCCCCCCACCTCCCTCCGGGACGGGGCAGCTGGCCAGGCAGAGGGGCTCCTCACTTCCCAGTAGGGGCGGCCGGGCAGAGGCGCCCCTCACCTCCCAGACGGGGCAGCTGGCCGGGCGGGGGGGGTGACCCCCCCACCTCCCTCCCGGACGGGGCGGCTGGCCGGGCCGGGGGCTGATGCCCCCACCTCCCTCCCGGACGGGGCGGCTGGCCTGGCGGGGGGCTGACCCCCCACCTCCCTCCCGGACGGGGCGGCTGGCCTGGCGGGGGGCTGACCCCCCCCACCTCCCTCCCGGACGGGGTGGCTGCCGGGCGGAGATGCTCCTCACTTCCCAGACGGGGTGGCTGCCGGGCGGAGAGGCTCCTCACTTCTCAGACGGGGGTGCTGCCGGGCGGAGAGGCTCCTCACTTCTCATACGGGGCGGCTGCCGGGCGGAGGGTCTCCTCACTTCTCAGACGGGGCGGCCGGGCAGAGACGCTCCTCACCTCCCAGACGGGGTGGCGGCCGGGCAGAGGCGCTCCTCACATCCCAGACGATGGGCGGCTGGGCAGAGACGCTCCTCACTTCCTAGATGTGATGGCGTCCGGGAAGAGGCGCTCCTCACTTCCCAGATGGGATGGCGGCCGGGCAGAGACGCTCCTCACTTTCCAGACTGGGCAGCCAGGCAGAGGGGCTCCTCACATCCCAGACGATGGGTGGCCAGGCAAAGATGCTCCTCACTTCCCAGACGGGGTGGCGGCTGGGCAGAGGCTGCAATCTCGGCACTTTGGGAGGCCAAGACAGGCGGCTGGGAGGTGGAGGTTGTAGCGAGCCGAGATCACGCCACTTCACTCCAGCCTGGGCGCCATTGAGCACTGAGTGAACCAGACTCCGTCTGCAATCCCGGCACCTCGGGAGGCCGAGGCTGGTAGATCACTCGCGGTTAGGAGCTGGAGACCAGCCCGGCCAACACAGCGAAACCCCGTCTCCACCAAAAAAATACGAAAACCAGTCAGGCGTGGCGGCGTGCGCCTGCAATTGCAGGCACTCCGCAGGCTGAGGCAGGAGAATCAGGCAGGGAGGTTGCAGTGAGCCGAGATGGCAGCAGTATAGTCCAGCTTCGGCTCGGCATGAGAGGGAGACCATGAGGAGAGGGAGAGGGGGAGGGGGGGAGGGGGAGAGGGGGAGGGGGGAGGGGGAGGGGGGAGGGGGAGAGGGAGAGGGAGAGGCTTTTTTTTTTCTACGTAATAGCTTATGTTGGCAGTACTTCAGTAACAGTTCTACCTTCTATGTAAGTATATATCACTAAATTACCCTCCCTAAAGACTGTACCAGTTTACCTACATCTAGGCTAATCATACTTTTTAAAGCTTTATAACTCTGTTAAGCAAAAAATGAGATATTATTTTGACCTACAGTTTTTAAATTATGAATGATGCTGAGCATCTTTTTGTGTTTGGCCATTTGAGCTTTTTTTTTTAACTGCCCATTCGTATTTCTTTTGGATTATTTGTCCTTTATCAGTTTCTAAGTGTCCTTGTATATTGAAGAAAGTAGTTCTTGGTCAAGTATGTTAAATGTTTTTACCTAAACTCTTTTTCTTTCTCTTTGGTGTATTTTTTCATTTTTTTCCCTTATACATTTATATATACATTTTCTTTATACCTTCTGGATTTTGCTTTATTCTTAGGAAACTTTCCATGAAGATTATTTAAAAGCATATCCATATTTTCTTCTAATACTTCTATTTTAATTATACTTGTAAGTCTTTTATGTTCTTTTCACCAGTATCAAACACTTTGGATAGCTCTCTAGCTCACGTGTTCTCTCTCTCATATATATATATATATATATATTTTTTTTTTTAAAGAGATAGGGTCTCCCTCTGTCATCTGTGCTAGAGTGCAGTGGCACAATCATAGCTCGCTGCAACCTCAAACTCCTGAACTCAAGTGATCCTCCTGCCTCAGCCTCCCAAGTAGCTAGGTCTGCAAGCCCACTTCACCATACCCAACTAATTTTTAAATAATTTTGTAGAGACAAGGTCTCACTATTTTGTCCAGGCTGTTCTCAAACTCCCATCTGTCCTCAAGTGATTCTCCTGCCGAAGTGCTGGGATTGCAGGTGTGAGCCTCCATGCCTGGCCTGGGTAGGTCTACATTTTAATGTTTAGTAAAACTAGCCTGCCTTCATTATTTCTCTTTTCAAAATCATCCCGAAGTAACGGACAAATACCAAATTGACTACAATGGTTTGTTAAAAGAAAGGCTTTGAATTGGGGGAGAGACAAGTGAGACAAACAATCAGAGGAAAATAATTGGAAAGGGATGGTCAAAGGAGAAAAATAAGCAGTTCATCTGTGGCAGTACAGTTCTTCTTGAACACCTCTAATCGTGACCTCAAACTGTCCCTAAGCATGGTTCCCAGCCTGGTGATAGACCTCTGTTCACTTGGCTGTGCCAGTCTGGGTGGAACTGGACTTACTTCACTTTGCAGATAACTTGCTGTGTGACCGTGGGTCTTTCAGTTTCCCTCTCTGACCCCCTGGATTATATGACCTCTGAAGTTCTTTTAAAAACTTTTTTTTTTTTTTTAGATGAAGTCTCATTCCATCACCCAAACTGGAGTGCAATGGCACAATCTTGGCTCACTGCAACCTCTGCCTCCCAGGTTCAAGCAATTCTCCTGCCTCAGCCTCCCAAGTAGCTGGGATTACAGGCGTGTGCCACCACGCCTGGCTAATTTTTGTATTTTTAGTAGAGACAGGGTTTCACCATCTTGGTCAGGCTGGTCTCAAACTCCTGACCTCAGGTGATCCACCCTCCTTGGCTTCTCAAAGTGCTTGGATTACGGGTGTGAGCCACCGCACCCAGCCCTACAAATTGTCTTTTTAACCCCATCAAACCCAACTTGGAATGGAACTTTGCCTTGTTTTGTTTTGTTTTACTTTTACGTTACTTTGGTTGATAAAATGTCAAATATTCTCAAGGGAATTATGAACTTCTTGAGCTTCAAGGGAGGTCATGAGACCTCTGATTCAACCTGTTCATCAGGGCAGAGACCTCCTCTGCCACCTCCTCCCATGGTCACTCAGCTCACGGTGACGGTTGCATAGCTTTCCTGTTAGAAGAGCCCTTAGAGTGGGCCCACTGCATCTCCCTTGCAGTGTCCTCCTTGGTTCTGCTTTCTTGTGCAACCCAAAACAAGTCCACCCCGCCTTATCAAGCACCTACTATGTGCCAAGTGCTCTGTGAACTTTATTTAATCTTTACCACCATCACCCTACCATGAGGTTAGTAGTATTTTCCTAGTTTACAGATAAGAACCCAAGACTCAAAAGAGTTATACAAATTTACCCAAAGTCACACAGCTAGGAAGTGGTAGGTTTGGGATTTGAATTCATGTCTGTATGGCCCTCAAAGCCTGTGCTTTTTCCAGTACACCAGTGGTTTTCAAAGTGTGATTTCAAGAGCAGCAGCATCTTCTGGGAACTTGCTAGAAGTGCACATTCTCAGGCCCTGCCCCAGACCCAGGTGTTTTAGTAAGCCCTCCTGGTAATTTCCATGCATGCTCAAGTTTCACCACTGCATGTCATGTGCTCCGCTTCGGTACCTGGCTGCTGCTTCTCTTCACATTTGACCAAGAATTTATAAGTGATTTCTCTTTTTTCTTTTTTTTTTTTTTTTTTTTTGAGACATAGTCTCGCTTTGTCACCCAGGCTGGAGTGCAGTGGTGTGATCATGGCTCACTGACTCAGGTGATCCCTCCCACCTCAGCCTCCCCAGTAGCTGGGGCTACAGGCACGTGCCATCACGCCCAGCTAACTTTTTGTATTTTGGGTAGAGATGGGGTTTTAGCATGTTGCCAAGGCTGGTCTCAAACTCCTGGGCTCAAGCAATCCACCCACCTCTGCCTCCCAAAGTGCTGGGATTATAGGCATGAACCACCGCACCGGGCTAGATTATTTCATTTATCGTTATTAGATGTCAAATCTAGGACTGGATATTACTGCGTCTCCAGAGCAGAAATGTGCTGCACACAGCCCTCTTTCCCGTAAACACACACACACACACACACACACACACACACACACACAGTAGCCAGAGTAACCTTTAAAACTGCAGATATGATTTATTCCTTTTCTACTTAAAATTCCTGAGTCTCCTCACTGCACTGAGAACAAAGCCCAACACTTGCTACTCATAGGATGGTCCATGAACCAAAAGTGTCGTCATTACCTAGGAGCTTGTTAGAAATGCAGAGTCTCAGGCCCTACCCAGACCTTCTGAATCAGAATCTGCATTTTAACAATGTCACCAAGTGATTTAAATGCACATTAAACTTTAAGAAGCACCAGCCTATATATTACCTGCCAAAAACTCATAGTTGCCACCAGGCCTTTGCGTCTGTGTTTTGCTCTTTCTGGAACCCTTCTCTTTTTCCTCTCGCCTCCCTTCAGGTTTCAGGGTAGACTTAAGTTCTTAGATTTGCACTCCTTCCCTGCCCCAAGACTGGGTATATTGCTGCTCCCATGTACTCCCCAACATATTGTTCTTAGCCTCTTAACTTGCTGAGAGCATCTGGGACCTAGTGTTGTGATGGGCTGATGGCTCATCTGTGTCTCCCCACCCGCCTGAAAGCTCCTTGTGGGCATGTATTCTTGAGGCTGGCACAGTGCCTGACACACAGTAGGTGCTCAATAAGTAGTTGGTGAACTAATTTCTTTTTTTTTTTTTTTCCTGAGACGAAGTCTCGCTCTTGTCCCCCAGGCTGGAGTGCAATGGCACTATCTTGGCTCACTGCAACCTGCGCCTCCTGGGTTCAAGCAATTCTCCTGCCTCAGCCTCCCAGGTGGCTGGGATTACAGGCGCCTGCCACCACGCCGGCTAATTTTTGTATTTTTAGTAGAGACGGGGTTCACCATGTTAGCCAGGCTGGTCTCAAACTCCTGACCTCAGGTGAACCGCCCGCCTCGGCCTGCCAAAGTGCTAGGATTACAGGCACGAGCCACCGCACCCAGCCTGTTGAACTAATTTCTGTCCTGGTTTGAACATGGGCTTTGGGCTCAACCAGGCTAAATCCTGTTTAATCCTAATATTGTTCACTGCTAATCCTGAGAGCCTGTCTGACTCTCAGTTTCCTCATCTGTGAAATGGGAATAATAAGAGTCCCTACCTCATAGGATTGTTTTCATTGAGTTATTCCATGGACAGAACCTAGAATTGTGCTTAGCACGTAATTAGCATTCAATACATGTTAGCTGCCATTGTTATGAACATCATCGTTACAGTCTCCTCATTTGTAATGCAATTCATCTGCTTGAAAAGAGCATCCTTGTTCCTCCACTTTCTGGCTGGATGGGCAAGTTACTTAACTTCTGGGTCTCTGGGTCTCAGATTAACACCATCTGCGAAATGGTGACCAAAATCTCCAGGTACCTGTAGTTGTGAGGATACCACAAATCAATGTTTGTCAGTGCCTAGCAGGGCGCAGGGACTTGGTAAGTGGAAAGAAGGAACCCGGTCTGTCACTGTGCCTTGTGCTTAGGAGGTGCTCAGTGACTCTGGCTTCTTGTTGTTTTTTGGTGTTGTTTTCCTGTTCGGGCATTCTTGTTGTGTCTTTTTGTTTTTGTTTTTTTATGTGTATACTTGCTCCATTGGTTTGAGACTGGAACAAAAGTGTATTGAAGTCTTTCAGGATTTGCTTTTCATTCCTCTGCAACCTGAGCTTCGCAGAGAGCCCTTGAGTTCCCTAGGGTGGTGTCTCTCAACTAAATCTGGAGGATTCTGTTTCAAAAGAAGGTAGAACTGCAGTAACTGCTTAGACTTAATTGGCTTGATAACCAGAGGAGATTGTGATCCCCTGCACTGGTTTCAAATCACCTATCAGATGAGACAAAAAGGTCTGGTGTCCAGCTTCTTAGGAGACATTCAGAACACAGGTTATTGATGAGCAAGAAATAATGATAATCATACTTACATATAAGGGTTGTGGCTAACTGCTTATTAATGCTTTCAAATTCATGTTCTTTTTTGAGTTCCACTTCTACCACATGAATCCATCCTAGTAAATGAGGACACAGCCCAGCAAAGTTGAAGTTGATTGCCCAGTGCTGCACAGCTGAGGGGAGGGTATAACTCCCTGGCCTTATTTTGGGGCCCCAGGCTCAGTGCTTTCCCTAGCATATGATAGCCACCCCATTATTGGTTGTCAAGATGCAGTTTTAAATCTAGTCAAAGAGAAATACAGACCACTACATCCCTTCTGAGAGGTTTGTATCATCTGGGATAGACACTTCTACCTAAGCAGTGGTTTTTGACCCTGACTGCACTTTAGGATGACCTAGAGCAGTGCTGCTTAAACTTTAACTCAGGGAACTTGCTGAAATGCAGGTTCTAGGGTAGGGCCCGTGATTCTGCATTTCTTTTCTTTTTTAAAATAAAATTTAGGAGGTACCAAGTGCAGCTTTGTTACATGGGTAGATTGGGTAGTGGGGAAGTCTGGGCTTTTAATGTAACCATCCCCCGAATAATGTACATTGTATGCAGTAAGTAATTTCTCATCCGTCACCACCCCTACCCTTCAGAGCCTCCAATGTTATTATTCCACACTGTGTGTCCATGTGTACACATTATTTAGCTCCCACTTATAAGCAAGGACATGCAGTATTTGACGTTGTTTCTGAGTTGTTTCACGTAAGATAATAGTCTCCAGTTTCATCCATGTTGCTGCAAAAGACATGATTTTATTCTTTTTTATGGCTGAAGAGTATTCCATTCTGTGTGTGTGTGTGTGTGTGTGTGTGTGTGTGTGTGTATACATTTATACAGTGTCCCAAGTCCTAGGTCTCCCTGAAGGCTTAGAAAGAAAAGGTGGGAGGTGCTGCTGGAAAGGCACTGGGGCCGGTGGGTGGAAGTTCCTCCATACCAAGCTAGGATTACTCTAACCTCAGTGTTCAGAACAGTGATGTTTTCTTTTGCCTCATTTATTATTTAAGTGGCATACATACTATATAATCATCTAAGAAAATTAGAAAATATAGATACACAAAAAAGGAAAAAAGCTCATCACTAAGACATTTTGCCTCCTAAATATTTTTCCAAAGATAAAAAAAAAAAGGAATCCTGCCACACAGTGTTCTAGCTCCTGCTTTTACTATGTAAATCTAAAGCTTGAACATTCCTACTCAAGAAATGTATCGGCCAGGTGCAGTGACTCACACTTATATCTCAGCACTTTGGGAGGCTGAGGCGGGAGGATTGCTTGAGCCCAGAAGTTTGGGACCAGCCTGGGTAATATAGGGAGACACTATATTTACAAAAAATCAAAAAAATTGCGGTGCATGGTGGCGTGTGCCTGTGGTCCCAGCTACTTGGCAAGTTGAGGTGGGAGGATCTCTTGAGCCCAAGAGGTTGAGGCTGCAATGAACTGTGATTGCACCACTGCACTCCACCCTGGACAACAGAGTGAGACCCTGTCTCAAAAAAAGAAAAACATGTCATCACTTTCAATGACCATTTAAATGGACATATAATAATTTAACCCATTCCATTAACATTTGACATTTTACTATTGTAAGTAGTGAATTTTTTTTTTTTTTTTTTTGAAATAGAGTCTCCCTTTGTCGCCCAGGATGGAGTACAGCTCACTGCAACTTCCGCCTCCCGGGTTCAAGCAATTCTCCTGCCTCTGCCTCCCAAGTAGCTGGGATTACAGGCATCTGCCACCACACCTGGCTAATTTTTGTTCTTTTAGTAGAGATGGGGTTTCACCATGTAGTCCAGGCTGGTCTCGAACTCCTGACCTCAGGTGATTTGCCCCCAACTTGGCCTCCCAAAGTGCTAGGATTATAGGCATGAGCTACTGCGCCTGGCCAGTAGTGAACTATTTTAAATAATGTTATTGGTGAACACCCTTTCATGTATACATTTTGGCATACCTGACGTATTTTTCTTAACATGCCTAGAAGCAGAATTACAGAGTCAAAGAGTATGTACTTTTGGGGGACTTTTGGATACAGAGTGCCAGATAAACCCGCAGTAGTGTTCCAGTTTATAATGCCTATAGCCATGTGAAAATACCAAGATGGTGACATTTTAATATCTAAAATAGACAGTGCCATCGGATACAGCCATTAGTTCTAAGTTGAACTTCTGAATTGCTTTTGGTTGCCAACTTCAGTATTATATTCAAAGATTCTAGCATATTACGAAAATATCCTTTGCTGTTTTTCATCTCTTGATCCTTCTAAGATAAATTGGTGTGTGATTTGTTGATAGTATCTTTGTGTGAGGATTGTTTTTCAAAAATTTAAGCTTGAGGTGTTTTGTTTTGTTTTTTAACAACTTTTGGGTGGCTGTTTTTGCCAACAGTACAGGATTTGCCTTCTTTATATTTTGGTTAACTGGAATTCAGGAACAGAGGGGAATTAGAGGAAAAAAGAGGGCAGGGTTTATTTCTCTCACATGACACACTTGCGTTCTAACCAATGACACATGAGGGTTGGCAAAAGCTTCCAATGAGGAAGGGCCAGAATCTTCAGATGCCTAGTCAGGTGGAGGAGGTCCTCTGACGCAGAGGAAATCAGATGCTGTACCCAGCCTGCAGTTGGTAGGCTTTCCATCACTACTCAGAGAGAAAGAAGAAAAATCTATTTGTTTTTGTATTCAAGCCAACCCATACTATGAAACCCTCCCCTTTGTACCAGCATAGAATGTCTCTAGAGAGATTTTCAAGGAACTGGTGATAGCAGTTGTCCATGGGGACCTGGAGTGGGAGGATTTGTTTTTCATGGCATACCCATTTGTACTGTTTGAATTATTTACTGTAGTTTGCTTTTTCAAAAAATGTTCACGCTAGTTGCTTTTAAAAAGCCTTACTCGCTTATGGTTATGCAGGATGTTAGCATTAGGGGAAACTGGGTGAAGAATGTATGGGAACCCTCTGTAGTGTCTGTGTAACTCTTCTGCAAATCTAAATTTACTTAAAAATAAAAAGTTCTTTTAAAAAAAAATGACAGAGGGAAAAAAATACTGTCTTCCTATCCTTCCTATCCAAATTGCCCCATGAGGCAATTTACCTACTAGTCTTGTCATTTCTTTTAAAGATTTTCCTGCTCTCCTGATTCATCTGGCCTCCTGATTGCCAAATACAATACACCTGTCTTAGCCATGGCACTGTGTTTACTGGAGTCAGGCTTTCCTAATGAACATCAGCTGGCAGATACTTGTAAACGTTCACAACAAATCGGAGGAAAAACTCCATGAAAATATTGCTTAAAAGACTTTGACCAAGCTATGTGTCTGCAAAAAGTGTACTGAATTCAGAACCTTTTACAAATTCAGAAACTTGTAAAGCCATTTTTCCCTCAACTTGTAGTCCAGGTAAAAGTACAGGTCAGTCTACATTTTTGGCAAGCCTCCTCAGTGATCCTGATTTCCTATAAAACTGAGTTTCACAGAGTCATCAGAGTGTGTGTGTGTGTGTGTGTGTGTGTGTTGGTTAGTTGGTTGCTTGGTTGGTTGGATGGGGTGTAACTTGATGGATGGGAGGGCTGTGGAGACAGGTGATCAGGAGGCTGTGGCCAATGTCCAGGTGGGAGGAAATAAGCATCTGAAATGCAACAGCAGTGAAAGGTTAGGGAGAGTAGTCAGATACAGAAACTGACTTGAGTTGGTGATTTAGGCGTGTGGAAGACAAAAGTTCGTTGTTCAGACTGCGTAGAAAGAAGAGAATCCGGCAGCTTTTCTAGTTCCTTGCAGGGGTGAAGCACTATTATTAAGGGAAAGAGATGCAATGGACCTTTCTTGCCTTTGATTCCCAGGTGCCTATGCTGCATGCAGATATTTCCTGAGTCCCCATGCTGTGCCAGGCACTGTTCGTGGTGCTGCTTTCCTAGAGATCACATTCAAGGGTAGGGGGACATGCAATACGCAAATAAACATATACATATAGTACATGTCAATTAGATAAGTCCATGAGGAGAAATAGATAAGGGACTAGAGAAATGGGTAATGGGAGCCCTGAGGTTGTTTTTTAGATAGAATGGTCAGTGCAGACTTCTCTGAGGAAGTGATATTTGAGAGACCTGAATGAAATAAGGAGATGTGCCATTGGGCGTGGTAGCTCACACTTGTAATCTCGGCACTTTGGGAGGCCGAGGTGGGCAGATCACCTGAGGTCAGGAGTTGAAGACCAGCCCGGGCAATGTGGTGAAACCCCGTCTGATCTAAAAATAGAAAAATTAGCCAGGTGAGGTGGTGGATGCCTGTAGTCCCAGCTACTCGGTAGGCTGAGGCAGGAGACTCACTTGAACTTGGGAGGCAGAGGTTGCAGTGACCTGAGATCATGCCATTGTACTCCAACCTGGGTAACTCCGTCTCAAAAAAAAAAAAGAAGAGAGATGTGCCGTGCAGGTGCCTGTGGGAAGGGCATTCCACCAGAAGGCACAGTAAAGACGAAGGCCCTGAGGGGTGCAGAAAGGTTTGTTGTCAGGACAACAAGGAGGCCCGTGTGGCTGAGCTGAGCGAGGAGGAGAGTGGGAGGTGAGAGAGGCCAGCACGGTTTTGGAGAAACTTGTAGGAACATCTCTTGGTAACATAGGAGCTTTTGACAGCGTGAACTAGTTGCTATACAGAGAAATGGGAATTAATTAAATGTCCTGGAGCTTTATTTCCTGCCAGCTATCCTGGGAGTTACACACTATAAATGGTTAAAAGAACATTGATCCAGAAGTGGGGAGACATGGCTCCTGTGTGATAGTCTTCCCTTTTGCCCAGATGTTAATTACTTTGTGGCTAACTCCTGGAAGTGCAGAATTGTCCTGTGGCACTCTTGGGAGCATTTGGGAGAGAACATTTATGAGGTCTTCAGGCTTCATGGGTCAGAGGGTGGCTACACTGGGTCAATTAAAGCAACATGAAGGTGGTATGACTTGATCTGCCTCAGAGGATCTTCTTCACTTCTTCTCCCCAATCCAACCCTGGCCTCTCTTCTGAGCAGGATTGGTTGCCGTGGTCTTTACTGCTTTTCTCCCTGATGTGTGAAACAAGCGCCTTCTATGTGCCTGGGGTCGCGCCTATCAACTTCCACCAGAACGATCCCGTAGAAATCAAGGTAAGTGTGTTCCTGGATTTTTGGAGCCTCTGTGCTAGGCAGTGTGTCTGGAGCACCATGGTGAGCTGTTCGTGTCCATCCTGTGGTTGCAGAGAAGAAAGAATAGTGCCAGTTACCCCGGAACTCTGCCTCTCCCTCTCCCTGTGCCTCTGGTTCTCGGTCCCCTCTCTGTTTCTGGTTCTTTCTGTGTCTCTGTCCCTGTGTATGCTTGTGTATATTTGCATCTCGGTCTCTTTCTCACTCTCACTTTTGCTTTCAAGTATTCTGTCTCTGTCATGTATGTGTCCATCTCTTTTTGTGCCTTTGTCTTACTCCACCTGCCTCTTCTTTAGCATCTCTGCCTCCCTTTCTCACCTGCTCCATCTTCTCTGTTACCAGCTTTGTCAGCATAACTCCTAGTGTCTGCTCATATTGTTCATACATTGTGAACGTCTCTTTTCCTTGGCAGTCAGACTTGTAACTTGCAGGAACAGTCATTAAAATAACTTTTACTGAGGGTTATTTACATGCCAGGCATTGTGCATGGCTTAGCTCAGGTTGCCCCCCAAGAACCCACTGGGGCCAATTCCATATGTTACACAGATTTCCTATTCATTTTACAGATGGGGAAACCGAGGCCTGGGAAGGAAAATTAACATGTTCAAGGTCACATAGTGAGGAAGACATAGGGTTAGTTCAAACCCCATCTCTATTTAGAGGAGACGTGGTCTTTCTCTGTTGCCTAAGCTGGAGTGCAGTGGCGTGAGCATAGCTCACTGCAGCTTTGACCTCCCAGGCTAAAGTGATCCTTCTGCCTCAGCCTCCCAAGTAGCTGGGACTACAGGTGTGCACCACCATGCCTGGCTAATTTTTTTTTTTTTTTTTTTAAGTAGAGATGAGGTCTCACTATGTTGCACAGGCTGGTCTTGAACTCTTGGGCTCAAACAGTTCTCATGCTTCAGCCTCCCAGAGTGCTGGGATTATCGGGCATGAGCCACCACACCCAGCCCAAGACCCCATCTCTTAACCACTGCAGTACCTTCTTCCCACTACCTCTGTCAAAAGCTCCCTCCAGAGCAGAGGAGTGGCCTGGAGGTACCAGAGCTGCTCTGGCTTCCAGTCCCACATAGCTAAGTATGTGAGGGTGGACGCCTTGGGTGGGAAGAGAGGGAGTGGGAGGCAACGTAAAGGTGGGACGCATCTCTCTGTAACGTGCATTCTTTTCTCATTGTCCTGAGTGAGAATGCTAAGAAACACAAAATTGTTAAAACAGACTTTTTGGCCATTTTTCCTCAAGCAATTCATGAAATGTTTAATAGAGGTCCTTAATCCCTGCAGTTTCACACCCGGAAAGCTCTGGAACTCAGTTTTTCCAAGCTCACTGAAGGCAAGAACTGACCAGAACTGAACATGAAGCTGTTTATTGACTTTTTCTATTCCACTTAATATGAATATCTTTGCATTTCTCTGCACAAATAGTTATCGAATATGAGGTACTGTCCAGACCCAGCTTGGCTATGGTTTGTATACCACATTGCCTTCTAAAATCTGGAAATTTTCTTTTTCTTTTCTTTTTTTTTTTTGTGAGATGGAATCTTGCTCTGTCACCCAGGCTGGAGTGCAGTGGCATGATCTCTGCTTACTGCAACCTCTGCCTCCCAGGTTCAAGCAATTCTCCTGCCTCAGCCTCCTGAGTAGCTGGGATTATAGGTGCACACCACCATGCCCAGCCGATTTTTGCATTTTTAGTAGAGACGGGGTTTCACCATGTTGGCCAGGCTGGTCTCAAACTCCTGACCTCAAGTGATCTGCCCGCCTCACCCTCCCAAAATGCTGGGATTACAGGGAATCCAGAAAATTTCTAATCCCAAAAAAGAGTTGAAAAAAGATTGTAGACCTGTATTCCAAAAATCTTTTTTACTTTTAGGTGGTGTATGAGGAATGGTCAATAGTTCCTAAATAGTAAAGGTAGTTTTACTTACATTTGGATTAAAATTTTATTTTTTGTAACATTTCGATGGGTTCTATTTTGTCTGTGGTTTCCAGAGCTATATTCTGTGTGCTTGTAGCATTTCCTAAACATTCTTCTTCATTGTCTTAAACCTTATTTTTTTATGGCTTTACCATATTTAATTGAAAGAATATATCATAGTTTATTGATAAATTTCCCATTGCAGGAGCTTTGAGTTGAAGTTATTTTTCATTTTTCCTCTCTTCTCTCATTCAGCAAACATTTAATGAGTACCTACTTTGTGCCTAGCTCTAAAGCACTGGAGTTACAGAGGTGACCAAGGCACACGTGGTCCTTGTCCTTATAGAGCTTAAATCTTAGATGCTAATGGGAGAAACTGATTTTTTAAAAAACAGGGAAACTAATTAACATTTTATCAGATATGCTATGAAGTAAACAGTTGAAGACTGACAGTCCAGTGGATACCGGGGAGTTCCTTTAGATACCCTGGTGAGGTAAGGACACAGGCAAGGGGAGAGCTGAGACCTGAATATGAGGAGAAGCCAGGCGAGCACACAATAGGGCAGAAAGGAGCAGTAGGTCAAAGCCTGAGGCAGGAGAGAGCTTGACTGACTCGAGGAGCTGAAGGAAGAAGATCACTATGGTTATGAATAAGGAGTGAACTTCGTTGCTCCTAAAATGCTTTTTTTCCTTATTTGGAGTTATTTCCTTAGGAAAGATGCCCAAAAGTGAAATTGCTGTGTCAAGGGATAGTAGCATGTTCAAGACTCTCACAATGTATTGAATTTGGTTGTGATTCTCAACTATATCTGTAGTGTAGTCTAAAATGAATGAAATGTGAAATAATTCAGAATTGTGGGCAGTACATTATATAGTGTACTGCTGTCATTTCTGCTAATTCGTTTGCCTATTAGTTAATATTACCAAGTGTACTAAAGATGTGTGGGTACCAGGGAGGATTATTGGTCATCTTGGTTTCTGCTGGATTCCCATCAGGCTGTGAAGCTCACCAGCTCTCGAACCCAGCTACCTTATGAATACTATTCACTGCCCTTCTGCCAGCCCAGCAAGATAACCTACAAGGCAGAGAATCTGGGTAAGTTCTTCTCCCACACTGCTGTCAACTTGTCCCCAGGGGGAACCCAGCATGATTTTTATAATGATAACAACAGTTAACTTTGCTATATTCTAGACACTGGTCTACATTGTTTGCATACCTGTTAGCTTATTTAAACCTCATAACAGCCCCGGGGAGACAGTTGCTGTGTTTATTCCCATTTTGCAGGTTAAGTGACTTGTCTTTGTTTATACTGTGGGCAAAGGCATCCTCTGTTTTCTTCACAAAACAGCCAGAGTGATCTTTGTTTTGGATCCACAGTCAGTCTTCAGACTTGGAGCACTTGGCTTCTATTTACACCGCCTCTTCTTGATTTCTAGATAGCTCCTCTCTTGCGGCTTCATCACCTCCTCTGCTTTAAATGGAAAGAGAGAGCGAGTGCCTCTGCCCTGAATGCAAGCAGAGATGCCACCACAGTTCTTGCTGAGCTCTGCAGGACTCATGTCAAATAATGTGTGAGGCACCCAGTGCAGTGTCTGACACAAGTATTCCATAACTAGTAGCCATTTTATTCTAATTTAAATAATTCTCCATTTGACAGAATTTCAGGTGTAGAGGTGTCTAGTCGTACACAGTTATTAGTGCCTCCTCTGTGACTGTGTTAGGTCCTGGAGATAAAAGCATGGAAAGGTGTCTCCCTGACCTCAGGGAACTTAAGAGACTTTCTTTTCTTACACCTTAGGAAGGAGAAAGGAGAGAACTGGTTCTTGAGCAAGCCCCTGAAAGGGCTGCCTTCTCCGTCAGGGCTACGCATGGCTCAGATGTTTCTGGAACCTCTAGCTGACAAATTTATCTACTGCCAGGTATTGGGGGTCCTGGACCAGTTGGAGGCAGGCCTTGGAGCCAGTTTAACCAAAATTGGGTAGGACCATCTCCCCCTAATACCAACTGTGCCGAAGTCTTGCCTTGTAGCGTTGAACAGAGATTGGCCTCAGAGCCTGGGCTGGCCTCTACCAACTGTCTGCAGTGGTGCAGCTTGTGGCCCTGCCACTTACCATCTGTGGACCAGTGCCTGCCTGCCATTGCCCTCCTTTCCTCACCACACCATGCTATCCTCCAGCCACCTTGCCTCTCCCCGGGAAGCCTGACCCACTTGGTGCCCCAGGGTCCTGATATCAGGCCCCTCACAAATGTACCTCCCTTCTCCTGGGAGCTGCTGTGGACCCTTTGGCAACCCAAGGCTCTATAGTTAGGCACTCTTAGTATGATCCTGGGTGACCTTAACCTCTCTGAACCCCTGCCAAATCTTCGTGAAGCTGGGGAAAGTTCCTGCCTCATAGAAATGGAGATTTCTGTATACAAATGTTATCCTGCCATATTGCATCTCATTCTGTCTTTGTAGTGCCTGCCTTCATGGCCTAAGGGCTCTTTGACTGGAGGGATTGTGTCTCACATTCCCCTCTCTTCTCAGCTTCTAGCCCAGTGCCTGACACATAGTAGGCATTCGATAATTGTTAGTGTTCTACCTGAGTGGAGCAAAACCATCCTTGATTGCGTGACTGTTGGATTGTAAGCCATTTACATCATCATCCTCATCATCATCATTAATACCTAGAGGGCTCATCCTATGAGCTGGGCACTGTTCTAAGCATTCCTGTGCCTTAACTTACTTAATTCTCACAACTCTAACTTAGTAATTCTCACAATAGCATGTAGATTCTCTTACTCTCCTTATTATAAATAAGGGAAGTGAGGCACAAGGAGGTGAAGTCACTCACCTAGTAAGTGACGGAACTCCAGGAACTCTGGCTCCAGAATCCATGCCCAAGCACCACACTGTACAGCAGCTTCTGTGACTCTGATAGTAACTCTGTAAGCTGAGTATTTCATAGTAGAGGGAACAGCAGCCTCAAGGGTTTGAAAGACTTAGTCAGGGTCACATGGCCAATAGGTGGAGAAATTGAGATTTTTAACTCAGGTTCTTTTACCCTAAAGCCAGAGTTCTTTCTGTTGTCGCAGGCTGCCTTCTCCAGAAAGGCCCATAGGGCTGTCTGAGGGCTGTGCTAATGGTTGTCACATTGATGGAGATCCATGGCATGGTGTATGTATTGGAGCAGCTTTGGCAGGTGTTCCGGATAGAACCCTGGACTCTTTGGGAGGCTCCACATTCATGGCTTACTGCTCATTGTTAAAAGGAGTACTTCCATGTATAAAATGAGCCATTTCGCTCATGCCTGTAATCCCAGCACTTTGGGAGGCCAGAGTAGGCGGATCACCTGAGGTCAAGAGTTCAAGACCAGCCTGGCCAACATACTAAAATACAAAATTTAAAAAAATTTGTAAATTTGTAAATCTCTACTAAAAATACAAAAATTAGCCAGGCATGGTGGTGCACGCCTGTTATCCCAGCTACTTGGGAGGCTAAGGCAGGAGGATCGCTTCAACCCAGGAGGCAGAGGTTGCAGTGAGCTGAGATTGCGCCATTGCGCTCCAGCCTGAGCAACAGAGCAAGACTCTATCTCAAAAACAAAACAAAAACAAGAAATAGAAATGAGCCATTTCCTGACCATTATGTCCCCTTTCTTGGCTAAACTTAATTTTTAAATATCAAGAAGCGATTCCACTGTACTTGGTCTGCAGCCCTGTTCCTCTCTGTAGCTCTTTCTCTCCTCAAGCAAGATCCTCATTGACAGGAGATGAAATAGGCAGTAGGAAATGGTATAGAGGAAAGAGGCCAGGGATTTAGCATTACCACCACCCCCTCATATCACCACGAGCAGGTCTCTGATCCTCAGCTTGTCATCTATAAAATGCCATTTCAGCAGTGGGCTCTGCAGATATCTTACTGTGTCCTCGCTCTTCACTGGCCAATCCATCCCTGGGTTTTGCAGACTCACCTGCATTGCCAGCCTTCCAAAACAGGGTGGAGGGGTGAGGCCTTCATCCATGCCCTTCCTCAATCTCTCCCTCTCCTGAGTGCCTCCTCCACACTGAAAGCATTGCTTGCCAGGGCCGCTACTTTGCACAGCAGAGTGCTGGCGCCTACAGCGGTGTAGCTCGCGGCCCTGCCATTTACCATCTGTGGGCCGATAACCCCCAACTTCCATCTGTGCCCTGACCTCTCCTCTGCGCCTCAGATCTTGATATCTAAGTGCCCACTTGATATATCCAAACTGAAAATGCCTTCGATGTAAATTTGCTGTTCTTCCTATTTTCCCACCTAGAACCTGGTTGTAGAAACCTCAGAGTCTTCCTAATATGCACCATCCCTCACTCATGCCTTGTTTACAGTCAGCACTGCTTCCCCTGGATTTCACCTCCTTGGAGCTCCTGAATCTGTGTACTCTTCTCTACCCTCACCAGCACCTGTTCCAGTCACCGGTGTCACTCATGCATGACTGACTGCCATCACTGCCCCCCACCACCACCACTGCTCACCGCCAGTTCCTTGCATCCTCTGTTTTCTTCACAAAACAGCCAGAATGATCTTTCTGGAACCAGACTCAGATAACGTCTTTCTCTACCCCTGTTAGAAACCTTCATTGGATTTTGTTGCTTTCTAGGTCAAACTGGTCAAGATCAAACTGTGTGTCCCACAGGCCCCCTGAGTACTGGCCCATCTCTGCAGCTCATCTGAGCCTTCTGCACTGTAGCCACACAGGCCTTTCAGGTTCAGTGCCTCCCCCACCCCAAAGGGGCCTTTGCACATGCTGTCCTGTCTGGAATATTCTCCTATTTCTTTGCTCAGTTAACATCTCTCTTCCTTTCAAGTACCCCTTCCTCAGGGAAGCTGTCCTAGACCCACTCCCCTGTGTCTGCAGCAAGTTATATATTCTCATTTTGCTGATTATTCAGCAAAGTCTATCTTCCTGCTAGGCCATGCACTCTATGAGTACATCTATTCAACTTTGCATCTTTAGGGCTTGGCATGTAGCCAGTACCCAGTACATGTTCACGGATGAATGAATGAATGACTAGATGACTAGGGAGAGTGCCCTGTCGAGCAGATCCACACTGGAGGAAAAGTGCGAGACCAAGTGCATGTGGAGGTGTTAATTAGTCTTCATCTTGTCCATCAATTGTTGAACAGCTCAGAATGAAAGCACCATGGGGTTTGCTTGATAGTCCCTAACTGCTCAGTGCCTGTTAGGGTGACATCTGGCAGCAGTTACTCTGAGGCAAAAGGCACACAAGGGGTGCCACTTCATTGAGTCAAAAGACGTTTTGCCTGAAAATCTCAGGTGCTGGATTTCACCCCACTCCCCTCCCTGCTGGAACCAGGATCTGAAGACACAGAGATAAATAGGAAACAGTCTTAACAGTAACGAGCTCATAGTCAGGTAGGGGAGCCAGAAACATGACTGTATCAGCACATTGTGCAAAGTAAATCCTTGACATAGGAACGGATGCTGATGATAAAAGAGCGTTTGATGCCTGCCTACTCTGTGCCTGCTACTTTATTGGATTGACTTCCTTTATTTCTCACTGTAACCCTGTGAGGTGGATACTGTTATTATCCCATTTTATGGATGAGGACATTGAGGCTCAGTGAGATGGAGTGACTTACCAAGACTGCTAAGGCAGGCAGCCGAGAGTCAGAGTCATCCCTCCACTGCATAATGCTGCCCTCACACAGGGCAGTCAGGGGAGGGAGTGATGGGCTTGTCCTGAAGGGGTTAGGGAGGGCTTCCCAGAGAGAGTGAAATGGAAACTGGGCTTCTGGGGAGGCCAGGAGCATGGGGCAGGGAACTCTAGGAGAAGGAAGCGACTGAGGCCCAGAGGCATAGAAGGATGTGATGCTTGGCTGGGCGCGGTGGCTCACACCTGTAATCTAGCACTTTGGGAGGCTGAGATGGGCAGATCATGAGGTCAGGATATCGAGACCATCCTGGCTAACAGGGTGAAACCCCGTCTCTACTAAAAATACAAAAAATTAGCCGGGCGTGGTGGCATGCACCTGTAGTCCCAACTACTCGGGAGGCTGAGGCAGGAGAATGGCCTGAACCCAGGAGGCAGAGTTCACAGTGAGCTGAGATCGTGCCACTGCACTCCAGCCTGGGTGACAGAGCGAGACTCCATCTCAAAAAAAAAAAAAAAAAAAAAAAAAGGATGTGATGCTTGATGAGTGCTGAGTGCTAAGGGGTCTGGTAGCACTAGAGCCCAAAGGAGGAGGGTGGCAGGTCGAGGTTAGCTGGGACCGTTGGGCGTGAAGCAATGGGAAGGGCATTGGCTGCCAGGCTGAGGCACTGCTGAAGTCCTTGAAAGCCCATGTTTGCCCCGCAGTCCTGTGTCTCTGTGACTCTGCTGACCTCAGCAACCTCAGGGCTGAAGCTCTGAGCTTGATCTGTCTCTCTTACGGCAGGAGAGGTGCTGAGAGGGGACCGGATTGTCAACACCCCTTTCCAGGTTCTCATGAACAGCGAGAAGAAGTGTGAAGTTCTGTGCAGCCAGTCCAACAAGCCAGTGACCCTGACAGTGGAGCAGAGCCGACTCGTGGCCGAGCGGATCACAGAAGACTACTACGTCCACCTGTAAGTCGCCCTGTGCTCCTTGCTGCCTCAGGCTCACACAGGGGAGGACACTGACGGGAGAGGCGGTCGAGAGGGACTGAGTGGGGCCTTCACTTTCCAGCATTGCTGACAACCTGCCTGTGGCCACCCGGCTGGAGCTCTACTCCAACCGAGACAGCGATGACAAGAAGAAGGAAAAAGATGTGCAGTTTGAACACGGCTACCGGCTCGGCTTCACAGATGTCAACAAGGTAGAGTGTCTTTGGCGTGCTCACAGGACCGGGAGCCACACCTCACGAGTCCTGAGCACTTGGGGCCACAGAAAAGGTGGGGCTCGGCCACAGCAAGTTTCTCCAGGTGCCCTGGGCATGATGGTCTGTCAGAGGTCCGAGTGCTCCGGGCAAGTCCCTGGGAGGTGCTACAGGGAGGTGAAGCCACAATTCTTAGGAAGTTAGGTTCCATTTTTGTAAGATTAAAACAACATAAAAAAAAAAACCGTGGAACTTCATCAGTATGTAGGAGAGAGGGCTAAGTAGTGGTCAAGAGCGTGCAGGCTCCCTGGGTTTGAATCCTTCCTCTCCCAGTTACTAGTTGTCTAAGTGACCCTGAGCCTGTGGTTCCTTAGCTGTAAAATGTATGCAGCAGCAGTGGCGGGGTAAATTAGCACATTCGTGTGAGCCCTTCCCAGCACAGCCCTGGAGAATCAGCTAATAATGTGATGATTATAGCCCTGATTCTCTTATCTTTCTTTCTAAACTGAAAGATATTAGTTAGGGAATAAATTACAAAAGTATGTGTTTTGAGGTGCAGCCCCTGTCCCCAAAGGGCGTCTGTCCTAACTGGGAAGAGAACCGACAGTGGGAGGCTCTAAGTCTCCAGTCCCAGCTGCCTTTCACTGGCCATTAATTGCAGGCGAGGTCAGAGGGAGCTCCTTTTACACTCAGGTTGTCACAGAGGAGGTGGGCCATGAGAAGTTGGTGGGCTTTTGCTGAGTGGAGTTGGGGGTGGCATTCTAGTTGGAGTGATTGCAGGGTAGAGACTGGTTCATGGGGCGGTGGGCACAGGGGAGTCTAGGTGAACTCATGTGACTTAGATGATTACACCCAGTTGTATCAGGGTCAGATGATAGAAGGCCTTGAATGCCAGACTTTGAGAAATGGGCTTTTGTCTGATAAGCTGCAGGGAGCCCTTGAAGAGCTTCTGAGTAGGGGAGTGATGAGAACAGTGTTTTAGGAAGGTTGGTACAACCAGGCATGCTGGGTGAGGCAAGGGCCCTAATACCTGGAGAGTATCCCTAAGTGATGTTCTGTTGTGCTTTCTCTGTTGCTGTGTTTCAGATCTACCTGCACAACCACCTCTCATTCATCCTTTACTATCATCGGGAGGACATGGAAGAGGACCAGGAGCACACGTACCGTGTCGTCCGCTTCGAGGTGATTCCCCAGAGCATCAGGCTGGAGGGTGAGTGGGGAGGTGTGGCCGGAGGGGCAGGGCTGGATGGGCCTGGGCTTCTCCACGCAGGGTCTTCGCACTCTTCTCCCTCCTGAGCTGGCCGATGGGCTCGGGTGTGGCGTGTGGGCCCAGCCAAGGTAGGATCATGGTATTCTCATTAGAGAAGACGGGGTGTGGGGGCAGCTGACAGCTGCAGTGTCACGGGCTAGACACCTTACTAGTTTACCCCTTCCCAGCAACCCCAGGAGGTACGTGATGATTACAAAGGAAGAACTAGAGGCTCAAAAGGAGCTAGTGACTTGGCCAAGACCAAACAGCAAGTTGGGGCTTTGTTGGGCCTCCTCACAAGAACCAGCCAGCTCACCCTGGGTTGAGAACAAGGGGCCAGGGTACAGACAAAGCCTGTAGGCAGCAGGTTTCTTCGTTCCTCTCCCGCTGTGTGAGTGATTGGCATAAACTAAAATTTGCCCAGGGTCAACAGGTGTGCGGGAGTTTGAGAGTCCAGCACAGTCCTGATGGGCCTCACAGGAGCTGGTCCGGCTTTGCCTCACCTCTTGGCCCTTGATCATCACAGTGTGCTTTTTAATTAAGCAGCATGCCCAGGATTTTGACCATGTTGGTGGTATTTGGACTTTTTTTTTTTTTCCACTGTGGAACTTAGTGTTCAAACAAAATTAGACACAGAAGTCCCAAACATAGATCCTGCCCTTCAAGAGCTCCATAGCACATCTCCCCTGGGAGCTTCCCGAGCGCAGTTCTACGTTTGCATGTGTGACGCTTTTGAGGCCACCTGCTCCCCCACTGGCTCTTCAAGCTTAGAGTCTCCCTGTCTCCTTTTCTTACCATTTTATCTTTTTTTTTCCCCCCAAGACAGAGTCTTGCTCTGTCACCCAGGCTGGAGTGCAGTGGCGCGATCTCCGCTCACTGCAACCTGCGTCTCCTGGGTTCAAGCAATTCTCCTGCCTCAGCCTCCTAAGTAGCTAGGATTATAGGCGCCCACTACCGCACCTGGCTAATTTTTGTATTTTTAGTAGAGACGGGGTTTCACCATGTTGGCCAGGCTGGTCTCAAACTCCGGACCTCGTGATCTGCCTGCCTTGGCCTCCCAAAGTGCTTGGATTACAGGCGTGAGCCACCGCGCCCAGCTCACCATTTTATCTTAAGCACCTAGCACAGTACCTGGCCCATAGTTGGTGCTTATTATATGTTGTTGGTTGAATGAGTAGATGGATAACAGGATGAACAGATGAGCAAATGAATGGAGAAAACATCTGAATGATTGATCACGAAAGTGCCAGGGCTTTAGAGATAGACTAAATGAATGAGTAGGCATGATGGAATGGATCAAGGTTTTATGTTGAATGGGACTGGCTGGATGGTAGGTGAACGTTTGAATTGAGTGAAGGAACACTGACTCAGGGAGGAACTCCGACTCAGGCCCCTCCCTTCCCCCATGCACAGGCCTCTCTGCAGCCCCTAAGGACCTTCAGAAAGTCAGGGCTCTGAGGAATAATTTTCAAAAACCATTGTTGGCCAGGCATGGTGGCTCACACCTGTGATCCCAGCGCTTTGGGAGGCCAACACAGAAGGATTGCATCAGGCCAGGAGTTCAAGACCAGCCTGGGAAACATAAAAGGACCTTGTCCCTACAAAAAAATGTCTTAAAATTAGCCAGGTGTGGTGACACACACCTGTAGTCCCAGCTACTCCGGAAGCTGAAGCAGAAGGATGACTTGAGCCTAGGAGGTTGAGGCTGCAGTGAGCTATGATTGTGCCATTGTCTGCGTGACAGGGCAAAACTCTATCTCTAAAAAAATAAGGTTTAAAAATAAAAAATGAAAAAAAACCATTGTTGCCCATTGTGCTCCCAGTCTCCACTCCCACCCTAGAGGCTGGGTCTCCGCGACAGGCAGCCTTGAGGGCAGCCCCTGGAATAGCCCCTGGGCAGTGGCACTGGCCACCACAGGAACAGACTGAGTCTGTGTCTCTCTCAGACCTCAAAGCAGATGAGAAGAGTTCGTGCACTCTGCCTGAGGGTACCAACTCCTCGCCCCAAGAAATTGACCCCACCAAGGAGAATCAGCTGTACTTCACCTACTCTGTCCACTGGGAGGTGAGAAGGGGCTGGAGCTCATGGGCAGGGGAGGAGGGCTCTGGTCTGTGTCAGGTTCTCCAGCAGGATGCCTGACTCTAAGTGCTTCCTCCCACCTGCCAGGAAAGTGATATCAAATGGGCCTCTCGCTGGGACACTTACCTGACCATGAGTGACGTCCAGATCCACTGGTTTTCTATCATTAACTCCGTTGTTGTGGTCTTCTTCCTGTCAGGTGAGAGATCTGTGGGTTGAGGGAAAGGGGATGGGGGTTGGGGTTGAGGGACTGAGACATCACATCATGTATGGGGGACTTCCAGGGTGTTCTGAGGGTCAGGCGTAGGTCAAAAACAGACATCAGGGCTCTGCTAAGCATCAGGTGTACATAGGTAAACAAGACTCATCTCTAGAGAGCTCTAGAACTCTGGAGAGCTCATTCATGGAGGACAGACACACCTGAGCCTGCACACATTCTTGATTCATTCAACAAGATGTTGTTGTTGCTCATTCTGTGCCAGGCACTTTGCCAGATG
Organism: Homo sapiens; assembly: GCF_000001405.40. Taxonomy (NCBI): domain Eukaryota; kingdom Metazoa; phylum Chordata; class Mammalia; order Primates; family Hominidae; genus Homo; species Homo sapiens. The sequence goes on from NC_000020.11 coordinate 32,145,722, forward strand.
CTGGGAATATGGTATGAACAAGCCCGACCCAGTCTCTGCTCCCATAGAGCCTATATTCTAGTGGTGGGAGAGAAACAAAAAAGCAAATAAGTAGTGGAGTTCCAGATAGTGATACATTCTATGAAGCAGATCAACAGGGTGGCCAAATACACAATAGCTGAGGAAAGTGTGAAGGCTCTTTGGGGAAGACCTTTCTTTACGATAAGGAGCCACCATCCAGAGACCTGGGAAAAGTCTGTGCCAGTGAGGATCATGGTCCTGCAGCGAGATAAGCTCAGCAAGAAACCGGGTGGTGAGAGGGTGGTAGGCAGGGGTAGAATGACACTGATGGTTTCACTATCATATGAGAAGCACAGATAATGCTAAATACTGTTTATTAAACATTTACCAAAGGGCCAGCTGCTGAACTAAGCACTTTACAAACATTTCAATCCCTGAAGCCCTGTGAACTAGGCCCGAAAATGTTAAGTGAACTCAAGGTCATATGGCCCATTCTCTTAACCACTACAGTGCTGCCTAGAGAGGGAAACAGGAAAGTACAAATGGGGGTGGGAGTGGCTCTGTACTGTTCAGGGTGCTGGGACGTGAAGATGCCCAGAGTGAGCCTCGAAGCACGCGTAGGAGTCAGTCAGGATATGGCGGGGCATTCTGGGCAAAAAGGATAGCTTGAAGAAAGGCGTGCTGATGAGAACATAGTGAGGCCAGGAGCCAACTGAAGCAGCAGATAGCCAGAGGTGGAGCCACAGGCAGCCCTTGGACACATGAGCTGAGAAGTCAGTAGGACCAAGCGATGGAACAGCTGGGATGCTCCTCTCCCCAGGATACCCCTACCCATCCCAGCAACCCTTTCCTCCCCACCTCCATGCTCTGTGCTCTCCTCCCCTGGTAGCTGGAGTGGAGCTCCCCCGAGAAGAGGCCTTGAGGTGGCTGCATAGCCAGTTCATAATGGAGCAAGCCGTGCATGCCAGCTGTCGCACAGTAAAACATCATGTCTAGGAGGGCATGGAGCATGGGCTTGCTGGCAGCGCCAACTTCTCCTCATCCTCACCGCCATCTATTTCAGGTATCCTGAGCATGATTATCATTCGGACCCTCCGGAAGGACATTGCCAACTACAACAAGGAGGATGACATTGTACGAGGTCTTGGCTGGGGAGGGATGAAGTTGGATGGGGAGGGGAGGAGGACCGTGTGTGTGCATATGTTTGTGTATATTATCATTCAAAGAGGAAACCTCAAAATACTAAAACAGTTTAGTATACTTTTTTTTTTTTTTTTTGAGACGGAGTCTCGCTCTGTCACCAGGCTGGAGTGCAGTGGTGTGATCTCGGCTCATTGCAATCTCCACCTCCCGGGTTCAAGCAATTCCCCACCTCAACCTCCCGAATAGCTGAGACTACAGGCACGCACCACCACACCTTGCTAACTTTTTGTATTTTTTAGTAGAAACGGGGTTTGCCATGTTAGCCAGGATGGTCTCAGTCTCCTGACCTCATGATCATCTGCCTCGGCCTCCGAAAGTACTGGGATTACAGGCATGAGCCACCACGCCTGGCCTAGTATACTTTTAATACTAAAAATGTAATACCAAAAAAGTAAGGAAAAAAGTTTTATTCACCCAAAGTGATAGGGATGGCCTTTCTAATTTTAAAGCATAAAAACCGTGGAAGAAATCACAAAAAATAGTTGATTGATTTGACATTAAAAATTGTAAAACTATTCTGCATGCCAAATACATAAACAAAACAGAAGGCCACAATGGCAAACAATATCTGCAACAAACTTGAAAAAAATGGCACAGTTTAAAGAATTCATGCAAAATCTCTTTGTTTTAAAAAAAACTAGGTCGGGGCTGGGCACGGTGGCTCACACCTGTTATCTCAGCACTTTGGGAGGCCAAGGCAGGTGGATCACTTGAGATCAGGAGTTCAAGACCAGCCTGACCAACATGTGAAAACTTCGTCTCTAATAAAAATACAAAAATTAGCTGGGTGTGGTGGCATGCACCTGCAATCCCAGCTACTCAGGAGGCTGAGGCAGGAGAATCACTTGAACCCAGAAGGCGGAGGTTGTAGTGAGCCAAGAACGTGCCACTGCACTCCAGCCTGGGCAACAAAGTAAGACTCTGTCTCCAAAGGAAAAAAAAAAAAAAAAACTAGAGGACAGTAGATAACTTGAGGTTAGGAGTTCAAGACCAGCCTGACCAACATGGTGAAAACCTGTCTCTACTAAAATACAAAAATTAGCTGAGCCTGGTGGCAGGTGCCTGTAGTTCCAGCTACTCGGGATGCTGAGGCCGGAGATCACTTGAACCTGGGAGGTAGAGGTTGCAGTGAGCCGAGATCACACCACTGTACTACAGCCTGGGCAACAGAGCAAGACTCCGTCTCATAAATAAATAAATAAAACCAAAAAATCTAAAATTTCGAATGTAATGATGAACAGGAAATTTACAGGCAAGACACTGCAATATGCCCAGTAAGCAAGAGAAAACTGTTTTTACCTCAGGAAGAACCCCACAAAATGCAGGTTCAAACAATCTTGAGAAGACCGTTTTGGACCATCATATTAGCACAGACTTTTTTTCTTTTTTTAACAGTACTAATTGTTGGTAAGGTTAATGTGAACTAAGCATCTTTCCATACCACCCATGGAAGTATAAATTGGTAGCTTTCTGAAAAGTGATTGGCAGTGGATATCAAGAACTGTAAAACAGGCTGAGCATGGTGGCTCGTGCCTGTAATCCCAGCACTTTGGGAGGCCAAAGCAGGAGGATCACTTGAGCCCAGGAGTTCAAGACCAGCCAGGGCAGCATAGGGAGATCCTACCTCAACAAAAACAAAAAAGAACTAAAACAGGCAACTTGTTTTGCACAGCAATTCTTCTATTATTTTTCTAAGGCAAGATTCAAAACACCAAGACTTGGTATAGAAATATTACAGCTTTTTTTTTTTTTTTTTTTTTTTAAGAGACGGAGTCTTGCTCTGTTGCCCAGGCTGGAGTGCAGTGACACAATCTTGGCTCACTGCAAGCTCCGCCTTCCAGGTTCATGCCATTCTCCTGCCTCAGCCTCCCGAGTAGCTGGGACTACAGGCGCCTACCACCATGCCCAGCTAATTTTTTGTATTTTTAGTAGAGACGGGGTTTCACCCTGTTAGCCAGGATGGTCTCGATCTCCTGACCTCATGATCCGCCCGCCTCGGCCTCCCAAAGTGCTGGGATTACAGGCGTGAGCCACCGCGCCCAGCCAGAAATATTACAGCTTTGAAATACAATGTCAAGCTTTTATTGACCTGAAGAAATGTTCACAAATACCAACTGAAAATAACAAAGTACATAGTGTGATCCCAATGTTATTGTTTAAAGCATACATATACACATATATACATAAAAGGTTAAAGGAATTATATCAAAACAGTGTTATTAAGTGGGAGTATCAAATCATTTTATTTTTATATCGTTCTGTTTAAATTTTTCTGTAATAAACATGTATTACTTTTTGTTCATTTGAATTTCATGCTACATACCAAATTATTTTTACTTTTTTTATTACACAAGTAAGAATGCATATTTCTTTCATAATCAGAAAAAATAAATAAATTGACTCCAAATCTCACCACCCAAGAACTCTTACAGTTGACATTTTAGTGAGTTGAGGTATTTACATTATTTTCCCACAAACGAGGTTTGTGGAATTTAAAGAGATTTTCCTTTTACGCATCTACAGGCATCAGGTTTGTGGCCTCCTTTTCTTGTGACAGTTTCAGATAAGCACTTTCTCCTATCACTTACACTCCTGTGTCAGAGCAGCGCTGGTTGGCACCTGAGGGTGTCAGCTGTCACCTTGGGGGTGGTCCCTGCAAGAGCTGCCTCCATCTTCAACAACCAGCCTCACTCTGGCCCTTCGCTGCAGGAAGACACCATGGAGGAGTCTGGGTGGAAGTTGGTGCACGGCGACGTCTTCAGGCCCCCCCAGTACCCCATGATCCTCAGCTCCCTGCTGGGCTCAGGCATTCAGCTGTTCTGTATGATCCTCATCGTCATCTGTGAGTGTGCCCAGCGGGGCCGGGCATGGGGGCATGGCTTCCTCTTCCAGGTGCCTCAAGGAGAGAAGGGTGGGCTTCCCTCCCTGGAGAAAGGGAACCAAGCTCCTGGCACCAAGTGGGCATGTCAGTATCTCTGGGCCAGACAGGCCGTCTATCTCAGCAACAGCCCCAGCCCCAGCCCAGGACTGGTGATTCACCTCACAGCCATTTACAGAGCCCACCATGTCTCCTCCATCAATGAGGCAACACATCATTGCTGTGAGCTTGGCCTCCTTTTGTAGTCAGAGGCCAAGTGACCTGCCCAAAGTCAGTACCAGGATTAGGATTGAAATCAAATATTTTTTTCTTTAACAAAAACCCCACTAATATATAGTAATTTTAGACAGCTTTGGAGTCAGTCTGCCTAGATTTACATCTCAGCCTCATGCCTCCAAGCTTTGTGACCTTGGACAGGCCACTTGACCTCTGTGAGCCTCCGTTTCCTTATCTGAAAAATAGGGAAAGTAATCACCCTGCAGAGTTGGTAAGGTGGATTCAGAGACCTGGCATTTGTGGTGCCCTCAGCCCAGCACCTGACTCACTGCAAGTGCTCTGTGGACCGAAAGCTGCGGTTGAGATTTGGCCAGCCAAGGCCCAGCAGCTGCTGCACCCCTCCGAACCCCAACTAAGACCCAGTCTTCCCCTGTAGAGGGTAGGGGACTATGCTGTTGAGAAGACAAGGGAGGGGGAGCCTCATCTGCCCAGAGTCCTCCTGTCAGCCTGTCCAAGGTGGGCCTGGGGCTGGGGCTGGGGCTAGAGGCCTGGTGATCAGCCACCCTGCCTTTCTCTGCCCTTCCTCCCTCCCTCCCTCCACAGTTGTAGCCATGCTTGGGATGCTGTCGCCCTCCAGCCGGGGAGCTCTCATGACCACAGCCTGCTTCCTCTTCATGTTCATGGGGTAGGTGTGTCTGAGTGGGCTCCCGGGGGCGGCACAGGCCTCCTCCACACCAGCTAATGGGTCCCCTTGGTGTGGATCCCTGCCATTTTCCCACAGGGTGTTTGGCGGATTTTCTGCTGGCCGTCTGTACCGCACTTTAAAAGGCCATCGGTGGAAGAAAGGAGCCTTCTGTGTGAGTGTCCTAAACCTTCTCTTGTTTGGTGGGAAGCAGAGAAGCTTCTTCCTGGGCTCCTCAGGAGAAGGTAGGCAGGTCCTGGTGGGGATTTTTGGGCCAGAAGCTGAGCAGCAGCAAGACATAGCAGGAGCAGCACAGGTCCAAGGGCAGGAATCCCAGGCTGTTACCCACAGGCTCGCAGCAGAACCTCCCAGGGCCTCCACTGCCCCATTTGTAAAATGAGGGATTTGAACTTAGGTCATTTTTAGCTGACATTGTCTGATGGCTCAAGCAAGAGAAGAAATAGGGGATTCAGAATAACAAGATTTAGAATAGCAGGGCAGCTGAGAGAACACCCTGAGTAAAGAGGGAATTGCCTGCCTAAGCCTGAAGAGGCCAGACCCAAGTTCCTGTCAGCCCATTTTCCAGGCTGGTGCCTGCATTTCTCTTTGGTGAGGATTGCTGCCCTTCTCTGGCCTCCTGGAGGTAAGGAGAGTTCTTGGCAGCAGAAAAGCGCGTAGCAACCAGAGGGGGTCTCGAGATTGACCTCACCTCCCAGGGATCCCCGAGCCCCTTCTCCTAGAGCGAGTGAGTCTCTTAGAGGACTAGGAAGACTCTTGGGTGCCCACACTCAGAGAAGTCTCTGGGCCCAGGATTCTGAAGCCATTCTCACCGCTGTCAAAAGCTCAAGGAGAGCTCAGGCTGTATCAGTTCTGGCTGCGACGCTTCTGGCACAAAGTAAGCCCTCGGTAAAGAAAAGTTGTGACCGTGACTATTTTGGGAGGATCAAAGAAAGGTTCCTGAATTGTTTTTTGTTTTTTTATTGTTGTTGTTTGTTTTTGAGATGGAGTTTTGCTCTTGTTGCCCAGGCTGGAGTACAATGGCGCGATCTCGGATCACTGCAACCTCCACCTCCTGGGTTCAAGTTATTCTCCTGCCTCAGCCTCCCGAGTAGCTGGGATTACAGGCATGTGCCACCATGCCTGGCTAATTTTGTTTTTTTGTTTTTTTGTTTTTTTTTTTAGACGGAGTCTCGCTCTGTTGCCCAGGCTGGAGTGCAGTGGTGTGATCTTGGCTCACTGCAAGCTCTGCCTCCTGGGTTCACACTATTCTCCTGCCTCCACCTCCCGAGTAGCTGGGACTACAGGTGCCCACCACCACACCTGGCTAATTTTTTTTTTTTTTTGTATTTTTAGTAGAGATGGGGTTTCACCATGTTAGCCAGGATGGTCTCGATCTCCTGACCTCATGATCCGCCCGCCTCGGCCTCCCAAAGTGCTGGGATTATAGGCGTGAGCCACCACGCCCAGCCAACTTCCTGAATTCTTGATGATTTGAGCATTTTTCTCTGGCCACCATATGCCAAGAGCCAGGGATCTAGAGAGGAGTAAAACTCACCACTCCCTCCTGGCAAGATTCTTCCCTGGAGAGGTCACCAGATACCCTCCAGGATTTCCCTCGATGGATCCTACATCAAACCCAGTCTTTTTCCCCCAAACCACCCCTTGCATCTAGTGAGCCCATCATTGATCCAGGCCCCCCAAGCCAGAAACCTGAAGCTGCCTATCCTCCTCCTTCCTCATGCCTCATTCCTTCTCAGACATCAAGTGCTAAGGATCTTCCTACCAAATGTTCTGTGAATGTTCCGTGAATTCCACCCCCTCCCACCCCCATCTCTGCATCTTCAAGGATTCAGACATCTTTGCCTCTCACTTGGCCCTCTGTGGTCTCCCTACAAGATTCTGACCCTTCCCTGGTGCCTTTCCACAGGGGGTCATCTCCAACAGCCTGCAGCAGTGTGGGTGTACTCTCCTACGGCCTTGCCTGTGCCATCCCCTCTGCCTGGGCCACACCACCCTTTCTTCTCACCTGGCTGGTGTCACCTCATCCTTTAAGTCTTAGCTCCTGCATCAGTCCTCCAGAGGCTGCCGCCTCCCCCACCTCCTACCCCGAGCCTGGCAGAGCCCTCATGAGACCTAAGTAGCACTTGGCAGAGCTAAGTAGGGGCAGGTGTGTTGTTCTCTACATAGGGGTCTGCCTTTCTCCCTGGAGCTTTTTTTCCTACCTAGCACAGTGCCCAGTTAGTAAATTTCAGCCAGGAAGGCAGATGAGGAATTCTGTGCTACACAACAGAGTCATGCAGGAACACAAAGGAAGGGAGGAAGTGACCTTTGAGCCGGGCCTTGAGGAGGATTTCAGATGAAGGGACGCAGCCAGCAGTGGGGCCTAAGGTTCTGGAATGGCCTAGATCCCAGTCTGGCTCTGCATTGGTTGATAACTTTCAACAGCCCTCTGAGCTTCAGTTTCCCCATCTCTCCAATGAAGATAGCTAGGGTTAACTGCACATAAGGACCTTGGTATAGCATTAGCCCTCAGGAAATGGATCCTCTGAGGTGTTGATGACCTATGCAAAAAGGCCCAGAGACAGGAATGTGCAGGAACAGTGACCAGTTGTTGGGTGCAGGGCTGTGAGCCAAAGATGAAACTGGCAATGGAGGTTTGAGCATCAGGTTCCGGAGGGCCTTCGTCATTGTGGTTAGTGACCCACCTGGATGCTCAGGCTGCCACAGCAGTCCCTGGCCTGGTGATCAGTGTGGCAAGAAGGTTCATGCCGGTTGTGGTGGCTTGTGCCTCTAATCCCAGTCCTTTGGGAGGCCGAGGCAGGAGGATCACTTGAGCCCAGGAGTTTGAGATCAGCCTGGGCAACACAGTGAGACCCTGTCTCTACAAAAAATAAATTACTTGGATGTGGTGGCATGTGCCTGTAGTCCTCCTAATCAGGCAGGTGAGGTGGGAGGATCACTTGAGCCCAGGAGTTTGAGGCTGCGGTGAGCTATGATTGCACCACTGCACTCCAGCCTGAGTGACAGAGTGAGACCCTGTCTCTGAAGAAAATAGAAGAAAAAGTCTCAACTGTAACTCTGGTGCATTGACTAGACTAGAATCCCTGTGCCTATACCCCACCCAAGAGATTCTGACTGGCAAGAATACACTGCAGTAGGTCAGGAGCATGGGCTCTGGGGTCAGACTGCCTGCGTTTATACCTCTGCTGTACCTTCAGGAGGCTGGGTGACGTGGAGGTGGTGAGGGGTTGTCTTTAACATCGCCAGGCCTCAGTGTCCTCATTAAAAGGAATAATGGTAGACTTTCCTTCCAGACTTGCGTGAGGATTAGGTGAGACAAGGTACATAGGAACCCAGCATCTGCCACCCCAAGACTCAGAGCTTCACCATCCTTCTAGGCAGTTTGGGTTGGGGCCCAGACATACGTGTTTTGTTAAAGTTGTTTTTTAGGGTTTTTGTGTGTGTGTGAGACAGAGTCTTGCTCTATTACCCAGGCTGGAGTGCAGTGGCATGACTCGGCTCACTGCAACCTCTGCCTCCCGGGCTCAAGCAATCCATCTGTTTCAGCCTCCCAAGTAGCTGGGACCACAGGTGCGTACTACCACGCCTGGCTAATTTTTTGTAAAGACAGGGTTTCACCATGTTGCCCAGGCTGGTCTCAAACACCTGAGCTCAAGCGATTCTGGAGGTAATTTTTCTCCCCCTCAAAAAAAAAATTTTTTTACATATGTATATATTGGGTAGTTAACGTGTTCTTTTTTTCTTTTTTTTGAGACGGAATCTCGCTCTGTCGCGCAGGCTGGAGTGCAGTGGCACGATCTCTGCTCACTGCAACCTTTGCCTCCCGGGTTCAAGCAATTCTCCAGCCTCAGCCTCCCGAGTAGCTGAGACTACAGGCATGAGCCACCACACCGGCTATTTTTTGTATTTTTAGTAGAGACGGAGTTTCGCCATGTGGGCCAGGCTGGTCTCAAACTCCTGACCTCAGGTGATCCACCTACCTCGGCCTCCCAAAGTGCTGGGATTGCAGGCATGAGCCACCACGCCTGGCCAGAGTAGTTACCGTGTTCTCAGTGATGAGAGTACATCAGAGAACAAGGTAGACACACTCCTCCCAAGGAGCTCACAGTCTTTTGGGGATAGGCGGATATTGATCAGGTAGCCAAAATATGTAATTACGAACTGGGATGAGAGCAAGAAGGGGCAGTATTAGGGACCTGAGAGGGCATAGAACAGAGTCCTGCTCAGTCTGAGGGTCAGGGAATACTTTCTGGAAGGAATGATGCTTGAGCAGAGTCTGAAAGACAAGGAGGGCTTAAGAGCTTCTGGTCTGGGGGCCCCACCGGGACAGGTAGGGGAGGTCCCTGGATGCTGCTCCTCAACCCGGCCCCTCTTGCTCCAGACGGCAACTCTGTACCCTGGTGTGGTTTTTGGCATCTGCTTCGTATTGAATTGCTTCATTTGGGGAAAGCACTCATCAGGAGCGGTAAGTGCCTCCCCTACCCTTCCAGCCCCTCCCCAGCAAGCGAGGACCAGTTGCACTCAGCCCTACTCCCAAAAGCCACTTCCTGCCATTCCCTTCCCTTTTCTGAGTCCCCAGAGTTACGTTCCCAGCCATGAGGGCAGAGGGCCAGCTGGGGTTTCCCCAGCCCTGCCCTTGGTGTGTCATGCCCTGGCCCTGGCCTTCCTGTGAGATCTTTCAGTCAACTGACCCAAGCCCACTTCTCTAAAGGGAGGTTTCCACAGTCCAGCGGCCAACTGGGGAATTTCCCTTTGTCTTAACCAAGAGTGAGCTGCCCAGTGTGAGTTTATTAGGTCATTATCCCAAAGCAAGCCTGTCCTCCTCAGTGTCCCTGCCCCTCAGCACCAGCCCCTGCAGGTGGAGGAGAGAGGAAAGGAAGGATCAGGTTGTATTACCCTTAGAGCTGGGAATCCTGCCAGCCCCAGTCCAGTGTGTTACTAGCAGCTGTCCAAGACTCACTGAGGAGGATTTTGAACTCAGTTGTGGGGAGGGGGAGTGGGGTCTTGGTCAATTAGCAGGACTGCAGTTGAGATGTGGCAGGCATTTTGCTATCCTAGCCTTAGCACGTAGAGCCCTCTGCCCTCCACCTGGGGGTGGCGGTAAAGGTCCTTGCATGAGGCTTCACGTCCAGGCTTACAGAGGAGGGGTTTCTTTCCCAGCAACTTAGGAAGCCACCCTCAAGACACAGTCATGCCCTTCCTCTCACTTCACCTTTTTTATCCCTGTGTTCCTTCTCCCTTTGAGCATTTTCCTCCCAGTTACCAGCTGCTCATTATAAACATTCACTGTAGAAATTTTGGAAAGTGCAGAGAAGTTAAAGAAGAAATTTAAAATAACCCCAAATCTGCTCACCCAGAGATAAATACAATGTAGGTCTTTAATATATGTTGTCTTTTTTCCTTTTTATAGATATACTTACAAAAGAATTACATAATTTAAAATTTATAAAATAACAGCAAACATTTATATGATGCTTGCTTTGTAGTAATACTGTTCTAAACACTTTATATATATATTTCTTTTTATGTGATTCTTGTAAAAAGTAAGTGTAGAGAAGAGGATAAAGAAGAAAATGAAAAATCAGTTCTAATCCCCCATATCCCATCTAAGGAAGTATTGTTAGCTCTTTGGTATAGGCCTTTCCAGGCACAAATATAAATAGATACAGTTGTCCCTTGGTATTCATAGGGGATTGGTTCCAGGACCCCTGAAGATACCAAAATTCAAGGATGCTCGAGTCCCATATATAAAGTGGCATAGTGTTTACGTACACACATCCTGTATATTCTGACTCTTCTCTAGATTACTTAAAATACCTAATACAATGTAAATGCTATGTAAATAGTTGTTATACTATATTGTTTTTTAATTTGTATTGTTGTATTTTTTGTTTGTTTGTTTTGAGACAGGGTCTCACTCTGTTGCTCAGGCTGGAGTGCAGTGCTGTGGTCTCAGCTCACTGCAACCTCTGCCTCCCGGGCTCAAGTGGTCCTCCCACCTCAGCCCCACTGAGTAGCTGGGACTACAGGTGTCACCACCACACTCGGCAATTAAAAAAAAAAATTGTAGAGATACAGTCTCACTGTGTTGCCTAGGCTGGTCTCAAACTCCTGGGCTCAAGTGATCTGCCCACCTAGGCCTCCCAAAGTGCTGGGATTACAGGCGTGAGCCACTGTACCCAGCTTATTTTATTGTATTTTTTTTTTTCCTGGACATTTTCTTTTTTTTTTTTTTTGAGACGAAGTCTCACTCTCTCACTCTGTCACCCAGGCTGGAGTGGAGTGGCAAGGTCTCAGTTCACTGCAACCTCCACCTCCCAGGTTCAAATGATTCTCCTGCCTCAGCCTCCCAAGTAACTGGGATTACAGGTGCCCCCCACAGTGCCCGGCTAATTTTTTTTTTGTAATTTTAGTAGAGACTGGGTTTTACCATGTTGGCCAGGCTGATCTTGAACTCCTGACCTCAAGTGATCTGCCCACCTCAGCCTCCCAAACTGCTGGTATTACAGGCATGAGCCACTGCTCCCGGCCTTCCTGAACATTTTCTGTTTGCAGTTGATTAAATCCACAGATGCAGAACCCATGGATACAGAGGACCGACTATGTTGTGTTTTTATTAAAATGGAATCCTTCTATACACATAGTTTATAGCCTCCTTTTTACACTTAATAGTATATCATGTAGTTTTATTCTGACAAGATTGGGAGCACTTTGTACAGTGTTGTTTTTTCCCTTCTTTTCTTCACATAATGTGCCACATGTAATCTCTTCATTTTGACCTCTTCATCTCTTCACGTTCTCAGTCCACTCCTTCCTGTTCCTCCCCTACTTCCTCCCTGGATGGTGAGCTCCTCTGGGATGCTGAGGTGCCTTCTTCACTGGGAGTCCAGATCAGGGCTGGGGTCAGCCTCAAGAGATTCTGGCCAGGAGCCCTGTGGTGGGGGCAGGGAGTGTGCTTCTGCTGCACAAGTCGCCTCTCCTTCTGTGGAGCCCAGAAGGTCCCCTCCCCCTTGCGCAGCCCCCATCCCGGGCATCAGGGCCTCGTGGGGGCCTCATGGTGCCATGTCTACAGGTGCCCTTTCCCACCATGGTGGCTCTGCTGTGCATGTGGTTCGGGATCTCCCTGCCCCTCGTCTACTTGGGCTACTACTTCGGCTTCCGAAAGCAGCCATATGACAACCCTGTGCGCACCAACCAGATTCCCCGGCAGATCCCCGAGCAGCGGTGGTACATGAACCGATTTGTGGGGTGAGTCCTCCAGCAGAGGCAAGAGCAGGGGAACGTGGAAGAGGGTACGCCCCCCTCCGCCACCAGAAGGGTGCGGCAACCAGAGTTCCTGCCGCTTCAGCCGGCTCTAATAGAGTTTATGAAAGCTTAACTTCACTCCAAGATCAAGGTGACCAGGTTGTAGGCAGACTTGGTGTCATCCTAGGAACCAGGACAAGGAAGGGGAAGGATGGAAGGGTATAGTGAGACAGGTTAAGACCATCACTTGGACCTTGGGCAAGTCACCCCACCTCTCTGCACCCCAGTTGCCCATCTATAAAATGAGGAGAATAATGCCCACCCTGCCTACCTCTCAAGAGATTATAATAGTACAGAAATATGCCAGAAGAATTAGCACCACCACACTCGTGTAGGTGCTCTCTCTTCATGCCAGCTTGGGAAGGAGCTTGGGGCTTCCTGGTGGCCTGGTCTCTAACAATGTCAACCTCTCGTTCTGTGGCAGCATCCTCATGGCTGGGATCTTGCCCTTCGGCGCCATGTTCATCGAGCTCTTCTTCATCTTCAGTGTGAGTACTGGTGCCTCCCCCACCCCTCCACCCATGCTAGCCGGGTCACTCCCACTCCACTCGGGTGCTCTGCTGCCTACTGCCTGAGAAAGTTCAGATGGGCCACTTCACCTCTCGGAGCCCCATTCTTCACCCTGAAATTGGACAACAGCCTTCCCTCTCAGGGCAGCATTGAAAGTGAAATGAGGCTGGGCGCGGTGGCTCACACCTGTAATTTCAGCACTTTGGGAGGCCGAGGTGGGTGGATCACAAGGTCAGGAGTTCGAGACCAGCCTGTCCAATATGGTGAAACCCTGTCTCTACTAGAAAATACAAAAATTAGCCGGGCATGGTGGCACACGCCTGTAGTCCCAGCTACATGGGAGGCTGAGGCAGGAGAATCACTTGAACCTGGGAGGTGGAGGTTGCAGTGAGCCAAGATCGCGCCACTGCACTCCAGCCTGGGTGACAGAGAGAGACTCCATCTAAAAAAAAAAAAAAAAATTTAAATGAGATATGTGGTGTGTGGGGAGCCTGGTGTGTGGAAAGGGGGACTTGGTAAATAGAAGCTGCCTCAGTGATACTTCAGTCATTCCCCACCATGACTAATAGCATCGTTGCACCTGGTTTCATTTCTGGGTCCTTGCACATCTTTACCTCTCTGTGTTACTCACAGCTCCTGGGAGGGTGGACAGAATGATTCCTGCTTGTCAGGGTCATTGTGAAGTTGGAATAAGTCATTGTAAAAATGCTTGACTTCAGGAAATGCTGTTGTAATGGTGATGATGACTCCTCCCAAAGAGTGCCAAGATGAAAGTTGGTAGGAAGGCCCTTCAGAGGCATGTAAGTGTGGCTGACCCAGCTCGGGGCCCAGCACAGATGGTACCTTGTACCAAGTCAGTACCGGACATGTATCTGCTATTCCAGAGTAGTGGCCCAGCCCCTCCCTGCTGAGACCACCTCACCCACACAGGTTTGCCTGGGAGAAGGGTCAGAGGAGGTGTTGGCTGCCCATGGTACCAAAGCCCATGTGCACTTCCCAGGGAAGCCCCCTCTGTTTCATCTGTGTGACTCTGGGCCAGTCACCAGCGTCTCTGATCCTTGACTTTCTTAGCTCTACCAGGCCAAGCTTTCATAGACACACACATGTAGCAATTGTATATGAGGCATGTGGCATAAGGCCTAGCGCTTGGTAAGCTGCTCAAGTGGTGGTGGCTGCTCTATAATTTTGATTTGGATAAGAATCATTATTTTCTACAAGCTGCTGAGTTCAGGCTGGGGTCTACCCAGAGCAGGTCAGTCAACCCCTGGCCCCTCCCTAAGGACAGTGTGGCTCACCCCCTGCTCTGGGGAAGAGGGGCCAGAGCCACATGCCAGGCCCACGGGCCCTGATGGTGTCATGATGATGTGTCCACTCCTGCCCTTGTGACAGGTTGGTGTGCCAGGGGAAGGGGAGCAGGGTGGTCAAGCCAGCTGAAGCCCCACTGTGTGTCCACAGGCTATCTGGGAGAATCAGTTCTATTACCTCTTTGGCTTCCTGTTCCTTGTTTTCATCATCCTGGTGGTATCCTGTTCACAAATCAGCATCGTCATGGTGTACTTCCAGCTGTGTGCAGAGGTGAGGAGAGCAGGGCCAGGAGGCGGGGGAGGGAGAACTGGATCCAGCATTGAACGGGTTGATGAGGCTCTGCGGAGAGGCTGGGTCTGGGCTCTTCATGTGGCCCCTGCTTCTGGCTCTGAGCTCTTGGGCCAGTACGTTGCTGTGCCTCTCCCAGCCTCCATGTATTCAGCTGTACCCTGGGCCTAATGAGATACCTTCCAGCTTAGTTGTGTGGGGTACTCACCACAGCTAGATGAAAGGACAGTAGATTTGCCAGTGCCAAGTCCACTCCAGTAGTAGTTTCTTCAACAGGCTGATGCACACTGGGTGGCCTGCCCTCCCTCTGGGAACTGGCCATTGGCAGAGTGGGTGAAGCCAGGGTTTGGGATGAACAGTCCCTCTGGGCTGGGACCCTGGCTCCTCCATGAGTAGCTCTGGGTCTTGGGCGGGTTGCTTAACTTCATGCCATCCGTTCCTCCTCCACATGATGGGGTGAGTGAGAGGACCTAACTTGGAGGGCTGCTCTCAGGATTAAATGAGTGGATTCATCTATAGCACTTAGAGTGGTGTTTGCCAGCCAGGCACGGTAGCTCACGCCTGTAATCCCAGCATTTTGAGAGGCTGAGGCGGGCAGATCACAAGGTCAGAAGATCGAGACCATCCTGGCTAACATGGTGAAACCCCATCGCTACTAAAAATACAAAAAGTTAGCCGGGTGTGGTGGCACGTGCCTGTAGTCCCAGCTACTTGGGAGGCCGAGGCAGGAGAATCACTTGAACCCAGGAGGCGGAGGTTGCAGTGAGCCGAGATCGCACCACTGCACTCCATCCTGGGCGACAGAGTGAGACTCCATCTCAAAAAAAAAAAAAAAAAAAAAAAAAAAAGAATAGTGCCTGCCACATGCTAAGCATTTGCTCGAGAAATGTTAATTATTTTTTTGTTGTTGATTTTTTTTTTAATGAGGTATAAACTGTAAAGTTCACCCTTCTTTGTCCACAGTTCTGTGGTTTTTAGAAATGCATACAGTTCTGGAACCACCATCACAGTCAAGCTGTGAAACATTTCCATCACCCCATATGTTACTGCTCTTACCAGAGTCTTCAGCCCCTCAAGCAACTGTGAAATTGGTAGGAAGGGGTTCTGCCCCAGGACAACACTGACCTTCCTCTGTTTCCTCCTCAGGATTACCGCTGGTGGTGGAGAAATTTCCTAGTCTCCGGGGGCTCTGCATTCTACGTCCTGGTTTATGCCATCTTTTATTTCGTTAACAAGGTACTGCCCTCCTTGAGGAGGTCCTCTTAGTCCTCATAGGGTAGGAAGGTCAGGAGGAGGATGCTGGGAGAAAAACCCAAGTGCCTGAATCTTCCTTTTCCACCCAGAATGGGGAGGACCAAAGCCACCTAGAACTGTTCCTGCTCTAGAAGATGGATCTTTTTAGGAAAGAAAGAATCTGTATTCTGTATGTTTGGGAGACAAAGGCCATCAGGATACGTGACAATGTGAATAATGCTTGTAAAACTTACGAGGTATAGCCATAGCCAAAGCAGGACTTGAAAGCAATATGTCACCTGCAGTGCTCTTCACAGGAAATAAGAGGGACTAATAACACCTTGAGAAAAAGGAAAAGATAAGAGTAACATGAAAGAAGAAAAGTAGAAAGGAGTTAATAAAGATAAAAGCACAAAATGCTGAAATAGTCTAAATAGTAGAACCCAAATTTAGGGCTGCAGGTATCCTGTCTCTGCAGGTGTTCTCTTCTTCACGCAAGTACTGTTCAATCCTGCAGAGTAAGGAGAGGATGGGAAAGTTTTTCACAGGCACCTCGGAGCCCTCCTAACTCTGTGACCCCACATAGGTAAAGTGTGGCCCAATAATAAGAGGGAGCCAGGCTTACCTGACTAGGGCAACTCACAGAGCTCATTGTCCCGAGAGAGAGACGTGGGCAAGAATACAGATGTCCCCACGACAGTTTTACTAGATTCATTCATGATACACAAACCAGATGAGCCATTGAGAGGAATTTGGAGGAGCCCTGTTGGGCCCCTCACCTCCAAAACTAATACTCAAGACTTACTCTGACCTGCTGTACTTTGGGTCTCCAGAGCCCAGAAGCAAGCAGTCCTCTGTGGCAGTCAGGCGTATTTGCAAAATAGAGTTGTAGGTCAGTTGATCGAAGCTGGGAATGCCGTTTCCCAAAAACAGTCAAGTTGGAAAAGACTGGAAGGATCATTTAGTGTAGTGCTGTACCCCTACCTCCAGTCTGGTGACTGTGCCCCTCTTCTCTAACAGTCTCAACAGATGATTCTCTAGCTCAGGGGTCAGCAAACTGCAGCCCGCGTGGGCCAGCAGGCCTGTTTCTATAAATTTTTATTGGAACACAGCCATGGTCATTCATTAACATATCTGTCCATGGCTGCTTTCACACTACAATGGCAGAGTTGAGTAGTTGCGACAGGGACCATATGGCCTGCAGAAACTAAAATATTTACAATCTGGCCCTCTAAGTAAAAGATTGCAGACCCCTGCTCTACTACATCCAGCAACAGAGAAGACACTCCCTCCTAACATTCCCATTCTTTCTGGACAGCTCCTGTCATTATCAAGGTCTTGATTCACACTGCAGTCTCCCTTGCTGTGACTTCCATCTTTAGACCTTAGTCTTAATTCTGGGATCATCTAGAACAAATCTAATCTCCCTCCTCTATAGCCCATATTAATCATAACTCTCATAAGTGGCAAGTGACTAAAACTCTATCAAAGTAGCTTAAGCAAAAAAAAAGGGAAAAAAAGTAGCTTAAGCAAAAAGAATGTATTTGCTTATATAACTGGAAAGACTAAGAAATTGGAGTTCTAGCCTCAACCATGCTTAGATCCAGAGTCTCAAAAATATCAGGGCTCAATCCCAGCACTTCGGGAGGCCGAGGAGGGTGGATCACAGGGTCAAGAGATCGAGTCCATCCTGGCCAACATGGTGAAACCCTGTCTCTACTGAGATACAAAAAATTAGCCGGGCGTGGTGGTGCACGTCTGTAGTCCCAGCTACTCAGGAGGCTGAGGCAAGGGAATCGCTTGAACCCTGGAGGCAGAGGTTGCAGTGAGCCAAGATCGTGCCACTGCACTCTAGCCTGGGTGACAGAGCAAGACTCCATCTCAAAAAAAAAAAAAAAAAAAAAAAATATATATATATATATATATATATATATGTATGTATGTATGTATGTACACATACATACCAGGGCTCTGTGCCCACGCCTTAGCCCTGTGTATCTTTTTTTGGCCTCAGTCTGCAGGCAAGATCTTTTCACAAAGTAGAAAGATGGCCAGTGGCAGCCCTAGAGTCTACTCTTTCCAGCTTTGCAGCCCTAGAGCTAAAAGACTGTCTTTCGTCTACCATGATACGTCAGCCAGTGAAGACACGCTGCTCTGCTCGGGTGACATGCCCAGTGCTCACTGTTTTCCAGGTCCAATAGCATCACATATTCAGACAGACTGGCTTAGGTCTTGTGCTAGGAATTTTTTTTTTTTTTTTTTTTTTTGAGATGGAGACTCGCTCTGTTGCCCAGGCTGGAGTGCAGTGGTGCGATCTTGGCTCGCTGCAGCCTCTGCCTCCCGGGTTCCAGCGATTCTCCTGCCTCTGCCTCCTGAGTAGCTGGGGTTACAGGTGCACACCACCACGCCCGGCTAATTTTGTGTTTTTAGCAGAGACAGGGTTTCTCCATGTTGGCCAGGCTGGTCTTGAACTCCTGACCTCATGTGATCCGTCTGCCTCAGCCTCCCAAAGTGCTGGGATTACAGGCGTGAGCCACCGCACCTGGCCTATTTTGTGCTAGGATTGATGGCCCCAACAGGACCAGGTGTTTTGAGTGTTCCTCAAAACATCTGGAATATGGAAGACAAGGAACACGGTTAAACAAAACTAGAGATCACATCACAGCCTCTTGTCCTTCCTCCCTTCTGCTCCAGTCTTCTTGCTCTGCTCAAAAAATCTCTTCCTCCAGCCCCAATGCCTTATGTATAAAATGAGGAACTTTCTGGCTCTGCCTCTTTGCCTCGTCCCTTGCCTCCTTTTACCACGGTTCTGCTCCTTGTCCCTCCCCCACCCCTCCCCCGACCACCAGCCACAAGAATGCATATAACAAGAGATGGAGGCTGGGTGCATATGGTTCACACCTATAATCCTAGCGTTTTCAGAGGTGGGAGGATAACTTAAGTCCAAGTGTCTGAGACCAGCCTGGGCAATAGAGCAAGACACCATTGCTAGAAAAAATATTAGCTGGGTGTGGTGGCACACACCTATAGTCTGAGCTACTTGGGAGGCTGAGGCAGGA
Organism: Homo sapiens; assembly: GCF_000001405.40. NCBI lineage: Eukaryota > Metazoa > Chordata > Mammalia > Primates > Hominidae > Homo > Homo sapiens. The sequence continues at coordinate 32,164,422 of NC_000020.11, forward strand.
GGATCCCTTGAGCCCAGGAGGGTGAGGCTGTAGTGAGCTGTGATCATGCCACTGTGCTCTAGTCTGGGTAATAGAGGGAGACCCTGTCCCTTTAAAGAAAAGGGGTTAGGGGAGAGATGCGGGGCTGAGCCTGAAAACATGGCCTTCACCCCTTAGGCTTAGGAGAGGGCTTCAAATGGTGACCTATTTTGTTTTCTTTGTTTCTTTACTGTTTTCTTCTGGGCTACTGGCATTCTGTGACCATGTGTCTGCCTGTGAGTCCTGGGACAGGCCCTACTCAGGCCCTGGGCATATCTTGATACCAAGGTTCCACATTAGTTCCCTTTGTAAATAACACAGATCCCCAGCATCTCTGCCCAGCCTCTAAACTCTACCCCAGTTAAAAAGGAGTCCAAAATGCTCCAAGATCAAAATCTCTGTGAGATGCTAACAAAAGTGACAAGCATTCTGGGGAAGAGAGGAATGAATGGAGGCTGAGGCGGGCTGATGGGGCTCCTGGTCCTGAAGCTGGGCATCCTGGACACCCCTCCCCTCCCCCACCCACTCCGACTGCTTCTCCAGCCATGCGGGAGTGTTGCCATACTGATCTGGGGTCTGTGGGGGACCAGGAAGGGCACAGCTGTGGCCATTCCTTTTGTGGCATTCTGGGCCTGGCCCCTGAGGCTATGAGCATTAGGGCAATACACAGGCCTGGTCCAGATGAAGCAGAGCTGTGCCCATGAACCCTGCCTGCCGCTTGCCACCCACTGGAGCACGCCCCTTCCCCTGGCCAGGCCTCAGTTTCCCCATGATATCAGTGAGAGTGGGGCCCCAGTTCGCCATGCAGCCTGGCACTAAGCATGCACCCTGTCTTCTTTCTGCTCGTGGCCGCAGCTGGACATCGTGGAGTTCATCCCCTCTCTCCTCTACTTTGGCTACACGGCCCTCATGGTCTTGTCCTTCTGGCTGCTAACGGGTACCATCGGCTTCTATGCAGCCTACATGTTTGTTCGCAAGATCTATGCTGCTGTGAAGATAGACTGATTGGAGTGGACCACGGCCAAGCTTGCTCCGTCCTCGGACAGGAAGCCACCCTGCGTGGGGGACTGCAGGCACGCAAAATAAAATAACTCCTGCTCGTTTGGAATGTAACTCCTGGCACAGTGTTCCTGGATCCTGGGGCTGCGTGGGGGGCGGGAGGGCCTGTAGATAATCTTGCGTTTTTCGTCATCTTATTCCAGTTCTGTGGGGGATGAGTTTTTTTGTGGGTTGCTTTTTCTTCAGTGCTAAGAAAGTTCCCTCCAACAGGAACTCTCTGACCTGTTTATTCAGGTGTATTTCTGGTTTGGATTTTTTTTTCCTTCTTTGTTTTAACAAATGGATCCAGGATGGATAAATCCACCGAGATAAGGGTTTTGGTCACTGTCTCCACCTCAGTTCCTCAGGGCTGTTGGCCACCCTATGACTAACTGGAAGAGGACACGCCAGAGCTTCAGTGAGGTTTCCGAGCCTCTCCCTGCCCATCCTCACCACTGAGGCCACGACAAAGCACAGCTCCAGCTCGGACAGCACCCTCAGTGCCAGCCAGCCTCTGCCAGACCTCTCTTTCCCTCTTCTCCCCAGCCTCCTCCAGGGCTGCCCAAGGCAGGGTTTCCAGCCAGGCCTCGGGGTCATCTTTTCACCAGGAGCAAACCCAAGTCTTAGTTGCTACAAGAAAATCCCCTGGAAGTACTGGGGGCCAGGTTCCCCAGACAGCAGGAATTGCCCCTGTTCAGAGCAGCCGGAGTTTGCTGGACCACAAGGAAGAAGAGAAGAGACTTGCAGTGAACTGTTTTTGTGCCAAGAAACCCTGGACCTGGGGCCAAGTATTTCCCAAGCCAAGCATCCACTTGTCTGTGTCTGGGAAGGGATGGCCAAGGCCGCTAGGGTCCTTACCCCTCAGGATCACTCCCCAGCCCTTTCCTCAGGAGGTACCGCTCTCCAAGGTGTGCTAGCAGTGGGCCCTGCCCAACTTCAGGCAGAACAGGGAGGCCCAGAGATTACAGATCCCCTCCTGTAAGTGGCCAGGCATTCTCTCCCTGCCCTCTCTGGCCTCTGGGGTCATACTCACTTCTTTAGCCAGCCCCATCCCCTCCACCCCACACCTGAGTTCTTGCCTCCTCCTTTTGGGGACACCCAAAACACTGCTTGTGAGAAGGAAGATGGAAGGTAAGTTCTGTCGTTCTTTCCCCAATCCCCAGGAATGGACAAGAAGCCAACTTAGAAAGAAGGGTCTCACGTGGCTGGCCTGGCTCCTCCGTAGACCCCTGTTCTTTTCAACCTCTGCCCACCCGTGCATGTCATCACAAACATTTGCTCTTAAGTTACAAGAGACCACATCCACCCAGGGATTAGGGTTCAAGTAGCAGCTGCTAACCCTTGCACCAGCCCTTGTGGGACTCCCAACACAAGACAAAGCTCAGGATGCTGGTGATGCTAGGAAGATGTCCCTCCCCTCACTGCCCCACATTCTCCCAGTGGCTCTACCAGCCTCACCCATCAAACCAGTGAATTTCTCAATCTTGCCTCACAGTGACTGCAGCGCCAAGCGGCATCCACCAAGCATCAAGTTGGAGAAAAGGGAACCCAAGCAGTAGAGAGCGATATTGGAGTCTTTTGTTCATTCAAATCTTGGATTTTTTTTTTTCCCTAAGAGATTCTCTTTTTAGGGGGAATGGGAAACGGACACCTCATAAAGGGTTCAAAGATCATCAATTTTTCTGACTTTTTAAATCATTATCATTATTATTTTTAATTAAAAAAATGCCTGTATGCCTTTTTTTGGTCGGATTGTAAATAAATATACCATTGTCCTACTGTTTTGTCTTGAATCTCATGCAGGGGTTGGAGGTCTGAGGTGAGACACCTTCCCCGAGTGGGTTGAGTTGCACAGTTTCCCCCGAAGCTCATTCTCGTGTCACACTTCAGGGCTCAAGCCACTGTTGTTCCCTGCCTGGTACAAGTCCATTGCCTAGCCCCTCCATACTAAATTGCAGTCATTTGCTCTTCTGATCCCACAAGCAGGAAATGACAATCAAGTGTGTTTTGGTAGCAGCAAGATCTGGTTTTGGATTCCCAGCTTCAGTCTTTTACTGTCAGCTCATCTCACTCTATGAAACCCAGTTCTTCAATTGTAAGCAACAGAAACATCGGTCAAACTGGTTTTAGCCCAAAAATGAATTGATTGGTTCTTAAGTCATCAAGGATTTTGTTTATTTTGCTTCAGGTCTGGCTGGATCCAGGGGCTCAAAGGATAGCCTTAGGGCTCTTTCCCCTTTTCCACTGTGCTCCTCTCCGGCGTCACTCTGTCCTGTTATCCACAGTCTTCCTCCTGATGGGTGAGGCAGGGAGGGCAGGATGCCAATCACTCCAGACTTACATGATCCACTTGGGTATGCCGGGGGGCTGGGGTAGGGGAAGATGTCCCTTCCCACTTCAGTTTATTCAATATAGAGGAATTTCAGGAAACATTTCTGATTGGCCCAGCTTGGATTATTATTTGAACATCTTGCACCAATCACTATATCCAGGGGGTTGGAGTATGATTTGGGGCCACTTTCCCTGAAGGTGTTGGATACTGTGAATTTCAGCCCTACCAGAATTACTTAGAATGGTTGATGAGGAAAGAACCATTTCCCATGGTAAGGGATGCGAAACAGACCAAAACAGTGGCCTGTTACCCACCACCCCGCCACCCCAACCCCAAGCCTCAGTTCCTCATCTGCAATGGGAAAGGTGCTTGTTACTATTTATGGAGTACTTCCTGTGTTCTGATGTTCCAAACACTTTCCATGGGTTAGCCCATTTAATCTTGGATATGATACAAGATAACAACGTGCCCCTGAGACAGCTTCTGTTATTAGCCCCCTTTTACAGAGGTGGTCACTGAGGCACCAAGCAGTTGAGGTAACCTGCTGGGGCAGGATGGGGGGTGATGTCCCATGATGGGTGGAGTAGTGTTCACCTGGGACAGCCAGACTTCTGAATCTGTCCTTCCAACCTCTCTAGCCGCCTTTTTAAAGGGCTGTGTGTGTGTGTGTGTGTGTAAAATTATATGTAATTGATGTAAAATGAACTGCAGTTTGATAAGTCTTGATACACACACCCATGAAATTATCACCACAATCTCAATTGTGAGCATACCCAGGTTTCCTCATGCCTTTCTTTATAATCCTGCCCTCTAGCCTCTCAACATCATGCTTGTCCCCTCCAAACCTCATGTGGAAATTTGATCCCCAGTGTTGGAGGTGGAGCCTAATGGGAAGTGTTTGGGTCATGGGAGCAGATTCCTCATGAATAGATTAGTGCACTGGGGGAGGTGGGAGCAGAGGAGGTGAGTGAGTTCTCTCTTAGCTCCTAAGAAAGCTGGTTGTTAAAAAGAGCCTGGCACCTCCCTGCAACCCCCACTTCTCTCCCCATGTAATCTCTGCACATGCCAGCTCTCCACCTTCCACCATGAGCAGAAGGAACTCACCAGAAGCAAATGCCCAATCTTGAACTTTCCAGCTGTCAGAATCATGAGCCAGACTGGGCACGGTGGCTCAGGCCTGTAAGCCCAACACTCTGGGAGGCTGAAACAGGAGGATCACTTGAGGCCAGGAGAAAGTCAGCCTGGGCAACAAAGCAAGACCTCATCTCTAAAAACAAATTTTAAAAATTTGTTAAAAACTCGTGAGCTGGCCGGGTGCGGTGGCTCATGCCTGTAATCCCAGCATTTTGGGAGGCCGAGGCGGGCAGATTACCTGAGGTCAGGAGTTCGAGACCAGCCTGTACAACATTGTAAAACCCTGTCTCTACTAAAAATACAAAAATTAGCCAGGCGTGGTGGCCCACGCATGTAATCCTAGCTACTCAGGAGGCTGAGCCCAGGAGATGGAGGTTGCAGTAAGCCAAGATTGTACCACTGCACTCCAGCCTAGCCAACAGAGCAAGACTCTGAAAAGAAAAAAAAAAAAAAATTCATGAGCCAAGTAAACCTTTTTTTCTTTATAAATTACCCAGCCTCAGGTATTCCTTATAGCAACACAAAACAGACTAAGACACCATCCCCAATAAGCCACTGATCTTTCTTTCTGTCGCTATAGATTAATTTGCATCTCCCAGAGCTTTATATAAGGAGAATCATACGCTACATATTACGCTATGTATGTATACATTGCTAGGCTAGAAAAATAAAGTTTGTTCTACCAGGAATCACAAGTTAGAACTGAGTATTCTCCAAAGTGGAAATTACAGAGTGTAAGGTCATTCCAGGCAAAGATTATTCATTCAGTCCTCATACCCAACATTCACAACTCCCTATCAGAAGGGTTAAACCAGGTCAAAACAGTCCGGCATAATTAGGCTTCATCAAACAATGCCATTATGTTCTTCTAAGATGCAAATAAACCAAAACAGGAAATACTAAAATCAAAATAATACTTGATGCTGTCATACAAATTGTTAGTTCCTTGCTGTATTCCCCCTTCTATAACATTAATAAAGGGAATATCTTACTGCAAAGAATATTTTATTTTATACATCACTAGCCATGAATTTTTGCCATTAGTTATTATACAAATGCTGCCTAATGCCATTAGCCAAATGGCATAACCATTTTATGTCCACCATTCACTTCTATAGTTATAAGTAGAATTTTCATGATTTACATATGTACATCTATCAGTGAGGATTTAACACTGAGATACAATCTAACATCTGTAATATCTGATGTTTTAAAGTAGATAGCAATGTAGGAAAGATATATTTTAATCACTTTTCATTTAAGTGACCTTATGTAAAACATTAACCAATAGTTTAGCAGTTCCACGTCTCCAAGGGACATTTTCAAATGTATGTAAAGAAATGGTTACAGATTTTTAAGAAGCATCTTCCATGTCCACATCCTGTTGTAATCTCTGTGCCATTTTCTCTTCCAGCTGCTTCCCTTTGCCTACAAGAGGGGCTCGGAAAGATGGATGTTTTTCTTGACTTCTTTGATATCCTGAACTTCTCTACGTAGCCCTTTATGTTTCTTCAGTCTGTTCATTATAAATTTAGCTTGGCATTTCTGTTTGATCTCTTCAACTCTCTTCATTGCATCAATAGTTTTATTCCATAGCTCTCACTGATATTTGATAAGTGCATTTCTATGTTTTTCCAATTCAAATGAATTATCCACTGTAAGCCCTTTACCAGCTGTTTTCCAGAATGCTTTGGTCCACCTACCTTTGTGAGGATTGTGCTTCTTTTTAAAGTTTTTATGACATTTAGATTTACAAAATCTGAACACCTTGCAATCATTGCGGACAGACATCATGCCATGGCCAGGGTAGATGGGCCCCGAACAGAAATAACACTCTTGAGACACATGTTGAACCCACGTGGGTCCCCACCGACCAAACGCCAGGCTTGAGAGGAAGTCAGGTGTATGTTTAACCTAAACTGCCACACTCTTTTCTAAGGTGGTGTATCATTTTATGTTACCATCAGCAGTATACAAGAGTGCCAGTTCCTTTACATCCTAATAACACTTGGTATGGTTAATATTTTTAATTTTAGCCATTCTTACAGGTATATAACATCTTGTGATTTTAATTTCTATTTCCCTAATGACATGTTGCACATCTTTTCATGTGCTTATTTGTTATTGTTGGTGACAAATGTATCTTCTTTGGTGAAGTAGATGTTCAAATTTATGTTCATTTGTATTGGGTTTGGAGTTATTGTCAAGTTTTGAGAGTTATTTATGTATTCTGCAGACAAGTCCTTTATCGGTAAATGCTTTGCAAAGATTTTCTTAGTCTGTGTATGGCTTGTGTTTTCATTGAAAACTATGTCTTTTGAAGAGCACAGGTTTTTTATTTTGATGAAGTCTAATTTATAAACAAATAATTTGTTTAAGCAATTTAATTTGTTCTTTTTTGAATTTTTGGTTTGTTTGATTTTTGAAACAGGGGTTTCACTATGTTACCCAGGCTAGTCTCAAACTCCTGGCCTCAAGCGATCCTCTGGCCTCAGCCTCCTAGGTAGCTGGGATTACAGACACATGTCACCGTGCCCAGCTCCTTTCATGGATTTTGCTTTTTGGTGTTAGACATCTTTGCTTAACTCAAGGTCACAGTGAATTTCTCCTGGGTTTTCTTTTTTTCTTTTTTGTTGTGGCAGAGTCTTGCTCTGTGACACAGGCTGGAGCACAGTGGCATGATGATAGCTCACTGCAATCATGATCAAGCATCAAGTGATCCTCCCACCTCAGCCTCCCAAATAGCTGGAACCACAGGTGTGCACCACCACGCCTGGCGAATTTTTTTTTTTCTATTTTTGTAGAGACAGTGTCTCACCTTGTTGCCCGGGCTGATCTCAAATCCCTGGGCTCAAGCAATCCTTTTGCTCAGCCTCCCAAGTAGCTGGGATTATAGGCTTGAGCCAAAATGCACCTGGCTCGAATGTCTCTCTTTATTTTATTTTTATTTATTTATTTGAGACAGGATCTCACTCTGTCACTCAGGCTGGAGCGCAGTGGCAGTGGCATAATCACAGCTCACTGCTGCCTTGACCTCCTGGGCTCAAATAGTCCTCTCCCCTCAGCCTCCCAGGTAGCTGGGACTATAGGCATGCACTGCCATGCCCAGCTAGTTATTTTTTGTCAAGACAGGTCTTCCTATGTTGCCTAGGCTGGCCTCAAACTTCGGGGCTCAAGCAGTCCTCCTGCCTTGGCCTCCCAAATTGCTGGAATTACAGGCATGAGCCTCTGTGCCCAGCTGTGGAGTTGATATCTTAACAATATTAAGTCTTCCAACCCATGAACAAATTATACCTCTCAATTTAGGTCATCTTTAATTTCTCTCAGCAGTGTTTTGTATCTTCAGCATCTAGGTCTTCCACTTCTTTTGTCAGATTTATTCCTCAGTGTTTCATATTTTTGATGCTATTGTAAATGGTAGTTTTTTATTTTTATTTTTTGAGACAGAGTTTTGCTCTTGCTGCCCAGGCTGGAGTGCAATGGTGTGATCTCGGCTCACTGCAACCTCCGCCTCCTGGGTTCAAGCGATTCTCCTGCCTCAGCTGGGATTACAGGCATGTGCCACCACGCCCGGCTAATTTTGTATTTTTAGTAGAGACGTGGTTTCTCCATGTTGGTCAGGCTGGTCTTGAACTCCAACCTCAGGTGATCTGCCTGCCTCGGCCTCCCAAAGTGCTGGGATTACAGGCATGAGCCACTACGCCTGGTGTAAATGGTATGTTTTTAAATTTTTATTTATTTATTTAGAGATGGAGTCTTGCTCTGTCACCCAGTCTGGGGTGCAGTGGCGGGATCTTGGCTCACTGCAACCTCTGCCTCCTGGGTTCAAGCAATTCTTGTGCCTCAGCCTCCCAAGCAGCTGGGACCACAGGTGCATGCCACCACACCCGGCTAATTTTTACATTTTTCAGTAGAGATTAGATTTCTCCATGTTAGCCAGGCTGGTCTCAAACTCCTGACCTCAAGTGTTCTGCCTGCCTCAACTTCCAAAAGTGCTGGGATTACAGGTGTGAGTCGCTGTGCCTGGCCTGTAAATGGTATGTTTGTATTTCTGATTTTTCATTGCTACTGTTGTACAGAAATAACAGTTGATTTTTAAAATACTGATCTTATACCCTAAAACCTTGCTAACTTATTAGTTCTAGTAGCTTTTTTAGATCTCATTGGATTTTCTCCATAGATGATCATGTTGTCTGTGAATAAAGACAGTTTTACTTCTTTCTTTCCAATCTGGATGCCTTTCATTTCTGTTTCTTGCCTGATTGCACTGGCTACAATATCCAATACAATACCTGAATGGTGAAAGTAGACATACCTGTCTTTATTTTTTGGGTTTTTTTGTTTGTTTGTTTGTTTGTTTGTTTGTTTGTTTGAGAGAGAGTCTCTGTCGCCCAGGCTGGAGTGCAGTGGTGTGATCTCGGCTCACTGCAAGCTCCGCCTCCTGGGTTCAAGTGATTCTCCTGCCTCAGCCTCCCGAATAGCTGGGATTATAGGTGCCTGCCACTGGACTTGGCTAATTTTTGTATTTTTAGTAGAGACAGGGTTTTGCCATGTTGGCCATGCTGGTCTCGAACTCCTGACCTCAGGTGATCCACCTGCTGATTCAGCCTCCCAAAGTGTGGGATTACAGGCATAAGCCACCACAGCCAGCCCATCCCTGTCTTTAATTTGCTCTTTTCTAGTGTTTTAAAGTGGAAGCTAGGGCATTTATTTGAGGGCTTTCTTTTCTAATGTAGGTGTTTAGTGCTATAAACTTCTTTTAAAGTCTCACTGTAATGGCATCCCAGAAATTCTGCTATATTGTGTTTTCATTGTCATTCCATTCAAAATACTTTCTAATTTTCATTTGATTTCTTTTTTTGAGTCATGTGTTATTTAGAAGTGTGTTATTTAGTTCCCAAATATTGGGGGATTTTTTTCAAGGATCCTTAGGTTACTTATGTCTAATTTCTAATTCTATTGTGGACAGAGACTTTGTATGACTTGGGTCCTTTTGACTTTATTAAGACTTGTTTTATGGCTCAAAATATGGTCTATCTTGATAAAGGTTCACGCACAATTGAAAAGAATGGTATTCTGTGTTCTTGGGTACAGGGTTCTATAAATATCAGTCAGGTCAAGTTGATTGATAATGGTGTTCAAGTATATGATATCTTTACTGATTTTCTGCCTGCTTATTCTATCAATGATTGAGAAAGGGGTACTAAAATCTCTGGCGGTAATTATAGATTTTTATATTTCTCTTTGCAGTTCTATTTTTTGCTATAGGTATTTTGTTAGGTACATACTATCTTTTGGATTAATTTATCCCTAGTAATTTATGTAATTTATCTATTTTGTCACATATTGATATAGCCAATCCCACTTGCTTCTTACTGTTAGTGTGGTATATCTTTTCCATCCTTTTACTTTTAACCTATTTCCATTTGTATAGTTAAAATGTGTTTCTTATAGGCAGCATATAGTTTGGTCTTTCTTTCTTTTTTCCAATCATACAATCTCTGCTTTTTAATTGGTATGTTTAGACCACTTAATTTTTTTTTTTTTTTTTGAGACAGAGTCTCACTGTTGCCCAGGCTGGAGTGCAGTGTTGCAATCTCAGTTCACTGCAACCCCTGCCTCCCGGGTTCAAGTGATTCTCCTGCCTCAGCCTCCGTAATAGCTGGGACTACAGGCACGTGCCACCACACCTGGCTAATTTTTGTATTTTTAGTAGAGGTGTGGTTTCACCATGTTGACCAGGCTGGTCTCGAACTCCTGACCTCAGGTGATCCGTCCACCTCAGCCTCCCAAAGTGCTGGGATTACAGGCGTGAGCCACCGCACCCGGCCTCCAGTGTATTTTTCATCTCAGACATTGTCTTTTTTTTTAATGTCTACGTATTTCATTTGGATCTTTTTTCATATTGTTCATGTCTCTATTTTATTATGGTAAAATACACAACATAAAATTAACTGTTTTAATATTTGTAAGTATACAATTCAGTGGCATCAGGTACAGTCTCAATGTTGTGCAACCATCACCACTATCTATCTACAGAATATTTTCATCATCTCAAATTGAAACTGGGCTGGGCGTGGTGGCTCACACCTGTAATCCCAGCACTTCAGGAGGCCAAGGCAGGCAGGTCAGCTGAGGTCAGGGGTTTGAGACCAGCCTGGCAAACATGGTGAAACCCCATCTCTACTAAAAATACAAAAATTAGCTGGGTGTTGTGGCACGTGCCTATAATCCCAGCTCCTCGGGAGGCTGAGGCAGGAGAATTGCTTGAACCCCTGGGAGGTGGAGGTTGCAAGTGAGCCGAGATCACACCACTGCACTCCAGCCTGGGCAACAAAGCAAGACTGTCTTAAAAAAAAAAAAAAAAAAGCCCTCTCCCCCTCCCCCTCCCCCTCCCCCTCCCCCTCCCCCTCCCTCTCCCTCTCCCCACGGTCTCCCTCTCATGCGGAGCCGAAGCTGGACTGTACTGCTGCCATCTCGGCTCACTGCAACCTCCCTGCCTGATTCTCCTGCCTCAGCCTGCCGAGTGCCTGCGATTGCAGGCACGCGCCGCCACGCCTGACTGGTTTTGGTGGAGACGGGGTTTCGCTGTGTTGGCCGGGCCGGTCTCCAGCCCCTAACCGCGAGTGATCCGCCAGCCTTGGCCTCCCGAGGTGCCGGGATTGCAGACGGAGTCTCGTTCACTCAGTGCTCAATGGTGCCCAGGCTGGAGTGCAGTGGCGTGATCTCGGCTCACTACAACCTACACCTCCCAGCCGCCTGCCTTGGCCTCCCAAAGTGCCGAGATTGCAGCCTCTGCCCGGCCGCCACCCCGTCTGGGAAGTGAGGAGTGTCTCTGCCTGGCCGCCCATCGTCTGGGATGTGAGGAGCCCCTCTGCCTGGCTGCCCAGTCTGGAAAGTGAGGAGCGTCTGCGCCCGGCCGCCATCCCATCTAGGAAGTGAGGAGCGCCTCTTCCCAGCCGCCATCACATCTAGGAAGTGAGGAGCGTCTCTGCCCGGCTGCCCATCGTCTGAGATGTGGGGAGCGCCTCTGCCCCGCCGCCCCATCTGGGTTGTGAGGAGCGCCTCTGCCCGGCCGAGACCCCATCTGGGAGGTGAGGAGCATCTCTGCCCGGCCGCCCTGTCTGAGAAGTGAGGAGACCCTCTGCCTGGCAACCACCCCGTATGAGAAGTGAGGAGCCCCTCCGCCCGGCAGCTGCCCCGTCTGAGAAGTGAGGAGCCTCTCCGCCCGGCAGCCACCCCATCTGGGAAGTGAGGAGCGTCTCCGCCCGGCAGCCGCCCCATCCGGGAGGGAGGTGGGGGGGCCAGCCCCCCGCCCGGCCAGCCGTGCCGTCCGGGAGGGAGGTGGGGGGGTCAGCCCCCTGCCCGGCCAGCCGCCCCGTCCGGGAGGTGAGGGGCGCCTCTGCCCGGCCGCCCCTACTGGGAAGTGAGGAACCCCTCAGCCTGGCCAGCCACCCCGTCCGGGAGGGAGATGGGGGGGTCAGCCCCCCCACCCGGCCAGCCGCCCCGTCCGGGAGGGAGGTGGGGGGGTCAGCCCTCCGCCCGGCCAGCCGCCCCGTCTGGGAGGTGAGGGGCACCTCTGCCCGGCCGCCCCTACTGGGAAGTGAGGAGCCCCTCTGCCCGGCCAGCCGCCGGGTCTGGGAGGGAGGTGGGGGGGTCAGCCCCCCGCCCGGCCAGCCGCCCTGTCCGGGAGGGAGGTGGGGGGGTCAGCCCTCCGCCCGGCCAGCCGCCCCGTCTGGGAGGTGAGGGGCGCCTCTGCCCGGCCGCCCCTACTGGGAAGTGAGGAGCCCCTCTGCCCGGCCAGCCGCCCGGTCCGGGAGGGAGGTGGGGGGGTCAGCCCCCCGCCCGGCCAGCCGCCCCGTCCGGGAGGGAGGTGGGGGGGTCAGCCCTCCGCCCGGCCAGCCGCCCCGTCTGGGAGGTGAGGGGTGCCTCTGCCCGGCCGCCCCTACTGGGAAGTGAGGAGCCCCTCTGCCCGGCCAGCCGCCCGGTCCGGGAGGGAGGTGGGGGGGTCAGCCCCCCGCCCGGCCAGCCGCCCCGTCCGGGAGGGAGGTGGGGGGGTCAGCCCCCTGCCCGGCCAGCCGCCCCGTCCGGGAGGTGAGGGGCGCCTCTGCCCGGCCGCCCCTACTGGGAAGTGAGGAGCCCCTCTGCCCGGCCAGCCGCCCGGTCCGGGAGGGAGGTGGGGGGGTCAGCCCCCCGCCCGGCCAGCCGCCCCGTCCGGGAGGGAGGTGGGGGGGTCAGCCCTCCGCCCGGCCAGCCGCCCCGTCTGGGAGGTGAGGGGCGCCTCTGCCCGGCCGCCCCTACTGGGAAGTGAGGAGCCCCTCTGCCCGGCCAGCCGCCGGGTCTGGGAGGGAGGTGGGGGGGTCAGCCCCCCGCCCGGCCAGCCGCCCCGTCCGGGAGGTGAGGGGCGCCTCTGCCCGGCCGCCCCTACTGGGAAGTGAGGAGCCCCTCTGCCCGGCCACCACCCCGTCTGGGAGGTGTGCCCAACAGCTCATTGAGAACGGGCCAGGATGACAATGGCGGCTTTGTGGAATAGAAAGGCGGGAAAGGTGGGGAAAAGATTGAGAAATCGGATGGTTGCCGTGTCTGTGTAGAAAGAAGTAGACATGGGAGACTTTTCATTTTGTTCTGCACTAAGAAAAATTCTTCTGCCTTGGGGAAAAAAAAAAAAACAAAACAAAACAAACAAAAAAAAAGTGAAACTGTATACTCATTACACATTAACTCTCCATTCTCCGCTCCCCCAACCCCTGGTAACCACCATTCTACTTTTTGTCTCTGAATTTCACTACTCTAAGTGCCTCATATAAGTGGAATCCTACAATATTTGCCCTTTTTGCCTGCCTTATTATACTTAACATAACGTCTTCCAGGTTGACCCATGTTGTAGCTGTGTCAGAATCTCACTCCAGCCAGGCATGGTGGCTCACACCTGTAATCCCAGCATTCTGGAGGCCAAGGCAGCTGGATCACCTGAGGTCAGGGGTTCGAAACCAGCCTGGCCAACGTGGCGGAGACCACCCGGTCTCAACCAAAAATACAAAAATTAGCCAGGTGTGGTGGCATGTGCCTGTAATCCCAGCTACTCGGGAGGCTGAGGCACAAGAATCACTTGAACCCAGGAAGCAGAGGTTGCAGTGAGCCAAGATCGAGCCACTGCACTCCAGCCTGGCCGACAGAGGACAGAGCAAGACTCCATCTCAATTAAAAAAAAAAAAACAAACTCCTTTTGTAAGGCTATATTATAGTCTGTCATATTTTGTTTATTCATCCATCAATGGACATTTGGGTTGCTTTCACCTTTTTGCTATTGTGAATAATGCTGCACTGGTATAAAAATATCTATTTCAGCCCCTGATTTCAGTTCTTCTGGGTACATACCCAGGTGTAGAATTGTTGAATCATATGGTGATTCTTTAATTTTTTGAGGAACTGCCATATTGTTTTCTACAGTGGCTGTGCCATTTTATACTCCCATCAGCAATGCACAAAGACTCCGATTTCTCCAAGGCCTTGCCAATACTTATTTTCTGTTTTGTTTTTTTTAATAATACCTATCCTAGTGTAGATGAAGTGGTATCTCACTGTGATTTTGATTTGCATTTATCTACTTATTAGTGATGTTGAGCATCTTTTCGTATGCTTATTGACTGTTTGTATATCTTCTTTGAATAAATGTCTAATCAAGTTCTTTTAATCAAGTTGTTTTCTTGTTGCACTATAGAAGCTATTTGTATACTGTGTATATTAAACCCATATCAGGTATCTGATTTGCAAATATTTTCTCCCATTTTGTGGGTTGCCTTTTTACTCTCTTGATAGTGTCCTATTTTGAACAAAAGTTTAATTAATGTATTTAGAGACAGAGTCTTGCTATGTTGCCCAGACTGGAGTACAGTGGCTGTTCACAGATGCAGTGATTGCACACTGCAGCCTCAAACTCCCGAGCTCAAGCGAACCTCCCACTTCAGCCTCCCAAGTAGTTGAAACTATAGACATGGGCCACCAAGCCTAGCCAAAAGTTTAATTTTGATGAATTCCAATTTATCTATTTTTTTCTTCTGTTGCCTGTGCTGTTGGTGTCATATCCAAAAGATCATCACCAAACCCACTGTTATGAAACTTTTCTCCTATGTCTTCTAAGAATATTATAGTTTTAGCCCTTACACTTAGGTCTTTGATCCATTTTGAGTTCATGTTTGTATGTGGTATGTGGTCCAAATTCATTCTTTTGCATGTGGATATTCAGTTCTCCCAACACCATTTGTTAAAAAGACTGTCCTTTTTCCATTGAATGGTTTTGGCACTCCTGTCAAAAATCTTTTAACCATATATATGAGGGTCTATTTAATTTGTTGAACATGTGGAATAAAATTAGAGTAACTTGTACTTACCTGCCCGTTTTAACATCGGTTTCAGTTGTGGGTTATGCTTGCTTATTTCCCTCATTATGGATTGCATTGCCTGCTACTTTGTAGAACTGATACTCTTTGATTGGGTGCCAGACATTGTGAGTTTCACCTTGTTGGGTGCTGGATATATTTGTAATCTGTAAATCCTCTTGAGCTTTCTTCTGGGACATTTGAGTTACTTGGAAACGGTTTAATCCTTTTGGGTCTTGCTCACACAAGATTTTTTTTAGGCAAATCCAACCAGTGCTCATTCAAAAGCTAATTATTTGCCCTTAGTGAGGCAAGGCCTCCCTGAGTCCTCTCAACACCCCATGACACTCAGCATGGCTGGTGGGAACAGACACAGTCCCCACCCAGTGAGCAGCGGGCACTGTTCCCTAAATCCTTCCTGATGGGCCTTTCCTTGGCCTGGGGTCCTTCCCTCTCACACATGTGCTCATCAGTATCCTTCTGGGTTTCAGGGATGCCTCCACAGCTCTCCAGGGGTCTCTCTCTAGGCAGCTGTCTCCTCTCTGGCACTCTGTCCTACACACTTCTGTCCTACACACTTTGGTTACCTTGCCCTGACATTTAGTGCCATCTCCTCAACTCATGGTGTTCCCTGGCTCCACTTTAATTCCCCCTCCCTGTGTTGCAGCCTGAAAACTCTCTCAAGGCTGGGGGCAATCACAGGGCTCACCTTTGTTTCCCATCTGTCTGGAATCTCTGTCCTTTATTGTTCAACGCCCAGAGCCTTGAAAACCACTATTTCATGTATTTTGTCTAGTTTTACTTTTGTTTCAGGCGGACGAATATATCTGATCTCTGTTACTCCACCTTGCCTAGAAACAGAAGTCTCTGCACTGCTTTTTTTATTTTTATTTTTAGAGACAGAGTTTCACTCTTGTTGCCCAGGCTGGAGTGCAATGGCATCATCTCAGCTCACTGCAACCTCCACCTTCTGGGTTCAAGCGATTCTCCTGCTTCAGCCTCACAAGTAGCTGGGATTACAGGCGCCTGCCACCACGCCCAGCTAATTTTTTTTTGTATTTTTAGTAAAGACAGGGTTTCGCCAAGTTGGCCAGGCTGGTCTCAAACTCCTGACTTCAGGTGATCCTCCCACCTTGGCCTCCCAAAGTGCTGGGATTACAGGTGTGGCCACTGCGCCCGGTCTGCACCGCCTTTTTTTACCTGTAAGATCACAGGGCCTCTGCGAAGCACTGTATGAGTGATTTTTTGTTTTGTTTTGTTTTGAGACAGGGTCTTGCTCTGTTGCCCAGGTCAGAGTGCAGTGGCACAATCTCAGCTCACTTCAACCTCCACCTCCCAGGTTCAAGCAATCTTCCCACCTCAGCCTCCGAATAGCTGGGACTACAGGCGCCCACAACCACACTCAGCTAATTTTTTTTTTTTTTTTTTTTGAGATGGAGTCTCACTCTGTCGCCCAGGCTGGAGTGCAGAGGCGCGATCTCGGCTCACTGCAAGCTCCGCTTCCCAGGTTCACGCCATTCTCCTGCCTCAGCCTCCTGAGTAGCTGGGACTACAGACGCCCGCCACCATGCCCAGCTAATTTTTTTTTTTTTTTTTGTATTTTCAGTAGAGACGGGGTTTCACCATGTTAGCCAGGATGGTCTCGATCTCCTGACCTTGTAATCCGCCCGCCTCGGCCTCCCAAAGTGCTGGGATTACAGGCGTGAGCCACCACACCTGGCCCCACTCAGCTAATTTTTATATGTTTTTTGTAGAGACAGGGTTTCACAATGTTGCCCAGGCTGGTCTCGAACTCCTAGACTCAAGTGATGTGCCCACCTTGGCCTCCCAAAGTGCTGGGATTACAGGTGTGAGCCACCACACCCAGCCAAGTTCTTTGAAGTGAAAGAGACACTCACACAATTGATGCTCAATCTCTCCTCACTCACCAAAGGAGAGTCTAAAGGGCCTGCCTCCTAGGAATCTTAGTTTGGCAGTGACTTGGCTCAACTTAAGGAACTTTCTAGGTCCAGAACCCTTGCAACTGGACCTGTGCTAGCCTAGAAGTCAGCACCCTCTAACCCTGAGGGCCATCATGGGGTGAAAGTGCCAGCTGTGAGGTCTCACAGAAAAGCCAAAGTGTGACTGTGAGCGCCTAGAGGCAGTGGTCTTAGCTTGCCTCTAGGCACTGGACATTATGAGCAGACATCCATTCCGCGTCAATGCTTGGTCTACCACTACCCTGCTCCCCCTTGCCAATAACTAATTCAAGACTGGGCATGTGACCCAGTTCTAGTCAGTAAGGTATAGGACCAGGAAAATCTACAGTGGCTTCTGGGAAAGGCTTCCTCCATTTTAAGAGGAGCCATGGTAAGACATAGTCTCCCCTCTCTGGAATTGCCATATTCCAGTGTGGACACTTGGGGCTGCTGCCACCATCTTGGCACCAACCTGAGGATGGAACTAACAAGAAGGATGGCAGATCAGAGAAGGCCCGAGCCTGGACGCATCATTGAGGTGATGGATCAAATAGCCCCACTGCCTCAATTCCCCTCTGAATATTCATATAAGGAAAAAAGACTTAGTGGTTCAGTTAGATGCCACCAAAAGCAAAAGCATTGTCACTGAGCCAGCCACCTGGAGGGCTGGAGGTGCATGGAGGGGAGCACCTTAAAGGTACTTTTACCTCCTGCTAAGGAGTTTTGACTTTCTCCTTTGGATGAGAAAAGGGCCAATAGCTGTGAAAAGACATGCCTAAGGCCATGTAGGGGGAAGTGGCAAGAGCAGCCCTGCACAGGCCTATCAGCCTTCCAGCGGGTGCCTGATGCACTACAGCCCTGTGCCCCAGGATCCTGAGTCAGCTTTGATGGTGGGGCCTGTGGGTGGAGGCCTCAAAGTTCACCGACTCCAGTCAACGTTTAGTTCTCCTGCTGAGCAAGAGCAAGCAAGCACTGGGGACTTCCTTGAATTTTTGTGCTGAAATGGTATCCTTGGAGGAAAATATCAAAGTCCCCCGAGCTGTAATCAAGGCAGTTGCAGATTACAAGTAATTGCCATAGTTTCGGGACAGGTTTTTCTTGGATTTAAAAGAGCCTGTCCAAAGTTCCTTCCCGGGCCAACAGAACAGAACAGGGCAGGCACCTGAGACAGAGGGGAGCAGAACCCTGGGATCCAAGGCTTGTGTTTGCTCTCCACGCCAGAGCAGGAAGCCCCCTCTGTACCCTGGCCTCCTTCCTCCACGCTTGGAGCATGTGTAGGCCACGTGGCCATGTCTCTGTAGTAGGAGTCGGGAATGGGCTCCGGGACATTTATTGCCTCAATTCCAAGACTGCCTGGAAAAGGGCGGTACTGCCTTGGGCAGTAGAGAGTTCCTATCGCTAGAGATACAAACCCCAGAAGGGCCTTCAGCAGGCATCTGATGCCTTCATACATGCTGTCGCCTCGCCCACCAGGAAGACCCTCCTGAACCTCAAAGATGTGACACATGCATTCATTCATTTCACAAAGAACTACTTGTGCCAGGTGCTGCTCTAGGTAAGGGGGATTTAGCAATGAATAAAACAAAGTGCCTCTGGGTGTGGCGGCTCACGCCTGTAATCCCAGCACTTTGGCCAAGGTTGGCAGATCACCTGAGGTCAGGAGTTCGAGACCAGCCTGGCCAACATGGGGAAACCCCATCTCTACTAAAAATACGAAAATTAGCCAGGTATGGTGGTGCATGCCTGTAATCCCAGCTACACAGGAGGCCGAGGCACAAGAATTGCTTGAACCCAGGAGGAGGGGGTTGCAGTGAGCTGAGATTATGCCACTGCACTCCAACCTGGGTGACAGATCCAGACTCCGTCTCAAAAAAAAAAAAAAAAAAATTCCCGAAGAGTGTAGAGAAAAAAAACAGATAAAATGAATATACAATGTGATATCAGGTGGTTGTTAAGTGCTATAACAGAAAGGGGACAGAGAGTGACAGGGTGAGTTTTAGAAAGGGTGGTCGGGGAAGGCTTCCCTGGAAGAGGTGTAACTAATGTTTGAACTGATAAACTTTAATGAAGGCAGGAGCCGGCCATGCAAACATCTGGAGAAGCAGCGTCTAGGCAGAGGGAAGAGGAAGCAAGGTCTTCAGCCAGGTTTGAAGACTAGCAAGAGGCTGGTGTAGACTGGGCATGGTGGCTCACACCTGAAATCCTAGCACTTTGGGAGGCCAAGGTGGGCAAATTGCCTGAGCCCAGGAGTTCAAGACCAACCTGGACAACATGGTGAAACCCCATCTCTACAAAAAATACAAAAATTGGTTGGGCATGGTGGCACACACCTGTAGTTCCAGCTACTCAGGAGGCTGAGGTGGGAGGATCACCTGAGCCCTGGGAGGTTGAGGCTGCAGTGAACCTTGATCGTGCCACTGCACTCCAGCTTGGGCAACAGAGTGAGACTCCATCTCAAAAAAAAAAATGGCTGCTGGAGCTCGAAAGTGGTCTGGCGGCGGAGAAGCATAGGAGATGAAGTTGGATTGGTGACTGGAAGTCAGATCAGGAGGGTCTTGCAGGCCAGGCAGAGCATGTTGGCTTTTCCTCTGTATATTGCAGCCATTGGGTTTGGAGCAGAAGGGCATGGTCTGACTCAGGCTTAGACAGCCACACTCTGCCTGCTGCACCCATATAAAGCCCTGGCACATGGTAGGTGGTTAATAAACTTTGGTGATTATTATCAATGTTCTTCAGCTGCACCATTGGACCCCGGAGCTCACTGAGGGCAGGGACCAGAATGGTCATCCATGCCTATTATAGCTGGTGCTAAGATGTGTGGATATATCAGTGACTCAGGGCATGAATGAGTGAGCAAGCTTGGAGTGGGTTCTGAGGAGGAGACTCATGCCCCCAGGGCAGGTGGGACATGCCGTTGGTGCCATGTAAAGGAAGCAAGCCACTGGCTATGCCACAGAGAGAACAGGTAGGCAGGTAAGTGCCCATTTTAGAAAAGAACCATTGCCTGGGCCCTAGGGGAATGCAGGATGCAGCTGGGCCCAAGTATGGCTGCAGGAGCCAACGCAGCCTGCAAACCAGCAGGCAAGAGTCAGGCAAACCACATGGGGCACCACCTCCTAGAATCACCAGGATGCTTACAGGCTCACCCTGATCCCCCCGGGAACATTAGAGGCAGTCATCTGGCACAAAACAGCACCCAGAGGGTGCAGCCTAGACAGGCACTGGTGCCCAGATTCTGGTTTTAGGCTGTACATGGGAGGTGGCAGACACTGTTGTGGGCTGGGGAAATCATGGAGGGCTTCCTAGAAGAGCTATAGCCTAGATGGACAGATAAGGTTCAAACTGAAGACACTAGGGGTCTATAACTGCAGACACTCCTCCAGACATGCCCTGTGAGATCACTCCACCTCTGAACCATGCCTGATACCCCTCCTCACTATCCACAGGATAATGCCTTGGCTTGGCATTCAAGAGTTCCTATCTTCAGAAAGTGGCCTCTTCAGGTATTGCTCTTGAAAAAAAAAATAATAAAAGATAAGTAAAAGAAAAAAGTGGCCTCAATCTACCCATTCAGCTTTGCCTCTCCCAAGCAGCCAAACCCACAGCACATGCTATACGTTAACCACGCCGCACATTTTCCCATCCAGTGCCTTCGCTCATGTTGTTCGCTCTGCCAGGAATTCCCTTCTCTGGCTCCACTTTCCAAACTACTGCCTATTCTTTAACACCCAGCTCGTGACCCAACTTCAGAGAAGTCTCCGCCCTCTGGTCCCACATCATCACATACCTGGTGAACTATAAGCCACGTTGAACACAGTTGGGTTTTGTCTCCTTGGATGACCGTTGGATACCAGTTACACCTCTTGCCCCGGTGTAATTATTAGTCGTGACCCTTTCATTCCCAGATATGTTCCAGCTGGATGGCAAATTAAACAGTCACCCTTCATCACCCACACCGTTCTCCACCCAACTCAAATCCTTTGGGCAGGAACTATGCCTTTGTCAGAGCCCAGCACAGTACTCTGTATGCTGGAATAAAGTCAGTCACTCATACCAGTAATCTTTGAGACACTGGACACTAAACTATGGGGAAGCAAAGCAGCAGAAACATGTGTCCCTGTTCTCCTGCCACATGTGAAAGGAGGTGGAAGAAGGTAAGAAAAGATCATTTCAGAGAGGCCACGTGCAGTGGCTCACGCCTGTAATACCAGCACTTTGGGAGGTGGAGGCAGGTGGATCACTTGAGGTCAGGAGTTTGAGACCAGCCTGGCCAACGTGGTGAAACCCTGTTTCTACTAAAAATACAAAAATTAGCTGGGTGTGGTGGCGGGCACCTGCAGTCCCAGCTACTAGGGAGGCTAAGGCAGGAGAATCGCTTGAACCCGGGAGGCGGAGGCTGCAGTGAGCCAAGATAGCACCACTGCACTCCAGCCTGGGTGACAGAGTGAGACCCTGTCTCAAAAACGAAAAAAAAAAATCATTTCAGAGAGTTACAAGTGACATGGAAAAAATCATGAAGGGAGGGGTAGAGGCTAATTTTGGACAGGCTGGGCAGGGAAGGCCTCTGAAGTGGCGTTTGAGGACTGAATGAATTGAGGGAGCCATGAGATGAGAATATCTGCAGGAGGAAAATCCTAGCTAGGAGAGGGAAAAAAGCAAGTGCTAAAATCCTGAGGCTGGAACATGCTTAGTGTGTTTAAAGAACAGGAGAGAGGCCAGTGTTGGGGGCACAGAGAGAGCAAAGCAGAAGTGGATGGGAGATGTTGGGAGGGACCAGCAAATGCAGGGCTTTGTCGCCTGCAATAAGGAATTTTATATATATATATATATAAATTTTTTTTTTGAGACGGAGTCTTACTCTGTCACCCAGGCTGGAGCGCAATGGCGAATGGCATGGTCTCAGCTTACTGCAACCTCCGCCTCCCAGGTTCAAGCGATTCTCCTGCCTCAGCCTCCTGAGTAGCTGGGACTACAGGCACCCGCCACCATATCCAGCACATTTTTGTATTTTTAGTAGGGATGGGGTTTCACTACTGGTGAAATCCTACTGGCTGGTCTCGAAATCCTGACCTCGTGATCCACCCGCCTCAGCCTCCCAAAGTGCTGGGATTACAGGCGTGAGCCACCATGCCCGGCCTATAGATACATATTTTTAACCAGTGTAGGGTTTTGGATGGGGAAGTGACATGATCTAAGTTATTTTTTCCCCAGACAGGCAATTTTTTATTTTTTATCATGCGTATAGAAAACAAAAGTGTCACAGATCCCCTTGTGACTGGACAAAGCCACCTCAGGAATATTTCTCTGCTTAAAAGAAGCATTGTCAGTTACAGTGATGTCAATTACAACCTGGCACAAAATCATCAAGACCATCAGGGTCACAGAATTCTTTCTGGAGGTTATCCTTGCAGAACACAGGCACAGCTTCCAGTCTGAAGTCCAACAAAACCAGAACTCTGCTTCTAAGTACAAGATTATGGTAAAGGCCCCAACAACCTGATAACAATTGTGAATAGTCACATAAGTTTCCAAGTGGCATAAAAAATGTACACTGACAATCTTGCAAAAGTTCTCAACTAAAAGCAACAAGCAAGCCTTTACAGCATAATGCCCCAGTGGGCTGAAACACAGGAGGGGATGCATAGGGTCTTACTTAAAAGCAGCAGAAGAAAAGCTTACATTAACTTTCTACATACACAAGGTAGGACCAAGAGAGAAAACCTCTAAAGTTGCAGTGTTCTGTTATTCTTCTAGTTTACAAAACATATTGGCGAATCAAAAATGTTAGCAAGGGCTGGGCGCGGTGGCTCACACTTGTAATCCCAGCACTTTGGGAGGCCAAGGTGGGAGGATCCCTTGAGCCCAGGAGTTAAGACCATCCTGGGCAACATAGCGAGACCCCCGTCTCTACAAAAATGTTTTTTAAAAAGCTGGGCATGGTGGCATACACCTGTAGTCCCAGCTACTTGGGAGGCTGAGATGGGAGAATTACTTGAGCCCAGGAGTTTGAGGCTATGATGCATCACTGCACTCCAGCCTGGGCAACAGAGTGAGACCCTGTCTTGAAGAAAAAAAAAAAATCAGATGGGCACAGTGGCTCACACCTATAATTTTAGCACTTTGGGAGGCCAAGGTGGGCAGATCGCTTGAGCCCAGGAGTTCAAGACCAGCCTGGGCAACATAGTGAGACCCTGTCTCTATGTATTAACCAAAATCAAGGGCTCTCCTCCTTCTACCATCTCTCAGCCATCCTGCCTTTTCAGCTGGCTCTGGTTCCTTTTGTACTTCCCTGCCAAAAGCACCCTCCACATTATTTTGTGATAAGGCCTCCCCAGGTCCTAGGGAACAGAAGATAAGGCCTTCCATGGGAAGGGGCCTGGGTATGGCCACTACCACCCCTTCCCCTAAAATGAAATGGAGACAGACAGCTCTGCAAGCAGGGGGAGGAGGGGGTGGGCAGCTCAGCTCTTATACCTAGAGGGGTTCGGACTTGGTGGAAGGGTAAGAAAGAGTTGGGGTTAGTCTAAAAGAACACAGCATAAAATGGAATATTAACTATCCCCGCTCTGGGGACTTCCTGGTCTCTCTGTTCAGCAGCCTTGGACTGTCCCCTTTGGAAGATTCTAGGCCTTGCTAAAGAGGGTAAGGTATAGGGGAAGAGAGAATGCTGGCAGTCTACAGGGCAAACCCTCCCTCTCTGGAGACGAAGAGAGGCAAACTGAACACGAAAGTCTTTCTTGTTGAGTTTAAGAAAAAATCTTTTTCTTCAGTTGTTATTTTTTGTTTCTAAGCCATCATTTAAAGAAAAAAATGGTGTGAGATCTGGGTATGGATAGACAGGCCCCAGGACCAGGAAGACCCCCTCCCCAGCACCCACAGCTTGGCAGCCTAACAGGTAGAGGCAGGGGGGCTGGCAGAGCACCTGGATTCTGTGGGGTCCAGTAACTGGGGCTCAGGAGGGGATCCCATCCTTGCCCCTGCCTCACTCACATGCCCAGATAGGCCAGTTTGGCAGAGTTCCTGGGGATTAGGGGCTCTCCTGTGCATTGGCAGGTGGCCCACCTGGGTCCACAAGCGGCTATGGAGGTTCCTGTAGACCTGGGGGCGGGCAACAGGGCTGATGGTGGTCTGGGCAAAACTCATGGGAAAGGAGATGGCTAGGCATTGGTGGGGCACGGCACAGACCCTCATAAGCTAGCAGCAGGCTGTGATGTCAGGCCACCGTGGGGCAGGAGGAGCAGTATGATCACAAAGAATGTGCTGTCCACTGCTTCATGCCCTTGACCTCACCCATGCCCAGCAGCCAGCTGTGTGCTCATCCTGCCAGATACCCAAGAGTCCACTTGGTGGTAGCCTGTGGTCTTGAGGCCATGGAATGTCCAAGCCTGGGTGGCACCCGGCACCAAATGAAGCCACTTCATCTTGGGTGATGAGACTCAGTTTGCCACAGCCAGGGTGTAGAGAGCTACTGTGAGCACGACCAGCAAGCATGCGAAGGCCGGCAGGCTGGAGTCTTGAAGCATAGGCCTCAAAGAGGCACTGTCCTCCAAGTAGTGACTTGTGGGTACCCTTGTCAAAAATGGCTGGGATGGCCACGGTCACAGGTCCATGCCGTAAAGATTATGGCAGTGCACATCCACAGCACTGGGTGCTTAGTGTAGACGCAGCGGCATGTGACAGCCACGTGATGTTAACACAGAACAGCAAGAGGCCATATGGAAACAGTAGAGACTGGCCACGAGGGCCACAATTTGAGAGCTGAGTCCACCGAACCACGCAGAGCGGGAGTGCACAGAACAGACAGCAGACAGCAGACAGCAGACAGCAGACAACAGAGCGCCCACCATGGGCCTGAGCCCAGATCCGCCACCCGTAGGAGGCATGAGGAAGCTTATGTAGGCCGCACATCCCAAGGCAGCACTTAGCCAGACTGGAACCCGTAGGGCCTAGAAGGGGTCTCCGTGGGCCACCTTGCGAGGCCTCCCCTGGCTCTGCAGGGCCTATCCCCCAGCAGGTAGTACTGCAGGGGGTTGGGCCACAGGTCATCTTTAATAATCTGGGCAACCCTGTCGGCCTCTGGGAGGCTGTGCTGTGAAAACCAGCTGAAGAAGCTTCGGACAGTGTCCCGGTTCCTGTGTACGAGGGCCGGGGGTTCCTGGCCCCAGTGCCATCGGATGCGAGTCGCAATAGACACCACTCGGCCTGAGGCTCTGCATTCATACTCCTTCACTATCACCTTGTTCTGGAAGTAGGGGTTGCTCCAAAAGCGGAACTTGAATTTGCAACCTGTCCTAGAGTGCCTGAGCTCCCTCACCTCCAAATTCATCAGGTAGCAGAGCATGTCTTCATCTCGAGGGCTGATCATGGCTGAGAGCTGCGGGTGGTTCAGGAAGGCGGTGACCCAGAAGCCCGGAATATTCTGGATGATGAAGCTCCTACGGGCGAGGTACAACCTGTGCATCCGCCCAAACCTGCGCTCGAGCGGGAGGTAGGCCCTGTCGGCCTGGGCGCTCACGGCCTCCGCCTCCCACTGGATGGCCTCCAGTGGGTCCACAATTAGGGCACCAAGGTTCAGGAGCCGCGGGCCCTCCTGGGCCTCCGCTGCCACCTCCTGCTTCTCCTCCCCCTCCTGCTGCTTCTCCACCTCCTCCGCTGGCTCCTTCTTGAAGATGGCGCCCTCCTCCTTGTTCGCGTCCTCGGCCTTCTCGCTGGCTCCTGCCCGAGTCCCTAGCCCCTCTGCACCACAGGTTTCTGGGGCTTCGTCCCGGACCCGGCCATTTTCCAGGCTCGGAGTAGTCGCCGTGGAGGCCGCTTCCCCGCGCCCAGGGGAAGGGAAGGCGGTCCCGGGGCCCGCTGCGGGGTGGAGGGACCCGCGCCCCCCAGCTTCTCGGGCCCGGGCCGCGGGGACCGTGCGCGCGTCCCCCTCCCGGGCAAGGCCGGGCGGCGGGCGCGCCGCGGCTTCTGGGGTCCCCGCCCTCTTGTCCGCCATCGCCTGCGGGAGCCTCTGGCCTGGAGGGGCTCGGGGCGCGCTGGCGACTGCGGGCTCGGCGACAGGGGCGGCTGGTGGCGGGAGGACAGTGGGAGGAAGGCTCCGCCCCACGCGCCCCCCTCTCGGATGTGATTCGCCGGGGTCTCCCGCAGCCGGGGCGAGCGGCTTGGAAGCCCGGAGGAGGGGTACGGAACTGCCCGATGGGGATGCGACCGCGGGCGCCAGACGAACTGTCCCCACATTCGTTGGCGCTGGCGGTGGAGGTGGGGAGAAGTGTGTACCAAGCAAGAGTCAGCTCGGAGCAAACACCAGGGGACAGGCCCAGTCGCTGGTCCTGGACAAGTAAAACTTTCCCATCACAACCACCACGCCAGGCGATTGCTCAGTGTTCCCCATCTGCGGTGGGCAGGCAGGAGTCGCCCGGCTTCCACACTCGAGTGGCGCTTTGGGGCAGTTGTAGGACACTCTCGGCCTTACAGGGGATAAATTACTCAGGCACATGCAGAGGGCTTAAGAGGTATCTCCTGCAAAGACTGACCAGACTGAAACTGGGAGCGGCAGATAATGGTAATTTTCTGACACACAAAGGTGATCAACACGTTCATGTAGGGAAAGCAGGTGCTTGAAATATTCATGTGGGGAAAATAAGCAAGGTCAGAGTGGAAGGATCTGGGGTGAGAGAGGGTCTTAAATGCTACAAACCAGGGAGCGAGTGGGCATCTGCCTGGTTTCCCCAACAGGAGTTGGTTCCTCCTGGGCTGGTTGGCAGAAGCGAGGTGGACCTTGCTTCACTTTGTGCTAGGCCCAAAGGCTACCCTTCCAAAGGTGGACTCTAGCTTGAAGTGCAGGAACTGTACCTGGCAGGCTAAGAGCTGGATTGGCCAGCCCTCTTAGTCCTCGATCCTGCAAATCTGTGTTCCTGTGGTCTCAGCTCCCAAACTGTGGCCTATGGAGGTCAGTACCTCCAATCCCCCTCCACCTCTGCGTGGAAGTCCTTGCCACCTCTTCCAGAAAGCTTTCAGCCTTTTCCTGACAAATGGATACAACAGCTCCCTCATCTGAGCCCTCAGACCTATACTGTGGTATACACTCCCTAGGGAGCAAGGTGGATTTCCTTAGGGTCCTAGCTAGGGTTTTAACCTACTGGGGTGGACAGTGAACATTTGTCAAGTGGAAGGTCAAAAATGAAGGGTCAGCCCACTTCCTTTGTACATAAAACACCTGCACTTGTTAACGGCCCCATAGGCTCTTGGCTGGACTGCAAGTGACTTGCACTGCTTGGCCATAGACACTGGCTCCAGACCACAGAAAAGCCAGTTCAGTCTGAGCCCCTGATGGGAGGATCTCAGCACAAGGGCTGGCACCCAGGATGGTGGTAACGACCTTCATTAGAGACCACCAAAGTCAGGTGAAGCTATGTAAGCCTCTCAGCAGTCTGCCTGAACCCGGTGGTTGGGCACAAGTATAGGTAAGGTCAGGTCCTAGCTGTCACCAGCTGTACACCTTGGGCAGTGACTAGGGTGAACATTTGTCCTTTCTTGGACAACCAGCATCAATTCTTCATCTTAAGAGTGCCCCAAATTTCCTTTGAGAAACCACTCCTGTTTCAGTCTTGTTGTCACTGGCATATGGTAACTGGTTTGGGGATGGCACAGAATCCCATCAAGGCCAATGAAACAGGATGCTTATTGGGGCTTCTGTGGTGAGTCCTCTCCTGAGAGCCCAGAAAGGGTTGCTTCCTTCTGGCTGGCAATGTGTGAGAATGGCAGGTCTGGAATCCAGGCAGCATTCTGCTCACTCCCACACAAAGGGGAAATCTACTTTGTAGGGCCTGTGGATGAAGTCACAACTACACAAGACAGAGCAGAGAGAAATAGGAATGCTGAGGCCAGCCATGTTGGAGCCACTGGATCAAGCCTAACCCAAAGACTGCTCTACATCTGGCATTTTCCAGTTACATGCAATTTCAGTGTTTAAAGCCAGTTTGATTTTGGCTGTCTGACTCTTGCATCCAAGATGATTAACTGATAGAATTATGCCACTTACCTCAAAGACATGCAAATATGATATTTAACTTAAAAGTACAAAGCTTATAGGTGCTGATGGGAGGGGTTTTTACTGTCTGCCCTACGCTCACCATCATCCTGGATGCTAAAGATGTCTGGAGACTCCAATTCTTCCCAATTCGAGGCTCTCTCCAACCGTTTCCCAATCAGACAGGTTCACAACTCCCAAACACATCATTCAGAAGTTTTTAATAAACAACTTCATTATAAAAACCTTTTTTTGAAAATGTAATTCTGTAAAACATTGAAAAATCTACTTTAACAAAGATATGCCCTGTGCATTTTCTAATGGCACTTATACTTTACAATTAAAAACCTTGTTTTATATAAAGCCAAAAATACTCCAAGAGGTTATTCACTGTGTTTACAAAGTGCTAGAAGATTTCTGTCTTGTACTTTTCTCTTTAAATAATCTGGAGTTACAAAAGAGTGGCTCCAAAGCCTTGACCGCTGGTAGGGAGGGAGAAGCATGAGAAGTGGTGTCTCAGGAGTTCTAGTGCCAAAGGTGGAGAGGTGCAAGTGGGAACAATCAGCTAAGGAAGTCAGCTGACACACAAAGAAATCGGACTGGAATTTTTCCAAACCCCTCTATGGAGGCACTAGGTTATCATGGTGAACACCCTTTTCCCTCGCCATAGACCCTACTCTCCAGAGGTGAAGGTCATGGCCAATTCCTTCCACAGCAGGTTCAGAGTTCCAGGAGAGGCCAGGGTGGGATCCCAGAGGAATCTGGACTTTTCTGGCCAACACCTGCCTAAGGCAAAGTTTCTTATTACATAAATATCCTTGTTAAAAAGCAAAATATTGATCCTGTACAATATAACCTGTTAAAAAAATCGTGCTTACAAACAGCTCCTAGATAAGAGGGCAGGTGGAGAGAGGACGGAGAAAACAGCTACCAAAAAGGGAGGGGGGAGTTTAAAGGACTACTAGGGAAAGTTTTAGGGCAGTGGGAGAATTCCAACTTAGGACAATATCTACGAGCAAAAAAGTAATCACACCTGCTTCCCGGATTTTCAATTAAGAAAATGCCATTTGTAAAAGGTTGGGCGGTGGGCTGGAGGGCGGGGGTTGCAGGGAACCTCATTGGCGCTCCTTTCCCTGCCTCCCACCTCAAGATGATGCAGAGATCCTTTGAGCTGACACCTGGGCATGTCATCCCCTTACCCCCAGGACTGTACTCAGCCCTGACCAGCTACTGTGTAGGGTGGGAGGGGGACAGCTCATTGCTGGCAGAGGCTGGAGGTGGCAGGGAAAGGGGACATCACTTTTTTTCCTGGTCCCTCATTGGTCTTTGTCATATGCCATGGCTCCTGTCCTGGGCAGATGCCCCTCAGGTTCTCATGGCCTCAGTAAGCATACTGAAGTGAGTTCGGGTACTGAGTGCAGGATAAAGCTATTCTTATCCTTTGAACAACCAGGCCACTAAGGCTTTTTTTTTCTTTCCCCCCGACCCCCCAGATTTTAGGAAGGGAGGTTTAAGAAATGACTGGCTAGCTATGGTCCAAAAAAAAAAAGGTGAAGGCAGATATTATTCCTCTGTACCAGCAAAGTTCACAGTGATAGGAAAATTCCTTGTGGGTGCTGAGGACACTGAGAGGAGGAAAGGAAAGACAGGATAGATGGGAGGACACAGGAGTGGGGAAGGCAAGGAGAAAAGACAGGAGGTGGGGGCAAGGCCCCGGTTACAAAGGGTTTAAACAGTTGCTTTGCCAGTCCTATGACTTTTCCAGCATCACTTACGGGGAGAGAGAATTCGAGGGAGGGACAGGAAAGGGCAGGCAGAGAGGAAAGGACTCCTCTAACAGCCCGGGACTTTGTATTCTGCAGCCAGAGGCCCAGTGGCCTCTGTAAACTGAGAGTGTAGGGAAGGTGGCAGTTAAGGTGAGAAGGGTTGCTGAGTCTAGTGATGAAAACCAGATACAACAAAGAGGATGGCAACAGCGAGTCCCAACTGGATTCTCACATACCATCACCTATAATACAAGTCCCAATAACATGCACAGCATGCAGGAGGTGGCTGCGTACCAAGGTAGACACTTTTTAAAATAAACCTTAATTAGTCCCTGGGACTCACTGAAACTAATTTTTAGAAGCAAATCATCTAGTCTGATTCTAACCTTGCCAGACATTTTAATATCTGGTGTTTTTAAAAAGGTATCCCAAGCTACCCTGCCTAAATCAAAACACACTTACTCCAAATTGCTTCTAATCAAGAGCTAGGGAGCTAAATTTTAAGGCTTTTACCTCAAACAAGGAGTACTGGCTTAGGCTGAAGCAGAAAGCTGAGTCCTGGACCTGCTCAGTTCCTGATGACAAACCAAGTGAACCTAGACAGAAGGTGGGTGAGGGAGGACTGGTAGGAGGCTGAGGCAATTCCTTGGTAGTTTGTCCTGAAACCCTACTGGAGAAGTCAGCATGAGGCACCTACTGAGAGAAGTGCCCAGAAACTGCTGACTGCATCTGTTAAGAGTTAACAGTAAAGAGGTAGAAGTGTGTTTCTGAATCAGAGTGGAAGCGTCTCAAGGGTCCCACAGTGGAGGTCCCTGAGCTACCTCCCTTCCGTGAGTGGGAAGAGTGAAGCCCATGAAGAACTGAGATGAAGCAAGGATGGGGTTCCTGGGCTCCAGGCAAGGGCTGTGCTCTCTGCAGCAGGGAGCCCCACGAGTCAGAAGAAAAGAACTAATCATTTGTTGCAAGAAACCTTGCCGGATACTAGCGGAAAACTGGAGGCGGGGGTGGGGGCACAGGAAAGTGGAAGTGATTTGATGGAGAGCAGAGAAGCCTATGCACAGTGGCCGAGTCCACTGTAAAGTGGAAGAGACAGAAGGGACATTGTGGATAAGGAAAATTTTGGTTTGGGACACAACAATGTACCCATAGATTAGGACTTAGCTATCTACCCATTCCTAACCTTCTGCAAACTCTTCTTCCAACAATTCCACAACTTCCCGGAAAAGGGACAGGTGGGAGGAAGACCAATGAGGGGCTCAGACTTCCTCCTTTGCTATCCACACCAACCCAGACTCTGCTTCCAAGACTAATAACAACAGCTCATGATGTTCAAGGTGGGGACTAGGGGATGGGGAGGTGACGGACGTGGGCATGCCTTTCATTTCTTCCCCTCTCCAGTTCAAGAGAAGGATGAGGGGGTCATAATGTACTTGGAGAAAAACAGAATTGCAGACCTGTGAGAAAACTGCTCCAATCCTCTTGCCTGTCTTCTGTGGATACCGCCGAGGCAGGCAGGAACAAATGCAGTCATGGAAGATGGCAGAGACTGAAGCAGTCCAAAGTCAGTTTATTTCCCCACGGGGGAAAAATGTGACCTCAAATGAAGAGAAGTCAGCAAGCCCCGACTCCACCTTGTAAACAGGACTCCAGTTAACACCAGGTACCAAATGGTTCAGGCTGGTGCCAACTGGAATGGACTGATGGGAATGGATTCACGGTGTGTAAACAGTGTTCACTGCAATCACTCTAAGGCTAACAGCTTGGCAAGGGAGGTGAAATGGTGTGTCTGAGGTGACTGTGTAAACGGTACCGTTGCTGGACAACACTGACTGAAAACGGAGGTGCTGGTACAGGAGGAATGGGTGGGCGAGAAATAAAGGCCTTCTCTCCTGCCCATTGGTTGGAAGCAGGCAATGGAGCCAAGTGACCTTCTACAGCAGGGCCTGACCAACTGACTGCTGTGGGGTCTGCAGGTTGGGACCAGAAGGTGGGCTTCTTGGGCAATTTCTCTAGAGGTCATCCAAGGTGAAACCCTCTGTGTCTCCAAGAGGCCTCCCCATTCTCCAAAGAGAAGGAGGTTCTGGCGCTTTGGAGAGGAAGAGGGCCAAGTGTGGCTCCCGATTCAGGTCAAAAAAATAAAAGTAAATAATACCTGAAGTCCTACGGTATGAGATCTTTTCACGGGGTTGGGGCTCAAGGCTCCTTCTGGAATCGATCCTAGAGCCTGAACCCCCAAACCAAGTGCTCCTGTATACAGACACTGGAATTTTTTTTTTTGAACCCAGCTCTGAAAGCTCAGCTGCCTTCATGGGGGACACAGACGGGGTGGGTACTAAGGCTCCATAACAGAGCCAAAAACTGAGCTGAGGGCCTCTGTGGGGGCTACTGGAATGCTTGATGGAAACGAGGCAGGGTGGTGCTACTCAGGCCAGACGTGAAGACAGGAGGCAAGGAGTGCAGAGGCCCAAAGTTCAGTGGTCCCCCAGCTCCTGGGGAATCTTGAGGCTGAGCTTGCAAAGTGGTAAGCAGGGGCTGTGCCTCAGCCTGGGAGTAGCCCATGACCAGGCCTCCTGTGGCCCCAGGTGGGTTACACGGGGGCAGGTTGAGTGGAAGAAAGCCCAGTAGGTGGGAGAAGTCCACATTAGCAGCGCAGAGGGCCTCAGAGAGGTTGGCGGGGCTCTTGGCAAGCAGTGCTTCATCTAGGAGGGCCGCAGCTGCCGCCGGCTGAGGTGAGGCGGGCTGGGGTTCAGCGGATGAGAGAGACAGGCTTCCAGGAAGCTCCGCCAGAAAACTATCCACCTCCACTTTGGGCAATTTGTCGGGCAAGTATGAGGTAGATCCAAGCTGGTATTTTGGAGGGAGCTGAGCTGGGGAAGAGATAGGTGAGGATTCCAGAGGGTAGCTCATACCCATGGGCAGCGTGTTGTGCACCAGGGAGTGTGGCACGCCCGTGCTGGGCATGGTAGGGATGTGGGCACCATACATGCCCATGGGCAACATGCCAGGGAAGGCCTTGGTCCCCATTACGTCCCGAGAGGCCATGCACAGCACAGGGCTCAGCTCTTCCTTCACACTGACTGTGGAGCTGCAGCTGAGTAGGCCTAACATGTCCACGGGCTCTGTCTTGATCTTGAGCAGCTCCTGCGAGTGGCTCTTCTTGACATGACGCGTCAGGTGGTCCTTACGGCCAAACCGCTGGGCACAGTACTGGCACAGGAAGTCCTTACGGCCTGTGTGCACCACTAGGTGCCGCCGTACATCCTTACGAGTATAGAACCGCCGGTCGCAGTGGTCACAGGGGTGCTTCTTCTCCTTGGCACCGCCTGCTACCCGGCGTGAGTGGGCCTTCAGGTGCTCTAGCAGGGCCTGGGTACTCTCAAAGGTCTGCAGGCACACCTTGCAGCTGAGGTCACCGCTGCTGGCAGCATGCATGGCCAGGTGGCGCCGGTAGCCCAGCTTCGTATTGTAATTCTTACCGCACTCAGAGCAGTGGAGGGCCTCTTTGTTAGGATCATGGGTCTGCAGATGGTTCCGCAGATGGTCCTTGCGGTGAAACATCTTATCACAGTACATACACTGGTGGGGTTTCTGGGCTGAGTGGGTGGCCATGTGCCTGGGGGTAGAGACAGGGGATAGGGGAGAAAGCAGAAAGAGGGGAGATCACAAGGGATGACTGGACAACCAAAGGTGTCCATTAACAGGAAACTAGATATAAAAACCATGGTAAAGGCTTGCAATGCAATACCAAACCAGTTATATTCTACAGATATCCTTGCCTATCTGCAAAATAATGTGTACCGACATTCTTTGCAGCATTGCTTGTAGTAGCAAAAAAAATCAGAAACAATCTGAACGTCCAATCTATCAATAGGGAACTGGTTACATAAATTATGATAAGTCCATAAAATGACTCAACTTTTCAAAAATGAGGCTTTTTGTGTACTTACAGGGAACATGCTCCTAAGAGACAGGAAGTAGAAAAAAAGCAAGGAGGCAGAATAGTGGATGTAGACTAGGACTCTATGTGAAAAGGGGAAAAATATATGTATGTTTGCTTGTATATGGCTAAAATATTTCTGGAAGGACATACAAGAAACTGATACCAGTGGCTGCCTATGCGAAAAAGAACCGAACAGCTTATAGATGGGTGTCATGGAGAATTTTCATCGTATAAGTTTTGGTACTTTTTGAATTTTGAATTACGTGAAAGTATTTCATTTTTTAAACATTACATTTAAATAATTTTAAATGATACAATAAAGAGAAAATAAAATATACCTAAACGTGCAGTCTGGGCACAGTGGTGCATGCCTGTAATCACAGCACTATGGGAGGGTGAGGCAGGAGGATCATTTGAGCCCAGGAGTTTCAGACCAACCTGAACAACATAGCGAGACCTTGTCTCTACAAAATCTTAACCATTAGATGGGCATGGCAGCATGCACCTGTAGTCCTAGCTACTCAAGAGGCTAAGGCAGGATTACTTGAGCCCAGGAATTTGAAGTTGCAGTGAGCTGTGATCGCACCACTGCACTCCATCCTGGGTGACAGAGCAAGACTCCGTCTCTAAATAAATAAATAAACTTCCTTATCTAGAACAAATTTCCAAGATATACAGGGCTAAGTCAAAAAAGGAAGTTCAATACAGTACATGTGATACAATCTGTTTTGAAAATAAAAAAGAAAGAGAATATACATGTTTGAATGTCTTAGGAAGGATACACAAAAACCAACCCACCAGCTGCCTTTGGGGAGAGGAATAGTGACTTCGAGTGTGAGGATCATTCATTCTTCACTGCATGCCAGTATGTACCACTTGAATTGCTTGTCATATAAACCAGTAACACTTTAAGAAATGTTTTAATGGTATGGCACTTCAGTGTCCCTTGGTTTACCTGATCCTATATGGTTGAAAAGTGGCTCAGAATCCAGGAACTGCAATTCACAGCTCCAGAGCATATTCAGAATCAACTCAGCACCCACTGTTTGCCAGGCTCTGCATAAGCTGTGTCATTAACCTTGATCTCCAGACAAGGAAAGGAGTCTAAAAAAAAGGCAGCCCCCTCACCCTAGCAGAGGCTGAATTTAAACAGGCCTTCGGAAGACCTATGTTCAGTCAGGTATGCAACAGCTGTCTCTCTCTCGTACAGCACTCTGTGATCCTTTCTACCTGGAGGGTATCAAACACACCCCCTGCCCACATCCCACATATGCATGCTCAAGAGTGCTCGTGCCTATGTGGGTTACTGTCAACCTCCTGTGATGGAACTGACGTGGTAATGTAGAGAGGGAGGTGCTGAGTGATCCACTTTTCATTTCCCTCATTTTGCAGGTGAGGAAACTGAGGCCCAAAGAGGTCTAGCAACTCACCTAAGATCACACAGTAAATTATATGTGATGAGTCAGGGCTCCTGCCTCCTGACCCAGGACCTTTCCTGCAGCCGCCCACTGGCAACCAGATCATCATTAAGAAAGTCTAAGAAGGCCGGGTGCAGTGGCTCATGCCAGTAATCCCAATACTTTGGGAGGCTAAGGTGGAGGGACTGCTTGAGGCCAGGAATTTGAGATCACCCTGCACAACACAGGGAAGAGATCCTGTCTCTAGGAAACATGCAAAAATTAGCGGGTGTGGTGGTGGTACATGCCTGTGATCCTAGCTACTCAGGAGGCTGAGGCAGGAGGATCACTTGAGCCCAGGAGTTTGAGGCTGCAGTTAGTTATAATCACGCCACTATACTCCAGCTTGGGCAAAAGTGAGACCCTGTCTCAAAAAAAAAAGAAAAAAAAGAAAGCCTAAGAGTATGGCCTTGACTGGAGTTCCCTTAACTTATAGGAGCACACAGAGAATCTAAGCACTCCTGAGGACCACAGAATTGTCAAGAGGGCAATCCTGACTACCATGCTACCCTGTTGCCTATTTTAGTCCCTTCCTATTAACTGTTTTCCAGATGAGGAACTGAGGCTTTGTGGTCATCTTGTTCATGTATTTACTTGTTTACTGTCTGTACCCACTATTAAGACCATAAACCCAAGGAGGACCAGCACCCCCATCTGTCTGGCTCACTACTCCGCCCCTTGCACCGAGCACTGTGCCTGGTACAGAGCAAGAGCTCAATAATGTTGGATAGATGAATGGATGGTTGGATGACTGTGCATCAGGCCAATCTATCTCATTTCTTTTTTTTTGAGACGGAGTCTCGCTCTGTCGCCCAGGCTGGAGTGCAGTGGTGTGATCTCGGCTCACTGCAAGCTCTGCCTCCTGGGTTCACACCATTCTCCTGCCTCAGCCTCCCGGTAGCTGGGACTACAGGCGCCTGCCACCGCGCCCAGCTAATTTTTTTTGTATTTTTAGTAGAGACGGGGTTTCACCGTGGTCTCGATCTCCTGACCTCGTGATCCGCCTGCCTTGGCCTCCCAAAGTGCTGGGATTACAGGCGTGAGCCACCGCACCCGGCTGATCTATCTCATTTCTAAAGGGCAAGTTCATGGTTCCTCTAATGCGAAAAGGATAAAATCAAAATTGCTCTTTTTTGTTTTTTTTGAGACAGTCTTGCTCTGTCACCCAG
This sequence comes from Homo sapiens, assembly GCF_000001405.40. Lineage (NCBI taxonomy): Eukaryota > Metazoa > Chordata > Mammalia > Primates > Hominidae > Homo > Homo sapiens. Next base: position 32,200,636 of record NC_000020.11, read on the forward strand.
GCTGGAGTACAGTGGCACAATCTCAGTTCACTGCAACCTCCTTCTCCTGGGTTCAAGTGATTCTCCTGCCACAGAGTCCCAAGTAGCTGGGACTACAGGCATGTGCCACCACACCCAGCTAATTTTTAAAAAATTTTTAGTAGAGATGGGGTTTCACCATGTTGGCCAGGCTTGCCTCAAACTCCTGGCCTCAAGTGATCCGCCCGCCTCAGCCTCCCAAAGTGCTGGGATTACAAGTGCGAGCCACCACGCCTGGCCCAAAATTGCTTTTGACCATGCCTCCCCATCCTCACCAAAGCAACCAAAGCTGCTCTTCTCTATCTGCCTTATGTCAGGGCTTTTACGTTTAATTTCACTTTAAGTAGGGGTTCTTGGGCTTACAAGTTTCAGAAAAGCAGCTGCCCCAGTGGGCAACAGGGAGACAGACATAGTTAAATGAGTAAGTAGCAGGCTGATTCAGTAGAAGAGGCACTGCAGGACCTCTGAAGCTGTGTGACCTTGGGTAAGTTATGTCCCTACTCTGAACCTCTACTTTAAAATTTACAGACTGGGCCAGAAGGTCTACTTTTCCTTCTAAAGTTCGAATACTGATTCCTAACTTCTAGCTAAAATTCTGACCATCACCTGACAAAGGTGAGGAAAGCAATATTTAAAAAAAAATGTTCAGGGCTAAGTGCGGTGGCTCATGCCTGTAATCTCACTGCTTTGGGAAGCCAAGGCAGGAGGATCACTTGAGCCCAGGAGTTTGAAACCAGCCTGGGGAACACAGCCACACCCCCATATCTACAAAAAATTAAAAACAACCAGGTGCGGTGGTTCAAGCCTGTAATCCTAGTTACCTGGGAGAATGAGTCAAGAGAATCACTTGAGCCCAGGAATTGGAGGCTGCAGTGAGCTGATTGCACCACTGTACTCTAGCCTGGATGACAGAGCAAGACTCCCATTTCTTAAAAAAACAAACAAACAAACAAACAAAACTCAAGGCTGCCTGACATTGGCACCCAGATCGTCACTAAGAAGGTGTAAGAAGGCCAGGTGCAGTGGCTCACGCCAGCAATCCCAATACTTTGGGGAGGCAACCCATCAGATTCTAGTGTCTGAATCAAGCAATCTGAATCATTTTTTAGTGAGTGACTTCAACTGTTTGGCATTCAGGGTATACTTGTAGGACAAATTAACCTCCACTCTTCTGCCACAGATTAAAAACCCACACTAGGCAGAGTCTCTCTGCTTTTTCCCTCTGGGAACCTCAGGGCAGGAAGAGATATGAGAGTGTCACCTACCTATACAGCTTGTATTTGGAAGCAAAAGCCTTGCCACAGTGCAGCTGAGGGCAGCTATATGGTCTCTGCTCTGGTTGCGGGAGGCTGTGAGGCCTCAGCTTCTCCCCATTTGAGAAAGGTGTTCCCGAAATTTCACATTGGCACTTCACTTGACTCTCCGCCTCCCGGCCCCGAGGCCTGGGAACTAGTTTCCAGCCCACTTCCTCCTCCTGCTTTGCATCTTGAATCCAGGGGGGGACGCTGGTGAAAAATGTGGTCATGGCAAGGCTAATGGCAAAGGGCCATGTTATTGAGAAAGCCTCCCCATCCGCTCCACACAGGCTCTCAGCTCTGTCACAGCCTCCAACGCAGCTTTCAGAAAACAATCTCTTCACCTGAAACATCAGAACACCTGGTGTTAGGGAGCCCAATACCATGAGAACATGGGCTCTGGAAGCAGACAGATCCCGTTCCAATCCCAGCCCTTCCACTTAGAAGCTGTGTGACTTTCAGCCAATTACTTACTTCCCTGAGCTGTTTCCTCATTTATAAAATGGGCATAATAATCTCCTAAATTATAAAAATGTTTTGAGGATTAAATGAGATCATGAATATAAAGCATTCAGCAGAAGGCTGGGCATCCATTAAGTGCTTAGTGGTAGCTACTATTACTAGTACCATCTAGGCTAATAAGAAACAAGATAAACTGAGGAACCAAAAGCCCCAAAACTTCAAACTTTTTCTTCTGGACCTCACTTTTATATCCTTTCCATTGAACCTAGAGATAGCGGTTCCTCCTTCTTATTACCCTGGCACCTCCTCGTCCACTACTTTCCACAATTGTCCTCCTCATGGAGGTGCTAAGGAGCAATAAAATGCCCAAAAGGCAAGAGAGGAGGAAGGGGAAGCCTCTACTTAGGAAATTTACATCCTAGTCAGTCCTGGTACCAGATGTGTTTCTTAGCAGTGCATCAACATCAGGAGGGTCTATATGGGAAGGCAACAGCAGATTCTTAGCATTTTCCCTAAACCAGGACTAGAACTGGTCCCATCCTGACCACCACCACTTCTCTGGGTCACTGTGTCTCAGGGCCCAGACCATCCCTCTTTAGCAAAGCCTGTCCAACACCCCTAGGTGCTGAGAGGCCCCTCCTACAGGGCCTCAGAGTACATATGCACATCTCCTTTAGAAGACGGTAGCGAGCTCGCATTGGAATTTACTCCTCTCCACCAGCCTGATTGTCTGAGGGCTTGCATCATCTCTCTTTCATCTCTATATACCTAATATCTAGAAAAGGAACCCTAACTTTATTTCAGATAGGTAAACTAGTCACTGAATGCAGGTTGATTCTCAGGGACCAACCTAGGCCCAGGTAGTTCTGGTTTAAACTGGGTTCGCAGCCATTCCCAAGTGGGGAGCCGAAATCTTAAAGTCTGATTCTTTCTCTTGTTGAATAGAAGGGGAGATGTGCAAGAACGACACAACTCCATTCCAGATACTAATCCAGAGGAAGAGGATGGGAGTTACCACACTGACTCTCAAAAGGGGACAAGAGACCCACATTCATACTCCCAAGCTTACCACAGATTACCAACCACGATGCAACCTGCTACAACAGGGGGATTCCCTTTGAAGAGATGGTGCCAAAATTTGATCATGAGGCTTTTCCATGTGAAGAGAGAAAAGGGGGTGTCTGGGGATTATCCACGAGAATCTGGGGAGGGCTCCAACTGCACAAACTAGCTGTGGGCCACAGAATGCTTGCTCAGCTCATTAGCACCTGCTGCTTACAGTGACCATTCATCCAACAGACTGGCCGTGAACAAGATGATGGGATCAGCGGGTTCATGCCCCAGAGAGCTTTGCTCATCATTAACATGAGCTACGTCCTGTTCAGGAACCATTCCTCTTGTTGAAGAAACACTGCGATGTAATATGATAAACACGTCCCCATCACGAGTGTAGATTTGTCTAGAAAGATCTGCATTAAGGTGGCTGCATTTTGCATGAATCACATGCTGGGGAGGGGTAGGTAGCACTAAAAACTAGTCCCACTTGAGCCTTCAAGTCATTATGGCATATGTGCCTGCTTCACTATAAACCTCAAAGGCCTGTGACGTCTGGCTTTCATTGTTTAAGTCCCCTCCTCCTTTGCAAGGGTGGAATTACCTGTTTGTAATACCAGCAATTACTATGCACCTTGGAATTGAGCAGAGAGTGTGCTCGAGTGTGCATGTTTAGATTGGAGGGAATTACCCCTACCTTCAAAGTCAAATTCTACTCCCCCTTCAATTTGAAATCATGCACCTCAGCCTCTGGAAAGTTGGGAATGGCAGCCAGAAGGAAACAAGTCACATCAATTTGGCTGATGTGAGAGAGGAGCCTAGCCCTGGAAACTCCACACAAACTCAGAAAGAGAACATTACGTCCCCACCTCCCACACGTCCACCTCATCTGTTCTCCTGAACAAGCACAAACAAGACACAATAGTTTAGTAGGCTGCTACTGAAAGAGTGAGTAATGGGCTTCTAGGAAAGAGGCTGGTGGTGGCTAAGGAGCTTGTACTGATAGAACCAAAGGAGGAAAGCAGCAGCCATGTGCTCACCTTGATCTGCTTTTAATGGGGCTATGTCTTCACAAAGAAAAGAGCCAACACCCTGATCCTACTCTCCTACACTTTTCAAAAGGCACAGGAAGTCCCTACCTACAGTCACCAGCAGCCTCTTGGATAACCAAAGCTGCTAGTGTTACCTAGGAACCCTTTTGGGGATCTAGTCTCTCTCTGCCCTTTGTCTGAAAACTCCTCTGATCCAGAAAGATTCCTGGGTTTGTCTTACATAAGCAGAAGGCCTGTTCCTTCAGACTTGTCCTTCCTCAGCAAAACTGTGAAAGAATTCTACTTCTCTTTCAAAGCTGCTCTTCTGGTCTCACATTTTAATCTTAACAACTATAGACTATAGAGAAGCTGACAGAACCTGTTTCCATAAAACAAACACAATCCTTCCCAGTTACTGGCACAACTCAGTATATTTTCAGCCTAAGATTCTTTCTAGTGCCTGATCTGAAAGGGGAAAGAACCTTGGACTTGCTATCAGAAGAGCTGCCACTTACTGGCTGGGAAACCATAGGCAGGTTACTTTATTTCTCTGAACCTCAGTTTCCTCAATTTCTAAAATACGGATTTATTTTCCTTACCTGTAAGATTCGTATAGAGGATTAAATGAAATAATACTCTTGAAAGTGGCTGATACAAAATGTGTGCTCTGAATACATGCAGTGCCTTCTCTGAGGTCTCGGCTGTGTCTGCCTCTTTTTCCGCATGAGGCCTGAATAGTACTTCTTTTTTTCCTCTTTAATGTTACTTCTCAGGCCTCAGAGTGAGTTTCCTTCCTTTCCCAACATCTCCCCCAGAATGCAGTCTTCCCCTTTTCCCTCACAACTAACCCTCGGCACATCCCCTTTAAAGAGCCCCTTACTTTACCTCCCTCCAGGCACCATCTCCTGGGCCAGAGTTCTCTCTTAAGCAGAGAGCCACTTTCCTATACTCTCTTGTATTATTAGGGCTCCATATCCCAAACAGGAATGCTTGCTAAAAACTCTGTATGGTCCTCTTTGAAAGCTGAAACTGAGACATATTTCTCCCCAGTCTGTCCGTCCCCTGTTATGGGCCATGATGCCTGCTGCTCTCTGATGAAACTATAGTTTTTATGGTGTTACATCATCTCTATAGAAACTGCGTTCTTTCTCCATTATTAGCCTGTTTCCTCATCTGTAAAGCTAAAAATACTTACCTCACAGGCTTGCTGTAAGGATTATTTTAGTGAGGTATGCAAAGGGCTCAGCACAGAGCTTGGCCTGCTAGAAGTACCCAACAAAAGAGAGCTATTATCTTTGTCTTTGTATTGAGTTGCATGTTTCCACCTTCTGCTGCCACACTCAAATTCTCCTCACTCCCCCCTAAAAAACAGTTGAGAGATAACACCCCTGCACAAGGAAAGGGTTAATCTTTGAGTGTTCTTAACTAAAGAGACCCACAGAGGATTAACAGCTCCACTTCAGTGACTACCCTAAAATAGCTTTTATCCTCCTGCCCAAGAGTTACTTGGGGATCTGAAGAACTCAATTCAACACCTGCCGGAGGAAATAGACCCAGAACGTTCCTTGGGATAGAATCTTCCCTTAAGCAGAACCCAAAATAGCAACTGGGAAATTATAAATAGACTTAGAGGAAAGAAAAAACAAAACAAAACAAAACAAAAAACAGATCCTGATCTCAGAACCAGAAACAAATCCTAAAACACACTGGTTGGCTGGAAAACAGTGAGAAGAGGGGAAATGGGAATGCTGTCGCCCCCTTCCCCCCCGCCCACTCCAGAGTGGTGGGAGAATTAAATTACAGGGAGGCTGGAGAGTCTCAATGACTTGCACCATTCCAAGAAACATCAAACAGGATTAACAGGGGTTGGATTTACTCTCAGGCTGCTAATTCTTCTGTCAGTGTAGATGGGCCCTCTTTGGAGTCTCTTTGATTCACTATTTCCTCAGATTCCTGCTGCCTCCCACTCCTGGGGAGGCCTTGAACAAATGGCTGCAACTCATCACAACCCCATTTTCATGGGGAGAAAACGTGATTCGACACCCCCGCTCCCAATCTGGTGGCCTCACCTTAGGAGAGAAAGGTTAGAAACCCAAGACCAGACTCTACACACAGTCCCATGGCTGACAGGTGGAAAAACACACAAGCCAGGAGACAGGCTAAGCTTGCAGGTGAAAGCACCGATTCCCCCACACAGGTGTCCCCATATCCTCCACCTAACAGGCCCCTTTCTCCCCACCAAGGTGGGCCACAGCCTGGTCCCAGGCCAACTTTTAGATCACCCCACTGTGGTGTGGGAAAGGTTCAATTCCCCGAGCCTGGGAGAGATGGGAGTGGATGAGGGCTGGAGAAGCAAAGGAAATCCAGGGAGAAGTCTGGAGGGAGTCTCTGGGATGGGAAGGAAGAGCGAGGATGGGAAGGAATCATGAGCAACTTTCCTGGGTCTCTAAGGGATCCCCACAAGAATGAAATGGGGGATTATAAGGGCTGGAAGGCTGGGGGGATGGGGATAGTCAGAAGTGTATCCTCTGAATTTCAAGAGGGTCTCAAAATGGGTAACGGGATGGAAGATGTCGAAAGCCTGGGAGTATGGCCACTGAGGAGGGAACTACAGGTGGGGCTTATTCGACTTCTCCAGACCCAGATATTTGAGGGAAGCCTCAAAGGGAGTTATGTAAGTCTGGAAAATGAAACAGGGTACAGAGCGGGCTATCTGGAGCAGGAAAGGGGGTTATGTGGGTCTGGGTAGGCGTGTCGGAGGGAGGGAGCAGGTGCAGCTTATCTGCGTCCCCCAGACCCGGGTCCCTGGTAAGGTCAGCAGCGCCTTATCTGGGTCTCCAGGGAGCCTAGGGGTCGGGAATGGGGGACCCTCAGGACTGCGTCTCCAGGTCTCGGAAGGGAGGGGACCGGTGGCTTCCTCGGGTCCCCCAGACACAGGTATGGGGTCCAGGGAGAGTTTTCGTCACCCCAGGGCCTATCTGGGGCCGGGTTGGCGCAGACCGGGCCCCGGGTCGGGGGTGTGGGCGACCGCGCTGAGGGGCCCGAGATGAGGCGCGCCGCCGCTCCGGGTACAGGGCGCGCGGACGCAGCGAGACGGCCTCCCGCCCCTCTCCCCGCCGTCCCCTGGGGCCCTCGCCGGCACTCACCGCGCTCGGGGCCCCACGCTGCGGGCCGGGCCGCGCTCGGGCTCCGCCAGGCCCCCTCAGGCCCCGGTAGTGGCGGCGGTCGGGCCATTGTGCGGTGCATTGTGGGAGCCGCGCGAGCGGGCGCTCGGGTCGTGGAGGGGGCGGTGCCGCGGGATCTCTATGGTCCCGCCCGCCCGCGGGCTAGAGCGGCCGGGGCGGTGCGCGGGCGGCGCGCAGGGACCGCTGGGAGCGGGGCGGGCGCTCGCGTCCCTCCTTCCCTCCCCGACTGTGCGCCGCGGCTGGCTCGGGTTCCCGGGCCGACATGGGCGCCGCCGCGTGGGCACGGCCGCTGAGCGTGTCTTTCCTGCTGCTGCTTCTGCCGCTCCCGGGGATGCCTGCGGGCTCCTGGGACCCGGCCGGTTACCTGCTCTACTGCCCCTGCATGGGTAAGGCCTCCCAAGCCCTCTGCTCAGATGGAGAAACTGAGGCCGGGAGAGGAAAAGCCACTCCTCAGATGCGCCCAGAGACACCTTCACAGGTCCAGGAGAGAACCTCAGAGCGGGACGGGGCATGCTCTTCTCCTCTCTGCCTTAGTTGCAAGGGCACAGAGGGGCCAACGTGTCCAACTTTCCATTTGACAGATGAGAAAACTGAGGCTGGGAGAGGTTACGTGACTTGCTTGAGGTCTAAGCCAGTCCAGGGTCCAGTAAATGGAGTTAGTGGGGCAGGACTTGATGTCACTGACCCACGCTGGCTCCTGGTGATTTTTCATTGATTCAGCAAATATTTATGGGGCACCTATTCTGTGCCGGGCCCTGTTCTCTGTACTGGGAATACCGCAGTGAATAAGATAAACTCCGTGTCCTTGTAGAGCCTTCATTTTAGTTGGGGAAGACAAACAATTGAGAATAAGTAGGCCAGGCGCGGTGGCTCACTTCTGTAATCCCACCACTTTGAGAGACCGAGGCAGGATCACTTGAAGCCAGGAGCTCGAGATCAGCCTAGGCAACATAGTGAAAATCCAATCTCAAAAAAAAAAAAAAAAAAAAAAAGCAGAGCGTGGTATCGTGTGCTTGTAGTCCCTTGGGAGTTATCTGGGCGGCTACTTGGGAGGCTGAGGTGGGAGGATCTCTTGAGCCGAGGAATTCGAGGCTGCAGTGAGCTCTGATCGTGCCACCGCACTGCCAGCCTGGGTGACAGAGTGAGACCCTGTCTCGAAACAAGCAAACCCAAAAAGGGGTAAACATAAAACAATAAATACATAGTTTCATAGAGGATGATGAATACTAAGGGAAAATAAAGAGAGCAGGGTAGGGGAGAATCTAAAGACCATGCCAGGTGCACAGTTGAAATGGGTATGGTGGATCATCATTGTGGAAGTGGATGATCTTAAGGCCCCCAGTGGCTTCCAGACTCCTGACCATGACTTTCAGGGCCCTGAATGATGTGGCCTCCACTGGCCATCTCCACAACTCCCTTCTCTGCTGATCCTCCAGCTGCAGCCACACTTAACTCCTTTGCGTTCCTCACACATGCTCAGGTCTTCCAGTCTGCACTGCTGCAGGTGGCGGTCCCTATGCCTGGAATCCTCTCCTCCATTTCTGCCTGACCAGCTGTTTCCCATCCTTTAGATCTCAGCCTAAATGTCACCAGAAAGGATTTCACTGACCTCTACCCAAGTAATCTCCTCATTACCCTATCACCAAACTTTTTTCATCTCTTTCTGGCAATTATCAACATTTTTCATGTATTTGTTTACATGTTTAGTGTCTCTGCAGTGAACTGTGAGTGCCTTAGGGGCAGAGGCCTTGTCCTTCTTGTTCATTCCTGTATCCCAGCACCTAGCACAGAGTCTGGCACATTGTGGCCTCTCAATCATATTTGTGAAATGAATGAACAGGTGCCATGCTGGGATTAAGAAAAGGAATCACACAGGGTCCTTGCTTCTGAGGCATTCACAGGCTGAGGAATCAGCCAGTACGAAGGCCAGGAAGTGAGCAAAGATACTTGAGGAAAATTGAAGAACTGAAGTAGCTCAGAGCCAAGGTGGGAGGTAAAGGAGGGAGAGTGAGTATGGCAGGGGATTGGTGAAAGGAGCCCAGTGAATGAGGCATTCGAGTTGCCCGTCCATGTGCAGGTGAATGGAGATAGAGGTAGAAGCTCTTCTGGCTGAGGGACAGCAAGATCAGAGGCATTGGGTGGGGATGGGAATTGTAGAGCATGTTGGGGAAACAGCAAGAAACCTGGAGTGGCGGAAGCAGTTGTTGCAGGACCTGAAGAGCCTTGGATATCAGACCCAAGAGTCCAGACTTGTTCTTATGCTGCCAGCTCCCCTAGTTCTCCTTGGTATCCCTGACTTTCTACCCCTGGCTCCACAACCTTTCTGAGCCCTGCATGCTCTATGCCCTCCATGCCCCAGGCCTCACCTCACCCGCAATGTACCATTTCCAGGGCGCTTTGGGAACCAGGCCGATCACTTCTTGGGCTCTCTGGCATTTGCAAAGCTGCTAAACCGTACCTTGGCTGTCCCTCCTTGGATTGAGTACCAGCATCACAAGCCTCCTTTCACCAACGTGAGTACTTCCCACTGACCTTGGCCTTTCTCCGCCCTTTCTCAGTCTTGCTTACTTACACTTAACCCTCAAGTCCTCTGGGCTTTACCTCCCACTCCTCTGAGATTTCCCTACCTCCAGCCAGAACTGTCTTCACTGCAATAACAATGCCTAACATTTATTTATCCAGCACCTGTTGTGTGCGGCTGCATGAGAATTAGCTCATTTCACCCTCATCACTTGCCTGTGAGGAAACCGGGGTTTACAGAGGTTAGGTAACTTGCCCAAGATCACACAGCCTGTGAGTAGGAGAGCTGGAATTCAAAGCTATCTTTGTCTGACTCCAGAGCCTGTGACTTGAACCTAAAGCCTCCATTTCCTTCCCTGATTGGTCCTACCCTCTGTGCATTCCATTGGCCAAGGGTGGCAGATGCTATTATCAATTTTAAAGGAGACATGCAGGCACAGGTTATTTAATGACATGTCCAAGGCCACAACCCAGGTAGTCTGGCTTCAGTGCTGCCTCTCACCCCATCAAGGGGCTCCCTTGTCATGCGATGCTCACCGGCCCCCAGTTCCTTGCTTATTCTTTGTGTCTTCCAGTGACCTTGTGTCGTTGTTCATATTGTATCTCCCGGAGCCTGGCAGTAGGAACTTAATTAGTATTTGATGAATTGACTTAATAATTTTCCAATAGACATCAGAAATAATACTTAGTGTGAACAAAACACTTAATTTCATTCTTACAACCTTTTCTCTGCATAGATTTTACTTTTTCCTTTGCATGCCAGTATTTACAGAGGTTTTGAGCAGCAGTCAAAAGCCAGAGTACCAGAGATCATAGTCTGACTTGGGTTCTTACTAGTTGCATGGCCTGGACAGGGTACTTTACCTCTTTGTGCCTCAGTGTCCTCATTTTAAAAATAAGCTGGTAATGATTCTTGTTACCCTCTTGTGGTAAGGACTGAATGTGTCAGTGGCAGTAACACGCCTTCAGTGTTGTCATATGCCGCCTCCCTCTTAGAATCAACTGAGCTTATCAACGTACAGATCCTAGAGTCCTCAGTTAATGGAAACCATTGATGTTCTGATAATTTCGCACTCACTATTTTTTTTTTTTTGAGATGGAGTCTTGCTCTCTTGCCAGGCTGGAGTGCAGTGGCACGATCTCAGCTCACTGCAACTTCTGCCTCCCGGGTTCAAGCGATTCTCCTGCCTCAGCCTCCTGATTAACTGGGACTACAGGCGCACCACCACGCCCAGCTAATTTTTGTATTTTTAGTAGAGACAGGGTTTCACCATGTTGGCCAGGATGGTGTCAATCTCTTGACCTCATGATGTGCCTGCCTTGGCCTCCCAAAGTGCTGGGATTATAGGCATAAGCCACTGCGCCTGGCCTCGCACTCACTATTACAGTGTAGACATTGCCCATCCATCTCCCTCTGGCTTGCTTGCCTCTGTCTCCTTGCCTTCTCAGCCAGTTGTCTTTCCAAGTCCCCACTTCCTTGCTTTCTGTGGCTTACTAACCTGCTCCAACAAGGCTCTTCTTCGCCACTGTTAGCATTCTCACTGAGGTCACCAGTGACCTCCAAATTGGCAGGGGTTATTTCCCAGTCTTTCTCTCACCTGACCTCCCACTGGCACTTGACCCTGCAAGCTTCTCCTTCCTGAACTTCCCTGTTCCAAGACACCACCTGTCCCTGCTACAATCTAACCTCTCAGCATTTTCCTCTTTCCACTGTATCAGGGGCTCCTTTCTCTCCACCCACTGTTTAGATGTTAGTGTTTCTCCTCTTTCTGTTTGCTTACTAGCTATGTGACCTCAGATGTTATCTAGATTCTGTATGCTTGGGTTTCTTCATAAGTAACCTGGAGATGGTTATATTCCTACCTCAGGATTAAATGTGCAAATCTATGTAAAGTGATGAGTGCAGTACCTAGCACTGTGTCAACATGCAATAAATATTAGTTGCTATTATTACCATTACTTGCTTTGCTATAAATATCTGTTGACTCCTGTGGCTTTTACTCTTCTCCGTGTACCTCCCAAATTTATCTGTGGCCCAGACTCAGACTCCTCCATAATTACAGGCCTGTGTTTCTTTTTTCTTTTTTTTTTTGAGACGAGGTCTCACTGTTGCCCAGGGTGAAGTGCAGTGGCATGATCATCGCTCACTGCAGCCTCCATCTCCTCAAGCAGTCCTTCCACCTCAGCCTCCAAGTAGCTGGGATTACAGGCACCCACCATCACACCCGGCTAATTCTTTGATTTTTAGTAGGGACAAGGTCTCGCTATGTTTCCCAGGCTGGTCTCAAACTCCTGAGTCTAAGCAGTCCTCCTGCCTCAGCCTCCAAAAGTGCTAGGATTACAGACATGAGCCACCACACCCTGTAGAAATTTTTTTGGTTTTGTTTGTTTTTCATTTTTGATGAAGAGTCTCGCTCTGTCACCTAGGCTGAAGTGCAGTGGCAGAATCTTGGCTCACTGCACCCTCTGCCTCCCGGGTTCAAGTGATTTTTGTGCCTCTACTCTTGAGTAGCTGGGACTACAGGCATGTGCCACCACACCCAGCTAATTTTTTGTATTTTTAGTAAAGACGAGGTTTCGCCATGTTGGCCAGGTTGGTCTCGAACTCCCTGCCTCAAGTATTCTACCTGCCTTGGCCTTGCAAAGTTTTAGGATTACAGGCAAAAGCCACTGCGCCCAGCCAGAATTTTTTTTTTTTTTCCAAGACGGAGTTTTGCTCTTGTCACCCGGGCTGGAGTGCAGTGGCACGATCTTGGCTCACCACAACCTCCACCTCCTGGGTTAAAGCGATTCTACTGCCTCAGATCTCCCAAGTAGCTGGGATTACAGGTGCCCACCACCATGCCTAGCTAATTTTTGTATTTTTAGTAGAGATGGGGTTTCACCATGTTGTCCAGAGTGGTCTCCAACTCCTGACCTCAGGTGATCCATCCGCCTCAGCCTCCCAAAGTACTGGGATTATAGGTGAAAGTGACCGCACCCAGCCAGAAATTTTTTAAAATCTAGAAAAATATGCCAGGCGCAGTGGGAGGCGGGCAAATCACTTGAGGTCAGAAGTTCAAGACCAGCCTGGCCAACATGGTGAAACCCCATCTCTGCTAAAAAAGTTAGCTGGGCGTCGTGGCGCCCGCCTGTAATCCCAGCTATTCAGGAGGCTGAGGCAGAAGAATCGCTTGAACCCGGGAGGCGAAGTTTGCAGTGAGCCGAGATCGCGCCACTGCACTCCAACCTGGGAGACAGAGCAAGACTCCATCTCAAAAAAAAAAAAAAAGTAGAAAAATATAAAGATGAGGCTGGGCGCAGTGGCTCACGCCTGTAATCCCAGCACTTTGGGAGACCGAGGTGGACAGATCACGAGGTCAGGAGTTTGAGACCAGCCTGGCCAAAATGGTGAAACCCCATCTCTACTATAGATACAAAAAATTAGCCGGCGTGGTGGTGCGTGCCTGCAATCCCAGCTACTCGGGAGGCTGAGGCAGGAGAATCGCTTGAACCTGGGAGGGGGAGGTTGCAGTGAGCTGAGATCACGCCATTGCACTCCAGCCTGGGTGACAGGGTGAGACTCCATCTCAAAAAAAAAGAAAATTACACAGATGAATACAACCACCAACCATATACCCACCATTAGAAGTGATAATTGTTAACACTTTCTCATGTTTGTTTCATCTTCTCTTTTTGTTAATAAAAGAAATAAAGCGTTACAGATAAAGTTGGTAAAAGATGAAGTCTCTTTTTGGCCCCTGGGGCTAACCCTGTTCCCTTAACAACTGTTGTGGATATAGTGTATTTGGTGTGACTCCTTTGATGTTCCTTCCTATACTTTCATTGTGGCACTGAGCATCCTGGTACTGATCTCCAGGTCCAAAGTGCAAGAACTTCTGTACTTCTCTAGAGCAAATAGTTAGAAGAGGAAGGTACATTAAAAAAAAAAAATTTTTTTTTTGAGACAGAGTCTCACTCTGTGGCCCAGGCTAGAGTACAGTGGCACAGTCACACATCACTGAAGCCTCACCCTCCTGAATGCAAGAAATCCTTCCATCTCAGCCTCCCTAGTAGCTGGGACTACAGATGTGCACCACCACGCCCAGCTAATTTTTTTATTTTTTGTAGAGACAGGGTCTCGCTATGTTGTCTAGGCTGGTCTTGAACTCCTGGCCTCAAGTGATCCTTCTACCTCGGCCTCCCAAAGTGCTGAGATTACAGACATGAGCTACCACACCTGGCCAGAAGGAGCATTTTAAATTCTATTAGATACTCACCGATTGGATCCCAAACTGGTTGCTCCAAAATGTAGACTTCTGCTACCGGCCGTGTAGAAGAGTGCGCATTTCCCCACAAGTTAAGCTTTTCAGTTTTTGCTAGTCTCATGAGTGAGAAGTAATTGATGCCTCGTTATAATTGTAATTTGCTTTTTCCTAATTACTAATGAGGTTAGACATCTTCTGAGTGTGTTGGCTATTTGGGTTTCCTTTGCTGTGAATTGTTTACCCCTAACCTTTGCCTGTGTTTTATCTTGGCATTATTTGTCTTTTTTTGTTACAGATCAGCAGGTGTTTTTTAACACAAGGGATGTTACTGTTTGTTCTTTAGTTTGCAGACTCTCCTGCTAGCCTGTCTATCCTAGCTTTGGCGTCTTTTGATGAAAACTTTTAATTGTCATGTAGTCTGAACTGTCTTGGTCTTGGAGTGTTTTTGTTTTTTTGAGACGGAGTCTTGCTCTGTCGTCCAAGCTGGAGTCCAGTGGCACAATCTTGGCTCACTGCAAGCAACCTCCACCTCCTGGGTTCAAGCAGTTCTCCTACCTCAGTCTCCCCAGTAGCTGGGACTACAGGTGCTCGCTACCACCCCCAGCTAATTTTCTTGTATTTTAGTAAAGACAGGGTTTCACCATGTTGGCCAGGCTGGTCTCGAACTCCTGACCTCAAGTGATCCGCCCGCCTTATCCTCCCAAAGTGCTGGGATTACAGGCGTGAGCCACTGCACCTGGCCTGGAGTGTATTGTTTTAATAAATGTCTAAAGTAGCCACGGGGGCACTGAGACGGGACCTCTGCTCCTCCTTTTCCTGTAGCTCCATGTGTCCTACCAGAAGTACTTCAAGCTGGAGCCCCTCCAGGCTTACCATCGGGTCATCAGCTTGGAGGATTTCATGGAGAAGCTGGCACCCACCCACTGGCCCCCTGAGAAGCGGGTGGCATACTGCTTTGAGGTGGCAGCCCAGCGAAGCCCAGATAAGAAGACGTGCCCCATGAAGGTGGGTCCTGTGGGTTCGGGGGCCCTTTCTTCCTGTTCCATGTCCTCTAGGCCCCCAAGACTATGTCATGGCAAAATGTGGGGAAAAGCACCAGAAGGACTTAGAATAGAAAGATGGAGATTTAAGTCCTGTTTCTGGCATTTGTTAGCGAAGCTGCATCACCTTGGGCAGAAGACTTTGCTTCTCTGAACCTTCATTTCTACCTACAAAATAGAGATGCCAGTCCCTGCTCTGTCTCACTCCTAAAGTGTCATGAGGGCCAGGTGAAAAAGTGCTTGTAAACTGCAAAGTGCCACATCAGTAATAATAACTAATATTCATGTAGCACTTACTATGTATGTCAGGTACCACGCTAAGAGCTTTACATGTATCAACTCATTTAATACTCACACTGTTCCATGAGGAAAATACTTATAATATCCCCACTTCATAGAGAGGACACCGAGGATGGCACAGAGAGGGTCAGTGTCTTACCCAGGATCACACAGCAAACAAGTGGTAGAGCTGGGATTCAACCTTAGGTAATTTGGCACCATTGTCTACCCACTTAACTTGAATACCTTCCTGCATCTCAGCAGGTAAATGAGAGGCTGTCATATCTTATTAAAAGAAATTTATACATTTCTGGCACTTTGGAAATAAACCCCCAAGTATGTCTTTCGGTGTATGTGCTAAAGTCTTGGGAAAGTGGTTGGAAGAACTATGAAATTTGAGAAAGGAGACCTAGCTCACAGCCCCAACAGTGCCCTTACTGGCTGTGTAACCTTGGGTAAGTGTCTGACCCTCAGTGGGCCTTGGTTTCCACCTTGAAAATGAAGGCATTGGATTAGCCAATCTTGAATGTCTCTTGAAGCTCTAGTCCTTGGTTCAAAATCCAAGGTCTGCTTCTCCCCAGACCCTCATCAGTGCTGCTGGGTCAGCAGGATGTGACATGTGAACAGGAAAGACTCTCCTGCTGGAATCCAGAATTGAAGCCACGGCACTCTGCTCAGCCCCTGGCCTAGGAATTGCAGAGTGACATTTCTCCTAGGCCATCCTGTGAGAGTGTTTTGGCCTGAGTCACATCACCCAGCTTCCCCCACCTACACTTCCCTGGCCCCATCCCCAAATGGCTTTCCCTCCCCATCAGTAAGCCTTCCACCACTCTCTTTCTGCAGGAAGGAAACCCCTTTGGCCCATTCTGGGATCAGTTTCATGTGAGTTTCAACAAGTCGGAGCTTTTTACAGGCATTTCCTTCAGTGCTTCCTACAGAGAACAATGGAGCCAGAGGTACTTGGAGGGGGTAGCGTTTCTGGGTTTAGGGGAGGCGCATGGAGCTCATGAGCATTCAGCACCTTCTGGCACTCTCCCCATCTTCCCAACTCTGATGTATGAGACCAAAGGTGCAGGTGCTCTGTCTGTTGAACTTGGAATCCTGTGTGATCTGTTCCCATGTCCACGCCTGACACGGTGGAACATTGACCCGCCATGAGATTGAGAAAGAGTTCATCGGTTGATAAGGGATGTCATAAAAAGAACATTCTGCAGTCGCATGAGTCTCAATTTCCTCCTCTAGGCGTGAGAATCACTCCTGTGTTACCTTACTCTTCCCAAGGTGAAACTGGAAGCAGCTTCTAGAGAACAGCTTCAGGTGCAGACCGAGAAATGACGTCATCCTGATAATTATTGGACGTGTTTATTAATTGCACCCCATTAGCCCCTGTTTTTAAAAAATATAGGTTAGCAGGACGTGGGCACAGGCCGTGAAACATTTATAGGGCGCCTGTCACGTGTGAGACATAGTAATCAGAGGCCAATGGTGATGTGTGAAAATGAGGATGACCAGCTCTGGTTTTCTAGGAGCTATGGTCTCATAATGACAATAATCAGCATAGTGTACTTGTCCTTAATGTTATAGCATGGCAGGAAAGACCATGGGCTTAGAAGGCAGACATTGGTTAGGAGGTGCAGGGAACATACTAATTCATGTGCGGTCAAAGCACTTGGCATTTAATAGGGCAAAGGTAAACAGATGTAGAGAAATGAGTCTCATGCCTGTAATCCCAGCACTTTGGGAGGCCAAGGTGGGTGGATCACTTGAGCCTAAGAGATCAAGGCTGCAGTGAGCCATGATGGTACCCCTGCACTCCAGCCCAGGTTACAGAGCAAGGGCCTGTCTCAGCAAAACAAAACAAGCACAGGCCAAGGAGTGAGATAGCCAGCGCTGATGGTATCTGCCTCGTAGTGCATGAAGTGCATGTCATACACTAAGCAGCCAGCCAGTGTTGGCTGTCAGTGTTATTACTCACATGCTTTATTTTATTTAAGACTTTGAGATAGTTCATGAAGTGGGTATTATTATCAATTTCCATTTTATAGGTGAGGAAACTGAGCCCAGTGAAGTTAAATAACTTCCCAAGGTCATTGAGCTGTTGAGTGGACAGCTCAGGTCTGTTTGTAAATCTTTAATAAATAACAACAGCTAAGATTCATTTAGTGTCTTCTATGTGCCAGACACTGTTCTAAGTCTTCACAGGTATTGACTCACTTAATCTTTCCCTGAGTCTGTGGGTTGTTACTGCCATCTGTGCTTTACACTTAGAGAAATTGAAGCAGAAAGGAATAAGGTCCCTTGCCCAAGGTCATAAAGCTTGAAGTTGCAGAGCTTGGTTTTGAACCCAGAAGTCTGAATCCAAAGCACCAGTTACTTTATATATTTATATTTGAAATGGGTCTTGCTTGTCTCCCAGGCTGGAGTACAGTAGCATGATCATAACTCACTATAACCTCAAATCCCTGGGCTCAAGCAATCCTCCCCGCTCCGCCTCCCAAGCAGCTGGGAGTGCAGGCATGTGCCACCATGCCTGACGAATATTTTGTTTTGTTTTGTACAAACAGGGTCTTGCTATGTTGCCCAGGCTGGTCTTAAACTCCTGGCCTCAAGTGATCCTCCCACCTCAGCCTCCCAAAGTGCTGGGATTACAAGCATGAGCTGCTGCGCCCAGTCCCAAAGCACCTGTTCTTAATCACAGTGGATTAAATAGCTGTGCCTTTAACAGCTGCCAGTTCCCTTCTGGGACTTGCCTTTGGACCTAGCTTTGGACCTAGTTCATGTGCCACTGAGGATCCTCAGTCATGGCAGATTTAAATCTTCCTCATTGTTGATCCCAGATAGCACACTCCCATTCTCTGCCTGCATGGTTCTCCCCCATTCACCTCCGAATGACCTGGAGCTATTGCCAGAAGGCAGACCTGCCCTCAAAGGATGGAGATTTGCCCATATTGACAATATGCCAGGAAAAAAAGAAAGAAAAAAAAGCCACCAACTCTAAAAGCAACTCCAAAAGCAAATTCCAAAAAGCTAGAAAAAGCACACAATCCTAGTAGGAAGAGAAAGGACAATGGTGCATGGGGAGTGTTGTTGAAACACTTGTTTATTGCCCCATAGCTTTGTTTGAGTTCATTGAGTTGTAAGAATTACATGAGGGTTTGAAGAAGTTTGTGCCTTACAGCCAAGTTTTTGGGAAAGGAAAATTAGTAGGGAAGATGAGGTCCCTAGAGGGAGTTTGAGGGAGTTGATGGTCCCTTGGCAGCTGCCTGTCTTCCTTCAACACATATTTAAGAAGCACTTCCTGAGTGTCAAGGGCTGGTTTGGATGCTGGGGATATAGGCCAGAATAAGGACATGAACAAGGCAGGGAATGAACAAGGCCAGAATAAGGCAGATAAGGTCCCTGCCCCAATGGAACTCATAGTCTAACAGGGGAGATAGTGAATAAACTTTTACATAGGATAGTTCCAGAGTGAGATGGTGCTTAGAAGGATATAAACAGGTGGTATGTGATTGGCAGGGCTAAGACCAGAAGGATGAGAAGGAGCCAGTTGTGTCAGAGTTAGAGGAAAAGTAGTTCACAGCAGGAAGTCAGGAGCAAAGACCCTGAGGCAGGAATAAGCTTGGTATGGTGAAGGAGCAGAAAGAAGGCAATGTGGTATGGAGTGAGTGAGAGAATGGTAGGATGTTGCTCTTATCTGTTGCTGCATAATAAATCACTACAAAACGTAGTAGCATAACAACAAGTTTTTTTTTTTTTTTTTTTGAGACGGAATCTCACTCTGTCACCAAGGCTGGAGTCTCGGCTCACTGCCAGCTCCACCTCCCGGGTTCATGCCATTCTCCTGCCTCAGCCTCCCAAGTAGCTGGGACTACAGGCGCCCGCCACCACGCCCGGCTGATTTTTTTGTATTTTTAGTAGAGACGGGGTTTCACCGTGTTAGCCAGGATGGTCTCGATCTCTTGCCCTTGTGATCCACCCGCCTCGGCCTCCCAAAGTGCTGGGATTACAGGCGTGAGCCACCGCGCCCGGCCAACAACAAGTTATTATTATTTCTCATGGGACTGTGGGTTAACTGGGCTTAGCTGGGCAATTCTTTTGGGTTTTCATTTTTCCGTTTTCTTATGGAATCCCTGCTGTACAAAGTTTAAATTCAGGTTAAACATCTTATTTCTTGGAACGAATAACCTTTATTCTTGCAATGAATAGCCTCAGTAAATGCTTTTCTACTTTCTGTCTTTGAATTTCTCTAGCTATCTCATAGGTACTTAGGTATCTCATAGAAGTGGAATCATGCAATATTTATCTTTTTGTGTCTGGCTTATTTCATGTGGCATATTTCATGTGGCAAGATTCATCAGTGTTGTAGCCTGTATCAAAATTTTAGTCCTTTTAAGGCTGAATAATAGTTCATCGTATGTATATACCACATTTGTGTATCTCTTCATCTATTGATGGACACTTGAGTTAGCTGGGCAGTTATTGCTTGTGGTCTCATGTGGCTGCAGTCAGCTGTCAGCTAGGGCTCAAGTTATCCTTTTTTGGTAGAGATGGGTGGGGATCATGCTCTGTTGCTCAGGTTGGTCTTGATCTCTTGGCCTCAAGTAATTATCCTGCCTTGGCCTCCCAAAGTGCTGGGATTACATCATGAGCCACCATGCCCATCCAGGGCTCAAGTTATCTAAAGGCTTGACCAAGGCTGCGTGCAATGGCTTACACCTGTAATCCCAGCACTTTGGGAGGCTGAGGCGGGTGGATCACTTGAGCCCAGGAATTCAAGACCAGCCTGGCCAACATGCCAAAACCCCATCTCTACTAAAAATATAAAAAATTAGCTGGGCGTGGTGGCACACACCTGTAATCCCAGCTACTCAGGAGGCTGAGGCATAAGAATCACTTGAACCTAGGAGGCTGAGGTTGCAGTGAGCCGAGATTGTGCCACTGCATCCCAGCCTGGGCAGCAGAGTGAAACTGTCTCAAAAAAAAAAAAAAGGCTTGACTGAGCTACATATCCAGGAAGTCCCCCTCATGTCTGGTGGGTGATGCTGCTGTCATCTGGGAGCCAAGCTGGGGCCACCAAGAAGCATGTATACACTTGACCTCTCCATGTGGCTTGGGCTTCTTACAGCATGGCACCTGTGTTCTGAGAGGGAGCATCCAGGGAGTGAGTGTCCCAAGAGACAGGAAATAGAAACTGCGGGCTCCCTAACAACTGAATCTGGAAACCGGCACAGTGTCACTTCTGTCGGGTGCTATTGGGAGGAGGCAGAGCCCACCTAATGGGAAGGGGTTCAAAGACTTGACCACTTCTAATCTGCCACACGGGAAAAGAGATCAGAGAGGTGGGCAGGGGTCAAAACACGCGGGTTTATAGGCCCTGTGAGGCAATCTGTTAAGAAGCCTGTGAATGATTAGTAGGGATGAATTTGAATGTGTATGAACATTTAACATTAAACATTTCTTAAGATACAGGATACTTCCTTGCTATGCATATTTGTCCTTGGGGAGAAGAGAAGAATGGAATCAGAGAGTGAAGCTCTTCCCAGCCTTACTGTGCGATTAGGCAGCTGCTCCCCTTCTCTGGCCTCAATGTCCCATCTATAAAATGAAGGGGATGGGCACGATGAGTGGTTTTGAAACTATCTTCAGAGTTTTCAAGAAGTGCTTGTCAGGCATAGTGGCTCACACCTGTAATCCTAAGGGATTACAGAGAGGTTGAGGCAGGTGATCGCTTGAGCCCAGGAGTTCAAGACCAGCCTGGGCAACGTAGGGAGACCCCATCTCTACAAAAAATAGAAAAAATTAGCCAGGCATGGTGGCGCATACCTGTAGTTCCAGTTACTTGGGAGGCTGAGGTGGGAGGATCAGGTGAGCCTGAGGAAGTCATGGCTGCAGTGAACCCATGATCTGTCCACTGCACTACAGCCTGGGCAACAGATTGAGACCATCTTAAAAAAAAAAAATGCCTCTAGGGCCTTTATGGGGGGTAGCAGTAGGGGACCAAGTTCCAGGGGCTCAATTCTTCCTCCCTATTGCCTTCAACCAATAACCCTTAAATATATCAGGGTTCTCAGTAAGGCAGAAGAAGTTTGTAGGCTACAAGTCTAGGTGTGTCAGACTTAAGTTAGGCTACAGGTAGCAGGAAGCCCGAAATAAGAGCAGATTGATAGGGTTTATTGTTTTCTTAAGTAAAAGAAGATCTGGGTATGCAGTCCAGAGCTGAATGCCAGCTCCATAGTGTCATCAAGAATCCAGCTGGGTAGAGTGGCTCACACCTGTAATCCCAGCACTTTGGGAGGCAGAGGCAGGCGGATCACTTGAGGTCAGGAGTTCAAGACCAACCTGGCCAACATGGTGAAACCCTGTCTCTACCAAAAATACCAAAAAAAATTTAGCCGTGCATGGTGGCACACACCTGTAATCCAAGCTACTCAGGAGGCCAAGGCAGGAGAATCACTTGAACCTGGGAGGCGGAGGTTGCAGTGAGCGGAGATCCTGCCACTGCACTCTAGCTTGGGTGACAGAGTGAGACTTCGCCTCAAAAAAAGAGAAAAAGAATCAGGCTTCCATCTCTTTGTTCAGCCATCCAGTATTAGCTTTTCTATCACCTCATGGGCCAAGATGGCAGATGAAGCTCCAGCCATCACATCCCAACTGGAGGAACAAAAGTTGCGAAAGGGCATGTCCTCCCTTTTTAAGAAGCCTTCCCGGAAGTCCATTATAACCCTTTTGCTTACATCTCATTGGCTAGTACGAGGGCACATGGGCCATACCTAGCTGCAAGAAGTACTTAGAAATGTCTGTCTTTCTTTTTCTTTCCCCCACCTCGCCCGGGGTATGTTTGGCTGATAAGAAGTGTCTTTATTTTAGGCTGCCACGTATCCAGCTGAAAACTGGGTTCGAGGGAAAGAGGATAAGAGGTATTTCTTCTTTACCACGTGATTTCTGAGGATCCTTCCAGCTCTGCTCGTTCTGAGCCTGTGAATAGCCTGGCACAGCTCTAATTCAGCTGACGCTTACTGCACATTGACTATTGGAAGGCAATGCACCATCGTGCCAAACCATTCTCAGGTATAATGGTCCAGGAATTTGAGCGCATGGCTTGTCATTCTCCCAGGCTGCCACCTCCCTGTGGGAACCAGAATGAGACTGGAAGAGTGAGAGGGAGCCAGCCATGCAGAGAGCTGGAGGGAAAGGCAGTCCTTCATGGCAGGGACATCCAGAACAAAGCCCTGCCTTGTTCATGTCCCTGGGTCTTCTGCACTCAATATGGGTTTCATCCACTGGTGGTCCCACAGATACATACTGGACACATAAATGGATGCTGTATACAGAGAAGTCCTAGTTTGTTGGAGAATCTCAGCAGCACAGGCATGGTGGTGAAGAATCCCAGAGGTTCACTGGGCCCAGCAGCAGGAAAGCCAGCTGACTTCAGCTGGATAGCAAGAGGCAAAGGGCCTGACCAAGGGTGAGCAGTCACCGGGAGGTGGTGCTGGTCAAGATTTTCTTTCCAGCCAAGATCCCTGTTCCCCCCTCATTCTTTCCAGACAGCGCTGTCTTACCTCACCAAAAGTAAGTGAGCAGATCAGCCTTAGCCTCTTGCTGCTTGTTGGGTCTGAGCTGATGTTGTCCCACTGGGACAGCTCTTTGCTGGTCCAGATCCAGGTAGAGGGGACACACATTCCAAGTCTGGAATTCACCGAAGGTTGGCTGCAGGTGCTTTCCAAGAGGTCGGGGGGTGGCAGGGGGCCGCAGATCCTGGTTTTATCCTGATATTCCAGCCCCACTGGGAGATCTACTCTGGCTTTCCTTTGAAAATCCTTTTGAGGTAGCATCTGAAAGATTAGCTGAAGACCTGGCCTATAGTAGCTACTCAGGTAATATGAATTCCTTCCTTCTCTAACCCCTGACAGCCTGATCGGGTCTTTCTGGTGAGGTCCCCAAATCTTTCTCATTTATTCTAAAAATATTTATCATGCCTACCATGTGATAAGGTCCATGCTGGGGCTGGGAATCAGAAGATTAAGCCACAGACTCAGCTCATTGTCAAGGGTGGGGGAGATGGGAGTAAGGGGTAGTAGTTAAGAACATAGGATCTGGAGCACACTGCCTGGATTTAAATCCTGGCTCCACCAATTCCTAGCTGTGCAACCTTGGGCACGTTACTTAACCTCTGTGCCTCAGTTTCCTCACCTGTAAAATGAGAATGACAGTAATACTTCCCTTACAGAGCTCTTGTGAAAATCAAATGACTTAATATACACAAACAATTGGAGCATTGCCTATCACATAATGAGGCCCAATAAACAATGCACAATTATGTACATATAAACAAAACTGGAGTCTAGGCCAGGCGCGGTGGCTCACGCCTGTAATCCCAACACTTTGGGAGGCTGAGGCGGGCGGATCTTCTGAGGTCAGGAGTTTGAGACCAGCCTGGGCAACATGGCGAAAACCCGTCTCTACTAAAAATACAAAAATTAGCCGGGCATGGTGGCACGTGCCTGTAATCCCAGCTACGCAGGAGGCTGAGGTAAGAGAATCACTTGAACCTGGGAGGCGGAGGTTGCAGTGAACCAAGATCACGCCGCTGCACTCCAGCCTGGGTGACAGAGCAAGACTCCATCTCAAAAAAAAAAGGAAAGAAAACTAGAGTCTAGCAAGATAAGTGTCGCACAGCTGGACCATCAAGGAACACTTTCTTGTCACTGGTCCGAGGCCTGTGTAAGTGACACAGGCCTTGGATAGCGTATGTGGGAGCAATGGCAAACAGGCTGCTTGGGTCCCCAGCCTCACCAGCTGACAGTTCCATGGGCAGGGAAAGTGGCTGCAGGGCATATCATTGTGCAGAAGGCAGCAAGAGAAGTGGGACAGGGAACACTCCCTAAGGAGGTGAGGCTTGGGAATTGCGACTGACCTTGGAGGTGTGGAAGGTGTTTGCTGAGCAAGCAGTCTCTGTTGGGTGTGGAGAATGAGTGGCATGTCTGTCACAGCACTGTTGTGTGAGGGAAAGATTGGAACGACCTCACTGTCTAGCAAGAGGGAAATAGGTAGGTAAATTGCAGTTTATTTGTACAAAATGGAAAACTTTTAGAGAAGCTAATACAACCACATGATCCACATGATCAACATGGCCAAGTCTCTGAAACATAAAGTTGAATTTTTAGAAAGTTGATTAGATTTATATGTAACCTTTAACTAGGTTACATGCAATGTGATGATGATAAGAGCTAGAATTCTTTGAGAGCTTTCTGTGTGCCAAGGTACTGTTCTAAATGCTTTGCTTTGATAATACATTAATCCTCTCAGTAGCCCTATAAATGGATATATTAATTAGCTTGGCTGTACTATTCATTTAACTACATACATGTAGATCAAAATATCATATTGTATATCGTAAATATATACAACCTTTTTTTATTTTTTATTTTTATTATTATTTTTTGAGACGGAGTCTTGCTCTGTTGCCCAGGCTGGAGTGCAGTGGCACGATCTCAGCTCACTGCAAGCTCTGTCTCACAGGTTCGCCATTCTCCTGCCTCAGCCTCCCAAGTAGCTGGGATTACAGGTGCCCACCACGACGTGTGGCTAATTTTTTGTATTTTTAGTAGAGACGGGGTTTCGCCGTGTTAGCCAGGATGGTCTCGATCTCCCGACCTCGTGATCCACCTACCTTGGCTTCCCAAAGTTCTAGGATTACAGGCGTGAGCCACCGCGCCCGGTCAACTTTTTTAAATTTTTTTTGAGACAAGGTCTCACCCTCCCACCCTGGCTGGAGTGCAGTGGCACGATCATGGCTGACTGCAGCCTCAACCTTCCAGGCTCAAGCGATTTTCCCATGTAGCCTCCTAGGTAGCTGAGACCACAGGCACACACCACAACACTTGGCTAATTTTTTGATATTTTTGGATAGATGGGGTGTTGCCATGTTGCCCCAGGCTGGTCTTGAACTCCTGGGCTCAAGTGATCTGCCCACCTCAGCCTCCCAAAGTGCTGGGATTACAGAAGTGGCCACCACACCCAACCACAATTGAAAAAAAACAAAAACAACAACAAAAAAACAGCTTTATGATGTGGGAACTGTTATCTCTATTATGTGGATGAGGAGCTAAGGCACAGAGTGGTAAAGTCACCTGCCCAAGTTAGCTAGTGGCATAGTCAACATTGGAACAAAGCATTCTGGCTTAACCTACAATCTTCATCATTCCACTCCATAGAAAGCACGCAGAAGAACACTCCCCTCCTTTTTGATGTCTATAGTAAAAGTGCAATCATACATTAAAACACATTACCCTCTGGGAAGGATGATGGCAGGATGAGCTTGTATTTAGGTGTGTGTTTTTTGTTTTGTTTGTTTTGTTTTGTTTTTAAACCTGAAACAAAGCAAAGTTAGTTTCTGCTGATTTGGGTCATGGGTATATAAATTATTAAATTATTTTCTGTATTTGCCTGGATGGTTTGAAATATTTCATAGTTTTTATTTGAAATTTTCATTGAGGTCATTGTACATTTACATGCAGTTGTAAGAAATAAGACAGCAACCTCCCATGTACCCTTTACCCAATTTCCCCCAATGGTAACATTTTGCAAAACTATAGTACAGTATCACAACCAGGATATTGACATTGATACAATTTACCCATCTTACTCAGTTTTCTTGTACTTACTTCTGAGTGTGTGAGTGCATGCCTGTGTGTGTGTGTGTGTGTGTGTGTGTATTTCTGTGCAGTTTTATCGTGTGTGGGTTTATGTATCCACTACTATAGTTAATACACTGAACAGTTCCATTATCACAAGGATCCTTGTGTTGCCAGTTTATAACCACACCCACCTCCCTAAACATATACACCCCATTCCTAACCTCTGCCAACTACTAATCTCTTCTCCATGCTATTGTTTTAAAATGTTTATATAAATGGAACCATACAATACATAACCTTTGAGATTGCCCACCCTCCCTGACCCAAGGATAATTCCCTTGACATCATCCAAATTGTTGCCTGTATTGATACTGTGTTCCTTTTTTTGGTGGGGTTCATATTCCATGATACAGAGGTACAGCAGTTTGTTTAACTGTTTACTTGTGAGTGACGTCTGGGTTGTTTCCAGTTGGGGGCTATTTTATGAATAAAGCTGCAAGGGACATTGGTGTATAGGCTTGTGTGAACATAAGTTTTCATTTTTCTTGAATAAATGCCTAAGAGTACAATTGCTGGGTCATGTAACTGCATGCCTAACTGCCAAACTGTTTTCCAGAATGGCTGTTCCCATTTCATACTTTTAAGGAAAGGATTTTGGCTGGCAGAAGGCACTTCCCCCCTCCAGCTGGAGGGAAGAAGTATACAGAGATCTAGAACTTGAAAGTGCATTGTGAACATGGAACAGCAAGGGGTTTCGTGCTGCTGAGAGGTAGTCTGGGTTTAGCTGAAGAGGGAACACAGGTTTGCTCCTCATTTGTTCAGTCAAGAAGTATTGACCGGGCGCGGTGGCCCACACCTGTAATCCCAACACTGGGAGGCCTAAGTAGGCAGATCACTTGAGTCCAGGAGTTCGAGACCAGCCTGGGCAACATGGCGAAACCCCGTCTCTACAAAAAAAATGTAAAAAATTAGCTGGGCCTGGTGGCACTTATCTGTAGTCCCAGCTACTCAGGAGGCTGAGATGGGAAGGTCTTGCCTTGAGCCTGGAGGCGGAGATTGCAGTGAGCCGAGATCACGCCACTGCCCTCCAGCCTGGGTGACACCTGGGTGACAGCAAGATCCTATCTCAAAAAAGAAAAAGAAAAGAAAAATATTTACCAAGCTCTTGGGTGTGCCAGACACTATTCTGCGCATACTGGAGCACTGCCTTCCCACAGCAAGGACAGAGGTGAAATAATTATGAGATGGACTGTGTATGAGGGGGAAGCAGGGGCTTGGGAGGGCATGATAGGGGCACCTGCAGACCCCTGCTCCCTTCCATAGCGCAGGGACTATGCCTGTCTTGTTTTCCTCCAGGTCCCAATACATAGTAGGCAATCAATAAATGTTTTTTAAATGTTGAATGAATGATTCAAATCCAGTATACATAGTCCCTGTGAGTGTGACCTGGCCGTTGCTTCTGTAAGCAGCTGCATGTCCCAGTCCTGCCATGTAGGTAAAAGGGCAAAGGCTTGGTCCAGACACCCCACCCTGGAATGAATTACTGCACCGCAGATTGGAAGCCAGTGTGACATATAAAAGGTTGGAATGCTCTCCTGTAAAGTTTTAATTGTTCGACAAGCAAAGAGGGTTGTAAATTCCATGTGGCGGGACAGTATTGCATATTGTGCCTGTTGCCGCCGCCACCAAGGTTCCTTATCAGCCCGTTGGTATTTCACAACCTCTCGTGTTTCTTGCGTGTTGCAGGGGCCCCTCCGCAGGGTCTCTGGGGCATGGTGCAACACCATCCTTTTTCCCGTGGGGGTGGCAGCCAGGCTCTCTGTGCGTCCTCTGACTTCCCTCATTCCATCTCCTGTCTAGATTTTCTCCAAAGGAACATCCGGTGCTTGCCCTGCCAGGAGCCCCAGCCCAGTTCCCCGTCCTAGAGGAACACAGGCCACTACAGAAGTACATGGTATGGTCAGACGAAATGGTGAAGACGGGAGAGGCCCAGATTCATGCCCACCTTGTCCGGCCCTATGTGGGCATTCATCTGCGCATTGGCTCTGACTGGGTAACTTCCCCCTTCCTCTCTCACTGGCTAACTTGGATGTGTCCCTGAGCATGGCCCTGGCCTGTAGGGATCGGCCCCGCGTCCCAGCCAGAGCAGAGATCTCTCACTTGTTCTGGTTCGTGGGATTGTGTCCCATCATCCCACTGCAGCACATATCAAAATGTAACTCCAGAGTGCCTGCCAGCCAGGTCTCACTTTAGCAGCAGCTGTTTTTATCCTCATTTTACAGATGGATAAACTGAGAGATCAAGCCAGACCCCAGGTCAGGCAGCAAGCCATAAAGAGGCCACAGTCCAGGAGTCCCCTGTCCTAGCTCAGTGTCTGGCTGGTAGACTCCGTGTTGAAAAACTGACTGTGGAGATGAGGCATGGCTCCCAAGAAATGAAGATGTCATCCTAACAGAATTTGGAGGCTGTTTAAATGTGCAGAATCCTTGTATTCCAATGAGGTTTTCACCTCTGTGTGAAAATAACAGAATCAATATAGATGGTCACCTTGATTTACCTAAGAAGATATATAGATATGTTAGAAATGCTCATTGCAGAAAACTTGAAAAATACTAAAATTAAAATTCACTCATAGCCAATTGATGAGGTAATCTTACATTTACCCACTAAACTCTCCTCTTTCCCCCAGCCCCCACAAAGAAAGGGAGCCAGAGCCAGGATGTCTTATGAGTGGCTCCAACCAGACATTCAAGGAATAGTAATTCCCATCTATACTTTCCTACAACATCAAGAGATATAAGATTCTATTTTTTATAAAGCTAGCATAACACTAATACCAAACTCAGATAAGGTCAGCTCAGAAAATTATAGCCTGTTCTTGCTTATGAACACAAATGCATAGGCCCTAAGTGAAATATTAACAGGTCAAAGCCAATAACATATTAGCACACAACACAAAACACGTAAAAATCTATCGCAAGAATGTAATCAAATTTACTATATTAACACCCAAAGAAGAAAAATCATATGATCATCTCAATAGAGGCCAAGAAAGCATTTGATAAAAGTCACCACCTGTTCATGATAAAAACTCATAACTAACCAGGAATAGAATGGACCCACCTTAACTTGATAAAGGCTATCTCTCGAAACCACAGCAGATAGCATACCTCCTGGGGAGCTATTGGAAGTGTTCCCACTGTAGTTGGGAATCATATAAGGCTGCCCGTTAGTACTGCCACTGTTCAGAATTCAGTGAATGTCCCAGATAATGCAGTAAGACCAAGAAAAGTAATTTTTGTTTCAAAATGCCAGGCTTTCTGTGCTGTGCCCACCGCCCAGAAAGAACCACTGTTAACTCCTCCTCCTTCAATGCTTTTTTTTTTGAGACAGAGTCTCACTCCATTGCCGAGGCTGGAGTGCAGTGGCAAGCAAAATCACAGTTCACCGCATCCTCCACCTTCTGGGCTCAGGTGGTGGTCCTCCCACCTCAGCCTCCTGGGTAGCTGAGACCACAGGCGCACATCACCACACCTGGCTAATTTTTGTATTTTTTGTAGAGATGGGGTTTTGCCACGTTGCCCAGACTGGTCTCCAATTCCTGAGCTCAAGCTATCAGCCTGCCTCGGCCTCCCAAGATGCTGGGATTACAGGTGCGAGGCACTGCGCCTGGTCCTCAGTGTTTTCTTTAAAAATGTAGTTAGGCTGGGCGTGGTGGCTCATGCCTGTAATCCCAGCACTCAGGGAGGCCGAGGCAGGCGGATCACGAGGTCAGGAGATCAAGACCATCCTGGCTAACGTGGTGAAACCCCGTCTCTACTAAAAATACAAAAAATTAGCTGGGCGTGGTGGTGGGCACCTGTAGTCCCAGCTACTTGGGAGGCTGAGGCAGGAGAATGGCGTGAACCCAGGAGGTGGAGCTTGCAGCGAGCAGAGATCACACCACTGCACTCCAGCCTGGGCGACAGAGCAAGACTCCCTCTCAAAAAAAAAAAAAAAAAATGTAGTTAGGCCAGGCACGGCTGCTCATGCCTGTAATCTCAGCACTTTGGGAGGCCAAGGTGGGTGGGTCACCTGAGGTCAGGAGTTCAAGACCAGCCTGGCCAACATGGCAAAACTCCATCTCTACTAAAAATACAAAAAGTAGCCGGGCATGGTGGCGGGTGCCTGTAGTTCCAGCTACTCGGGAGGCTGAGGCAGGAGAATTGCTTGAACCCCAGAGGCGGAGGTTGCAGTGAGTGGAGATCACACCACTGCACTCCAGCCTGGGTGACAGAGTGAGACTCCGTCTCAAAAAAAAAAAAAAAATGTAGTTAGGTTCTTCCTGTATAGCCTGTCTTTTTCCACTTACCAGGTCTTGCTTCTGGGGTTCCAGGGCAGTTGCCAGTATTTAACCCTGTTCCCCGCTCTCCGTAGAAGAACGCCTGTGCCATGCTGAAGGACGGGACTGCAGGCTCGCACTTCATGGCCTCTCCGCAGTGTGTGGGCTACAGCCGCAGCACAGCGGCCCCCCTCACGATGACTATGTGCCTGCCTGACCTGAAGGAGATCCAGAGGGCTGTGAAGCTCTGGGTGAGGTCGCTGGATGCCCAGTCGGTCTACGTTGCTACTGATTCCGAGAGTTATGTGCCTGAGCTCCAACAGCTCTTCAAAGGGAAGGTATGTGTGGGCCAAGTGGGAGTGCAGTAGGAAGGGAATGAAAGGAGGAGCCAGGATGGTCCCACTGCCCACTGCATGCTTCACGGGCTCCCCTACAAGCCTTTTGCCTGGACCTACCATTCCTCTTCAGTTCCTACCCTCCTTCAAACCCCAGCTCAGAGGCCTCCTCCGTAGTCTTTCCAGGTTTTCATCCACTCCTGGAGCTCACGTATCCCTGCTGGGACCTTCGTGGCCCTATATCATTTCTTCTCTCGGGCACTTTCTGGACTGTATGAGACTGGTGTAGAAATATGTCTTATTTCCTCCCAGGAGCTGTGGGCTCCTTGAAGGCAGGGTCCAAGGCTGACTCACTGTTAACATTCCTTGATGTCTAGCCTGGTGCTTCGACCTCTTTGGGACTGAAACCCTGCCTTACCATCACCAGTGTCTAGTACAGTGCCTGACACTTAGTAGGCAGTCAGTTTGTTGAATGAGGATGTAGAGAGTGGGCTCTGGGGAGAGATCCAGTATAGTGGAGGAGTTAATAGCAGAGACTCTGGAGTCAGAGAACTTGAATTTACCCACTCTGCAGCCTTGAAAAAGTTATTTGACCTCTCTGTGCTTCTGTTTCCTCATCTATAAAATGGGACTGAATAGTACCTATCTCATAGGGCAGTTGTGAAGGTCAGATGTAAAGAAATTGAAACAGTTCCTGCTACAAAATAAGTGCTCAATAAAGTTAGCTATCATCAGTAGTAGAAATTGGTGGCTGATGAATGAAGGAAAGGATCTTTGTGCTTAGCAAACTGTTGAAGAAGCCGTGAATAGTGAGTATTCAGTACATGAGTAAATACTAGAATGTTCTTGGTCAGTGCTTACTATATCAGTGAAGAGTAATACTCAGGCAATGAGTGAGTACGTATTGATAAAATGACTGAATTAGTATTAAGCATTCCATAGGACTTTGTAGGATGAGTGAAAACCGTAAATGCTGTGCAGGCCTTAAGAGGCAGACACTGGGTACCGCTGGCTTTATATCAAGGGCCTCCCCTTCTCTTTCACCCCAGACACAGGAAGCTCCAGTGCAGAGAGGAAGTGCTAAGTCAGCACATTCTAATCTCCTCCCCACCTACTGAACAGAAAATCAGAGCTGGGGCTGGGCACAGTGGCTCATGCCTGTAATCCCAGGCCAAGGCAGGAGAATTGCTTGAGGCCAGAAGTTCGAGACCAGCCTGGCCTAACATAGCGAGACCCCCATCTCTATTTAAAAAAAAGAAAGAAAGAAAGAAAGAAAAGCAGAAGAAAAATATAATTAAGAGAAAATCAGAGCTGAGAGATCTCAGGGGTTGTCTAACCCAACCCCTCTATTTTATAGCTGAGGAAACCAAAATTCCAAGAAAGGATAGAGTTTACCCAAGCAGTCCCAGAGCTAATTATAATGGGCATGACACAGAGTGGGTAAGTTTCAGAATGTGAGTGGAATTGTTTGGGGGATTTTGGCCATGATTAAACTGGTATTATTTCTTTGCTACAATCCAGATAGCAAGATGATGATTTTTGTTACATCAGAAATCTCTGTGGAACAGCAAAGCACTTTCAGCCCCAACTCTGCCCACATTCCCCCCACCTACCTACAACCCCCAACTACCTCTATACTAAGCTGAAGCATTTGGAGAGTCCCAGGGAGTTTTTTTGTGAGTTTTTGGAGTCAGTGTATCTGTTACACCTTGAACCTCTTGCCATTTTCTATTTCCTGTCCCTATGCCAGTCTTCTCATCCCTCCCCACCCCTCAACTCCCTTCTCCATGGGTTCAGAGGCCACCTTTATCCTGAACTAAGCCTTCCTCCTCCATTAAGCTGGTCCAGTGCTGAGTAAGGGTACCAGTAAATAAGATGTGGTCCCGCTCTCCAGGGCTCACATTCTAGACCCAGGAAAAGAGACTGCAGAGAGCTATAACGTGGGCCACAAGGTGGATTCAGGAGCTTGCTAGAGAGATGGGCAGGTCCATTCATTCACCTGTCCACTCACCAGATTTTTACTGGGGCAGGCTCTGTGCTGGGCCTGGCCAGCAGTGGAGAGCAAACCAACACAGCTCTAGCCCCAGTCAGGGGCAGGAGATGATGCTAATCAGAGAATCACTAAGGAGTGGAAACTATAAGCAGAGATGTGTGCTCCAAAGTAGAGCAGCAGGGTTCTGTGAGAGTGAAGAGCAGAGGATGCTGGCCTAGGCTAGAGGGCCAGGGAGCGCTTCCCCAAGGAGGCACCACTGAAGCCGAGATGCGAAGGAGAACTAGGAGCTAACCAGGTAAAGGGAGGTACACCCCAAACAGCACAGCACGCACAAAGGTCCTGAGGAGGGCGGGAGCCTGGGTAGGGGCTGGATGATGGGGGTGGGATAAGAAGAGGCCCAGCGAGGACCTTGTAGGCCACGTTCACAATTTGTCACCCTTATCTGAAGGGCAATAGGGCATCATTAAAGGGTGTTCCACTTGGAGGGCGGGAAGGACAGGTGTGAGGTTATCTCGAAAAGTTTCTTCTGGCTGCTCTGTGGTGAGCAGACCAGGAGAGGCAGTGAGGGGACCAGGGAGAGGCTGTTGCAGTCCATCAGGCAAGAGATTGTGATGATTGGGCCCAAGGAGTGGCCCTCCCTCAAGAGAAGGGCTCACCTTTGGGGAATATCTCAGGGGTAGATTGGACGGACCTTGGGCTTGGATTTGGGGTACATGGGAGATGGAGGCATCCAGCCCAGAATTGGAAGGTGTGGAGCTCTCTGTTCCCCTCTCTGGTTTGGTGGGGAAGTCCACCAGGCCAGGGCTTTAGGAAAAATAGAATTTGAGCTTAGCCTTAAGAGTCTGGTCAGGCCAAGCACAGTGGCTCACACCTGTAATCCCAGCTATTTGGGAGGCTGAGGCAGGAGGATCACTTGAATCTCAGAGTTCAAGACCAGCCTGAGCAACATAGCAAGACTCCTCCTCTAAAAAAATTGTTTTAAATTAACCACGTGTGGTGGTGCACACTTGTAGTCCCAGCTACTTGGGAGGCTGAGGTGGGAGATTGCTTGAGCCTGGGAGGTTAAGACCCACCTGGGCAGTATAGCAAAAGCCCATCTCAAAAAATTAATAAAATAAAAGAGTCTGGTCGGTATTTTAATGGGTGTTGAAGCAGCATTCCAGGCAGAGGGAACAGCACAAGTGAAGACATGAAGGTGTGAATGGTGTGTTTGGAGCTGAGGCTCCTGGAGCCCGGAAGGGTGGGGTGGGCCTAGGCAGCAGCTGGGCAATGCTTCCCTCAGACACTGAACCACATCTTCCTCTTCTCTGCCCCTCCTTTTGTGTCTGTAACTGCAGCTCAGGGAATAAGGTTGGGGGTGTGGATGGCAGGCCTTGGCCTGTAGCCACCCCAGCTTATATGCTCTGTGCTTCTTCCTGCAGGTGAAGGTGGTGAGCCTGAAGCCTGAGGTGGCCCAGGTCGACCTGTACATCCTCGGCCAAGCCGACCACTTTATTGGCAACTGTGTCTCCTCCTTCACTGCCTTTGTGAAGCGGGAGCGGGACCTCCAGGGGAGGCCGTCTTCTTTCTTCGGCATGGACAGGCCCCCTAAGCTGCGGGACGAGTTCTGATTCTGGCCGGAGCACCAGACCCTCTGATCCTGGAGGGACCAGAGTCTGAGCTGGTCCTTCCAGCCAGGCCTGGCAGCCAGAGGTGCTCCGGGATTGCAAACTCCTCTTCTCACCTGCCAAAGATGGAGAAGAGTGCCAGGGACCCCTCAAGGAGGGAGACGCTCCATATCCCAGGGCATAGGACTTGCAGGTTCCTAGGAGCAGGAGCATCTCCCATCGCACGTGCTTTCTGCTCTTCTGGGAATTTCTCACACTGGCAAAGCAGTCCAGCCTCCGTCTTCTGGTCCACTCTGCTCTGAGCAGCCTGGGATGCTGAACTCTTCAGAGAGATTTTTTTATAGAGAGATTTCTATAATTTTGATACAAGGTCATGACTATCCTAGAACTCTCTGTGGTTTTTGAAAATCATTGAATTCTATTAATGTAGGTACCTAAAGTGACCTTAACTGAATGTGGATGAGGCTGGGGCTGGTGTGGGTCTTTTGGCTGCTTTTCAAGGTGTCCCCCAATGTGGCCCTCAAGAGCCATCCCCACTGCCTGGCCAGAGC
This sequence comes from Homo sapiens, assembly GCF_000001405.40. NCBI lineage: Eukaryota > Metazoa > Chordata > Mammalia > Primates > Hominidae > Homo > Homo sapiens. The sequence goes on from NC_000020.11 coordinate 32,235,210, forward strand.
CATTGTTGTCCCCTACTTCCTAGGCCATTTCTGGGGCTTGGGGGATGAATGCTGTCCTGTGCTGTAAACACTATGCAAATGGAAGTTATCGGTTGTGGTGCTGTGCAGCGCTCTGTGGGCGACTAAGTGCCACTCACGCAGCATGTTCCTGGCAAGGAGCACATACCATCAAGCCACACTATCATGGTATTGTTCTCACAGTCTTTTGGTGGTTGATGGCCACTGCAAACCTGGCACCATCAGATCTCTTCTGATCTCTTGCCCCAGTGGGGCCTGGTTGGTAGAATGTTGGCATTCGGTTGATATCCAAAGCCTGTTCTCCCAGCCGTCCTCCTGCAGCTGGAGCCTTCAGGCCGTATTCTCACGAGGGAACGTTTGCCAAGGCTCTGACCTCACAGAAGATGCCCAGGGCCCAGAAGCCATCAGAATTATCAGTGGAGAAGCACCTTTTGACTCTTCCCTTCCAATGTAATCTCTGCCAACACCATGAGGCTTAAGGTGCTCTAAGTCATGAGTGTTTTGGTCTCAAATGCTGCAGTTTTAATAATCTGTGACTCCTGAGAGCCCATGGTTTTTTGACCTTGTGGTTCTAAAATTCCTTGTCTGACCCCTGTAGATCTTTTCCTTGCCATGTCACCTCCCTTGGCCTTTGATCCTGGAAAGGTGGCAGAGCCTCCACTGAGCCAGGCCCAGAGCTCCTTGCAGTGCCTTCTTCCTTGTTTACCTGTGGGAGGAAACACTTTTTTTGTCAGGGGCAGCCTGGTTCAGAGCTCAGAGGTCACACTGTATCAAAGATCTCAAACAGCAAAGTCAGCATTTGCTGTATAGAGCTGCCACCCAACTCTAAGCAGGAGAAACTGTACAGAAAGGGCTTTGCTATTTTTCCCTTTTGGGAAAACAATGAAGTGTTTTAAGTCCTGGGTGGACTGAGAGATGGTTTGCCTGTCCAGACTTGCTCTCAAGCCTCATCCAGAGAAGGAGCTGCAGATGAGGGAGCCCGTACACTCCCTGCCACCACTAGGTTGTAAGCCTGTAGCTGGCTGGCTGATTTCATTTTGGAATTCATTTGCCATCCACAGCCTTACACTAGGCACACACTTTAGAGTCTGGGGCTCCAGTGGGGCCCGCCTAATTTTTTTTCCCCCCAAGACAGGGCCTTGCTCTGTCTCCCAGGCTGGAGTGCAGTGGCATGATCATGGCTTACTGCAGCCTTGATCTCCCAGGCTCAAGCGATCCTTCTGCCTCAGCCTCTCTGGTAGCTGAGACTGCATGCCCAGCTCCAAATCACCTTGATTCATATCAGCAGTAATAATCACTTGTGTTCTGAAAGAAAGGGCACCAGAAGTTCTAGCAAAATTCAGTTGTGTTCTGTGAGCTAGCACTTTTTCCTCTGACCCAATTTTCTTACCTATAAAATGGTGATAAAAACCGACAGGTTGTTCAAAGGCCCAGATCAGCTAAAGCATGTATATAAGAGCACGTTGTAAACTTGAAAGAGACAAAGGCACAAATGTGGCTGTTGATTAATTTGACTGCTTCTCGTTGCTCGTCACCTCCATGCCAGGCACTGTGCTTGCTAATTGCTTTATGGGGGCATTCTCTTATTTATTCCCCAGCCCTGGGAAATAGGAGCTGTCATTATCCTTCTCTTTCTGCACAAGGAAAAATTAATGCCCTGAGAATTGTCATAATTTTCCCAAGGCTGCCCAGCTGGTGGTGTTAAGCCAGAATTTGACCTCCCAGAGCCAGTTTCCATTAGCTGCCATGCTCTGCTGCCTCTAATTCACAGAATGCACTTTCTACCCTGTGTGCCATGGAGACCTCCTATGGAAAAATGATCAGCCACCTTACCTTCTACTGGGTACCTGCTGTGAGTCTGCCTATGCCAGAAGGATTAAGGAGGGGAGGTTACCCAAGAAACAAAGCCTACATGCCGCTTACAGCCCCCGTTGGATGGTTGCTCAGTACAACAGTCTTGCATTCAGCAGGTGTTTGTTCATCACCTACTATGTGTCAGGCTCTATGCTAGGTACTGGGGATACAGGAGAGAATCAAGCGTAAAGTCTTTGTTCTCAAGGAATTTGCATTCTAGAAAGTAGAAGATGTAATAAATGTACTGTGGGACATGTTAATAAGTGCTATAAAGAAATATAAAGGGTTTGGGAGCAAAAAGAGGGAGTGGATCTATTTTAGATGAGCCCAGGTAAGACCTCTCTGAAGAGCTGTCATGAAGGAGGGAGGGAGCACATTCCTGGCAGAGAAAACAGCACGTGCAAAGGCCCCGAGACTGGAGTGTGTTCCTGAAGAGCAGCCAGGAGGCCAGCATGGCTGGAGAGGCAGGCATAGGCAGGGAACCGAGCAGCAGGTCAGAGCAGGCGAGCTGACATTCTGCAGCCTGGACGGCCATGGCAGGAAGCTTTTAGTTGGAGAGATACAGGAAGCCTCCTAGGGTTCTGAGCAGAAGAGGGGCATGAGCTGATTCACATTCTGAAGGACCTCTCTAGCTGGCCAGTGCTGAGGAGGTTGGAGAGAGAAAGGGTGAAAGCAGAGAGACCAGTGCAGGGCTGTTAACAGGGTTGCAGGCGAGAGACTGGGGTGCTGGGCTCCCCTAGACTAGGACTCCAGTGCCCTCCTCTCCCAAGAGACAAAGGCCATTGCATTGAAGGAGGTGGGAAATGATTAGATTCTGAACATATGTAATTATTTTTCAGTCTTTTTCAAAGATACAAATATTTACATAGTTTTAATCATGTAATATATACAATTTAATGTCCTAGTGTTTTACTTAATAGTGTATCATGTTTTCCCTGTTGGTATGTAGCCTGGATAAATGCTCTTAATTATAAAAAATTCTGTCGAGGAGTGTTCCATAGTTTATTGTTTTCCTATTATGAGAATTTAGGCCAAGTGTGGTGGCTCATGCCTGTAATCCCAGCACTTTGCGAGGCCGAGGTGGGCAGATCACTTGAGGTGAGGAGTTCAAGACCAGCCTGGCCAACATGGTGAATTATCTCTACTAAAAATACAAAAAAATAATAATAATAGCCAGGCGTGGTGGCACATGCCTGTATTCCCAGCTGCTTGGGAGGCTGAGGCAGGAGAATGGCTTGAACCTGGGAGGTGGAGGTTGCAGTGAGCCGAGATGGTGCCACTGCATTCCAGCCTGGGCAACAGAGCGAGACTCCATCTCAAAAAAAAGGAGACTTCATGTGCCCCCAATTTTTCACTATTGTTATTTGAAAAAATATTTTTATTTGTAAGAGTTTTTCTTTATTTAAAATGTTCATTAATAAAGTTGTTGGACGGGAAGCAAAAAAAAAAAGTTGTTTAAGATAAATTCCCAGAAGTGAATTTGTTAGATCAAACACTTAAAACTTTTTGTTATGGAAGAATTCAAATATAAATAAAAAATTGTGAGTAATAAAATGAACTCACAGTTTCAACAATGACCCACATTTTACCAGTCTAGTTGCATTGACTCTCCCACACCCAAGTCTGTTTGCTAGAGTCTTCAAGAAAACCTAAATGTGTTTTGAAAGAAGAGCCAACAGGATTTGCTGACATGCTGAATGTGGACTGGGAAGGAAAGAGGAGCCCAGGGTGCTCCAAGATTTAGGGCCCAGGCACCAGGGAGTTGTCCCTGACTTGCAGAGTGACCTTGAAGCAAATCCCTTCACCTCCGCATTCCTCACCTCAGCATTACAGGTGCTAATGGTCTAGGCAGTGCTTCCCAAAGGGTGGTCTTCAGAGGTTCCTTCCAGGGCTGGTTGATATGGCAGATTCCCAGGAGCCACCCTGAACCTGAGAATCAGAATGTCTCGGGGGTAGTGCCCAGGAATCTGCCTTTTCACAAGCACCTGCAAGTGATTTGGATGCCCAGTGGCCCAAGACCTGAAACTGTGGTCGTCAGACCAGCGGCATCAGCATCACCTGGGGGAACTTGCTAGAAATGCAGAATCCCAGGCCCCCGCCCAGAACCACTGAGTCAGGATCTCTGGGGACGCAGCCCAGGAATCTCTTAAGCTCTCTTGGGGCTAAAACTTGAGCAACACTGATCTGAAGGAAGTGGGGATCTCACTGTGTGGTCATTCAGCCCACGGTAATGGAAGACCTCTGCAGCCCCTCCCTGGCAAGCCTCACGGGTTCCACCAGGCATGGTCAACAAGGTGGCTTTAGGAACTGCCTGCTGCCCAGTTTGTACTGACCTACATCTCCTATTGTATATTTGTAGGGGCTTTACAACCAGATGATCAAATCTCATTGTTTTACGGTCAGCCCAAATTTATATATAAGAAAAGGAAGGGAAGCCTGGGCGCAGTGGCTCACTCCCATCATCCTAGCATTTTGGGAGGTTGACACAGGCCAATCGCTTGAGCCCAGGAGTTCGAGACCAGTCTGGGTAACATAGGGAAACCCCGTCTCTACAAAAAAATGCAAAAATTAGCCAGGCATGTGGCATGCATCTGTAGTCCCAGCTACTCGGGAGGCTGAGGTGGGAGGATCACTTGAGCCCAGGAGGAGGTCGAGGCTACAGTGAGCTGTGATGGCACCACTGCACTCCAGCCTGGACATTGGAGTGGGACCCTGTCTCAAAAGAGAGGAAAAAAAAAAGGGAATTCAATTTTTCAAAATTAAAAGGGAATTCCATTTTTCAAAATCTGCATCTGATTGGATAGAGAAATGGAGAAGCTGGTGTTCAAAGGAACCAAAGCTGGAAACACTGTCCTGAAACATTGTAGATCTCCAGACATTTGGAAGGGAGGGGAGAGAGAATAAGAAAATAAAGAAGAAAGAGGAGAAAGGACAGAGGGAGGAAGAAAGAGTTGAGTTCTCATTTCTATTTTCTGTTCAAAGAAGCTCAGCAAATAATCTATTAATAGTAACTACAACAAAAATAATAATAAGCTTTCACTGGCCTGAAAATAAAGATCCTTCCTCTCCTCAGTTCTCCTTCTGTCCTTAGTGGAATTGACAGAAAAAACCCATAGCCTGAAGGCAAATCCTGCACTCTGGATTATGTTGTCAAAGTGAATTCAAATTCTTGCTTGAAACCTGGTTTATTTCAGGGTTGAGACCTTTCCCTTGAAATAACATTATTTAAGGGCAAGCAGGTTTGGTTTGTTTTTACATCTAATCCTTTATTGATCATCAGCCCAGGATGCCAAGCATAACCAGGTAAACAGTGAGAATGGAAGAAACAGAAGGCATTTCCCAGAAACCCCATTCCTCAAGTGCAGTGACTCAGAACAATGCCCACCTGGGGGCAGCACCCCGGGGAGGATACCCCACCCCTCTGAAAAATCCACCTTTGCAAAAAAATTGGCAACACATTGATCCATTTGATATTCATCTCCTCCAGTGTGGGGGATGTTTTCCCCTCTCTGACACTGCACAAGCTGGTTTAGGAGGTCCTGGGCAGGCACTGGCAGAAGGCAAGAATTATCTTTTCAGTTTTTCTCAATCCTGCTAACAATGCCCAAAGAGAAAGTCTCAGTTCAGTGCTATTGTGTCATTAACTCCTCTCTACTGCTTGCTAATAATCTGTCCTTGTAACAGAGTAGACCTCAGAGTCAGACAATCTTAGTTTTCTGGAATTTAGTAACACTATTACTAAGTAAATAAATGAATTATTTATTTATTTATTTATTTATTTATTGAGACAGGTTCTCACTCTTGCCCAGGATGGAGTACAGTGGCTTGATCTTGGCTCACTGCAGCCTCAACCTCCCAGGCTCAAGCCATTCTTTCACCTCAGCCTCCCAAGCAGCTGGGATCACAGGCACGCACCACTGCACCAGCTAACTTTTGTATTTTTAGTACAGATGGGGTTTCGCTGTGTTGCCCAGGCTGGTCTCGAACTCCTGGCCTCAAGGGATCCTCCTGCCTCAGCTTCCCAAAGTGCTGGGATTACAGTGAGCCACCGTGCCCTGCCATTTTATTTATTTTTGATCCTTTGTACTTGTGTTTTTCTGTTTAAAGATGTGATTTAAAGTTTCCTTTTAAGAAACTTAGGTTACAAAAAGTGAGTTGGTTCAGAGAAAAAGTATTAAGTAGATGGTGTGGCATGAATTATGAAGATAAAGTTTGGGAGATCCTTACTCGGCTGGCCCCTGAAGATAGCTCAAAACAATACCCAAGGGGCTTTTGTGAGAGAAACTCTCCTCACTTTTCACACCTCCGCACTATTGTCTAAGCTTTTGCTCTGCTTAAAACATATCGTAAATGTTTCAAGATTCTATGAAATTCTCCTTTTCTGAGCTCCCATAGAACCTTGAAATTGTAATAATAAGTAACATGGGCTGGGCACAGTGGCCCACGCCTGTAATCCCAGCAGTTTGGGAGGCTGAGGCAGGTGGATCGCTTGAGCCCAGGAGTTCGAGACCACCCTGAGCAACAAAGTGAGACCCGCCCCCCCCTCCATCTCTACCAAAAGTCAAAAAATTAGCCAGGCATGGTGGCAAGTGCCTATGGTTCCAGCTACTCAGGAGGCTGAGGTGGGAGGATCACTTGAGCCCAAGAGGTTACAGTGAGCCATGTTTGTGCCACTGCACTCCAGCCTGGGACAGAGGGAGACCCTGTCTCAGATAATAAGTAACATGTATTAAATGACTAACATATGTCATTTACCATGTGCTACAGTGTTCTAAGCACTTTACTTCAATTAACTCGCCTCATTAGAGAATATCCCTAAGAGGCTGCTTTTCTTATTATCTCCATGTTACAGATAAGAGCACTGAGAAGCAGTGAGGTGAAGCACCCAGCTTAAGGTTGTAGAGCCTGTGAGTGGAAGAGCTGGGACTTGGGCCCTAGAAGCATGGCACACGAGTCAGTGCCCCAAAGCCACGCATTGTGCTGCCTCTGATGTCATGTTACCCATCAGACCAAATTATTTGCTAACTTGTTTCCCCAGCTGGACCAGAAGTGTCCCCCAGGAATAGGGACCATGCCTGATGCATCTCCCAACATCAGCGCCTAGCCCAGTGCTTGGTTTATAAAAGTGTCCTAAATTTATGGCCGGGCATGGTGGCTCACGCCTGTAATCCCAGCACTTTGGGAGGCCGAGGTGGGCGGATCACCTGAGGTCAAGAGTTCAAGACCAGCCTGGCCACCGTGGGGAAACTCTGTCTCTACTAAAAATACAAAAATTAGGCCAGGCGTGGTGGCTCACGCCTGTAATCCCTGCACTTTGGAAGGCCAAGGCGGGCAGATCACCTGAGGTCGGGAGTTCGAGACTAGCCTGACCAACATGGAGAAACCCCGTCTCCACTAAAAATACAAAATTAGCTGGGCGTGGTAGTGAATGCCTGTAATCCCAGCTATTTGGGAAGGCTGAGGCAGGAGAATCGCTTGAATCTGGGAGGTGGAGGTTGCGGTGAGCCGAGATCACGCCATTGCACTCCAACCTGGGCAACAAGAGCGAAACTCCATCTCAAAAAAATAAAAAAAGAAAATACAAAAATTAGCCAGGCATGGTGGCAGGCCCTGTAATCCCAGCTACTTGGGAGGCTGAGGCAGGAGAATTGCTTGAACCTGGGAGGCAGAGGTTACAGTAAGCCAGGATCACGCCACTGCACTCCAGCCTGGGCAACAGAGCAAGACTCTCTCAAAAAAAAAAAAAAAAAAGAATATATATATATATATATATATATTCACTCATTCAACCCATATATGTGTATGTGTACATATACGTCTGGCATCATGGAGGGTTCGTGGAGGAGATAGGAGTCGAGTCAAATGCTGGGTATGATTTTAACAGCCACACATGGGAGATAAGAAAAGGAATTATAGATGGAGGGATTGCGTGAACAAAGGTGCTGACCCAGGTGTTGAGAGCTAAGTCTGTGGGGAGCAGCAAGCAGTGCTGGCCATAGGTTTAGGGAGGTGGAGACAAGAGATGAGGCAGCATCAGGAGGTTTGAGCCATGTGAGAAGGCTCTGGAATGCCAAACTAAGAGGTTTGGTCCTTACCCTTGGGGATCTTAACCAGAAGTTGTCTCAGGATTAGAGGCAAATACATGGGGTAAGGGTACGAGCAGGGGCTTTGCAGGGCTCACTAAGGGCCCTGAGGCATCATAGGAGTGAAAGGGTCCTCATAGTGCCCCTTGAGGGCAATGCCAAAAGGCAGGACTTTGGCTGCATAAATTAGTCAAAAATGTAATGACAATAAATTCATGTACAGGGTGAAAAATTCAAAAAGTTCAAAATAATATACCTGTAGTGTGAAAAATAAGTGCCCCCTTGCTAGCGCAAACCCCACTCCAGAGGCAAACACTGCTCAAAGTTTCATGGCCAGGTGTGGTGGCTCACGCCTGTAATCCCAGCACTTTAGGAGGTGGAGGCAGGTGGATCACTTGAGATCAGGAGTTGGAGATCAGCCTGGCCAAAATGGCAAAACCCAGTCTCTACTAAAAGTACAAAAGTCTTGGATTTGTGCACTTTGATTTCTGTCCTGGTGCTACAGTGTGCTGGCTATACACAGTCTGGGAGACTTGGCTTCAAATCCCAGCCCAGTCACTAACTCAAGTCATTGTGGGACTCAAACAAGTCACTAGCCTGTCTGAACCTCAGTTTTTGCATCTACAATACAGAAATAGGCCTAGCGTGGTGGCTCATGCCTTTAATCCCAGTATTTTGGGAGGCTGAGTCAGGAGAATCACTTGAGACCAAGAAATCAAGAACAGCCTGAGCAATATGGCAAAACTCCCATCAATACAAAATAAAAATTAAAAATTTAGCCAGGTGTGGTGCTGTGTGCCTGTGGTCCCAGCTACTTAGGTGGCTGAGGCAGGAGGATCACTTGAGCCCAGGAGGCAGATGCTGTAGTGAGCTGTGATGGTGCTACCGCACTCCAGCCTGGGCAACAGAGCAAGACTGCATCTAAAAAAAAAATACACACGCACACACACACACAGATATAGATATAGATATAGATATAGATAGATATAAATAATATTGCCACAGTACCTGATACATAGTAGATGGTTGATAATAAAAGTGTGTTATTATTTAGTGAAATTGCATAACCTTTCTGAAATTCAGATTCTTCAGCTAGGAACCAGCAGTTGGCATGAGGCTGTCAGAGAGATTCCAAAGTTCATGAAAATGTTTTGCAAGTCTTAGGAGGGCCTCAAATATGAAGGATTAAGCATTATGGGGGCTCTGGCAACCCTGCCAGGCATTGCCTGCTATAAGTTTCCTTTACATCTCCCTCTGGCTTTTAAATGTTGTGTTTGCTTACAGTGAGACCATTTTCTCCCAGCTGCTGCCGGTAAGCGAACAGGAACTCTGAGCACTTTGCCTGCTGGGGAGATGGGCTGGCAGGAGAAACCCCCTCCCACCTCCAAGGGGTTAGGCTTCTGGGGAGTAGGGCTTGGAGGGAGTTAAGGACCCAGGCCAATGATGTAGGGGCAGAGAATGGGGAGAGGCAGAGAACTGCCTCTTTGCAACAGGCCCTGGCCTTCCGTGAACTCTTGCCTCCTCTGCAACTGTAAAATGAGGGCTTTGGAACTGAGTCACCCTTTGGAAAGGGCATTAGGTTTGGAGTGTAAGGGCGCGGGTGCAAGGCCTAGCTTTAAAATTAATCCGGAGTGTAATTATGAGACTCAGTGTTCTCATCTGTAAAATGAGAATACAAATTAAGCCATTGAACCATTATGAATTAAGTCTTCCTCCCATGGTACTGGCATTCTAGTGGGGAAGAAACAGATAAGAAATAAATAACGAAACATTAGCTGGGGCCAGGCTTATGTCTGTAATCTCAGCACTTTGGGAGGCCAAGGTGGAAGGATGGCTTGAGCCCAAGAGTTGAGACCAGCCTGGCAATGTGAGAAAACCCTGTCTCTACCAAAAGAAAGAAAAAAAAAAGAACAAACGAAAATTAGCCAGGCATAATGGCACATGCCTGTAGTCCTGTAAAACCAAAGATGAGGCCAGGTGCAGTGAGTCACGCCTGTAATCCCAGCACTTTAGGAGGCTGAGGTGAGAGGATCACTTGAGCCCAGGAGGTGGAGGTTGTAGTAAGCCGTGATGGCACCATTGTACTCCAGCCTGGGCGACAGAGCAAGACCCTGTCTCAAAAAACAAAACAACAAAAAAACTCAGCCACACTCTCATCATCCAATACTTAACCAGTTTTTTTTCTTTTCTTTTTTTTTTTTTTTTTTTTGAGATAGAGTCTCACTCCATCACCCAGGCTGGAGTGCAGTGGCACAATCTCGGCTCACTGCAACCTCTGCCTCCCAGGTTCAACTGATTCTCATGCCTCAGCCTCCCAAGTAGCTGGAGTTACAGGCATGTGCCACCACGCCTGGCTAATTTTTATATTTTTAATAGAGATGGATTTTCACCATGTTGGCCAGGCTGGTCTCCAACTCCTGGCCTCAGGTGATCTGCCCGCCTTGAGCTCCCAAAGTGCGGGGATTACAGGCGTGAACCACTGTGCCCAGCCCAATTAACCACTTTTATTTTTTAAACAATTAGCTGGGGCCCGGCACGGTGGTCATGCCTGTAATCCCAGCACTTTGGGAGGCCAAGGCAGGCGGATCACTTGAGGTCAGGAGCTTGAGACCAACCTGGCCAACATGGTGAAACCCCATCTCTACTAAAACTACAAAAATTAGCCGGGTGTGATGGTGTGTGCCTGTAATCCCAGCTGCTCGAGAGGCTGAGGCAGGAGAATCACCTGAATCTGGGAGGTGGAGGTTGCAGTGAGGTGAGATTGTGCCACTACACTCCAGCCTAGGCAACAGAGCAAGACTCCGTCGCAAAATAAGTAAATAAATAAAAATAAAAAATTAGCCGGGCACAGTGACTCACGCCTATAATCCCAGCACTTTGGGAGGCTGAGGCTGGCAGATCATGAGGTCAAGAGATTGAGACCATCCTGGACAACATGGTGAAACCCCGTCTCTACTAAAAATACAGAAAAGTTAGCTGGGTGTGGTAGTGCGTGCCTGTACTCCCAGCTACTCAGGAGGCTAAGGCAGGATAATTGCTTGAACCTGGGAGGCAGAGGTAGCAGTGAGCCGAGACTGCGCCACTGCACTCCAGCCTGGCAACAGAGTGAGACTCTGTCCAAAAAAAAAAAAAAAAAAAATTAGCCGGGCATAGTGGTGTACACCTGTGGTCCCAGGTACATGGGAGGCTGAGCTGGGAGGATTGCTTGAGCCTAGGAGGTCAAGGCTGCAGTGAGCCATGATTGTGCCACTGCATTCCAGCCTGGTGACAGAGACCACATCTCAAAGAAAAAGAAAGTATGAGGCGGTAACGAAGACTATGAATGAGAATGAAATAGAGTAAAGAGAAAGAGAGTAACTGGGGTGGTCAGGGGAGGCCTCTGTGTTCAGGTCACATTTGAGCAGAGGCCTGAAGGAGGTGAGTGAGTGAGCCATATGGGTATCTGGGGAAGACCATTTCAGGTAGAAGGAACAGCAAGTGCAGAAGTCCTGAAAGGGAGATGATTTTGGCCATAGGGAGCGGGGCAGGAGGTGAGGTATGACAGTGAGAGAGGCCAGATCATAATGGACCTCACCTTTGGTTTTTCATGGGTTCTGCCTTTGTTTTTGTTTTTGTTTTGAGATTTTTATTTATTTACTTATTTTGTGACGGAGTCTTGCTCTGTTGCCTAGGCTGGAGTGTGGTGGCACGATCTCAGCTCACTGCAACCTCCACCTCCCAGATTCAGGCGATTCTCCTGAATCTCCCACTCTGTCATCAAGGCTGGAATGCAGGGGTACAATCATGGCCCACTACAGCCTCAACCTCCAAGACTCACACGATCCTCCCACCTTAGTCTCCCAAGTAGCTGGGACTACAGGCATGCATGAGCATGCCTAGCTAATTTTTAAATTTTTGTAGAGATGAGGTCTCACTATGTTGCCCCGACTGGTCTCGAACTCATGGGTTCAAGTGATCCTCCTGCCTCAGCCTCTCAAAATGCTGGAATTACAGACGTGACTCACTGTACCCAGCCTCACCTTTGGTTTTTTGTTTGTTTGTTTGTTTGTTTGTTTTTTTGGGATGGAGTTTCACTTTTGTTGCCCAGGCTGGAGTGCAATGGTGCGATCTCGGCTCACCGCAACCTCCACCTCCTGGGTTCAAGCAATTCTCCTGCCTCAGACTCCTGAGTAGCTGGGATTACAGACATGCGCCACCATGCCTGGCTAATTTTGTATTTTTAAGTAGAGACGGGGTTTCACCATGTTGGTCAGGCTGGCCTCGAACTTCCGACCTCAGGTGATCCGCCTGCCTCGGCCTCCCAAAGTGCTGGGATTACAGGCGTGAGCCATCGCCTTTGGTTTTATGTGAGTGACCTGAGAAACCATTGGAAGGTTTTGAGCAGAGGGGAGTGACATATCTGACTTAGGTTTTTTTTTTTTTTTTTGAGACAGAGTCTTGCTCTGTCACCCAGGCTGGAGTGCAGCGGCGCCATCTGGGCTCACTGCAAGCTCCGCCTCCTGGGATCATGCCATTCTCCTTTCTCAGCCTCCCCAGCAGCTGGGACTACAGGCGCACACTGCCACGCCTGGCTAATTTTTTTGTATTTTTAATAGAGACGGGGTTTCACCGTGTTAGCCAGGATGTTCTCGATCTCCTGACCTCGTGATCCGCCTGCCTCGGCCTCCCAAGGTGCTGGGATTACAGGTGTGAGCCACCGTGCCTGGCCTCTGACTTAGGTTTTATATTAGTTATCCGTTGCTGTATAACAAATAACCCCCAAATGTAGTGTCTTAAAACAAGAATCATTTATTATCTTTCAGTTTTTGTGGGTCAGAAATTTGGAAGTAGTTTGGCTGAGCAGTTCTGGCTCAGGATCTCTCATGAGATTGTAGTCAAATATTGGTCAGGGCTACAGTCATCTGAAGGCTTGACTGTGTCTAGAGGCTTCGTTTCCAAGGTGGCTCACTCTTATGGCTGGCAAGTTGGGGCTGACTATTGGCCGGAGGCCTCTGTTCCTCTCCATGGGGTTGCTGGAAGGTCTTTGCAACATCGTGGCTGTCTACCCCCAGAGAGTGAGTCAAGACACCAAGACAGAAGCTGCAATGTCTTTTTTTTTTGAGACACAGTCTCTCTGTGTCACCCAGGCTGGAATGCAGTGGAATGATCACAGTTCACTGCAGCCTTGACCTCCTGGGCTCAAGCAGTCCTCCCACCTCAGCCTCCACAGTAGCTGGGACTACAGGCACGTACCACCATGCCCGGCTAATTTTTTTTTTTTCCAGACATAGTCTTGCTCTATTGCCAGGCTGGAGTACAGTGGCACGTTCTCGGCTCACGGCAACCTCTGCCTCCCAGGTTCAACAGCTTCTCTTGCCTCAGGCTCCTCAGTAGCTGGGACTACAGGCACACGCCACCATGCCCAGGTAATTTTTTATATTTTTAGTAGAGACAGGGTTTCGCCATGTTGGCCAGGATGGTCTCGATCTCTTGACCTAGTGATTCACCCGCCTTGGCCTCCCAAAGTGCTGGGATTACAGGTGTGAGCCACCGCGCCTGGCCCTGGCTAATTAAAAAAAAAAAAAAATCTGGGGTAGAGGCCGGGCATGGTGGCTCACGCCTGTAATCCTAGCAGTTTGGGAGGCTGAGGTGGGCAGATTACCTGAGGTCGGGAGTTCAAGACCATCCTGGCTAACATGGTGAAACCCTGTCTCTACTAAAAATACAAAAAATTAGCCAGGTGTGGTGGCACGCACCTGTAATCCCAGCTACTCTGGAGGCTGAGGCAGGAGAATCACTTGAACTCGGGAGGCGGAGGTTGCTGTGAGCCAAGATCAGACCACTGCACTCCAGCCTGGGCTACAGAGCAAGACTTTGTCTCAAAAAAAAAAAAAAAAAAAAAGGTTTTTGGTAGAGATGGGATCTCAATATGTGGTCTAGGCTAGTCTCGAACTCCTGGCCTCAAATGATCCTCCAGCCTCAGCCTCCCAACCGGGATTTATAGGCATGAGCCGCCATGTCTTGCCATTTTTCTTGTGACCAAGAAAAATGGCACAAGCCTGTGTGCAGGCTAGCCCTGTTCAATATGAGAAGGGCGTAAGTACAAGGAGGAGGTGAGGTCATTGTGGAACATCTTAGAGGCAGGCTACCAAAAGTTTTTTATTTGTTTGTTTTAATTAACATACAATGAAATTTACCCTTTTCTTTCTTAATTTTGACGTAAAGATGTATAGGTCTATGAATGTTAACATATGAGTATATTTGCGTAACCACTACCACAAACAGGATATAGAAGAGTTCCATCACCCCTCAAAAAACCCTCGTGTTCCCCTTTGTAGTGACACACTCCTCCTACCTCAACCTGTGGTAACTGCAGATCCATCATGATAGTTTTGTCTTTTTTTTTTTTGAGACAGAGTTTCGCTTTTGTTGCCCAGGCTGGAGTGCAGTGGCACGGTCTCAGCTCACTGCAGCTTCTGCCTCCTGGGTTTAATTGATTGTCCTGCCTCAGCCTCCCAGTTAGCTGGGATTACAGGCATGCAACACTATGCCCAGCTAATTTTGTATTTTTAGTAGAGATGGGGTTTCACCATGTTGGTCAGGCTGGTCTCGAACTCCTGACCTCAAGTGATCCGCCCGCCTCAGCCTCCCAAAGTGCTGGGATTATAGGCATGATCCACCACGCCCGGCTGATAGTTTTGTCTTTTAGAAAACGTCATAGCAATGAAATCATTACTATGTAACCTTTTGAAACTGGCGTCTTTCACTCAGAATAATGCCTTTGAGATTCATCTAAGTTGTTGCAGGAATCAGTAATTCATTTCTTTTTATTGCTGAATTATGTTCCAGTGTATGGATAGGTCACAGTTTATCAATTTACCCATTGAAGGGCTTGTTTCCAATCTGGGGAAATTGTGAGTAGAGCTGTGTCTTGGTCCATTTGGGCTGCTATACCAAAGCATCATGGACTAAGAGGCTTATAAACAACAGAAATTTCTTGTTTACAGCTTTTTTTTTTTTTTTTTTGAGGCAGAGTCTCGCTCTGTCGCCCAGGCTGGAGTGCAGTGGCGTGATCTTGGCTCACTGCAACCTCCGCCTCCCAGGTTCATGCCATTCTCCTGCCTCAGCCTCCCGAGTAGCTGGGACTACAGGTGCCCGCCACCACCCCTGGCTAATTTTTAGTAGAGATGTGGTTTCACTGTGTTAGCCAGGATGGTCTCAATCTCCTGACCTCGTGATCCACCCGCCTCGGCCTCCCAAAGTGCTGGGATTACAGGCGTGAGCCACCGCGCCCCACCAGGGATTAGGATTTCAACAAATGAATTTTCTTTTTTTAATTTCTTGTCACCTAGGCTGGAGTGCAGCGGTGCGATCTCGGCTCACTGCAGCCTCTGTCTCCCAGGTTCAAGCCATTATCCGGCCTCAGCTTCCCAAGTAGCTGGGATTACAGGCTCGCCACCAACACACCCAGCAACATTTTGTATTTTTAGGAGAGATGGGGTTTCACCATGTTGGCCAGGCTGGTCTGGAACTCCTGACCCCAGGTGATCCACCTGCCTCAGCCTCCCAAAGTGCTGGGATTACAGGTGTGAGCCACCTTGCCCAGCCAATAAATGAATTTTTTTTTTTTAATTTCATGGTTTGTTTTTGTTTTTGTTTTTGAGACAGGATCTTATTCTGTCCCCCAAGCTGGAGTGCAGTGGCATGATCTCGGCTCACTGCAACCTCCGCATCCTGGGTTCAAGCAATTTTCCCACCTCAGCCTCCCAAGTAGCTGGGATTACAGGCATGCATCACCACACCCGGCTAATTTTTGTATTTTTAGTAGAGACGGGGTTTTGCCATGTTGGCCAGGCTGGTCTCAAACTCCTGGCCTCAAGTGATCCACCCGCCTCAACCTCCCAAAGTGCTGGGATTACAGGTGTGAGCCACCACACCCGGCAACCATTTTAACCATTTTTAAGTGTACAGTTCAGTCTGTTCAGAGGCATTAATACATCCACATTGTTGTGCAACCATCACCACTGTCTACCTATATAACATTTTATCCTCCCAAACTGAAACTCTGGACCCATTAAACAATTATTCCCATTTCTTCCTTGGAGTTTTTTTGTTTGTTTGTTTGTTCATTTGTTTGTTTGTTTGTTTTTTAGACACAGGGTCTTGCTGTGTCCCCTAGACTGGAGTGCAGTGATGGGATCATAACTCACTGCAGACTCCAACTCCTGGGCTCAAGGGATCCTCCCACTTTTCCATGTAGCTAGGACTACTAGTATGCACCTCCATACCTGCCTAATCTTTAATATTTTTTGTAGAGGCAGGGTCTTGCTGTGTTGCCTAGGCTGGTCTTGAACTCCTGGCCTCAAGCAATTCTCCCACCTCAGCCTCCCGAAGTGCTGGTGGTAATTCAATCAGTGGTCTTCTGCCCCAGTTTGCCTGCTACTCTTGACTCTTCAGAGCCCTCAGCTGGCTGTTCCCTGGGCTCTGCACAGGGTTTATAGCTGTCTTCAGCAGCAGAGACAGGGAGGCTTTGAATCAATCCCTCTGGCCATCCAGCAGACAGTTGACTGAAGGGGGCAAGGTTGGAAGTAAGGAGACCTGCGGGGAGGTCAGAGGAGGCTTCACAGAGGTGACCTCTGGATCGAATCTTAAAAGATAAGTGGCTGTTTTCAGAAGGGCTAGTTGTGGGTAGACCATTCAGGACAGAGAGATGGATCTGAGTGATGTCTTTTTTTTTTTTTTTTTTTTTTGAGACAGAGTCTCACTCTGTCTACCAGGCTGGAGTGCAGTGGTGCAACCTTGGCTCACTGCAACCTCTGCCTCCCGGGTTCAAGCGATTCTCGTGCCTCAGCCTCCTGTGTAGCTGGAATTACAGGCGCGTGACACCATGCCCATCTAATTTTTGTATTTTTAGTAGAGATGGGGTTTTACCATGTTGGCCAGGCTGGTCTTAAACTCCTAGTCTCAAACTCCTGGTCTCAAGTGGTCCGCCCACCTCAGCCTCCCAAAGGGCTGGGATTACGGGTATGAGCCACCGCGCCCGGTCCCTGAGTGATGTCGTGAGGGGCAAAAGACTGCGAAGCCTGGAAAGTAACACTTTGGGTTGTCTGAAGTGAAGAGGGCAAGGTTGGGCAGGATGAAGGGTGAGTGCCATGAGAAAGGGGCCAGCGAAATGGGCTGGGACTAGACGTTGAGAGGTGAGTGGTTGATTTCTGATTTCTATGGTTTGAAGAAAAAGACCCGATAACATTTTCCACTAGTGTAGAAGGAGGGGGAAGCCCCCACCCCCAGACCTGAGACAGGATGTGGGGATGCTTGTAGGTGTCTAAGGCCTTGGCAGGGAAGGTGGCATCTAATCTGGAAAGGCCAATGGCGCAGTTCCTGTGGAGAAAGAAGGGTGTGCAATTTTGCAGCTGCTGAAAGGGATTGTCATACTGCTGCAGCCTTTCTTGGGTTGGATGATCAAGAAGAGGGGTCAAGGGGATGTCTGCTTCTGAACCCAAGAGAATAAACTGAACAGTTCCCTAGGGCTTACTGTAAATGAGATAGCAGAGGTGGGAGAGGATGGGAGATCAGGTGTTTAAAGGTAGGAGTGACAAAGAGTGTTTGTTGTATCCCTTTTTTGGTTTTTGTTTTCTGGGTTTTTTTTGTTTTTTGTTTTTTGTTTGAGACAGGATCTCAACCTGTCACCCAGGCTGGAGTGCAGTGGCGTGGCATGATCTTGGCTCACTGTAGCCCTGACTCCCAGGGCTCGAGTGATCCTCCTACCTCAGACGGCTGAGTAACTGGGACTGCAGGGACACACCACCATGCCCAGCTCATTTTTGTATTTGTTGTTGAATCGGGGTTTTGCCATGTTGCCCAGGCTGGTCTCAAACTCCTGGATTCAAGCAATCTTCCTGCCTCAGCCTGCCAAAGTGTTGGGATTACAGGTGTGAGCCACCACACCCAGCTTATCTCTTTTTATACTTTTTAAATTTAGTACTTTAGTCATACAAGTTGGAGTCAGAAAAAAAAGGAAAAAAATAGTATTAGTTATCTATTGCTGCAAATAAGTTACCCTTAAACTCAGCAGCTAACGACAACATTTATTATCTCACACATTTTTTGAGGACAAGGAATCTGGAATCAGCTTTGCTGGGTGATTCTGGCTCAGGGTCTTTCATGAGGTTACAGTCAAAATGTCAGCCAGGGCTGCCATCATCTGAAGGTTTGACTGGGGCTGCAGGGTGCACTTCCAAGATGTCTCACTCGTGTGGCTGTTGGCTGGAGGTCTCAGTTCCTCACTAGCTGTTGACCAGAGGCCTCAGTTATTCTCCTTGTGGGCTTCTTCACAGAGATGCTCTCAATTTGACAGCTGGCTTCACCCACAACAAGGGATCCAAGAGAAAGATCCAAGACAGAAGCTACTGTGTCTTTTATAACCTAATCTCAGAAGTGTCATATAATATCATTTCAGCCATATTCTATTGGTCACACAGGCCAGTGCTGGTTCCGTGTGGGAAGAGACTACACAAGGATTTGAATACAAGTAGGTGGGGGTCATTGAAGGCCATCTTCAAAGCTGGTGACCACAGCACATGAATGTATTACCAATTCAGATTCTTTTGTGAATATAAAGATATCACTGAGACATATTATTAATAGAAAGAAGGCAAGTTGCCTGCATATATATAATCTCACTTAAAAAAGAAGCATGAAACCTACATATTTCTATTACATACACATATAAATATGTAGAAAAAGATTGAGAAGGATACACTTAAAACTGGTAATGGCTGGGCATGGTTGCACGCACCTGTAATTCTAGCACTTTGGGAGGCCGAGGTGGGTGGATCACCTGAGGTCAGGAGTTTGAGACCAGCCTGGCCAACGTGGCAAAACACTGTCTCTACTAAAAATACAAAAATTAGCCGGACGTGTTGGCATGCTCCTGTAATCCCAGCTACTCGGGAGGCTGAGGCAGGAGAATTGCTTGAACCTGGAGGGCGGAGGTTGTAGTGAGCCGAGATTGCGCCATTGCAACAAGAGTGAAACTCCGTCTCAAAAACAACAAGAACAACAACAAAAACTGGTAACAATGTCATCCCTGGGGAGGGAGATGGAATGGTAGGCATATTATGAAAAGGGAATCTACCAGGGCCGGGTGTGGTGGCTCGCACCTGTAATCCCAGCATTTTGGGAGGCCAAGGCCGGCAGATCATGAGGTCAGGAGATCGAGACCATCCTGGCTAACACGGTGAAACCCCGTCTCTACTAAAAATACAAAAAATTAGCCAGGCGTGGCGGAGGGGACCTGAAGTCCCAGCTACTCAGGAGGCTGAGGCAGGAGAATGGCATGAACCCGGGAGGTGGAGGTTGTAGTGAGCCAAGATCGTGCCACTGCACTCCAGCCTGGGTGACAGAGCAAGACTCCATCTCACACACACACACAAAAAAGAGAAGGGAACCTATCTTTTTTTTTTTTTTTTTGAGACAGGGTTACACCCTGTCACCTAGCCTGGAGTGCAGTGGTGCAATCTCAGCTCACCACAACTGCTGCCTCCCAGGCTCAAGTGATCCTCCCACCTCAGCCTCCCAAGTAACTGAGAATACAGGCACCACTACGCCCAGCTAATTTTTGTATTTTTTGTAGAGATGGGGTTTTGCCATGTTTCCCAGGCTGGTCACAAACTCCTGAGCTCAAGGGGTCTGTCCACCTCGGCCTCTTGAAGTGCTGGGATTACAGGCATGAGCCACTGCACCTGGCCAGGACAGACTTTTTTTTTTTGACGGAGTCTCACTCTGTCGCCCAGGCTGGAGCGCAATGGCATGATCTCAGCTCACTGCAACCTCCGCCTCCCAGGTTCAAGTGATTCTCCTGCCTCAGCCTCCTCAGTAGCTGGGATTAGAGGCACCCACCACCACACCCAGGTAATTTTTGTGTTTTCAGTAGAGACAGGGTTTCACCATATTGGCCAGGCTAGTCTCAAACTCCTGACCTCAGGTGATTTGCCCACCTCAGCCTCCCAAAGTGCTGGGATTACAGGCGTGAGCCACCTTGCCCCACTGGACCTATCACTTTTATATTACATATTTTTCTTGATGGTTTGAATCATTTGCAATAACTGTGTTCCTGGGTAACTGGTCTAATTTTCTGTCGCTGGATAGCAAAGCACCCCAAACTTAGTGGCATGAAACAACAATCCTTTTATTCCATTCACAGATTCTGTGGATCAGGAATTTGCACAAGGCACAACATAATTGGTTTGTCTCTGCTCCCTGATATATGGAGCCTGAGCTGGGAGATGACAACAGCTGGTGATGACTCACGTTTCTGGTGCCTGGGTTTGGATGACTAGCATGCTGGGCTCAGCTACAGCCATTGACTAGAACACCTACAAATGGCCTCTCACTGTGGCCTAGGCCTCCTTGCAGCGTGGAAGCTGTGTTCCAAGAGGGAATATTCCAGAAAGAAGCATTTGGAGAAAGAATATTCCAAGAGAACCAGGCAGAGCTGCATGTTTATTTATGACCCAACCTCAGAAGTCACATAGCATCACCTCTGCCATACTCTATTGGTGAAATCAGCCACAAGCCACCCAGATTCAAGGAAAGGGGACATAGACTCCCCTCCAATGGGAGGAGTGTCAAGGAATTTGCAGCCACTTCTTTAAAAACTGCCACATTTAGTTATAGAATTTATTGTATTATTTTATTTTTGTAGAGACATGATCTCACTGTGTGGCCCAGGCTGATCTTAAACTCCTGGCCTCAAGTGATCCTCCTGCCTCAGCCTCCTAAAGTGCTGGGATTACGGACGTGAACCACCATGCCTGGCCATGGGATTTAAAAATCTATTTTAGGTCGGGCACGGTGGCTCATGCCTGTAATCCCAGCACTTTGGGAGGCCGAGGTGGGCGGATCACTTGAGGTCAGGAGTTCAAAACCAGTCTGGCCAACATGGTGAAATGTTGTCTCTACTATAATTACAAAAATTAGCCAGGAGTGGTGGTGCACGCCTGTAATCCCAGATACTTGGGAAGCTGAGGCACGAGAATCGCTTGAATCTGGGAGGCAAAGGTTGCAGTGAGCCAAGATCGTGCCACTGCACTCCAGCCTGGGTGATACAGTGAGACCCTGTCTCAAAAAAAACATGTATTTTAAACAAAGGGTGAGCAATAAACATTGAGGCTGCCTTTCCTAAGACAGTGGGTTGGGAGCACCTAGGCACATGCTCATATCCCAGACTCTTAGCTCTTTCTGTTTTGTTGCCTTTATTGCTTTGAGTCTGATAATCTCGGAGAGACCTGAGGTAACTTGGCAGTTGTAACTTATAATTCTCTTTTTGTTTCTCTTCAGTACCTGGAGCCAAACCCTTTAGGTAAATATTTACGTATAGATTCATTTGTTCCCCTTATTCCCAGAAAAGATTTGAGGAAGCTTACAGGGATTCATACAGTATAATCGTATGATTAAAAATATATAAATAGATCAAGAAACCAAGGGAAAGGGAAAGGAAAGACTGAAACAGTAAGTTGAAACCAGAGGGGAAGTTAGTTCTCAAAAATATATGCTGCAAAGTCTTAAGTAAATATTTGTCATTGCAGGGCTGGAAAGCATAATGTATGTTATCTGATCTAATTACCCAACTGGCTCTTGAAATCCCTCTCTGACATCCCTACAGTAGCCATCTAGCCTGAGTTTGCACATTTCCAGTGACGGGGAGATCAGTACATTGCAAGGCAATTCCAACTGTTAGAAAGTATGGACCCAGGAGTCACAAATTCAAATGCTTCCAAGGGCTGGGCGTGGTAGCTCACACCTGTAATCCCAGCACTTTGGGAGGCCGAGGCAGGCGGATCACCTGAGTTCAGGAGTTCAAGACCAGCCTGGCCAACATGATGAAATCCCATCTCTACTAAAAATACAAAAACTAGCTGGGAGTGGTTGTGTACACCTGTAATTCCAGCTACTCAGGAGGCTGAGGCAGGAGAATCACTTGAACCTGGAAGGTGGAGGTTGCAGTGAGCTGAGATCGCGCCACTGCACTCCAGTCTGGGCAATAGAACGAGACTCTGTCTCAAAAAAAAAAAAAAAAAAAAAAACCACAAAAAAATCCCCAAATGCTTTCAAGGACCAGATGAATGAGGCAGGTCAATGTGGTGGAGTGGGGGCTGGGGGTCTAAGTCAAAGTGCAATGCACACACCCCCTTTAACTGTAGCAACTGCTACTCCTCCCAGCCAATTGTTGCCATATGGGACTTAGGTCCAGTGTAGCCAGATCTTTAGATATTTCAAGAGAAGCTGAAAAATCCCGATTTTATAGGAAATTTCCCTTTTTTTTTTGAGACAGGGTCTCACTGTGTCACCCAGGCTGGAGTGGTGGCATGATCTCAGCTCACTGCGACTTCTGTCTCCCGGGCTCAAGCAATCCTCCCACTTCAGCCTCCTGAGTATCTGGGACTACAGGTGCACACCACTACACCTGGCTAATTTCTGTAGAGACAAGGTTTTGCCATGTTGCCCAGGTCGGTCTCAAACTCTTGAGCTCAAGCGATCCACCCGCCTTGGCTTCCCAAAGTGCTGGGGTTACAGGCATGAGCCACTGTGTCAGGCAATTTCCTGGGTTTTAAATTGGCAATTAATTCTTTATTTTATTTTATTTTTGAGACAGAATCTCGCTCTTTTGCCCAGGTTGGAGTGCAGTGACACAATCTCGGCTCACTGCAACCTCCGCCTCCCAGGTTCAAGTGCTTCTTCCGCCTCAGCCTCCCAAGTAGCTGGGACTACAGGTGCCCGCTGCCACACTCAGCTAATTTTTGTATTTTTAGTACTGATGGGGTTTCACCATATTGGCCAGGCTGGTCTCGAACTCCCAACCTCGTGATCTGCGCGCCTCGGCCTCCCAAAGTGCTGGGGTTACAGGCGTGAGCCATTATGCCCGGCCTAATTCTCTAGTTTATAAAACACTGAACAGCCCACAGGAAATACAACTGCAGACCTGTGCTGTCTCTGGTTCACAGGCTTGTGAGTCCAAGGTGGCCAAAGTCTCAGGCTTTAAAGCTGGGTTAAAACAGGCTTTGAATCTCGCTCTGCGACTTACTCATTGCATAATTGTAGCCTCAATTCTCATCTGTAAAATGGGAATAATAATAGCACTTACCTACCTCTTTTTTTCCTTTTTCAGGGACGAAGTCTTGCTCTATCTCTCACTGCAGCCTCAAACTCCTGGGCTCAAGTGATCCTCCCACCTCAGTCTCCCAAGTAGCCAGAACTACTGGTACATGCCACCATAATTGACTAATTTTTAATTTTTTTTTTTTTTGTAGAGACAGGCTGGTCTCGGACTCCTGGGCTCAAAAGATCCTCCCACCTCAACCTCCCAAAGTGCTGAAATTATAGGTGTGGCCTGGCCAACAGAGCAAAACCGCGTCTCTACTAAAAATACAAAAATTAGCCAGGCGTTGTGTTGCACACCTGTAATCCCAGCTATTCGTGAGGCTGAGGCAGAAGAATCACTTGAACTTTGGAGGCAGAGGTTGCAGTGAGCTGAGATTGTGCCACTGCACTCCAGCCCAGGTGACAGAATGATACCCTGTCTCAATAAATAAATAAATAATGCTAAATATTAATAACTACAATAAATAAACTATTTTTGGCTGGGCACAGTGGCTCACTCCTATAATCCCAACACTTTTTGGGAGCCCAAGGCAGGTGAATTGCTTGAGCCCAGGAGTTCAAGACCAGCCTGGGCAACATAGGGAGACCCTGTCTCTACAAAAATACCAAAATTAGCTGAGTGCGGTGGTGTGTGGCTATAGTCCCAGCTACTTGGGAGGTTGAGGTGGGAGGATAGCTTGAGCCTGGATGTCAAGCCTACAGTAACCTGTGATTGTGCCACTGCACTCCAGCGTGGGTGACAGAGCAAGACCCTGTCTCAAAATCAATCAATCAATCAATCAATCAATCAGTAAAATAAATAAACTATTTTGAGGGTCTCTCTGGAGCTTTCATCCAGTAATTCCTGCTTTACCCATAAAGGCAATTTTTTTTTTTTTTAGACAGAGTCTCGCCGTTGCCCAGGCTGAAGTGCAGTGGCGTGATCTCAGCTCACTGCAACCTCCGCCTCCCAGGTTCAAGCAATTCTCCTGTCTCAGCCTCCTGAGTAGCTGGGATTACAAGCGTGTACCACCATACCTGGCTAATTTTTGTATTTTTAGTAGAGACAAAGTTTCACCATGTTGGTCAGGCTGGTCTCAAACTCCTGACCTCAGGTGATCCACCCGCCTTGGCCCCACAAAGTGCTGGAATTACAGGCGTGAGCCACCCCACCTGGCGAAGTAATTTTTTTTTTTTTTGAGACGGAGTCTCGCTGTGTTGCCCAGGCTGGAGTGGTTCCATCTTGGCTCACTGCAACCTCCGCCTCCCGGGTTCAAGTGATTCTCCTGCCTCAGCCTCTCGAGTAGCTGGGACTATAGGTGCGTGCCACCATGCCCGGCTAATTTTTTGTATTTCTAGTAGAGACAGGGTTTCACCGTGTTGGCCAGGGTGGTCTTGATCTCCTGACCTCGTGATCCGCCGGCCTCGGCCTCCCAAAGTGCTGGGATTACAGGTGTGAGCCACCATGTCCGGCCAAAGGTAATTTTTTATAAGACTGGTTGAGGTACGTTCCAAGGTTTCAGTGACTTTGGTTTTTGTTTTTTTGTTTTTGTTTTTTTTTGAGACAGGGTCTCACTCTGTCGCCCAGGCTGGAGTGCAGTGGTGATCTCAGCTCACCGCAACCTCCGCCTCCTGGGTTCAAGTGATTCTCATGCCTCAGCCTCCCAAGTAGCTAGGATTACAGGCATGCACCACCATGCCTGGCTAATTTTTGTATTTTTATTTTTATTTATTTACTTTTTTGAGACAGAGTCTCGCACTGTCACCCTGGCTGGAGTACAGTGACTATCTGATCTCGGCTCACTGCAACCTCCGCCTCCTGGATTCAAGTGATTCTCCTGCCTCAGCCTCTTGAGTAGCTGGGATTACAGGTATGCGCCACCACACCCAGCTAATTTTTTTTGTATTTTTAGTAGAGATGGGGTTTCACCATGTTGGCCAGGCTGATCTTGAACTCCTGACTTCGTGATTCACCCGCCTGGGCCTCCCAAAGTGCTGGGATTACAGGCGTGAGCCACCACACCCGGCCATTTTTGTATTTTTAGCAGAGATGGGGTTGGCCAGGCTGGTCTCGAACTCTTGACCTCAGGTGATCCACCCGCCTCCGCTCCCAAAGTGCTGGGATTACAGGCATGAGCCACCACGCCGGGCCAGGACTTTGTTTTTAATTATTAGAAGTACAGCTCACATTTTCCCTTTAAGTGCCAGAAATACGACATTTTCCTTTGTCCACAATGCAGATAAAACTCAGCTGAGTGAGGATGTCTGCAGGATCCTGCTTCTTTGGGATGGTGGGCAATGAACAACTATGGACATAGGTGTGTTGTTTGTAGGTGAAGAGAGGGGTTTAGTGGAGAGGGCATTCTAGGTGAGGAGAACCGGTGGAACAAAGTATTTAGAGGCGGGTGAGCTCCTGGAGCCTGATCAGAGAAAAAAGGGAAATATCGCCAATACTTAAGTTGGGCCTGGTGTTGACAGGAAGACAACCTGGCCTAACCTCTGGAAAATGGGGAGCCATTAGAGAGATGTAAGCAGGGCAGTTCTGCAGAAACACACAAAGAGGGCTAACCAAGAATGATCACGGTTTGCAAGTCACTCACTGAATGTGCTTCTGAAAGGACTCGTCTCAAATCAGTTATATATTGTGTCTCTTCTCCAGAGTCTGGGAGCCTCCAGGGACGAGGGGAATAGGATATTTTTCATCTCTCTGTCCTAGAAACACACCCAATATTTGCAGAGGACTTGAGAGAAGGGGAGGGACTGAGCTGGGGTCACCTGATTGTAGGCAGAGGAGAGAGTGTGAGCTCTGGGTTACAACCTGACTCTGCCACGAGGTAGCTACACAACCTTGGCTAGTTAATGAACTGAGCCTCAGTCTTCCCATCTGTAAGGTGGGGATAATAATAGTACCTTTGGGCCGGGTGCGGTGGCTCACGCCTATAATTCCAGCACTTTGGGAGGCCGAGGTGGGCAGATTACCTGAGGTCAGGAGTTCGAGACCAGCCTGGCTAACATGGTGGAACCCCGTCTCTACCAAAAATACAAAAATTAGCTGGGCATGGCGGCGGGCGCCTGTAATCCCAGCTACTCTGGAGGCTGAGGCAGGAGAATCGCTTGAGGTGGGAGGCGGAGGTTACAGTGAGCCAAGATCACACCACTGCACTCCAGCCTGGGCAACAAGAGTGAAACTCCATCTCAAAAATAATAATAATAATAATAATAATAATAATAATAATAATAATAATAATAAAAATAATAGTACCTTCATGATAGAATGATTACAAAGACTGATGTGCTTAACTCATAAGTGCTCAATAAATGTCCTTTTGGGGATTTTCAGCTCCCCCAGCAGCCTTCCCCTTGGTCTCCTTGCCTTAGCCCCCAACATTGTGTCTGTGGATTATCGTCTCCCACTGCCCTCCACCCCTTTTGCTCTCACCCTTTCATTTCCTGATCCCACTTTCCTACTGGTCAAATATGAACCATTGCATGTATTTACTTCTGATGCTTTTTAGGAAAAGACAAAATGTCACACCCAGCTGAAAAATGGAAGAATTTGGTCTTGAATCCAGGTCAAGTTCATGAACTCTTATACCACCCTCTGCTCTTTGGGTCCATTACGTACTGGCTGTGAGAAATCAAGTTTCTAGGTGGGGCACAGTGGCTCATGCCTGCAATCTCAGCACTTTGGGAGTCTGAGGTGGGAGGATCACTTTGAGTCCAGGAGTTTGAGACCAGTCTGGAAAACAAAGTGAGTTCCCATTTCTACAGAAAATTTTATAATTAGCCAGGTGTGGCTGTGTGCACCTGTAGTCCCAGCTACTGGGGAGGCTTAGGTGGGAGAAGTGCTTGAGCCCTGGAGGTTGAGGCTGCAGTGATCTGTGATCGTGCCACTGTACTCCAGCCTGGGCAGCAGAGTGAGACCCTGTGTCAAAAAAAAAAAAAAAATAAGTGTTCCTGTCCAGCTCCACAGCTGTCAATGGTAGACCTGAGAGCCACACTTATGTCTGCCTGGCTCCAAATCTGGTGATTCTCCCCTACCCCATGCTCCCCAGTCTCCATGTGGAATCTTTAGTGGCCTTTTAGTGGAATCACCATGCTTCTCCTATATGGTCATTAAATACTGGAGCATTTCACTATAGCGCTTGATTATCAACTGTCACAGAAATTCTGTGAGGTCATCCAGCGGGAGTCATGCCCATTTGTGGATGAAGAAACTGAGGCTCAGAGAGAGAAAGCGACTAGTCCAAGTCCACATTGACTTTATATAGTCAATATTCTCCACACTTCCAGGGTCCTAGCCTAGTGAAAACTCTACACCTTAACCACTTTAAGGGGTCACATACCTCCTAAAGCATTGTCCTTCACACAATTGTTTCAGTAAATGTTTCCTGACGGATTGGCCACCCCTGTGTCAGATGCCAGTTTTCTGTAGAGCCTGAGTCGTGTGCCCAAGGCACAGGAAATGGCCTTGCTTCTCAGAGAAGGAGAGGATAAGTGACCATATCCTGATGGACCGTCTTGACTTTCCAGGTGGTGACCATTACAGGGTGATAGTCACCATGTCCAAATGGTGGAGTTGAGAATGGTGGCCTTCATTAAGACCACGAACAGGCCAGGCGTGGTGGCTCACACTTGTAATCCCAGCACTTTGGGAGGCTGAAGCAGAAGGATCACTTGAGGCCAGGAGTTCGAGGCCAGCCTGGCCAACATGGCAAAACCACATCTCTACTAAAAATAGAAAAATTAGCCAGGCGTGGCAGTGCATGCCTGTAATCCCAGCTACTTGGGAGGCTGAGACACGAGAATCCCTTGAACCTGGAAGTCAGAGGGTGCAGTGAGCCGAGACTGCACCACTGCACTCCAGCTTAGGTGACAGAACGAGACTCTGTCTCAAAAAAAAAAAAAAAAAAAAAAAAAAAAGAAGACCACAACAGCTGCTTTATTTTAACAATAAACATGATTCCTCCTTACTATATACAATTTAGAAAATAGGAAAAGCTGTTAAGAGGAAAATAAGAATCAACTATAATCTGAATACCCAAAGATAATGACCATTGCAAATATTTGATGTATTTCCCTCTAGATTTCTCTGTGCCAACACACATGCACACATACTTCCTATTAGGTCAAATGTGTGATCATAAAAAAACTACAGTAACATACCTGTAGCAGATGCTATTGATTGCCTACTCAATACACACTCTCCCTTCTCCCTGTTTACATAACTCCAATTTTTTTTTTTGAGACAGGGTTTCACTGTTTCCCAGACTGGAGTGCAGAGGCGTGATCACGGCTCACTACAGCCTCAACCTCCTGAGCTCAGGTGATCCTCCCACCTCAGCCTCCTGAGTAGCAGGGACTACAAGCGTGAGCCACCACACCCAGCTGATTTTAAATTTTTTTGTAGAGATAGGATCTTGCTTTGTTTTCCATGCTGGTCTCAAACTCGTGGGCTCAAGCAATCCTCCCACTTCAGCCTCCCAAAGTTCTGGGATTACAGGCGTGAGCCACCTTGCCCAGCAGAACTCTAATTTTGTTTTTAGGTAGTCGTGGAGTTGCCTTAATCTTAGAGAAGATTTAACCTGTGCCAGGTGATGAATCACGGCTGGTCTAGACCAGTCATGGTAATCTGATTCCCCTTCTAGATTGGATTGCTGCATTGTCTAACATGGTTGTCATTACCCACGCCGGTGGCTTTTTAAACTAATGTTAATTAAAATTAAATCAAATTTAAAATGCAGTTTTTCTGCTGCACTAGCCACATTTTAAGTGTTTAAGAGCCATCCATGGCCGGGCGTGGTGGCTCATGCCTGTAATCCCAGCACTTTGGGAGGCTGAGGCTGGCAGATCATGAGGTCAGGAGTTCGAGACCAGCCTTGCCAACATGGTGAAACCCTGTCTCTACTGAAAATACAAAAATTCACCGGGCATGGTGACAGGCGACTGTAATCCCAGCTACTTGGGAAGCTGAGGCAGGAGAATTGCTTGGACCCAGGAGGCGGAGGTTGCAGTGAGCCAAGATCATGCCATTACACTCCAGCCTTGGTGACAAGAGCCAGACTTTGTCTCAAAAAACAAAAGCAAAAACAAAAACAAACAAAAAATGCCATCCATGACTAGTGGCTACCATTTTGGACAACACAGATATAGGACATTTCCATCACTACAGAAAGTTTTATTGGACAGTGCTGGGGGTATGCAAGTGGTCCAATTCTGGCCAATGAAACACGAGTGGTAAGTTTGGGGGGACTCCCCTACATAGATAGAAAAAAAGAGCCTCATTAGGACAGAACCTCTGTTCCTGCATCTTCCTGTCCAAGACCCTGGTGTGAGTATGATGTCTAGCAGCCATCTTGCAACCACAAGATAACAAGTGCGAGGACAAAAAGACAAATTGTGAGGATGGCGATGGAATAGGATGAAAATAGGCTGCTTCTTTCTTTCTTTTCTTTCCCTTTTTTTTTTGAGATGGAGTTTTGCTCTTTCGCCCAGGCTGGAGTGCAGTGGTGCAATCTCAACTCACTGCAACCTCTGCTCCACCGGGTTCAAGCGATTCTCCTGTCTCAGCCTCCTGAGTAGCTAGACTACAGGTGCCCGCCACCATGCCAGGCTAATTTTTGTATTTTTAGTAGAGACAGGATTTCGCCATGTTGGCCAAGCTGGTCTCGAACTCCTGACCTCAAGTAATCCACCTGCCTTGGCCTCCCAAAGTGCTGCGATTACAGGCATGAGCCACTGCACCCAGCCTCTTTTCTTTTTTAAAATTGCGTAAGGGTTGGGCACTGTGATTCAAGCTTGTAATCCCAACACTTTAGGAGGCCGAGATGGGAGGATCGCTTGAGCCCAGGAATTCAAGACCAGTCTGGGCAACATACAAAGATAAAAAATTAGCTGAACATGGTGGCACATGCCTGTAGTCCCAGCTACTCAGGAGGCTGAGGTGGGAGGATCGCTTGATCCCTGGAGGTTGAGGCTGCAGTGAGCAGTGATTGTGCCACTCACTGCACTCCAGCCTGGTACAGAGCTAGACCCTGTCTCAAAAAAATTAAAATAAAAAATAAAATTGTGGTAAAATACATATAAAATATACCATATTAGCCCTCTTTTAGTGTACGGTTCAGTAGTGTTAAGCACGTTTACATGATTGTGCAGCCAATCCTCAGAGCTCTTTTCATCTTCCAAAACTGAAACTCTGTCTCCATTAAACAATTTCCCATTTTCTCTCCCCAGCACCTAGCAACTACCACTCTATTTTCTATCTCCACGAATTTGACTACTCTAAGTACTTCATACAGGTGAAATCATGCTGTGTTTGTCCTTTTGTGACTGGTTTGTTTATTTATTTGTTTACATATATATATATATATATATATATATATATATATGTATATATATTTTTTTTTTTTTTTTTTGAGACAGAGTCTCTCCCTGTCACCCAGGCTGGAGTGCAATGGTGTGATCTCGGCTCACTGCAACCTCCACCTCCTGGGTTCAAGCGATTCTCCTGCCTCAACCTCCTCAGTAGCTGGGATTACAGGTGCCTGCCACCATGCCCAGCTAATTTTTGTGTTTTTAGTAGAGACGAGGTTTCACCATGGTAGCCAGGCTGGTCTCGACCTCCTGACCTCGTGATCCACCTGCCTGGGCCTCCCAAAGTGCTGGGATTACGGGCATAAGCTACCACGCCTGGCTTTTTTTTTTTGAAACAGAGTCTTGCTCTGTCACCCAGGCTGGAGTGCAACGGCGTGATCTCAGCTCACTGCAACCTTCGCCTCCCAGGTTTAAGCGATTCTCCTGCCTCAGCCTCACGAGTAGCTGGGGTTACAGGTGCACACCACCACACCCAGCTAGTTTTTGTATTTTTAGTAGAGACAGTATTTCACCATGTTGGCCAGGCTGGTCTTGAACTCCTGACCTCAAGTGATCTGCCTGCCTGGGCCTCCCAAAGTTCTGGGATTACAGGCATGACCCACCGCTCCCAGCCCGTGACTGGTTTATTTAACATAATACCCTCAAGATTCATCCATGTTGTAGCATGTGTCAGAATCTCATTCCTTTTTGAAGTTGAACAATATTCTATTTTATGTTTATACTACATTTTATTATCCATTTATCCGTTGAGGGACAATGGGTTGCTTCTACCTTTTGGCTATTGGGAATAATGCTGCTATGAACATAGGTAAACAAAAATCTCTTTGAGACCCTGCTTTCAATTCTGTTGGGTATTTAAAGTGGAATTGCTGGATCATATAAAAATCTATTTTTAGTTTTTTGATGAACTAACACTGCAGCACCTCTACCATTTTACATTTCCACCAACAGCGCATAAGGTTTCCAATTTCTCCATCCTTGCCAACACGTATTTCCTGTTTTTTTATTTTTATTTTTTATAATAATCATCTAATGGGTTTGAGGTGCTAGCTCATTGTGGTTTGATTTGCATTTCCATAATTAGTTATTTTGGATATCTTTTCATGTGTTTCATTTCTTTTTTTTTGAGAGGGAGTTTCACTCTTGTTGCCCAGGCTGGAGTGCAGTGGCACGATCTCTGCTGGCAGCAACCTCCACCTGCTGGGTTCAAGTGATTCTCTTGCCTCAGCCCCCCAAGTAGCTGGGATTACAGGCGCCTGCCACCATGACCAGCTAATTTTGTATTTTTAGTAGATGTAGGGTTTCACCATGTTGGTCAGGCTGGTCTCAAACTACTGACCTCAGGTGATCCCCCCGCCTTGGCCTCCCAAAGTGCTGGGATTACAGGCGTGAGCCACCACGCCTGGCCGTTTTTTTTGCCATTTCTGTAGTTTCTTTGGAGAAATGTCTATTCAAGTCCTTCGCCCATTTTCTATTCTTTATTTTTTTGAGACAGGCTTACTCTGTCACCCAGGCTGGAGCACAGTGATGCAATCATGGCTCACTGCAGCCTTGACCTCTCAGGATCAAATGATTGTTATACCTCAGCCTCCATGCCAGGCTAATTTTTTTTTCCTTGCTTTTTGGTAGAGGCAGAGTCTTAACACGTTGCTCAGGCTGCCTTGAATTCCTGGTCTCATGCCATCCTCCTGCCTTGGCTTCTAAAAGTATTGGGATTACAGGTGTGAGCCACCACACCCAGCTTTTGTCCGTTTTTAATTGGGTTGTTTATATGTTTGTTGTTGAGTTGTAGGAGTTATTTTTGTTTTTTGCAGACAGAGTTTTGCTCTTGTTGCCGGGCACGATCTTGGCTCACTGCAACCTCTGCCTCCAGGGTTCAAGCGATTCTCCTGCCTCAGCCTCCCAATTAGCTGGGATTACAGGCATGCGCCACCATGCCTGGCTAGTTTTTGTATTATTAGTAGAGATAGAGTTCACCATGTTGGCCAGGCTGGTCTCAAACTCCTAAGCTCAGGTAATCTATCCCCTTCCCAAAGTGCTGGGATTACAGGCATGAGCCACCGCACCAGGCCAGAGTTCCTTATAGAACCTGGATATTAACCCCTTAATATATGAATTGCAACTGTTTTCTCCCATTCCGTGTGTTGCCTTTTTAATTCTGTTTATTGTATAAGAAACTTTCTTGAAGACCACCATAGAGCAGTTAAAAATTTTTCCTAATGAGTATAGATATCCTTTTACTTTCTTATATTTTCATGAGCATTTCCCCATATCATTGGATGCTATTGAAAAATATCATTTCCCTCCCTCCCTTCCTTCCTTCCTTCCTTCCTTCCTTCCTTCCTTCCTTCCTCTCTCTCTCTCTCTTTCTTTCTTTCTTTTTTTTTTCTTTCTTTCTTTCTTTCTTTCTAGACAGAGTCTTACTCTGTTGCCAGGCTGGAGTGCAGTGGTGCGATCTCGGCTCACTGCAACCTCTGCCTCCCGGGTTTAAGTGATTCTCCTGCCTCAGCCTCCCAAGTAGCTGGGACTACAGGTGTGCACCACCATGCCCAGCTAATTTTTATATTTTTAGTAGAGATGGGTTTTTACCATGTTGGTCGGCATGCTCTCGATCTTCTGACCTTGTGATCCACCCGCCTTGGCCTCCCGAAGTGCTGGGATTACAGGCGTGAGACATCGCGCCCGGCTGAAAAATATTATTTTCAATGGCAGCATGATATTTCTCCTTACTGACATCTCTTATTCTCTCCATTCCTCTAATATCAGACATAATATTTCCCTGTTGCAAGTGAAGCTGAGGTGAACAAGCTTGTGCCTAATCTTTGCGAGTATATCTCATTATTTTCTCAAAATTGATTCCTAGAAATGGAATGGGCTGACTCAAATGCTTTTTAGTCATCATGATTATTTTATTTATTTATTTATTTTTGAGACGGAGTCTTGCTCTGTCGCCCAGGCTGGAGTTCAGTGACGCAATCTTGGCTCACTGCAAGCTCCGCCTCCCGGGTTCAAGCCATTCTCCCGCCTCAGCCTCCCGAGTAGCTAGGGCAACAGGCGCCTGCCACCATGCCCGGCTAATTTTTTTGTATTTTTAGTAGAGACGGGGTTTCACCGTGTTAGCCAAGATGGTCTTGATCTCCTGACCTCGTGATCTGCCCGCCTCGGCCTCCCAAAGTGCTGGGATTACAGGCGTGAGCCACTGCACCCGGCCATGATTTATTTTCTTACAATTTGTGGCAATTTCTCAATACCATCAGCAATGGGATGAAAGTGCTCCTTGCCAACATTGTGTATGATGCTTTTTCTCTCTCTCTCTCTTTTTTTAAGCCAAGGTCTCACTCTGTCACCCAGGCTGGAGTGCAGTGGCACAATCATGGCTCACTCAGCCTTGACCTCCTGGGCTCCAGCAATCATCCTGCCTTAGCCTCCCCAGTAGCTGAGACTACAGGCATGTGCCACCACACCTGGCTAATTTTTAAATTTTGTTGTAGAGATTGGGGACTCACTATGTTATCCAGGCTGCTCTCAATCTCCTGGGCTCAAGCAATCCTCCTGTCTTGGCCTTCCAAAGTGCTGGGATTATAGGTGTGAACAACTGAGCCCAGCCAAGTATGATGCTTTAAAAAAAAATCTGCTAATTTGAGAAGTAAATGATGATAATATATTTTTTTTGTTTGTTTTTGAGACAGGGTCTCACTCCATTACCCAGGCTAAAGTGCAGGGGCATGATCTTGGCTCACTGCAGCCTCAAACTCCTAGGCTCAAAGGATCCTCTTGCCTCAGCCTCCCAAATAGCTGGGACTATAGGCATGCACCACCAGCTAATTTTTTTTTTTTTTTTTTTGAAACAGAGTCTTGCTCTGTTGCCCAGGCTGGAGTGCAACAGCGTGATCTCGGCGCACTGCAACCTCCGCCTTCCGGGTTCAAGCAATTCTCCTGCCTCAGCCTCCCGAGTAGCTGGGATTATAGGCACCCACCACCACACCTGGCTAATTTTTTTGTATTTTTAGTAGAGACAGGGTTTCACCGTGTTAGCCAGGACGGTCTTGATCTCCTGACCTCATAATCCACCTGCCTTGGCCTCCCAAAGTGCTGGGATTATAGGCGTGAACCACCACGCCTGACTGCTAATTTTTTAATTTTAATTTTTAGGGATGAAGTCTCTCTACATTGCCCAGGCTGGTCTCAAACTCCTGGTGTCAGGGGATCCTCCCACCTTGGGCCCCCAGGATGCTGGGATTACAAGCATGAATTACCTCGCCTGTCAAATACATGTTTTTAAATAAGTGTACTGCGTGCAGTGCACCAGCCACTGTGCTAAGCACAGAGGATACAAATAAGTAACATAAAACCCGGTCCTGGGACCTAGGTGGTAGTTTTGGTCTGTCAAGGGATTTTATGACCTCCTCCTGGCTCTAAGACTTTAATATCACTGTTTTCTTGGCCAGGCACAGTGGCTCACGCCTGCAATCCCAGCATTTTGGGAGGCCGAGGCAGGTGGATCATTTGAGGTCAAGGAGTTCGAGACCAGGCTGACCACCATGGTGAAACCCCATCTCTACTAAAAATACAAAAAAAAAAAAAAAATTAGCTGGCCATGGTGGCACATGCCTGTAATCTCAGCTACTAGGGAGGCTGGGGCAGGAGAATCGCTTGAACTCGGGAGACGGAGGTTGCAGTGAGCCGAGACCATGCCACTGCACTCCAGCCTAGGCGAAAGAGCAAGACTGTGTCTCAAAAAAATAAAAAAAAAAAGAGTATTGTTTTCTTTATTTCAGTATTACTATGTATGGGCCTTACAAATGGGAAAGCATTTCACACCCATTCCCTGGGTAAACCCTCACAGCAGCCCTGAGGGAAGCAGGCAGGGAAACGAGGTCCTGAGGGTGAACTCACTTGCCCAAGATCACACAGCCAGTTAAGTGCCTGAGGAGGAAGCAATTAGCAGCCAACTCCTGTCTGGCTTTCTTCAGAAAACATCAAAGATGTGAATTTAGAAGCCATTAGCTTGATCCTCAGCCCTTAGAGCCTCCCTGAGGTCCCAGAGTTCCATCCATTCTGAACCTGGGCACTCCGCCAAGTGAGAAGCATCAAGCACAGCTCAGGTGCTTGGCTTCAGTCCAAGCCCTACATCTTGTTTCTTCCTGAAAGGGGCGCTGGGATGTCACCTCCTTGCATTCTAATAAATAGTTCCCTTTGCAGTCTTTTTATACAACCCCTCTTCAGCCCTCCTCCCCAAATGGTATTAAATTTCCAGGAATACTGAACTCTCTCACCAGCATGACTTCTCACATTTACAGTGATTGCTTTGCTGGAGGGCACCATGACTCCACTGATAAAGAAAGGAAAGACAGCCACCATTCATGGAGAACGTACTAAGTGCATCTTTTTTTTTTTTTTTTTTTTTTTTTTTTTTTTTTTTTTTTTTGAGACAGAATCTTGCTCTGTTGCCCAGGCTGGAGTGCAGTGGTGTGATCTCAGCTGATTGCAGCCTCAACTTCCTGGGCTCAAGCAATCCTCCCATATCAACCTTCTGAGTAGCTGGGGCTACAGGTGTGCACCACCATGACCGGCTAATTTTTGTATTTTTTGTAGACACAGGGTTTTGCCATGTTGCCCAGGCTGATCTTAAACATCTAAGCTTAAGCAGTCCACCGGCCTTGGCCTCCCTAATTACAGGCGTGAGCCACTGTGCCCAGCCCCAGACCATATTTTAGTTAATCCTCACAACAAACCTAAGCAGTTGCATTTCTAGCTCCACTTTGCATATGAGAAATGTGAGTCCCAGAGAGGTCAAGTGATGTGCACTGGGTCACTCAGCTAACACATAAGGAATGGAGCTGGGATTCAAACCTTTGACTGTCTGGACCCCGCAGTCCATGCTTGTCATTTTCATAGCTCAGAGATGCACTGTCCAATGTGATAACCACTAGCTGCATGTGGCTGCTTAGGCATAAATTAATTAAAATTAAATAAATACAATTCAGTTTTTCAGTAGCACTAGACTCATTTCAAGTGCTCAATAGCCACATGTGGCTGTTGGCTGCCTTATTGGACAGCACAGATATAGAACATGTCCACCACGGTGGAAAGATCTGTTGGACAGCGCTGCTCTCAAATGTGAGAGAAGAAAGAAAACATCGTGATTTTACCCTTGCATGGGGAGCCAGGCCATCTGCCACTTGTCAGCTTTGTAGAGAGTTCATCGGAAGTTATTTTTCCTGGATGAGATCATAATAAAACCATCCATGGGTGTCTGGGCTATGTTTTACCTTTCTCCTGGTTTGGCCTCCATTCATCCCCATCCATGATAGATGCAAGCATGCCCTTTCCCACACTCCCCTGCTGCCACCCAGTCGCCAGGTATCTAGTGCCTTTCTCTGTCATACAGGATTTGGGTTATCTTAGTCACTAAAGTGGGGCATCCTCACAGGACAACTCAGATGGAGACTGAGCAAAATTTTATAACACAGTGGGCTTAATTCCAGCTGGGTGGTCCCTGGGCGACATGCCTGCCACTGGGGAGGAGGGTCCTCACTGACTGACGTTGAGGAGGAGGGCTAACGGAGTTTCTTGGCAAAGGGGATGTCTGGTTATAAAGGGATTCTTCCCCCCGCTTAGCAACAGAACCCCCTCCCTATGTCTGGGGACTCCTTACTTTGTGAACGGAAGGCAGTCTTCTTCCTACCATAGAAGCCAAAAGGTCAGATGTTTGTCTTTACAGCTTCCACTGCAGGTAGGAGATGGGCATGTGATCAAGGATCAACCAATTAAGGCTTGGGTTATAGAGGTCGAGACTGTGGGGAATCCTTATGGAGAGGGAAGGTGAGAATGGTCTTGAGACAGTGCCCATGGCCAGGTAGCCATGGTGAAAGCAGGGCAACTAGTGTTCTCACCATACAAGTCCAGTAGTACATGGTCCCACGTGGCCTCGCCTTTCTTATTAGTGGCCACTTCTAGAAACTTCCTGGTGATTTTGTGGCCTTCCTACTACCCTGCTAATAAATTCCTTTTCTGCTACCATCAGAATTGGTTTCTATTATTTATGATATCTATTATTATGATAAACTGACACAATGGTGCTCGCTGGAATTAGATCATTTCTAGGCTAGAGTTTGCTCTTGGGGAGGTAGGAAGGAGGATCTCTGCTCTGGTCCATGTGATCTCTCCAGGACCCTTTTTTTCCAGCCCCACTGGCCTCCTTCCTCTTTTTGCATCCTCACCATCTCTCCCCTTCATTGAACTGAGCAAATCTCCAGAATTGAGAGGTTTGGAAGCCCTACTCTGACTTTTCAAAACTTCTTTCATTCCCTGAGTCTCCTCCCCAAGATTCTGGGGCTCAGAAAGTCCTTTCTCTATTTTTCTACTGAAATAACTCTTTTCTGAGCAATAAATACCTCACAGTCCAGGTTAGATGGAAAAGAGGACACAGTATGGAAAGGAAATGCCAGGAGTGGAAACATACTTGGTAATATAGAAGTTACCCCATCATACTAGGGTGACCACTCATCCTAGTTTGCCTGGACTAAGGAGTTTCTTGGGACATGGAACTTTTGGTGCTAAAACAGGGACAGACCTGTGCAAACTAGAACAAGTTAGTCACCCTACAACTGTACAGCTACTACTACTAATCCCACTTCAATACACAGCTTTATTCAGCTTGCTAAGGACAGAATCAAGACCAGACCGTCATCAACAATGCCTTACCAAAGTTCTTTTTTCGGCCAGGTGCAGTGAGTGGGTCATGCCTGCAATCCCAGCACTTTGGGAGGCTGAGGCAGGTGGATCACTTGAGGTCAGGAATTCGAGACCAGCCTGGTCAACATGGCGAAACCCTGCCTCTACTGAAAAATACAAAAATGAGCCAGGCATGGTGGCACATGTCTGTAATCCCAGCTACTCAGGAGGCTGAGGCATGAGAATCACTTAAACCCGGGAGGTAGAGGTTGCAGTGAGCTGAGATTGCGCCACAGCACTCCAGCCTGGGCAACAGAGCAATATTCTGTCTCAAAAAAAAAAAAAGTTGTTTTAATTTTCATTTCTTTAATATGAGTAAGCATAAGTATCTTTCCTTTTCCTATGTTTAAAAGCAATATTTTCTATTCCTTTTCTCTGAACTATCTGTTCATACCTTTTACCTACCTGTTTAAAAAAATTTTTAAATAGTTTTTGTACATATTTATGGGGTACATGTGCAATTTTGTTACATGCATAGAATGTGTAATGATAAAGTCAGGGTATTTAGGTTATCTATCACCCAAGTATTTATCATTTCTATGTGTTGGGTACATTTCAGGTCTTCTAGCTGTTTTGAAGAACACAATACATTTTTGTTAAATAGCAGTAAACACATCCAGTTAAACATAGTGGATTGATGATGCGTATTTATTTTTTTCTCCCTCGAACCCCATCTATATGGCAATAAGGAATAAAAAATGTATTAACCCAGAACATGAATAGGAATGAAAAGGAGACATTAGTGGCCCAGGGATTTCAGCAAGTTTTTAGAAAACAGGGACAGAAGGGGAAGTAGTAACTGACTTAACAGGGGGAGGAAGTTATGACCCAAATGTCTGCAGGGAATATTGATTTGATGACTAAAAGGTGAGCCCAGATTCTTCCATAGAAGAGATAGACACTAAAAATAAAGATATGGATGGAAATCTCCCACAGAGTAGAACAAAAGAGCCAAAAAGAGGGACAATAAGAGAAAAACAGAGAAAATTAGAAACTCAGTTTGGAAAGTATAACTTCTGACTAAGAGAAATTCCAGAAAGAGAAAAAAATGGAGGGGAGAGCCAAGTCTGGTGTCTCATTCCTGTAGTCCCAACAGTTTGGGAGGCCGAGGCAGGGGGATTGCTTGAGCCCAGGAGTTTGAGACCAGCTGGGCAACACAGTGAGACCCCATTTCTACAAAAAATAGAAAAATTACTCAGGCATGGTGGTATGCACCTGTAGTCCTAGCTACTCGGGAGGCTGAGGTGGCAGGATCACTTGAAGCTGCAGTGAGCCATGATCATGCCACTGCATTCCAGCCTGTGCAACATAGCACAACACTGTTTCAGGGGAAAAAAAAATAGGAGGGGAGAAAATTATCGAAAAAATAATACAAGAAAATTTCCTAGATTAGAGGGATATAAGTCTCCAGATTGAAAAGGCCCAGCTAACACAAGTGAGGAAAAGCCTCACTGAGGGGAGTCATCATCAAATACAACATTATGGATAAAGATGATAGCCTAAAAGTTTTCAAAGATTAAAAATAAAAAAAGAACAAGACACATATAAAGCAACAGGATTAAGAATGGCATTAGATGTCTTAAATCTGGATACTAGAAACAATAATGCAATGTTTTAAAAATTCTGAGAGAAATAATTTTCAGCCTAGATTTCTTTTTTTTTTTTTTTTTTGAAATGGAGGCTCCCTCTGTCGCTCAGGCTGGAGTGCAGTGGTGCAATCTTGGCTTACTGCAACCTCTGCCTCCTGGGTTCAAGTGATTATCCTGCCTCAGCCTCCCCGAGTAGCTGGGACTACAGGCATGTGCCACCATGCCCAGCTAATGTTTTTTTTGTATTTTTAGTAGAGACAAGGTTTCAGCATGTTGGCCAGGCTGGTCTCAAACACTTGACCTCAGGTGATCTGCCTGCCTCGACCTCCCAAAGTGCTGGGATTACAGGCATAAGACATGGCGCCTGGCCTTCAGCCTAGATTTCTATACCCTGCTAAACTATTAATCAAGTGTGAAAACAGTATAAATGCATATTTAGACATACAAGGACTAAATATATTTGCTTCTTTGCAACCTTTCTCAGGAATCTACAGAAAGATGTGCTGCACAGAGATGACAGAGTAAATCCACAATCTAGAAGTTTGAGACACAAGGTCCAGGGCACAGGGAATCCCAACCAGGTGTAGGATATAGGAAAGTTCAGTATGACAGCTGTGCAGTAGGCCTGGAGAGCACTGGTCCAGATCAGAGCTGAAGCCTTCAGGAGAAAAAAACAAAAGAGAACTCATGAACTTTTTTTTTTTTTTTAAGTTGTTGTTGTTTTTGTGAGATGGAGTTTTGCTCTTGTCACCCAAGCTAGAGTGCAATAGGGTTATTTCGGGTCACTGCAACCTCCACCTCCTAGGTTCAAGCAATTCTCCTGCCTCAGCCTCCAAAGTAGTGGGGATTACAGGTGCCTGCCACCACTCCTGGCTGATTTTTGTATTTTTAGTAGAGACGTGGTTTCTCCATGTTGGCCAGGCTGGTCTTGAACTCCTGACCTCAGGGTGATCTGCCTGCCTCAGCCTCCCAAGGTGCTGGGATTATGGGCATGAGCCACCATGCCTAGCCGAATTGTTATGTTACACATCTGGAAAAATCACTGCTGATTATTTTGTCTAATTTATTAACCACATAGGAAAAAATTAACAATATCTGCAAAGAAAGCTAATGAAAGGGGGGAAAAAATGAGGCAATTATTAGCTTCAGGAAATACCAAAAGAGGCTGGGTGCAGTCTCTTTTGGTATTTCCTTTATTATTTTATTTAAAAATAAACTTCTTCACTGTAGAGAAAGTGTAAATCAAATTATGTGGGAGTTTTAATGGGCCAGGCCTGAGAATAGCACACATCACATTTAATTGGCCAGAACTTGGTCTGAACTGTAAGGAAGGCTGGGAAATACTGTCTAGTTGTGTGTCCAGGAGCAGGAAGAAATAACGTTTTTGAGAGGAAGTAGCAATATCTGCCACAACAGGCAAAAAGTAGTTGTAGGCAGATGAAGAAGACCATCTCAGGTATTCATTTATTCAAGGAGCAAAACATATTTGTTCAGCAACTACTATTGACTAAGCTTGGTTCCAGGCATGGTGGATACAAGAGTGAACAAATAAAAGACTGCTCTTATGCAGTTTCTATTTAGTGGGGAACAGCAGGTGTAAGTTCCATGGGGGTTGGAACCTGCCCTTCTAGGCCAGTGTGGTTGGAATAGAGTTTTAACGAATTTTGCAGGAAGTAATAAGGACTTCATATTTGATTCTAAGAGCAATGAGACTCCATTAAATCGAGTATTAATCAGAAAGTGGCATGATCTGTTTTATTTATTTATTTATTTATTTATTTATTTTAATCTTTATATCTGAGACGGAGTTTCGCTGTTGTCGCCCAGGCTGGAGTGCAGTGGTGCCATCTCTCTCACTGCAACCCCTGCCTCCCGGGTTCAAGCGATTCTCCTGCCTCAGCCTCCCGAGTAGCTGGGACTACAGGCATGCGCCACCACGCCCGGCTAATTTTTTGTATTTTTATTAGAGACGGGGTTTCGCCATGTTGGCCAAGCTGGTCTCGAACTCCTGACCTCAGGTGATTCACCTGCCTCAGCCTCCCAAAGTGCTGGGATTACAGCGGGAGCCACCGCACCTGGCCGCATGATCTGTTTTAAATAATTACTCTGGCCACCTTATGGAAAATGGATTGTTCGGACAGAGCTGGACAAAAGAATGGAAACAGACCAGATATTTCAGGCAGGCTAGAGATGAGCGTGGCCTGGCCTTGCCTGGGGCGGTTGTGACTGACTGGATTGGGTGAAGGACAGGAAAGCTACAACAAGGGTGCCTATAGGTGTTCGTATTGAGTCACTGGGGGCACCCTAAATGGGAGTTACCTCAGTAGCAGTTTGAGACACCAGTCAGATAATGGATGTGAAAGCTTTTAGAAAGGTTGAACGGCGGCTGAAATCGCGTGTGTTCCATTTACAGATGGGAAACTGAGGCACGAGATACCAGAGGATGGAGTCAGGCCACGTTGTGCGCCACTCTCCCCGCTTAGGTGGGTGAGGAGACCGAGGTGTGTTGGGCCCCCGCTAAACACCAGCACCGACCTGAGCCCCGCCCAGACCCCTCCAGCCGGCTTTCCCTGTCCTCTGCTCGTGTGCCAATAAAGTTATTGAAATTGACACCGGTTGCTAAGGAAGTGGGTCGCCGAGCCAGGTTGCTAAGGAAGTGAGCGGCCACTGTCTCTCCCCATCCGGGGCAGCGGGGAATGGCTGAGCCAGGGGTTCGCCGCCCCCGCCGCCGCCGCCGCCGCCGCCGCCGCCGCCGCCGCCCGCTTTCGGCTCGGGCCTCAGGTGAGTCGGAGGGGCCGGGCGCCCACCGAGCAGGGCTAATCCTGTGGCCGCCTGGGGTTTTCCCTGCGACCTGCGCCCGCGCCTCTGCCTGGCTTTGCTGTCCCGCGAGCCGGAGCATCCTCTGCCCTGCCTCCTAGGCATCCTTTGGTAGTCCGGACGGCCTTGCCCCTCCTTCCCCTGGCAGGGTCGCGGCCCGACCCCCAGACACGGCCACCTTGGGTCGCAGCCCACCTGGGGGCCCTGAGGCGGTGGTCAGGGCCCCAGTTTGGGAGGAGGGCGGGGAAGCGAGAGCCTGGGGTCCGAACCTCGGCGCTGTGCTGGGCTTGCTGTGTGACCTTGGGCAAGTCTTTTCACCTCCCTGGCCTTAGCTGACCTGTTTATTCAATGGGGTCCTAACATTGCTGCTCAGAGTGGTAAAGATAATGAGAAGTGTATGTGAAAGTGCCCTAAATGGGGAGAGGGAGAATTCTTAGGGCACCCTAGATGGGAGACCAAGAGGGCAGTTTGAAGTCTGAGCGAGTTAGAGACGTGGCATTTCCACTTAGTAACTGTGTGGCCCTGGGCAAGTTAATTTCTCTGAGTCTTCTTTTCCTTATCTGTGAAATGAGGTAATAGACTACTGTGGAAATCAGTGAGACTGGGTATGTCAAGTAGCTTGGCACATAGTAAGTGCTCAACCAGCTATTATGAGGCGTCCAGGGTAGGAGGGCAAGACTTCCAGGAGGAGATGACTTTGGGACAGGTAAGGTGTAGGTGTGTAGAGTGCCAGCTCATATGGGTAGTCCTACTGCAATGCCAACCCCCAACCCCGGTTTTACTTCTCCATTCTGCTCAGAGCAAGGGAGGTACTTCTACAAGTAGTCCTGGGAAACTCTTTGAGGTCAACCCCTTGTAGATAGCTGGGGTCATGGTCTCATTTTCTACCTGGGCTTCGTTGACCCTTCCAGAAGAAAAAAGGCATCTTTGTGTCCTTTGGGAAGTGCTTAAAGCAGTAATAACTATTTACAAGCATATGATTAAGAAGCACTTTACCAGGCATATTATTTCATTTAATCTTTATGTAGACTTTGCCAGGTGCCTGGTGATGTCATCCTCATTTTGCCGATGAGGAAACTGAGGTTCAGAAAAGTAAAGGGAAGGACCTGCTTAAGAATCCTTTTTTTTTTTTTTTTTTTTGAGACAGAGTCTTAGTCTGTTGCCCAGGCTGGAGTGCAGTGGCGCGATCTCAGCTCACTGCAACCTCCGCCTCGTGTGTTCAAGCGATTCTCCTGCCTCAGCCTCCCGAGTAGCTGGGACTACAGATGTTCACCACCTCGTCCACTAATTTTTGTAGTTTTAGTAGAGACAAGGTTTCACCATGTTGGCCTGGCTGGTCTCGAACTCCTGGCCTCAAGTGATATACCTGCCTCGGCCTCCCAAAGTGCTAGGATTACATGCGTGAGCCACCACACCCAGTCATTGCCTAAGAATCTTGTATCTATTAAGTGATGGAAGTGGACGTGTTTCTAGGTAAATCCTGTATTTTATCCCCCATTCACTGTTGCCTCTGATTTTGCAACAGTTGCTATTATAAGGCCACAGGGGTATTCTTTTGTTACTTTTAACTGGCTAGAAGTTAAAAGGCAAGGAAACAAGATCTCAGGTAAAGCTTTATTTAAATAGATACCACCCAAAGTGAGGATCTCAGAAAATAGTTGGAATCTTTTTTTTTTTTTTTGAGACGGAGTTTTGCTGTTGTTGCCCAGGCTGGAGTGCAATGGTGCCATCTCAGCTCACTGCAACCTCCGCCTCCCTGGTTCAAGCAGTTCTCCTGCCTCAGCCTCCCAAGTAGCTGGGATTACAGGCATGTGCCACCATGCCCGGCTAATTTTGTATTTTTAGTAGA
This sequence comes from Homo sapiens, assembly GCF_000001405.40. NCBI lineage: Eukaryota > Metazoa > Chordata > Mammalia > Primates > Hominidae > Homo > Homo sapiens. The sequence goes on from NC_000020.11 coordinate 32,279,651, forward strand.
GATGGGGTTTCTCCATGTTGGTCAGGCTGGTCTCAAACTCCCGACCTCAGGTGATCGCCTGCCTTGGCCTCCCAAAGGACTGGGATTACAGGCATGAGCCACTGTGCCCAGCCTGAGAGCTGGAATCTTTAAAAGAGGGCTTCTCTGTCCCTCATTCCCTCCTCATTAAAATGAGGGGACTAGGCTAGATTATACTGAAGGCCCTTTCAGTGCTGTTATGCAGTTGTGGTTAAAAGCTTGCAATCAGACTACCTGGACTAAAATCTTGGCTCTGCCACTTCCAAGCTGTGTGCTACTGAGCAAAGAGGTGCTACTTTACCTCTGAAATGATGCTCAGTACCTCTGAAATGATGAGAGGACTTTTTGGTAAGGGGCTCTGTGAGGAAGAATTATTCATAGTTCATTTTGAACCCCTTGGTGGTATAGTTTCCTCATCTGTAAAATGGGGATAGTAATAGGCCTTATTACCTGTGGCCTTATTATCATGTATGGCTGTTCTGAGGATTTATTTGAACTTAATATATGTGAAGTGCCCAGCATATTTGGTAAACATTAGCTATCGTTATTTGGGTTTAACGTGGTGCTTGTGCTGTATTTTCCGTGTATGGTTGGTGAAAGAATAAATTAAAGTATGTGATAATACCAGGTCCGTCAACCATAATGTCATTGCAAGCATGAAACAGTAGCCATCATGGCATTATATAAATGTTGATATTTTTATACAGTTGGCCCCAGGAACCTGTAATCATGTGCCACAATGGGTTGCAAAGAAAGGTAAAGCTGTCCAGGCATGGTGGCTCACGGCTGTAATCCCAGCACTTTGGGAGGCCAAGACGGGTGGATCACGAGGTCAGGAGATCGAGACCATCCTGGCTAGCACAGTGAAACCCCATCTCTACTAAAAGAAAAAAAAAATTAGCTGGGCATGGTGGCGGGCGCCTGTAGTCCCAGCTACTCGGGAGGCTGAGGCAGGAGAATGGCGTGAACCGGGGAGGTGGAACTTGCAGTGAGCCAAGATTGCGCCACTGCACTCCAGCCTGGGCGACAGAGCAAGACTCCGTCTCAAAAAAAAAAAAAAAAAAAAAAAAAAGAAAGAAAGATGAAAGCTGATGGTAGGACGTTAGGTTTAGTAGCTCAACATCCAATTCAGTAAATATTTGCTAAATCCCCTTATGCTAGGCACATGGAGGATGTGGAGGTCAATCCCATCTCCATATCCTTCGAGGAACTCAGAGCTTAATTTGCAAATTACTGCATTTGACATCTTTAAATGAATTCATATCTTATGTTTGCCTTGGCTGCAGAGTGAAGCCACTGATTCTAATCTGTTTTGTTGTGTCCCTAGACTTCTGTTAGGTGCCTGGATTAGAAACCTCAGATTGCTTCCTAAGCCTTTTCATCCATTAATTCGCAAGTCCCTGAGAAAGACCCCGTCTTATGTAACAGAGAGTAGCAATACTTGACAATAACAATAAGGTGCCTAATGGCTTACAAAAATGCCTACACTTGCTTACACATGCTTTTACTCATTTAATCTTATCTGTGTCCCTTCAAGGAAGGTAAGGTGCAGATTAGGATCTCTGTTTTATAGTCGAGGAATCTGAATGGAAGCCAAGAAGCCATGATGCTATTGAGTGGCCCATTTCACGTTGAAATCCAGTCTTCTGTCTTCAAATTCAGTGTACTTACCACTATCCTGCCCGGATTGTATTTATTCAGTATTTCCTGAGCACCTAGAATGTGTCAGTTCTGTTTTAGCCTGGAGATATCATGGTAGAAAGGTACAGAGTCCCTTGCTCTCATGCAGCTTATATTCTACTGGCAGCAAACAGAAAAATACAGCAGTAAATGAACAAGGGAATTTGGATGAGGAATAAGTGCTGGGGTGAAATCCCATCTCTATTAAAAATACAAAACTTAGCTGGGTGTGGTGGCACGTGCCTGTAGTCCCAGCTATTCAGGAGGCTGAGGCACAAGAATTGCTTGAACCTGGGAAGCAGAGGCTGCAGTAAGCCGAGGTTGCGCCATTGCACTCCAGCCTGGGCAACAGAGCGAGACTCCATCTCAAAAAGAAAAAAAACCCAACAAACAAAAAGAAAAAGAAAAGGCCTTGCTAGGATGGTGACGTTTTTGCTGAGATTTGCTCCCAGGGACGGGCCAGCCATTTGAAGACATGTCAGAAGGAAGAGCAAGGGTAAAGGCTGTGAGGTGGCAACAAGCTTGGTAAGTTCCAGAAACTGCAAGAAGGCTTACAATGGCAGGGACAGGTGAGTCAAAGGCAGAGTGGGGAGGTGGGTGGATGTAGGGGATGGAAGTGGTAGGGAGCGCTCAGATCATACAGGACCTTGTCTGCTAGAGTAATGAGTTGGGATTTTGTTCTAAAAGCTGTGGAAATCATTGGAGGTTCTGGAGAAGGGACGTGGCATGATCTATTTTTGTTTTTTAAAAAAATCACTCTGGCCTCTTTGTGGCAGTGAATTTTAGAGGGCATAGGAGTGGCAGCCAGGAGGCTAGTTAAGAGGTTAGGTGAGAGAAGATAGTGGCTTTCTAGGTTGGTGGCAGTGGAGATGGTAAGAGGACGGATTGGGGATGTGTTTCGGAGGTAGAACCAGCAGGATGGCGGGATGAGGGTGAGAGAATAAGGATGACTCCTGGGTTTTTGGCCTGAGCAATTAAGTAGATGTTAGAGATGCCATCTGCCTCTGAAATGATGAAAGGACTTTTTGGTAAGGGGCCCTATGAGGAAGAATTATTCATAGTTTATTTTGAACCCTGTAGAGGAGAGGCACAAGGTATAAGCATCATACTTTATAGTCTGTGGGGAGGAAATCCCAGATTATGCTGGCAGAAGCTAGCCAGGTGCAACTGATTGAAGCTTGACGTTCTTACTGTGAACCAAAAAAAAAAGTCCTGCTTTTCTACAGTCTGGCTTTTTGCCAGCCTGTGGAGCGGCAGGTGTGGGCTTTGCCAGGGCAGTACCCATCTGTCTTTCTGTCTTGTGCTGTTGGCATTGCAGTGCTGACTCGGGATCTTGGCTGAGGGAGCCTGGCCAGCTCTGGAAGAGGGAGCGGAATCACTAGTGAAGTTCACTTGGTGTGCCAAATGGCCACATTCTCCCTGCCAAAGTGGTTCTTTCCTGGTCACCAAATGACAGTTCTGAAGTTTCAGAGCTTTTGACTTCAGAATCCCTGGAAAACCTATTGTACTCTACCAGAATTCCTAGAGGATTCTTGAATCTCTTCTGAGCAAGGGAATTCGAGCTTCATTGTTATGTATTCCAGTAACTGTACTTGTAAATCTGGGCATTACAGGGTTGTACATTCAACATTGTGAATAGTAAAACTAATAGTCTTATCACTGCCACTTGTTTATTTAATTAAATTTAATAAATTTATTCATTTTGGAGACAGGGACTCCCTCTGTCACCCAGGTTGGAATGCAGTGGTGTGATCATGGCTCCCCCACAGCCTTGAACTCCTGGGCTCAAGTGATCCTTCTACCTCAGTCTCTTGAGTGGCTGGGACCGCAGGCATGTACTGTCGTGCCTGGCTAATTTAAAAAAAAATGTTTTGGGGACGGGTGTGGTGGCTTATGCCTGTAATCCCAGCACTTTGGGAGGCTGAGGTGTGCAGATCACGAGGTCAGGAGTTTGAGACCAGCCTGACCAACATGGTGAAACCCCTTCTTTACTAAGAATACAAAAATTAGCTGGGCGTGGTGGTGCGCACCTGTAATCCCAGCTACTCAGGAGGCTGAGGCAGGAGAATCGCTTGAACCCGGGAGGTGGTGGTTGCAGTGAGCTGAGATCGCACCACTGCACTCCAGCCTGGGCGACAGAGTGAGACTCCGTCTCAAAAAAAAAAAAAATTCTGTAGATGGCTAGGCATGGTGACTCACACCTGTAATCTCAGCACTTTGGGAGGCTGAGGCACGTGGATCACCTGAGATCAGGAGTTTAAGACCAGCCTGGCCAACATGGGGAAACCCCATCTCTACTGAAAATACAAAAATTAGTCGGGTGTGGTGGTGCATGCTTGTAGTCCCAGCTACTTCGGAGGCTGAGGCGGGAGAATCGCTTGAACCTAGGAAGCGGAGGTTGCAGTGAGCTGAGATTGTACCACTTCACTCCAGCCTGGGTGACAGAGTGAGACTCCATCTCAAAAAAAAGAAATTTGTAGAGACGGGTCTTACTGTATTGTCCAGGCGTCTTGGCCACAAGTGATCCACTCACCTTGGCCTCTCAAAGTGCTGGGATTACAGGCATGAGCCGCTAATTTTTTTAGAAAACTTGGTCTCACTCTGTTGCCCAGGCTGGAGTGCAGTGGTGCAGTCATAGCTCATTGTAACCTCCAACTCCTGGGCTCAAGCGATCCTCCCACGTCAGCCATCCAAGTAGCTGAGACTACAGGTGCATGCCACTACACCCAGCTAATTAAAAAAAAAAAATTTTTGTTTTTAATTTTTATTTTTTGTAGAGATGGGGTCTTGCTATGTTACAGGCTAGTCTCAAACTCCTGGCTTCAAGCAATCTTCCTGCCTCAGCCTCCCAAAGTGCTGGGATTACAGGCATGAGCCACAGCACCTGGCCACCACTGCTATTTGTATAACTTTGCAGTTTAGAACGCTCTTTCCTGTGCATTCTCATTTACTAATTGTCAATCAGTTGAGATCATCTGGACTACATATTATCCCTGGTTTACAAATGAAGACATTGTGGTGTGGAGAGGTCACTTGTTTTTGTCAGTAATATTGAGCATTTTCTAGGTGCTGAGTTAGGGAGATCCTTGCTGCTCAAAGTGTGTTCTCTGTGACAGATGTACCATGTCCCCAGGACCTTGTCAGAAATGCAGAATCTAGGCTGGGTGTAGTGGCTCACGCTTGTAATCCCAGCACTTTGGGAGGTCAAGGCAGGAGGATCACTGGAGGCCAGGAGTCCGAGACCAACCTGGGCAAAACAGTGAGACCTCCTCTGTATTTTTAAAAACAGAAGAAGAAGAAGAAAACAACAACAATAACAAGGCCCAGATCTAATAAATCAGAGCCTGCCTTTTACCAAGATCCCGGATGTTTCCTGTGCACATTAAAAGTTTGAGATGCTCTCACCTAGGTAATCAGTAGCAAAACTAAGACTTACCAATGATAATGACAATGAAGGTAATAGTCGTAGCTAAGATACATTAGCCAAGCACTGTTGTAAGCACTTTACACATGTTGTTTCATTTAGATTTAGACCTCACACCAATCCTGTAACACAGATTTCCAGAAGAGGAAAGTAGAGGCTCAGAAAAGTTCAGTAACTTCCTGACATCTGCTGACTCCAAGTCTATTGCTCTTTCTACCATTCATTCGCGTGTTCATCTGTTTTTCAGGTGGGCAGTGACCACATCTTAGCTGTCTTGTCAAAGGCCTTTCTCTTCCATACCTGCATAACTAATTTTAAATGATGACCAAAAAAAAAAAAAAAAACAGTGACTTGAAAGAATGTTTGAGAAAATCAAGGGAAAAACTTCTGAGCTAGATGGGTGTCAGTTACTTGACTGATGAGGCCGCAAACAGATATCTCATTTGGTCAGATAAGCTACCTCTCACACTTCTTAGTGATCTAACTTCAGGGTCCGAACAGCTGAAGCAGGTAGGAACTGTGAGCTTGTATTCTGAGTCATTTAGCTCTAAGCTGTTTCTTGATTCTGGTGATAAATATCTACACTGGGTGAGAAGATAGTGGATAAAGTCCCATATAACACCTGCCAACTAATTGTTAAAACATTCCATCTCACTGTGCCTCAGTTTTCTCTCTCTGCCCTGTGGGCTCATTATTTTCCTTTCAACACCTCCTGTCTTTCTAGACTCTCAGAAAGATATATTGGTCGAGGACTATGCCATTATAGGAAATTTTGACCTGAAAGGATGGTGGGAACTGGGTAAAGGCAGGATTCTATCAATTCTGCTACTTGCTGTGTGACTTGGAGCAAGTGACTCAACCTCTCTAGGCCTCTGTCTTGCGCATACATATATATATGTAAAATAAAGATATAGGACAGTTCTTCCCAAAGCCCTTCCAGCCCTGCCCACAAGACTGAACCTTGAGTTGGGTGATATTTTGTTCTTTCTTGGTGACTTCATACTGAGCTTTCTCCCAGACCTTTCGGGTGTGGCTTTTAGAGCGTATTTCTTGGCAGTCAGAGAGCATTACAATCAGCTCATCTTATCAGCATCACACATCTGCACAGCAGCTTGGGATGTTCATGTTTAAGGTTCAGTTAATCATGGTGACACATTGTGTCTTCTCACTTTGTCACACTGATTGCGGACATTGAGCTCTTCACACAGGAAGATCTATCTTTAGCATGCTGATTTATTTAACTCATAATTTGCATTAGAGAGGGAACCAGTGATAATCATGGTGGGTGTGGCTTTTATTTTTAAAGTTTTTGGCAAGACATTTGCAGCACTTGCATTTTGTCATGCTTGAATATAGTCTATAAATGGAAATGGGTTCAAGTGAAATAGAAATTGCCATAGATTATTGGGAGCTTGGGACTTAACCACTCTGGAGTCCTTCATATCACCTTCAGCAGTGCTTTCAGGAAGGGCTTGCTTGGCCTTTTGTGTGTGACATAAATTAAACAGAAACTAAAAGCTCATAGCACAATCTCTAGCAGCTTAGCAGACTACAGTAATCATTACTTTGTAACACATTTCAGAACATAAGCAAAAAATCTAGCTGGCAAATCATAAAAGATTCCATCTAGGTAAGATAAAATATCAGTTCAAGTTACCTAAAGATAACCACAAGAAGATAGTCCTTGGTGGAAGTAGTTACTGGTTTTGCAAGATCTGCAATAATAAGTTAGACTCTGGCCTAAGAAATATATGTAATGTTTTTCCTTATTCTTCAATTGTCAGCCTTTTAAAAATATATAATTTTTTCCGATTATAAAAATAATAAACTTCCATTGAGTAAAAAAATGAGGAAAATACTGAACAGATTAAATAAGGCTGACTTTAAGATCCACCACTGAGAAATAACTACTGTTAACATTTTACTGTCCATATACAAATGTATTCCTAAATACATTTTATCTCATAGGCTTGCAGTTCTCACCTGTTTCCTCCATTGTTGTTATTTAGGCCATTTTCAACATTTAAACATTATGAGTAATGCTTCAGAGAACATCTTAATGATGATTATTTTGTGTAAACCTTTGTCTGCACTGCTGATGATTTCTTTAAACTAGGTCCTTTAATGTTAAAAATTTTAAATTACAAAGGCAACCCCCCTTAAATAATGTTTTTAACATGGCAGTGTTAACCTAAAGCTGAAAAGACAGACAGAATTACAATTTGGTTGGGGAATTTACCCATGGTGATGGTATCCTAACTCAGGTTTTAGCTTACTTGACTACTTGCAAGTATATTTTTAGAAAGTTGTATTCAAAGCATATTTCCCATTTTCTATTTGGAAATGTTTGCTTAACATTATTTCATAACCATTTTTCCATATTTTTGTACTTATTTATTTCAATTTTTGTTTCATTTTATTTTTGTAGAAACAGGGTCTCACTATGTTGCTCAGGCTGGTCTCAAACTCCTAGGCTCAAGCGATCCTCCTGCCTTGGCCTCCCAAAGTGCTCAGATTACAAGTGTGAGCCACCAGGCCCAATCTATTTTTTTTATTTGTTTATTTTTGAGATAGGGTGTCGCTCCGTTGCCCAGGCTGGAATACTGTGGCATGATCATAGCTCACCGTAACCTCCAGCTCCTGGGCTCAAGTGGTCCTTCCACCTCAGCTTCCTAAGCAGCCAGGGCCACAGGTGCGTGCCACCACTTGTGGCTAATTTTTAAATTTTTCATGGAGGCAGGATCTCACTATGTTGCTCAGGCTGGTCTCAACTCCTGGCCTCAAGCAATGCTCCTGACTCAGCCTCCCAAAGTGCTGAGACTACAAGTGTGAGCCACTACGCCTTGCTGTGTTTTTGTGTTTAGTAGTTATTACTACATGTTAGTAGTTTAGTAGTAACTACTACACTTTCCCTGGCATTGAGCATTGAAGTTGTTTCCACCTTTTTATAATCACATATAATGTGTTATACAGAATATCTCCTTCTCTCTCAGCCTCTTAAGAGAACAATTCTAAATAAGTGGTTTGTGAAAAGTTTGAACTTTAAAAAATTCTAACAGAGAACTGTCCATTTCCCTTCTTAGGATCCTCTAAAAGTATCTTTTTTTTTTTTTTTTTTTTTTTTTTTTCAGATGGAGTCTCACTCTGTCGCCTAGGCTGGAGTGCAGTGGTGCAGTCTCAGCTCACTGCAACCTCCGCCTCCTGGGTTCAAGTGATTCTCCTGCCTCAGCCTCCTGAGTACCTGGGATTACAGGTGCACACCACCACGCCCAGCTGATTTTGGTATTTTTAGTAGAGATAGGGTTTCACCATGTTGGTCAGGCTGGTCTTGAACCCCTGACCTTGAGATCTGCCCATCTCGGCCTCCCAAAGTGCTGGGATTACAGGCGTGAGCCACCGTGCCTGGCCTAAAAGTATCTTTAAAAAACAGATTTAGCTGGATGTGGTGGCTCATTCCTGTAATCCCAGCACTTTGGGAGGCCTAAGTGGGAAGATTGCTTGAGGCCAGAAGTTTGAGACCAGCCTGGGCAGCATAGTGAGACCCCATCTATACAAAACATATGAAAATTTACCCGGGTGCAGTGGCTTGCACCTGTACTCCCAACTACTCGGGAAGCTGAGGCAAGTTCAAGCCCAGGAGTTCAAGGCTACAGTGAGCCATGATTGCGCTACTGCATTCCAGCCTGGGTGACACAGTGAATGAGATCCTGTCTCCAAACAAACAAAAAATGAACTTTATTTAGATATATTTTACATATGATGAAGTATTTTTTTGATGTAGTAGTTTTTCTCACCTTCTTTTTAGTCTTCTCTTTATCCATTTTTCTTTCTGATGAAGAATTCCCTGTGAGTAGGACCCAGAACATAGGCCTTTGTCATTTCAACCCTTCGTTCTCTGAATAGGCTGTTTATTGGCAACATTAACTGGAAACATTTTATGTACAGCATTGGAGTCTCACTCTGTCGCCTCAGCTCACTGCAACCTCCGCCTCCTGGGTTCAAGTGATGTGCACTGTATGAACTGTGAGAGCAAGCATATCATTATAACATTGGACAATGAGCCAAGACAGTTCTGATGGACTTTTGAAGAGGGATTTTTCAAAAAGCATTTAACTCATCATATTAATAAAATAAATCCTATGATTTATGGGAAATTCTGTTGGATCAACTTTGGAAACTGTTTACTATAAAGGTAGCATGCGTAGGCATGAATCTTGATAAGACAAGATTCTGATCCGGGGTTCTGAGTGGGTCCTTATATTCTGCAGAGCTGAACCAGGTGGAATAGGAGGAGAGTTTGGGTAACAGTCAAACACAACATCCAAAATTATGTTGAATGTAGTGGTGAGAGCTATTCCCTTTAAAACTCTCTCTTGGTTCTTCTGACTGTGTCAAGAATACTGTATTTGTTTGGTACTGGTCTGGTTTTTTTTTTTTTTTTTTTGAAATGGAGTCTCAGTCACCCAGGCTGGAGTGCAGTGGCACGATCTCAGCTCACTGCAACCTCTGCCTCCTGGGTTCAAGCAGTTCTCTGCCTCAGCCTCCTGAGTAGCTGGGATTACAGGTGCCTGCCACCATGCCCGGCTAATTTTTGTATTTTTAGTAAAGACGGGGTTTCACCATCTTAGCCATGCTGGTCTTGAACACCTGACCTTGTGATCCACCTGCCTTGGCCTCCCAAAGGGCTGGGACTACAGGCGGGAGCCACCATGCTCGGCCACTAGTCTATTTCTTAACACTTATTAAGCTCCCTTTCAAACCAATGGTGATCAAGCTTAAGGCCTCAGATAAGCTACAGTATTTAGCTAGAATTTAGTAACATTGTTGTCTGTTCTTATATTTATTTTCACAGTTACTTTCTATTTATAACAAGTGATACTGATTTTCCATTCATGGTGGTTATATAAAGTTTCTTTTTAAAATAAACTTTGTGTTAAGCAAAGTAGATTTAAAGAAAAAACGTTAAGTAAATAATAGTACAGGTGATGATAGACATGGCGAAAATTGTCCAGAAACAATCGGATTATTGACATTTAGGACATGCTGGTGTGGAAGAAAGGCCATGGACTTTGGAGCCAGATGGACCTGGTTTCAGCTTGCTTTGCCACTTATTAACTCAGTGTGCCATGTTACTTCCCTGTCTAAGTCTCTGTTTTTTTTCTCCTGCAAATTGGGTCAGGGCAGAGTTACCACTTGTGGGCCAGACGCTTGCTGCCTGTCTTCTTCTAGTCCTCACACGGCCCCAAGCAGCAGGTGTTAGTGATATTCCCATTTTACAGATGAGGAAATCAGCTCCGAGGGGTAAGAAACTTTCACAGAGCCTCAGAACTACGAATGATAGGCTGGGCACAGTGGCTCCCAGCACTTTAGGAGGCCGAGGCAGGTAGAACACCTGAGGTCAGGAATTCGAGACCAGCCTGGCCAACATAGTGAAACCCACGCTCTACTAAAAATACAAAAGTTAGCCGTGCGTGGTGGCAGGCGCCTGTAATCCCAGCTGCTTGGGAAGCTGAGGCAGGAGAATCCCTTGAACCTGGGAGGTGGAAGTTGCAGTGAGCCGAGATCACGCCACTACACTGCAGCCTGGGTGACAGCAAGACTCCATCTCAAAAACAAACAAACAAAACTAGGAATGATAGAGCTGGGTTTCAGTCCCAGGTGTGTCTGAATCTCTTTTTGGCTATTCAGGCTACCTCTGCCTGTTAAATACAGGTTTTGCTATGGCCCTCTGCCCATAGCATTATTCACAATAGCCAAGAGGTAGAAGCAGCCCAAATGTCCGTTAACAGATAAATGGATAAAGAATATGTGGTACAGGCCAGGCGCGATGGCTCACGCCTGTAATCCCAGCACTTTGGGAGGCCAAGGCGGAAGGATTGCTTGAACCCAGGAGTTCCAGACCAGCCTGGGCAATATAGTGAGACCTTGTTTCTATAACAAATAATAATAATAATAAATTAGCTCAGTATGGTGGCATGTACCTGTAGTCTCAGCTACTCAAAAGGCTGAGGTGGGAGGATTGCTTGAGCCTAGGAGTTCAAGGATGCAGTGAGCTGTGATTGCACCACTGCACTCCAGCCTGGGTGTCAGCAAGACTGTGTCTCAAAAAAAAAAAAAAGAAAATATATATAGTGCATACATGGAATGGAATATTATTCAGCCTTAAAAAAGAAGGAAGTTCTGACACATGCTTTAGTATTGATGAACCTTGAGGGCATTGTGCTGAGTGAAATAAGCCAGTCACAAAAGGACAAATACTGTTATGATTCCACTTATCCGAGGTAGCTAGAGTAGACAAAATCATGGAAACATGGTTACCAGGGGCTAAGGAGAGGGGGAAATGGGGAATTGTTCAGTGGTTATAAAGTTTCAGCTTTGCAAGATGAAAAAGTTCTAGAAATGTGTTATACAACAATGTGAATATAGTTAACACTACTGAACTATACACTTAAAATGATTAAGAGGGTAAATTTTATATTATGTGGGGTTTTTTACTGTAATTTTAAAAAAATTTTAAATGATAAGCCATTGGTTAGAGGGTGATTTTTTTTTCATTTGGAAAATCCCAATTATGCATAAAACTAGAATAATGTAATGAATCATGAACCCATTACCCACCTCCAGCAGTTCTCAGCACTTGGCAATCCTATTTTACCTATAACCTTCCATGCACCCCACCCCTGAAAAAGATCCCAGATGGCATATAACTTTATCTGAAAATATTCTTGTTTACCTCTAGAGGATAAGAACTTTCTTTTTAAAATAATAACATTTTTTTACACGTAAAAATAATTTCTTACATTGTCTCATATCCAGTGTTCCAATTTCCTTGATTGTCTTATACATTTTTTTTTTTTTTTTGAGACAGAGTCTCGCTCTGTCACCCGGGCTGGAGTGCAGTGGTGCGATCTAGGCCCACTGCAATCTCTGCCTCCCGGGTTCAAGCAATTCTCCTGCCTCAGCCTCCCAAGTAGCTGGGATTACAGACATGCATGCACCACACCCAACTAATTTTTATATTTTTAGTAGAGACAGGGTTTCACCATGTTAGCTAGGCTGGTCTTGAACTCCTGACCTCGAGTGATGCACCCTCCTCGGCCTCCCAAAGTGCTGGGATTACAGGTGTGAGCCACCGCGCCTCGCCTCATTTTTTTTTTCTTGAGACAGGGTCTCACTGTATCACCCAGGCTTGAGTGCAGTGGTGTAGTCAGAGCTCACTGCTGCCTCAAACTCTTAGGCGGCTCAAGCAAACTCCTGGGCTCAAGTGATCCTCCCAACTTAGCCTCCTGAGTAGCTGGGGCCACAGGCATATACCACCGCACCTGGCTAATTTTTAAAAATTTTTTTGTAGAGACAGGATCTTGCCATCTTGTCCAAGCTGGTCTTGAACTCCTAGGCTCAAGTGATCCTCCCACCTCAGCCTCCCAAAGTGCTGGGATTATGGGTGGTGAACCACCTAGCTTGGTCCTTGTACATTTCTTAACAGTTGGTTTGTTTGAATCAAGATCAAAAAAGGAGCTGGACGTAGTGGCTCACCATGGTGGCTGGTATTACATGATGGACCTGTAATACCAGCAGTTTGGGAGGCCTAAGTGGGAGAATCACATGAAGCCAAGAGTTTGAGACCAGCCTGTGCAACAAAGCAAGACCCCCCCCAACTTCTACAAACAATTTTAAAAATTAGTCCAGGCATGGTGGCTCATGCCTGTAATCCTAGCACTTTGGGAGGCTGAGGTGGGTGGATCACTTGAGGTCAGGTGTTTGAGACCAGCCTGGCCAACACGGTGAAACCTCGTCTCTACTAAAAATAGAAAAAAAAAAAAAAAAAAAAAAAGAAAAGTCGGGTCCAGTGGCGCACGCCTGTAGTCCCAGCTACTCTGGAGGCTGAGGTGGGACGATTGCTTGAGCGAGGAGTTCGAGGCTGCAGTAAGCTGAGATTCTGCCACTGCACTCCAGCCTGGGCAACAGAGCAAGACCTTGGCTCTTGAAAAACAACAGAATGTGAAGACCTTGACTCTTAAAAAACAATAGAATGTGTACAACAGTCCTACCTCTGGGAGTGGATCCTACCAACTACTCCCACTTACCCTAAAGGTATATATGTTCAGTATAGCCACTGCAGTACTGTTTGCAGTAGCAAATGACCAGAGACCATCAGAAGGTCCCTCAATAAGGGACTGACTGATCAAAGACATTTTTTGGCTGGGCGCAGTGGCTCATGACTGTAATCCCAGCACTTTGGGAGGCCAAGGCAGGCGGAACACCTGAGGTCAGGAGTTCAAGACCAGCCTGGCCAACATGGCAAAACCCCGTCTCTACAAAAAATAAAAAATTAGTTGGATGTGGTGGGGTGTGCTTATAGTCCCAGGTACTTGGGAGTCTGAGGTGGGAAGATTGCTTGACCCCAGGAGGTTGACGTTGCAGTGAGCTGTGATTGTGCCACTGCACTCCAGCCTGGGCAACTGAGACTCTGTCTCAAAATAAATGAGTGAATGAATGAATGAATGAAAGGAAGTAAGACAGAAAAGAAAGGAAAAAGAAGCAGCTAAGCATGGTGTCTGATGCCTGTAATCCCATACTTTGGGAGGCTGAGAGACGGAAGGATCACTTGAGCCAGGAGTTTGAGACCAGCCTGGGGACCAGCCTGGGCAACATAGTGAGACATTTGTCTCTACAAAAAATAAAAACAAAATTAGGTTTGGTGGCATGTACCTGTAGTCCCAGCTACTGAGGAGGTTGAGGTGGGAAGACTACCTGAGCCCAGGAGGTTGAGGCTATGGCGAGCCAACATCATGCCACTGCACTCCAGCCTGGAGTGCAGAGCAAGAGTCTGTCTCAAAAAAACAAACAAAGAAAACAACACAAAATGAGTTGGGGGGCGGGGAGAAGGAGTTCTCCAAGATTTATATAGGAAGAAGTACAGTGGTATATAGTATACTGCTACTTGAGTTAAAAAGGTTTAAAAGCAAAAGATGAAGATGAAGGAGCAATGCAGATATGTTAGGAAGATTTACATGTTCACTGTACACTCTGTACAGCTTGAATTGCGTTAATCTTTGCATAGACATACACATGTATATATGCGTATATATCAGGTGTTTTAAAAATATATGGGTTTATATATGGGTTTTAAAATAAGACAAATCTGGTTTTGAATCCTGACTCTTCCACTTAATTGTCGTGTAACCTTGGGCAAATTAATTTCCCTGAGTCTCTGATCCTTATTCTTTAAATGAGGCTAATGCCTGCCTTCCTCCCAAGGTGATTTTGAGGATTAAAAGAGGACTCACATTAAGCTCTTGGTATACTGTGAGTTGTGACTATTGAATACAATAAAACCCAAGAACTGCATTGATTCTGAATAGTAGGTGTTGTCCAACAGACTTGAATATATTTTTGAATGTATTTTATGTTTTACAATTGAATGCCAAAAAGAGTTTCTTTTCTTCTTTCCCTGCCTAAATAAATGCTTTGTTTGCCTCTTTGTGTCATCAAATGACAGAGAGTACATGGCGCCAGTTTGAATTCAGGGCAGGCATTTATTGTCCTTGTTACTTGACTGTGACGTTTTTAGGTTTCTTTCCGGAGAACTAGCGTGTCTTCTTCAGACATTTAAGCTGAAATCAAAGTTCTGGACTTTTCTCCAAAGAAAACATTGCTTTATTGCTTCCCCCACCTTAATTATAAAAATCAAAATACATGCACCCATCAAAAAATACAAAGAAAGCAAAAAAATAGCCTGCAGGCGCACCACCCTAGAGGTCAATATTACCTGCATTTCATGAGTATTTATTAGTACTTTTCAATGTTAAAAGCTAAGCATTTAACATTCATTAGTTTATTTAATCCTCAGAACAGTTCTTTAAGGGAGATATTGCTATTAACCATACTTGGTGGAAGAAGAAACTGTGACTTAGTTTCTTGAGATTTTATAGCTAGTAAATGGCAGAGCAGAAATTCAAAGCCAGACCTGCTGAACACCTCAGCTCATGCTTTTAACAATGTCTTTACTCTGTGTTCCCCAAATCTGCATCTGCACATGTGCCTGTACACATAAACATTAACTGTATCATAGTAATTCTGTTTAGTAGCCTTTTTCTTCACTCAGCAATATGTCTTGAATATTGCCCATATCTAAATACCTAGAGGTTTGTTGCCATTTTTAATGACTTCATAGTTTCCCATTGTAGAGATGTGCCATAATCTAACCACTCCCTTATTGATGAGCATTTAAGTGCTTAGAGGTGGTGATGTGACAAACACAAATTGTGTATTACATTGTTGCACATGTATTTAGTTACTCAATTATGTCCTTAAAATAATTCCAAGAAATGGAATTGCTGTTTCAAGGGAGTATTCACATTTAGAGTTTTGGTACTGATTGCCTGACTGCCCTCAAGTATGTTGTGCCAATTTGAGATGCTGTGGCTCTTATATGTTCTTTCTGTAAGGGACATTTTGAAACTTTTTAGACAGTTCACGCAACTGTTTGGCTTACAAAAAAGGTGACGCCCCCCGCCCCCTTTTTTTTTTCTTTTGTGACAGAATCTCGCTCTGTCGCCCAGGCTGGAGTGCAGTGGTGCGATCTCAGCTCACTGCAAGCTCCGCCTCCCGGGTTCACACCATTCTCCTGCCTCAGCCTCCTGAATAGCTGGGACTACAGGTGCCCGCCATCATGCCCAGCTAATTTTTTTGTATTTTTAGTAGAGACGGGGTTTCACCGTGTTAGCCAGGATGGTCTCGATCTCCTGAGATCGTGATCCACCCGCCTCAGCCTCCCGAAGTGCTGGGATTACAGGTGTGAGCCACCACGCCTGGCTGACCTTATGTTTACAAATAATGCCTGTAATAACAACAGAATATATTTCATTACTTTCTTATTTGACGTCTATGCTCTAAATGCTTTTTAGAGCCGTCACTGCATGACTTGCTACATTTACCTTAGAAAGTTAAAAATTCTAGTGCTGTGGACCTAATAGAAACTGTTTTACGAAGCTTCATCATAAATTTAGGATAAGTAGGTCCCGAATTTAGGTCTCCTAGTAGGTCCCCTCATTTATCAATTAAAACATTTTTATTATCTTTTTTTTTTTTTTTTTTTTTTTAAATTGAGACAGAATCTTGCACTGTCGCCTGGGCTGGAGTGCAGTGGCATGATCTCAGCTCACTGCAACCTCTGCCTCCCGGGTTTGAGTGATTCTTCTGTCTCAGCCTCCCAAGTAGCTGAGACTACAACTGCCTGCCACCACGCCCGGCTAAGTTTTGTACTTGTAGTAGAGACGGGGTTTCACCGTGTTGGCCAGGATGGTCTCGATCTCTTGACCTTGTGATCCACCCGCCTCGGCCTCCCAAAGTGCTGAGATTACAGGTGTGAGCCACCACACCCGGCCCATTTTTATTATCTTATATTCATGGTGGTCAGCACAAATGGATAGATAAAATGGGAAAAATGAGTAACCCCTGTATATTTGTTTAATTTCACAAAGCCTTTCCATCTCTCTTTCCCCTTGATTTTATTTTATTTTTTGACTAAGTAATATATTTACATGATTCAAAACTCAAGAGATATTAAAGGGTAAACACACTTTGGGAGGCTGAGGTGGGCAGATCACCTGAGGCCGGGAGTTCAAGAACAGCCTGGCCATGGCGAAACCCTTTCTCTACTAAAAATACAAAAATTAGCTCGGTGTGATGGTGGGTGCCTGCCATCCCAGCTACTCGGGAGGCTGAGGCACAAGAATCGCTTGAATGGGAGGCAGAGGTTGCAGTGAGCCAAGATTGCACCACAGCACTCCAGCCTGGGTGACAGAGTGAAACTCGGTCTGAAGAAAAAAAAAAGGGTATATAATGAAAAGTTTCTCTTCTACTTTTGGCCCTCATCCACCTAGCTCTTTTAGGGAAAGCCAGTGTTGTTATCTGGCAATTGTTACATGGTTCTTGTGAATTCTTTCAGATATATTTTATGCACATATAAGCAAATGTAGAACCATTTTCTCAATATGTATAAAACGTCTTTTTAAAAGTTCTGCAGGACAGTGGTGTTATTTTTCAACCCAAGATGGATAATCTTGTTTTAAAAAGTGTGTAACTCCCTTTGTGAAACTGGCCATCATAGGAACCAGAGACCTAGAATTGGACTTGCTTTCATGGTGTGGTTCAGGGATTGCAAACACGGAGTCCTGATACTTCAAAAACAATTAGAAATAATTGTAAAAAGGAGTAGTGTTGATGGTGATGAGGTGGATACAGAGTAAAAACAGCTGCTTCCCCCGAGAGAAGCCTGTCCAGGGAATTGGTTTAGGCTGCTTAGCAGGGAGTCGCTTTTACTTCTTGCTCGAGTGTTGCAGTGCTTTTCTGATGGCTCATGTGATCTTTGGCTTGGGCTGCATTTCAGATACTCTGAGTATTTGAACCCTGGGCCAGGCAGTTGGCAGGTGGTTGCGTGATCTGATCTTAGAGGACATTGCTTTGGAATGCATTGATTTGAGGTGCGTTAGTATGCACTCTGTGTGCCCACAGGTTGCACCTCCTTGCAGGGTTGTTCCTGGGGAATTGCCAGACCTCTATTTTTTCCCATTTGGAGATACCACATACTCATTAAAGAGAATTTGGAAAATACAGAAATGTTGAAAGAGCAGGGGAAATCACCTATACTATTACCCAAGGTTGACCACTATTGATGTTTTTACGTGTGTCTTTATTTTTATATAATTGTGATTGCATGCAGTGATTCAATTTTGTAAACTGCTTTTTCATTTATGATAAGCATTTTCCATGTCATTACAGAGCCTCGGCAAATGGCATTTAAAAAGATGGGCTAGTATGTCGGGCCTTTCTTAATCAAATCATACATATATGAATTTGGTCATAGACAGAGATGTCTACAAGAGCCAGCCAGGAAGTATAAATGAGCAAAGCATGCTAGATATGAAACAGGAGATAGTGGGGTTGGGGAAGATTCCTATTGCTGCCACTTGGGGTTCAGGTCAAGGGCTGTCAGATATTCCCATGTTTCCAGAGAAGTGGATTTTTTTTTTTAATATGAAATTGTTAGGCCGGGTGCTGTGGCTCACGCCTATAATCCCAGCACTTTGGGAGGCTGAGGCGGGCAGATCACCTGAGGTCAAGAGTTTGAGACCAGCCTGACCAACATGGAGAAACCCCATCTCTACTTAAAAAAATACAAAATTAGCTGGGCAAGGTGGCGCATCCCTGCAATCCCAGCTACTTGGGAGGCTAAGCGGGGAGAATCGCTTGAACCTGGGAGGCGGAGGTTGCAGTGAGCCAAGATCATGTCGTTGCACTCCAGCCTGGACAAGAGTAAAACTCCGTCTCAAAAAAAAAAAAAAATTGTTGTTTTTTTGAATTAAAAAAAAAAATTCAGGCCTGGTGCAATGTCACACCAGTAATCCCAGCACTTTGGAAGTCCAGGGTGGGTGGGTCACTTGAGGCTGGGAGTTCGAGACCAGCCTGGCCAACATGGCAAAAACCCAGCCCTACAAACAGATACAACAATTAATTGTGCATGGCGGCCTGAGCCTGTAATCCCAGCTACTCAGGAGGCTGAGGCGGAAAATCGCCAGGGAGGCGGAGGTTGCAGTGAGCTGTGATTGCGCCACTGCACTCCAGCCTGGGTGACAGAGTGAGACTCTATCTCAAAAAACAAACAAAACAAAAATTCAGAGAATAATATAAGAAATAGAATCAGCAAAGTAAGGGAAATGTTATAAAGCTTGAAACCTTCCTGTTTTTGTTTTTTAAGAGAAAGGATAAAGTATTACAGATAAAGTTGAAATATCCTTCCCATCTCTACTCCCATTATCCATACTTCCCATTGCCCAGTTTGGGCAGCCACTGTCATAAATTGTTATATATCCTTCTATCTCCCCTCCCCTCCCCTCCCCTCTCTTCCCCTTCCCTTCTTCAGAGACAGGGTCTCACTCTGGAGTGCAGTGGTACAATCGTGACTGACTGTAACCTCCACCTCCTGGGCTCAAGTGATCCTTCCACCTTTTTGGAGTAGCTGTAGGTAGTAGGCCACCACACTGGGCTAATTTTCATTTCTTGTAGAAATAGGGTCTTGCTCTGTTGCCCTGGATGGTCTCAAACTTCTGAACTCAAGTGATCATCCTCCTACCTCAGCCTACCAAAGTGCTGCAGTTACAGAGGTGTGAGCCACTGCACCCATCCTATCCCACTTTTTAGTACTTATACATACATAAATGCAAATCCATGAGCACCGTATTTTTTTGTAAATTCCTAATCGTAACTGTCACTCTGCAGCTTTGTTTCTCACTCAGCCTATTTATTTATCCATGTTAAATCTGTAAGCCTAATTCAGAGATTGGCAAACACTTTCTGTAAAAGGCCAGATAGTAAATATTTTAGTATTGTAGTCCATATTGTCTCTATTGCAACTACTCAACTCTATTCACCTCTATAGTTAATGCAGCAGTAGATAATATGTAAACTAAGGAATATTGCTGTTCTAATATAACTTTGTTTACAAAACCAGGCTCTGGGCCAGATTTGTATCCTGGACTGTAATTTGCTGACCTCTGCTCTAATTTATTCCTTATAACTTGTAACTACTGAATGGTGTGTGTGTATATATATATATATATATATATATTTTTTTTTTTTTTTTTTTTTTTTTGAGACAGAGTCTTGCTTTATCACCCAGGCTGGGGCACAGTGTCGCAATCTCAGCTCGCTTGCAACCTCCGACTCTTGGGTTCAAGTGATTCTCGTGCCTCAGCTTCCTAAGTAGCTGGGATTACAGCGCATCGCAGCATGCCCTGCTAATTTTTGTATTTTTTAGTAGAGAGAGGGTTTCGCCATGTTGGCCAGGGTGGTTTCAAACTCCTGACCTCAGATGATCCTCCGGCGTCAGCCTCCCAAAGTGCTGGGATTATAGGCGTGAGCCACCACACCCAGCCATATTGTCTATAATATGAATATATCATATTTTATTATTCAATTCCCCTATAAATGGATGTCTAGGTTGTTTCTAGATTTTTTTTGTTTGTTTTTTGGGACAGGGTCTTCCTCTGTGACTCAGGCTGGAGTGCAGTGGTGTGATCCTGACTTGCTGCAGTCTTAACCTCCTGGGCTTAAGCAATCCTCCTGCCTCAGCCTCCCAAGTACTGGGACTATAGGCATGTGTCATCACGCCTGGCTAATTTTTAAAGATGGGGTCTCCTTCTGTTCCCAGGCTGGTCTCCAACTCCTGGACTAAGGCAATCCTCCTGCCTTGTCCTCCCAAAGTACTGGGGTTATAGGTGAGAGCCGCCACACTGGCCTGTTTTGTTTTGTTTTGTTTTGTTTTGTTTTGTTTTGTTTTGTTTACAGATAGTGTCTCCCTCTGTCACCCAGGTTGGAGTGCAGTAGGGCTATTATGGCTCACTACAACCTCCAACTCCTGGACTCAAGGTATCCTACTGCCTCAGCCTCCCAAGAAGCTGGGACTACAGGTATATTCTACCACACCCAGCTATATTTTTTAAATGTAAATTTTTTTTTTGAGACAGAGTCTCTCTCTGTCGCCCGGGCTGGAGTGCAGTGGTGCGATCTCCACTCACTGCAAGCTCCGCCTCCCAGGTTCACACCATTCTCCTGCCTCAGCCTCCCGAGTAGCTGGGACTGCAGTCGTCCACCACCACGCCCCCAATTTTTTCTGTATTTTTTTAGTAGAGACAGGATTTCACCGCGTTAGCCACAATAGTCTCCATCTCCTGTCCTTGTGATCTGCCCACCTCGGCCTCCCAAAGTGCTGGGATTACAGGCGTGAGCCGCCGCACCCGCTGATTTTTAAAAATTTTTTTGTAGAGATGGTCTCACTATGTTCCCCAGGCTGGTCTTGAACTCCTGGCCACAAAGAATCCTCCCACCTCGGCCTCGCAGAGTGCTAGGATTACAGGTGTGAGCCACTGCATCCAGCCTGTTTCTAGTTTTTCTACTGTGATAACCATGCTGCAGGAAGCAATCTTGTCCATGTTTTCTTGTGCACATATGCAAAGCTTTTTACTAGGATATACATAGATAGAGAAGTGGAATTGCTGAGGATTTTGTTGTTGTTGTTGTTGTTGTTGTTGTTGTTTATTTTTACTTTTGGAAACAGGGCAAGACCTAGCACCAGGCTGGAGTGCAGTGGTGCAATCATGGCTCACTGTAGCCTTGACTTGGGCTTACGTGATCCTCTCGCCTCAATCTCTCGACTAGCTAGGACCACAGGCAAGCGGCACCATGCCCTGCTAATTTTTAAATTTTTGGTGGAGATGGAGGTCTTCCTATGTTGCCCACGCTTCATGGTCTTTTTTTTTTTTTTTTTTTTTTGAGACAGAGTCTCACTGTCACCCAGGCTGGAGTGCAGTGGCGCAATCTCGGCTCACTGCAGCCTCCACCTCCTGGATTCAAGCAATTCTCCCGCCTCAGCCTCCCAAGTACCTGGGACTACAGGCACATGCCACCACACCCAGCTAATTTTGGTATTTTTAGTAGAGACGAGGTCTCAAACTCCTGACCTCAGGTGATACGCCCGCCTCGGCCTCCCAAAGTGCTGGGATTACAGGTGTGAGTCACTGTGCCCAGCCCATGTTTTATTTATTTATTTATTTATTTTTGAGACGTAGTTCTGCTCTTGTCAACTAGGCTGGAGTGTAATGGCGCGATCTCAGCTCACTGCAAACCCTGCCTCTGGGTTCAAGCAATTCTCCTGCCTCAGCCTCCCGAGTAGCTGGGATTACAGGCGCCCACCACTATGCCCAGCTAATTTTTGTATTTTTAGTAAAGACGGGGTCTCACCGTGTTGGACAGGCTAGTCTTGAATTCCTGACCTCAGGTGATCCACCTGCCTCAGCCTCCCAAAGTGCTGAGATTACAGATGTGAGCCACCATGCCAGGCCCATGTTGTTTTAAATACCAGGTGGGCCAAATGAAATGTTTTAGATAGAATGTAACCAGTTTGTGACCTCTCTCTTACGCTTTCCATAGGAAGCCAATAGTTACTGAGAATCCAATTCATACCTAGTTCTGGACTTTGAGGTGAGACTCTATGACAGCTAGCAAGGTGAGGATGCGTGAATCTAAACACAAAAGAGTTGGAGAACGGTCTGGAAGAGTGTGACTGCCGTGACAAATGTGCATCTGATTTCCTCAGCAGATAAAAGAGTTGAGGTTGGGGAATTACTCAATTTTTCATGTTCAATAACCATTCAAACAGTGGGTGTTAACATTGAATGACAAGTTCTAGCAGAAAAGGTCTTCAGGATGAAGGCGATGAGCTGCTGATCTGTGCTTCCTTCTTTCCTGGCAATTCTGTGAGTTTCTTTAAAGATTTATCACTCTAATTAGACCCACTGGAAGAATAACAAAGGTAATAAAGAAAGAGTATCAGGGCATCCTTCCAAGAAAACTCTCTCCTTTGAGGAAGACCCAGAATAAGATTTTAAGCCTTGGTGGCAGGAAATTAACTTAGTCCATTTTCCTGAAAGAATATGTCAATAATACATGACTAGTTCAGTCTAGCTGGGTGAGTTCAGAAAAGAAATGGTGTTCTGTGTTCAGAGTTGAGGAGATTTAATTAAGGGGACTCATGCTTTGGGAATTCCTTCCTTTTTAAAGATTTTTAAGATTAATGTAGGTCATTATCATTCCTTTGTTTCTATCATTTTGGAGAGCTCAAAAAATATATGGAGCTATTACAAAGCAGCTGAACCTCAAGGTCAGCTTGCTGCAGGCTTTCTTTCTTCTTTCATAGGCTTGGAGCCCCATTGTTTTGACAGGTAAAAGTCGGACAGCTCCGCCTTCTCAGAAGTCTGTAATGCAGAAGAATCAGTCCTCTGCACTGACCTGTCTCCCTGTCCTGCCCTGCCATTCTGTTTCTCTTACTCTATCAGGTCTAGGATCTTGTCTGGCAGGCTCGTGCACTGAAACAGAGGTCTTCCCAGAGGATATCAGGGGCTGGGATTTTCCCTTTGCACCTAGATCAGCTTTGGCAGGCGTCTGTTGAAATGGAGGGAGAGACAGGCCGTAGCTCATGAGCCATTCCCCTGAAATGAAAAGACGCAGGAAACTGGCCATTCTAACATCTGTCTCTTTCTTCCCATCTGGCAAAATTCTAATAGCATGTAGAAGAAGTTTGTCCAACCCGCGGCCCAGGATGGCTTTGAATGTGGCCCAACACAAATTTGTAAACTTTCTTTAAACATTATGAGATTTTTTTTGCAATTTTTTGTTTAACTCATTAACCATCGTAGTGTTAGTGTATTTTATGTGTGGTGTGGCTCAAGACAATTCTTCTTCCAGTGTGGCCCAAGGAAGCCAAAGATTGGACACCCTTGATCTAGAAGATAATGACTACATTCCTGAAGGGCTTCCTTTTGCATAGTTTTCTTTACACGGCTTGAGATTTAGTTCTTATTGAACATCAATTAGGTATTTAGATCTCAATTTAATCTGAATTTTTTTTAGGATGATTGTTACAAACTGAACAATAGAAATGTTATTTTAGAGTGGGCGCTGTGGCTCATGCCTGTAATCCCAGCACTTTGGGAGGCTGAGTGGGGTGGATCGCCTGAGGCCAGGAGTTCCAGACCAGCTTGGCCATCATGGTGAAACCCCATCTCTACTAAAAATGCAAAAATTAGCTGGACCTGGTGGCGGGTGCTTGTGATCCCAGCTACTTGGGAGGCTGAGGCAGGAGAATTGCTTGAACCCGGGAGACACAGGTTGCAGTGGGCCGAGATCATGCCACTGTACTCCAGCCTGGGTGACAGAGCGAGACTCCGTTAAAAAAAAAAAAATGTTAATTTAGGCTGGGTGCAGTGGCTCAAACCTGTAATCCCAGCACTTTGGGAGGCCAAGGCAGGTGGATCACCTGAGATGAGGAGTTTGAGACCAGCCTGGCCAACATCTCTACTAAAAATACAAAAATTAACCATGTGTGTTGGTGGGCACCTGTAATCCCAGCTATTCGGGAGGCTGAGGCAGGATAATTGCTTGAACCTTGGAGGCAGAGGTTGCAGTGAGCCAAGATTGTGCCATTGCACTCCAGCCTGGGTCACAAGAGCAAAACTCAGTCTCACAAAAAAAAAAAAAAAAAGAAAGAAAAAGAAATGTTATTCTAGTGATGTTTAATGCATAAAATTAGGCCTCATCCTTAATCTCTGGAATGACCCTCTGACAAGGGTTTTGGATGAATCTGTATTGTTATTTTAATCTAGCTTTGTATTAGTTTACAAAGTACTTCCACCCTTATAAGCACCTCTTAGTCTCATAATCATCCATAAGAAAGAAGAATTATACCTATTTTTTCAGATTTACAGAAAACGGGTTCAGAGAGGGTAAGACGTCTTCTGGATTTCTTCATTCTAGACAATAATATTTTATTACATGTAACAACTAGAAGAAATATGAAAAGCAACTTTTTGTGTTTCCACTTGCTTAGCAGCAGAACAGTCTGTGAAGGGCAGTGGGGGAATATGTTGATGCTGTCTATTTATTAAGCCACAGCATATATGCCCAAGTGGCCCATCACTGCTTCACCTTCTCCCACCATGGGAGAATGGCAGGAAATAAGTCATTCTCACAACTAAAAAGAATACTGCTGTCATTGTTCTGCATATTTTTTAAAAATTGCAATTGCATATATCCTTTGATTCAGCAATTCCACTTCTAGGAATTGATGCTTACAGATACACTTTCCCACACATGAATGATTGTACGTCCTAGGTTTTTCACAGCAGAATATCAGAAACAGCTGAAGTGCATCTGCAGCAGTGACATAAATTATGGTGCATGCATGCAGTAGAGTATGATGCTGCTGTTGCAGAGAATAAAGCAGCTCTGTATTTACCGAAGGAATGAACTCCAAGGACACTGTTTATTATTGTATATAATATGTTTGTGTAAAAAGGGAGAGGATAAATGTGTATTAATACATATTTGCTTATGTATCAATGATTTAAAATCTAATAACACTTGTCTGTGAGCAGCAGAACAGGGTGGCTAGAGAGCAGGTCACAGAGAGAGAGAGAGAGAGAGAGAGAGAGACCTGTCACTGAAGAGCCTTTTGATAAAAAAAAACAGCCAGGCATGGTGGCTCACGCCTGTAATCCCACCACTTTGGGAGGCTGAGGTGGGTGGATCACCTGAGGTCAGGAGTTAGAGACCAGCCTGGCCAACATGGCAAAACCCTGTCTCTACTAAAAAAAAAAAATACAGAAATTAGCCGGGCATGGTGGTGGGTGCCTGTAGTCCCAGCTACTTAGGAGGCTGAGGCAGGAGAATTGCTTGAACCCAGGAGGTGGAGGTTGCAGTGAGCCGAGATCGCACCACTGCACTCCAGCCTGGGGGACAGAGGGGAGACTCTGTTTAAAAAACAAACAAACAAAAAAAACCCAAAAAAACATGAATTACATGTTTTTAAAAATCCCTGCACTTAGTCAGGTGTGGTGGTGTGCACCTATAGTCCCAGCTACTTGGGAGGCCGAGGTGGGAGGAGATCACTTGAGCCTGGGAGGTCAAGGCTGCAGTGAGCTGTCATCACGCCACTGCACTTCAGCCTGGGTGACAAAGCGAGACTGTCTTTTAAAAAGAAAATTTAAAAATCCCTGCACTGAGATTTATAGGAGTTTGGGGTCCTCATATATACCGGTAAAGTACTCTGACCTGCTTACTACCTACCCCCACCCAAAGGACCCATTTAATCCTTTCTTCTGCTCCCTGAGTTTTCCAGCACCAAATGAAACTCTGTCTCTTTTTGTTTTTACTTTATAAAATTTTAACACTCCCCCACCTTTTTTTTTTTTTTTTTTTTTTTGTGTGTGTAGATGGAGTCTTGCTCTGTCACCCAGACTGGAGTGCAATGGCACAATCTTGGCTCACTGCAGCCTCCGCCTCCCAGGTTCAAACAATTCTGCTGCCTCAAGTAGCTGGGATTACAGGCACATGCCACCATGCCCGGCTAAATTTTTGTATTTTTTTTTTTTTAGTACAGATGGTGTTTCACCATGTTGGCCAGGCTGGTCTCGAACTGCTGCTCAGGTGATCTGCCCTCCTTGGCTTCCCAAAGTGCTGGGATTACAGGTGTGAGCCACCACACCTGGCTCCATTTTCTTATTTGCATTCCAATTCTATTAAATTTATTGATTGATTTTGTATTTTTAGTAGACCATGGTGGCAGGTGCCTGTAATCCTAACTATTCGGGAGGCTGAGGCAGGATAATTGCTTGAACCCAGGAGGCAGAGGTTGCAGTGAGCCGAGATCACGCCATTGCACTCCAGCCTGGTCAATAAGAGCAAGACTCCATCTGAAAAAAAAAAAAAAAAAGAAAGTTATTGCCGGGTGCGGTGGCTCATGCCTGTAATCCCAGCACTTTGGGAGGCCGAGGCAGGCCAGTCATGAGGTCAGGAGATCGAGACCATCCTGGCCAACATGGTGAAACCCCATCTCTACTAAATATACGAAAAAGATTAGCTGGGCATGGTGGCATGTGCCTGTAATCCCAGCTACTAGGGAGGCTGAGGCAGGTGAATCGCTTGAACCAGGGAGTCGGAGGTTGCAGTGAGCCAAGATCACACCACTGCACTCCAGCCTGGCAACAGAGCAAGATTCCGTCTCAAAGAAAAAAAAAATTATTGATTGAATGAGTGCTTTTTATGTAATGCATTATACCACATCCTTATTTATTTGCACACATTTTGCACAAGCCAGTTTTTATTAATGATTGTGGGATTGAAAAGTATTATTAGCACAAGCTAGGAAATTCTAACACTACAAATGAGTATACTGTGAAAAGTTTTTCCTCTTTTTTTTTTTTTTTTTTTTTTTTTTTGAGACGGAGTCTCGCTGTGTCACCAGGCTGGAGTGCAGTGGTGCAATCTCGGCTCACTGCAATGCAACCGCCACCTCCCGGGTTCAAGCAATTCTCCTGTCTCAGCCTCCCAAGTAGCTGGGACTACAAGCTTGCGCCACCATGCCCAGCTAATTTTTGTATGTTTAGTAAAGACGGGGTTTCACCATGTTGGCCCAGATGGTCTTGATCTCTTGACCTTGTGATCCACCTACCTCAGCCTCCCAAAGTGCTGGGATTACAGGCGTGAGCCACCACGCTCAGCCTTTCCTCTCTCTTTAGGCTTCTGAGTCTCCTGGGCCCATAGTTCCCGTGCTAAAGCTGCTACTGTTACTACCTTTAGAAGTATACTTCTAACAATATTGTATTCATATCAAGCATATAACATGCATATATCCCCCCTTTTCTTATGTAATGTTTGTTTTTTAAATAGAGTTTATTTTTAGAGCAGTTTCAGGTTCCCAGCAAAAATAAGCGGAAGGTACACAGATTTCTCACATACCTCTGCCTCCACACATACAAAGCCTCCCCCATTATGGACATCTCCTACCAGAGTGGTACGTTTGTTATAAGCAACAGACCTGCATTGACACATTATCACCCAAAGTGCATAATTTACATTAAGGTTCATTCTTGGTGTTATAGCTTCCATTTTTCACACTATGTAAACTATACTGTACACACTGTCACCTACTTTTTTCACTTAACAACATATCTTGGTATAGGATTACATTTAGATTACCACCTTCTTTTTAATAACTGCATAGGATTCCACATATATGGAATATATTTAATTTAATCAGTCTCCTCTTGATGGGAACCCGGGTTGCTCACAATCTGTTGCTCCCACAATAAATATCCTTATGTATATGTCATTGTTTAAAATCTGTATCTCTAGGATAAATTCTTAGCAGTACAATTGCTAGTTCAAAAAGTATATGCATTTTAAATGTTGATGGGTAGGTCCAAATTGCTCTACCCAGAGGTTGTAGTATTTCAACAGGTTATAGTAGTTCAAGAGAATATAAGACTTTTTTTCATTTGTTTAAGAAAAGGTTTTTTTGGGAGGCCGAGGTGGGTGGATCACGAGGTCAGAAGATCGAGACCACAGTGAAACCCTATCTCTCCTAAAAACACAAAAAATTAGCTGGGCATGGTGGCGGGCACCTATAGTCCCAGTTACTCGGGAGGCTGAGACAGGAGAATGGCATGAACCCAGGAGGCGGAGCTTGCAGTGAGCCGAGATCGTGCCACTGTGCTCCAGCCTGGGTGACAAAGCAGGACTCTGTCTCAAAAAAAAAAAAAAAAAAGGAAAATAAAAATAGTGACCAGCCTGGGTGGCTCACGCCTATAATCCTAGCACTTTGAGAGAATGAGGTGGAGGGATCCCTTGTGGCCAGGAGTTTGAGACCAGCCTGGCCAACATGGCAAAACCCTGTCTCTACTAAAAATACAAAAAATTAGCCGGGCATGGTGGCAGGTGCCTGTAGTCCCAGCTACTTGGGAGGCTGAGGCAGGAGAATGGCATGAATTCGGGAGGCAGAGCTTGCAGTGAGCCAAGCTCACACCACTGCACTCCAGCCTGGGTGACAGAGCGAGACTCCGTCTCAAATTAAAAAAAGGGTTTCATTCTGTTGTGTAGGCTGGAGTGCAGTGACACGATCATAGCTCACTGCAGCCTTGAACTCCTGGGCTCAAGCAATCCTTCTTCCTCAGCCTCCTGAGTAGCTGGGACCACAGGCACACATCACCACCCCTGGCTAATTTTTATTTTTGTATTTTTATTTTACTGTATTTATTTTGAAACAGAGTCTTGCTCTGTCCTCCAGGCCAGAGTGCAGTGGCGCAGTCTTGGCTCTCTGCAACTTCTGCCTCCTAGGCTCAAGTGATTCTCGTGCCACGGCCCCCTGAGTAGCTGGGATTACAGGTGCCCACCACCACGCCCAGCCAATTTTTGTATTTTTTGTAGAGACAGGGTTTTGCCATGTTGGCCAGGCTGGTCTCGAACTCCTGGCCACAAGGGATCCATCCACCTCGTTCTCCCAAAGTGCTGGGATTACAGGCGTGAGCCACTGAGCCTGGTCATTATTTTTATTTTACTTTTTTTTTTTTTTTTTGAGACGGAGTCTCGCTTTGTCACCCAGGCTGGAGCGCAGTGCCAGGATCTCGGCCTCTGCCTCCCAGGTTCACGCCATTCTCCTGCCTCAGCCTCCCAAGTAGCTGGGACTATAGGCGCCTGCCACCACACCCGGCTGATTTTTTGTATATTTAGTAGAGATGGGGTTTCACCGTGTTAGCCAGGATAGTCTCGATCTCCTGACCTCGTGATCCACCCGCCTCGGCCTCCCAAAGTGCTGGGATTACAGGCATGAGCCACCGCGCCCAGCCGCTTATTTTACTTTATTTTTAAGATAGAGTCTCACTCTGTCATCCAGGCTGAAGGGCAGTGGCGTGATTGCGGCTTACTGTACCCTCAACCTCCTGGGCTCAAGCAGTCCTCCCATCTCAGCTTCCCGAGTAGCTAAGACTACAGGCATGAGCCACCGTGTGCAGCTAATTGTTGTTGGTATTTTTTTTTTTTTTTTTTGGAGAGATGGGGGCTCCCTATGTTGCCCAGGCTGATCTCAAACACCTGTACTCAAGTGATCCTCTGGCTTCAGCCTCCTAAAATGCTGGGATTACAGATGTGAGCTACTGTGTACAGCCTAATTCACAAATTTTTTGGAGACAGGATCTTGCTGTGTTGCCCAAGCTGGTCTCAAACTCCTGGTCTCAAGGAATTTCCCTGCCTCGGCCTCCCAGAGTGAGACCCAGACTTAAAAGATTTCCAGCTGCCTCAGCCTATAGCATAAGATCAGATATTGATTGAGAGGAGGATGGGCTAGCCAACAACACTGGTGGACTGCAGTTTTTTATTTTTACCACTGAAGCTGGTTAAGATCCTGTGAGGAAATATACAGTGTAGTAAAGTTATCAGATATGGCTGTCAGGTTAGCAAGATGAAGACTATTTAGGTGTGTCAGCTTCTGTCAGGCAGGCTGCAATGACAACGGTACTGTGCTTATTTACTTTTGCTTTTTCTCTAGGACCGTAGCATCCTGAGACATTTTGAATTGACACTTCTCAAGATTTGACTGGATCAGAGTTCATCATGTCAAAGTTGAAAAGCTCAGAGTCAGTCAGGGTGGTGGTTCGCTGTCGGCCCATGAATGGCAAGGAAAAGGCTGCTTCGTATGACAAAGTGGTGGATGTGGATGTTAAGCTGGGGCAGGTGTCTGTGAAGAACCCCAAAGGGACGGCCCATGAAATGCCCAAGACCTTCACCTTTGATGCCGTCTATGACTGGAATGCCAAGCAGTTTGAACTGTACGATGAGACGTTCCGACCACTTGTTGACTCTGTCCTGCAAGGTTTCAATGGAACCATTTTTGCCTATGGACAAACTGGGACAGGAAAAACCTACACCATGGAAGGAATCCGTGGTGACCCTGAAAAAAGAGGAGTCATTCCTAACTCATTTGACCATATCTTCACCCACATCTCTCGATCCCAGAATCAACAATACCTGGTCAGGGCTTCTTACTTAGAGATCTACCAGGAGGAGATCCGAGATTTGCTCTCAAAGGATCAGACCAAAAGGCTTGAGCTCAAAGAGAGGCCTGACACAGGAGTGTATGTGAAAGACCTGTCTTCCTTTGTCACCAAGAGTGTGAAGGAGATAGAGCATGTGATGAATGTGGGGAACCAGAACCGTTCTGTCGGTGCTACCAACATGAACGAGCACAGCTCGCGTTCTCATGCAATTTTCGTTATCACTATTGAGTGCAGCGAGGTGGGCCTCGATGGTGAAAACCACATCCGTGTAGGAAAATTGAACCTTGTAGATCTTGCTGGCAGCGAACGGCAAGCCAAGACCGGCGCACAAGGGGAGAGATTAAAAGAAGCTACCAAGATCAACCTCTCCCTTTCCGCTTTGGGTAATGTCATCTCTGCTCTAGTGGACGGCAAAAGCACTCACATTCCATATCGGGACTCAAAGCTTACCAGGCTCCTCCAAGATTCCCTTGGTGGCAATGCCAAGACTGTGATGGTGGCCAACGTGGGGCCTGCCTCTTACAACGTAGAAGAGACTCTGACCACTCTGCGATATGCCAACCGTGCCAAAAACATTAAGAACAAACCAAGGGTCAATGAGGACCCCAAGGATGCCCTCCTTCGAGAATTCCAGGAAGAGATTGCTCGGCTCAAGGCCCAGCTGGAAAAACGGTCCATTGGTAGGAGGAAGAGGCGAGAGAAGCGGAGGGAAGGTGGTGGCAGTGGTGGGGGTGGGGAAGAGGAGGAGGAGGAGGGAGAAGAGGGTGAGGAGGAAGGGGATGATAAGGATGATTACTGGCGGGAACAGCAAGAAAAACTGGAGATTGAGAAGCGGGCCATTGTAGAGGATCACAGCTTGGTTGCAGAGGAGAAGATGAGGCTGCTGAAGGAGAAAGAGAAAAAGATGGAGGACCTGCGGCGGGAGAAGGATGCTGCCGAGATGCTGGGCGCCAAGATCAAGGTACCATACCCGTACCCTTCCTTAGGCCCTTGCCCTGTCACTGCTTTTGCTTTCATCAAACAACAACAAAAAACATAACCATATGAGGGATGATGTCTCTCATCAGTTTTGGATTTCCAACAGCTCATGATATCCAGTACTCAGTAAACCTCTGTTTAATTGACATGAATATGATTTTTTCACATTTACAAAAATGAAAATTGAATTCATAATGAGAATAATTATTATGTATGCACATAGTATAAAGAACAGCAACGCCTGTAATCCCAGCACTTTGGGAGGCCGAGGCGGGCGGATCACGAGGTCAGGAGATCGAGACCATCCCGGCTAAAACGGTGAAACCCCGTCTCTACTAAAAAAATACAAAAAATTAGCCGGGCGTAGTGGCGGGCGCCTGTAGTCCCAGCTACTTGGGAGGCTGAGGCAGGAGAATGGCGTGAACCCGGGAGGCGGA
Organism: Homo sapiens; assembly: GCF_000001405.40. Lineage (NCBI taxonomy): Eukaryota > Metazoa > Chordata > Mammalia > Primates > Hominidae > Homo > Homo sapiens. The sequence continues at coordinate 32,311,636 of NC_000020.11, forward strand.
GCTTGCAGTGAGCCGAGATTGCGCCACTGCACTCCAGCCTGGGCGACAGAGCGAGACTCCGTCTCAAAAAAAAAAAAAAAAAAAAAAAAAAAAAAAAGAACAGCAATAAAAGTAACACCCACGTACCCCCCCACCCAGTGTAAGAAATAGAACAACATCCATTTTTCTTTTTTTTTTTTTTTTTGAGATGGAGTTTCACTCTCGTCACCCAGGCTGGAGTGCAGTGGCGCGATCTCGGCTCACTGCAACGTCTGCCATCCGGGTTCAAGTGATTCTCTTGTCTCAGCCTCCAGAGTACCTGGGATTACAGGTGCCTGCCACCACGCCCGGCTAAGTTTTGTATTTTTAGTAGAGATGGGGTTTCACTATGTTGGCCTGGCTGGTCTCGAACTCCTGACCTCAGGTAATCTGCCTGTCTCAGCCTCCCCAAGTGCTGGGATTACAGACGTGAGCCACCGTGTCCGGCTTTTTTTTTTCTTTCTTTCTTTTTTTTTTTTGAGACAGGATCTTGCTCTGTCAACCCTGGAGTGCAGTGGCCCAATCACTGCAGCCTTGACCTCCTAGGCTCAAAGGATCCTCCCACCTCAGCCTCCCAAGTAGCTAGGACTACAGGCACGCAACTTTGCCTGGCTAAATTTTTTAAATTTTTTGTAGAGACATGGTCTCACTATGTTGTTCAGGCTGGTCTCAAACTCCTGGGCTCGAATGATTCTCCCACCTCCCCCTCCCAAAGTGCTGGGATTACAGGCGTGAGCCACTGCACCCAGCTGATACCTATATCTTTAGTAGCTCCTTGCGTTTCCCTCCCCAACAGATAACCATCATCCTGAATTCGGTGTTTATTGTTTCCTTGCTTTTCCTTATAGTTTTACTTTCTACATGTATATTTCTAAAGAAAACATGGTTTCGTTTTCATATAATTTTTTGCTTTTATGTAAATGGAATCCCACTCATGCCATTTGCTTTTATTTTTGCAACATTACGTTCATGAGATTTATCCATGTTGATGCCTGAAGCTGTGGTTCACTCATTATTACTGTTCCAAGTATTCCATGGTATTCCATTCTCCTGGTGTATGGGTTGTTTCCAGTTTCTGCTGTGAATGCTCTTGTGCTTGGCTTCAGGAGAACATGGACGTGCAAGATTGTCTTGTTTGGCACTGTTAGGTCTTAGGGTATTTGCAGCTTCAACTTCTCTAGACAAGGACAAGTTGTTTTCTAAAGTGGTTGTGCAGATTGAAACACCTCGCAGCAGGGTATCAGTTCTGGATGCCCCGCATCCTTACCAGCACTTGTGATGATCAGACTAACATTTGCATATAGTATAGCCTCTCAGTGCAGTTTCAGTATGCAGTACCCTGATTACACAAGATAAGGAACACTTCCATCACCCCCAAAATGTCCTCATGCTACTTTCTTATAGTCAGCCTCCTCTCCCAACCCCTGTGTGCTAATATATTTCTTTACATCCATTCCATTTTCCACCCAATGGCTAGTTAGCATTCTGGAGTGCTGAGGCTCCCATTGTTTTGAGCCTTCTTTCTGGTGGCAATGCACTATGCCTGCAGTTGCCTGGACTCTGAGCTTCCACTGGGCTTTAATGGCAGAGGAGAGTGCAAAGGTAGACTTGGAAGGCTGAGGATGGCCACTGGCTAACCACAAGGCAGAATTCCTTGGAAATGTTCAGTTCTGTTTTATTGAATTCATGCAAACTTTGATTTCTATCCTAAAATGTCTCCATGTTTATAAATTTTAAAATTACAAGTTATCTTTGCCTCCCTCCTACCCCTACTGTATGAAGCTGTACTGTTTTTTTGTTTGTTTGTTTTAATCAGTGGCTTCATAGTAGCCCTTTCACAGAGCTGGGTGCTATTTTACTTCAGAGGCAGGGTTTTAAAACCTTGAAAGTCCCTTCTAGCACTTTTAAGACCTGATGTGAAAATGGAGTCGTATACAACACAATTAGGAGGTAACTTTGTTCCAGGGAGGGGTTCTGAGATGCCATTATGTCAAAGCACTTCATGCCTTCTCACTGCTGCACAGTAAGCGCGACTGGCTGTGCCCATATTTTGTTTTGTTTTGTTTTGTTTTGAGAAAGGGTCTCACTCTGTCACCCAGGTTGGAGTGCAGTGGCGTGATCTTGGCTCACTGCAGCCTTGACCTCCCAGGCTCAAGCAATCTTCCCACCTCAGCCTTCGAGTATCTGGGACTACAGGTGTGCACTGCCATGCCCAGCTAATTTTGTTGATTTTCTGTAAAGACAAGGTCTCACTATGTTGCCTAGGCTGGTCTTGAACTCCTAGACTCAAGCAATCCTTCCACCTTAGTCTCCCAAAGTGTCAGGATTACAGGCGTGAGCCACCGCACCCTTATGTCCGGCCTGGGTATGCCCATATTTGACTTGCATACTGTCTTTTAGGATCAGATCTGTTATTCAAGGCCAGGAGCACCTAGATTCTCTAAACAACCCCTCAGAGAAAGTTGAACTCTCAGAGGCTGAGTCTGCAAGATTCAGCATCATCTTAAGGTCACTGCATCTCTTAGACATTTTGACTATGGAGAATGACATTATTTCTGTCTTTCTCAATCCCTGGATGCTGTGAAATCATAAAAGAATGTTAGAGGCTGGGCGCGGTGGCTCACGCCTGTAATCCCAACACTTTGGGAGGCCCAGGCAGGTGGATCCCTTGAGGTCAGGAGTTCAAGGCCAGCCTGGCCAACATGGTGAAACCCTGTCTCTACTAAGAATACAAAAATTAGCTGGGTGTGGTGGCATGCACCTGTAGTTCCAGCTACTTGGGAGGCTGAGGCACGAGAATTGCTTGAACCTGGGAGGCAGAGGTTGCAGTGAGCCAAGATCATGCCACTGCACTCCAGCCTGGGCGACAAAGCGAGACTCCATCTAAAAAAAAAAAAAAGAATGTTAGAGTGGTTAGGTATTGTTAGGTATGTATGTGGAGTTTAGCAATCTAGTCCAGCCCCTTCATTCGAGAGGTGAGGAAACAGGCTCAGAGGACTCACTGAAAGATGGCAGCAGAGCTCCAGTGAGGTTTATAAGTTTCTTAAAAGTTGTGCAGTTTTGGGGTCCCATACTTTTTAGGTCAAAATCATTCTCATGGCTTCAGCCCCTATCAAAATGCTGAAGGCTCCCAATCTGTATATCTAGCCTAGCACTGTCTCCTGCCATCCAGGCCCATTGTATGTCTAGCCTAGCACTGTCTCCTGCCATCCAGGCCCAATAACCTTCTGCCCACTGGGATGCTCACAGCCACTCAGAGCCTGCTCTTGCCTTCCTTATCTCAGGGAAGCCAGACCCCTGGGAGTTATCCTTGCCAGCAGCCACTCCCTCTCACTTACAGCCAGGCCGTCCCAAAGCCTTTGGATCCTGCCTCATCAGGGTCTCTTGGACTCATCTACTCTGCCCTCCCCAACTAGGGAGGAGGCCTAGCCCAGGCCTAGACCCCTGCAGTGGCTTCCTGTCATGTCTCCCTCCATCCTGCCAGTCCTTTGCCATGCTTCCCATTGCAGGGGAGTAATGTTTCTAAAACACACATCTGATTGTGTAGCCTCATGCTCAAAAGAATATGTCAGTGGTTCCCCGAACTTCTCAGGATCAAGAAGTTTAGTCTCCTTGACAGGGATTTAGGTCAACTTCATCACTTCCCACCTTCCCCTCACAAAACAATCTTTTTTTCTTACCTAATTCCTATTTTTTAACTTCAGCTGTCTGTGTATCTGGCCCTGCAGACAGAAAGCTTTCTCTGACTCCCTCTAAAAGTCTGAATTCTCTGACTGGGCGCTGTGCTCATGCCTATAATCCCAGCAGTTTGAGAGGCCAAGGCAGAGGATCTCTTGAGGCCAGGAATTCAAGACCAGCCCAGACAACATAGCAAGATTTCACCTCTACAATCAATCAGTCAATCAACCAATCAGCCAAGTGTGGTGGTGTACACCTGTAGTCCCAGCTGCTTGGGAGGCTGAGGTGGGAGGATTGCTTGAACTAAGGAGGTCAAGGCTGCAGTGAGCTGTGATCGTGCCACCGCATTCCAGCTTGGGTGACAGAACTAGACCCTGTCTTTAAAAAATTTTAAAAAATCCCCACAGAGTCTGAATTCTATCCCATCAGTGTGCCTCTCCCATGAATTACTGTGTCCTTTCCTCATGATGGCATCTGGCGCCATATGGTTAAAGCCTGCTTGCTTGTCTGTTTTCCTCAGTGGACTCGGAGCTTTGTGATTCACACTCACATTGCATCCCCAGGACCTAACATAAAGGGTCTGCTTAATATGTTCTAAGTGGGGTTAATACTTTGTAGAAACAAGCAAAAAAAAAAAATTTGTTAAAGCTGAAATTCATGTATCTGAAGAAACTGTATCTTCAGTGTTACCAAGAAGCCTCTAGTGAAGCTGCCCCAGTCCCTCACCAGTGATGGATGGGCACAGCTGAGCACAGTGTATTTTTTCCCAGAGTTTGTCCCTTTTGGCTCAGTCCTGAGCTCTTTATCTTTCACAGGCTCCCCTGTGAGGAATTATGTTCTGAGAGAAACCGTTCATGAGATGGATTCTACTTTGTTTCTCACTCAGGCCATGGAGAGTAAGTTGCTTGTTGGAGGAAAAAATATAGTAGATCATACGAATGAACAGCAGAAAATCCTGGAGCAGAAACGACAGGAAATTGCAGAGCAGGTAACTTTTCATTCTTTTTCAGGGAGAATGGGTGAGGTAAGGTGTGTTTATGCTGCAGAGCAAACGTCTCATATTAGACTCTCTTCAAAGAGAATGAGAGCAAGGTGTGTCTGCCTCATCCTAGCTGGAGACTCTGATCCTAGCTTGGGGAACCCAGCATAGACACAGTCTCTAGGGCAAGCTGATGAATTTTGTCATGTTGCTCAGAAACGTCGAGAAAGAGAAATCCAGCAACAGATGGAAAGTCGAGATGAGGAGACCTTGGAACTTAAAGAGACATACAGCTCATTGCAGCAAGAGGTGGACATCAAGACCAAAAAACTCAAAAAGGTATGAAAGGAATGAGGCCAGATGGAGTTGCCTTGAGACTTGGGGAAAGGGAGAACTCTACCCTTTGGACAGACACCCTCCTCACCTGCCTCTCCCCTCATTCCAGCTCTTCTCCAAGCTTCAGGCAGTGAAGGCTGAGATCCATGACCTCCAAGAAGAACACATCAAGGAGCGCCAAGAGCTAGAGCAGACTCAGAATGAGCTCACCAGGGAGCTGAAACTCAAGTAAGTGCCAGGCCTTCCATAGTGCCCCCAAGCCACTTGCTGAGTCATTGATCTCGTTTGTTTAGTTAGAAACAGCCCTGGCTGGGCTTGGTGGCCTACGCCTGTAATCCCAGTGTTTTGGGAAGCGGAGGCGGGCAGATCACCTGATGTCAGGAGTTCGAGACCAGCCTGACCAACATGGTGAAACCCCGTCTCTACTAAGAAATACAAAAATTAGCTGGGCGTGGTGGTGCATGCCTGTAGTCCTAGCTACTTGGGAGGCTGAGATAGGAGAATCGCTTGAACCCGGGAAGTGGAGATTGCGGTGAGTTGATATCGTGCCACTGCACTCCAGCCTGGGCGACGGAGTGAGAAAAAAACACAAAAAAAGAAATAGCCCTGAGGACAGGTCCTTCTCCAGCTCATCTCCTGCCACCCCATGTTCTGTTCATTCCTGAAAAAGTCACTTTCCATCTCTGGATCCCATCTGTTAACTGAATGACTTCATCAGGTGATCTCCAAGTTCCCTTCTAACCCTACCTTCTCGAAGCTTTTAAAGATTCTGGTCTTACATCTGTCTGATGATAAGAGGGAATATTTTATTAACTTGACTTTTTATTGTGACAATTTTCTGAATGGTATAATAAATACCCAAGTACCCATCACCCAGATTCAAGGATTAACAAGCTTTTGCCATCTATCTTTCACAAAAATATTTTAAAGCAAATCTTAACCTCATGTTATCTCACTCCTACATACTTATATATATATATATATGATCACAGTGGTTTTTTTTTTTTTTGAGACAGAGTTTTGCTCTATCACCCAGGCTGGAGTGCAGTGGCACAATCACAGTTCACAGCAGCCTGTAACTTGTGGGCTCAAACAGTCCTCCCACCTTAGCCTCCCGGGTAGCTGGAACTACAGGTGTGTGCCACTATGCCCAGCTAATTTTTAAAAAAAATTTTATAGAGATAGAGTCTCTCTATGTTACCTAAGCTGATCTCAAACTCCTAGGCTCAAGCAATCCTCCTGTTTCAGCCTCCCAAAGTGCTGGGATTATAGGTGTGAGCCACCACACCCAGCCCACAATACTGTTTTTAAAAAAGCTTAATTGAGACATACTTCACATACCATACAATTCACATATTTAAAGTGTACAAATCAGTCCGGGCATGGTGGCTCATGCCTGTAATCCCAGCATTTGGGAGGCCGAGGCAGGTGGATCACCTGAGGCCAGGAGTTCAAGACCAGCCTGGCCAACATGGTGAAACCCCGTCTCTACTAAAAATCCAAAAATTAGCTGGGTGTGATGGCGTGTACCTGTAATCCCAGTTACTCAGGAGGCTGAGGCAGGAGAATCTCTTGAACCTGGGAGGCGGAGGTTGCAGTGAGCTGAGATCACACCACTTTACTCAAGCCTGGGTGACACAGCGAGATTCTTGTCTCAAAAAAAAAAAAATTAAAAAATGATAAAGTATACAAATCAGTGTTTTTTTAAAAGCATATATATGCATAGGGCTATAAAACCACCACTACAATCTAATTTTAGAACATTTTTATTACTCTCCTCTAAAAGAAACTCTACCAGTTAGTAGTCACTCCTCATTACCCCCTTTCCCAACCCGAAGTAATCACTAATCTGCTTCCTGTCTCTATGGCTTTGCCTATTCTGGCCATCTCATATAAATGGAATCACACACTGTGTGGCCTTTTTGGCCTGGTGTCTTTTGCTTAGCATGACGCTTTCAAGGATCGTCCATGCCGTAGCATGGATCAACAGATATCTGGTAGTCCCAACATCAATTGTTCTTTATTATGACTGAATAATATTGCACTGTATGAATAGGACACATATTTATTTATTTTTCAGTTTATATACATTCCGATTATTTCTAGTCTTTGGCTATTATGGATAATACTTCTATAAGCATTCATGTATAAGGTTTTGTATGGATGTGTGTTTTCATTTCTCTGGGATACATTCATAGGAGTGGAATTGCTGGGTCATATGGTAACTCAGTGTTTAACTTTTTGAGAGAATGCCAAACTGTTTGCCACAGTGGCTGCACTATTTTACATTTCTACCACCAATTTCTCCACATCTTCTTTTTTTTTTTTTTCTTTGAGACAGTCTCGTTCTGCCACCCAGGCTGGTGTGCAGAGGTGCAGTCTCAGCACACTGCAACCTCCACCTCCTGGGCTCAAGCGATCCTCCCACCTCAACCTCTGGAATAGCTGGGACTATAGCGGCATGCCACCCTACTTGGCTAATTTTTGTGTTTTTTGTAGAGATGGGGTTTCACCATGTTGCCTAGGCTGGTCTCAAACTCCTGGGCTCAAGCAGTCTGCCCGACTTAGCCTCCCAAAGTGCTAGGATTACAAGTGTGAGCCACCATGCCCGGCCTCTCCACATCCTTGTCGACACTTGTTATTTCCTGTCTCTTTTATCATAGACATCCTAACGAGTGTGAAATGGTACTTCATTATAGTTTTGATTTGCATATTTCTCTGATGACTAATGATGTTGAGCATCCTTTCACGGGCTTATTGGCCATTTGTATGTCTTTGGAGAAATATCTATACAAATCCTTTACCCCATTTTAAAATGGGGTTGTTTCATATATATATATATGTATATATTTCGTATATATATGAAATATATATATTTCATACACACACACACACACATATGTGTATATATATAGTTTTTTTTTGTTTTGTTTTTGTTTTTTTTTTTTTTTTTTTTGGAGTTGGAGTCTCGCTCTGTCATCCAGGCTGGAATGCAATGGCGTGAACTTGACTCATTGCAACCTCTGCCTCCTGGGTTCAAGCGATTCTCATGCCTCAGCCTCCCGAATAGCTGGGAATACAGGCACCCGCCACCATGCCCGGCTGATTTTTGTATTTTTAGTAGAGATGGGGTGTCACCATGTTGCCCAGGCTGGTCTTGAACTCCTAACCTCAGGTGATCCACCTGCCTTGGCATCCCAAAGTGCTTGGATTACAGGCATGAGCCACCATGTCCAGCCAATAATTAAGTTTTAAGAGTTTTTTTTGAGACAGAGTCTGGGTCTGTCACCCAGGCTGGAGTGCAATGGCATGATCTTAGCTCACTGCAGCCTCTGCCTCCTGGGTTCAAGTGATTGTCCTGCTTCAGCCTCCCGAGTAGCTGGGACTATAGGCATGTGCCACCATGCCCAGCTAATTTTTGTATTTTTAGTAGAGACGGGGTTTTACCATCTTGGCCAGGCTGGTCTGGAACTCCTGACCTCAGGTGATCCACCCGCCTCAGCCTCCCAAAATGCTAGGATTACAGGCGTGAGCCACTGTGCCCGGCTGAGTTTTAAGAGTTCTTTATATTAATATATTATGAATACCACTTTCTCATGAGATTCATGATTTGAAGATGCTTTCTGTTATTCTGAGTTGTTTTTAAACTTTCTTGATGGTATTACTTATAGCACAAAAGATTTCCGTTGTGATATAGCCCAATTTAATTGTATTTTCTTTTGTTTATTTTACTTTTGGTATTGTATCTAGATTTGCCTTTTCTGGACCTTTCATATAAGTTTATAAATGAAATAATGTTGGAATAATGTGGCCTTTTGTGACTGCTTTCTTCATATGTGTGTGTGTGTGTGTGTGCATGTGTGTGTTTTGTTAGTTTTTTTTTTTTTTTAGAGATAAGGCCTTCTTCTGTCAATCAGACTGGAGTGCAGTGGTGCCATCATAGCTCACAGCCTTGACCTCTTGGGTTCAAGTAATCTTCCTGCTTGAGCCTCCTGAGTTGCTAGGACTTCAGTTGCATGCTAGCACACCTGGCTAATTTTTTAAAATTTTTTCATAAGGATGGGTCTTGCTGTGTTGCCAAAGCTAGTATAGTGTTTTCAACAGTCTTCCATGTTGTAGCATGTATCAATACTTTATTCATTTTTTATGACCAAATAATATTCTGTTGTATAAATATACCACATTTTATTTATCCATTCATTATTTGATGGACATTTGGGTTATTTCTACTTTTGGGTGTTATGAATAATGCTGCTGTGAACATTCATATTCAAGTTTCTTTTGTGGACGCATGTTTCATTCTCTTAGATCCTCTAAGAGGCTTATAGTGTTAGGTCTTACATTTAGGTCTATGATCCATTTGAGTTAATTTCTGTGTATGGTATGAGGTAGGGTTTCAAGTACAGTGTTTTGGATGCAGATATCTAGTTGTTCCAGCACCATTTGTTGAAAGGGCTTTTCTCTCCCATTTCATTGTCTTGGCATACTTATTGAAAGTCAGGGCCGGGCGCTGTGGCTCATGCCTGTAATCCCAGCATTTGGGAGGCCGAGGTGGGTGGATCACCTGAGGTCAGGAGTTCGAGATCACCCTGGCCAATATGGTGAAACCCTGTCTCTACTAGAAATACAAAAATTAGCCAGGTGTGGTGGTGCACACCTGTAGTCCCAGCTACTCAGGAGGCTGAGGCAGAGGAATCCCTTGAACCTGGGAGGTGTAGGTTGCAGTGAGCTGAGATCATGCCACTGTACTCCAGCCTGGGCAACAGAGCAAGACTCTGTCTCAAAAAAAAAAAAAAGAAAGTCAGTTGACCGTAATTAAGCATTTATTTATTTATTTCTGGACTTTCAATACTGTTCCATTGTTCTATATATCTATCCTCATGCTAGTACCATTCTGTCTTAATTACTATAGCTTTGTTAGTTTTGAAATCAGGAAGTGTGAGTCCTCCAGCCTTGTTCTTTTTCAGGAGTGTTTTGACTGTTCAGGGTCCCTTGCATTTCCATATTCAAACATACTTTGTTTTACTGCACTCTGCTTTGTTATAATTCACAGATATTACATTTTCTACAAATTGAAGGTTTGTGGAAACCCTGCATAAAGCAAGTCTGTTGGCACCATTTTTTCAACAGCATATGCTCTCTTCATGTCTCTGTGTAAGCATTTATTAGCAATAAAGTATTCTTAAAGTCTATACTTTTTGTAGACAAAATGGTATTATACATTTAATAGACTACAGTATAGTGTAAGCATAACTTTTATATGCACTGGGAAACCAAAAAATTGTGTTACTTGCTTTATTGTGATACTTACTTTATTGGAGTAGTCTGGAACCAAACCCACAGTATCTCTGAGGTATGCCTCTACATTTTAAGGTCAGCTTGTCAATTTCTGCAAACAAAGCCAGCTGGGATTTTGATATTGATCACATTGAATCTGTAGATCAATTTGGGCAATATTGTAATCTTAACAGTATTAAGTATTCAGATCCATGAACATGAGATGTCTTTCCATTTATTTATTATTTCTTTAATTTTTCTCGAGAATGTTTTGTAGTTTTCAGTGTATAATTCTTACACTTTTGTTAAATTTATACCTAAGGGTTTTTTGGGTGCTATGGTATATGACATTGTTTTCTTAATTTTATTTTTGGAATATTAATTACTAGTATATAAAAATACTGGCTGGGCATGGTGGCTCACACGTGTAATCCCAGCACTTTGAGAGGCCCAGGTGGACGGATCACCTGAAGTCAGGAGTTTGAGACCAGCCCGGCCAACATGGTGAAACCCTGTCTCTACAAAAATACAGAAATTAGCCAGGCGTGGTGGCGGGTGTCTATAATCCCAGCTACTTGGGAGGCTGAGGCAAGAGAATCGCTTGAACCCTGGAGGCGGAGGTTGCAGTGAGCCGAGATTGCGCCATTGCACTCCAGCCTGGGCGACAGAGCGAGAATCCGTCTCAAAAAAAAAATTTTATATATTTATATATATTTATATATATATTTTTATATATTTATATATATATTTATATATTTATATATATTTATATATATTTATATATTTATATATATTTATATTTATTTATTTATATATATTTATTTATATATATATTTATATATATTTATATATATATTTATATATATTTATATATATATTTATATATATTTATATATATTTATATGTATATTTTTATATATTTATATATATTTATATATACATATTCATATATATTTTTATATATTTATATACATATTCATATATATTTTTATATATTTATATATACATATTTATATATATACATATTTATATATATACATATTTATATATATACACATATTTATATATACATATATTTATATTTATATATATTTATATTTATATATTTATATATTTATATTTATATATATTTATATTTATATATATTTATATATTTATATATATTTATATTTATATATTTATATATATTTATATATTTATATTTATATATTTACATATATTTATATATTTATATTTATATATTTATATTTATATATTTATATATATTTATATTTATATATAATTGATTTTTGTCTACACAATGATATTTTTATACCTAAAAAAATTAAGTTTCTTAGTATTTTCTAGTACCCAATCCACATTCAGATTTTCTTGGTTTGCTCGTTTTAAGATCTACATATTAGGACTACATGTTACATTTGGTTATTAAGTCTCTTAGACTTATTTTAATCTGAGGCAATTCTTTTTATTTTTTATTTTATTTATTTGTTTATTTGAGACAGAGTCTCACTTTGTCGCCAGACTGGAGTGCAGTGGCGCGGTCTCGGCTCACTGCAAACTCTGCCTCCCAGGTTCAAGTGATTCTCCTGCCTCGGCCTCCCAGGTAGCTGGGACTACTCGAGTAGTGAGCCACCACGCCCAGCCAATTCTTTTTATTTTTAAAAATATTTTTCAGCCGAGCATGGTGGCTCGTACCTGTAATCCCAGCACTTTGGGAGGCTGAGGCAGGTGGATCATGAGGTCAGGAGTTCAAGACCAGCCTGGCCAAGATGGTGAAACCCCCATCTCTACTAAAAATACAAGAATTAGCTGGGTGTGGTGGCGGGCGCCTGTAATCTCAACTACTCGGGAGGCTGAGGCAGGAAAATTGCTTGAACCTGGAAGGCGGAGGTTGCAGTGAGCCAAGATTGTGCCACTGCACTCCAGCTGGGGCAACAAGAGCGAAACTCCATCTCAAAAAGTATATATATACATATTTTTCATAGTTGACTTGTTGAAAAGACTGAATCAGATAGCCTGTAGAAATATCCCACATTGTAGGCGGGAGTGGTGGCATGTGCCTGTAGTTCCAGCTACTTGGGAAGCTGAGGCAGGAGGATTGCTTGAGCCCAGGAGTTCAAGGCTGCAGTGAGCCAAGATTATGCCACTGCATTCCAGTCTGGGTGACCGAGTGAGACACCAACTCAAAAGAAAAAAAAAAAAGAAGAAATATACTACATTCTGGATTTGTTGGTCTCTTTCTTCATGGTGTCAATTAACTTGTATCTCTATCCCCTTTATTTAGCTCTAACTGAAAGCTATCTCTGAAGCACGGGTTCCCAACCTTGGCTACAAACTGAGAAGTTTTAAAAATTAATGATGTCTGAGCCCCACCTCAGAGATTCTGATTTAATTGGTCTAGGGCAGTAGTCCTTAAACTTTAGCAGGCATCAGAATTACCTGAAGGGATTGTTAAACACAGATTGCTGGGTATCACACCCGGAGTCTGATTCAGAAAGGCTGGGGCAGGGCCTGAGAATGTTCATTTCTAGTAGGTTCCAGGTATTGCTTCTGCTGGTTTGGTGAATGCACTTTGAGAACTCTTGGTCTCTCATGAGGTCTGGGCAAGATATTTTTCAAAACTCTGTAGGTAACGTTAATGTGCAGCCTGGCCTGAGAAATGTGGAGCTAATAGTTTCAGCCAACAGATGATCTTTGTCTGGATCCATTATTTCATTAGTGGGGTTACAAAATGACCATGCCTGGCCAAAGAAGAAGTTTTCAAAGGGATTCTTTTAATGATCAAATTTTAAATTTGGAAAAGAGCCCTTAAAATTAAATGTAGGCAAGGTGCGGTGGCTCATGCCTATAATCCCAGCACTTTTGGAGGCTGAGGTGGGCAAATTGCCTGAGCTCAGGAGCTCAAGACCAGCCTGGGCAACATGGTGAAACCCTGTCTCTACTAAAAATACAAAAAAATTAGCTGGGCATGGAGACATGTGTCTATAGTCTCAGCTACTCCGGGGGCTGAGGCACGAGAATCGCTTGAACCTGGGAGACGAAGGTTGCAGTGGGCTGAGATTGCGCCACTTTACTCCAGCCTGGGCGACAAAGTGAGACTCTGTCTCCAGAAAAACTAATTAATTAATTAAATGTGTGTGTCGGTCAGTCCTCTTTGCAGGTATGTACATCTAGAAAAAGATCAGGACAAAATATACCAACATAATAATAATAGTTATCTCTGGATAGTGAAATTGTGGGTGATTATGTTTTTTACATTTTCTTTTTGTTGTTGTTGTTGTTTGAGACAGAGTATTGCTCTGTCACCCGGATTGGAGTGCGGTGGCACGATCTTGGCTCACTGCAACCTCTGCCTCCCAGGTTCAAGTGAATTTCATGCCTCAGCCTCCCAAGTAGCTGGGATTACAGGTGCAGGTCAACCACGCACGGCTAATTTTTATATTTTTAGTAGAGACAGGGTTTTGCCATGTTTATCAGGCTGGTCTCGAACTCCTGACCTCAGGTGATCCACCCACCTCGGCCTCCCGAAGCACTGAGATTACAGGTGTGAGCCACTGGGCCTGGCCTGTTTTTTACATTTTCTAATGAATAAATAGAATCATTGTAACCAGAAGAAAGCCAAATATGTGTTATAAAAAATAGTTTCTGAAATGTCAAAGAGAAAATTTTAGCTCCCCAAAATATTTTTTTTTCTAAGGAGTCTATTTTCATTATTATCTCTCTCTCTCTCTCTTTTTTTTTTTTTTTTTTTTTTTTTTTTTTGAGACAGAGTTTTGCTCTTTGGCCCAGGCCAGAGTGCAGTGGTGTGATCTCGGCTCACTGCAACCTCTGCCCTCTGGGTTCAAGTGATTCTCCTGTCTCAGCCTCCTGAGTAGCTGGGATTATAGGTGCCTACTACCACACACAGCTAATTTTTGTATTTTTAGTAGAGACAGAGTTTCGCCATGTTGGCCAGGCTGTTCTCGAACTCCTGACCTCAGGCAATCCACTGGCTCGGCCTCCCAAAGTGTTAGGATTACAGACATGAGCCACCGTGCCTGGCCTATATCTCTTTTTATATCTTTTGAGTAAACAGTGAGTCAGCCTCTTTCTCACAGTACCCTATACCTCTGTGCTGTTTGCTTTGTGTCCCTTCCATGTTCATTTCCTTTTGGCATTGTTTTGTCCTGAGGCTTTAGAAGAGTAAAGGCAGAGATATAATGGGAGACAGTCATCACCATAGAGAGACACCACCAGTGGGTTCCAGTTTCCTTGTTTGATGTGTTTCCTGGGCACTTGTCAGACAGAGACTGTTAGTAGGAATGGTCTTCATTCTCAGGGGCTGAAATCCACTTAGTCCTGCTTTTTATCCTGGTCAGTTAGAATGGGAAATTTTCCAGCTTGGACAACGAGCCATGGGATTGGAGTAAGGCAGTTTAATTTCTTCTGTTTTTGGCATTTTGGAAGTTAATGACCTTGGTTATCAGCACCAGTGGCCCTCTGAAAGATACTTCAGGTAGCAAATGTTCACTCCAATATAGCCCAGGGGTCACCTCCCTCTTGAGCCTGTTCACATCCTGCCCCTTCCCAGGCAGAAGTGACCTCTCCATATTTCTAAGACAGACCACTGTCAGTACCTATTATACCTAACAGGGCTGCACCATTACCCTTTGTTTCAGGCAGGAGCCAGATGTCATTTGTGTCTGTATCTCAGCTCTTTGTATGATGTTAGGCCCATCGTACTTGCTGAGTAAATGTTTGCTATGTGCCTTGACTCTTACCTGATTACTCACCATGCATGAGACCAGATAGCTGACACTTCATATGTATTCTGTATCTGTTTTCACCTGTTATGTGTGCTCTTACAGGCATCTTATTATAGAAAACTTTATCCCTCTGGAAGAAAAAAGTAAAATTATGAATAGAGCCTTCTTTGATGAAGAGGAAGATCATTGGAAACTACATCCTATAACCAGACTGGAGTAAGTCACTATTAACTTCAAGTATATTTTCAAGTATGAGGGAGGAAAAGAATGTTGATAACAAGAGCCCTCTGGTCAACAAAGGGGTTTGATAAGAACACAGTTTGGCTTATTTAAACTCAAAACCCACTGCATTACTGATTTTCTAGCTGCCATAGATCCACCAGGTAAAAGTTTGATCATGAGTGTGGTTTTAGGAATTGGGAGACTTTGTCACTAGTGAGTGAGCAAGTGACCTTTCCAAAGTTCCTGCATTTCTGTTTCTCCAGCTGTGAAGTGAAGTATGCTAGGTCACGTAAGGGGCAATTCAGAGCTGTTATCTTTGTGTGTCATTCTGACCCACAGTGTTGAGAAGGATTCTCATGCTAAGTCTGGGTGCTGCTGGAAAGATGGGAGACACCTGGCAGGGATGCAGAGGTGGGGGGTGTTGACAGCTATGCTTTGTGAATGCTGTCTAAGAACTGGGTGATGATTAAAAATCTCTTCTGGCTTAAAAGATGCATGATGCTCTGAATCAGAAAGCAACTCAAGCAGAAAACAGAAGCATTTCCCGTCCCACTTACGTCAGCCTGCAGTCCAGGGAGTTACTTGCTTCAGGTTCTGTCAGTGTCTTCCGAGTGCTGGTTCCACAGGACTCCAGCCAGGGCTTTAACACTGCAGTTCATTTCCAGGAACCAGCAGATGATGAAGCGGCCAGTCTCAGCCGTGGGATATAAGAGACCATTGAGCCAGCACGCAAGAATGTCCATGATGATTCGTCCAGAGGCCCGATATAGGGTGAGAAGATCCTTCTTGGGTTTTTCTCCTGTCTCTTTTGGAGTCTAGATTTGTGTAAGCCCTTAGATACTATTCCACTCAGAGTTCATACCTTCTTTCCAGAGGTACTTGAAGACATTTATACCAATAACAATTATAACAAATAATAAATAAATAAGCCGAGCACAGTAGCTCACACTTGTAATCCCAGCAGTTTGAGAGTCCAAGGTGGGCAGATTGGTTGATTCCCAGGAGTTTGAGACCAGCCTGGGCAATGTGGCGAAACCCTAACTCTACTAAAAATACAAAAATTAGCCAGGTGTGGTGGTGTGTGCCTGTAGTCCCAGCTACTTGGGAGGCTGAGGTGGGAGGATTACCTGAGCCCAGGAGGCAGAGGCTGCATTGAGCCAAGATCATGCCACAGCACTCTAGCCTGGGTGACAGAGTGAGACCCTGTCTCAAAAAATAAATAAGTAAATATAATAAAAATAATAACTAATAGGCCGGGCGCAGTGGCTGATGCCTGTAATCCCAGCACTTTGGGAGGCTGAGGTTGGTGGATCACCTGAGGTCAGGAGTTCGAGACCAGCCTGGCCAACGTGGTGAAACCCCATCTCTACTAAAAACACAAAAATTAGCTGGGTATGGTGGCAGGCACCTGTAATCCCAGCTACTTGGGAGGCTGAGGCAGGAGAATGGCGTGAACCCAGCGGGTGGAGCTTGCAGTGAGCCAAGATCGCGCCACTGCATTCCAGCCTGGGCAACAGGGCAAGACTCCGTCTCAAAAACAAAAAACAAAAACTAAAAACACAAAAATTAGCCGGGTATGGTGGCAGGCACCTGTAATCCCAGCTACTCGGGAGGCTGAGGCAGGAGAATCGCTTGAACCCAGGAGGCAGGAGGCGGAGGTTGCAGTGAGCCAAGATCGTGCCACTGCACTCCAGCCTGGGTGGCAGAGCGACACTCTGTCTCAAAAAAAAAAAAAAGTCAGTACTAGAGAAGGAGAGTACAAACATCCTGTCTGTCATGGCCAGTAAATATTAACAATGAACTTCAAAATGGCTCTGTGGGAAGGCTGGAGAGAACACAGATGTGTAGTGACAGGAGATGGACCTGTCGTAAAGAACTTCAGGTACTTTCATCTCACAAAATGTGTGTCAGTCATGTAGTCATTTAAAGGGACATCATTGAGGACTATTTAATGACCCCAAAATAGAAAAATAGAAACTCTGCCATGAGAGCCTCTACTTTTTAATTAAATTAAATTAATTAATTAATTTGTTTTGAGATGGAGTCTCGCTCTGTCGCCCAGGCTGGAGTGCAGTGGCGCGAGCTCTGCTTACTGCAACCCCTGTCTCCTGGGTTCAAGCAATTCTGGTGCTTCAGCCTTCCTAGTAGCTGAGACTACAGGCACATGCCACGACACCCAGCTAGTTTTTGTATTTTTAGTGGAGACAGGGTTTCACCATGTTGGCCAAGTTGGTCTTGAATGCCTGACCTCAGGTGATCCACCCACCTCGGCCTCCCAGAGTGCTGGGATTACAGGCATGTGCCAACACGCTCAGCTAATTTTTGTATATTTAGTAGAGACGGGGTTTCACCATGTTGGCCAGGCTGCTCTCGAACTCCTGACCTCAGGTGATCCACCCGCCTTAGCCTCCCAAAGTGCTGGGATTACAGGCGTGAGCCACCGCACTGGCCTTTTTTTTCTTTTTTTTTTTTTTTTTGAGGCAGGATCTCACTGTGTCACCCAAGCTGGAGTGCTGTAGCACAGTCATAGCTCGCTGTATCCTCAGACTCCTCGGCTCAAGTGATCCTCCTGCCTTGGCCTCCCAAAGCACTGGGATGACCATGCCCAGCTGAGCACTTGCTGTGTGCTGGGCATTGTACCCAGCACTTGACTGCTTTCTCTAATTAAGTTTCCCCATCTTCTCTATGCATTCAGTCCTGTTGCTTAAAGGTCAAGTAGTGGGGCAAGTGGCTGAACTAGGATACACAACGTATTAAGTTATAGAGTAATTTACACCAGAAGTATATATATGATATAAAATTTGATGTAAAATATATTGAAATGTAAACTGTTTTTCTCTGGTTGGTGGAAGCACACTCAATGTTTTTTTTCTTTTTGCTCATCTGTATTTTATAACTATCAATAGGGAACTTGTATTATTTTTATAGTGAAAGATTTTCACTTGAAATATTTTTAGATGTTTCTGAGTCTCTCTTGGCAGCCAGAGCCAAACAGAAGATTACGGTTAGTTAGCTCTTTGGGTGCCATTCTTCCTGGCTTTGAGTTATTTAAAAGAAAGAAAGCAAAAGCAAAAAATTAGGTGGAGTTAGGTGTTGTAAAACGGCATCACTTCTTTCAGGCAGGCTCTTTCTTGATAGGCCCTGAATAACAAGCAATTTGCACTTCTATTCTTGGAGGGGCCCTCGATTGCTTGTACTGCCTGTGTCCAGTTGGAGGCTAACCTAGCTGGTGATGGCTGTGCTTCTGCAGGCAGAAAACATTGTGCTGTTAGAGCTGGACATGCCCAGCCGGACCACCAGAGACTATGAGGGTCCAGCCATTGCCCCCAAGGTCCAGGCTGCATTGGATGCGGCTCTGCAGGATGAAGATGAGATACAGGTGGATGCATCATCATTTGAAAGCACTGCAAATAAGAAATCCAAGGCCAGGTGAGTGGCTTTGATGACGTGTGTTTAAACAGAACATGTTTGAACAAGGACAAACCAAAGCAAGAATGCTTGTTTATCATGGAATACTTTGCAGAACACACTAGAAAATATTGCCATATTACTCCTATGTTTACTTATTTATTCTACAAATATTTATGGTTGAGACACTATGCTGGGTATACCGAATACCAGAATACCTAATGTCCCCAGTCCCTTACTATAAGGTGAATGTGTTCTAGTGAAATAGCAGTCAGTTCTTCTGTTCTCATGAGGTGTCCGGTAGTTCTAAGTGCTTTACAAACATTCTCTTAATGATTTCCTGTAAAAACTTAGAAGGCAAATATTATAATCAGTCCCATTTTATAGACAAGAAAACTGAAACTTAGAGAATTTGAGAAAGTAGCCATCTCTAAGGAAACCCAGCAAGTAAGGGCCAAAGCAAGAATTCAAAAATAGGTCAATCCAGATCCACAACCCAGTCTCTGGGCCTCCATGCTAAGTTTACCTCACCCATGTGGTGCAAAACTAGTAATTCTGTCTTATTACATCCTGGATTAAAAGTTGTAGGAAAACAATTGGGTGGAAAACCAAAATGGAAGAAATTCTACCTGCAAACTTAATATTTTTTTATCAATCAGGGAAGGACAGTACAGTCAAGCTTTGGTTTTAAAGAAGAACAATTGCTAAGCATCAGAGTCTCCTTCTCTCAGGTTCCACACCTCTGTTCTGAGGCCATTTTCACCATCCCCAAAGGTTCAGGCTGTGCCAGTGTAGTGGTTTTACAGTTGAACTTGTCGTTTTCAGGCCATTGAAGAATGGCCTGAAATGAAATGTTAATGACATCTGATGTGTCAGGGACAGAGATGGGGACATGTAATATAAACATGTGTTTGACTTTTGCAGGCCTAAAAGTGGAAGGAAGTCGGGATCCTCCTCCTCTTCCTCAGGAACCCCTGCATCTCAGCTTTATCCACAGTCTCGGGGGCTGGTTCCAAAGTAAAGCCAGCTTCTCCTCTCCCAGGGCGGAAACAGCATTTGCCTTCTGAGAGAAGAGACTAGCAAAAAGCTGCAGAGAGGATTCGGCCCAAACTCAGAACTGTTCCCCTGAGGAGAAGCGGTGGCCTCTTTGCAGATCAACCAACTTAATCTGGTTGAACGTGCTGTTCCTAATCTGGCACTCAGCCCCTCTGGGAAACATCTTTTAATTAGCATCTCAGAAATGCATGGGTAAGGTAAAGTGCGATAGTTCAAGTGGAAAGCAAGAGAATGACCAGTGACCTTGCTTCCTTCCCCCTTGCCTTCTTCTCCCCCTTCCCCTGTGCTCCCTTTCTCTCCTCTCTCCTTTTCTAGCCTGTTCTTTACATGGGGCTCCCTTCTTGTTGAACAATAGGGCAGAATCAGGAGTCACCTTAGCAGGACCACATCTTTGGAGCCTCGGGATAAAATGACAGTGAGGTTGAAAAGTGAAAACCCTAGAACTTGAATAGGTGCCTGTTCTTGTAGGGAGAAATGAGAAATCGCATTTGGATCCAGGCCCCAGGTGGGCACCATCAGCAGTCTTGCTTCCATGCACCTCAGTAAGAAGTGGATCTGCCTTTGGGACCTGCTCAGTGAGGAAATCTCTTCCAATTTCTGCTTCTGAATGATTCAATGTTGGGAGCAATAGAAATAACATTCCCTTTGCCTTCTCTGAGTGTTTAGGGAAATAGCTTCTTTAAAACCTCAAAACCATGACCATCCTGTCAAAGACCTAAGTCTGTAAGCTGGTGCCATGTCCATACACCATGTCACTTTACTCTTCATTTGTCACCATCTTTTCCCATGCACGCATACTCTGAACATCCTTGTGTGGGCCCATCCTCTGCATCCAGAGCATGCTCTGCAGTGGGCCTGTTTTGTGGAAGAAAGGAGGCTGTCTCTGCCTTCTCTGATGGGACTGGAGTTGAGGGAAGGAGCTGTATTGTGGCACTTCTGAATTCCCCGTTTTGTTCCATATTGGTATAGAGAGCAGAAGAGTAGCTAGGCAGATGCAGAGATGGAGACATGAGACTCAGTGCAGTGGGCAGGGAAGACATAACAGATGGAAGCAAAGGAATCCTGCCTGCCTTCAGCAGAGAATTCACCGAATCCTAGAACTGTGGCTCCCTCCAGGCAGAGCCTAAGATGCTGGTGAAGAATAGCTGTGTGATTGAATAGGCTCAAAGGAGAGTTCAGAATTCCCATTTACATATTACTAGTTTGGTTTGTAAGTTTTAGTTCCTTGTATTATTGAGATTCAGAGCTTCATTTTATGTTGGTCATTAGGTGAATATTACTCATTTTCCCTCAAGAGAAGCTCATAAGTGTGTGTGGGTGTGAGAGCACGATGGTGCCTGTGTTCTGTGAATGTGTCCATATGTGTCTGTAAGAGAGACAGAGACCAAGAACTTGCCCAATTTTAGAAATACACTAATGTGCAGTTGTTGCCTTTTGTCTGTATTGAAGGCCCATTGAATGACTAATCCAGGCTGGAAGCATTCCCATGTGGGTGTCTGAGTCCATGAGCCAAGCCTGAGGGGACAGTGAGTCTCCAGGTCTGCCACACTGGTGCACCTTGCTGGCACGGTGCCTCAGGAAGGTGGCGACTCAGGTGGGCCTTGAGTTATATTTTAACTCAGCTGCTCAGTTCCCAGGGCACATTTCTGGATCAGAACCCATGGGAAACAGGAGGTACTAAGTGCAATGTCTTAGCATTCTGCAAAATGGAGATCTGTTGTCCAGCGGCTTATCTCCTTTTTAGTAACCCTTCTTTCTGAACCCAGGGCCCTTTTCAGCCTTCCCTCATATTTTCTTGAGATCAAACTTTACTTCTTTCTTATTTACTAAGAATTTGCCTGTTTGAATAAGAACAAAACGCTAAGGTGGGTAGCCTAAGCTGATTTTCTGCTGGTTACACGTGTCTCTCACACCACATTTCCTCAAAGCTAATCTGAATTCTGTAGGCTAAAAATATTCATGTAGCAAATCTGAGAATTGAAAACTGCAGATAACCGGCCGGGTATGGTGACTCATGCCTGTAATCCTAGCACTTTGGGAGGCCGAGGTGGGTGGACCACCTGAGGTTAGGACTTCAAGACCAGCCTGGCCAACATGGTGAAACCCCATCTGTACTAAAAATACAAAAATTTGCCTGGTGTGGTGGTGCATGCCTCTAGTCCTAGCTACTCGGGAGGCTGAGGCACGAGAATCACTTGAACCTGGGAGGCGGAGGTTGCAGTGAGTCGAGATAACACTACTGCATTCCAGCCTGGGTGACAGAGTGAGACTCCCCCTCAAAAAAAAAAAAAAAAAAAAAAAAAACAGAAAGAAAGAAAAAGAAAACTGCAGATAACCCTATACATTAATACTGGTATCTCGAGGTGACTCTTCTGACCAAGGGTGGTTAAGTGACACATAGAACTTTTCTAAGAGAAGACAGACAAGTTGACAGGCATGCCTTGTACTCAGCTGTGTTCATGTGGTGGTCTGTGGAAAGAAAAGAAGACTCATTTGGAAATGAAGCTGTCCCTTTCCAAGCAGTCTCTGGTGCTTTTCTTCTCTCAAAATGGATCCGATAAATATTTGAATAGAGCAGATTGTAGAATGTCGTGCTGTCACCAGAAAGCTGCTGTTTTGGGTTCTGCATTGAGCCAAATATGTAGAGGACCTACCAAGCCCACTGAGGGACTAGGTTTTCATGTCTCTAGTCATACCTAGAATGTTCTGAGCCGTCTGAGGGCCTTCATGCCGGCAGCAGCTAGCAAAGCCAGAAAGCAAGTCTAACAGGATCTAAGATGACCATCAGGAGAAGGAGTTTGAGACTGTGTATGCAACCCCCAATAGACCCCCTTTTACTCTGATCTGGAGAATGTATCTGGCTTCATATTTTCAAGTCACATGTCTCTCAGACCCCTGGATTCAGAACCCAAGGCCACAAATCATAGGCATGAAGCACTTTCTTAAGACTGACCTAACGCTGGATTATTTCCCGTCCAATGCCTGCATGCTGCTTGAATTGCTCCACCCACACCTCCATGACCAAGGGCGCCAGAGTGCTGCAACTGGGGCGTGGGCCGCTCTCTGCTTTTCCTGTCTGACTCTGACAAGTCCTCCCTCACTGAATGTAGAATCGTTGCCAAGTTTCTGAGAAGTGTCGATTCCCTGTTAACATGGATATCAGTTCTGCCTCACATTTCCCACTTGAGGTTGAGGCGTACTGGAGACAACACCTCAGACCATCTGAACCCCATCAGTGGACGAAAATGGGGCTGTTAATATACTCTAAAAGCCATACTAAAAATGCTCTGAGGGAACTGGCTAAGAATAGTGGGCCTGGTGATTGTCTATCACGCAAGGCTTTGTTTTGTACTGTTCAGAAATCTGTCACCTTTCTGCCTGCCCTTGTTTCCTGAATGAAATGCTTCTGGGGTTATTTATGAAAGGAGTGATCCTGGGGCAGGCAGGAGGCAGTGGGCTTCATGGCTCCTTGAAGTTATTACTGATCTTGACCTTCTCTTTGGCTACCTTTAGACAAAGAATACGCCAATCAATACTTGGGGCTCTAAGTTTTACAATTGATATTTATTTGTATCATCTCTTTGTCTAGGAATGTAAAAGTGATTCTAAACTAAGATGTGTAATAAAAATCAATCAGATTTATTGTACCTACAAAAAGGTGTCCTCATAAATGACTAAGGCTTTTGAAAATGACATGCCTGTGGCTGACACACTGCCATTTTCAATAAACATTTTAACTGGGTGGGAGTGGGAAAATGAAGATTGAGTTGGGATGCTGGCATTATTTAATATAGCAACAAGGGGCAGGGTGCAGTGGCTCATGCCTGTAATCCCAGCACTTTGGGAGGCTGAGCCGGGTGGATCACTTCAGGTCAGGAGTTGGAGACGAGCCTGGCCAACATGGTGAAACCCTGTCTGTACTAAAAATACAAAATTGAGTCGGGCGTGGTGGTGCGCACCTGTCATCCCAGCTACTCGGGAGACTGAGGCAGGAGAATCGCTTGAGGCCGAGATTGCAGTAGGCCAAGATTGCACAACTGCACTTCAGCCTGGGCAACGGAGCGAGACTCCGCCTCAAAAATAAATAAGTAAATAAAAATAAATAAATAATGTAGCAACAAGGAAAAGGACACAAAATGAAGAATGATAGAGTGACAAATAAGTGTTTTTCATGTTTTTCCGTGGAGGTTCCTGAGACTGGCCTGGGCAACGGCATGAAATTTCTTTTAACTTTTGTGTTTTGTTTTAAAAATTCTTTTAAATTTACTATTATACATCATACTTTAAAATATATGTGCCTTTTTTTTTTTTTGAGACAGGGCATCATTCTGTTGCCCAGGCTGGAATGCAGTGGCGTGATCACGGTTCTCTGCAGCCTCAGCCTCACAGGCTAGTGATCTTCCCACCTCAGCCAAGACTACAGGTGTGCACCACTATACCTGGCTAATTTTTTATTTTTTGTAGAAATGGGGTCTCTCTATGTTGCCCAGGCTGATCTGTGCCTTTTTTAACACTAAAGTATTTTATGTTGTTTACCATCAGGAAAAGAAGATACAAAAAATGGGCCACACATTGTCTTTTGGATTTCCATGCTCGTAGGCCTGCTGGAGTGACCCTGGGGGGTTGTGCCCCTTAGTTGAGAAGTGGGACTGGGTGGAAGGAGCACAGACCCTGGATTCCAAGCTGGGTTTGAATTCTAGTATTGCCACCACTTACTAGCCATATGACTAGGAGGAATTTAATTGACCTCTCTGAACTTTGGGGCCTTTGTCTGTAAAGTGGAGTGATTATCCCCACTTTGAAGGGCCATTTTGAGGATCAGCGATACATTTAAAGCAGCAAGTACAGTATGGGATAGAGCAAACGTGAAAAAAATGTGGTTATTGCTGTGATAAGGCACTGTGTTTAGAAGACACCATGAACACTTTGTGTCCCGAGAAACTAGAAGTCAGTATTGGACATACCATCTTTAGAAAATCCTAAAGAAAAGCTGTTAACTGTTTAGTAATGTGTATTGAGTACCTACTATGTGTCAAGCTGTTCTAGGCACTAGATATATAGACGTAACACCAGGAACCTGCCTACATGGAACTTGCACTTTAATGGGGATGGAGGATGGGTAAATGTTAAATTAACCAAATGCACACAAATATATGATTATGAATTGTGTCAAATGTCATGAAGTTATAATAGGTTTTTGTTTTTATTTTTGTTTTGAGACGAGCTCTCGCTCTGTCACCCAGGCTGAAGTACAGTGAGTGGCGTGATCATAGCTCACTGTAGCCTCGACCTCCTGGGCTCAAACGATCCTCCTGCCTCAGTCCCCCAAGTAACGGACCAAGGTGCGAACCACCATGGCTGACTAATTTTTTAAAATTTTTTATAGAGATAGGATTT
The DNA here is from genome assembly GCF_000001405.40 of Homo sapiens. Taxonomy (NCBI): domain Eukaryota; kingdom Metazoa; phylum Chordata; class Mammalia; order Primates; family Hominidae; genus Homo; species Homo sapiens. The sequence goes on from NC_000020.11 coordinate 32,336,752, forward strand.
TGTCATTTTGCCCAGGATGGTCTTGAACTTATGGGCTCAAGTGATGCTCCTGCCTCAGCTTCCCAAAGTGCTGGAATTATATGTGTGAGCCACCCTGTGTGGCCAATATAATAGAATATTATAAAAGGAGAGTGGAGACCTAATTTAGATGGGGTGGGTAAAGTAGGAAAGGGCTCTTTGAAGAAATGACAGTTACAGTGAGATCTAGAGGACAGGAGTTAGCTGGGCAAGGAGGAGGGAAGGGCATTTGTGAAGGGATGGGGGAACAGTGTTTGCGAGGGTTTTGCAGAACAAACTCAAATTTCACAAGAAGGTATCTGCAGTCCCTTTTTACCCTCACTAGAGGGTAGCATGGAGAACTGTAGAAAAGATTACAGTCTAGGACTTTAAAGATAGCAACAAAAAATGTAAAGAGCACAAAGGGGACAGTGGCCTGTGCGACTCGGGCAAACGTTTCATAATTGTGTTTCTTCATAAGACGCTTTCAAACTATGTGTAATGTCTGTTTACTCCCCACCCTTCCAAAAAGAGTTAAGAAACAGCTTGGCTTAGCCTCAGTAATTACTAGTTTAGAATAGTTCAGAATCCATTACCCAGAAAGCAAGAATTCAAAGTAGGATTTGAAGAACTGTGAGTGTGTTCTTGAAAATGACAGAATTTGCTGGGCACGGTGGCTCACGCCTGTAATCCCAGCACTTTGGGAGGCTGAGGTGGGCAGATCACCTGAGGTCAGGAGTTTGAGACCAGCCTGACCAACATGGAGAATCCCCGTCTCTACTGAAAATACAAAATTAGCCAGGCGTGGTGGAACATCCCTGTAATCCCAGCTACTCAGGAGGCTGAGGGAGGAGAATCGCTTGAACTCAGGAGGCAGAGGTTGTGGTGAGCCGAGATCGCTCCATTGCACTCCAGCCTGGGCAACAAGAGTGAAACTCCATCCATCCATCTTAAAAAAAAAAAAAGAAAAGAAAATGACAGAATTCTTGGTTGGGCCAGAGGCTAATTCATCAGGGGAAATACAGGACAGACGGGGCACCTGGCAACTTGGAAATTCCTACCAACTCAGCTTTGTTTTTATCTTTTGGATTTTTAAAATTTTAATCAACAAACTACTGAATTTTGGAAACTGTATTTTGAACTTCAGACTGATAATTTAAGTCTTGGGGGCTGTGATTTTGGCAGGCCCTCTTATATTAGAGTTACCATCTGATTGAAGCTTACCCTGAGATTCTGGTCTCCAAGGACCATGTGGTGGTCACATCTGCCAACTGGGTCGTTGGTGGCATTTGTCAAGGACGTAACTAGCTCTTGCAGCTGCTCCTGTTTCAACCTCCATTTCTTTCACTAGTCTTGTGGTTAACCGGTCCCTGGGTGCTTCAGTTAGGCGTGCCAACTGGGGACTTGCTGTTGGGCTGGAGGAATGGGCAGAGGGAGCGATGGCTCACCGCATCTCTGGGGACGGTGTAGCCCACAGGCACTTGTTGAGTGCCCTCTATGCACCAGGCCTTGCCCTGCACTGGAGATAGGGAGGGGAGTAGATGTACCATGGCCCTTCTGAGGAGAGGGGAGACAGAAACACAAGGATGGCAATTCAGAGCACTTGCTGCATAGGAGGCCTGGCTCCTCTCCTCACACAGCCCTCCTAGTCCTCTGAGGCCGGAGCTACACAGGCCTCCATTTGGTTCCTGGGTTATGCCATGTGCTTTCCTGCCTGGCACCTTCACACCTTCACACATGCCATATGCCTTCTGCCTGAAACATTTTCTCCTCATTCTTTGCTCGGCTAACTCCTTCTCATCCATCAGGAACCAGTTGAATGTCACCTCCTCAGAGAAGCCTTCCCCAGCCCTTCGTTGTGGTTTTCCCCATCTCCGCCTCCCAGGTTCAAGCAATTGTCCTGCCTCAGCCTCCCGAGTAGCTGGGACTATAGGCTGGTGCCACCATGCCCAGCTAATTTTTTATATTTTTAGTAGAGATGGGGTTTCACCCGTGTTAACCAGGATGGTCTCGATCTCCTGACCTCATGATCTGCCTGCCTCAGCCTCCCAAATTACAGGTGTGAGCCACCGCGTCCAGCCACAAAAAAAATTCTTTAATTCGTCAGGCATAGTGACATGAACCTGTAGTCCCAGCTACTCAGAAGGTTGAGGTTGGAGGCTCACTTGAGCCTAGGAGGTCAAGGGTGCAGTGAGTTACGATTGCATCACTGCACTCCAGCCTGGGTGACAGAGGAAGGAAGGACAAGCATGCCAGACAAAGGGGACAACATGAATAAATGCAAGGAGAGTTCCTGGTGACTGCGGAATCTGATGGGCCTGGAGTGATGGAATGGGGATGGAGAACGGGGCTGGGAGGGTCTCGACTCCATGGCTCAAGTTAGAGGGAGAGCCCTTGGAGGCTTTTGTGTGTTTTGGAGACCAGGGGAGTGAAGCGCAGCCTATTTACACTCGAGTATTTTCCCCTTAAGCCAGCCTGGCATGCTATTATTTCTTTTTGAGATAACAGAAAGCAATTTCACTAAGTGCCTGCTTTAAGTTTGCCTGCTGTTCACACAGCTTTCTGGGCTTAGTTGGCAAATTGCATTCTGCCAGGAGCTTTCCCTGGCACAGCTCACTACCCAAGGAATTCTAAGGAGCACTTGAGCTTGACTCCAAGGTCTTAGTTCCCTAGGAATGGGGCCTAGTCTTTTTTCAGGGCAGTGGGCTGGAAGGTGGCCCCTATTCTGCATTTGGCAGCAGAGAAATTAAACTTCTGCCATTGGTTTGGGGATTTGTTTTTCTGTTCAGTCAACAAAAGATTAAATAACCTATGCTGTTCAAGACTCTATGTCATGGGCTACAGCAGCCATGAACCCTGCCCTTCCAGAACTCTCAGTCTGGAGGAAATTCTGGCCATTCACAAATAAGTAAATTTAAGGTGAGCAGTGGCACAGATACAGCACAAAGGAGGCGTCACAGATTTCCATAAGGGGCTTTGTTAATGCAGTGATCACCCTCTGCTAGATTATTCCAGGGACAGTGAGGAGCCAGGACTTTGGCATCAGATTCATTTATTCATTCTTTGAGCATCTACTAAGTACTGGGCATTCTTCTAGATCCTAGGGATACAGAAGGCAGCTCCTGTCCTAGGGAATGTCACATCCTAATAGTGGAGGCAGATGGTTGTCAAAGGACAAACAGGCTGTGTCTAATGGTGGTCAGAGTGCTCTGAAGTAAAACCAGGCAGGTCAGAAAGTAAAGAGCTGGGGTGTGGCTGAGCTGGATTGGGAGGGCAGGGAAAGCATCTCTGGAGTGATGAGATGTACATTTGAGCAGAGCCCTGAGTGAAATTAGGGAGCAAGCTGTGTGTCTGGTACCTGGAGGCAGAATATTCTAGGAAATAAGAGTCAGAGTGTGGCTGGGCATGGTGGTTCACACCTGAAATCCCAGCACTTTGAGAGGCTGAGGCAGGCAGATCACCTGAGGTCAGGAGTTCGAGACCAGCCTGGCCAACATGGTGAAATCCTGTCTCTACTAAAAATACAACAATTAGCCAGGCATGGTGACATGCGCCTGTAATCGCAGCTACTCAGGAGGCTGAGGCAGGAGAATTATTTGAACCTAGGAGGTGGAGGTTGCAGTGAGCTGAGATTGCGCCATTGCACTCCAGCCTGGGCAACAGAGTAAGACTCAGTCTCAAAAAAAAAAAAAAAAGAGTGCAAAGGAGGTGGGAGTGCATTTAGAGACAGGAAGGGGACAAGTGTGCTTAGTGGGCAGTAGGTTAGGAAGGTGGGCAGAGGCAAGTCGTAAGTGAATTTTATTTTTGAGCCATTGGACACTTCTGAGCAAAAGAGGGAAATGATCTGACAGGAATGCTCTCAAAGGATCCCTCTGGCTGCTTGGTGGAGACAAACTGTAGGTAGCAGAAGGGGAAGTGAGGAGACTGCTTGGAGTGGCAGGGGGTTTGGGGACACGGGGATGGGGTGAGGAAGGTGCAGTGGGCCGGCAAAGGTAATGCAGATGAGAGAGGGCAGCTTGGACCAGGCAGTGGGGACAGAGAAGTAGGAACGTGCCTTAGATTTATTTTGTCTGCTGATAATCAGAGATGAGAGGGGAGATAAAAAGAAGCAACAATAGTTCCAAGGTTTTTGATCTGAAACTTATTGAAATTCAACCTATGCCACTTGTCGCCCAGGCTGGAGTGCAGTGGCATAATCTTGGCTCACTGCAACCTCTGCCTCCTGAGTTCAAGCGATTCTCCTGCCTCAACCTCCTGAGTAGCTAGAATTACAGGCATGCGCCACCACGCCCGGCTAATTTTTGTATTTTTAGTAGAGACGGGGTTTCACCATGTTGGTCAAGCTGGTCTTGAACTCCTGACCTTGTGATCCACCCACCTCAGCCTCCCAAAGTGCTAGGATTACAGGCATGAGCCACCACGCCCAGCCTGTTTTTTCCCTTTTTAAAAAACAAAAATACAACAAAACCCACACAACTTTATTGAGATTTACAGTCATGCATTGCTTAACAATGGGGAGACCATCTGAGAAATGCATCATTAGGTGATTTCATCACTGTGTGATCACTATGAAGTGTATGTGCACAAGCTTACTGGTATAGCCTACCACACAATTAGGCTATATAGTATAGCCTATTGCTCCTAGGCTACAAAGCTGTAAAGCATGTTACTGCACTGAATACTGTAGGCAATTGTAACACAATGGTAAGTGTTTGTGTGGCTAAACATTTCTAAACAGAAAAGGTACAGTAAAAATATGTTATTATAATCTTATGGGACCACCATGGTATATGCAGTCTGTCATTAACCAAAATGTCCTTATGTGGTGTGTGGCTGTAATTCACTTAACATACAATTCACCCATTTAGTATACAATCCAATGCTTTTTTAGTGTATTCGCAGTTGTGCAACCATCACCATCATTAATTTTAGTTGATTTTTTATTTTTATTTTTTGAGATGGAGTCTCACTCTGTCACCCAGACTGGAGTGCAGTGACATGATCTCGGCTCACTGCAACCTCCGCCTCCCAGGTTCAAGCGATTCTCTGGCCTCAGCCTCCAGAGTAGCTGGGATTACAGGTGCCTGCCACCACGCCCAGCTAATTTTTGTATTTTTGGTAGAGGCAGGGTTTCACCATGTTGGCCAGGCTGGTCTCCAACTCTTGACCTCGGGTGATCCGCCTGCCTTGCCCTCCCAAAGTGCTGGATTACAGGCGTGAGCCATAGCACTCAGCCACTATCATTAATTTTAAAACATTTTCAGGCCGGGCCCAGTGGCTCACTCCTGTAATCCTAGCACTTTGGAAGGCCGAGGCTGGTGGATCATTCAAGTTTAGGAGTTCAAGACCAGCCTGACCAACATGGTGAAACCCTGTCTCTACTAAAAATACAAAAAATTAGTTGGGCATGGTGGTGCACACCTGTAATCTCAGCTACTCGGGAGGCTGAGTCATGAGAATCGCTTGAACCTGGGAGGCGGGGGTTGCAGTGAGCCAAGATTGTGCCACCATACTCCAGCCTGGGCAACAGAGGAGGACTCCATCCCCAAAACAAAACAAAAAAACATTTTCATCACCCCAAGTATGCATTACCAGTCACTCCCCATTTTCTTTGAACTCTGTGGCCCTAGGCAACCTCTAATCCGCTGTGTCTCGTCTGCTCCTGGCTCTTTTTGGGTCTTATCTGTATTGCTATTTGCTCATCTGTAACTTCACAGGGTAACTGTGAGGTTTCAAAAGGTGATGTGAAAACATGAGAGCTTGTCTAGCAGGCCAAACAAAGTGGCTGTGCCCTTCACTGCTGCCCTGACTCCTGGTTTGCCATCCCAGAGCAGGACAGCTCTGACGATGCGTTACTGAGGCAGTGTGAGCTGTAGTGAAGAGTGTGGGTGCCAGACCCAGAGGGCTGGATTGGGAATTCTGAACTCACGATTTACTAGCTTTGCAATTCTGGCAATGTTTCTAGACCTCCTTGGGGTTTCAGATTCCTCAACTGTCAAAAATGAGTCATAGCAAGTATAGTCATGCATCCCTTAATGTCGGGATACTTTCTGATAAATGCATTATTTAGGCAATTTTGTCATTGCGTGAGCATGATAGAGTGTACTTACACAAATCTAGATGGTATATACATTTTATTTATATATTTTTTCTTCTCTTTTTTTTTTTTTTTTCTTGAGACAGGGTCTCACTCTGTCACCCAGGCTCAAGTGATCCTCCCACCTCAGCCTCCCCAGTAGCTGGGACCACAGGTGTGCACCACCACACCCAGCTAAGTTTTTAATTTTTTGGTAGAGATGGGGGTCTCCCTGTGTTGCCCAGACTGGTCTTGAGCTCCTGGGCTCAAGCCATTCTCCTATATTTTTTCATGTGGAAAACGCAATGTCCCAGCACCGTTACTGAATATCACTCATCTCCTCTACTTGAGCTGCAATGTCAATATCAAGTGCCATATGTCAGATTTCCATTTTTTTCTTTCTTTCTTTCTTTCTTTTTTTTTTTTTTTTTTAAAAAAAAGACAGGGTCTCACTCTGATGCCCAGGGGAGAGTGCAGTAGCAGAATTCTGAAACTCCTGGGCTCAAGCAATCCTCCCAGCTCAGCCTCCTGAGTAGCTAGGACTACAGGCTTGTGCCACTACCTCCGACTAATTTTTGTATTTTTTGTAGAGATGGGGGTCTCACTATGTTGCCCAGGCTGGTTTCAAACTCCTAGCCTCAAGTGAGTCTCCCACCTTGGCCTTTTAAAGTGCCGAGATTACAGGCATGAGCCACTGTGCCTGGCCTTATGTTTCTGTATATGCTCCACTATAATCTTATGGGACCACTGTCTTATATGTGGTCCATTGACTGAAGCATTATTATGCAATGCATGACTATAATTCTTAAGTTGCCGTGAGTCACACATGTGAAGCATTGGGAACAGTGCCTGGTATGTGGCAATGTTAATGTGAATGTTAATTGGTACCGTGTTATCTTTATTAGTCAATTAAGAAGTCCTGCAGACAGGTGGTGGCTCCCAACTTCATGACCAGGAGTGGACATTTCTGAATCCAGGTGGTTGCAAGGGCAATAGGGTGACCTGTTTTTAGTGCTGGCTGTGCCTTTTGTTGGATCTGTACCTTTGGAAAAGTCACTTACCCCTCTAAGCCTTAAGTTGCTCATCTGTAAAATGGAGGTTAAAATCATCCTTACTTCAGGCCTGGCACAGTGGCTCAAAGCACATAATTTCAGGACTTTGGATGGCCAAGGCGGGAGGATTGCTTGAGGCACTGAGTTCAAGACTAGCCTGGGCTGGCCAGGCGTGGTGGCTCACGCCTGTAATCCCAGCACTTTGGGAGGCGGGCGGATCACGAGGTCAGGAGATCGAGACCATCCTGGCTAACACAGTGAAACCCCGTCTCTACTAAAAATACAAAAAATTAGCTGGCGTGGTGGCAGGCACCTGTAGTCCCAGCTATTCGGGAGGCTGAGGCAGGAGAATGGTGTGAACCTGGAAGGCGGAGCTTGCAGTGAGCCGAGATCACGCCACTGCACTCCAGCCTGGGCGACAGAGTGAGACTCCGTCTCAAAAAAATAAAAAATAATAAAATAATAATAATAATAAAAAGACCAGACTGGGCAACATAGCGAGACCCCTGTCTCTACAAAAAAATTGATAAATTAGCCGAGTGTGATGGCGCACACCTGTAGTCCCAAGTACTCAGGAGTCTGAGGCAGAAGCATCTCTTGAGCCCAGGAGTTGGAGGCTGCAGTGAGTTGTTATCACACCACTGTACTCCAGACTGGGTGACAGAGGAGAGACCCTATTAAAAAAAAAATCCTCCTTACTTCATGGAGCTCTGTGAAGAATTCAATGACCTATTTAATACCTACTATATGCCCAGCACTGTTTTGAACACCACAGACAAAAACCTCTGCCCTCCTGGAGCTTGTGTGGAGCTAGTGCAGAGGGACAGAAATTAATAATAATCACAGTAATCCTAATAAAATAAGAAAGCATATTTGTAAAGCACCTAGTGCCTGGCATGTGGTGAGCTCTCTAGAAGTAGTAGCAGTTAGGGTTATTATGTGAAAGCATTTTGTAAAGCTGGATAGCACAGCAGAGAGGTAGGTCTGAAGGTGACTGTGCCATGAGCATGTGGCCTTCATTGAAGCCTTACCTCATCTCTGCTCAATTGAATTTCATTCAGCCTCCAACGCCCCCATCTTGTTGCCTGGGTGAAATCTTTGTCTCAGGGTGTAGAGCTTTCTCCTTTCCTCTTTTCATCCAGCATTTACTGAATGCCACTTTGGGCTGAGCATCCTGCTGGGCGCTGGGGCTATTGAGCTGCAAAACCCAGAAGGAGCATGGTCAGGAGCCTGCAGGAGGGAGCCCAGGGCATTCTGGGAGCCTCGTGGCCATGCACATTAGAGCTAGACTGTGAAGGAACCTAGCTGCTGAGTTTTGCTTTTATTCTGCCAGGGGAGACTCTGAAGGCTTCTGAGCTGGGTGATAAAGTTCGTGGATAAACTAAGAGTTCACAACATTCTTGTTTAAGTACTGCATGGTAAAAGTAAATATTTGCATTATGGTTAAATCCATAATCTATATTTAAGCACTGCAGTCAAACCAAAAAGCTACAAGATGGAGATGTAAAGGCATGTAGAGGAGCACAGACCTCAGGGCAAATAACGTCTCCAATCGAAGACAGTACACTACTAAATTAGCAGGAAATGTAGCCAAATGGAGCAGGGAGGTTTTGAAGCCGGATAAACCAGGGTTGGCACTTACTATCTGTTTTGAGCTATTGCACGTCTGGGGGAGGGTTAATACCCTGCAGGGTTGCTGAAGGGATTAAAGAAATATCCATCAAGTGCCTGGCACTTAATAGGCACACAATATGAGGCATATATTATTAGATATTAATAGCAATATTAAGATAAGTAGTGGAGCATCATGGAAAGAGTTCTTGTGTCAGCCAGCCCTGTGTTCAAATTCTGATACATCCAGAGCAAGCTTCTTAACCTTTCTGAGCCTTTAGTTGTCTCCTCACCTGCAAAATAAACAAGTAAGACCTCCTATGTAGGGTTGATGTAGGGAATAAATAAGAATATAGACTTTGTAGGCTATGTAATAGATGTTCAGTTAAGTGCTATTTTAAAACCAAAATGCAGTGAGCTCTATTGAAATTTTTTGTTTGTTTGTTTATTTTTGAGACAGGGTCTTGCCCTGTTTCACAGGCTGAAGTGTGGTGGCACCATCTTAGTTCAGTGCAACATCCACCTCCCTGGTTCAAGTGATCCTTCCACCTGGGCCTCCCAAGTAGCCGGGAGTACAGGCGTGCACCACCATGCCCGGCTAATTTTTTGTATTTTGTGTAGAAACATGGTTTTGCAGGTGGGGCGCGGTGGCTCACGCCTGTAATCCCAGCACTTTGGGAGGCTGAGGGGAGTGGATCACAAGGTCAGGAGTTTGAGACCAGCCTGGCCAACAGGGTGAAACTCTGTCTCTACTAGAAATACAAAAATTAGCCGAGCATGGTGGCGCATGCCTGTAATCCCAGCTGCTTGGGAGGCTAAGGCAGGAGAATTGCTTGAACCTGGGAGGCAGAGGTTGCAGTGAGCTGAGATCACGTCACTGCACTCCAGCCTGGGTGACAGAGCAAGACTGTCTCGGGAAAAAAAAAAGAAACATGGTTTTGCCATGTTGCCTAGGCTGGTACTGAATATTTTGATTATAAAAGTTACATCTTCTAATGGTAAAAAATTCAAACAATACAAAAACATTTTAAGAAAGTAATTACAAATCACTGGAAACTCCGTTACCCAGAGCCAATGATTATCTTTTGGATACCTCTTTGTGCAAACTCTTTTAGTTTGACCATCATGGTATATGTAAATTTATTCTACTCACCTGTCCTATTTTCACTCAATGATATGTTGTGGACATATATCCAGTTAATTTAAATTTATATTATTGTTTTAAATCAGTACCTTGCATTATATTATATTATATTGTACCAGAATTTATTTAACACTATTGATGGTCATTGAAGCTACTTCCAGATTTTTACCATTTTATACAATGCTATATTAAGCAACCTTGGACAAAGATCACTGTTCGCTTGTTTAATTTCCTCCTGGAATAAATCACTGTACATGAATTACCAAATCAAAAGGTTTTCCCATTATAATTTTATTAATTTTTTTTTTTTTTTTTTTGAGATGGAGTTTTGCTCTTGTTGCCCAGGCTGGAGTGCAATACAGTGATCTTGGCTCACCGCAACTTCCGCCTCCCGTGTTCAAGTGATTCTCCTGCCTCAGCTTCCCAAGTAGCTGGGATTACAGGCATGCGCCACCACACCCAGCTAATTTTGTACTTTTAGTAGAGACGGGGTTTCTCCATGTTGGTCAGGCTGGTCTACCTCAGGTGATCCACCCGCCTCAGCCTCCCAAAGTGCTAGGATCACAGGCGTGAGCCACCATGGCCGGCTAAAATCTTTTAAATTGTTATTTTTTATAAAGAGACAGGGTCTCACTGTGTTGCCCAGGATGGTCTTGAACTCCTGGGCTCAAGCAGTCCTCTCACCTCAGCCTCCCAAAGTGCTGAGATTACAGGCGTGAGCCACCACTGTTGGCCTATAATTTTCTTGTGTTAGCCAGACTTGTGTTCAAATCCTGATACACCCAGAGCAAGTATGATTTTGTTACATATTGCTAACCTGCCTCCCAAATCAATTGTATGAATTTGCACTCCCATCAACAGTGCATGAGTTGTGTCTGTTTCCCTCCATCTTTGCTGAATTCTGCCAATCTTTTTAACCTTTGCCACTCTGATCTATTGAAAAATATCTCAATCTTGTTTTAATCTGTAGTTCCATTCCTAATGAGGCTGAAAATCTTTTCAAGTATTTATTTCCATTTGTATTTCTTCTTTTGTTAATAGCATGTTTAGGCCTGTTTTTTTTTTGTTTTTTGTTTTTTTTTTTTGAGACGGAGTCTCCCTCTGTCACCCAGGCTGGAGTGCAACGGCGCAATCTCGGCTTACTGCAAACTCTGTCTCCCGGGTTCAAGCGATTCTCCTGCCTCAGCCTCTCAAGTAGCTGAGACTACAGGCATGTGCCACCATGCCGGGCTAATTTTTGTAATTTTAGTAGAGACGGGGTTTCACCATGTTGTCCAGGCTGGTCTCCAACTCCTGACCTCAAGTGATCTGCCTGCCTCAGCGTCACAAAGTGCTGGGATTACAGGCATGAGCCACCGCGCCCGGCCCCCAAGGATTTTTTAACTTCCATATTGTGCTTAGGAAAACTGCCTAATTATTAAAATATAGTTAAAAGATTAATAGTTCCAGGATTATAAAAATATCCATTTGTTTCTTTCAATACTTTTATTGTTTCTTTTATCACATGTAAATTTTTGATCTAGGTGGAATTTATTTAGATTTAATGAGAGAGGTGGAGCTCTAGCTTAATTTTTCTCCAAGTGGCTAGTCTGTGGCTAGTCCCATTCTGTTTATTGACTTCTTTTTCTCCACCAGTTGGAAATGTCACCTTTATCATACACTACAATTCCTCATACACCTGGCTCTGTTTCTATACTCTGTTTGGTTTAATAGGACTGTATTTCTTTGTTGAAATTGCTGTTTTAGCTGTTGTAGCTATCTAATGCATTTTAATATCTGGTAGAACAAGTCCCAGCTCGTTAATCTTCTTCAAAGTTTTCCTGGCAGTAGAGCAAAGTGGTAAAATTCATGGACCTTGAGGTCAGCCCGCCTGAGCTTTAATCCCAGGTTAGCCGCTAACTAGCTGTGTTACCTTGAACAAGTTATTTTTTTGCTCTCTGAACTTCTGCTTCCTCATCTGTATAATGTTAACAATAACAGTATCTACCTCACAGTGTGTTTGTGAAGATGTGATGAGACGATGCATAGCAAGTCCTCAGGATGGCACCTGGCACATGGTGAGTGGTCAGTAAATGTTAGGTCTTTTTTTTTATGAAAATGATGCACCTATTTTTCCAGTTGAATTTTAGGATTGTTTTGACAATAAAATCTCACTGGGATCTTCATTGGGATGACATTTACTTGGTGGGATGATTTTGGGATAATTAATATCCACGTTATAGGACCTTCCACTCTAAGGAAAGCTCTGATTTCCACTGGTCCAAGATGTTATGCTCTTCAGTAGAGTTTTATAGTTTTCTTTTTATAAGACCAGTACATTTTTGTTAACTTTATTTCCAGATGGTGTAATTTTTTTTATCTATTACTATTATTATTATTATTCTTTTTTGAGACGGAGTCTCACTCTGTCACCCAGGCTGGAGTGCAGTGACACCATCTTGGCTCACTGCAACTTCCACCTCCAAGGTTCAAGCAATTCTCCTGCCTCAGCCTCCCAAGTAGCCGGAATTAGAGGCATGCGCCACCATGCCTGGCTAATTTTTGTATTTTTAGTAGAGACTGGTTTCACCATGTTGGTCAGGCTGGTCTCAAACTCCTGACCTCAAGTGATCCTCCCGCCTCAGCCTCCCAAAGTGCTGGGTTTACAAGTGTGAGCCACTGTGCCCAGCCCAGATGATGTAATATTTTAATTGCTCTTGTGAATGGAATCCTTTTTTTCCCACCATTTTTTTTTCTCCCAACCCATTTTGGTTTTTTCTCCCAACCTATTTCCTGTTTTTGAGACATGTCTCACTCTGTTGCCCAGACTGGAGTGCAATGGCATGATCAGAGGTCCCTGCAATGTTGAACTCCTAGGCTCAAGCAGCTCTCCTGCCCCAGCCTCCCAAGTAGCTGGGACTACAGGTGTGCATCACCATACCCAGCTAATTTATTTTATTTTTAGTATAGATGAAGTCTTGTTATATTGTGCAGGCTGGTCTTGAACTCCTGGGCTGAAATTATACCCTTGCCTCAGCCTCCCAAAATGCTGAGATTGCAGGTGCAAACCACTGTGCCCAGCCATCTCACCATTATTATTATTATTTTCTTCTCCTTCTCCTTCTTCCTCTTCCTCTTTTCTTCTTGTTCTTCTTTTCCCTATTCTTCTTCCTCTTCCTCCTTCTCCTTCTTTTTTTCTTCTTATTTTTTTTGAGACACGGTCTCACTATGTTGCCCAGGCTGGTCTTGAATGCCTGGCCTCAAGCAACCCTACCACCTTGGTCTCCCAAAGTGCTAGGATTACAGGCATGAGCCACTGTGCCTGGCCCTCATCGCACCATTTTCTAATGGAATTATTAGTAGTACATTAAAAGTTATTCATTTTTGAATGCTTATTTTGCACCCAAAGTGACTATAATTGTTGAGTTTGGAACTAATTTCTCCCCTACCTGGTGTCAGCTTTCAGACATCCCCTTCTGTCAACTCTAACAGCACCCCAGGCTTCTATCTGCTAGGGCACCTACTACGTTGGCTTGCCATCATTTGTAATCCATCTGTGTAAACACAGGAACTGTGTCTATCTAGGCTGTAAGTCCCCAGGGCTCAGCACAGGGCTGGCATCCCAGTAAGAGGCTATCAGTGCCAATGGAAGAAGGTGCCCCATGCTGTATTACTGTTGTTTTCTGGGATAGAGGAGTCTTTCCTCTAGGATGGAGAGCAGAGCAGTGAAGAAGCAAGCAGTCCCTTACATCATCTGGCTGACTGTCTAATTTGGAGTAGACATTGAAGTCATCATTAATGTCAAGAGTGAATTAGATTTTTCATTATATGTTGAAGAACGCATTGAGTGGTATGGGAGGATGGACGGCTTAATGAATGTAGGAAATCAGGCAAAACCTTGCCAAAGAAATGACATTCAAGGAGACATCAAGGGTGACTCTGCAACCCTGTCTTGCTTTCCCTGCCCCAACTGCAGACCAGTCTTAGCACCCAGTTCTGCTTGAATGAATTCATTCAGAAAACGTTGACAAACACCTGTGTCAGGGCCTCTGCTGTTGGGTCTGGGGCCACAGGGTTGGGTAAGAGCCAATATATGAGCTCAGATCATAGCTCTATTGAGCTGGTTGTTACAGGAGGTGGTCAAGACTTTGCTTGGGATCTGCCCAGCCCACCTTTCTGGCTTTGTCTCCTGCTCCTGCCCCTCTGGACTGCTGGCCTGTCCCCAAGTGAACACACTTGCTCTTTCACACACAGACCCATGGAGACCACTCCCTATCATACTCACTGGCACTTCTACCCAGAATTCACCTGAGCCACCCTCTTTCCTTTGGGCTTTCAAGGCCCAGCTAAAGTATTAGCTCCTCTGTGAAGGCTGCCCTCTCGGAGTTTGTTGCTGCCTCCTTGTCCAAAAGGACCTAAGATAATAGGTTTTAATAATGTGTACAGTTATTTATTTCCATCTCTAAGATCCCATTAGACCAGGGGCCCTCGGAGTCAGTGAGCTTGTCTTTGTGTTTTTGCTGGGACCTAATACACAATGGGTCACTCAGGAATTGCAATTAAAATGGGTCCAGAGAAATGTGACCTGCAAGAATAAAGGGATAGGGCAACCCACTCTGGTCCCCTTCCACGCTGTGGAAGCTTTGTTCTTTCGCTCTTCACAATAAATCTTGCTGCTGCTCACTCTTAAAAAAAAAAAAAAAAGAATAAAGGGATAGAATGCAGAAGGAAGATGAAGATGTAAGGACAACTTAACTTAGAGCAGTGGTTCTGAACCCAGGCCTCCAGGAAGGCAGAACGGCAAAGGGGCAGAGGATGTGAGCTGTGTAGTTGAGGTAGTTGGGTTTGAATCCTGGCTCTGGCATCTATTAACTCCATAAACTGGGACATGTAGTTGTATTTCTTGGGGTTTCAAGAGGGGCCAGGAATACCTTGGAACACTATAGAGAATTTCATATAAATAGGTATAAGTTTTTCTGGAAAGAGAGTCCATTGCTTTTTAACAGGCTTCACAAAAGGTAAGCACCACTCAGAAGGGGAGACACTGTCTTTATTAGTTGTCAATTGCTGTGAAACGAATTACCTCAAAATCTAGTGACTTAAAACAATCAACATTTCGGCTGGGCACGGTGGCCCTCACCTGTAATCCCAGCATTTTGGGAGGCTGAAGTTAGGTGGATCATGAGGTCAGGAGTTCAAGACCAGCCTGGCCAACATGGTGAAACCCCACCTTTACTAAAAATACAAAAATTAGCTGGGCCCGATGGCAGGCACCTGTAATCCCAGCTACTTGGGAGGCTGAGGCAGGAGAATTGCCTGAACCCGGGTGGCAGAGGTTGCAGTGAGCTGAGATCACACCACTGCACTCCAGGCTGGGCGACAGAGTGAGAATCCATCTCAAAAAAATAAAAAACCAAAAACCAAAAACCAAAAAAAAAAAAAAAAACCACCACCACCACAACAACAAAAAATCAACATATCATGTCTCGCTGTTTCTGTGGGTCTGGAATCCAGCTTATGTGGATGATTCTGGCTTGGGGTCTTTCGTGAGGTTGTAGGCAAGATGTTGGCCAAGGCTGAAGTCATGTGAAAGTTTGTCTGGGGCTACTGTCGTATAGACCTCTCCAGAAAGCTGCTTGAGTGTCCTTATGACATGGTGGCTAGTTTCCCCCAGAGCATGTGACCTGGAACAAGGCAGAGCTGCAATGTTTTCTCTGACCTAGCCCCAGAAGCCACTTATGCTCATTTCCACAGTTACAGAGTTCAGCCCTAATCAAAGTGGGAGGGGACTAAAAAAGGATATGAATGTGAGGAGGTGGCCATTTCTAAGGCTACCACAGTGCCTTAGAAAGAACTTGGAATGAGGAGCTTGGGGTTTAAATGTTGACTCCAGCAACAACCAATTGTGCAATCTTGGGAAAGTGTCTTTTCTTTACTGGCCCACTTTTCTCATTCACCTCGTATGATGGTTTTGGAATTCAAGAGTTAAGTCCTGTGAAAAGCCATTTATATAAGCCCCCAACTTCACATTTAGTTATTAGAGGAAGAAAAGTCATTTAGGGTAGGGTGTAAGTTGATGTTTTTATTATAAATCATGGGAAACAAAGAAATAACCCATTCACCGCTCTCATCACTTGGGCACACCACCCGCTCAGCATTTTGATGTTAAAATACATTTTAAAGGTTCTTTTCCTTCTTTCACAGAGGAAATAATAGAGGAAATGGCTTAAACTGAGGCCAGAAGCATTATGGTGGATGTGAGTAAATCTCTGCATTATTAAGAGAGATTAAAAATTGGGATGGGTACCTTATTGAGGTCCTGAAATCTATACTTGAAAACCTTAAAGCATCAGAGAGCTGCCATTTTCCGTGATTTCGGTAAAAAGCAGCTCAGGTTATCCTTCCTTTGAGGCCATTCTAGGGGGTCCCACAAATCTTTTTAAGCAAAATAAAAATATTAATAATTATTAAAGTTGTTTTCACATTGTTGAGGTATATTGCATTAAGAATGGAATTTGTTTTTCCATCATAAAAGTAGCACATACTAATTCTAGGTTTTGAAAATACAAATATAAAAAAGAAAAAATATTACCCATAGCTACTACCTTAATCTAAATGTTCTATGTTTTGCGGTTGAAATGAAAAAGAATTTTTTTCAATTAAAAAGTGTAATATGGGCCGGGCGTGGTGGCTCATGCCTATAATCCCAGCACTTTGGGAGGCTGAGGCAGGCAGATCACTTGAAGTCTGGAGTTTGAGACCAGCCTGGCCAAACATGGAGAAACCCTGTCTCTACTAAAAATACAGAAATTAACCTGGTGTTGTGGCACATGCCTGTTATCCCACCAACTGAGGTAGGAAGATTGCTTGAACCTGGGAGGCAGAGGTTGCTATAAGCCAAGATCATGCCACTGCACTCCACCCTGGATGACAGAGCAAGACTTTATCTCAAAAACAAAAGGTAATATGTCCATGGCTCACAACTGTAATGCCAGCACTTTGGGAGGCCGAGGCAGGAGGATCACTTGAGGTTAGGAGTTCGAGACTATCCTGGGCAACATAGCGAGACCCTGTCTCTACAAAAAATTTAAAAAAAAAATTAGCTCGGGGTGGTGGGATGTGTCTGTGGCCCTACCTACTCCTAGCTACTCAGGAGTCTGAGGTGGGAGGATGGCTTAAGCCCAGGAGGTCAAGACTGCGGTGAGCCATGATCATGCTACTGCACTCCAGCCTGGGTGACAGAGTGAGACCTTGTCTCAAAAAAAAAAGACAATCAAAAGTTGCCATAGTCTGATGGTTACCCAGAGGTAACCATTATTGACATTTTGTTGCCAGGCACAGTGGCTCATGCCTGCAATCCCAGCACTTTGGGAGGCTGAGGTGGGAGAATTACTTGAGCCCAGGAGGTCAAGGCTACAATAAGCTGAGATTGCACCATTGCACTCCAGTGTAGGCAACAGAGAGACCCTGTCTCAAACAAACGAAAAAGACATTTTGGTAATTTAAACACGTTTTCCTCCCTACTGGGAGACTGAACAGCAGGATTTAAACGATGGTGAATGGAAGGTGAGCTATGAGTTAGGGCTGCCCATCACATGGGCAGATTCTGTGACTTAATGACAATAATAAGGTCATGAAGTCTCCTATACAGGGTCTTGCTCTGTCACCCAAGCTGGAGTGCAATGGCGCAACCATGGCTCACTGCAGCCTCAAACTCTTGGGCTCAAATGATCCTCCTGCCTCAGCCTCCTGAGTAGCTGGGACTATAGGCACATGCTGCCACGCCCAGCTGAAGTCATGCTCTCTATCCATGAGCATCTTTATAACTTGCATAGATATATTTGGGTGAAATCCTGTCTTGGTCTTTCCCGATTCTCCCTGAGCAGGTTCCAAACATTGTTTAGGGCTCAAAGGGAAATTAGTCTTCAGAGTTTCTCCAGTAAAGTAATTACGGAGATCGGGTCATTTATTCAACAGATTGGGTGCCTACCATGTGCCAAGACTGTGCCAGGCACTGGGGATATGATGATGAAACCAAAGATGCTAGCATGAACACAATCACTAAACCAAAGTCACACAAATAAATTAAATGTGGGAGGGACAAGGAGAGCTATACATGTACTGATCATCTGCTATGCTGGAAGTTTATTTAGCAAATGTAATCTTATTTAATCATCTGGACCCAAGGGAGGTAATCTGACCTCTCTGAATCTCAGCTTCATGTGAAAACGGGGATAATATTATTGAGAGAGAACATTTGTTACAGGGGCAAACCCTGTTCCAAGGTTTCTTTCACTCAAAGTATAAACAATGAGGCACTTTTTACACTTTAGACACTAAAACTTTTTGGAGGCAAAGAGGGCTGGTATTTAGTGAGTATCTGCTATGTGCTAGGCACTTTACAGAGATCTCATTTAATCTCAGTTCCATTCTTTGAATTTGCTATGTACCCTGCTGTCCAAATGACGGCACTGAGTCAGTGAGAGGTTTCATAACTTGCCCAAGGCCACAGAACTGGATGGAGAAAGACTGCAGAGATTCAAACCCAGGCCTGCTGACATGCAGAGCCAATGAGAATATATTATCTTGCAGTGCAGTTTATGGGATATATGTGTCCCTTTGGGAATTCCTGGGTGTCTGCTGGTGGCCTGTTAACTTGGTTCTTGAATATGCACTTTGCTTATAACTGTGCAGTTTGAAAAGTGACTCATCCCCAAACTAGGCAGGGTTGAGTGTCTGTCCTGTTTATCTTCCACATGCCACCTGCACTAACTTCTGAAGATAATCTATAATAAAAGCACTGTGATTAAAAAACAGAAAAACACACACCAAAAATGTATAGGTTTGTCTGTTGGTGCTTCTGACAAGAAAATAAACTCATGAATCTCATTAACTTTAAAAAAATCACATCTACTTAAGGTTTAATGACTAAAGCCAACTTTCTAACATATCTGTACCGTTCTCTGAACATACTGTTTTCACACTTAACTACGATGTTGTCACTTGTTTCTGTCTGATTCTGCAAGGGCAGAGACCTTGAAATATTCAAATCTGGATTCCCCCATGGTTTGACCCAGCTGAAGTCAGGCAGTGTTCGCTGAAAGAAATAAAGGTGTTTCCATAATGCCTGTATTAGCTTTCTTTTGGGGCTGTAAGAAGTTACCACAGATTTAGTGTCATAAAACAATATTCATTTCTGTTTCACGCTTCTTGTGGGCCCGACGTCTGGATTCCATGGCTCAGCTGATTCTCTGCTTCCAGTCTCACGAGGCTGAAATCAAGGTGTCTATATTCCTTTCTAGAGAGTTGGGGAGGGGGTATAATCTGTTCCCAAGTTCATTCAGCTTGTCAGAATTCAGCTCTGTGAGGTTGTAGGACTGAAGTCCCCATTTCCTTGCTGGCTCTTGGCAGGACTTCCTCTGAGCTTTTGGAGGCTGCCTGGATTCCCTGGCTTGTGGCCACTTTCAAAGCCAGTAACAGTGGGTTGAATTCCTCTCATACTTTGAATTTAATTCCTCTGCCTCATCTCTCCAAAACATCTCTTTTGCCTCCCTTTTGTGCTTTTAAGGGTTCATGTGATTACACTGGGCTCACCCATATAATACGGAATCATCTAATTTTAAGGGCTTTATTTCCATTGGCAAAATATCTTTTGCCAAAGAATGCTGGCTGGTAATCCCAGCACTTTGGGAGGCCGAGATGGGTGGATCACCTGAGGTCAGGAGTTCAAGACCAGCCTGGCCAACATGGAGAAACCCAGTCACTACTAAAGATACAAAAATTAGCTGGGCATGGTAGCGCATGCCTGTAATCTCAGCTACTTGGGAGGCTGAGGCAGGAGGATCGCATGAACCCAGGAGGCGGAGGTTGCAGTTAGCCAAGATCACGCCACTGCACTCCAGCCTGGGTAACACAGCGAGACTCTGTCTCAAAAAATAAATAAATAAATAAATAAAAAAGCAACATATTCACAGGTTCCAGGGACTAGGACTTGGACAGTTTTGGGCAAGCGGGGAAGACATTATTCTGTCTACCACAGTACCTGTATTAAACATGTAAATTTCAGTTATTCCCTGTAGGTCAGAGGGCAGTAAAGCTACTTCAGAAGACATCGGAAAGAAGCCAAATGACTTGCCAAAGAGTACTGTATCAGCCGTAGATTGAAAAAAAAGAAGTTAAAAATCCTTTGTAAAAAATCAAGGCAAACAGTTTTTTGAGGGACAGTAGTTCCTCCTTTCTCTCAGGGTAAAGCTAGAGAGATTTTTAAGAGGTGTCTTATTCTAACTTGCAGTCTTTTCCCTTTGTAGGATTTTGCTTACCGGACTCACAAGTTTTCTGTGACCAGTATTAGAAGCAGAAAACACTGAACCCCTTGGCGTTAGAGTTTGGGCTACACCATAATGGTCTCCTATCAATACTGGCTCTCGCTACGTGTTAACATTAGGGAGTGGAGAGTGTGTTTCCTCACCCAGGGAAACCGTTTAAATGTGGCCACTGATCCTGCCTTCATAGTTTTTAAGAGCTGGCATCAATCCAACTCCGGACGGACTCTAGAAATGTTTCTGGACAACGACTGAACCTATAGTTACAGAAAACCTATGTGCTGGGCGCTCTGAATTTCATTTCAGGTTCTAAAACTAAGGCTCAGAGAGGCTAAGTATATTGCCTATTGTTTCTCAGCTGGTAATAACAGCTACCATTTATTAAACATTTGCTCTATGCCAGGCGCCATATCATACGGACCTGATAATGTCAAGATCTCCCTTCACATCCTCTTCCAATCTGTCAAGAATTGTATGTTAATTTTAATTCCAATAATGCCATGAAATACAAGACAAATGCAGATCAGAAAACTGAGGCTCAGAGAGGTTGAGTGGACAGCCAGGGAGTGACTCAGCCAAGATTCCAGTCTAGGTCCGCTGGACTCCAGGGCCTGAATTCTCTCCAGGGTACTGCCTCTAAAAACGCCCTCAGGTGCATTCTGGTCAGTATGGCCCCAGAGTCCAAGTTCTTTACACGACCCGTCAACATATCACCAAGTTCCTAAGAACGCTCTAGGCTGCTGGTGCAGGCTCTGCAAATACACAGCGGCCTGAAAGCACAGGAAGAAATGAAGAACCGTCTAAGTCCATCAGCCGTGGAATAACCGTTTTACTGGTATGAGGGTCTTTTTGTCTCATTATTATGTGGCAGTGAGTCATTTAGAGGTGACCAAAAGGGAAAGTCCTGCCTCTCGTCCCCTACGAGAAGTGTAGGTAAGAACCGTTTAGGCGAGGAGAAGCACGAAGTGGGAACTGCGAGTCGAGCTCCCCATCCTCACTCCCCACCCGCACCCGCCAGGAGGTCCTGAAGCAAAAAGCACCGAAGGGGTTAAGGGTGGCCGGGGGAGCCCAGCCACCGCCCCTTCCCAGCATCGCCTCCCAGAATCCCGCAGGCCCCCAGCCAGTTCTCGCACCTCGCGAGACTCCACCCAGCCCCTTCCCCGAACAGCGACCCGTCCCCGTTCCTAGCTGAGGTCGGTGCTAGGCGGAGGACGCGAGAGGGAGAGCGGAAGGGGGCCGCCGGGCACGCCGGGAAGTGTGGTCCACGCGCTTCACGCGGCCATATTCTTCCGGAGCGGGGGAGGCCAGAGAGGCCGTTGGGACTACGACTCCCAGGCGCCCTTTCGGTTTGTTTTTGTTCAAAAAAAAAAAACCCCACACTCCCCCTCCTCACTCTTCACACACACTCACACACACCCACGGCAGACACGCACGCACCCGGGCGCCGAAGGGAAAGCCGCGTCTCGCCCTCCCGCCCCGCCGTCGGTCCTGTCTCAGTCCCTCAGCAGAGCGGGAAAGCGGAGGCCGGAGCCGTGACCTCTGACCCCGTGGTTATGCGGAGCCGCCGCATTCCTTAGCGATCGCGGGGCAGCCGCCGCTGCCGCCGTGGGCGACTGACGCAGCGCGGGCGCGTGGAGCCGCCGCCGCCCCTCCCCCACCGCCGCTCTCGCGCCAGCCGGTCCCCGCGTGCCCGCCCCTTCTCCCCGGCCGCACCCGAGACCTCGCGCGCCGCCGCTGCCACGCGCCCCCCCCACCGCCGCCGCCGCCCCAGCCCCGCGCCACCGCCCCAGCCCGCCCAGCCCGGAGGTCCCGCGTGGAGCTGCCGCCGCCGCCGGGGAGAAGGATGAAGGACAAACAGAAGAAGAAGAAGGAGCGCACGTGGGCCGAGGCCGCGCGCCTGGTGAGGCGGACAGCCGAGGGGGGCTCCGTGGGGCCCGGGGTGGGGGGGGCTCGCCGCGCACCCCCCCACTGGGGGGGGAGGGGCAAGGCCCTGCCCACCGCGGGAGGGGGCGGGGCCATCTTCCTTTAAGAACGGGACAGCCCCGCAAGGCGAGGGGTGGGGAGCGCTCCGCCGGGATGGGATGTGGCGCCTTTTTCCGCTCGCCCTCGCGCCCCCCCCGCCCCGCGCAGCTAAATTCCGGCGGAGGGGCGAGCTGGCAGGCCGGCTCCTCCCACTCTGGGCAGCGGGGTCCCGCGTCCCCTCCCCCACTATTTGGCAGCGTCTGGGGGTCTGGGGCAGCTTCGTTCATTCACCCGGGGGAGTTGGGTTTCCGGGAAGGGTCGGAAGCTCCTCCCTCGCTTCCTGGTGGGTAATGGGGTGGTGCCTTTGACTCCGGGGGTGGAAAAGCGACCCCACATTCAAGGACGCCAATGGCATGTTGAGCTTTCCCAATCTAAACCAGGTGCGTGGAGGGAAGCAAGTGCTTACTCCCAGCTTGAACCCTGAGCAGCGGTTCTCTAACTTTAGTGTCCTGTGGGCGACACCTGGGAGGCGGTTAGGAACGCTACTCCTAGGGCCCTTCGTAAGACCTGCTGAGCCTCAGGGTCTGGGATAGAGCCTGGGAATCTGCGCTTTCACCAGCTTCCCAGGTGATTCAAACGCAGTGGCTCACGGACCCCACTTTGAGAAACGCAGACTGGGCTGTTTGCCTTCAGAAGCTGGACTGGAAATTGGTATTTTGAGGAGAACTGAATCCACTTTGCAAAGAATGTATGTTGGACAAAGACAAAGTATCTCTGTTGGGAGACGTTGTTCACTGAGGATTTAGCAAGGGAGAGCGTAACTTGAGTGTTTGAAGCCGTCTCGTTCAACCGATGGGGGTTGTGAATTTTGTGTTCAGAGCGTCAGAGGACTTGCAGGTGAAATAGCTTCCTTTTGGATTACTCCCACAAAGCTCAGACACTTTGAGACATATTCGGGTAATTATCTGCTGATACCAGTAGTAACAGGTTATACTAAGATGTCAGTTCCTAAGATCTGTCACACAGCGAGGTTGTGGTGCGGATAGCATAAGTGTCTCTTGACACTGTAGTTTATATGTAATGGTTGTAATTCAGTTTTAATGATGAGTGAAGCTCAGACTTAATTTTCTCTCTTATTTTGAAGTGAGTTTTCTGCTTCAAAGGTGTTGTGCAAAAAAAAAAAAAATAGACTGTATTGGGGGGGTTGACACAAACCTGAAGTACACCTTTTTCTTTCTCGAAGTCTGTAAAAGTTACAGATTTATAAAAACTGAAGGAATTTGGGCTACAGAATTTTCATTGGTGCTTGCTATCCTCTTCCCTAGTCATTTGTTGCCCAGGGAACAAAAATAGCAATTGTTTGTATGCTGAAGTTTTGTGCTTCAGTTTATTTTGGCCTGGCATGTGAAGTTTGAAGATTTTGAGGTTCCGAAATATTTTTTTTCTGATTGAGTCAAAATTGGAAGCTTGGGCTAGTTTTCAGGATCTTGTAGAAATTTCAGGATTTCTCTAACGGTTCTGCACCTGGAAACAAATATAGGCCTGATGGGGAGTGGGAGAGAGCTCTCGTTCTCCTCCTCGACAATGAGTTTTGTGTGTTCATTGACATTCTCCTTGGCGTTCCTGTTATGCGGGTGTTTATGACCCTGGGCACCCAAGGAAATTTGCTTGCCAGAGTTTTACTTGTTAGAGGTAGGTGAAAGTACTTTTAAGTCTTGTGTTATTTATGTCTTGACAGAATTATGAAATCTGTTTGTCTCAAAGTTCTGTTGGCTCTTACTAGTTGACTTTAGGAATTTGGGGTCCACTGTTAAGTCTCTTTAGATTCTCGAATTTACCGTGGTCTGAACTTCAACATCGAGGTTGCTATTTCTGTTTTATCATTGACTCAACTTCAAGCCAGGTTATCAGGGTAAGTTATTCCTCTTTTTCTTCTAAGGCTCTTCATTAAAAATAGTAATATGAATAGGAATTACTTTGTTTGTTTGTTTTTCGTTTGTTTGCCACCACACCCGGCTAATTTTTTATTTTTAGTAAAGATGGGGTTTTTCCATGCTGGTCAGGCTGGTCTCGAACTCGTGACCTTAGGTTATCCGCCCACCTTGGCCTCCCAAAGTGCTGGGATTACAGGCGTGAGCCACCGCGCCCAGCCTATGAGTAGGAATTACTTTGTGGTGCTGTTATACATGTGAAAAAGGATTTGCGAGACTTTGGGAGTCTGAGGTGGAATAATCACTTGAGGCTAGGAATTCGAGATGAGCCTGGGCAACATAGACCCGGTCTCTACAACAACAGCAACAAAATGAGCTGGGCATGGTGGTACACACCTGTGGTCCTAGCTACTCAGGAGGCTGAGGATAGCTTAGGCCGAGGAGTTGGAGGCTGCAGTGCCCAATGATTGATTGTACCACTGCACTCCAGCCTGGGTGATAGAGGGAGACCCTGACTCTAAAAAAATAATGAGGCTGGGCGCTGTGGCTCACGCCTGTAATCCCAGCACTTTGGGACGCCGAGGTGGGTGGATCACAGGGTCAGGAGTTCTAGACCAGCTTGGCCAACAAGGTAAAACCCAGTCTCTACTAAAAATACAAAAATTAGCCGGGTGTGGTGGTGCACGCCTGTAATCCCAGCTACTGAGGGGGCTGAGACAGGAGAATCACTTGAACTTGGGAGGTGGAGGTTGCAGAGAGCCAAGGCCATGCCACTGTCCAGCCTGGGTGACAGAGCAAGACTCGTCTCAAAAAAAAAAAAAAAAGAAAAAAAGAAAAAGGACTTGTTGAGAATGTGATATGCAATTTGAGTATCTTGTGTGTGTTTTTTGTTTTAGAATTTTCCATTTCTTTGAATGGGACTGGATGGTAGGTGAGGGGGAACTTTTTAAGAGTCCCAGGCCGGGCACGGTGGCTCACGCCTGTAATCCCAGCTCTTTGGGAGGCCGAGGCAGACGGATCACCTGAGGCCAGAAGTTCGAGACCAGCCTGGCCAACATGGTGAAACCCCGTCTCTACTAAAAATACAAAAATTAGCCAGGCATGGTGATGGTGCATGCCTGTAACCTCAGCTACTCGGGAGGCTGAGGCAGGAGAATCACTTGAACTCGGGAGGTGGAGGTTGCAGTGAACCCAGATCACACCACTGCACTCCAGCGGCGACAGTGAGACTCTGTCTCAAAAACAAAACAAAAGAAAAAACCAGTCCTCTTAATGTTTAAAAAAAGTTGCTGTAACACTGTACTGGAGAATTTGTGAGAGCGTACACTGGACTGAGAGAAACTTGACTAGGAGGGAACGTAGGACAGTTGATTAGAACACCTGAACACTTCTCTTTGGGCAGGTGAATTTGGAGTGCTTGCAATGGCAATTGTATGCACTTCCATGGGAACGCTTTCAGATTGCTCCTGACCCCACTCAGATTGGTGACTAGAGTGTTACTGGGAATCCTTTTAAAAATTGTTTTTGTAGGCTGTGCGCGGTGGCTCACGCCTGTAATCCCAGCACTTTGGGAGGCCGAGGCGGGCGGATCACGAGGTCAGGAGATCGAGACCATCCTGGCTAACACGGTGAAACCCCATCTCTACTAAAAATACAAAAAATTAGCCAGGCGTGGTGGCGAGTGCCTGTAGTCCCAGCTACTCGGGAGGCTGAGGCCGGAGAATGGCGTGAACGCGGGAGGCGGAGCTTGCAGTGAGCCGAGATCGAGCTACTGCACTCCATCCAGCCTGGGCGACAGAGCAAGACTCTGTCTCAAAAACAAACAAACAAAACAACAACAACAAAAAAACCTTTCGTAGAGGAAAGAAGATTCTTAAGAATTTCAGTATAGTGTACCCCAGGAGATTGATTTTTGCAGATGTTAATTATGCTGTTGAAAAATAGTCTTTCTTTCACACATTTTGTAGTATTGTCTTTTCTAGGTGTAAGAAGTAGACCTTATGTGGTTGAGTGGATATAAATCCTCCAACTTGTTATAAACAGTTTGTTTGGGAGAAATAGCCAAGGGGATTTCCCTTTAAATCGAGGACGCTAAATGGATTCTCCCTGGCTTCGAGAAACTCTTTGTTGTATGCTTTATCTTTTACTTTGATTCATGACTGACCAGTTCTTACATCAAACATTTTTTTCCCCTTTGAAGTAAGAGAAGAGATACTTAAAAAAAAAAATGTAGTCTAGAAAGAGACTAGGAATAGAACACTGCTGACTTGTTCTTATACCAAGAGCTGGAGGCATAAACAGTTTTAATAAAAAAGAATACTTTGTATCTTTTGATGTAACTTCCCTTTAGAGATTCTGTTTCCCCTGTCTTAAATTCTCAGGCTATTTCTGATTGCTGTTTAAATAATTGGTAGTTACTATTTGAGTCATGCTTCTTAAAAAAAAAAGATATAAAAATTCGCCAGCTCAGCTTTCATTTAATTAGTATCAAAGAAATGTTATCTGTGGCAGTGAACATTAGTAGCTTGTTCCAGGGTTTATTGTAGGTTTGTTCAAGTCAGTACTGCCCATCTTGGCACTTAGGTTCTTGGAATACAGAGGTGGATAAGGTTTGCCCCTCAGGGCTTATGGTCTTCTGGGGATGAAGAAGGTCCAGACGCAGGAACAGAATTTTACTACAGTCATGATACGTGTTATCATAGTTGTATAAATCATAAACAGATATCCCAGTTGCTGCCTCTTGTCTAGTCATAGTTTCTCCTTTCACTCTCAACTGTCCTGGTTTGGAAGATAATTGTATGTGTTATGAAACAATGGGAACATTGAAAAGAGACATTTACCTCTGCCTGGCAGAGATCAGGGAAGGCTTCCTGGAGGAAGGTGCTTTCTGAGCTGAATCTTGAAGGGTAACTAGGAGTTAGGCCAATCACAGAGGGCATAAGCAGGAGCTGGTGACAACACATAGCAGGAGAGAAAGAGTCAGAGTGGGTGAGAGGGAGTGTGTGTATTTGCAACGTGTGGGAATTAGGTATATCTACAAATTATTGGAACATAAAGTTTGTAGAGTGTCACTGTGGATGGGTAGAGAGGCAGAGACCAGATTGTGAGGGTTCCATATGCCAGGCCAGTGAGCACCTACTCTGTGCCAGACATTGTAGGCATTACTTACATTGTCTCTAATCTGTCCAACAACTCGAGAGGAAGACATCAGTATCCTTCAAAAGAGAACCTAGGTTCAGGTTGGGTTGTAATTGCCCCAGTTTAGAATGTAAAAATTTGAATCTAACTCTAGATCCTGTTCTTTACCGGTGGGCCAGTGGACTTTGGAAGCTTCAGCTTTTGCAGTATGTGATTAAGGAGCTGTTGAAGGATTTTATTTGCTTTCTATTATTATTATTACTATTTTTTGAGACAGGGTCTCACTCTGTCACCCTGGCTGAAGTGCAGTGGTGCCATCACAGCTCACTGCAGCTTCCACTTCCTGGGCTCAGATGATTCTCCCACCTCAGCCTCCTGTGTAGCTGGGATTACGGGCATGAGCCACCATGCCCATCTAGTTTTTTGTATTTTTTTGTAGAGACAGGGTTTCACCATGTCGCCCAGGCTGGTTTTGAACTCCTAGGCTCAAGCAATCTGCCCACCTTGGCCTCCCAAAGTGCTGGGATTACAGGTGTGACCCACTTTACCCAGCCATATATATTTTTTAAATTCTTTAAAGAGATGAGGTTTCACTGTGTTACCCAGGCTGGAGTGCAGTGGCTATACACAGGCACGATCATAGTGCACTAGAGCCTGGAGCTCCTGAGCGCAGCAAGTGACCCTCCTGCCTCAGTCTCAGCTGAGACTATAGGTGTGCACCACCGTGCCTGGCCTGTTGAAGGATTTTAGAGCTGAAAGTGATGAGGGCAGGTTTGCTTTGCTGGGTTGACCTCAGTCTATAACATGTAAGTTCTACCAGAGCAGGGATTTGGTCTTGTTTACTGTGAATCCCTAGAATTGTGTCTGGCACAAGGTACGTGTTCCATGTGTTTGTTGAATGAAGGATGACAACAGAGTCAGAATGGATTTGAGGAAAGCAGGACTGGATGGAGGGATAAATATTAAGAGGCTGTTGTGTTGGGTCAGGTAAGAGACTGGTTTTGGGACTTGGCGGACAGATGAGCGAGAAAGATGACACCTGCGTTTCTGAATTAGGTGATTATACAGGCTGTCAATCAAGGTAGGGAATACAGGAAGAAGAGTGGGTCTGGAGAAGAGGTGAATTAGAGTTGCCAATTAGATGAATTAAGAGTAGAGCTGAATTAGAGTAGATAATGAAGGGGTATAGTCAGTACACAACTGAATATTTGAATCTGAAATTTGGGGGAGAAGTCAGAGCTAGAGGTAGAGATTAGGTAGTTATCAGAATTTAGGTAGTAGCTGAAACTGAGATGATAATGTTACCCATGGAGAATGGAAAATCTGAAAAGAGAAGCAAAGAATAGGACCATGGGAAATAGGGGTTTTATTTTAGTACCTTCTCCAAACCTTGACTTTGGTGCTGAGGTCTTATGTTCTTCCATAGAGAGTACCTTCCGCAGCAGACCTATCAGACGAGATCGGGCACATTCAGGGTGGTATGGCTGTAGACAGCAGCATCGTATCAGACTTCTTTATGTTTTGCTTGTGACAGCAGTACTTGGCTATGGCAGTTAAATGGACTGTAAGATGTTAGCTTGATTTGGAGTACCCTGAGTAGCTGCACAGGTAGACAAAGTACAAAGATATTGACAGCTTTTTTCTTCCTTTAGAAGAATAACATATCTAAAACAACTCTTAAAGCAAGAGAGCTGCAGTTGCACACTAAGAAAATACTGCAATACTGCCATGACTTGGTTATAGGTGATGCTAACATAAATGGGATATTCTGTTTCTCATTGCACCAGTCATGCAGAATCATAGCATCATGTGCCAGATGGCAGAACGTACTGTGGCAGTTAACACCACAAATTAACAACACAGTGGCAGAAAGCACCGTTTAAAAATATGGGTACTTGGCCAGGCGTGGTGGCTCACTTCTATAATCCCAGCACTTTAGGAGGCTGAGGCGGGCAGATCACCTGAGGTCAGGAGTTCGAGACTAGCTCTAGTCTCTACTAAAATACAAAAATTAGTGTGTGTGTGTATATATATATACTAATCAAACTTCCTTGGGAAAGAAAATGTGAATGCATTTCTGTGTCATACATTTCTTGTGCAGCACTATATATTCTGTGGTTTAGCAGTATTAACAGCATCAAGCTGAACAGTAACCAGTGTTGCTAAGGTCTCGCATACTATACCATGTATGCTGAGAAGATATGCATCCTTAGAATTGAGAATTAGAACATTTCAGTTAATTGCAGTAACTTTTCAGTAACTAGATATATGTGTAATTTGATTTCTGAAGTAATTTTAACTGTGGAAAAACTAAGTTGTCACCAGCGGTACCTCATAGCATAACTTTAGCCCATGATATATGGATGGATGGATATAAATGGAAATTGCACACTGAAATTAGGACGTTTATATTTCTTCAGGTATTAGAAAACTACTCGGATGCTCCAATGACACCAAAACAGATTCTGCAGGTCATAGAGGCAGAAGGACTAAAGGAAATGAGGTTTGTATTGTTCTTGTTGCTTAACATGAGGGTTTCATAGGATATGTGTCTTTCTGTAGTTGTAGTGATATGAGTAAGTACACCTGTGTATGTATTTGTGCTTCTGTGTCTGGTAGTGAGATGGAACTATCCATTTCCCAAATTGTGTGTCGTCTCAGTGGAGGGTGGCAGTGGGTGAACATCCATTTGTTTTCATTTAGAGGTGCAGTGGCTTTCCCCATCTCCTTGTTCTTCCTTAAATCTTGGCATAGAGCTTGTTTTTTGTGTAAGGAGTCAGGGCACATTTTCTCTTGTGCTGTTTTGGAAGTTTCAGACCTGATAGCCTCTATTGTGCCTAACGCTACCCTTTTCTCTATGCCGTATCACTGAAGTTCTTTCTTTTAGAATAAAAGAACAGTGGTCTCATCAACATAAAAAACCACTGACTTTTTTCCCCTTACTAATTGCAGTCATATATGATGTGAATTTACTAAATTTTGAGGTGACCTTTATTTTCCAAATTTATGGTGTAGTTTTCCTGGAGAAGTAACAAGTTAGAAACATAGAATTTGCAGGCTTGAAAGCCAGGACTATCTTTCATCTTTCTTTTTCCTCATCCTAACTTCAAACTTAAAAAAAAAAAAAAAAAAAGCTGGGGGTAGTGGCCCATGCCTGTAATCCCAGCACTTTGGGAGGCCAAGGCAGGCAGATCACTTAGGTCAGGAGTTCGAGACCAGCCTGGCCAACATGGCAAAACCCCGTCTCTACTAACAATACAAAGATTAGCCGGCATGGTGACGCATGCCTGTAGCCTGTAGTTCCAGCTTGGGAGGCGGAGGCTGGAGAATCGCTTGAACTCAGGAGACGGAGGTTGCAGTGAGCCGAGATTGCACCACTGCACTCCAGCCTGGACAACAGAATAAGACTGCATCTCAAAAAACAAAACAAAACAAAAAACAAAGAAAGTACTTAAATGAGGAAAGAGGAGAGCACTACACAGTCCTTGCCTGGGACTCAGAGCAAACTTCATGTTTTTGCTAGTCAAACTTAGCTGCTTTAATTGACCTTTTAGGGTCAAAAGGCCTTCACTTTCCAGTTGTCAGTTCAAACGTTCTCAAGTTGATGTTTTGTGGGGAGGGAAGATTGAGATTGTCTACATCACATTTATTTGACTTGTACTTATCCACTGTGTAGTGTTATAATTGTGCTTTATTTTTGTTTTTATGGGCTATTTCCCATCATGCTGCTGTCTGCACTGCTGTTGGACCACTTTGCCTATAGAAGGTAAATGAGTCCCTTTGGGACATATGGAATTGAGAACCTTAACTTGTTTCTGCTTCTTGTTCTTAGAGGAATTATGAAGCAGTCATGATGGCTCATGATGAGTGAGCAGCTCTGTAATTTGTAGACAGAGGTATAATATGTAGGAGTCACAGAAGAGCTGTGCCAGCATGCTGTTCCCCTTGTAGCAGAGATGCTAGCACACCCACTTGATACTCCAGATTTTGCATAGGGTTTCTTTTAGAGATTGGTTCTTGGTGAAAAATTTTTTAGCATCCAGTGTGTTCCAAGGCAAAATAAGTAATAGTTTTTTAATGGTTTTTTTAGACTCAGAATTTATTTTTAACACTGCATAAATTAGGGCTTCTAGTTCTGAAAAATGCAAAGAGGCTTACTTAAGCTATTTATATATTTTTTAACATGCTGGGGAGAGGGAAGAGAGGGTGCACAGGTGACTCCTAGCACTAATATGCTAGTGCCAAACTCAGTTAATATTAATAATGGTCATTTGTTGATATTTTTGGTAGCTTTTCTATTTAAAGATTCAGTAAGTAGCATCCTTTGCACTGAATTGTCACGTTTTGTAACCTGCTGTTGTGGCAGGGACCATGAAACAACTTAGTATGCCATTGTTTCAGTTTATTTTTTAAGCATTACTGGGAACTAAATCCACTTGACTTACTTTTTGCATTTAGGTTTAAATAATTGTTCCTGGGTAGATACAGAATAAAACTCAATCTCCCCACTTCCAGCAGAGAAAAAACAAATGAAATACTGTTCTTTTTGTGTACTTACTAGAAAATGTTTAACTGGAAAAAAAGTTCTGCTTGTTTTATTGGCACAGCACCATTGATTCTGTGATTCTTTGTCATAGTATTCTGTGGCAGTTTCTGAGTATGATATGTAGATTGAAATATAGAGGCTAGGAAACTTTTAATAGTAAAATTTTACTAAAAATTTATTAACTTATTAAAATATAACTTGAAAAAATTGTGAGGTTTTTCTAAATTTCTTGGAAATTTGATTTATATTGTCAAAAAGCACTGAAGAAGTGTTAGTTATGGATTTCGGGTATCACATAATGTTTATTCCAGAGTTTTCTGAGTGTGATTTATGTGAATTTCATTTGGTTATTCTTTTACTATTTTCACAGTGAAATTGTCATGAGATTTTTTCTTCTGTATTTCTTGCTTAGCTTCTTCTCATTTAAGAATGAGTTGGAGGGATTAGGTCTTTAAGTAGGCAGATGGATTGTATAACCCTCATCCATTCTTTTGTGGTTTTACAGTGGGACTTCCCCTCTCGCATGCCTCAATGCTATGCTACATTCCAATTCAAGAGGAGGAGAGGGGTTGTTTTATAAACTGCCTGGCCGAATCAGCCTTTTCACGCTCAAGGTAAGTGATATGAACTCTCTTTTGGTGCAGTGATTCTTGGACTTTTAATGTGCATAAAAATCACCTGGTAGGTCTGGAATAGGGGCCATGAATTTGCATTTCTCATATGCAGTCAGGTGACACTGATGTTTTTCTTTTTTTTAGACATAGTCTCGCTGTGTCACCCAGGCTGGAGTGCAATGGGGCGAGATCTCGGCTCACTGCAATCTCTGCCTCCCATGTTCAAGTGATTCTCCCACCTCAACCTCCCAAGTAGCTGGGACTACAGGCACATGCCACCATGCTCGGCTAATTTTTTTATTTTTTTTAATAGAGACGGGGTTTCACCATGTTGGCCAGGCTGGTCTCGAAATCCTGACCTCAGGTGATCCACCTACCTCGGCCTCCCAAAGTGCTGGGATTACAGGCATGAGCCACCGCACCTGGCCAGATGCTGTTGGTTCTAAATGGCACTTTGAGGTGTTCTAATATGAATCAGATATTAGAAATTATTTAGTCATAGCAGCTCTTGTTTGTGTGTTCATCTTTTCTTGTCTATATCTTTGTAGATTGTACAAAACTGAAGCATAACTATGGGGATAATTGCAGATGTGCCTTTTTTTTTTTTTTTTTTTTTTTATTCTGAGATGGAGTCTCACTCTGTTGCCCAGGCTGGAGTGCAGTGGTGCGATCTCAGCTCATTGCACCCTCCACCTCCCAGGTTCAAGCAATTCTTCTGCCTCAGCCTCCTGAGTAGCTAAGAGTGCACTACCATGCCCAGGTAATTTTTGTATTTTTAGTAGAGACGGGGTTTCACCATGTTGGCCAGGCTCGTCTTGAACTCCTGACCTTGTGATCCGTCCGCCTTAGCCTCCCAAAGTGCTGGGATTACAGGCGTGAGCCACTGCACCTGGCCACAGATGTGCCTTAATTAGGATTTTGTTGTAGTAATGATGTGAAGGATAAATTACTGGTCAGCTAATGTAAGACCTACTCTATGGAAAATAACTGAAATGTGAACATATTTGTGGAAATTAAGTGACAGTAATTATAAAGTAAGAGTACTTAAATCAGGTAGAGTTCATAATAAAGCTTAAATAGGGCCGAAATGAACAGGCTAATTATTTTTCCACCATTTGTGATATATATGGTAATCATTTAGACCGGGGGTCTGCAAAGTTTTTCTGTAAAGGACCAGAAAATCAATGTTTTTTTGTTTTGTGGATCATACTGTCTTTGTCTTAACCACTCAGGTCTGCCATTGTAGTAGGAAAGCAGCCATACCCAAATGAATGGGCATGGCTGTGTTCCAAAAAAAAAAAAAATTTATTTACAAATGTTTGTTTTACTTACGAAAACAGGCTGCAGGCCAGATTTGATTTGGGGCTGTACTTTGTCGACCCCTGATTTAGACATAAGATGACTTGTCGACATTGGAGAAACTGAAAATTTGATGCTGACCCTTTCGTTCTTCCATAGTGGGTTATAAATTTTAGCAGTCAGTACAAACTTTTTCCTTTAAGTTTTGTTTTCTTGATGGACTGTATTCAAAATAAATACCTGAACAAATACCAACTATATAACATGAAGCCATAAAACTTGGTCTTTATATATAAATAAAGTTTATCTTGGGGTCAGATGTCTGTGCTGTTTTCTATATTTTTTTATATCCAATAGTTTGGTCTTTTTCCTTTCAGTTTTGTATGCTTTTCTTGTAATCGAGCCTTGGAAGAGACAGAGCCACTGAGCCCAAAACCTAGCTTTGTGGTCGGCTGTGGTGGCTCATGCCTGTAATCCCAGCACTTTGGGAGGCTAAGGCGGGAGGATTGCTTAAACTCAGGAGTATGAGACCTTGTCTCTATTAAAAAAAAAAAAAAAAAAAAAAAGCCTTGCGTGGTGGTGTGTGTGCTTATAGTCTTAGCTACTCAGGAGGCTGAAGCAGGAGGGTAGCTTGGAGATGGAGGCTGCAGTGAGCTGTGATCACACCACTGCTCTCCAGCCTGGGCCACATAGCAAGACCCTGTCTCAAAACAAAAACTTAGCTTTGTAACCTGGGAGGGATTTAACCCTTCTTTTTGGTGGAATATGCATCCCTGGCATTGAGTCAGTCCTTAATAAATGATAGCCTTTATGATGATCTGAGGTTTATCATTCTTAATTGCCTGTTAATGGCATTTTTCTATTAATATTATCTATTTTTTGAGATAGGGTCTTGTTCTGTCACCTGGGCTGGAGTGCAGTATCATAGTCACAGCTCACTGCAGCCTTGACCTACTAGGCTCAAGTGATCCTCCCACCTCAGCCTTCTGAGTAGCTAGGACTTCAGGCGCATACCACTATGCCTGGCTAATTTTTTGTATTTTTTGTGGAGAAGGAGTTTTGCCATGTTGCCCAGGCTGGTCTCGAGCTCCTGGGGTCAAGCGATCCACTGGCTTTGGCCTCCCAAACTGCCAGGATTACAGACGTGGGCCACTGCACCTGGCCTATTATTTTTTAATTTAATATTAATTTATATTTTTAGAAACAGGGTCTCACACTGTTGTCCACAGCTGGAGTGCAGTAGTATAATCATAGCTCACCGTAGCCTTGAACTCCTGGGCTCAAGCAGTAGTCCCACCTCAGCCTCCCGAGTAGCGTACACCATCACCCCAGCTAATTTTTAAATTTTTTCCTAGAGATGAAGTCTTGCTATGTTGGTTAAACTGGTCTCAAACTCCTGGCCTCAAGTGATCTTCCCACCACAGCTTCACAAAGCACTGGGATGGATTACAGGTGTGAGCAACCATACCTGGCCCTCTATTATCTCATATATAGCTTATTGTTACATATGCTGTAATTATATATAGTTATAATTATTTAATACATATATGTTTATTACAAATATGCCTGTTAATGGTATATTCTGTTTTTAAAAGGAAGGATAATTACTTTTTTCTATGAGTACCTTAAGGGCAGGAACTGAGTTTTATTTGTGTTTGTAATTTGGCTCTGGGCAGAATTCTTGGCATAGTACGTGCTTTATGTGTGAACTGAATTATATTTCTTCATCTTAATTTTACAGGTGTGAGCCACTGCACCAGGCCCCTTCATCTTAATTTTAATATATCTTTGAATAAACACCATTGTATGAACCTGCTGTAAGCTTGGGAGTGGTCTGTTAGTCTACAGCTTGTGTCTGAGATGTGCTAATTGAATATTTGCTCAGTACCTCATCTTAACTGCCTTTGGCTTTATGTTGCTTATCCTTCATAGTATCTTGTTCATTGGCCTTTTACATCCATAGGCATCACTTCTCTGATATTCGTTGTGCTCTTTTAATGGATTAATGGTTTGCTTGGTTGGTTCCTCTAGTTAGACTGTAAACTCCTTGAGAGCAGAGTCTGTATTTTATTAATTACCCACAGTACTAGGTACATAGTTGCCTTCAATAAATATATATTTAATGAACGAATTTAGTGAATAATGGCTACATTTTTGTACTTCGTTATTATTTATTTATTTTTTTTTTCTGAGACAGAGTCTTGCTCTGTAACCCACGCTGGAGTGCAGTGGTGTGATCTTGGCTCACTGCAACCTCCACCGCCCAGGCTGAAGTGATTCTCCTGCCTCAGCCTCCCGAGTAGCTAGGACTACAGGCGTGCACCACCATACCTGGCCAATTTTTGTATTTTTAGTAGAGATGGGATTTTACTATGTTGGCCAGGCTGGTCTTGAACTCTTGACCTCGTGATCCGTCTGCCTCGGCCTCCCAGAGTGCTGGGATTACAGGTGTGAGCCACCGCGCCCAGCCTTCATTATTCTTTTGACATTTGATGATAAATACTGTTTATGATTTTCTTTTTCTTTTTTTTTTTTTGGTAGAGACAGTCTCGCTTTGTTGCCCAGGCTGGTCTTGAACTTTTGGACTCAAGCGATCCACCCACCTCAGCCTCCCAAAGTGTTGGGTTTACATGCATGAGCCACCTCGTGTGTCCTTGTTCATAATTTTGATGGGCTGGGCGCAGTGGCTCACGCCTGTAATCCCAGCACTTTGGGAGGCCGAGGTGGGTGAATCACTTGAGGTCAGGAGTTCAAGACCAGCCTGGCCAACATGGCGAAACCCCGTCTCTACGAAAAATACAAAAATTAGCCGGGCGTGGTTGTGCACGCCTGTAATCCTAGCTACCCAAGAGGCTGAGGCAGGAGAATCACTTTAACCCGGGAGATGGAGGTTGCAGTGAGCTGAGATCGTGCCATTGCACTCCAGCCTGGGCAACAAGAGTGAAGCTCCATCTCAAGAACAGTTTTGATGAAATTGTCCCTAGATTTGCATCTGGCATCTAGCTCATATCTCAGAGCCAGAATGAAGGATGCTTACCTCTGGGTTTGGTAAATTTTAGCTTGGTTAATTATGTGTGTGCCTTAATTTTTTTGACCTATTATAAAAGCAATATACGTAAATGCAACAGAGAAAATGAAAGTAATCCATAAAATTCTACCTGTGGCCAGCTGCGATGGCTCATGCCTGTAATCCCAGCACTTTGGGAGGTTGCGGTGGGTGGATCACTTGAGGTCAGGAGTTCGAGACCAGCCTGGCCAACATGGTGAAACCCTGTCTCTACTGAAAATGCGAAAATTAGCTGGGCATGGTGGTGGGTGCCTGTAATTCCAGGTACTTGGGGAGGCTGAGGCTGGAGAATTGCTTGAACCCGGGAGGCAGAGGTTGCAGTGAGCCAAGATTGCACCACTGCACTCTAGCCTGGGTGACAGAGACTCTTAAGAAAAAGAAAAAAAAATTCAGATACCTGTAACCTAAATAATTAATATTTGAAAAAATTTCATCATTGCTTCTTTCATTCAGTTAATATATTTTGAACCACTTGCCATGGTGTTATATATAGACATGTCTTATATATGTGTATATATATGTGTGTATTTATTTATTTTTTGAGACAGAGTCTCGCTTTGTCATCCAGGCTGGAGTTCAGTGGTACAATCATGGCTCACTGCACCCTTGACTTCCTGGGCTCAAGCAATCCTTCCAGCTTCCCTAGTAGCTGGGACTACAGGCGCATGCCACCACACCCAGCTAATTTTTGTAGTTTTTGTTGAGGTGGGAATTCACTAGTCTTGAATTCCTGAGCTCAAGCAATCCTCCCATCTTGGCTTCCCAAAGTGCTGGGATTATAGGCATGAGCCACTGTGCTCACCCAGTTTTTTATTTTTAGATACAGGGTCTCGCTCTGTGGCTTAAAGCTAGATGGTGCAGTGGCACCATCATAGCTCACTACAACCTTGAGCGCCTGGGCTTAAGGAATCTTCCTGTCAGCCTCCCCAGTAGCTGGGACCACAGGCATGCACCACTGCACCTAATTAAAAAAAATTTTTTTTATAGAGATGGAGGGGGTCTCATTTTGTTCCTCAGGCTAGTCTCAAACTCCTGGCCTCAAGCAATCCTCTGCTTCAGCCTCCCGAAGTGCTGGGATTACAGGTGTGAGCCACGGTGCCCGGCCCCTTATTCTTTTTGAAGGCTGTTTTAAGAATTCCAGATTTCCAGCCATGAATGTGTGATTACTAACTAGTCTCTTGTTATATGCCTCATCAACACCACACTTCTCCCAGAAGTTGTGCAGGCATTTAGTTTATTGTTACTCAGGAATGGATGAGAAAGGATATCAAAGATCTGAACCAGCTGATTACCATCTTGGTCACTTGAGAACTCAGGTCTGTCCAATAAACACCCTAATCCAAGGTGGTGTTAAATACATATATATATATTTTTACTTTACGTTTATTTATTTTGAAAAATTTCAAACCTATAGAAAAATTGAGGCAGTACCATAGTCTTAGTCCATTTTCCATTACTTAGAATATCCAAAAGTGAGTAATTTATAAAGAAAATTAATTTATTTCTTACAGCTATGGAGGCCAAGGTCGAGGGGACATATCTGGTCAGCGTTTTGCCATGTTGGTCAGGCTGGTCTCGAACTCCTGACCTCAAGGCCTGCCTTGGCCTCCCAAAGTGCTGGGATTACAGGCATAAGCCACCGTGCCCAGCCACCTCTGAGCACTTTAGATAGTATGTCTTAAGAACAAAGACATAGCCCGGCGCAGTGGCTCACGCCTGTAATCCCAGCAGTTTGGGAGGCTGAGTCGGGCGGATCACCTTAGGTCAGGAGTTCGCGGCAAAACCCCGTTACTACTAAAAATACAAAAAATTAGCTGGGTGTGGTGGCGTGCACCTGTAATCCCAGCTACTCGGGAGGCTGAGGCTGGAGAATCACTTGAACCCAGGAGGCAGAGGCTGCAGTGAGCCGAGATGGCACCACTGCACTGTAGCCTGGGTGACAGAGCAAGACTTGGTCTCAAAAAAAAAAAAGAAAAAAAGAACAAAGACATTTTCCTATATAACCACAATGCCGTTATCACACTCAAGAAACTTAACATTGATATGATTGTGTATAATACATAGTCCATATTCAAATTTTTCTCTCATTTCAAAATTATTCTTTGTGGCCTAAAATCCTGTATCCAATCATGATATTTTTGAACAATCCAGACTAGTTGTTGTATAGAAGTAAGTAGTTTGTTTTTTTTGTTTTGTTTTGTTTTGTTTTTTGAGACAGGGCCTGGCTCCGTTGCCCAGGCTGGAGTGCAGTGGCATGATCACGGCTTACTGCAACCTCTGCCTCCTGTGCTCAAGCAATCTTGTGCCTCAGCTTCCTAAATAACTGGAATTAGAGGTGCGTGACACCACGCCTAGCTAATTTTTGTATTTTTAATAGAGATGGGGTTTTGTCATGTTGCCCAGGCTGGTCTTGAACTCCTGGACTCGAAGCAATCCTCCCACCTCAGCCTCCCAAAGTGCTGGGATTTATAGGTGTGAGCCACCAGGCCTGGCAGTTAAGTACATTTTTTAAGGACTAATAAAAATGTAGAAATCTTCGTTATTTCCGGAATCCTTTATGTTTTACTGCCAGTACTAATGTAGTAATGCCAGACAGTAGTCATGTCTACTGTTCCAGGTTGTCCAAAGGATTCAGCAGCAAAGGATGAAAGTGGTGGGAAGTTTTGCATAGTGGTCGACCAAGGGCTAGTTTGGTGAGTGTCTTGCCTATGATAATGGACAGGAAGACACCAGTTATTTTATTTTATTTTTATTTTATTTTATTTTATTTTAATTTTATTTTGTGTTGTGTTGTGTTATCTTTGAGATGGAGTCTCACTGTATCACCCAGGCTGGAGTGCAGTGGCGCAATCTCGGCTCACTGTAACCTCTGCCTCCCGGGTTGAAGTGATCCTCCTGCCTCAGCCTCTTGAGTAGCTGGGATTATATGCGTGAGCCACCACACCCGACTAATTTTTTGTATTTTTAGTAGAGACAGGGTTTTACCATGTTGGCCAGGCTGGTCTTGAACTCCTTACCTCAGGTGATCCACCCACCGCAGCCCCCCAAAGTGTTGGGATTACAGGCGTGAGCCACCACACCCAGCTGACACCAGTTATTTAACTCACATTTCTCTGTTTTCCTTTTAAAGGTAGTAGTGACACCTTTGAAATCTTTTGGCATTTTCTTTGCCTGTTCTCCCTTATGTGTTAAGGATAAGCTTACGTGCAGAATGGCTTGTTAAGTTTTTTCTCCTCCGTACTTGGAAATCTCATCTGGTGGGACATTAGGGTCAGAATTTTGTATATTATATATTATATATCTATCATGATATATATAATGTATTTTATATATTATATATTATATAAATATCATGATAGATATATAATATATAATTATATGTTATATATTTTATATTTATAAAATAAAAATAAAAAATTGCAATTATTTTCAAATAGTAAAACCACGTAGATAAAATATAATTCTGGCCAGGCACGTGGCTCATGCCTGTAATCCCAGCACTTTGGGAGGCTAAGGTGGGTGGATCACCTGAGGTCAGGTGATATAATATACAACAGATATAATATGTCTATTATATATTATATATAATGTTATATAGATATCTATATTATATATAATATATTAATAGATATATTAATATAATATATATTATATATTATACAGATATCTATAAATATATTATATATAATATATTATAGATATATCTATGTATATTATATCACCTGACGTCAGGTGATCCACCCACCTTAGCCTCGCAAAGTGCTGGGATTACAGGCGTGAGCCACGTGCCTGGCCAGAATTATATTTTATCTACGTGGTTTTACTATTTGAAAATAATTGCAATTTTTTATTTTATTTTTTGGTTCTGGAAACATTTGTGTGGACTTACCTATGATTGTCAGGTTTACTGATTTGCTGGAGATTTTTTGGGCATGACAAAGGGTTTCTTCTTTGATAAAAGTTTTTCTGGGTAATGTGATGGTACAGGTTGAGTATCCTTTATCTGAAATGCTTGAGACATGAAGTGTTTTGGATTTGAGAATTTTTAGCATCTTGGAATATTTACCACATACATAGTAAGGTACCTTGAGGATGGGGCCCAAGTCTAAACACAGAATTCATTTGTGTTTCATATTTATCTTATATGCATGAAACAAAGTTGTTTGTTTTCTTTTTTTTTTGAGACGGAGTCTCACTCTGTCGCCCAGGCTGGAGTGCAATGGCATGGTCTTGGCTCACTGCAACCTCCGCCTCCCAGGTCCAAGCGATTCTCTTACCTCAGCCTCCTGCGTAGCTGGGATTACAGACATGAGGCACCATGCCCGGCAAATTTTTGTATTTTTAGTAGAGATGGGGTTTCACCATGTTGGCCAGGCTGGTCTCAAACCCCTGACCTGAAGTGATCTGCCTGCCTCAGCCTCCCAAAGTCCTGGGATTACAGGTGTGAACCACCGCACCTGGCCCCAAAATAAAGTTTTGACTCTGTGTGTGTGTGTGTGTGTGTGTGTGTGTGTTTTGGAGACAGAGTCTCACTCTGTCGCCCAGGCTGGAGTGCAGTGGCATGATCACAGCTCACTGCAACCTTAGCTTCCTGGGCTCAAATGATCCTCCCACTTTAGCCTCCCAGGTAGTTGGGACTACAGGTGCGTGCCACTGTGGCTGAGTAATTTGTGTGTGTGTGTGTGTGTGTGTGTGTGTGTGTGTGTTTTAATAGAGATGGGGCTTTGCCATGTTGCCCAGCCTGGCTCTTGACCTCTTGGGCTCAAGCCATCTGCCCACCTTGACCTCCCAAAGTGCTAGGATTATAGGCGTGAACCACCATGCCCAGCCTTTGACTGTGTTTTGATGGCAACCCATCACGTGAGGTCAGGTGTAGAAATTTCCATTTTTGGCGTCAGGTTGGCACTCCAAAGGTTTCAGATTGTGGAGCTCCTTGGAGTTTTGGATTAGGGATGCTCAGCCTGTACATTTGACAGTTTATTTACAGATGCTTGCATCAGTGCTTGGAGCTAGTCCTCAGTGGTGGGATAGGTGAAAATTATCTCTACTTTGAGTTCTTGATTTGAATTCTTTTTTCTTAAGCTTTTCCTAAAGTCATGTGTCAGTGTTGATTATTGCCCGGTTAGAGGTAGGATTTGTATTGTTTTTTTACACTTGGAATTTCCTGTTGTCATAAGATCACTGTGAACTCCCTTGTAGTGTTGTACATTCTTAGGACTTTCATGCTGAAATACTATGCTTTTATAAAATGGTTGTTGTGTCTTTGCTGAGTTTAAATAGGGTCCAGGCCAGGCATGGTGGCTCATGCTTACCCTGTCTCAAAAAAAAAACACCCTCAACTAAATATAGTTAAATAGGCCAGGCTCGGTGGCTCATGCCTGTAATCCCAGCACTTTGGGAGGCGGAGGCGGGCGGATCACCTGAGGTCAGGAGTTCGAGACCAGCCTGGCTAACACGGCGAAGCCCTGTCTCTATTAAAAATAAAAAAAAAACCTAGCCAGGTGTGGTGGTGAACGCCTGTAGTCCCAGCTACTCGGGAGGCTGAGGCAGGAGAATCACTTGAACCCAGAGACAGAGTGAGACTCTGTCTCTCACACACACACACACACAGATAAATAAATTGG
Source organism: Homo sapiens (assembly GCF_000001405.40). NCBI lineage: Eukaryota > Metazoa > Chordata > Mammalia > Primates > Hominidae > Homo > Homo sapiens. The sequence continues at coordinate 32,379,114 of NC_000020.11, forward strand.
GTTCATAAATGGTGATTCCAGCACTCACTGTCAGGTATAACTTCAGTCTTTTTTTTTTTTTTTTTTTTTTTTTTTTTTTTTTTTTTTTTGAGACAGAGTCTCCTTCTGTCACCCAGGCTGGAGAGCAGTGGTGTAGTCTCAGCTCATTGCAACCTCCACCTTCTAGGTTCAAGCAGTTCTTCTGCCTTAGCCTCCCAGGTAGCTGGGATTACAGGTGCAGACCACCACGCCCAACTAATTTATTTATTTATTATTATTATTATTATTATTTTTTAGTAGAGATGGAGTTTTGCCATGTTGGTCAGGCTGACTTTGAACTCCTGACTTCATGTGATCCACCTGCCTTGGCCTCCCAAAGTGCTGGGATTACAGGTGTGAGCCACTGTGTCCAGCCAACATTATTCACTTTTGTTGTTACATAAGATGTCACGGCCAGGCATGGTGGGTCACGCCTGTAATCCCAGCACTTTGGGAGGCTGAGGTGTGTGGATCACCTGAGGTCAGGAGTTTGAGACCAGCCTGGCCAACCTGGTGAAACCCCGTCTGTACTAAAAATATGAAAATTAGCTGGGATTACAGGCGGGCACCTGTAATCCCAGCTACTAGGGAGGCTGAGGCAGGAGAATCACTTGAACCCGGGAGGCAGAGGTTGCAGTGAGCTGAGATCGTGCCATTGCACTCCAGCCTGGGTGACAGAGCAAGACTGCGTCTCAAAAAAAGAAAAAAATAAAAAAGATGTCAGTTATGGCTATTTGTACTTTATTATACTTCATGTGATGATATATGGTTCAGCATCAGGGTCTTTTTTCAGTTAAGTTCAGTTGAACCCTTTTCCTGTTTAGAATATTTTTTAAAAGTATAAAAAAACTTAATAAAAGAAATGGATGGCTGGGCATGGTGGCTCACCCCTGTAATCCCAGCACTTTGGTAGGCTGAGGCGGGCAGATCACCTGAGGTCAGGAGTTCAAGACCAGCCTGGCCAACACAGTGAAACTCCATCTCTACTAAAAATACAAAAATTAGCTGGGCGTGGTGGCGGCCGCCTGTAATCCCAGCCACTTGGGAGGCTGAGGCAGGAGAATCCCTTGAACCCGGGAGGCGGAGATTGCAATGAGCCTATTGCGCAACTGCACTGTAGCCTGGGCGACAAGAAGGAGACTCCGTCCCTCCCATAAAAAAAAGAAATAGATGACTACATTTAAAATATCTTCCATTTAAATCCATAGTTTACAAATAAAGGAAAAAGCAGTGGAGGAAGAGAGTGAGATAATTACTTCATTTTTACAATGTTAAATAATTACAATTAAAATTTTTGTGTACAATTCCACATTTAATAGCAATTTGCAAATGCCTTATTGCCAGGTGTGGTGTCTTACGCCTGTAATCCCAGTACTTTGGGAGCCCAAGGTGGGAGAATTGCTTGAGCCCTGGAATTCGAGACCAGCCTGGGCAACATAGCGAAACTTTTGTCTCTACAAGAAATAAAATTAGCCAGGTGTGGTAGCCTGCATCTGTAGTTGGAGGTACTGGGGGAGCTGACGTGAGAGGATTGCTTGAGCCCAGGAGGTTGAGGCTGCAGCTGACATCAAGCCACTAGACTCTATCCTGGGCGACTAATTGAGACCCTGTCTCAACGAACAAAGAAACAAAAAAAACCCAAATGATTTACTTACCATTAAATACCAAGAAAAGAATGACTGGAGTAAGCTTAGATTTAGATACAACAAAATCATGGAGCTTATCATTTGAAAGGCATTTTTGACTTTTCATAGGTGTGTAGCAAGCAAAGTGGTCCTTTTGAAAAATGCAAGTCACATCATGTCACTTTTCTGCTTGGCCTTTGCCTACTTCTCGAATGGTTCTCCTAGCACATTCTAACTGGTCATTATTCATTGTGTTTCAGCCATTCTGGCCTTCAACCTATTTCTCAAACACCCCAATCTTGGGTATACTTTAGGGCCCTTGCATTTGCTAGCTCATTTACCTGGAAAATTCTGCGGTAACTTCTTGCACATAATAGGTGCTAATAAATATTGGCTGCATGCAACCAAAAAAGCTGGCTTCGGTAGTAGAAGTAGTAGAAGAGAACATTACCAAAGTCCTTTTTTTTGAGACAAGATTTCCCTCTGTTATTTAGGCTGAGTGCAGTGGTGCCATCACGGCTCACTGCAGCCTTGACTTCTTGGACTCAAATGATCCTCCCACCTCAGCCTCCTGAGAAGCTGGGACCACAGGTGTGTGTCACCATGCCTGGCCAATTTTTTTATTTGTAGAGAAGAGGTCTTACTGTGTTGCCCAGAATGGTGTCAAACTCCTGGGCTCAAGTGATCCACCTGCCTCAGCCTCCCAAAATGCTGAGATTATAGGTGTGAGCCACTGGTCCAGCCTCTTACCAAAATCTTTTTTTTTTTTTTTTTTTGAGACGGAGTCTCGCTGTGTCGCCCAGGCTGGAGTGCAGTGGCGGGATCTCGGCTCACTGCAAGCTCCGCCTCCCGGGTTCACACCATTCTCCTGCCTCAGCCTCCTGAGTAGCTGGGACTACAGGCGCCTGCTACCACGCCCGGCTAATTTTTTATATTTTTAGTAGAGACGGGGTTTCACCATGTTGGCCAGGATGGTCTCGATCTTTTGACCTCGTGATCCACCCACCTCGGCCTCCCAAAGTGCTGGGATTACAGGCATGAGCTACCGCGCCTGGCCGCCTCTTATCAAAATCTTAAACTTGTTAATTCTTGTATCTCACCTTGCTTTTATATCAGTTTTTGTTATAGAATGTGCTTTCTTTTTAGGTTATTTTTCTTCTGCTCAGCAAGTTAACTTTGAAGAATCTTTTTTTTCTTGCCTTTTTTTTTTTTTTTTGAGACAGAATTTTGGTTTTGTTGCCCAGGCTGGAGTGCAATGGCGCGATCTCAGCTAACGGCAACCTCCACTTCCCGGGTTCAAGTGATTCTCCTGCCCCAGCCTCCCGAGTAGCTGGGATTACAGGCATGAGGCCACCAGGCCTGGCTATTTTTATTTTTTATTTTTTATTTTTATTTTTTACTAGAGACAGTGTTTTTCCATGTTGGTCAGGCTGGTCTTGAATTCTCGTCCTCAGGTGATCCACCCGCCTTGACCTCCCGAAGTCCTGGGATTACAGGTGTGAGCCAGCGCACCCGGCCTCTTGCCCTCTTTAGAGCAGTTCTACATAAATCTGTGGAATAATCTGCTGACGTTAGAAATAAACCTTTCTCAGGGTGTGGCCATAATCTGGTTCGTTGTAATTGCTGAAGGAAAAAACTGAACCCTTAGGAACAGTTTAAACATTCTAGGTGGTTTTTAGATATATTATTCCTGTTAGAGTTTTGAACTTTGATCATCTTGTTAGAAAAAAGAGGCCAGGCACTGTGCCTCATACCTGTAATCCCAGCATTTTGGAGGCTGAGTCGTCAGGAAGTCACTTGAGCCCAGGAGTTTGGTACCAGCCTGGGCAACATATGGAGACCTCGTCTCTACAAAAAAAAAAAAAAAAAAACAAAACCTGTTAGCCAGGCGTGGTGGCTCATGCCTGTGTTCCCAGCTACTCAGGAGGCTGAGATGGAAGGATTGCTTGAGCCTGGGAAGTTGCGACTGCAGTGAGCTGTGATTGTGCCACTGCACTCCAGCCTGGGCAACAGAGTAAGACCCTGTCTCAAAAAAAATGAATTTTTGCATTCATTTAAAAATGAATGGTAGCAACATTTTAGATAATAACTTATGTAGTCTGTGTGAATCTCATCAAATATATGTGATTTTTAATGCTTGGAATCCTAGAATTTTAGTGAGGGAGGAGCTCTCAAGTTATCTAATTTACTGTCATTTTACAGATAAAAACTAAACTTCTGATAGATGAAAGGATTTATACCATACATCTATATGATAATTGCATATGGCTGAGTTGAGGTTAGAACCCAGGACCCAATCTTTGATTTGATTTCTTTTCATTATGCCAATTTAGAATAAAATTTTTTCTCTTGGTTTTCTGACCTTTGGCCACTTCATCTTTTGAAGGATCTTGTAAGTTCCTTGATATTTCTCAAAATGTCAGTTTTATTCTCTTCAATGAAAGTTCTTGTTAGGTGAAAGTAGCCTTTCATATCCTTAAATGTGAACCTGTTCCTTAGGCTGGAGTTTTTGTACTCTCCATTATATTGGCATTTATAGTTGTTGGTTTTCTTTTTTTTTTTTCTTTTGAGACGGAGTCTGTCTCTGTCGCCCAGGCTAGAGTGCAGTGGCGCGATCTCGGCTCACTGCAAGCTCTGCCTCCCGGGTTCACGCCATTCTCCTGCCTCAGCCTCCTGAGTAGCTGGGACTATAGGCGCCCGCCACCATGCCCGGCTAATTTTTTTGTATTTTTAATAGAGACGGGGTTTCACTGTGTTTGCCAGGATGGTCTCCATCTCCTGACCTTGTGATCCTCCCGCCTCGGCCTCCCACAAGTGCTGGGATTACAGGCGTGAGCCACTGCACCCGGCCAGTTGTTGGTTTTCTTTTCTGTGCCAGATTGAGTGATATATGGTGGTACTAAGAGCACTGGAATAGGAGTCAAGGACTGAGGTACAGCATAGCACCTCATGTATTACTTGGTATCTCCACTTGTCTCTAACACTGAAGAGGTATAATTGGTTGTTTAAAAACTGTGGGTGTAAAACGCTAGTATCCCATGAAATGGAACTGCAGAATATAAGTGGATGACTCTGAAACTGCTTTTGAAACAAGCATGAGGGCTCAGTTTCTCCATCTCTCGTGGGCTCCACCATCACTGTCTGACATCCTGATCTCCTAAGGCATCTTTCCTCCATCCCAGAGCTCTGTTGAAAATCTCTTGGGCTAAAAACCAGTACAGACCTTCTGATACTCACGTTCTAGCCTTTTTAGATTGTTGTGTGTGAAGAGTAAGTCAGCTGTGGATATTTTTCTTTCCTATTTTGTGAGGCATTTGGTATTTACTGGAGGCTGCCTGTTTTGTTGCAAACCTTGTTCCACTGTGTACTATAGGAGGTCTGCTCAGAAAGCCTAGTTAGTAGAGCAGTACCATTTGCTTTGGTCAATTGTAGCAGCAGTCTGTTTTTTTTTTTTTTTTTTTTTTTTTTGAGACAGAGTCTTGCTGTGTTGCTCAGGCTGGAGTGCAGTGGTGTGATCTTTGCTCACTGCAACCTCCGCCTCCTGGGTTCAAGCGATTCTCCTGCCTTGGCCTCCCAAGTGGGATTGCAGGTGTGTGCCACCATGCCCGGCTAATTCTGTATTTTTAATAGAGATGGGGTTTCACCCCCAGGCTGGTCTTAAACTCCTAACCTCAAGTGATCCACTTGCTTCGGCCTCCCAAAGTGCTAGGATTACAGGTGTGAGCCACCGTGCCCGGCCAGCAATCTGGTTTTAAAGGAGGCTTTGACCCCTCATTTGGTAAAAGGTTCCTTCTTTGACTAATTCCCAAAGGACATCTCGATCTGTCTTCAAAAGAAGGGGTATTCCGTTGTCAGTATTCCTAGCTAGCTCTGGGAGAAGAGAGAACTTGATTGTTTTCAGGGCCCTGGTCAGAGTCTGGTTTTATGCCCAAGGGATGAACTGCCTTTTGTCCTTCTACCTCCTGAAGTTCAGAGCCCTGTGAAAATGAAGTGGTAAAGGTCAAGTAGCAGTAGTTTGAAAAGCACCAGCACTGGGACGATTTTGTGGTAGCCTAGCAGAGTGGGCAGGATGCTTACTTCAGAGGTGCTAAAGATGTATTTTTTTTTGGAACAAGAAGGTTATAAATGTTTCTATTAAGTTTGATTTTAAAGCATGAGGGTTCTGGGAAAATGAGAAGATTGTACATACTCTAGGCTTCCTTGGGACTGCATTTGAAAAAAAAAAAACTTTTCTTTGGGTCAGCCAGTATGAAAACTGCATTTGATCTCAATCCTTCAGATCAGGCTTTTGGGGAGAGTTAGTTGAAGAATTTGTTTAGTCTAAGAAAGTTGCTTCTAGCTTAGCTAAATCTGGAAGAAAAAATGGAACCTGATGTTTGAGTGCTAACTGTATTCCAGACAGACGTTATACTCCTTATATTGGTCCTTTTGAAGCATAAATATGTTTCCAAGTCCTATAATAATGAGGAAATTGCCTGTGAGAGTTTAAGTAAATTGTACAAAGTAACACTTTTGGTTCAGAGATTTGTTTTTAATACAGAGAGGACAGGTTAGGAACTTTGAAGCTTCAGCTAAATGAGTCAGTTCTCAAATGTTTGAGAAGCATGCTCAAGGATCTGGAGGAATAGCTTAATTAATTTGTACATCATGAGAGGAGTAGGGAGCAAAAATATGTATAATTTCTTCTGAATGATGCTGTCTTTTTTGATGCAGTGGTGCTAAATGGGCTTTGCTTGTATGATACTTCTTAAATGCATTAGCTAATTATTTTGTTTTAGTCTTCTTTTTTGAAATACAGATGACTCTTTGAGCTGGTTTTCTTTGGAAAGTTATCTGTCCTGACAATTCTACTTCTAAAACTTCAACTTTTTTTTTTTAGTCTTCATTTCCATTGCCACCACCCTATCCTAAATTATCCCGTTATGCTGGATACTGAAATAGCTTCTGCCTGGTCTACTTACTTTCACTTCGCCCCCTTACGATCCAGTGCTTTGCTCCTTTTAATCCAGTGGCCAGAGGGATTTTTTTCAAAACATAATTTGATTATAACAGATCTATGTTTGATACTTATCCATGGTTTCCCATGGCAGTTGCAGAAAAATCCAAACCTTGTTTGGCCACACTGCCCTTCTTTCAGTAATTTGAATTCCTTAAGCTTTTTCCAGTTTCAGGATTTCCCATTTTGAACTCTTTCTCCTCCACTTTTTCCTGGCCACAGGTTTCAAGAGCTGACAACTTACCTCAGTTCTTAAGAGGATCCTTCATTTATCTCTAAATTGGATTTTCCTGTGTCCAAACCTTACTTGTTATCACAAGTTTATAATTATTTGGGTGATTGTTTGATGTGTCTCTCCTGACTGGGCCTTAGGGGCAGAGAATCTGTATTATTTTGTTCTTGTTTATATCCCTAGGAGCTCTTATGGTAGGTATTCAATAAATGTTTGTTGAATAAAGGCAGTGGAAAAACACATAGAAGAGGTGCTGTGGCAGCAGTTCTCAGTGCCAACAGTTGAATTGGTTTACAATAGTAATTTTTAGTGTCAACAAGGAGATGTGTAGTATGGAATGTTTATTAGCAAGATCTTTTTCTCATGGAATGGAATGTTTGAAAACCTCCAAAGTGTAAGTTTTTTTTTTTCTCAAAAGAAAACAGTCATATTTGGGGTTACTTTTTTTTTTGAGACAGAGTCTTGTTCTGTTGCCCAGGCTGGAGTGCAGTGGCATGATCCCGGCTCACTGCAACCTCCACCTCCCGAGTTTAAGTAATTCTCATGCCTTAGCCACTGGAATAGCTGGGATTACAGGTGTGTGCCACCATGCCCAGCTGTTTTTTGTATAATTATTAGAGATGGGGTTTCGCCATGTTGACCAGGCTGGTCTCAAGCTCCTGGCCTCAAGTGATCTGCCAGCCTTGGCCTCCCAAAGTGCTGGGATTACAGATGAGAGCCACCGTGCCCGGCCCATTGTTACTTCTGAAATCGAAATCAAATGCCATATTGATTCCTGATCTTTTGTGTATGACCTCTCTCTCTCTTTTTTTTTTTTTTTTGCTACCTCTCCCCGAAAGTTTTTAGGATCTTTTTTTCCACGATTATGTACCTTGATGTGGGTCTTTTCTCGCCCTTTGTGCTATTAGGTCTAGCAACTCATGTGTCTCAGGTCTGGGAAATGATTTTACAGTTTTTCCAGCTGGTGCGTAACTAGCTGTTTGTTCTGATACTGTCAGTATTTAACTTTATGTTAGAAACATTTCATAATGCAAATGAAAAATTTAAGCCAGGTGCAGTGGCTCATGCACTTTGTGAGGCTGAGGTGGGAGGAACACTTGAGGTCAGGAGTTCAAAACCAGCCTGGCCAACATGGTGAAACCCCTTCTACTAAAAAAACAAAAAAACAAAAATTAACTGGGCATGGTTGTGCACCCCCATAATCCCAGTTACTCAGGAGGCTGAGGTACGAGAATCACTGGAACTGGGAGACAGGTTTCAGTGAGCCGAGACTGAGACAGAGCAAGACCCTGTCTCAAAATATAAATAAAATACATAAAAAATTTAATATTATGTATATAATATCCAGCCCAGGCTTTTCTATTTGTCATGCCCTGTTTCTTTCACATCATAGCCTTACTCAGATGCCTGCTGATCCTTGATTGAGGTGTGATGCTTGAGAGTCAGGCTCTTAAATACTACTGGCGAATTCAGTGCATTGTGGTTTTGTGACTTCACTTGTCTCTTACAGAAGTGGGGAAGTGGTTTTTACTTCGATGCATGGTTCTGAAGTAGAGATGTCTATCTCCTGATGCACACTTTAAATAATCCCCATGTTTTCCACTCCATACTCCATCCTTGTCTGGTTTAAGCTCTTAGCCTGTCTGCAGTTCAGGGGATGAATCTGCTTGGTTCTTTTCAGCATCTCCCTCTGCAACGCTTAGATCTCATCTTCCTTTGCTTTGCTAACTATTCTCTTTGCTTCTCCATTTGTTTCTCTGTCATTGATGACTTCCAAGTTATATCCCCATCCTGGATATTCCTTTTGAACGTCAGACTCATATATTCAGTTACCTCCTCAGTATCTCTATTCGGATATCTAATGGCATCTCAAAATTAACATGTGCAAAACCAACCTGTTCCACCCTTGTGTTGGCTGTATAAATTAGTGGGAACTCCATTTTTTAAGTTGCTTAAATCAGAAACCTGGGAGTCATCAATTTTGGAGTCTGTCCCTTTGCTCTTGTGGCACATGTAATCACGAATAAATCCTGTTGGCTCTATCTTCAGAATATATCTCATTTTATCACTCTCTCTGCCACCAGAGTGGTTTAAGCCACCTTCATCTCTTAGGTTATTTTAGTAGCTTCCTAACTGGTCTCCTTCCTTCCATTCTTGCCACCTTCCTCAACACCGAAGATATATTTTATTTATTTATTTATTTATTTTGAGACAGAGTCTTGCTCTGTCACCCCAGCTGGAATGCGGTGGCTTGATCTTGGCTCACTGCAACCTCTGTCTTCCAGGCTTAAGCAATTCTCCTGCCTCAGCCTCCCGAGTAGCTGGGGCTGCAGGCATGCACCACCATGCCTGGCTAATTTTTGTATTTTTTAGTAGAGATGGAGTTTCACCATGTTGGCCAGGCTGGTCTCGAACTCCTGACCTCAGGTCATCTGCCCGCCTCAGCCTCCCAAAGTGTTGGGATTACAGGCGTCAGCCACCATGCTTGGCCAAATTTTTTATTCCTTTGGGTAAAGAGATGTATTTTATTTCCTTTAATTTGGTAATATAGTGAGTTATGTTAATAGATTCTTTTTTTCCAGTGCTCAAGCATCCTTGCATTCCTAGGATAAATGGTACTTCAACATGATTTTCCTTTTAAATATACATTGCTGGATTTAGGTTATAAATTATTGAGAATTTTTGCATCTGTATTTACAAGTGTTACATTCTAATTTCAGGCCTTTTCCAGTTTTATTATCAAAACAAGCTGTGCTGTTTTTCCTCTCTTGATTCTCAGTAGTAGTCTCTTTAAGATAGTGATTATTCATTCTTTTTGGTAGATCATGCCTATAAGACCTGGGCATGTATGTTTTTATTGTGGGAATATATTGTTTTTACTTTCCTTGTTATGAAATATATAATTTATTTTAAAATATGTATATACAGAGTTTGTGTTCCTTTAAAGAATAATAGCTAAAAATAAATTGCACGCCCCCACATCCAACCATCGTCAAACAAAACATCTTTTACACTCTATTTTATTTATTTATTTTCCCCCACCCCTCTAGAGTATACACCCTTTTGGAGCCTCTGAGCATTTTCCTTTCCCTCACTGCTTTAGAAACCTCTATTCAGATTTTTCATATTAATGATTCTTTTGCTTTTAACCCACATGTGTTACTGAAGTTTAAGTCCTAAATAATAATTTTTCCTGCTTTAAAATATATTTTTATGTCAATGAAATCATACTGGTGGATGTATTTTCTCTGATTTGCTGCTTTTGCCTCTCATTTCTGAGCTTGATCTATGTTGGTGCATTTATAGAAATACTTCATATTTTCTGCTGTGTATCATCTTATGCTATCAACGTGCCATATGATTTACCTGTTCTTAGCATGTATTTGGGTTGTTTCTGGTTCTTGCTGTAACAAACAGCTGCATTTAGTGCTTGTGTATGTGTCTCCTGATGCATGTGTGCATTCACTTCTCTGGGGTGTATATGTTGCTGGGAATGGGACTGAGTATTGTGAGTGTATAATAGTATCTTGTTTTTGTTTTTTTTCCCTCTCAGTTTATGGCATAATTTACGTACAGTAAAATTTACCACCGCCCCCCTGCCCCGCCTTTTTCTTTTTCTGAAACAGAGTCTCGCTCTGTTGTCCAGGCTGGAGTGCAGTGGCACAATCTCGGCTCACTGCAACCTTTACTTACTGGGTTCAAGCGATTCTCCTGCCTCAGCCTCACAAGTAGTTGGGATTACAGGTGCCTGCCAGGCTAATTTTGTAGAGACAGGGTTTCACCATGTTGGCCAGGCTGGTCTCAAACTCCTTACCTCAGGTGATCCACCCACCTTGGCCTCCCCAAGTGTTGGGATTAGAGGTATGAGCCACCACGCCCAGCCAAATTCACCCTTTTTAGTGTACAAGTATACAGCTTTGTGAGAGTTTGATTTCTTTAGTTCAAATTTGTTTTAAAGTTATATTTGGTATTTTAACAGTGCTATTTAAATATATGCCATATATGGCTTGAATGCAATTATCCTAGTACAGATGGTCCTTGACTTATGATGTTTTTGTGTCCCTGTAAGCCCACCTTAAGTTGAAAATATTAAGTTGAAAATGCATTTAATATGACTAACCTGCTGTAAATCCTAACTTAGCCTACCTTAAATGCACTTAGAACACTTAAATTAGTTTACAGTGGGCAAATCATCAAACACAAAGCCTATTTGTAATAAAGTGTTGAATATCTTATATAATTTATTGAATACTAAAGTGAAAAACAATAGTTGTATGAGTAGTCAGAGTATGGCTTCTCTTCAATGCATATCACTTTCATATACCATCGTAAACTCAAAAAATCATAAGTCAGGGTATGCTGTATATTTTATTGGTGCTAACATACTTCCATTTTAAAATACAGGAAATTCACCTTTTTTTGTGTATAGTCTTGTAAGTTTTGACAGATCTATATACAGATATGTAATCCCCACCCATGATTCTTTTTTAATTTAAAAAAATATATTTTTGAGACAGTCTCACTGTCACCCAGGCTGGAATGCAGTGGCATGATCGTAGCTCACTGCAGCCTCAAACTCCTGGCCTTAAGTGCTCCTCCTGCCTCAGCCTCCCAAAGTGCTAGGATTACAGGAATGAGCCAGTGTGCCCTGCCACCACCATAATTAAGATCCAGAACAGTTTCATCATCCCAGAAACTTTCCCTGTATCCTTTTGTAGTCAGCTTCTTTTTTCACCCCCAGCTCCTGGTGACCACTGATTTGTTCTCTGTCCTTGCAGTACTGTCTTTTCCAGAATGCCATATAAATTGAATCCTACATTATATAACACTTTGAGTCTGGCGTCTTTTACTTAGTGTGAAGTATTTGAGATTTATTTGTCTTGTGATGTGTATTAGCAATTTATTTCTTTTTTCTTTTTTTTCTTTTTGGAGACAAGGTCTTGCTCTGTCACCCAGGCTGAAGTGCAGCGGCACGATCATAGTTCACTGCAGGCTTAAACTCAAGCAATCCTCCCACTTCAGCCTCCTGAGTAGCTGGGACTGCAGGCGCACACCACCATGTTCAGCTAATTTTTTTTTTTTCTTGGTAGAGACAGGATCTCACTCTGTTGCCCAGGCTGATTTCAAACTCCTGGCCTCAAGGAATCCTCCCACCTATGCCTCTCAAAGTGCTGGGATTACAGGTGTGAACCATTACAGTTGGCTAGCAGTTTATTTCTGTATATTGCAGGATAGTATCTCATTGTATAGATGTACCACATTTTGCGTATTCATTCTTCAGTTGATAGACATTTGGACTACTTCCTCCTTTTGGCTGCTGTGAGTAATGCTGCTGTGAATAAATATTTGTGTGTAAGTTTCTATGTGGACATACAGTTTCATTATTCTTGGGTAGATAAACCTTGGAGTAATTGCTGGGTTGGGTGGTAATTTCTGTTTAACTTTTAAAGAAATAGCTAAGCTGTTTTCCAAAGTGGCTTCACCATCTTAAATTCAAGTTTTTGTTTTCGTTGTATTTGAGGCAGAGCTTTACTCTCTTGCCCAGGCTGGAGTGCAATGGCAAGATTATATTATAGCTCACTGCAGCCTCGATCTTCCAGGCTCAAGCGATCCTCTCACCTCAGCCTCCCAGGTAGCTGAGAGTACAGGTGTGTGTCACCATGCCTGGCTAAGTTTTGATTTTTAGTAGAGATAAGGTCTGGCTATGTTTCCCAGGCTGGTCTTGAACTTCTGAGCTCAAGCAGTCCTCCTGCCTTGGCCTCCCAAAGTGCTGGGATTGCAGGTGTGAGCCACCAAGCCCAGCCAAGGTTTTTGTGTTTTAGTAAAATTTCTGCTCTTCCTGGCAATACTTTTTTCTGAAATTTACTTTGATATTGATATAGTCACTCCAGTTCTTTTCAGTGCTTAGTTTTTGCATGGTATATTTTTTCCATCCTTTTGTGTTATACTGTCTGTTTCATTATATTTGTAGTTGGACCTTGATTTTTTTTTTTTCCCTAATTCTTTTACTTGGGATGCTTGGACCTAATGTGTGTCTAGTTTTTCCTAATGTGTCTTTTACTTGGGATGCTTGGACCATGTGTATTTAATTATTGATATGGTTGGGTTAAGTCCACCATCTAGCTATTTGTTATTTATTTATTTTTAGAGCCAAGGTCTTGCTGTGCCACCCAGGCTGGGGTGCTAGTGGCATGATCATGGCTCACTGAAGCCTCTAACTTCTGGGCTCAAGCAGTCATCTCACTGCAGTCTCCCGAGAAGCTGGGATTACAGGCGTGTGCCACCAAGCCTAGCTGATTTTTTTTTTTTTTTTCCGAGATGGAGATTTGCTCTTGTTGCCCACTCTGGAGTGCAGTGGCGCAATCTTGGCTCACCGCAGCCTCTGCCTCCTGGGTTCAAGCAATTCTCCTGCCTCAGTCTCCCGAGTAGCTGAGATTACAGGTGCCTGCCACCATGCCCAGCTAATTCTGTATTTTTAGTAGAGATGGGGTTTCACTATGTTGGCCAGGCTGATCTTGAACTCTTGACCTCGTGATCTGCCCGCCTCGGCCTCCCAAAGTGTTGGAAGGCCGAGGCGGGCAGATCACGCCTGTGCTGGGAGGCTGAGGCGGGTAGCCACTGCTCCCAGCCCTGAAATCTTTCCTCTTTTCTAAGATAGACATTTAATGCACACACACATTTTGATATGCTATGTTTTAATTTTCATTCAGCTTAAAATATCTAATTTTTCTTTTGATTTATTCTTTAACTTACTGATTATTTAGAAGTGTGATATTATATTTTGGGAATAAAAATCCAGAGATCTTACTGTTACTGATTTTTGATTTAATTCCATTGTGGTAAGAGAACATACCTTATATGATTTGAATCCTTTTAAATTGATTGAGACTTGTTTTATGGATCAGAATAAGGTGTCTTGATAAAGGTTCCACGGGCACTTGAAAAGAATGTGTATTCTACTGTTGTTAGGTAGAGCATTCTATTAATGTTGATTGGCTTGTTGATTGATAATGTTCAAGTCTTCTGTATTCTTACCGATTTCCTATTCTATCAGTTATAGACAGAGGGTGTTAAAATCTCAATTCTGTTTTGCTTGTTGATTGATAATGTTTAAGTCTTCTGTATTCTTACCGATTTTCTGTTCTATCAATTATAGAGAGAGGTGTTAAAATCTCAATTCTGTTTGTTTTTGGTTTGAAATTTACTTATAAGGTACATAAGCATTTATGATTGTCGTCATCTTGATGAATTGGTCTCTGTCATTTTGAAATGACAGAACTTACTTTGTCTCATAATATAGCTACTCGTGCTTTTCATTTGATTAGTGTTTGGCATATATTTTTATATTTTAAAAAAACTTATCACCTGTGTCTTTATGTTTAAAGTGGTTTTTTTTCCCAGGCATCATGTGTTTGGGATCTTGCTTTTATCCAGTTTGATAGTGTTTGCCTTTTAATTGGAGTTTGTAGACTATTTATGTTTAATGTGATTACTGATTTTTTTTTGAGATGGAGTCTCGCCCTGTCGCCCAGGCTGCAGTGCAGTGGCACGATCTCAGCTCACTCCAACCTCCGTTTCCCGGGTTCAAGTCATTCTCTTGCCTCAGCCTCCCAAGTAGCTGGGACTGCAGGCACCTGACACCACACCCGGCTAATTTTTGTATTTTTAGTAGAGATGGGGTTTCACCATATTGGCCAGGCTGGTCTCAAACTGCTGACTTTGTGATCCGCCCACCTCAGCCTCCCAAAGTGCTGGGATTACAGGTGTGAGCCACTGCGGCTGGATGTTTACTGATTTTTATAGAGTTTAAACAACCATCTTTTCTATTTGTCTGATGTGGTGTTTTTTTCGTTTTTGTTTTTTTAAGATGGACTGTCACTCTGTCGTCTAGGCTGGAGTGCAGTGGTGCAATCTCAACTCACTGTAACCTTTGCCTCCTGGGTTCAAGCAGTTTTCCTGTCTCAGCCTCCCAAGTAGCTGGGATTACAGGTGCGTGCCACCACACCTGGCTATTTTTTTTTTTTTTTTTTTGGTTTGAGACAGAGTCTCGCACTGTCACCTGGGCTGGAGTGCAGTGGCGCGATCTCGGCTCACTGCAATCTCCGCCTCCTGGGTTCAAGCGATACTCCTGCCTCAGCCTCCCAAGTAGCTGGTATTACAGGCGCCCATCACCACACCCAGCTAATGTTTTGTATTTTTAGTAGAGACAGGGTTTCACTATATTGGCCAGGCTGGTCTCAAATTCCTGACCTTGTGATCTGCCCGCCTTGGCCTCCCAAAGTGCTGGGATTACAGGCGTGAGCCACCGTGCCTGGCCTAATTTTTGTATTTTTAGTAGAGATGGGCTTTTGCCATGTTGGCCAAGCAGGTCTCGAATTCCTGACCTCAAGTGATCCCTGCCCTTGGCCTCCCAAAGTGCTGGCATTACAGGAGTGAGCTACGCCATGCCTGGCCTGGATTGAGGATTTTTTAGTGGTTCATTTTTAAGTCCTTTCTTGGCTCATTAGTACTTTGTTATTTTAGTGGCTGCTTTAGTGTTTATTGAGTTCAGCTTGTGAAACTCAGTCTTTAATATTATACCACTTCACCTATATTACAAGAACCTTATAGCAGTACACTTCATTTTCCCTTCAGACTTTGTGCTATGTTTGTCATACACTTCACTTTTACATATGTTGTAAACTCCACAATACATTATTATTTTTCATTTAAGTAGTCAATTTTTTTAAAACAATTTTTTTTTTTTTGAGACGGAGTCTCACTCGGTTGCCCAGGCTACAGTGCAGTGGTGCAATCTTGGCTTACTGCAGCCTCTGCCTCCTGGGTTCAAGTGATTCTTATGCCTCAGCCTCCTGAGTAGCTGGGATTACAGGTGCGCCCCATCATGCCTGGCTGATTTTTGTATTATTAGTAGAGATGGGGTTTTGCCACGTTGGCCCAGCAGGTCTCGAACTCCTGAGCTCCAGTGATCCGCCTGTCTTGGCCTCCCAAAGTGCTGGGATTACAGGCATGAGCCACCATGCCTGGCCTAAAAAGATTTTAAAAGTAAGAAAAAATGTCTTTTACTTTATATGTTTTCCATTTCTGGTGTTCTTTATTGCCTATGAGCGGTTCCAGATTCTCATCTGCCAGATTTTCTTCAGTTTTTTCTCGTCAGTTCAGATTTTCTTTCTGCCAGAGGACTTCCTTTAATGTGTTTCTTGTAGTGTAGGTCTGCTGGTGATATCTTTAAGCTTTGGTGTGTTTGAAAAAGTACTTCCTCTTGTTTTTAGAAAGATATATTCCTTTGATACAGAATTCTAGGTTGACAGGTTTTTTTCATTGTGTACTTTAAAGATGTTGCTCCACTGTCTCTAGCTTGCATTATTTCTCCTGTAAAATCTGTTGTTATTTTAATCTTTGTTCTTCAGCGAGCAAATTTATCTTTTTTGCCTTTTTTGGTTAATTTTTAAGATTTTCTTTTTATCACTGCTTTTTCAGCAATGTGTTTATTATATACTTTGTTGTAGTTTGCGTCATATTTCTTGTGTTTGAATTCTCTTGAGCTTCATGGATGAAATTTACGTATTCAGCTACTATTTCTTGAAATATTTTTCTTTTGTACTTCCCCACCGCATCTGGAGTCTGTAATTACATGTATATTTGGCTGCTTGAAGTAGTCATACAACTCACTGATGCACTGTTATGTTTTTTAGTCATTTGATTCTCTTTGTTTTGGGTAGTTTCTACTGATCTTCATTTCACTAGTCTTTATCTTTCCCATGTTAAATCTGTTACTCTTATCCAGAATTATACCTTTTATCCTTAAAAATTCAGTTTTTTTCTTTTTTTTGAGACGGAGTCTCATTCTGTCACCCAGGCTGAAGTGCAGTGGCATGATCTTGGCTCGCTGCAACCTCCGCTTCCCAGGTTCAAGCGATTATCCTGCCTCAGCCTCCCAAGTAGCTGTGATTACAGGCATGCATCACCATGTCTGGCTAGTTTTTGTATTTTTAGTAGAGACAGAGCTTCACCATGTTTGCCAGGCTGGTCTCAAACCCCTGACTTCAGGTGATCCACCTGCCTCAGCCTCCTAGAGTGCTGGGATTACAGGAATGAGCGACCACACCTGGTTTGTTTCTTAAAAAACATCTTATATTTCTCTGCTTAACGTGCTCAATGTTGAACATGTGAAATATAATAACTTTTCATAATCTCTTCTGATTCTGTCTCTATATCATCTTTGGGTCTGTTTTTATGTATTCTATTTTTCTTGTCATTATGGGTCAGATTTCCCAGTTCTTTGCAATCCTAATAAATTCTGTTTAGATGAAAGACATTGTGAATTTCACTTTGGGTTGTGGATATTTTTGTATTCATGTTGGTATTTTTGAGATTTGTTCTGGAGTGCAGATGAGTTAGCTGGAAACTAATTCTTTTGAGGCTTGCTTTTTAGCTTTGTTAGGTGGGGCGTATCCTTTCTGTGTTTATTTTTGTAAGGGTATACAGATATACATGTTTTCTTATTTCCCTCTTTATTTATTCTTATTTAATCTGTAACAATCTTTTTCCTTATATTCGTAACATTCTTAGTTAGGGAGTAATTACCTCTTCCCTAACTGTTGCATTAGCTTCTTAATTGGCACTCTGGTTCCCAGACTTTTTCTGTCTCTAATGCAGTGTACAGACTACTGTCAGAATAATTCTAAAGCACAATTCTGATATTGTCACTGTATTGCTTTTCAGTGCCTACAGCAGTAGGATTCACTTAAAAAATTATTCCCCTAATAGTAATATAAAAAATTTTTTTGAGCTCAAACTCTCATTCTCTCTCAGTATACATATTTGTTTATACATGAGGTCACATACTGCTTACTAAGTTAGCATTTTTTATGTGTTCATTTTGAAATAACTCTGAACAGTGGTATCCAATCTTTTGGCTTCCCTGGGCCACATTAGAAGAAGAATTGTCTTGGGCCACACATAAAATACACTAATGATAGCTGAATAGCTAAAAATTAAACATTGCAAAAAAAAAAAACAAACAAAAAAAACTCACTGTGGCTTTTTTTTTTTTTCCCTGTATTTTTCTTTTTCCCGAGATGAAGTCATGCTCTGTTGCTCAGGCTGGAGTGCAGTAGTGTGATCTCGGCTCACTGCAACCTCCGCCTACCAGGTTCAAGCAGTTCTCCTGCCTCAGCCTCCCGAGTAGCTGGGATTAAAGGGGTAAGCCCCCATGCCTGGCCTTTTTTTTTTTTTTTTTGTGGGGTGAGCGACCATGCCTGGCTTTTTTTTTTTTTTTTTTTTTTTTTTTTTTTGGTAGAGATGGGGTTTCATCATGTTGGCCAGTCTGGTCTCGAACTCTTGACCTTGTAATTCACCTGCCTTGGCCTCCTAAGGTGTTGGGATTACAGGTGTGAGCCACCACTCCTGGCCTTTTTTTTTTTTTTTTTTGAGATGGAGTCTCACTTTGTCACCCAGGCTGGAGTGCAGTGGCATGATCTCGGCTCGCTGCAGCCACTGCCTCCCGGGTTCAAGCAGTTCTCCTGCCTCACCCTCCCGAGTAGCTGGGATTACAGGTGTGTGCCACCACTCCCAGCTAGTTTTTTGTATTTTTAGTAGAGGCAGGTTTCACCATATTGGCCAGGCTGGTGAACTCCTGACCTCAAGTGATGCACCCACCTGGGCCTCCCAAATGCTGCTGGAATTGCAGGCGTGAGCCACCATGCCAAGCCAATTGTGTTTTAAGAAAAGTTTATGAATTAGTATTGGGCAGCATCGAAAGTTTACAAAGTTTGCGTTGGGCCGCATTGAAAGCTGTCCTGGGCTGTGTGCGACCTGCTGGCCGCAGGTTGGACAAACTTGCTCTGGGACATAAGTTTAAAAGTTATAGGCCAAGTGCCTTGGCTCACGCCTGTAATGTCTTTGCATTTCATCAGTTTTTCCACTGTTATCTTTCTGTTACAGTACACGGTCAGAATACCACATTGCATTTAGTTGTCATGTTTCCTTAGATGTGAAACAAATTTACCAATTGTAGTAGGGTATTTACGTATAGATCGGTTCGTTTGTAGCCTTATAGTATCTAGTTAAAACACTGTTATAAAGTTATTGTTATGTATCCTTTTGGGTGTGGTTTCTTTCCTTAGAAAAATACATTTAAAATTCATTCATGTTGTTAAATGAATCAATAGGTTGTTTCTCTTTTAAAAATTGAGATGAAATTCACATAACAAAATTAACCATTTTATTTTTTTAATTTTATATATATTTTCTGAGATGGAGTCTCACTCTGTAGCCCAGGCTGGAGTGCAGTGACGCGATCTCGGCTCACTGCAACATCTGCCTCCTGGGTTCAAGCGATTCTCAGCCTTAACCATTTTAAAGTGCACAGTTAAGTGGCATTTAGTACATTCACAGTGTTGGGTAACCATCTTTATCTGGTTCCAAAACATTTTTTTTTCTTTGAAAGAAAACCCCGTATTTATTAAGCATTTTTCTCTCTGTCCTTTTCCCTTCACTCGCTTCTGGCAAACACCAGTCTGCTCTGTTTCTGTGGATTTACCTGTTCTGGATATTTTATACAAATGGAATCATAGCGTATGTAGCCTTTTGTGGCTGGTTTTGTTTTTTTTGTTTGTTTTTTTTTTTGTTTTTTTTTTTTGAGACGGAGTCTTGCTCTGTCGCCCAGGCTGGAGTGCAGTGGCGGGATCTCGGCTCACTGCAAGCTCCACCTGCCGGGTTCACGCCATTCTCCTGCCTCAGCCTCCCAAGTAGCTGGGACTACAGGCGCCCGCCACTACGCCCGGCTCATTTTTTGTATTTTTAGTAGAGACGGGGTTTCACCGTTTTAGCTGGGATGGTCTCGATCTCCTGACCTCGTGATCCGCCCGCCTCGGCCTCCCAAAGTGCTGGGATTACAGGCGTGAGCCACCGCGCCCGGCCTGGTTTTGTTTTAGTAAGATACTTTTGCTGGATTAAGAATAAGGTTGGGCCAGGGGTGGTGGCTCATGCCTATAATCCCAGCACTTTGGGAGGCCGAGTTGGCCCAGCCTGGCCAACACAGTGAAACCCCATCTTTACTAAAAATACAAAAATTAGTCAGGCATGGTGGCGGGTACCTTGTAATCCCAGCTACTTGGAAGGCTGAGGCAGGAGGATTGCTTGAACCCGGGAAGCGGAGTTTGCAGTTAGCCAAGATCATGCCACTGCACTCTAGCCTGGGCGACAAGAGCAAGACTCGTTTCAAAGAAAAAAAAAAGAATACGTAGTTGACAGGTTTTTTTTTCTTTCAATACTTTAAAGATGATATACCACTGTCTTGTCACTCACCTTGTTTCTAACAAGAAATCTGCTATCTTTGTTCTGTATTTTGCATGCTTTTTTTTTCCTTGCTGCTTTTATTATTTTCTCTTTATTACTGGTTTTGAGCATTAGATTATGATATGCCAGTATGGTTTTTCTTGTGTTTATTGTGCTTGTGGTTCATTGATGTTCTTGGATATGTCGGTTTATAGCTTTCTTCAGGTTTCGGATTTTTTTTTTTTTTGGCCATTTTTTTCAAATTATTTTCCATTTAATTTCTCTTTTCTTTTTAGTCAGGTACTCTTTATCCAAACATTAGGCTGCTTGAAGTTGCCCCATAGCTTACTGATAGTTTTTGTTTTAACCTGTGTTTTATTTGAAAGATTCTATTTCTGTGCCTTTGAATTTACTTTCTTTTGCAGTGTGTAATCTGAAGTTAGTCACATTTAGCATTTTTAAAAATCTCACATATTTTACTCTTTTTTTTTTTTTTTTTTTTTTTTTTTTTTTAAAGACTGAGTCTCACTCTGTTGCCTGGGCTGGGGTGCAGTGGCACAATTTCAGCTCACTACAACCTCCGCCTCCTGGTTTCAAGCGATCCTCCCACCTCAGCCTCCCGAGTAGCTGGGACTACAGGCACCCGCCACTACGCCTGGCTCATTTTTGTATTTGTAGTAGAGACGGGGTTTCGCCATGTTGGCCAGGCTGGTCTTGAACTCCTGACCTCAAGTGATCTGCTTGCCTCAGCCTCCCAAATTGATGGGATTACAGGTGTGAGCCACCATGCCCGGCCATATTTTACCTTTTTTTATCGTTAGAATTTTGATTTGGTTTAAAAAAAAATCTTTCCTGTCTCTACTTAAGTTTTTGAATATATGAAATGCAGATATAACTCTTATAATGTCCTTGTGTACTCATTCTAACATCTGTGTCATTTCAGGGTTGGTTGCAATTGACTATTCTCTTTAGTATACTTTTTTTTCCTTGCCTCTTGCCTGGTGATCTTTGATTGGATTTCAGACATAGAGAGTTTTACCTCGTTGGGTGCTGGGGATATTTGTATTTCTACATATGTTCTTTAACTTTGTTATTGGATGCAGTTAAGTCACTTGAAAACCGTTGATTCCTTTAGGTCTTGTTTGTAAGATTTGTTAGCTGGGAACGGTGTAGTAGTTGGTTTATGGCTAATTCTTCCTCACTTCTGAGACAAGATTCTTCCCAAATCTTGAGGGTTGTCTTGAGATTTCCAGTCTAATAGCTACTTGAGTGGGTAAGGGCAGAGTACTGTTCATAATTCTTTTGGGTGTTGTTTTCCTCTCCTTGCTG
Source organism: Homo sapiens (assembly GCF_000001405.40). NCBI lineage: Eukaryota > Metazoa > Chordata > Mammalia > Primates > Hominidae > Homo > Homo sapiens. Next base: position 32,400,595 of record NC_000020.11, read on the forward strand.
CCCATGGTCTTGGGTAGTTTCATCACACTATGGGCCACTCAGTACTCAGTGAGTACCTCTCTAGATCTCCTCAGCCCTCTACTGTGTGGTATTGTCCCATGAATTCTAGCTGCCTAAGTCCTGCACTCTGAGCTGAGCTCGCTGTCTTCAATTTTGAGTTCTGCAGCCTCCATAGGGCTTCTGCTTCTGCATGGTGCCCAGGAAACTCTCTTCAGGCACTAAGTTTGGCCATCATAGGACTCATATCTTTGTTTCTCTTCCTTTGGGGATTACTGTCTCTCATTGCCTGCTGCGCAGCATCTTGAAAGCTATAGTTTCATGTTTTGTTAGTTATTTTAGTGGTTTAAGGTGAGAGGGTAAATCTGGTCCCTGTTGTGCTTGAAAAGTTTTTTTCAACTTTTCTTTTAGAAATAATTTTAGGTTTACTAAAAGCTGCAGAAATAATACAGAGTTCTGAGGTGTCTTTCACCCACTTCCCCCATGATAACATTTTACATAACCATAGTATAGTTATTAAAACTAGGAAATTGACATTGGTATAATAGTGTTAACTAAACCTCATGCCTTATTTCATATTTTCACATGAACTATTTTGAGCTGGCATGGTTAATATACAGTTCTATGAAGTTTTATCACGTGTATAGATTTCGTGTAATTATCACTAGTCAGGTTATAGAAGTATTCCATCATTTTAATGAAATGCCTTTGTACTACTCCTGTGTAGTCATCATGTCCTCCTTCCAGCCTCCACCACCAATCAACCAACCAACTTTAATCCTGGCAGCTACCAGTTGTCTGAATTTTATCACTTTCGCTATAATTTTATCTTTCTCAGAATGTCATAATACAGTAGTCCCCGTTATCTGTGGTGATATGTTCTAAGACCCCCAGTGGATGCCTGAAACCAGCTATAGTACTGAACCATATATGTGTGTGTGTGTGTGTGTGTGTTTTTTCCCCCCCCCCCTTTTTTTTTTTGAGACGGAGTCTCACTCTCGTCACCCAGACTAGGGTGCAGTGGTGTGATCTTGGCTCACTGCAATCTGCACCTCACAGGTTCAAGCGATTCTTCTGCCTCAGCCTCCTGGGTAACTGGGATTACAGGTTCGTGTTACCACGCAGGCTAATTTTTTGTATTTTTAGTTGAGGTGGGGTTTCACCATGTTGGCCAGGCTGGTCTCGAACTCCTGACCTCAAGTGATCCACCCACCTTAGCCTCCCAAAGTGCTGGGATTACAGGCGTGAGCCACTGCACCTGGCCTACTATACATATACGCCTATGATGAAATTTAATTTATAAATTAGGCACAGTAAGAGATTAACAATAATAAAAAATTATAACAATATACTATAATAAAAGTTATGTGAATGTTGTTTCTCTCTCAAAATACTGTAATATTTTCAGGCTGCAGTTGACCATGCGTAGCTGAAAGCAAGGGTAAGTGGTGACTACTGTAAATAGAATCATATAATATGTTACCTTTGAGATTGGCTTTTCTTTTTTAACTCGGCAAAATGCCTTTGAAATCGATCCAAGTCCTATGTATTAACACTGTTTCTTTTTATTGGTGAGTAGTATTCTATTCTTGGGCACACTACAGTTTACCCATTCTTCCATTGAGAGCATTTCTCCCCCCTAAATTACAAACAGAGATGGAGTCTTGCTTTGTGGTTGGTCTCCAACTCCTAGGCTCAATCTATCCTCCTGCCTCAGCCTCCCAAAGTGCTGGGATTAGAGGCATGTGCCACTGTGCCTGGCCCCACTGAAGAACATTTGAGTTGTTCCCAGTTTGGGGCTATTACAAATAAAGCTGCTGTGAACATTTGCATGCAGATTTTAGTGTGAAAATATTTTTATTTCTCTAGGATGAATACCTACCTATGAGTAGAATTGCTGGGTCGTATGATACATGTATATTTAACTCTGTAAGAAACGACTACACTGTTTTCCAGAGTGGTGGTAGTTTTTCATTCCCACTAACAATGTATAAGAAATCCAATTGTTCTGCTTTTTTATTAGCACTTTAGTATTGTCAGTATTTTTCCTTCTGTTCATTGTAATAGATGCATAGTAGTATCTCATGCCTTAAATTTGCATTTCCGTAGTGGCTAATGATGTTGAATATCTTTTCATCTCCTTAGGTTCCATTTGAATATTCTCTTTGGTGTAGTTTATGTTCAAGACTTTTCTATTTTCAAATTGGATTTTTTCTTACTGTTGAGTGTTCTAGACACAAGTTATTTGTTGGATACGTGATTTGCAAATATTTTCTCCTAATCTTTTAATTTGCCTAAGAGTGTGCTTCATAGAGCAAAAGGTTTGAATTCTTATGAAGTCTAATTTATCTATTTTTAAATTTTATAGTTTTTTTTGGTGTCATATCTAAGCACTCTTTGGCTAACAAAATTTTCTCTTTTTTTCTAAAAGTTGTATGCTTTACATTTAAGTCTGTGATTGCATTTGAATTAATTTTTAAATTAAGCATAAGGTTACATCAATGTTCATTTTCCTTTTTGGGGGACCAATTATTCCAAAACCATTTGCTTAAAATGATTATTCTTTATTTATTGAATTGCTTTCTCACCTCTAGCAAAAGTCAGTTGGCCATATTTTGTGAAAAGTTCTATTCCTACGCACACTGTTCTGGCTCATTGACCTACGCATCTGTTCCTCTGTCAATACCGTACTGTCTTGATTACTGTAATGTAGCTGTATAGTAAGTCCTAAAATCAGGTAGTGTTATTCCTCCACCTTCGTTTTTCTTTTTCAGAGTTGTTTCAGCTATTCTGGTTTCTTTGTCTTTACATGGAAATTTTATTTATTTATTATTTATTTTCTTGAGACAGCCTCAGTGTTTTGCCCGGGCTGGGGTGTGGTGGTATGATCATAGTTCACTGCTGCCTGGAATTCCTGGGCTCAAGGGATCCTCCTGCCTCAGCCTTCCGGGTAGCTGGGACTACAGATGTACACCACCACTCCCAGCTAATTTTTACTTTTTTTGTAGTGCTGGGGTGTCACCCTGTTGCCCATGTTGGTCTCAAACACCTGGGCTCAAGTGATCTTCCTGCCTCAGCCTCCCAAAGTGCTGGGATTAAAGGCATGAGCCACCACAGTCAGCTGTGTATGAATTTTAGAATCATATTATCTACAATAAAGTTTTGGTGGAGTTTCAATAGTAAATGCATTAAACCCATTGGTTAGTTTGGGGAGAAGTGACATCTTGGCCATGTTGTCTTCCAGTTCATGGATATAGTATGTTTTTTTACATTTATTTAGGTTGTCTTTTTTTTTTAAAGGTACATAATAATTGTACATATTTATGGGGTGCATGTGATATTTTGATACAGGTATGCAGTGTATAATGATCAAAGCAAGGTATTTAGGCTATCCATCACCTCAAATATTTATCATTTCTTTATGTTGGGAATTTTTCAACTCTTCCCTTCTAGGTATTTTGAAATATAAACAAATTATAGTTAACTACAGTCACCATACTGTGCTGTTGAACCCTGGAACTAATTTCTTCTATCTAACTGTATGTTTGTACCCATTGACCAACCCCTCTTTATCTCCCTGCCCCCTTCCCAGCTCTGGTAACGATCATTTTACTCTCTGCCTCCACGAGATCAACTCTTTTAGCTCCCACATAGGAGTGACAACATGTGATATTTATCTTTCTGTGCCTCTTCCTTTACTTAACAATGTATTTAGGTCATCTTTGGTATTTTTATCAGCATTTCATAGGTTTTAGCATGCATATTTTGTACAGTTTTGTTAGATATATACCTAGTTTTTTTTGGTAAACTATTATAAATGAAATTGTGCTTTTAATTTTTGTTTCTAATTGCTGATTGCTAATATATAGACATTATTGATGTTAGTGTGTTGATCTGTATTCTGTGACCTTTATAAACTCACTTATTAGTTCTACAAGTTTTTCTCCTAGAATCTTTGGGATTTTCTCTGTTAGACCATCATATCATCTGTTAATAGGGCCGGTTTAATATATTCCTTTCTGATATGTGTACCTTTTATTTCCTTTTCTTGCTTGATTGACTAGCTGGGACTTGTTTGCTGTGTCGAATATGAGTGCTTAGTGTGGACATTCTTGCCTTATTCCCGCTTTCAGATAGAAAGCCTTTAGTCTTTCACCACTAGTATGATGTTAGTTATAGACATTTTATAGATGGTCTTTATCAAGTTGAGGACGTTTTCTTCTATTCCTAGTTTACTGAGAGTTTTTATCATGAATGTATTTGTTGAATTTTGTCAAAGTTTCTGCATTGATATAAATAATTATGCTTTCTTTTCACATCTTATTGTTTTAGTTTGCATTTCCTTGATGATGAATTCCTTTTCATATGCTTACTGACCATTTTATCATCTTCCTGCGTGAATTTTCTATTAGTTTTGCCCATTTAAAAAAAGTTTTTATTTTGTAGCAATTTTAAGCTTTCATAAAGTTCTAAGTACAGTACAAAGAACTTTATTTTTTCCTGACCCATTTTAGAGCCCTGTTGTTCCTTACTATTTTTATTTATTTTTTGAGACAGGGTCTGTCACTCTGTTGTACAGACTGGAGTGCAGTGGTACTATCATAGCTCACTCCAGGGCATAAACGATCCTCCTGCCTCAGCCTCCTGAGTAGCTGGGACAAGTGTGTGCCACCATGCCTGGCTAATTTTTTTAATTTTAATTTTTTGAACTTCTGGGCTCAAGCGATCCTCTTGCCTCAGCCTCCCAAAGTGTTGGGATTATAGGCATGCACCACCGCACCTGGCCCTACCCTTAATACTTTAGTATTAATGTTTTAGTATATTTGCCTTAAAGTTAATGACATTCTCCTTGCTACCTGTCCACAATACATTCATAAAATTCAGAAAATTACACTGAGTCATTATTACCATCTAATCTTCAGATTTCATTAAAGTTTAGCTAATTGTCCATGTAATGTCCTTTTTGTCCAAAGTATCTAGGTCAGAATTATGTGTTGCATGGAGTTGTCATATGTCTTTGGTCTCCTTCATTCTAGAACAGTTCTTTAATCTTTCTTTGATTTTCGTGACCTTGACTCCTTTGAAGACTACAGACCAGTTATTTTGTGGAATCTTTTTTAGTTTGAATTTTCTCATAATTGGATTCAGGTTTTGCATCTTTGTCAGGTATAGCAGAGAAGTGATGCTAGGTTCTTAGTGTGTCCTGTCAGGTAGCTCTTTATTTCAGTTTTTTCCTATTATTGATTATCTCTTTGATCACTTGGTTAAGGTAGCATCTGCCATCCTTCATCACTATAAAGCTCCTTTTTACCCCCACCCCTTTTTTTTTGAGATGGGGTTTTGCTCCTCTTGCCCAGGCTTGGAGTGCAATGTCTCAAAAAAAAATTAATAGTAATATATACAGTCATAGTTAGAAGCCAAGATCTAGTTTCTAAATGTTTGCTGCTGTTGGAGTGTTGGTGATCCCAGTTCCTTTCAGTGGGAAGGGGCTAAGGAATATATGGGTATATTTACATACATACACATATGTTCACTCAATCTATATTTATATCTGTCTTTATCTAAATATGTTGAAAACTATGAGCTTACCCCAATAATACAAGTTCTAATCCAGTCATTCTAGTTTTTTCCCTTTCCATATGTATAAGTCCTTTTTCCAACAATAATAAATCTGGGCTGGGCGCAGTGGCTTACACCTGTAATCCCAGCACTTTGGGAGGCTGAGGCGGGTGGATTGCTTGAACACAGGCGTTCTAGATCAGCCTGGGCAACATGTCAAAACCCCATCTATATGGGGAAAAAAAAAAAAGTTAGCCAGGTGTGGTGGCACATGCCTGTAGTCCCAGCTACTCAGGAGGCTGAGGTGGGAGGATCACTTGAGCCCAGGAGGTCAAGGCTACAGCGAGCCGAGATTGCACCACTGCACTCCAGCCAGAGCTACTGAGTGAGACCCTGTCTCAAATCTATTCCCTAATATATTTACCTAATTATTTAATCACCCACTCTTCACTGTTGCAGCCCTTTCTTCATGCAGATGTCCTCTTTACTTTGCTTGGACTCCAACACCCTGTGTTGGGTTGGCTCCACTCTCATCCCATGGATGAGTTCACTCAAGCTCTGACCAGTCACATCAGGGTGTTCTCCCATATACATGCCCTTCTCAACCCGCGTGGGCTTCAATACTCTGTCCTTTGTCATTCCCTGTTTGGGCATTTCACTCATCTTGATCTCCAACTCTCACGTCATACCACACTCAGATACACACAGATACCTTCTGTGCTCCACTCAGGCTCTGACTCTCTACTCTTGTCTACCTAGCCTCAGGCCTCCACTTTTGTATGGATGCCTACCTTGCTGTGTACCATGTAATGGAAGGGAAGACTAGTTTGGGGGAAGAGAAGGGCAGCTCTTCCCATTTAAAAAGATTGGTTTGTCTTTTTGTTTTAGGTTTATAGAATTGAAATATATAGGTGGGCTTGGTGGCTCACGCATGTAATCCCAGCACTTTGGGAGGCTGAGGCAGGTGGATCACTTTGGTTTAGGAGTTTGAGATTAGCCTGGTCAACATGGTGAAACCCCATCTCTACTAAAAATACAGAAAAATTAGCTGGGTGTGGTGGAGGGTACCTGTAATTCCAGCTACTCAGAAGGCTGAGGCACAAGAATTGCTTGAACCTGGGAGGTGGAGGTTGCAGTGAGCTGAGATCGTGCCACTGCTCTCCAACCTGGGCAACAGAGCTAGACTCCGTCTCGGGGGGAAAAAAAAGAATTGAAATATATGTATACACACACATATACACACTCTGGATACATACTGTATCCCGAGTATGTGTTTTGCAAATATTTTCTCCCAGTCTGTGGCCTGCCTTTTATTTCTTTTCTTTTTTTTGAGACAGGGTCTTCCTCTGTCACCCACGCTAGAGTGCGGTAGCACAGTCACAACTCACCGCAGCCTCAACTTCCTGGGCTCAAAGTGATCCTCCCACCTCAGTCTCTTGAGTAGCTGGGACTACAGACACGTGCCACCACTCCTGGCCCATTATGTCTGTTTTTTGTAGAGATGACGTCTCACTATGTTGCCTAGGGTGGTCTCAAACTCCTAGGCTCAAGTGATCATCCCACCTCAGCCTCCCAAAGTGCTGGTGAGCCACCATGCCTGGCCTGGCCTGGCCTGCCTTTGCATTTTTATTAAAGTGTCTTTTGATTAGAAGTTTTTTTGTTTTGAGGAAGTCTGTTTTATCCACATTAAAACAATATGTTTTTAGGAACTTTTGCCTATCTATTAATAGTGCACAAAAATATTTTTTGGCTTTATATTTTTGGCTCTTAGGTGTGCGATTTATGTCAAATTAATTTTTATTTTTGAGAGGGAGTCTAGCTTTGTCACCCAGGCTGGAGTGCAGTGGCACAATCTTGGCTCACTGCAATCTCCACCTCCCAGGTTCAAGCAATTCTCCTACCTCAGCCTCCTGAGTAGCTGGGATTATAAGCACTTGCCACCATGCCTATTTTTCTATTTTTAGTAGAGATGGGGTTTTACCATGTTTGCCAGCCTGGTCTTGAACTCCTGACCTCAGGTGACCTGCCCGCTTCAGCCTCCCAAAGTTGCTGGGATTACAGGCTTGAGTCACCATGCCTGGCCTCAAATTAATTTCTATGTACGGTTCGAGGTAGTCATTCAGGTTTGCGTTTTTACGTGTTTATCTTGTTTCAGCTTTATTTGTTGAAATGATGTTCCCCTCTTTATTGAATAGCTTTGGTGCCTTTGTCAAAAATCAGTTGAGTCCATACATAAGGATATGTTTTTGTACTCTGTTCTGTTCCATTAATCTATCTATTTTTATACCAATATTTTACTCTCCTGATTTTAGTAAGTCATGAGATTGGATAGTGTTAGTAGTGTGAATCCTCTGTGTTCTTCCTTCTTAAAATTGCTTGGACTGCTTTTGGTTCTTTGCATTTATTTTTCTTTCTTTTTTAGAGACAAGGTCTTGCTCTGTCGGCAGGCTGTAGTGCAGTGACGCAGTCCTAGCTTACTGCATCCTAAAACTTCCGGGCTCAAGCCATCCTCCTGCCTCAAGCTCCCAAGGCGCTGGGATTATGTGTGTGAGCCACCATGCCCAGCCTTCTTTGCATTTTCATATAAATTTTAGAATCAACTTGTCAATTTTTATCAATTAAAAAAATTGGGATTTTGATTAGGATTATGTTGACTTTGTAGGGAGAATTAACTTCTCAACAGCATTTTTTTTCAATCCATGAACATGGTATAATCTCCAGTTATTATCATCTTTAATTTTTCTTAGTGTTTTATAGTTTCCAATGAGGTCTTGCATGCCTTAACATTTTTTTCTCAAGTATTTTTATTTTTTTAATTTTTTAAATTAATTTATTTTTTTGAGATGGCGTTTTGCTCTTGTTGCCCAGGCTGGAGTGCAGTGGCGGAATCTTGGCTCACTGCAACCTTTGCCTCCCAGTTTCAAGCGATTCACCTGCCTCAGCCTCCCTAGTAGCTGGGATTACAGGCGGGCACCACCATACCTGGCTAATTTTTTGTATTTTTAGTAGAGACAGGGTTTCACCATGTTGGCCAGGCTGTTCTCAAACTCTTGACCTCGTGATCTACCTGCCTTGGCCTTCCAAAGTGCTGGGATTATAGGCGTGAGCCACCATGCCCAGCCTCAGCTATTTTTATTTTCGATGCTATTATACATGGAATTTGTTTTAAAAATTTGTTTCCCAGTTTTTTGCCCTAGCAGGTATATAGCTGATTTTTCAATAACTTGTAATTTTGACATAATTTCAGACACGATTGTATTTGCTTTATAATTCTAGCTACATGTTATTTTTTTCATGTACTAAAGTGCAGACATAATGCCCCCTAACCTCTAAATAGTTATTAACAACAAGTACATTCTCTTTCATAACCACATTGCAATTATCAATGTCAGAAAATTAATGTTGATATGGTACTGCTTGCTGTCTAATGTGCATACTTTGAGCTGGGCTTGGTGGTATACACCTATAGTCTTAGCTACTCAGGAGGCTGAGGTGGGAGGATCGCTTGAGCCTAGGAGTTGAAGGCTGCAGTATGCCATGATCAACCCTGTGAATAGCCACTGTACTCCAGCCTGGGCAACAATAGTGAGATCCCTATCTTTAAAAAAAAAACTGCATATTTTACTGAAATTTTACCTATTCTTTTCTAATGCCAATTATAAAGCAAAATTCTGGTTGAGGATCTCATCCTTGATCACATGGTACATTTGTTTGTCAAATCTCATTTTCTTTAATCTGAAAAAGTTCTCACAAACATTGTCTTTTATGACTTAATTTTTTTTAAAGTACAGACCATTTATTTTGTATTAATAGTAAGTTCTCCAATATGGATTTGTCTTGATGCTTTTCATTATTAAAGTAATGTTTTTGACAGGAATACCTCAGCATGTCCTCCTCAGTACATTTTATCAGGAGACACGATACCTGTTTGTCTGATTTCTGATAACGATAACTTCAAACACTTGGTTAAGGTGGTGTCTGCCTTATTTCTCTCCTATAAATAGTACCTTGTAGAGAGATACAGTAGTCCCCTTTATCTGCTGGGGATGTTTCAAGACCAGTGGGTGCCTGAAATTACAGATAGTCCCAAGCCCTATATATACTGTGTTTTTTCCTATGCATATGTACTTTTGATAAATTTTATTTTATTATTCCTTTATTTAGTTTTTAGAAATACGGTCTTACACCGTTGCCCAGCCTGGTCCTGAATGAACTTCTGGCCTCAAGTGATCCTCCTGCACTGGTCTCCCAAAGTGTTGGGACTACAGGTGTGAGCCACTGTGCCCAGCCCCCCAAGTTTAATTTCTAAATTAGGCACAGTAAAAGAATAACAACAATAACTAAGAATAAAATATAACAATTGCAACAATGTACTATAATCAAAGTTATGTGGATGTGATCCTTCTTTCTCTCTCAAAATACTGTAATTTTTTGGACTGCTGTTGACCACAGGTTATTTAAACTGTGGAAGGTGAAACTTCGGGTAGAGGGCACTTACTGTACTTTGAGACTATATGAATAGTCTCATGTACTTTCATTCACTGGTTTTAGCATCCACTGATGAAGGATTCCTACCTAAAACAGTTAGTACGCTGAGGCTGGGTGCAGTAGCTCACACCTGTAATCCCAACACTTTGGGAGACCGAGGTGGGTGGATCATTTGATGTCAGGAGTTTGAGACCAGCCTTGCCAACATGGTGAAACCCTGTCTCTGCTAAAAATACAAAAAAATTAGCTGGACATGATGGCGCATGCCTGTAATCTCAGCTACTGGGGGAGGGTGAGGCAGGAGAATCGCTTGAACCCTGGAGATGGAGGTTGCAGTGAGCTGAGATCGTGCCACTGCACTCCAGCCTGGGCAACAGAACAAGACTCTGTCTCAAAAAAAAAAAAAAATAAAAAAAATAAAAAAAAATTAGTACTCTGAGAGTTGTTGTCAAGTGGTGATTTTTTTTTTTTTTAAGTTCCACCATTTATCTGACATCTATTAGTTGTGGTTTTTCAGTAAGGGGGAGAGCTTTAATTTATTCCCCCATTTGTTTATTCGTTGTGAATTTATGGATTCTTTTTTTTTTTTTTTTTTTTTTTTTTGAGATGGAGTCTCATGCGCTCTGTCACCCAGGCTGGAATGTAGTGGCACAATCTCGGCTCACTGCAACCTCTGTCTCCTGGGTTCAAGTGATTCATCTTCCTTAGCTTCACGAGTAGCTGGGGTTACAGGTGCCTGCCACCATGCCCGGCTAATTTTTGTCTTTTTAGTAGAGACGGTTTCACCATGTTGGCCAGGCTTGTCTCTCCAACTCCTGGCCTCAAGCGATCCACCCGCCTCAGCCTCCCAAAGTGCTGGGATTACAGGCATAAGCCACTGTGCCCGGCCATGGATTCCTTTTTTTTTTTTTTTTTTTTTAAAATATGAAGACTCGCTCTGTTGCCCAGGCTGGAGTGCAGTAGTGCGATCTTGGCTCACTGCAGCCTCTGCCGCCTGGGTTCAAGTGATTCTCCTGCCTCAGCCTCACAAGTAGCTGGGATTACAGGTTTGTGCCACCACACCCAGCTTTTATATTTTTAGTAGAGATGGGGTTTCACCATGTTGGCCAGGCTGGTCTCGAACTCCTGACCTCAAGTTATCCACCCGCTTTGGCCTCCCAAAGTGCTGAGATCATAGGCATGAGCCATTATGCCCAGCCCTACCCATGGATTCTTATTTTATTATTGAGTTATAATCTTACTATCATTTTTAATGTACAAATTGTCGCTGATTTGGCCAGTGGAATTGCATGTACTCCAGCTTTTGTGTCCTTTTTATGTGTTTTCCTCATTCCTGAACACTTCTTTACTTACCTGCTTTCTGACCCAGCAAGATGTTCTGGGCTTAGCTTATATTTTCCCAGCCCCACTTCTAGAATCATCCATTTTCCTGGGGAGCTCTGGTTTCTTTTAGCTTAGAATAGTATGCATGTATACATCTGTACCTGTTTCTCTCTTTGTCTGTCTATAGGTAAATATAGTATTCATACTAATACCTTGAAATTAGTCTCTTACTGGGGGTTTCATTCTAACTTTACCTTTCTATATGTGCATCTTGCTACTCCAACATTGAACAACCTGGCTTCTATTATGTACTTTGTATCTACCTACTTGCTCAGTTTTAGTATAAACACTTAGTAGTTTTATAATTGTTAACCCATTCCACTGTGGAAGAACAAATCTAACTAGAACTCAGTATTTGTTTATAGTTCATTTAGGTTTTTAGCCTAAGGATATATAGTCAAAATACTTGAAGAATTACTTGGGTTAGATCTGTCCTTGTGCCCCTTCAGTGTGGTTATGTTATTCACTTTAAGTATATGTCAGTAAAAATTTTAAATGTATCACAACCACTTCCTCTTTTTAGTGCTGTGGGAAAACAAGCACTGTTGCATTACCCTTAAGAAAAGAAATAAATTTTTTTTTTTTTTTTTTTGGAAACAGGTCTCACTCTGTCTCCCAGGCTGGAGGGCAATGGTGGGATCGTAGCTCACGTCAGCCTCCCAAGTAGCTGGGACTACAGGCATATGCATCCTGGCTGGCTAATTTTTTTTTTTTTTTGCAGACATGGGGGTCTCACTATGTTGCCTAGGCTTATCTTGAACTCCTGGGCTCAAGTGATCCTCCCGCCTTGCCATTCCAAAGTGTTAGGATTATAGGCGTGAGCCACTGTCCCCAGGTCAAGAAAACAAATGGATACTTTTTTTTGTTGGGGGATTTGATACTATTAACAAAATTATATTTGCATCTACCTTTTGACCGATTGTTTCCATTTGATTATTCAAGGCAGTAGTATTTGTAGTTGCAGAATATTAAAAGCCATCTAAATGCTGGTGGTACATGAGGGAGTGGTTATACTTTGATACATCAACATCATGGAGTATCATGCAGCTGAGAAGAAAATGAGGAAGTTTTCATGAAACGATAGAGTAATTTCCAGAATATATTGTTAAGTGGAAAATTGAAGAGCAAAATACTCTCTGAGGCACGCAGATTTTGTTGTTGTTGTTGTTTAAGGATGAAGGATAAATAAAACAGATGTGTATATTATCATTTGTACAAAAAGAAACACAAGAAGAATACACCGGAAACAATGAGGTTGGTTAGGGGACTAACAGGAATGGAATGGAGAGTTGGAGGGGGATGGAAATGGAAGGGATGGTGGGGAGCAGTGTCACTTACTCTGAGTATAACCTTTTATATAGTTTTGATTTGTAATCATGTTATATTTCACATAATTCAATATGTAGATAAAATAACAAAGATGGGAAATAAAAAACAAAATGGGTTACAAACAAAAGATGAAACCCAGTGCTATTAACAGCTGTACAATTCTTGATGTGTTCAACGTATTTCATTCTTCTTTCTGAATGTTTGTTCCTGGAGCCATCTTTTTTCCTGCTCTCCGCATGGACAGTTTGTGGTGTAAGGTGGCCAGCCATCCTGGTTTGCCCACGATTGAGGGGTTTCCCGGGGTGTAGGACTTTCAGTGCTAAAACTGGAAACTCCCAGGCAAACTGGGGCCTGTTGGCTACTCTTTTCACGTGCATGTGGCTGTTTTCCTCGGACTTTCCTTATATGTACCTTGGGAATTCTCTTCACTTTCTCCTGGTATGTCCTGCCTTTCCTAGATCTCACACAAATCTCATTTATTGTTACTCCTTTAGTTGTGTGCGCATTCTCTACACAATACATTTATGTAGAGCAGATTGACGTAGAGTTGCTTCTAGAGAACAGGTGCCTAGGAGGTAAATTGAGGCCTTACATGTCTTTATTCTGTGTTCCACACTAGATTGTTGGTTGGGCTCAGAATTCCAGAAGATGTTACTCTTACTACTACATTCTTCAGAGCTGCTTTTGAGAAACATGCCATTGTGATTTCTGGATATCGTGTGTTTTTTTTGACCGGAAGATTTTAGGATCTGTTTCTCTCCTGTGTTTTGAGATTTCATGATAATGCTGTGGAATGGGTCTTTTTCATTCATTATGCTGAGTGTTTTGCCTTATTAAACTCGGAAACTGGAGTCTTCTCATTTGGGGAAAATTTCTTGTATTATTTCTGTCTTTTGGCTTTCTTCCTCTGGACCTTCTATTTGTTGGATGTGGGACTCTCTTAATGGAGCTTCTTTTTCTTTTTTTTTTTTAATCAGTTCTCTAGGAGATAATCTGTTGTTTTTGGCCTCTCATTTTTAATTTCTAGCAGATTGTTCATGTTCTTTAATGTTGCTTTATTTTTTTAAAAAAATATTCTGGCTGAGCTGTAGTACGTGTCTGTGGTCCCGACTACTGGGGAGGCCAAGGTGGGAGAATTGCTTACGACCAGGAGTTTGAGTCCAGCCTGGGCAACATAGCAACACCCCATATCTTATTTTAAAAAAAGCACTCTATGTTTGTTTTGGGCCTCTTTGAGAACATTTACTATGAAATTTTATTTATCTTTGTTTCCTTTCAGTTCTTCTTTTGTTTATTGTGATTATCTTTCATATAACAATGTGCTTAAATAGCTGGTGGTTCTTGATAGGTCACTCAACAGTGAGCAAACTGATGGATCCTGTGTTTGTGAGCAGTGTTTATTGGCTGTGATAGAGGGTGGGGACCTAGATGCTTTTAGGGGATCCTCCTGTTATCCATTTCTGAAAGTGTTTTCTCCTAGGCTGGTCACTTTTTCCAGGAGGAGAAATCCTTTCATCTCTTGCCATCTACATGACAGTAGGCTGTGGTTGGGGTCATAGTACTACTACTATTTGGGGAGCTTTGGGAGCCAAGGTGGGGAGGGAAGCTAGTGGTGTCATGATTTTCTGGTGTTTTTTGTTTGTTTGTTTGTTTGTTTGTTTGTTTTGTTTTGTTTGAGATGGAGTTTATCTCTTGCCGCCCAGGCTGGAGTGCAGTGGTGCCATCTCAACTCACTGCAACCTCTACCTCCTGGGTTCAAGCAATTCTCCAGCCTCAGCCTCCCTAGTAGCTGGGATTACAGGTGCCCGCCATCACCCCTGGCTAATTTTTGTATTTTTAGTATAGATGGGGTTTCGCCATGTTGGCCAGGCTGGTCTCGAACTCCTGACCTCAGGTGATCTTCCTGCCTCAGCCTCCCAAAGTGCTGGGATTACAGGTGTGAGCCACCATGCCCAGCCTGCGTCATGATTTTCTATTGTTGGTCTTATTTAGAGTGTGGCATCTCACTCCATGCCCCATCCCTTGAGCTGTGCCTCTAGTCTTCTGTTCCAGAACTTCCGTGGTTCAGTTTAATCAGAATATAAATCTGTTTTCCTCTGGAGTGGGAGAAGGGTGTATTGCCTTACTGTTTAGGGACAGGAAGGAGACCTGAGGGGGTCTGACTGTTTTATTCAGAGTTTGAAACAGTTCTCCTGTTCTCAGCCCCTGCCTCTCAACTCTTGTCTGCAGTGGTTCCTGGTGCCTCCCACTTCCCTGCGTGCTCCGGGCTTTTGAAGCACTGGCTTGCTTTTTGTGGCTTTTCCCTCTGCAGCCATAAACTTCAACTTTCCTTCTTTGCTGAGTCAGTTACTTCTTACCTTCCTGCTCAACCTGGTCTTTCAGATTTCTGTTGACATCCCTCATCTACTGCCTTTTTCCTTCCCCTTACTCTTTGTCTTTATGCATGTACACTTTTACTGTTCCCTTATAGTCATTCTAGTGAACCCTCAGGAAGATGCAAAGAAGTATATGTTCATTTTGCCATGTTTATCCACAACCCCCAAATACCATTAAACAAAAGAAAAGAAAAAATATTTAAAAAAGAAAACAAAAACAAAAACAAAACAAACCCTTAATAAATGGAGAGCAGCTATGCCATGTTGTTGATTAAGAAGATTCTATATCGTAAAGATGTCAGTTCTTCCCAATTTGATTTGTAGATTCAATGCAGTACACTACAAATTTTGAAAATTGAGATATAATAGTTATATGTATTTTGGGGGTACAGGTGATATTTTGATACCTGTATGCAATACATAGACATTTTTCTTTGTGTTGGGAACATTAAAATTCTTCTTTTCTAGTTATTTTGAAATATATAGTAAATTATTGTTTACTATAATTTTCCTATTCTACTATTGAATATTAGAACTTACTCCTTCTATTTAACTGTAATTTTATACCCCTTAACCAACTTCTATTTTGCCATGTTTAAATATGGAAGCTCAAGCGTTTGTACAGAGAAAGTGGAAAATGCCCTTGGCTTTTATGCCAAACCCCAATCCCTCTGTCCCCACCTGCCACCCTGGCCTGTTGCCCCTGTTCTTCCCAGTAGCTACAACCACTATCATTAATTTAACGTGCATCCTCCTATTCATATGGAGGTATGTGGTATGTTTGTTTATATAAGTGTATTTTATTTTCTTTAATGTTTAATAGTGTACCATATCAATATAGCTACATTTTATTTATCCAGTCCCCTGCTATGAATATGTGCGTTTTTCACTGTTTTCTAATCCCTGTTATAAACACTGCAGCAACACTTATCCTTAATCTCCATGTACAAACGTGTGAGAATTTCTCTAAGGGACTATTCCCTTACCTTTTCATATTGTATGCTTGGGTAAAATGGAAGTGACTTGGAGGCTCTTTCTGTGGGGGTTAGTGAAAAGATTTCATTACATTTTCTTTGCATTTTGTAATTATGATGAGAAAAATATAAAACTTATAAATCTTTTTTAAAAGTTTTGAGAAACATGCTTTGTTACGATCATGACATCAAGTTTTATGCTTAAAAAGTCTGTAATTCCTTGTGTTTAATGATGAACTCTTCAAATTCCTGATACAGATCTATAGTCCCTTATTAACAATTCTGAAATCCAAAATATTATGAGAACTGAATTTTTTTCCCCTTGACTGATTTAGTAGTAAAACCTGACCTGTGTAAACTCATTTTGTGTCAAAACTCTGATGTAGATTGACAGGTCTAGGTTAGCTTATTTGTTTCACTTGGTCTTTGTCTACATTTTATTTTTTTAAAAATTAATGTGTTTGATTATGGGTTGCTGGTGGTGCTGATACACAATATATGCATATATTAACATTCTAAAATTCAAGAAATTCTAAATAAAAACACATCTAGACCCAAAGATTTCAGGTAAGGGATTGTGGACCTGTGGTCACCATTAGCTAGAAAGTTTCAGCTGTGAGTGGCAACTTACAAGAATTTCTTTCTGGTTGATAGAAACTCCTTTCTTATTATTAGTAAGAACTCAGACAATTTCTTTACGTTATATTCCAAGAGTGTGTTCATTTTTTAAATAACAGCTCTTCCTTTTCTTTCGTTGACATCTATAATATTGAAATTGCTTTTGATAATGCAAATGGATTTCACATTCAAGAGAACCTTTTTATGTTAAGTATTTTGTTTAAATGGAGAAGCCTTTTCTCAAGCATGTATGGAGATTGCTTTCCTTGTTTTAATTCTTCTTTAGGATTTTCATGAGAAAATTAAAACATCATTAATGGACCATTTTAGCCACAGTTTTCCAAAGTTGCATTTTGACTTTGGATCTTTAAACTTTCTGTATACTTTAATAGGTATGTGTAGGTTTAAAAAAAATTTTTTTTTTTTGATCAGAATCTTTTGTTTTAGGCCAGGTGTGGTGGCTCACACCTGTAGTCCTAGCACTTGAGGCTGAGGAGGGTGGATTGCTTGCGCTCAGGAGTTCAAGAGCAGCCTGGGCAATATGGCAAGAACCCCATCTCTACAAAAAATAAAAAAGTTGGCCGGGCGCGGTGACTCATGTCAGTAATCCCAGCACTTTGGGAGGCTGAGGCAGGCGAATCACGAGGTCAGGAGTTCGAGACTAGCCTGGCCAACATGGGGAAACCCCGTCTCTACTAAAAATACAAAAAATTAGCTGGGCATAGTGGCAGGCGCCTGTAACCCCAGCTACTTGGGAGGCTGAGGCAGGAGAATTGCTTGAACCCGGGAGGCAGAGATTGCAGTGAGCTGAGATGGAGCCACTGTACTCCAGCCCAGATGACAGAGCAAGACTCTGTATCAAAAAAATAATAATAATAAATAAATACAATAAATAAATAAATAAATTAGCCTGGAGTGGTGGTGCATGCCTCTAGTTCCAGCTACTTGAGAGGCTGAGGTGGGAAGATCACTTAAGCCTGGGAGGTCAAGGCTGCAAATGAGCTGTGATAGCACCGTGGCACTTTAGCCTGGGCCCGCACAGTGAGACCCTGTCTCAAAAAACAAAAACAAAAAATACGTTTTAGAACTATCAGTTAAATTTTGTAAGCCATTGTTTACCTACTTTAATTGGGATTTAATTCATAGACCATACAGTTCACCAATTTAAAGTATACAATTCAGTGGCTTCTAGTATATTCATGAAGTTATGCAACCATCACCATGGTCTGATTGCATAATATTTCCATCACCCCAAAAGGAAACCCCAGTAGGTCATTCCTATTCTCACCTCCTCCTAGTCCCTAGCATCACCAGTCTACTCATTTAATTACTAAAACTTTCTAAAAAGCAACTCCTCTCATCTTGTTCTTCAAGAGTATCTTGGCTCTTTGTGACCCTGTGCTTTTCCATGTAAAATTCTGTAAAAGATCGTGTTGAGAGCTTTATTGGAACTGCATTGAATCGACAAATCAAAATGGGAAGAATTGACATCTTTTTTTTTTTTTTTTTTTTTTTTTTTTTTTTTTTTTTTTTGAGACGGAGTCTTGCTCTGTCACCCAGGCTGGAATGCAGTGGCACAATCTTGGCCTACTGTAATCTCCGCCTCCCAGCTTCAAGCGATTCTCCTGCCTTAGCCTTGCGAGTAGCTAGGATTACAGGTGCACGCCACCATGTCTGGCTAATTATTGTATTTTTGGTAGAGATGGGGTTTCATCATGTTGGTCAGGCTGGTCTTGAACTCCTGACGTCGTGATCTGCCCGCCTTAGCCTCTCAAAGTGCTGGGATTACAGGCTTGAGCCACCATGCCCAGCCAAATTGACATCTTTATGATATAAAATCTTCTTAATCAAGAACATGGTATAGCTCTCCATTTATTTAGGGTTTGTTTGTTTTTGTTTTTTTGAGACAGGGTCTTGTTCTGTCTCTCAGGCTAGAGTGCAGTGGTGCGATCATAGCTCGCTGCAACCTGAAACTCCTGGGCTCAAGCAATGCTCCCACCTCAGCCTCCCGAGTAGCTGAGACTACAGGTGCGCGTCACCATGTGCAGCTAATTTTTGAATTTTTTTGTAGAGCGGGGGTCTCCTTACGTTGCTCATGTTGGTCTTGAACTCTTGGGCTCAAGTGATCCTCCTTCCTCAGCTTCCCAAAGTGCTGGGATTACAAGTGTAGCCAACATGCCTGGCCTTACCAAGGTTTTAAGCCTTTCTTGATAAAGTTTTATGTTTTCTTCATAAAATGATGATATTTCTTTTGTGGAATTTATCCCTGGGTAACTTACGTTCGTTTTTGTTATAAATTATATTTTTGTTATAAATTATATTTTTGTTTTCTTTTTTCTTCAACCCTGGCAAATGGATATATTTTCTTTTTTTTTTTTTTTGAGACAGAGTTTCGCTCTTGTTGCCCAGGCTGGAGTGCAGTGGCACCATGTCAGCTCACTGCAACCTCCGTCTCCCATTCAGGCAATTCTCCTGCCTCAGCCTCCTGAGTGGCCGGGATTACAGGCGTGCGCTACCACGCCGGGCTAATTTTTGTATTTTTACTAGAGTCAGGGTTTCACCATGTTGGCCAGGTTGGTCTTGAACTCCTGACCTCAGATGATCCACCCACCTCGGCCTCCCGAAATGCTGGCATTACAGGCATGAGCCCCCACACCCGGCTGATGGATAAATTTTCTAATTGATGATGTTAATTGGTGATGTTAGTATCACTTGATTTTTCCTTTTTTTTTTTTTTAATGTGATCTCAAATGTCACAATGTGGCCAAAATCTTTTACTAGGTCTGAGTCTCTTGGATCTTTAATGTAAATAATTATGCTATCTGGAAATTATGACATGCTTTTCTAATCCCTTCTTGTTTCTATTATGCATTGAAAGGAATTCTAGTATACTGTTGAATGGTTGGTGTTTTCTTAGTTTTTCACAGCCTTCAAGTCAGCCTTCTCCTAAGAGATAGTACTTATTTTTTGCTCAGGAAAGATATAAGGAAAGGCATAACTGATATTTTGCTTTTTTTTTTACTTCAGAATCTAATCTTGGGCAGTTTAAACTTTATCAATTTAAATGTTAGCTCTCCTTTGCTCAGATTTGCCACATTCGTAGTGTCTTGTATTTTTTAAAACATCTGACCTGTGGGAGAACATTTTATTTTGGTTTACTTATTACAGATGGTTTATTTTTTTTCAACATTAGCTTCTTTTCTAGTTACCTTGCCAAACTAGTATACGTTATGCATTTTAGAAACACTTATTTGTATTAATAGATGAACGTGAGTAAAAAGTATACAGCAAGTCTTCTTTGTACTGTTTTACTCTTGCAAAAGTAGAATGAAAAGCTTTTGCAGCTTTCCTGTAAAATTGAATTTCTTTCCATATAAAAATGTTCAAAATGTATTTGTAAAAGGAATACGTACTCATCATCAGTATTAAAAAGGTTCAGAATAAAGAATCCCTACAACTACAGTTTTTAAAAGACAACTCAAAAAAAAAATGGGTGAAAGACTTGAACAGATACTTAAAGAGGAAGATATGAATATGGCCAATAAGCACATTAAGAAGTGCTCATGCAGCCATAAAAAAGAATGAGTTCATGCCCTTTGCAGGGACGTGGATGAAGCTGGAAACCATCATCCTCAGCAAACTAACACAGGAACAGAAAACCAAACACCCCATGTTCTCACTCATAAATGGGAGTGAACAGTGAGAACCCATGGACACAGGGAGGGAAACATCACACACCGGGGCCTGTTGGGGGGTGGGGGGAAAGGGGAGGGAGAGCATTAGGAAAAATACCTAATGCATGCGGGGCTTAAAACCTAGATGATGGGTTAATAGGTGCAGCAAACCACCATGGCACATGTATGCTTATGTAACAAACCTGCACATTCTGCACATGTATCCCAGAACTTAAAGTAAAATTTAAAAAAAAAAAAACTTCAAAAAAAAAAAAGTGCTCAACATCTTTAGACATTAGGCAAATTAAAATGAAAATCATTGAAATCTAGCACTCTGAATTAAAATTAAAACCACAATGAGGTACCATTATACTCCCACTAGAATGGCTAAAATAAAACTGCCAGCTTCAAATAATGGTGAGGATTTGGATCAACTGGAACTCTCCTCAAGTGCTGTTGGGAGTATAATTTTTTTTTTAATAAAGTTAGCTTTCATCCATCTTATGACTCGGCATTTCTACTCCTAGATAGTTATTCAGGAGAAATGAAAACGTCTCCAAAAATTTACAAGAATGTTCATAATAGCTTTATTCATAATAGCTAGAACCTGGAAATAACCCAAATGTCCATCAAGAGAGAATATACAAATGGTTGTATATGAGAATATTAGTCTGTAATAACAAATAATGAACTACTGATGCATGCAACAATGTAGATGAATAGCATAAACAGGCTGAGTGAAAGAAGCCAGATACAAAAGAATATATATGTATGAGTCCATTTACATGAAGACCAAGAACAGGCAAAAGTACGTTATGGAGATAGAAGTCAGAACAATGATTGCCTTCGTGGGGTGAGAGGGGTGGTTTCTTTTCTTTTTTTTTTTTTTTTTTTTGAGACGGAGTCTGGCTCTGTCACCCAGGCTGGAGTGCAGTGGCGTGATCTCGGCTCACTGCAAGCTCCGCCTCCCGGGTTCATGCCATTCTCCTGCCTCAGCCTCCCGAGTAGCTGGGACTACAGGCGACCGCCACCACTCCTGGCTAATTTTTTTTTTTTTTTTTGTATTTTTAGTAGAGACGGGGTTTCACCGTGTTAGCCAGGATGGTCTCGATCTCCTGACCTCGTGATCCGCCTGCCTTGGCCTTCCAAAGTGCTGGGATTACAGGTGTGAGCCACCGCGCCCGGCCGAGAGGGGTGGTTTCAAATGGGGGTTGATTAGGAAGGGGCACAAGGAAACTTTTGGGGGTGTTGGAAATGTTCTATATCTTGATATGCATTTGTTAGAACTCATTAAATGGTACACCTAAGATCTGTGCATATCACTGTGTTTAAATTAAACTTTAATTTAAAAAAATAGGGGAAGGATAGGAGGAGGTATACATTGATCCAAGGGCATTCTCCTACGTAAGCACAATACAGTTATCACACTCAGAAAATTTAACATTAATGCAGCATTACCATCTAGTATGCAGTTCACATTCAAATATCCCAGTGTCTTGAAATTTGCTGAGAGTAGATCTTAATTGTCTTCACACTCCCCATCTCACACTCTCCCTCTCATGGTAACTGTGTGGTGAAGGATTGGTTAATTTTTTTTTTTTTTTTTTTTTTTAAAGACAGAGTCTTGCACTGTCTCCCAGGCTGGAGTGCAATGGCATGATCTTGGCTCACTGCAACCTTTGCCTTCCAGGTTCAAGTGATTCTTGTGCCTCAGCCTCCCGAGTAGCTGGGATTACAAGCGTGCACCACCATGCCCGGCTAATTTTTGTATTTTTAGTAGAGACGGGGTTTCACCATGTTGGCCAGGCTGGTCTCGAACTCCTGACCTTGTGATCCACCCGCCTTGGCCTCCCAAAGTGCTGGGATTGCAGGCATGAGCCACCGTGCCCGGCCTATAGAATTTTTTATATGTAGGATTTAGTGAAAGATCACCCATTATTAATTTTTTTAAAAGCTTCATGATGAAAATTATTCTTGTAAAATGTTAAAATCTTGAATCCTAGGGCATGTTTTCTGGCACCTGTTATTTTCAGTAACCCATTTCGTTTTTGTCAGACATATAGGGTTAATGTATGAAAAGTCAATTATGTCAAACTTATAGAGTTTATATGGAAAGATTAATGATCTTTTACAAATGCAGAATTGGCTGGATGTGGCTAATTGTAGAATTGGCCTGTAACCTAGCACTTAGGGAGGCTGAGGTGGGAGGATCGCTTGAGTCCAGGAGTTTGATTTTTTTTTTTAATTTTTTATTTTTTGAGACAGTCTCACTCTGTCGCCCTGGCTGAAGTGCAATGGCATGATCTCAGCTCACTGCAACCTCCACCTCCCAGGTTCAAGCGATTCTTGTGCCTCAGCTTCCCAAGTAGCTGGGATTACAGGTGTGTGCCACCATGCCTAGCTAATTTTTTGTGTGTGTGTGTATATTTAGTAGGGGGGGTTTCATCATGTTGGCCCAGGCTGGTCTCGAACTCCCAGCTTCAGGTGGTCCCCCCATCTCGGCCTCCCAAAGTGCTGGATTACAGGTGTGGGCCACAATACCCAGCATTTTTTATTTATTTATTTATTTATGTATTTGAGATGGAGTTTCACCCTGTTGCCCAGGCTGGAGTGCAATGGCATGATCTTGGCTCACTGCAGCCTGCATGTCCCGGGTTCAAGCGATCCTCCTGCCACAACCTCCCGAGTAGCTGGGAATACAGGCATGTACACCACACCCAACTAATTTTTGTATTTAAGTAGAGTCAGGGTTTCATTATGTTGGTCAGGCTGGTCTCGAACTCTGGACCTCAAGTGATCTGCCTGGCTTGGCCTCCCAAAATGCTGGAATTACAGGCTTGAGCCACTGCACCTGGCCAAGCCCAGGACTTTGAGACCAGCCTGGGCAACAGACCAAGACCCTGTCTGTACAATAAAAATTATGCAGTATTAGAATAGCAAATCTTACTCTTAAAAGTTTTGTTTTCCTTGTCTTTTTACTGAAAATGCATGGCTTTAGAAACTTCTGGGTAGTTTGAATTGCAGACAACCAGGCCCTATTCCTGTTTGTTTAACTAATGAGATTTGTAAACAGTACTTGGTTTCCCCAGACTCTAGGACCTAGAGGAAGGAAATTTTGATTTAGCTCTTGGTAAAGCATTTAACACCTAATTTTTCTTTTTCATTGTTATTTTCTTGATCACAGAAAACAATACATGTTAATAGTAGAAAATACCCACAATTGAAAAGAATATAAAGCACTTACTAAAACTCTACCACCTAGGCTAGGTACGGTGGCTCACACCTGTAATCCCAGTACTTTGGGAGGCTGAGGTGGGTGGATCACCTGAGGTCAGGATTTCAAGACCATCCTGGCCAACATGGTGAAACCCCATATCTACTAAAACTACAAAAATTAGCTGGGCGTGGTGGCAGCCACCTGTAATCCCAGCTGCTCGGGAGGCTGAGGCAGGAAAATCGCTTGAACCCAGGAGGAGGAGGTTGCAGTGAGCCGAGATCATGCCGCTGCACTCCATCCTGGGTGACAGAGCGAGACTCTTGTCTCAAAAAACAAACAAAAAAACTGCCACCTAGAGATGGTGGTGGCCAACAGCTTAGTAAGAATTTCTCTTGCATTTTTCTATGCAAACACATTCAAATTTTCATTTTTTAAAAAAGATGATAGAATCATACTGTATGAATTTAATTGCCTAATTAAGCTTGTGTATCATCGTTTCTCTTGTCATTAAATGCTGTACAGCTTTCTTTTAAATGGCTATCTGTGGTAGTGTTCCTTGAAGGAAATACCTTAAAATTTTTTGTTTTTAAACTTTTATAATTGTGGGAATGTAATACAGTGAATGCATAGGACACAAATGTTCAGCTTAAGGAATTATTATAAAGTGAACACCCTGTAACTGCCACTTAGATCACGACATCAAATATGGCCAGCAGCCAGGCGCACCTCCCCTACCCCCCACTGCCCCTTCCCAGTCACAGCCCCATTCTTCCAGCTGAAGGTAACTTCTGTCTTGACTTTATGAAAGTTATTTTCTTGCTTTCCTTTAGATTACCTACCCGTCTTTGCATTCCTAATGCTGTAGTTTAGTTGAGCTTATTTTGAACTTTTCACAAACGGAATCATCAACTATGCATTATTTTGTATCTGGCTTTCATTCACTATTTTGTTTTTAATATTCATCTATGTCGTTAGTAGCTATAGTTCATTCATTTTTTGTTGCTGTATAATCATCCATTTATTGAATGTACTACAATTTGATTCTGCCTTTGGCAGCCACTTTGATTGTTTATAATCCAGATTTCAAATGCTGCATCATGAACATGTGGGTTGTGATTTGTGTAGATGTGCATGTACTTCTCTAAGGAATCCAAGCCTAGGAGGGACGTTGCTGGGTCAGAGGATGTTTGTATCTTCAACTGTACCAGATAAGGCCAAATTGTATTCTCAAATGCTTGGATCTGTTTTCAGTGTACTTGTTCTACTCCTAATTAACACTACTTGATATTGTCAAACTTTAATTGTAGCCATTCTGATGGATGTGGTAGTATCTCATTGCGGTTTTAATTTGCATTATTTTGCATTTTCCTTATTGTTAGTGAGATTAAATACCCTTTTATATGTTTTGGCTACTTCAGTATCCTCTTGTGCAGTGCCTAATTCACATCTTTTATTTTTCTTCTGAGTTGCCTTTTGCCCATTGATTTATATTTGTTCCCCCTCTCTCCCCGCCCCCAAGAAGGAGTCTGGCTCTGTCACCCAGGCTGGAGTACAGTGGCACAATCTTGGCTCACTAACCTCTGCCTCCTTCGTTCAAGTGATTCTCCTGCCTCAGCCTCCCAAGTAGCTGGGACTGCAGGTGTGCGCCACCACGCCCAGCTAATTTTTGTATTTTTAGTAGAGACAGGGTTTCACCATGTTGACCAGGCTTGTCTTGAACCCCTGACCTCAAGTGATCCATCCGCCTTGGCCTCCCAAAGTACTGGGATTACAGGTGCAAGCCACCATGCCCGGCCTGATTTATAAATGTAGTCTAAATACAAGTTCTTTATTGGTTATGTAAGTTGCAGATATCTTTTTCAGCTCTGTAGGTAATAATGTTTTTTGATGAATAGGAGGTCTTAATTTTAATGTAGTTTAATTGATTTGTTTTCTCCTTTGTAAGAATCAATATTTTTCATGTCCTGTGTAAATCTCGTATTGGGATAAAAGATACATATATATTTTTTAGGTTTTGGCTAATAGTTTTCCGTTGGCAGCATGTGAACCTTTTTATGCCATTTTTACTTTCATCAAGGGTGTATGTATGATTTTCTCATACTCTTGTCAGAACTGGAGATTTGGGGTAACTTTGCCAGTGTAATAGACTTTCTTAATTCATTAAGGAGTATTTTATCTTAGTTTGCCCATGAGAGAAGAGAGATTAAATTTGTTTTATTATACCAAGAACATGGCAGTCAATAAGCATAACTAAAAATATTATTTAGCTTTTGATTCTGAAGACCATGTATGGCCAGTAAGGAAAAGAGGTAAAGATGTAGAAAACTGTTTTCTTTTTTTTCTTTCTTTTTTTTTTTTTTTTTTTTTTTTGAGATGGAGTCTTGCTCTGTCGCCAGGCTGGAGTGCAGTGGCGTAATCTCAGCTCACTGCATCCTCCACCTCCTGGGTTCAAGTGATTCCCCTGCCTTAGCCTCCCGAGTAGCTGGTACTACAGGCGCGTGCCACCACACCTGGCTAATTTTTTGTATTTTAGTAGAAACAGGGTTTCACCGTGTTGGCCAGGATGGTCTCAATCTCCTGACCTCGTGATCCACCTGCCTCAGCCTCCCAAAGTGCTGGGATTACAGGTGTGAGTGAGCCACTGCACCTGGCCTCTTTTTTATTAATTTAAGATACATGATTTTGGCTAAAACTAATGAAAATAAATTGATGAAACTTCAATGTAGTGGATCAAGAGACTCATGAAATTGATGAGTTAGATTGTTGTGGGCACCTGTTTTAAATTTATGGTGCCTTTTTAGCAGAATCATGACTTTATCAACTCTTTTTCACATACTTTTATTCAAAGAAGACATTCTCCTCCTCTGCCCCAACTTATCTTCTTCTTGTCTCCAACTGCCAGTATTCTCATCCACACTCTTTGTAGTTTTGAGGTGTGAGATAACTCCCAAGTTCTTCTTGGGAATGGGTAGAGTTTAATTCTGAGTCTACATGTCGTGAGTCTATTGGAAGAAGCTTTTCTTAGGAGGTGAAATTTGGGATGGAGTTCTCCTCTACACTCTAGCCCTGTAGCCACAATCTTTGGTTTAGATCTTTGGCATTTTTTGTTGGACATCTTTCATAGTGTCTACCTCTTCTTCCTGCCTCTAGGCTTCCCGCGGTTGCCAGATGAAATTCCGAAAACTCAAATCATTCCTGTAGTTAATATTCTTCAGTGACTCCGGAACAATCAAATTCTTGATCCCTCCACATGGGTCTTACCATCTGCCCTCGTGCCCTCTCTAGCTTCCTGCATATTGAGTTCCCCACAGCCCTAGTTTCCCTGAGTTTGGAATATTCTTTCACATTTGCTCATCCCACTATCTAGAAACTTCCTACAATCTCTCTACTGCCAACCTGTCTGTCTAGTTGCTAATTTATTTTAAAACCCAGCTTAAGCAACACATCCTTTTGGATGTGTTACTTCCCTGATCGTTATTCACCTCCATGCCGTCTTTCGCTCAACTCATTGAAGTTAGGTGCCCCTCTTCTGGGCTGCCACGGCTCTCCATGTTCACCTATGTACTGTACTTTGTATTGTAATCAGTTTAATTGACCCCCCTACTTATTTGAGCTCCTTGAGAGCAGGGCCTTGATTCCTGCTCCTTAGCACTCCACCCTCCCCAGAACTAACATGGTATAGCTTATAGGAGGCACCCTATAAATGTTTAATGAATGTTTGAATGCAAAAGTGTATCTAACTTTCTTAATGATATATTTATGAAAAGAACTTGCTGAGAAAAAGGTCAGTTAGAAAGGGTTAGGAACTTGTCAGTATTCTAAATCCCTCTTTTTCAAAAGCATACACATTTAGGAATGACTGCCTTGCTTTAAGAATTTGTAGGGTTTTGTTCACCTGAGTTGTACCTTGCTGTCACAGAAGGATGCCCTGCAGTGGTCTCGCCATCCAGCTACAGTGGAGGGAGAGGAGCCAGAGGACACGGCTGATGTGGAGAGCTGTGGGTCTAATGAAGCCAGCACTGTGAGTGGTGAAAACGATGGTAAGGACCCTTTAATGGATGGGTGAGGGAGCCACAGCAGGCACTAGGGACTAACCTTTATTTTCCTCTCTTCCAGTATCTCTTGATGAAACATCTTCGAACGCATCCTGTTCTACAGAATCTCAGAGTCGACCTCTTTCCAATCCCAGGGACAGCTACAGAGCTTCCTCACAGGTAAGGAAGAGGTAGAGCCTAGCCTGGGAGGATGAATGATGACAGGTATAAGGCAAGATCCCTCCTTCTCCTGTAGTGAGCTGTGAACATGTTCAGAGAGTGAAGAATAGAAGTCTGGTCTCCAGCTGTTAGTAGCATTTAACAGGGGGCCGCAGGAAAAGTGAACAGTAGGTTTGAGCAGAGTAAGTTTTTTCTCTTTCTTTACCTTGGCTGAGTGATTTTGTTCATTCTTTTTTTTTTTTTTTTTTTTTTTTTTTGAGATGGAGTCGCGCCTGTCGCTCAGGCTGGAGTGCAGTGGCATGATCTCCGCTTACTGCAACCTCTGCCTCTGGGGTTCAAGCAATTCTCCTGCCTCAGCCTCCCGAGTAGCTGGGATTACAGGCACGTACCACCGTGCCTGGCTAATATTTGTATTTTTAGTAGAGATAGGGTTTTGCCATGTTGGCCAGGCTAGTCTCGAATTCCTGACCTCAAGTGGTCTGTCCACCTCAGCCTCCCAAAGTGCTGGGATTACAGGTGTGAGTCACCATGCCTAGCCTGATTCTGTTCATTCTTGTAATATACACGTGAACATTCAGGGAGAAGTGTGGTTAGTGCAGAGTAGAGAGAACAGGAGATTGGGAGTGAGCAGTTTGAATGATAACCCTGCACTTACTAGCCTTGAGACTTGGGGAAAATTCCTTACCTGTAAAATGGGGATAACAGTACATTTTTGTAGCTTGGAATGATGCTTGGCACAGTGACCAGCACGTAGCTCAGTAACATTAACCAGTGCTCTTGTCAGCATTATTTGACAGATCTGGTTGAAGACGAACTTCATTTTACAAGAGCGTGAGTAGAGATAGTGTCGCCAGGGAATGCTTTTGTGGCTCTGCAGTTGACTTGGGCTCTCTTTTGTTCTCTCTTGGAACGCAGGCGAACAAACAAAAGAAAAAGACTGGGGTGATGCTGCCTCGAGTTGTCCTGACTCCTCTGAAGGTAAACGGGGCCCACGTGGAATCTGCATCAGGTATGTGTAAACTCATGGTTGTGATGCTTTTTCCTCAGGTCCTGGGGACCTGGCCTCCCTCTGTCAGCAGTTTCTGACCTAATAGTGCGATACTAGGAGAGCTGTCGGGCCACAGGCAAGAGCCCTGCCAATGGATGAGGCCTGCCATAGGTTCTAGTGCTGGGCTCTGCTGTGTGCCTTCCTCTTTGTCTCCCAGGGCAGTCGTGAGGATCCAACGGAGGATTTGATTATGCCAGTGCTTTGTAAAAGGTGTAGTGCTATACAAATAAAGATGGCAGTTTGGCACCTGTAAGGTGATATTTTAAAGCCAGACCATGAAGTGGTGGTTTCTCTCAGCCTAAGGCTGGGAGATGGAAGCATCCCAGTATTGCTGGCAGCATCTCAGGGAGAGCTGGGAGAAATGAGCTTGTCTGAGAGCCATGGGCGCGGCTTGGTGATACTTTTGACCAGTGGAATGCTGTGCCTTCAGGGTTCTCGGGCTGCCACGCCGATGGCGAGAGCGGCAGCCCGTCCAGCAGCAGCAGCGGCTCTCTGGCCCTGGGCAGCGCTGCTATTCGTGGCCAGGCCGAGGTCACCCAGGACCCTGCCCCGCTCCTGAGAGGCTTCCGGAAGCCAGCCACAGGTGAGTGGCGTGGCACTTATTTCTCTGCCTGTAAAGGGGGCCCCTGCAGGCCTAGTGAGAAGATGATGTCTTCTATTCCAATTCCTTTACCAGTTTATTTTTACTTCTTGGGTGGCCCTCTATTTTTTGTTTATTTTTACTTTGTAATTTGCTTATTTCATTTGTAGCTCTCTGCTAAACTGTGAGAACTCCTTTCAGGCAGAGATGATGCCATACTGTTTCTCGTATGTCCCTGTAGGCCTAGTCTATGCCTGCCTTGTACTGCATAGTAAGTGTTTGAGTGAGTGAAAACTGCTTCTGAGCTTCTCAGTGAAGAATTCCAACACCCCTTTTCTCTCTTCGGTAGCATGTTGCCACATTTGTTCCCAACATCTGTAGTCTGTATCAGACGCTCCCTTTTTTACAACCTAGTCAGTATGTTGAGTGGAAGCATGTGTTGAATTTTGGGGATGCAAACAAATTCAGTAGTGCTATTATCTATACCTCCCACCCCTCACCCCACCCCACCCCCATTAGGGTTATTTGCAATATTAGTATGCTCTTTGCTATTTCAGGATTTAATTCTTAATGACCCACATGCTGGTTTTTTTTGTAGATGAAACCATTAAGAAGACAAGCTTTTGCTTCTGAGAATTAGAGTAAACCTTTGCCCATGTGAGAACTAGGTTTGCTGTCTTGCTGCTTTTCCAGCTCATCAGCAGTGCTCAATCTAAGGTCTCACAGGTCTCTAGTCCTAGTGAGTTTTTCAGATAAAAGTAACATTTGCTGAGGCTTCTGTGAGAGGTATTAGCATCTCAGTTGGCTTTGAACAGTCCTTAGTACATTTCTGCATGGAGATCATCCCTCTCCAGCCCATTCACAGAAGGCTTCTGCAGATTTTTCTATAGTATACTAACTAGATTTACTTTTAGATAATTCTCATGATTTCTCCAGTTGAGCTTTGTGGAGCCTGTTCTCCAGCTTTGGAGGGAAGCTCAGAACCTGCCCCTTGCCTGATTTTCTGTGGGAAGTGTCCTTTTCAGGCTGTGACACAGCACGGTACAGAGTTTTGTCTGAGGAGATGCAACCCCAAGTGTTCTCCTGGGTTTGATGGCAATGACAGTAACCTGGAAAGAATATACAGGTTAGGATGGACTGGACAATTGAGCAGATTGTGTGCAGATAACTCCTGGGTAGCTTGGGTGCTGTCACCAAAGTTTTCCCATCAGTTGGCATTTGTTTTTTCTTTTAAAAAGCTGAAATCTATACCTTGCTTCAAAAATCATAGGTCAAATGAAGCGCAACAGAGGGGAAGAAATAGATTTTGAGACACCTGGGTCCATTCTTGTCAACACCAACCTCCGTGCCCTGATCAACTCTCGGACCTTCCATGCCTTACCATCACACTTCCAGCAGCAGCTCCTCTTCCTCCTGCCTGAAGTAGACAGACAGGTGCACATGGGCAGCCTCCCCTTTGCCTCTCTCTGGGTGGGCTTCTGTTCTCTTTTAAGTTTATTTATTAGGATTTTTTTCCCCCTTGATCCTTCTAGGTGGGGACGGATGGCCTGTTGCGTCTCAGCAGCAGTGCACTAAATAACGAGTTTTTTACCCATGCGGCTCAGAGCTGGCGGGAGCGCCTGGCTGATGGTATGTAGACTTGGTCATCTCGGACGGCTTGCGACGCACCTGTCGTGTGGTGTTGCATGTCTCCTGGTATTTAAAACCCAAGCTCGCTCTTCTCAAAGGGTTATTTAGTATAAGACAGGCTTTCCTCATTACTAATAAATGTGGTGGGTATTAATATGCCACACAGCTCTGAAGAAATAACAGGGTGTTTAGGTTTAGACTTTCACTATATTGTATGTATGTACTCATTCATCATCTCCTTTTTATCATTAAAACTATAAACACCTATTCCAGTAATCATGGCATGGTCTGGAAGGGTGGAGGAAAGTACACTGTGGAGTTGAGAAGCTCCACCATGCTCTGTCTTTTTAGGCATTGTCACTTGGAGTGATTGTTAGCTTCTATTAATTTAATTTTGTGGGGAAAGTGTTGAGAGGGCTCTAAGAACACCCCTAGGTTTGATGATTTGCTAGCAGGACTCAGCATATAGTTATATGTACAGGGCTGCGGTTTATTACAGCAGAAGAATACAAAGTAAAATCAGCAGATGGAGAGGCACATGGGGTGGGGTCCAGGGGAAACCATGTGTTGGCTTCCAAGGTCCTCTCTCAGTGGTGTCACACAGGACACATTTAATTCCCCCAGTAACAAGTTATGATAACATGTATGAAATGTCTACTAGGGAAACCTGTTAAAGACTCGGTGCCCAGGGTTTTTATCAAGGGCTGATCATGTAGGAAGCCACTGCTTGGCACATACCCAGCTTCCAGATTCCCAAAAGGAAGGCAGGTGTTCAGCATAAGCCGTATTGTTTGCATAAACAATTTAGGCACAGTGAACAACTCATATCAGTTAGGGTGGTTGGGAACCCTCCTGAAATCTAAGTTCCCAGATGTCAGCCAAGGGCTGTTCTTTTAAGTAGGCCTTTCTAAGAGTAAACAATCAGGCCTACCTACTATGTTAACTTTTTATCTACACAGGAAATATGAATGGTTCTTTTGTTTGTTGTTTTGCTTTTTCGATCAAGGAGTTGCTTGGTCTCACTTTAAGGAAGAGTGAATTTCCCTTATAGTAGATGTGTTAGCTCTGTCCCTATAAGAGCATGATGTGAGAGAGCCTTTAGAAGAGACGTGTTGTTTTAAAACTGGGAGATTCAGCTGTCCATAAGACAGACATTAATATCCCGAATGCACTTACTAGAAGAGGTTTATTTCTCCCTAGGTGAATTTACTCATGAGATGCAAGTCAGGATACGACAGGAAATGGAGAAGGAAAAGAAGGTGGAACAATGGAAAGAAAAGTTCTTTGAAGACTACTATGGACAGAAGTAAGGCAGTTGGAGCTATGAGTCCTGGTCTGGGGTTTTGAGGGGATAGAGGTAGATGGTCTCAAAATAGCATATACTTATGTGTTGGACAAGAATGTGGAGATTGCAGTGACACTTGGGTCATTTATCTTAATGCCATTCATAGTGAAGCTAACAGAAGTTTTTCCATGGTTAGATTGTGCACCACACAGATTTATTTTGTTCTGAGATATCTGTGTTTCTGGGTCCATATTATTCATAGAAATAAGAGACATGTCCACTCTGGCCTGAAACTGATGGCTGTGATTTTGATTTGCAGGCTGGGTTTGACCAAAGAAGAGTCATTGCAGCAGAACGTGGGCCAGGAGGAGGCTGAAATCAAAAGTGGCTTGTGTGTCCCAGGAGAATCAGTGCGTATACAGCGTGGTCCAGCCACCCGACAGCGAGATGGGCATTTTAAGAAACGCTCTCGGCCAGATCTCCGAACCAGAGCCAGAAGGAATCTGTACAAAAAACAGGAGTCAGAACAAGCAGGGGTTGCTAAGGATGCAAAATCTGTGGCCTCAGATGTTCCCCTCTACAAGGATGGGGAGGCTAAGACTGACCCAGCAGGGCTGAGCAGTCCCCATCTGCCAGGCACATCCTCTGCAGCACCCGACCTGGAGGGTCCCGAATTCCCAGTTGAGTCTGTGGCTTCTCGGATCCAGGCTGAGCCAGACAACTTGGCACGTGCCTCTGCATCTCCAGACAGAATTCCTAGCCTGCCTCAGGAAACTGTGGATCAGGAACCCAAGGATCAGAAGAGGAAATCCTTTGAGCAGGCGGCCTCTGCATCCTTTCCCGAAAAGAAGCCCCGGCTTGAAGATCGTCAGTCCTTTCGTAACACAATTGAAAGTGTTCACACCGAAAAGCCACAGCCCACTAAAGAGGAGCCCAAAGTCCCGCCCATCCGGGTAGGAGACTGTTTGATTCCTGGCTGCCCTGGAGCCAGGTTTTCTTTGAGGGTCATGAGATTATAGAGCCCTTAACTCTGGGGCCCTGAAGTTAATTATGTGGGAATGTAGAGCTTTTTATGAGAGGTTTGCTTGAGACAGCCTTCAAGTTTAGTGAGATAGGTTCTTTTCTTCCTCACTTTTTTGTTCACTCTGTTGAAGTTATCTTGAGAGGTCAAAATCCTTTGGGGTTTTAAAATCTTTTTAAGATAGCATTAGATTCTTTGCTATAGTGACTCACACAGTCCCACCAGAAATTAAATTTAGAAGTGTGGCATATAACAGCCCTTGAGCAGAATCTTCTCTGAATGGTGTGTTATGGCGCCATTTTACTATGATGATTTCATTGTTTTAAGGAAATTATTTGATTCTGTATGCCATGACCCTTAAGCTACTAGAATCCTAGTTTTGCTTTACAGTCCCTAGGTCAGATCACCCAGTCAGTTAAAACTATTTTCTAATTCTTTTTTTGCAGATTCAACTTTCACGTATCAAACCACCCTGGGTGGTTAAAGGTCAGCCCACTTACCAGATATGCCCCCGGATCATCCCCACCACGGAGTCCTCCTGCCGGGGTTGGACTGGCGCCAGGACCCTCGCAGACATTAAAGCCCGTGCTCTGCAGGTCCGAGGGGCGAGAGGTCACCACTGCCATAGAGAGGCGGCCACCACTGCCATCGGAGGGGGGGGTGGCCCGGGTGGAGGTGGCGGCGGGGCCACCGATGAGGGAGGTGGCAGAGGCAGCAGCAGTGGTGATGGTGGTGAGGCCTGTGGCCACCCTGAGCCCAGGGGAGGCCCGAGCACCCCTGGAAAGTGTACGTCAGATCTACAGCGAACACAACTACTGCCGCCTTATCCTCTAAATGGGGAGCATACCCAGGCCGGAACTGCCATGTCCAGAGCTAGGAGAGAGGACCTGCCTTCTCTGAGAAAGGAGGAAAGCTGCCTACTACAGAGGGCTACAGTTGGACTCACAGATGGGCTAGGAGATGCCTCCCAACTCCCCGTTGCTCCCACTGGGGACCAGCCATGCCAGGCCTTGCCCCTACTGTCCTCCCAAACCTCAGTAGCTGAGAGATTAGTGGAGCAGCCTCAGTTGCATCCGGATGTTAGAACTGAATGTGAGTCTGGCACCACTTCCTGGGAAAGTGATGATGAGGAGCAAGGACCCACCGTTCCTGCAGACAATGGTCCCATTCCGTCTCTAGTGGGAGATGATACATTAGAGAAAGGAACTGGCCAAGCTCTTGACAGTCATCCCACTATGAAGGATCCTGTAAATGTGACCCCCAGTTCCACACCTGAATCCTCACCGACTGATTGCCTGCAGAACAGAGCATTTGATGACGAATTAGGGCTTGGTGGCTCATGCCCTCCTATGAGGGAAAGTGATACTAGACAAGAAAACTTGAAAACCAAGGCTCTCGTTTCTAACAGTTCTTTGCATTGGATACCCATCCCATCGAATGATGAGGTAGTGAAACAGCCCAAACCAGAATCCAGAGAACACATACCATCTGTTGAGCCCCAGGTTGGAGAGGAGTGGGAGAAAGCTGCTCCCACCCCTCCTGCATTGCCTGGGGATTTGACAGCTGAGGAGGGTCTAGATCCTCTTGACAGCCTTACTTCACTCTGGACTGTGCCATCTCGAGGAGGCAGTGACAGCAATGGCAGTTACTGTCAACAGGTGGACATTGAAAAGCTGAAAATCAACGGAGACTCTGAAGCACTGAGTCCTCACGGTGAGTCCACGGATACAGCCTCTGACTTTGAAGGTCACCTCACGGAGGACAGCAGTGAGGCTGACACTAGAGAAGCTGCAGTGACAAAGGGATCTTCGGTGGACAAGGATGAGAAACCCAATTGGAACCAATCTGCCCCACTGTCCAAGGTGAATGGTGACATGCGTCTGGTTACAAGGACAGATGGGATGGTTGCTCCTCAGAGCTGGGTGTCTCGAGTATGTGCGGTCCGCCAAAAGATCCCAGATTCCCTACTGCTGGCCAGTACTGAGTACCAGCCAAGAGCCGTGTGCCTGTCCATGCCTGGGTCCTCAGTGGAGGCCACTAACCCACTTGTGATGCAGTTGCTGCAGGGTAGCTTGCCCCTAGAGAAGGTTCTTCCACCAGCCCACGATGACAGCATGTCAGAATCCCCACAAGTACCACTTACAAAAGACCAGAGCCATGGCTCGCTACGCATGGGATCTTTACATGGTCTTGGAAAAAACAGTGGCATGGTTGATGGAAGCAGCCCCAGTTCTTTAAGGGCTTTGAAGGAGCCTCTTCTGCCAGATAGCTGTGAAACAGGCACTGGTCTTGCCAGGATTGAGGCCACCCAGGCTCCTGGAGCACCCCAAAAGAATTGCAAGGCAGTCCCAAGTTTTGACTCCCTCCATCCAGTGACAAATCCCATTACATCCTCTAGGAAACTGGAAGAAATGGATTCCAAAGAGCAGTTCTCTTCCTTTAGTTGTGAAGATCAGAAGGAAGTCCGTGCTATGTCACAGGACAGTAATTCAAATGCTGCTCCAGGAAAGAGCCCAGGAGATCTTACTACCTCGAGAACACCTCGTTTCTCATCTCCAAATGTGATCTCCTTTGGTCCAGAGCAGACAGGTCGGGCCCTGGGTGATCAGAGCAATGTTACAGGCCAAGGGAAGAAGCTTTTTGGCTCTGGGAATGTGGCTGCAACCCTTCAGCGCCCCAGGCCTGCGGACCCGATGCCTCTTCCTGCTGAGATCCCTCCAGTTTTTCCCAGTGGGAAGTTGGGACCAAGCACAAACTCCATGTCTGGTGGGGTACAGACTCCAAGGGAAGACTGGGCTCCAAAGCCACATGCCTTTGTTGGCAGCGTCAAGAATGAGAAGACTTTTGTGGGGGGTCCTCTTAAGGCAAATGCCGAGAACAGGAAAGCTACTGGGCATAGTCCCCTGGAACTGGTGGGTCACTTGGAAGGGATGCCCTTTGTCATGGACTTGCCCTTCTGGAAATTACCCCGAGAGCCAGGGAAGGGGCTCAGTGAGCCTCTGGAGCCTTCTTCTCTCCCCTCCCAACTCAGCATCAAGCAGGCATTTTATGGGAAGCTTTCTAAACTCCAACTGAGTTCCACCAGCTTTAATTATTCCTCTAGCTCTCCCACCTTTCCCAAAGGCCTTG
This sequence comes from Homo sapiens, assembly GCF_000001405.40. Lineage (NCBI taxonomy): Eukaryota > Metazoa > Chordata > Mammalia > Primates > Hominidae > Homo > Homo sapiens. The sequence goes on from NC_000020.11 coordinate 32,437,115, forward strand.
CTGGAAGTGTGGTGCAGCTGAGCCACAAAGCAAACTTTGGTGCGAGCCACAGTGCATCACTTTCCTTGCAAATGTTCACTGACAGCAGCACGGTGGAAAGCATCTCGCTCCAGTGTGCGTGCAGCCTGAAAGCCATGATCATGTGCCAAGGCTGCGGTGCGTTCTGTCACGATGACTGTATTGGACCCTCAAAGCTCTGTGTATTGTGCCTTGTGGTGAGATAATAAATTATGGCCATGGGAAACATTGTATATTTAGTGTGTGTATTTTGATAATGATTGATCTTAAATCTGTATACAGAATATCATTGATATAATACTCTTTAGGCAGGAGCACTCTTGCCTTCCCCCAAAATTTACACTGCTAAAGCCCTCTGTCACTTGGCGACCCTTCTGGTCTTGCTGGAGGGGTTTCCTGGGTATAACCCATTGGGCTGCCCAAGGCCAGCCAGCCTGAGCTCTCCTGCAAGACAGAGCCTGATGTGGCACGGAGTGGGGTTGCGGGGGGTGGGGGGACTGCCTGACTCCCAGAGGGACTTGAAACTGAAGCAAGAAGGTTGCATTCTCCACCAAGGGAGTTAACCTACCTGAACTAAGTAGAAATGCCAGTCTTCCACTACCCCCTCCCTGCCATCTTTTCTTCTGCTACTTTGGGGAGTTGATGGCCAGGAAAGAAGCCAGCACAGGGTTAAAGTAACTCCTGGCATTGCCCACCAGGGGGCTGGTGCACCTGCTGACCTCAGGGTCACAGTTGAGTCATTTGCCAGTTGACGGAGCAAGTTTGACCTTGGTTCTGTTGCTGAAGCAAATTTGGAACTTTTCTGTCTCAGTGTGATCCACTAACCCACAGGATCATTTGGAACCTTGAATAGCTCTGCTTGGACAATGGGGTTGGGGAATAGGGTTGTCTTTCCTATGAAAATGCCATCTGTAGACCTTGTGAGTCAGCCGTCCAGATGTTTGCAGGTGAATTCCTCTGCTTGACATCCTCCCTGTCACTTTGGACCCTATGGGAGTGGGCATCTCCACGCACCTGTGTATGTGAAAGTCATTTTACATTTCAAAGCAGTGTGTGTTTCTTATTTTTATATTTTTAACTCTTTATTCTTGGATGTATAAAGTGAACTTTTTGGCTTCTGTAAGTATGCTCTATGCACCTCTAATGTTTTATCATGTATTTATATGTTGTACACAGTACTGGCTGATTCTGTAAATGGATGTATTGTACAGAGAACATGAACGTCTCTTCCTAATTTTACATCTTCAGCATCATTGCATTAAAGTGGTGTAATCTCCTTCTCTACATCTGTTGTCAGAGCCACTGAGTGCTGTGCTGCTCGACGTGAGGGTGAAATGATTGACTTGTGACCTGCCAGGTTGCCCGATGCCCTGTTGGGTCACCGGCTGGACCTGCTGCAGCCTGCAGAGCCACAGTCAGCCTGCCCACATGCCACCGAGCAAACGCATCTTGCTTTTCACATCTCTCCTCCTACAGCCTTAATGGCTGCTTGCTGCCATATGTGACAAATCACCACCACCAGTGTTAAGTGCTTCTGGATTCATGGGTGAGTTCCCTGGGCAGCCCCCAGGAAGGCCTTCCAGATCTGGCTCCAGGGTCACCACCTGTCACAGCAATACCTGGGACCATGCTCTCCTGGGACTGTGAGGCTCCTTTTGACGTACTTTTGACATCAGGCAGGTTTGGGAAGAAACAAAGCCATGCCTGCTCCTGCCTCTCTCCCAACATGTTTCCAGCAAGTAGATGCCCCTGTGTGTGTTTTCCCTTGCCTTGTTTCCTGCCTTATATCTTGTATTTCGACTTATTACAGAGTTGAGGGTTCTTGCTTAATTTAGATCAAGTATAAAATTTGTATGACTTCAAGTCTCATTTTATCTGAAAGGTTTTTTTCTCATTTAATCTGATGTGGCATTTTCGTCATCTGAAGCATGAGTGACAAGTTGGGAATGATGTGGTGATTTAGAATGCAGTATTGGCCAAGTCCAAGTTGTCAACTTAAGCGTCTGTTTACCAAAGACCGGGAACAGGGGCCCAAACATGTCCAGTCCTCTTCTTCCCTCTGCTGGAACCTTTGGGGACACTCAAGGGTACAGTTTGACACTGATCTGGTCCATGAGGCTGCCCAGAGAAAGCACTGCTTCTGTATGTCTCTTGTGGTATTGGAACAATAAACCCGTACAACCTGCAGTTGTGGTCTCAGTCATCTGTGGCTGCCTCGCTGGTGTGGGAAGGTCAGCTGGAGTGCTGAGCTGGAAGGGAAGGAGTAGACGCCAGCTCTCCTCACCTTGGCTCTGGAGCTACTCTTCTTATACTTGGAGCTCTTCTTTTGGGAGGTTAGTCCAAAAGGAATGACTTGGCAGCTTCACTGGTCTTTAGCCATTCATGACTTGGCGGACTTCACCACATAGACTGCAGTCAGCGTTCTACTGAGAGCAATGAGAATGTTTCCCCTTGGGAGTGCGAGTCACAAACTGTGACATCCCTCTGCAGCAACTCATCCAAACAGCTTCACTGAGGTTGAGGTTGCCAAGTGGCTTCCTAATGGTTAGTGGTCTTCTGTGGGAGGGTGACTAGCTCTAACCTTGGAAAACCTTAACCACAAGCACCTCTTTCTGTAGCCTCTGGTGGCAGTGAGAGGAAGGTGCTGGCCCAGGGTGGGGTGTCTGATGCTAGTTGCGTGAGCCTGAGTAGACGACGTGCTTCAGGGATTGACTTCTTGAGAAGTCCTCAGACGTCTCTAGAGTACGTAAATACATTGACTTTGTGCTTATCAGAAATAATTTTATTAGTATATAAATAAGCCAAAACAGCAAAATGATGGGAGTTTAAACATATATTCATTAATTTTTTCCTGTGAATTGGAGGAAAAACTTTGTGGTGGGATATCCTTTGGGGAGTTCAAGCTGCCATTTTGTATTGCTGCCGTTTGATCGACATGCAGTTTTGAGAATTGATGGTTCGGAGGCCCTGTAGTGACTGAGCAACTGCCTGCTGTTGGTGATATGTCCTTGTGTCACAGAATCCATTTGCCCACTTATGTCTGCAGGAGCTCAGAATGCATTACGGTCCCAGATCGGGACCTTCCAATGCCTGTTGCCTCTCCTCAGGGAGGCAGAATGGTGTAGTGAGTTCCTAGAGTATAGCCTCTGCGACGTGCCAGCTCTGTGTTCTTGGGCCATGTTATTTAACCAGGCTGCCAACTCTCATATATGAATGGGTGTAATAGTTCTTACTTCATGAGGTTGTTAGTGCCTGCCACCTAGGACATAATGACTATTAGTTCACAGCAGGCCAAGGCAATAATTGTTAGGTGAACTTATAGTAGAAATCTATACAGCTACTGCCAGCTACTTCACTCTTGCTCCAGAAAGGAGCTGTCAGGATGTAGGCCTTGTGCCCACTGCGCTGAGGGGTGATGCAGGCTGTGAAGTCACTTTGGACCCTGGCTTTTGGTCTCAGGCCACAGACCTGACCAAAGGTTGAGTGTAGTCCTGAGTTTAGACTGAATATTTGGTCAGGAAGGCTTATTTTGCTCATGGTCCAAAGGACAAGGGAAATAATGTTTCAGAATATAGGAAGAATGGTACTGGCCTGGCAAGGTGTCATTTATTTGCTATCCAGCCTGCTGTAAGACTGTGTTAGAGTGTGTGTGGGTATGTGTGCATGCTAAATAGAGCTGCCTGCATCCATCAGGGGTCTTGATGGCCAAAGCATCTGCCTGCCCTGTCTCCCTGAGAGGAGGGGACCCAGGCTGTGTTGCCCTCGTGTGGGTGTTGTTTGAAGCCATAGAAGTGGCAGGATGTGGAACTTTGGAGATTGCTCCAAAATTGGACAACACCCCTATGCTTCCTCTTGTCTCTGGTCAATTTGAAAGCCTAGAATGAACATCTCTACCGTAAGCCATAGACGAACGCCCTGTGAGAACAACAGTTGTCAGTGCTGTGTTACCTGATATGGGTGGGTCTTAACCTTTTTTTGGGAACTCTCCCCCCATGGAATGCACATACAAAGTTTTTTGGGGTTTTTTTGCAGACTCTCACTCTCTTCAGGCTGGAGTGCAGTGGCGTGATCATAGCTCACTGTAGCCTCGAACTCCTGAGCTCCAGTGGTCCTTCCACCTCATCCTCCCAAGTAGCTCAGGCTACAGGCACGTGCCACCATGCCCAGCTAATATTAAAATTTTTTGTAGAGACTGTTGCCCAGACTAGTCTTGAACTCCAGGCCTCAAGCGATCTTCCCGATCTTCCCGCCAGCACACCTGGCCTCACAAAGTTTTGCATACTGTGTCAGGATTTACCAGCTCCTTAGGCAGCTGGGGCCCTTTGTTTAAGAACCACTGGCTGAGAATAAACCTAATAAAATCTGTGTTTATACAAAAGATCAATTAAGGGAAGATAGGATTTTGCAGAGATTCTTCTTGCAAAGAAATGTAACTACTAAGCTTCCCTAGTGCATTTTAAGTTGGAAAAATAGCATATGCATGTTTTCCTATTTTTCATAAAGGGAGGTTTGCCTGTTTTGTCATTGAATACATTTTAGTTCACTCTTCTGAGGGGACATTCCCATTTGATGAAGTCTTTTATCCACTGTTAACAACAGTGGTGCGGAGCCCCCAAAGGAGCCAGACTAGAATAAGGGAGCACTTTTCTGCCCTCAGGCAATTTCTCCTGGGAATCTCAGTGCTCTGGTGGACTGCAGTATTTCCTGTGGAAGGAGGTAAGTGTTTGCAGGGCTGGCCAGCAGGCCAGCGGGGTCCATGTTCTGGAGCTGTTGTCACAGGTTGTGGGTTTCTAATAGTCTTAATAGTTTGAGGAGTCTCAGTGGTGATCATTTGAGGCAGGAGAAGGAATTTCCGTGGTATTAACTGAGGATTTGCTGCCCCTCAGCAAAAGGAAAGCGGCAAGGGAGGTGTCAAGGGCCATCGTCTTCTGGCTCTCAGTGAGTCTCAGCCCCAAAGTCATGCCCTTCTCCATTTTATGTATTTGGCTACTGCACAGACTTTCTATGAGAAAAAGGATTCTTATGTTATTTAAAAATCAAGGTTTTAATAACTGCCATAAATGTGTATACATATATATGTATATATGTATGTGTGTATATATGTGTATATGTATGTGTATATATGTGTATATGTATGTGTATATATGTGTGTATGTGTGTATGTATGTATATATATGTGTATATATGTATGTATATATGTGTGTGTATATATACACACACACGGAATTTTAGCAAATGTATGCTTTTAACATGCCTAAAGTTGTTTTTAAATCCATGATCATGTTGGTTCCCAGCCATATTCCTACCATTTTTCCTTAAAGCTTAACCTAAACCATATATATAGGATGAAAAAAAATTAGCACAAATAAGTATCTTTGGGAAAAGCAGCCCTTTTGTTTCCTTCAAGGTGGGATCCAGGGTTTTGCATAGAATGGAATGTGCAGCACTGAAGGTTCAGAACCAGGGATCATGTTTGCTCAGTTTTCCAAACTAGCACTTAGGGATTGTTATGGGAATTTGGTTTCAGTCAGTTGGCCATGTGCTAGGGTGAGAGGTTGTGGAAAAGCTACAAGTTTTTTGCTGGTCACTGAATTTCAGCAAGGCGTGTACCCCGTGTGCCTCTGTGTCTGCACGTGGCGGGTAAGGGAACTGAGATTTAAAACAGTGCATGAGAGTTCTGCCTGTGCTCAGCAACTGAAGGGCACCTGGGAAAGGTTCATTTCCTTCCCTTTCTAACAGATGAGGTGCTGGAATTACAGGTTTATTTGTTCTAGAAAATGTACTGAGGACCTTCTGTGTGCCATACTATTGGCTAGGAAAAGGTGGAATCTACTAGTAGAAAGATGTTTCGGTGCCCAACTAGATGAGGAAGGATGAGAAGTGGCAGGCGGTGCTGCTGTTGATAGGACACAGTGGAAGCAGAGCATTCGGTTTGTTGTTCAGTGTTTATTAAGTAGATTCAGTCTTATATATGATATACAGATTCAAAAGGAAAAGGATTCCACATACTTATGAAATCAGTGCATTTAGCAAGTAATACCATGGAGATAACAGCTCGATTAACAGCTCATTGGTCTTTTGTTAAGTGAGGGAGAGAGGGAGTCGGCCTGTGCTAGTCATTCCACAAACAAAACAGAATTTAGTCACATCACGTAGAGAAGACACATTCTAAGAATTAAAATATTAAGCCACATTTACTGGTAAAACTCACTATATAGAACACAAATAATTTTTATAGAGAGCATTGAGGAGGAAGTCCTCACCTGCTTAGAAGAGCCACGTTAAGTTGCATAGGTGCATATCTGTAAAAATATAATTTAGAGGTGAAGCCATTAATAGAGTCACCTTTAAAAGTTGGTGCCATCCACTGTTTGCCTTAAGTGCTTACTATCTGGAGCCCTGTGCCCCTCCCCGGAGGTGGGACCTCATGAAGGAGCTGCCCCCAGAGGAACCCTGAAGAAATGGCTTGTACTATCTGCACTGAAAGTCTTAAATCTCATCTCAGATATGGAACTCATGCTCTTCCAAAACATGTCTAAATTATGCCAGAGGACTAAAGACCTCTTGGGTTGTCCCTAAATCCTGGATGGCTTGATCCTGAAGGCAACATGAGTCATTCTGACCTTCCCACTCCCAGGCTGCCCAGGGAAGAACTACATTCATCCCACAGCTCTGCAGCAAAGTCCTGCCTTCCCTTTTCCTCTGTCCATGCAGTTACCCACCAGCAGCCAATAAGAGGTCTCTCTTCTGACTCCTGCTCCTAAATGGACCACATAATTGAGGCATATGGGCCATCTACCAGGTGGAAAGTGTTTTTCAGCCAATCTGAGTTCTACGTGGTATAGGTTTTTTGTTGTATTTTTAGGTGGAAACGTAGGTAAAAAGTGAGAGGTTTTTGTTTGTGGCTTTGCTAAGCAGATGAGCTTAGTGAGGTGCATCTTCCTCCTCAAGAGCAAGTCTTGCAGAACACACAGGGACTGGGGGCATCTGTACATGTAAACAGTACACTTTCACTGAGTCCAAAATTAGGAGCAAAAATACAAAGGTTCACATTGGTCTTAGGTAGATACAGGCGAAAAAGGATTGAGCTGTTTAGCTCAGAAACAACAAAAACAAAGTTTCTAAAGCACCACTAAATTATATAAAAATCAGACCATGGACGGATTGAAACTGGTATTCTGGTGAAATACTTTACTATTTTGTAAAAAGTTTTACAAAAAATTACAAATTAAAAGTATCAACCCTCTGAGTTCAAAGCAGCATTTTGAAAATGAACTGGTAGTTAATCCTGTAACCACCCTTAGAGTTGTAAGTGGCCCTTGGGAATAGGGATGGATGGGTTCCACCTGTTTGAAATCCTCGAAAACCCTCCTAACTCCCTGCCTGTCCCCCTCCCCGTCAGCACTGTCCTTGGGAATAAACTGTCCTTTGTAAGAGTGGTGACGGTAAAATGAATTTCAGATGGGTTACACACACTATCACTTGTCTACCTGATGATCCACCACTAAGACCAATGCCCACTTCTCTGATGCTACCCTTCTTGTGGGATTAGCCTCCTGCAAAGACTCTGGAATTGGAGTATCCTACTCTTGCATTTCCTTTTTAACTTAGGATCCCAAATGATCACTTTGTGCCCTGAGGCCCTTCAGAAGATTTTTAAATGGCTGTGGGACAAGGGCTTTGGGAGCTCCTTTTGGGAGAAGGCAGTCCCTCTGGTGAGGGTGAGACAGCAGTGAGCTTAGTTCATCAGAACCAGCTCTTTGGTGCCCTCCAAGTCGGGAGTAGGGGGAAGGGGTTGAAGCTGCATCTTTTAAAACAAAAGCAAAACAAGTTCCCTGACTGAGCCAGCTAAATGGAATCCTGTTTCCATGCAGAAACTTGCTCCTGATTCTGCCATCTCTAGGGCTTCAGGTGTAGTTTCACTGGAAAGGAGGAGCCCACCCAAGAGGTGGGGTCGACATGATGAAATCCATTGTCCTGGAGGGGCCTGGGAGGCCCAATGGACTTTAACAACATATTCTTTCCTTTCTCTTGAAAACACATTGAACCTACGCTCTTGCCGCAGTACTAAGGCAGGCTGGAGGGTGGTCAGTTCCAACAGCTTGAACTCAGAAAAACATGACTTCAAACTGTAGCTTATGCTGATCTTTAGATCTAATCCTTGTGTGGGTAGGGGGAGGGAGCCCCTTCCCCAGTCTTTCTCACTCCTGTCTGCCAAGAAATGCAAACGGTTCATGTCTAGCTTGGGTACTGCCTCTGGGAGGAGAAGTGACACGTTAAGTAACTGATACCAGGAATTCTAGGGTGGCGATTGTCTCTGCCAGGTTTTAACATTAAGATTTTCACAAATAATTGCCTGGGGTAACATTTTTGCAAAAGATCTTACTGATTACTTTGTAGTATTGTTCACACACAAAAATAAATATTTACACGAATTCAAATGTTGAGTAGTACTGAGCAGGTGGGGCCAGATGTGTGGATGGCTGGGGTGTGGGAGAGGCCTTGGGCACTGGAGGTTGTGCTGTGCTAAGGGTGAGTCTCAGGTGTCCTGGCCCTGACCAGAGGCCTGGGGATTGGTCAGATGGAAGGCAGAGGTGGTGTGGCTGGATGGGGTATTGGAGGCCACTTGAGAGATAACGACCACCCCCAACCTCTAGGGGCCGGAAGTAAGCACGGGGTGGGCACCCTACCTTTCAGAGTTCTGGACCTGAGGCAGGATGGGGCATCCTCACTGGTGCCCCCCCCATCCCTCCTTGGGGGGAGTCTGCCACAGTGCCGGGAGGCAGTGGCCACAGCTGCAACAGGCAATTGGCTGCAGAAAAGCTGGTTTGGGAAGGGGTGCCTGTTCTGGGAGCGAGTGGCTCTCCGTGGCCATCCTAGGATCCACTCGGCCCTGGCTCCCCTGGGGCCTCTCTGCTCTGAGGGAGGAAAGGCAACAGAGGGCTTCTGCCAGCTCTGGGCAGGGGCGGGCAGCAGAGAGCTGCTGTCATGGCTACGGAGTGTTGCACGGAGAGGCCCTGGGGGCCTGCTGAGGTCTGGGCGAGTCCCTGGTTTAGCAGCACTGGTAGGTATTGCACTGAGCAAGAGGAAGTGCCTATCAATCAATCAATCAGGGAGGAAGGAAACCAGGCCAGCTTTTTCTTTTTGCCCTTTTTCACACTCCAGGGATTATGGGTTTCTTCCAGGACCGGCCCCTCCGGAAGGGCTGGTCTTAGGAGAACCCAAGTGGCTCCTCCACTTCCACTGATCCCTTTACTCCAAACATGGCGCAAGGGGATGGGAGCTGCAGCCCGCCCTGGAGCTCACGGCTGCCTGATAGCCGGGGCTCACCCTGAAGAAGTGGCCCCTCTTGGCAGGAGTGAGTCTGAGGGGCCAGGCCTGTGCACAGAAGTTCAGACCTGGCTCCTGGGCAGCGGGGTGTGAGGGCAAGGGCCCTGCCAACCGGCTGCCATCTCCCAGCAGTCCGTCCTGTCAAGCAGCTGAGGGCCAGAGCTGGAGGGCTGCAGTGGCTGGTTAGGGACAGGACGCTCTCTGGGTTCCAGCTCCTGGACACCCAGTCTGGACTTACTTACCTCCCAGGCAGACACATTGTGTGGGGGAGTTGGGGTTACAGCTGTTCAGAACAGGCTCAGGGCACATCCTGGAAAAAGCCCACGCTGGAGTGTGAGGTAGAATACAGGTGACCATGGACTGGGGCTTCTGTAGAATGGGGTCGGGGTGCCTCTTTTGTTTTGCTTTGCCATGGGTGTGGGTGAGGTCCTCCTGCTTGGCGTTGCCTAGGGAGGTGCCTGGTGGTGTCCCTGTGGCAGCACTGGGATCTGCAACAGGATGGCCTGGCCAAGGGCTAGCGGCCACAGGGTGCACCAGGCATGCAGAGGAACAGCCAGCCTGGCACCTGTCCTGCCCCTACTGGCCCCAGCCCACATCAGTGTAGTGATATGGAATGTTAGGTATGGGGATACATCCTTCTGATCAGACAGACACAGACTAGCAATCTGTACAAACACAAAAGAATCCATTTTCAGAAAAATAAATTACTAAGGGGAGAGGAAGAAAGGGTCCACTTTGCTTTTCTCAATAAATATGCAATTCTGCTCACCTAAGACTTGAAAGGTAATTATCTGGGGGTGGGATTCTAACATCAGGGTCCACGAAGGTGATTCTAAACAGAGCTGCAGCCCCAGCGCCTTGTCAGGGGAGCCCCCAACCCTTCCAGAGCTGCCCCGTTGGCCTCTTCCAAGCAGGTCAGAGCACCCGTGTGGTGAGATTCCAAAAAAAAAAAAAAAAAAAAAAAAAAGTGTCCTTGTGCCCAAAGTCTCAGGTGCTTGGAGTGTGGCTAGAAACAGCTCTTTTGGATCCCACCTCTTTCAAAAACAAAATGTACCAACTGGTGAGGCAGGAAGCCAGGTCCAGGCTGGGACAGCCTCCTTCCCTAGGGCAGTGCGCTCCAGGTGCCGGTGGGGTCAGTTCTGCTGTAGGATGAGGTTTTCCAGTTCATCTGCAGAGCGCAGCAGGAAGGCAGCAGACTCCCGGTAGCCCGCGATGAGCTGCCGCACGGCGCTGATCTCCGTGGGGCTGAGCTGAGCGGTGGGCACGGGCCTGCTGGTGCTGGTGCTGGAGGGGGTGGGCGTGGGGGTGGTGGAGGTGGTAGAGGCCCCGCCTTTCATGCTGAGGTCCGTGGGCCCTGTGGAGAGGGAAGTAGGGTGAGAAGGGAGCAGCCACCCTGCCTGGCATCTGGGAGGTGTACCTTCCTTGGCACTGTCATAACCTATGGCCTAGTGCCCACTGTGAGTTGGGCACTGAAGTCCGTGGCTCTGGTCCATCTCCCTGATGGCTCTATCCCTAGTGCTTAGAATGGGCCTGCGGGCGACAGGGTTCTCAGAGAATCCTCAGGGTGATCTTGCAAGGATCCGGTTTTAGGTGAGGAAGAGGCGGCCTTGGGGCAAAGGAACTCCTAAGATCTGCCTCTCCTCAGTGTGGTGAGCAGAGCTTGGGAATGGGAAATACTACTTCCATTGAGGAACTGTGGGACAAGTGCTAAAAGAAAGCCTCTGCCAGTGTGCCTAAAGGAGCAGCACCCATCTGTGTGCTCTTCCCCAGCCCAGACACCGAGGCTGGAAGGGGAGATGGTGTGCAGGAGACTCTGCAGGTAGGCAGGGGCCCAACACACCTGAGAGATGCGTGTGGGGAAAGCCCAGGAGGAGCTGAGAGTCGAGCCACAAAAGGCCAGGAGAAGAAACATCTGTGTGCCCAGACAAGAAAGGGGCTTCTGTCCAGCTGGAGAGAGGCCAGCTGCCCTGGTTGTCTGGGGGGAGAGGTACAGGCCAGACTGGCCAGGCCATAACTGCACCCCCAGGAGGGACCATGGCAGCCAGTGGATGGAGGAAGGGGCTGGGTGTGTGAAGCCTCTTTCTGCTAAGCCTCAAGCACCTCGAATCCCCCCTCCTGGGAGGAGTCCTGTGCCTGAGTGAGGTGGAGGGTTCATGCTGCTAGGATACGAGGGAGTGTGGGCCGGAACCATCAGGACAAGACTCAGACTCGCTTCTGGAGAAACTGCCCGCCCTTTGTCCTCGGATGATGGCAAAGAGGGAGCCTGCCATCTTTCAAAACACACTAGGGGTGTGCGTGTTGGGGAGGGGACCGCCAGGCCCTGTCCTCTCTTGGCCTTTCCCAAGAAGCTCCTGGCTTTGGAGTCAGGCAAGTGTGGATTCAAGTCCTGCTCTGCTACTTCATTGGCAAATTCTTTAACTTCTCTGGGCCTCAGAGCCCTCATCTGCCAAAACTAGGCGGCTCCTGCGAGCAGAAGCTGAGATGCCGGCTGTGAAACACTCAGCACAGGCTGAGGCTCCTTCTCAGCCCACAGGAGGCCTGACTGCCTAGACTGGCCCAATAGGGAAGGGCTTCCAAAGAGGTTTCAGGGCTTTCTGAATGGGCTCCCAGGAGACCTGGAAGCTCCTGGAATTTGAAAAGCATTCTACAAGGTGTTCGGCAAGAAACAGCCAAAGAAGAGAGAATCTGGGCAGGTGCAGGCAGAGCTGCCGCTTCCCTGGGAAGCCTTCTCTGATGCAGCCAGGTCAGCTTCTCTGTTGTCTGCCCTCCCCCTGGAGTCCCTTCCCCACAGCTTTATCTTCCACGGGGGTGTGAGGCTCCCCCAGCTACCCTGAAAGTTCTGATGGTCACATTCTCTCATGATTGCATCTCCATGGCAGTTTTTATGCTGCTATGAAGAGAGATGGACAAGCTCTTGTCACGGGAGGTATCCAGACTGGAAGTAACATCTTGGGATAAACTATGGAAACCTGACTGCTGCTAAAAGGAAGCTGGTGCAGCCCCCAAATGGGGAAGGAAGCTGGAGTCTAAGATGGGACAGTTTGTCACATGGGGTTATTTCCTCTCCGGCCAGAGAATGTGGACACCAAGGAGGAGGTCCTAGGAACTATTTTCTAAATAGCGTCCTTGGAATTGAGAGTTAAGGAAACAGTTGAGTCTGTTAAAATCAAACACAGGGGGAAGGGGTTGGGGCTGTGTCTGGAAACAGCAGCCAAACAGGTGACTGACTCCCAGGGTGTTGTCACAATGCGGGACTGAGAAGCTTGGAACAGGAGTGCCTCTGCTAACTTCTGGATATTGCAGGGGATGGACCCAGAGGGATGCGGGGGAAGAGGGTCTGGTTCTCTCT